>NC_000019.10:22985986-24448980 GCF_000001405.40 Homo sapiens | reverse complement strand
GAATTCACACATCACAAAGAAGTTTCTGAGAATGCTTCTACCTAGTTTTTATGTGAAGATAGTACTGTTTCCTATGAAGGCCTCAAAGTGGTCCAAATATCCACTTGCAGATTCTACAAAAAGAGGTTTTCCAAACTGCTCTATGAAGAGGTAGGTTCAACTCTGTGAGTTGAATGCAAACATCACAAAGTAGTTTCTGGGATTGCTTCGGTCTAGTTTTTAGGTGAAGATATTTCCATTTGCACAATAGCCCTCAAAGCGCTCCAAATATCCACTGGCGGATTCTACAAAAAGAGTGTTTCAGAACTGCTCTGTCAAAAGAAATGTTCAACTGTGTTAGTTGAATGCCCACATCACAAAGAAGATTCTGAGAATAATTCTGTCTAGTTTTTATTCGAAGATATTCCCGTTTCCACCTAAGGACTCAAAGCGCCCCTAATATCCACTTGCAGATCTTACAAAAACACGTTTCAAAACTGCTCTCTCAAAGGAACGGTTCATCTCTCTGGGTTCAATGCACACATCACAAAGAAGTTTCTGAGAATGCTTCTGGCTAGTTTTTATGTGAGGATATTCCCATTTCCAACAAAGGCTTCAAAGCGCTCCAAATATTCACCTGCAATTGTACAAAAGAGTGTTTCAAAACTCTTCTATCAAAAGGAAGGTTCAACTCTGTGAGTTGAATGCACACTTCACATAGATGTTTCTGAGAATGCTTCTTTCTAGTTTTTATGTGAAGATATTTCCTTCTCCACCATAGCCCTCAATGCGCTCCAAATGTCCACTGGCAGATTCCACGGAAACAGGGTTTCAAAACTGCTCTAACAAAAGAAAAGTTCAACTCCGTGATTTGGATGCACACATCACACAGCAGTTTCTGTGAATCCTTCTGTCTAGATTTTATATGAGGATCTTTCCTTTTCTACCATGGGCATCAAAGCCTTCCACATATCCAATGGTAGATTGTACAAAAGAGTGTTTCAAAACTGCTTTATGAAAAGGAAGGTTCAACTTTGGGAGCAGAATGCACACATCACGAAGAAGTTTCCAAGAATGCTTCTGTCTAGTTTATATGTGAAGATATTCCCATTTCCAGCAAAGGTCTCAAAGCGGTCCAAATATCCACTTGCGGATTCCCCAAAAAGAGTGTTTCAAAACTGCTCTATGGAAAGGTATGTTCAACTCTGTGAGTTTAATGCAAACATCACAAAGAAGTTTCTGAGGATGCTTCTGTCTAGTTTAATGGGAATATATTTTCTTTTCCACCATAGCCCTCAAATAGCTCCAAATATCCACTTTCAGATTCTACAGATTGTTTCAAAACTGCTCTATCAAAAAAAAGTTTCAACTCTGTGAGTTGAATGCACATATCTCTAAGTAGTTTCTGAGAATGCTTTTGTCTGTTTTTCATAGGAAGATATTTCCTTTTTGACCATAGGCCTCAAATCGCTCCAGATATCCACATGCAGATTCTACACAAAGAGTGTTTCAAAACTGCTCTATCAAAAGGAAGGTTCAACTCTGGTAGTTGAATGCAAACATCACAAAGAAGTTTCTCAGAATGCTTCTGTCTAGTTTTTAGAGCCAGATATTTCTTTTTCTGCCATAGGCCTCAAAGCGCTCCTGATATCCACATGCAGATTCTACACAAAGAGTGTTTCAAAACTGCTCTATCAAAAGGAAGGTTCAACTCTGGTAGTTGAATGCAAACATCACAAAGAAGTTTCTCAGAATGCTTCTGTCTAGTTTTTATATGCAGATATTTCTTTTTCTACCATAGGCCTCAAAGCGCTCCTGATATCCACTTGCAGACTCTACAGAAAGAGTGTTTCAAAACTGCTCTATCAAAAGGAAGGTTCAACTCTGTGAGCTGAATGGACAGATCACAAAGGAGTTTCTGAGAATGCTTATGTCTAGTTTTTATGTGAAGATATTCCCGTTTCCAAGGAAGGCTTCAAAGCACTCCAAATATCCACCTGCAGATTCTACAACAAGTGTCTTTCAACACTGCTCTATCAAAAGTGAGGTTCCACTCGGTGAGTTGAATGCACACATCACAAAGAAGTTTCTAAGAATCCTTCAGTCTAGTTTTTATGTGAAGATAATCCTGTTTCCAACGATAGCCTCAAAGCAGTCCCAGTATCCACTTGCAGATTCTACAAAAATAGTGTTTGAAAACTGGACTATATAAAGAGAAGTTCAACTTTCTGAGTTGAATGCAAACATCACAAAGGAGTTTTACAGAATACTTCTGTCTAGTTTTTATGTGAAGATATTTCCTTTTTCACCATAGCCCTTGACGTGCCCCAAAAGCCCACTGGTGCATTCTACAAAAAGAGTGTTGCAAAACTGCCCTATTAAAAGGAAGGATCAACTCTGTGAGTTGAATGCAAACATCACAAAGATGTTTCTGAGAATGCTTCTGTCCAGTTTTTATGTGAAGACATTCCCTTTCCACCAGAGGCCTCAAAGCGCTCCCAATATCCAATTGCTGATTCTACAAAAAACACTGTTTCAAAACCGCTCCATAAAAAAGATGGTTCAACTCTGTGAGTTGAATACACACATCACAAAGAAGTTTCAGAGAATGCTTCTGTCTAGTGTTTATGTGAAGATATTCCCGTTTCCAATGAAGGCCTCAAAGCAGTCCAAATATCCACTTGCAGATACTACAAAAATAGTGTTTCAAAACTGCTCTATGAAAAGGTATGTTCAACACTGTGAGATGAATGCAAACGTCACAAAGAAGTTGCTGAGAATGCTTCAGTCTAGTTTCTATGTGAAGATATTTCCTTTTCGACCACAGCCCTCAAAGCACTCCAAATGTCTACTTGCAGATTCGATAAAAGAGTTTTTCAAAACTGCTCTATCAAAAGAAAGGTTCAGCGCTGTGAGTTGAATCTACATATCACAAAAAAGTTTCTGAGAATGCCTCTATCTACTTTTTATGTGAAGATATTCCGGTTTCCAACGAAGGCCTCAAAGCGCTCCAAATATCTACTGGCAGATTCTACAAAAAGAGTGTTTCAAAACTGCTCTATTAAAGGAAGGTTCAACACTGTGAGTTGAATTCACACATCACAAAGAAGTTTCTGAGAATGCTTCTACCTAGTTTTTATGTGAAGATAGTACTGTTTCCTATGAAGGCCTCAAAGTGGTCCAAATATCCACTTGCAGATTCTACAAAAAGAGGTTTTCCAAACTGCTCTATGAAGAGGTAGGTTCAACTCTGTGAGTTGAATGCAAACATCACAAAGTAGTTTCTGGGATTGCTTCGGTCTAGTTTTTAGGTGAAGATATTTCCATTTGCACAATAGCCCTCAAAGCGCTCCAAATATCCACTGGCGGATTCTACAAAAAGAGTGTTTCAGAACTGCTCTGTCAAAAGAAATGTTCAACTGTGTTAGTTGAATGCCCACATCACAAAGAAGATTCTGAGAATAATTCTGTCTAGTTTTTATTCGAAGATATTCCCGTTTCCACCTAAGGACTCAAAGCGCCCCTAATATCCACTTGCAGATCTTACAAAAACACGTTTCAAAACTGCTCTCTCAAAGGAACGGTTCATCTCTCTGGGTTCAATGCACACATCACAAAGAAGTTTCTGAGAATGCTTCTGGCTAGTTTTTATGTGAGGATATTCCCATTTCCAACAAAGGCTTCAAAGCGCTCCAAATATTCACCTGCAATTGTACAAAAGAGTGTTTCAAAACTCTTCTATCAAAAGGAAGGTTCAACTCTGTGAGTTGAATGCACACTTCACATAGATGTTTCTGAGAATGCTTCTTTCTAGTTTTTATGTGAAGATATTTCCTTCTCCACCATAGCCCTCAATGCGCTCCAAATGTCCACTGGCAGATTCCACGGAAACAGGGTTTCAAAACTGCTCTAACAAAAGAAAAGTTCAACTCCGTGATTTGGATGCACACATCACACAGCAGTTTCTGTGAATCCTTCTGTCTAGATTTTATATGAGGATGTTTCCTTTTCTACCATGGGCATCAAATCCTTCCACATATCCAATGGTAGATTGTACAAAAGAGTGTTTCAAAACTGCTTTATGAAAAGGAAGGTTCAACTTTGGGAGCAGAATGCACACATCACGAAGAAGTTTCCGAGAATGCTTCTGTCTAGTTTATATGTGAAGATATTCCCATTTCCAGCAAAGGTCTCAAAGCGGTCCAAATATCCACTTGCGGATTCCCCAAAAAGAGTGTTTCAAAACTGCTCTATGGAAAGGTATGTTCAACTCTGTGAGTTTAATGCAAACATCACAAAGAAGTTTCTGAGGATGCTTCTGTCTAGTTTAATGGGAATATATTTTCTTTTCCACCATAGCCCTCAAATAGCTCCAAATATCCACTTTCAGATTCTACAGATTGTTTCAAAACTGCTCTATCAAAAAAAAGTTTCAACTCTGTGAGTTGAATGCACATATCTCTAAGTAGTTTCTGAGAATGCTTTTGTCTGTTTTTCATAGGAAGATATTTCCTTTTTGACCATAGGCCTCAAATCGCTCCAGATATCCACATGCAGATTCTACACAAAGAGTGTTTCAAAACTGCTCTATCAAAAGGAAGGTTCAACTCTGGTAGTTGAATGCAAACATCACAAAGAAGTTTCTCAGAATGCTTCTGTCTAGTTTTTAGAGCCAGATATTTCTTTTTCTGCCATAGGCCTCAAAGCGCTCCTGATATCCACATGCAGATTCTACACAAAGAGTGTTTCAAAACTGCTCTATCAAAAGGAAGGTTCAACTCTGGTAGTTGAATGCAAACATCACAAAGAAGTTTCTCAGAATGCTTCTGTCTAGTTTTTATATGCAGATATTTCTTTTTCTACCATAGGCCTCAAAGCGCTCCTGATATCCACTTGCAGACTCTACAGAAAGAGTGTTTCAAAACTGCTCTATCAAAAGGAAGGTTCAACTCTGTGAGCTGAATGGACAGATCACAAAGGAGTTTCTGAGAATGCTTATGTCTAGTTTTTATGTGAAGATATTCCCGTTTCCAAGGAAGGCTTCAAAGCACTCCAAATATCCACCTGCAGATTCTACAACAAGTGTCTTTCAACACTGCTCTATCAAAAGTGAGGTTCCACTCGGTGAGTTGAATGCACACATCACAAAGAAGTTTCTAAGAATCCTTCAGTCTAGTTTTTATGTGAAGATAATCCTGTTTCCAACGATAGCCTCAAAGCAGTCCCAGTATCCACTTGCAGATTCTACAAAAATAGTGTTTGAAAACTGGACTATATAAAGAGAAGTTCAACTTTCTGAGTTGAATGCAAACATCACAAAGGAGTTTTACAGAATACTTCTGTCTAGTTTTTATGTGAAGATATTTCCTTTTTCACCATAGCCCTTGACGTGCCCCAAAAGCCCACTGGTGCATTCTACAAAAAGAGTGTTGCAAAACTGCCCTATTAAAAGGAAGGATCAACTCTGTGAGTTGAATGCAAACATCACAAAGATGTTTCTGAGAATGCTTCTGTCCAGTTTTTATGTGAAGACATTCCCTTTCCACCAGAGGCCTCAAAGCGCTCCCAATATCCACTTGTTGATTCTACAAAAACACTGTTTCAAAACCGCTCCATAAAAAAGATGGTTCAACTCTGTGAGTTGAATACACACATCACAAAGAAGTTTCAGAGAATGCTTCTGTCTAGTGTTTATGTGAAGATATTCCCGTTTCCAATGAAGGCCTCAAAGCAGTCCAAATATCCACTTGCAGATACTACAAAAATAGTGTTTCAAAACTGCTCTATGAAAAGGTATGTTCAACACTGTGAGATGAATGCAAACGTCACAAAGAAGTTGCTGAGAATGCTTCAGTCTAGTTTCTATGTGAAGATATTTCCTTTTCGACCACAGCCCTCAAAGCACTCCAAATGTCTACTTGCAGATTCGATAAAAGAGTTTTTCAAAACTGCTCTATCAAAAGAAAGGTTCAGCGCTGTGAGTTGAATCTACATATCACAAAAAAGTTTCTGAGAATGCCTCTATCTACTTTTTATGTGAAGATATTCCGGTTTCCAACGAAGGCCTCAAAGCGCTCCAAATATCTACTGGCAGATTCTACAAAAAGAGTGTTTCAAAACTGCTCTATTAAAGGAAGGTTCAACTCTGTGAGTTGAATTCACACATCACAAAGAAGTTTCTGAGAATGCTTCTACCTAGTTTTTATGTGAAGATAGTACTGTTTCCTATGAAGGCCTCAAAGTGGTCCAAATATCCACTTGCAGATTCTACAAAAAGAGGTTTTCCAAACTGCTCTATGAAGAGGTAGGTTCAACTCTGTGAGTTGAATGCAAACATCACAAAGTAGTTTCTGGGATTGCTTCGGTCTAGTTTTTAGGTGAAGATATTTCCGTTTGCACAATAGCCCTCAAAGCGCTCCAAATATCCACTGGCGGATTCTACAAAAAGAGTGTTTCAGAACTGCTCTGTCAAAAGAAATGTTCAACTGTGTTAGTTGAATGCCCACATCACAAAGAAGATTCTGAGAATAATTCTGTCTAGTTTTTATTCGAAGATATTCCCGTTTCCACCTAAGGACTCAAAGCGCCCCTAATATCCACTTGCAGATCTTACAAAAACACGTTTCAAAACTGCTCTCTCAAAGGAACGGTTCATCTCTCTGGGTTCAATGCACACATCACAAAGAAGTTTCTGAGAATGCTTCTGGCTAGTTTTTATGTGAGGATATTCCCATTTCCAACAAAGGCTTCAAAGCGCTCCAAATATTCACCTGCAATTGTACAAAAGAGTGTTTCAAAACTCTTCTATCAAAAGGAAGGTTCAACTCTGTGAGTTGAATGCACACTTCACATAGATGTTTCTGAGAATGCTTCTTTCTAGTTTTTATGTGAAGATATTTCCTTCTCCACCATAGCCCTCAATGCGCTCCAAATGTCCACTGGCAGATTCCACGGAAACAGGGTTTCAAAACTGCTCTAACAAAAGAAAAGTTCAACTCCGTGATTTGGATGCACACATCACACAGCAGTTTCTGTGAATCCTTCTGTCTAGATTTTATATGAGGATGTTTCCTTTTCTACCATGGGCATCAAAGCCTTCCACATATCCAATGGTAGATTGTACAAAAGAGTGTTTCAAAACTGCTTTATGAAAAGGAAGGTTCAACTTTGGGAGCAGAATGCACACATCACGAAGAAGTTTCCGAGAATGCTTCTGTCTAGTTTATATGTGAAGATATTCCCATTTCCAGCAAAGGTCTCAAAGCAGTCCAAATATCCACTTGCGGATTCCCCAAAAAGAGTGTTTCAAAACTGCTCTATGGAAAGGTATGTTCAACTCTGTGAGTTTAATGCAAACATCATAAAGAAGTTTCTGAGGATGCTTCTGTCTAGTTTAATGGGAATATATTTTCTTTTCCACCATAGCCCTCAAATAGCTCCAAATATCCACTTTCAGATTCTACAGAGTGTTTCAAAACTGCTCTATCAAAAAAAAGTTTCAACTCTGTGAGTTGAATGCACATATCTCAAAGTAGTTTCTGAGAATGCTTTTGTCTGTTTTTCATAGGAAGATATTTCCTTTTTGACCATAGGCCTCAAATCGCTCCAGATATCCACATGCAGATTCTACACAAAGAGTGTTTCAAAACTGCTCTATCAAAAGGAAGGTTCAACTCTGGTAGTTGAATGCAAACATCACAAAGAAGTTTCTCAGAATGCTTCTGTCTAGTTTTTATATGCAGATATTTCTTTTTCTACCATAGGCCTCAAAGCGCTCCTGATATCCACTTGCAGACTCTACAGAAAGAGTGTTTCAAAACTGCTCTATCAAAAGGAAGGTTCAACTCTGTGAGCTGAATGGACAGATCACAAAGGAGTTTCTGAGAATGCTTATGTCTAGTTTTTATGTGAAGATATTCCCGTTTCCAAGGAAGGCTTCAAAGCACTCCAAATATCCACCTGCAGATTCTACAACAAGTGTCTTTCAACACTGCTCTATCAAAAGTGAGGTTCCACTCGGTGAGTTGAATGCACACATCACAAAGAAGTTTCTAAGAATCCTTCAGTCTAGTTTCTATGTGAAGATAATCCCGTTTCCAACGAAGGCCTCAAAGCAGTCCCAGTATCCACTTGCAGATTCTACAAAAATAGTGTTTGAAAACTGGACTATATAAAGAGAAGTTCAACTTTCTGAGTTGAATGCAAACATCACAAAGGAGTTTTACAGAATACTTCTGTCTAGTTTTTATGTGAAGATATTTCCTTTTTCACCATAGCCCTTGACGTGCTCCAAAAGCCCACTGGTGCATTCTACAAAAAGAGTGTTGCAAAACTGCCCTATTAAAAGGAAGGATCAACTCTGTGAGTTGAATGCAAACATCACAAAGATGTTTCTGAGAATGCTTCTGTCCAGTTTTTATGTGAAGACATTCCCTTTCCACCAGAGGCCTCAAAGCGCTCCCAATATCCACTTGCTGATTCTACAAAAACACTGTTTCAAAACCGCTCCATAAAAAAGATGGTTCAACTCTGTGAGTTGAATACACACATCACAAAGAAGTTTCAGAGAATGCTTCTGTCTAGTGTTTATGTGAAGATATTCCCGTTTCCAATGAAGGCCTCAAAGCAGTCCAAATATCCACTTGCAGATACTACAAAAATAGTGTTTCAAAACTGCTCTATGAAAAGGTATGTTCAACACTGTGAGATGAATGCAAACGTCACAAAGAAGTTGCTGAGAATGCTTCAGTCTAGTTTCTATGTGAAGATATTTCCTTTTCGACCACAGCCCTCAAAGCACTCCAAATGTCTACTTGCAGATTCGATAAAAGAGTTTTTCAAAACTGCTCTATCAAAAGAAAGGTTCAGCGCTGTGAGTTGAATCTACATATCACAAAAAAGTTTCTGAGAATGCCTCTATCTACTTTTTATGTGAAGATATTCCGGTTTCCAACGAAGGCCTCAAAGCGCTCCAAATATCTACTGGCAGATTCTACAAAAAGAGTGTTTCAAAACTGCTCTATTAAAGGAAGGTTCAACTCTGTGAGTTGAATTCACACATCACAAAGAAGTTTCTGAGAATGCTTCTACCTAGTTTTTATGTGAAGATAGTACTGTTTCCTATGAAGGCCTCAAAGTGGTCCAAATATCCACTTGCAGATTCTACAAAAAGAGGTTTTCCAAACTGCTCTATGAAGAGGTAGGTTCAACTCTGTGAGTTGAATGCAAACATCACAAAGTAGTTTCTGGGATTGCTTCGGTCTAGTTTTTAGGTGAAGATATTTCCGTTTGCACAATAGCCCTCAAAGCGCTCCAAATATCCACTGGCGGATTCTACAAAAAGAGTGTTTCAGAACTGCTCTGTCAAAAGAAATGTTCAACTGTGTTAGTTGAATGCCCACATCACAAAGAAGATTCTGAGAATAATTCTGTCTAGTTTTTATTCGAAGATATTCCCGTTTCCACCTAAGGACTCAAAGCGCCCCTAATATCCACTTGCAGATCTTACAAAAACACGTTTCAAAACTGCTCTCTCAAAGGAACGGTTCATCTCTCTGGGTTCAATGCACACATCACAAAGAAGTTTCTGAGAATGCTTCTGGCTAGTTTTTATGTGAGGATATTCCCATTTCCAACAAAGGCTTCAAAGCGCTCCAAATATTCACCTGCAATTGTACAAAAGAGTGTTTCAAAACTCTTCTATCAAAAGGAAGGTTCAACTCTGTGAGTTGAATGCACACTTCACATAGATGTTTCTGAGAATGCTTCTTTCTAGTTTTTATGTGAAGATATTTCCTTCTCCACCATAGCCCTCAATGCGCTCCAAATGTCCACTGGCAGATTCCACGGAAACAGGGTTTCAAAACTGCTCTAACAAAAGAAAAGTTCAACTCCGTGATTTGGATGCACACATCACACAGCAGTTTCTGTGAATCCTTCTGTCTAGATTTTATATGAGGATCTTTCCTTTTCTACCATGGTCATCAAAGCCTTCCACATATCCAATGGTAGATTGTACAAAAGAGTGTTTCAAAACTGCTTTATGAAAAGGAAGGTTCAACTTTGGGAGCAGAATGCACACATCACGAAGAAGTTTCCAAGAATGCTTCTGTCTAGTTTATATGTGAAGATATTCCCATTTCCAGCAAAGGTCTCAAAGCGGTCCAAATATCCACTTGCGGATTCCCCAAAAAGAGTGTTTCAAAACTGCTCTATGGAAAGGTATGTTCAACTCTGTGAGTTTAATGCAAACATCATAAAGAAGTTTCTGAGGATGCTTCTGTCTAGTTTAATGGGAATATATTTTCTTTTCCACCATAGCCCTCAAATAGCTCCAAATATCCACTTTCAGATTCTACAGAGTGTTTCAAAACTGCTCTATCAAAAAAAAGTTTCAACTCTGTGAGTTGAATGCACATATCTCTAAGTAGTTTCTGAGAATTCTTTTGTCTGTTTTTCATAGGAAGATATTTCCTTTTTGACCATAGGCCTCAAATCGCTCCAGATATCCACATGCAGATTCTACACAAAGAGTGTTTCAAAACTGCTCTATCAAAAGGAAGGTTCAACTCTGGTAGTTGAATGCAAACATCACAAAGAAGTTTCTCAGAATGCTTCTGTCTAGTTTTTATATGCAGATATTTCTTTTTCTACCATAGGCCTCAAAGCGCTCCTGATATCCACTTGCAGACTCTACAGAAAGAGTGTTTCAAAACTGCTCTATCAAAAGGAAGGTTCAACTCTGTGAGCTGAATGGACAGATCACAAAGGAGTTTCTGAGAATGCTTATGTCTAGTTTTTATGTGAAGATATTCCCGTTTCCAAGGAAGGCTTCAAAGCACTCCAAATATCCACCTGCAGATTCTACAACAAGTGTCTTTCAACACTGCTCTATCAAAAGTGAGGTTCCACTCGGTGAGTTGAATGCACACATCAAAAAGAAGTTTCTAAGAATCCTTCAGTCTAGTTTCTATGTGAAGATAATCCCGTTTCCAACGAAGGCCTCAAAGCAGTCCCAGTATCCACTTGCAGATTCTACAAAAATAGTGTTTGAAAACTGGACTATATAAAGAGAAGTTCAACTTTCTGAGTTGAATGCAAACATCACAAAGGAGTTTTACAGAATACTTCTGTCTGGTTTTTTGTGAAGATATTTCCTTTTTCACCATAGCCCTTGACGTGCTCCAAAAGCCCGCTGGTGCATTCTACAAAAAGAGTGTTGCAAAACTGCCCTATTAAAAGGAAGGATCAACTCTGTGAGTTGAATGCAAACATCACAAAGATGTTTCTGAGAATGCTTCTGTCCAGTTTTTATGTGAAGACATTCCCTTTACACCAGAGGCCTCAAAGCGCTCCAAATATCCAATTGCTGATTCTACAAAAACACTGTTTCAAAACCGCTCCATAAAAAAGATGGTTCAACTCTGTGAGTTGAATACACACATCACAAAGAAGTTTCAGAGAATGCTTCTGTCTAGTGTTTATGTGAAGATATTCCCGTTTCCAATGAAGGCCTCAAAGCAGTCCAAATATCCACTTGCAGATACTACAAAAATAGTGTTTCAAAACTGCTCTATGAAAAGGTATGTTCAACACTGTGAGATGAATGCAAACGTCACAAAGAAGTTGCTGAGAATGCTTCAGTCTAGTTTCTATGTGAAGATATTTCCTTTTCGACCACAGCCCTCAAAGCACTCCAAATGTCTACTTGCAGATTCGATAAAAGAGTTTTTCAAAACTGCTCTATCAAAAGAAAGGTTCAGCGCTGTGAGTTGAATCTACATATCACAAAAAAGTTTCTGAGAATGCCTCTATCTACTTTTTATGTGAAGATATTCCGGTTTCCAACGAAGGCCTGAAAGCGCTCCAAATATCTACTTGCAGATTCTACAAAAAGAGTGTTTCAAAACTGCTCTATTAAAGGAAGGTTCAACTCTGTGAGTTGAATTCACACATCACAAAGAACTTTCTGACAATGCTTCTACCTAGTTTTTATGTGAAGATAGTACTGTTTCCTATGAAGGCCTCAAAGTGGTCCAAATATCCACTTGCAGATTCTACAAAAAGAGGTTTTCCAAACTGCTCTATGAAGAGGTAGGTTCAACTCTATGAGTTTAATGCAAACATCACAAAGTAGTTTCTGGGATTGCTTCGGTCTAGTTTTTAGGTGAAGATATTTCCATTTGCACAATAGCCCTCAAAGCGCTCCAAATATCCACTGGCGGATTCTACAAAAAGAGTGTTTCAGAACTGCTCTGTCAAAAGACATGTTCAACTGTGTTTGTTGAATGCCCACATCACAAAGAAGATTCTGAGAATCATTCTGTCTAGTTTTTATTCGAAGATATTCCCGTTTCCACCTAAGGACTCAAAGCGCCCCAAATATCCACTTGCAGATCTTACAAAAACACGTTTCAAAACTGCTCTCTCAAAGGAACGGTTCATCTCTCTGGGTTCAATGCACACATCACAAAGAAGTTTCTGAGAATGTTTCTGGCTAGTTTTTATGTGAGGATATTCCCATTTCCAACAAAGGCTTCAAAGCGCTCCAAATATTCACCTGCAATTGTACAAAAGAGTGTTTCAAAACTCTTCTATCAAAACGAAGGTTCAACTCTGTGAGTTGAATGCACACTTCACATAGATGTTTCTGAGAATGCTTCTTTCTAGTTTTTATGTGAAGATATTTCCTTCTCCACCATAGCCCTCAATGTGCTCCAAATGTCCACTGGCAGATTCCACGGAAACAGGGTTTCAAAACTGCTCTAACAAAAGAAAAGTTCAACTCCATGATTTGGATGCACACATCACACAGCAGTTTCTGTGAATCCTTCTGTCTAGATTTTATATGAGGATGTATCCTTTTCTACCATGGGCATCAAAGCCTTCCACATATCCAATGGTAGATTGTACAAAAGAGTGTTTCAAAACTGCTTTATGAAGAGGAAGGTTCAACTTTGGGAGCAGAATGCACACATCAGGAAGAAGTTTCCGAGAATGCTTCTGTCTAGTTTATATGTGAAGATATTCCCATTTCCAGCAAAGGTCTCAAAGCGGTCCAAATATCCACTTGCGGATTCCCCAAAAAGAGTGTTTCAAAACTGCTCTATGGAAAGGTATGTTCAACTCTGTGAGTTTAATGCAAACATCATAAAGAAGTTTCTGAGGATGCTTCTGTCTAGTTTAATGGGAATATATTTTCTTTTCCACCATAGCCCTCAAATAGCTCCAAATATCCACTTTCAGATTCTACAGAGTGTTTCAAAACTGCTCTATCAAAAAAAAGTTTCAACTCTGTGAGTTGAATGCACATATCTCAAAGTAGTTTCTGAGAATGCTTTTGTCTGTTTTTCATAGGAAGATATTTCCTTTTTGACCATAGGCCTCAAATCGCTCCAGATATCCACATGCAGATTCTACACAAAGAGTGTTTCAAAACTGCTCTATCAAAAGGAAGGTTCAACTCTGGTAGTTGAATGCAAACATCACAAAGAAGTTTCTCAGAATGCTTCTGTCTAGTTTTTATATGCAGATATTTCTTTTTCTACCATAGGCCACAAAGCACTCCTGATATCCACTTGCAGACTCTACAGAAAGAGTGTTTCAAAACTGCTCTATCAAAAGGAAGGTTCAACTCTGTGAGCTGAATGGACAGATCACAAAGGAGTTTCTGAGAATGCTTATGTCTAGTTTTTATGTGAAGATAATCCCGTTTCCAATGAAGGCCTCAAAGCAGTCCCACTATCCACTTGCAGATTCTACAAAAATAGTGTTTGAAAACTGGACTATATAAAGAGAAGTTCAACTTTCTGAGTTGAATGCAAACATCACAAAGGAGTTTTACACAATACTTCTGTCTAGTTTTTATGTGAAGATATTTCCTTTTTCACCATAGCCCTTGACGTGCTCCAAAAGCCCACTGGTGCATTCTACAAAAAGAGTGTTGCAAAACTGCCCTATTAAAAGGAAGGATCAACTCTGTGAGTTGAATGCAAACATCACAAAGATGTTTCTGAGAATGCTTCTGTCCAGTTTTTATGTGAAGACATTCCCTTTCCACCAGAGGCCTCAAAGCGCTCCCAATATCCACTTGCTGATTCTACAAAAACACTGTTTCAAAACCGCTCCATAAAAAAGATGGTTCATCTCTGTGAGTTGAATACACACATCACAAAGAAGTTTCAGAGAATGCTTCTGTCTAGTGTTTATGTGAAGATATTCCCGTTTCCAATGAAGGCCTCAAAGCAGTCCAAATATCCACTTGCATATACTACAAAAATAGTGTTTCAAAACTGCTCTATGAAAAGGTATGTTCAACACTGTGAGATGAATGCAAAGGTCACAAAGAAGTTGCTGAGAATGCTTCAGTCTAGTTTCTATGTGAAGATATTTCCTTTTCGACCACAGCCCTCAAAGCACTCCAAATGTCTACTTGCAGATTCGATAAAAGAGTTTTTCAAAACTGCTCTATCAAAAGAAAGGTTCAGCGCTGTGAGTTGAATCTACATATCACAAAAAAGTTTCTGAGAATGCCTCTATCTACTTTTTATGTGAAGATATTCCGGTTTCCAACGAAGGCCTCAAAGCGCTCCAAATATCTACTGGCAGATTCTACAAAAAGAGTGTTTCAAAACTGCTCTATTAAAGGAAGGTTCAACTCTGTGAGTTGAATTCACACATCACAAAGAAGTTTCTGACAATGCTTCTACCTAGTTTTTATGTGAAGATAGTACTGTTTCCTATGAAGGCCTCAATGTGGTCCAAATATCCACTTGCAGATTCTACAAAAAGAGGTTTTCCAAACTGCTCTATGAAGAGGTAGGTTCAACTCTGTGAGTTGAATGCAAACATCACAAAGTAGTTTCTGGGATTGCTTCGGTCTAGTTTTTAGGTGAAGATATTTCCATTTGCACAATAGCCCTCAAAGCGCTCCAAATATCCACTGGCGGATTCTACAAAAAGAGTGTTTCAGAACTGCTCTGTCAAAAGAAATGTTCAACTGTGTTAGTTGAATGCCCACATCACAAAGAAGATTCTGAGAATCATTCTGTCTAGTTTTTATTCGAAGATATTCCCGTTTCCACCTAAGGACTCAAAGCGCCCCAAATATCCACTTGCAGATCTTACAAAAACACGTTTCAAAACTGCTCTCTCAAAGGAACGGTTCATCTCTCTGGGTTCAATGCACACATCACAAAGAAGTTTCTGAGAATGCTTCTGGCTAGTTTTTATGTGAGGATATTCCCATTTCCAACAAAGGCTTCAAAGCGCTCCAAATATTCACCTGCAATTGTACAAAAGAGTGTTTCAAAACTCTTCTATCAAAAGGAAGGTTCAACTCTGTGAGTTGAATGCACACTTCACATAGATGTTTCTGAGAATGCTTCTTTCTAGTTTTTATGTGAAGATATTTCCTTCTCCACCATAGCCCTCAATGCGCTCCAAATGTCCACTGGCAGATTCCACGGAAACAGGGTTTCAAAACTGCTCTAACAAAAGAAAAGTTCAACTCCGTGATTTGGATGCACACATCACACAGCAGTTTCTGTGAATCCTTCTGTCTAGATTTTATATGAGGATGTATCCTTTTCTACCATGGGCATCAAAGCCTTCCACATATCCAATGGTAGATTGTACAAAAGAGTGTTTCAAAACTGCTTTATGAAAAGGAAGGTTCAACTTTGGGAGCAGAATGCAGACATCACGAAGAAGTTTCCGAGAATGCTTCTGTCTAGTTTATATGTGAAGATATTCCCATTTCCAGCAAAGGTCTCAAAGCGGTCCAAATATCCACTTGCGGATTCCCCAAAAAGAGTGTTTCAAAACTGCTCTATGGAAAGGTATGTTCAACTCTGTGAGTTTAATGCAAACATCATAAAGAAGTTTCTGAGGATGCTTCTGTCTAGTTTAATGGGAATATATTTTCTTTTCCACCATAGCCCTCAAATAGCTCCAAATATCCACTTTCAGATTCTACAGAGTGTTTCAAAACTCCTCTATCAAAAAAAAGTTTCAACTCTGTGAGTTGAATGCACATATCTCAAAGTAGTTTCTGAGAATGCTTTTGTCTGTTTTTCATAGGAAGATATTTCCTTTCTGACCATAGGCCTCAAATCGCTCCAGATATCCACATGCAGATTCTACACAAAGAGTGTTTCAAAACTGCTCTATCAAAAGGAAGGTTCAACTCTGGTAGTTGAATGCAAACATCACAAAGAAGTTTCTCAGAATGCTTCTGTCTAGTTTTTATATGCAGATATTTCTTTTTCTACCATAGGCCTCAAAGCGCTCCTGATATCCACTTGCAGACTCTACAGAAAGAGTGTTTCAAAACTGCTCTATCAAAAGGAAGGTTCAACTCTGTGAGCTGAATGGACAGATCACAAAGGGGTTTCTGAGAATGCTTATGTCTAGTTTTTATGTGAAGATATTCCCGTTTCCAAGGAAGTCTTCAAAGCACTCCAAATATCCACCTGCAGATTCTACAACAAGTGTCTTTCAACACTGCTCTATCAAAAGTGAGGTTCCACTCGGTGAGTTGAATGCACACATCACAAAGAAGTTTCTAAGAATCCTTCAGTCTAGTTTCTATGTGAAGGTAATCCCGTTTCCAACGAAGGCCTCAAAGCAGTCCCAGTATCCACTTGCAGATGCTACAAAAATAGTGTTTGAAAACTGGACTATATAAAGAGAAGTTCAACTTTCTGAGTTGAATGCAAACATCACAAAGGAGTTTTACAGAATACTTCTGTCTAGTTTTTATGTGAAGATATTTCCTTTTTCACCATAGCCCTTGACGTGCTCCAAAAGCCCACTGGTGCATTCTACAAAAAGAGTGTTGCAAAACTGCCCTATTAAAAGGAAGGATCAACTCTGTGAGTTGAATGCAAACATCACAAAGATGTTTCTGAGAATACTTCTGTCCAGTTTTTATGTGAAGACATTCCCTTTCCACCAGAGGCCTCAAAGCGCTCCCAATATCCACTTGCTGATTCTACAAAAACACTGTTTCAAAACCGCTCCATAAAAAAGATGGTTCAACTCTGTGAGTTGAATACACACATCACAAAGAAGTTTCAGAGAATGCTTCTGTCTAGTGTTTATGTGAAGATATTCCCGTTTCCAATGAAGGCCTCAAAGCAGTCCAAATATCCACTTGCAGATACTACAAAAATAGTGTTTCAAAACTGCTCTATGAAAAGGTATGTTCAACACTGTGAGATGAATGCAAACGTCACAAAGAAGTTGCTGAGAATGCTTCAGTCTAGTTTCTATGTGAAGATATTTCCTTTTCGACCACAGCCCTCAAAGCACTCCAAATGTCTACTTGCAGATTCGATAAAAGAGTTTTTCAAAACTGCTCTATCAAAAGAAAGGTTCAACGCTGTGAGTTGAATCTACATATCACAAAAAAGTTTCTGAGAATGCCTCTATCTACTTTTTATGTGAAGATATTCCGGTTTCCAACGAAGGCCTCAAAGCGCTCCAAATATCTACTGGCAGATTCTACAAAAAGAGTGTTTCAAAACTGCTCTATTAAAGGAAGGTTCAACTCTGTGAGTTGAATTCACACATCACAAAGAAGTTTCTGAGAATGCTTCTACCTAGTTTTTATGTGAAGATAGTACTGTTTCCTATGAAGGCCTCAAAGTGGTCCAAATATCCACTTGCAGATTCTACAAAAAGAGGTTTTCCAAACTGCCCTATGAAGAGGTAGGTTCAACTCTGTGAGTTGAATGCAAACATCACAAAGTAGTTTCTGGGATTGCTTCGGTCTAGTTTTTAGGTGAAGATATTTCCATTTGCACAATAGCCCTCAAAGCGCTCCAAATATCCACTGGCGGATTCTACAAAAAGAGTGTTTCAGAACTGCTCTGTCAAAAGAAATGTTCAACTGTGTTAGTTGAATGCCCACATCACAAAGAAGATTCTGAGAATAATTCTGTCTAGTTTTTATTCGAAGATATTCCCGTTTCCACCTAAGGACTCAAAGCGCCCCAAATATCCACTTGCAGATCTTACAAAAACACGTTTCAAAACTGCTCTCTCAAAGGAACGGTTCATCTCTCTGGGTTCAATGCACACATCACAAAGAAGTTTCTGAGAATGCTTCTGGCTAGTTTTTAATGTGAGGATATTCCCATTTCCAACAAAGGCTTCAAAGCGCTCCAAATATTCACCTGCAATTGTACAAAAGAGTGTTTCAAAACTCTTCTATCAAAAGGAAGGTTCAACTCTGTGAGTTGAATGCATACTTCACATAGATGTTTCTGAGAATGCTTCTTTCTAGTTTTTATGTGAAGATATTTCCTTCTCCACCATAGCCCTCAATGCGCTCCAAATGTCCACTGGCAGATTCCACGGAAACAGGGTTTCAAAACTGCTCTAACAAAAGAAAAGTTCAACTCCGTGATTTGGATGCACACATCACACAGCAGTTTCTGTGAATCCTTCTGTCTAGATTTTATATGAGGATGTTTCCATTTCTACCATGGGCATCAAAGCCTTCCACATATCCAATGGTAGATTGTACAAAAGAGTGTTTCAAAACTGCTTTATGAAAAGGAAGGTTCAACTTTGGGAGCAGAATGCACACATCACGAAGAAGTTTCCGAGAATGCTTCTGTCTAGTTTATATGTGAAGATATTCCCATTTCCAGCAAAGGTCTCAAAGCGGTCCAAATATCCACTTGCGGATTCCCCAAAAAGAGTGTTTCAAAACTGCTCTATGGAAAGGTATGTTCAACTCTGTGAGTTTAATGCAAACATCATAAAGAAGTTTCTGAGGATGCTTCTGTCTAGTTTAATGGGAATATATTTTCTTTTCCACCATAGCCCTCAAATAGCTCCAAATATCCACTTTCAGATTCTACAGAGTGTTTCAAAACTGCTCTATCAAAAAAAAGTTTCAACTCTGTGAGTTGAATGCACATATCTCTAAGTAGTTTCTGAGAATGCTTTTGTCTGTTTTTCATAGGAAGATATTTCCTTTTTGACCATAGGCCTCAAATCGCTCCAGATATCCACATGCAGATTCTACACAAAGAGTGTTTCAAAACTGCTCTATCAAAAGGAAGGTTCAACTCTGGTAGTTGAATGCAAACATCACAAAGAAGTTTCTCAGAATGCTTCTGTCTAGTTTTTATATGCAGATATTTCTTTTTCTACCATAGGCCTCAAAGCGCTCCTGATATCCACTTGCAGACTCTACAGAAAGAGTGTTTCAAAACTGCTCTATCAAAAGGAAGGTTCAACTCTGTGAGCTGAATGGACAGATCACAAAGGAGTTTCTGAGAATGCTTATGTCTAGTTTTTATGTGAAGATATTCCCGTTTCCAAGGAAGGCTTCAAAGCACTCCAAATATCCACCTGCAGATTCTACAACAAGTGTCTTTCAACACTGCTCTATCAAAAGTGAGGTTCCACTCGGTGAGTTGAATGCACACATCACAAAGAAGTTTCTAAGAATCCTTCAGTCTAGTTTTTATGTGAAGATAATCCCGTTTCCAACGAAGGCCTCAAAGCAGTCCCAGTATCCACTTGCAGATTCTACAAAAATAGTGTTTGAAAACTGGACTATATAAAGAGAAGTTCAACTTTCTGAGTTGAATGCAAACATCACAAAGGAGTTTTACAGAATACTTCAGTCTAGTTTTTATGAGAAGATATTTCCTTTTTCACCATAGCCCTTGACGTGCTCCAAAAGCCCACTGGTGCATTCTACAAAAAGAGTGTTGCAAAACTGCCCTATTAAAAGGAAGGATCAACTCTGTGAGTTGAATGCAAACATCACAAAGATGTTTCTGAGAATGCTTCTGTCCAGTTTTTATGTGAAGACATTCCCTTTCCACCAGAGGCCTCAAAGTGTTCCCAATATCCACTTGCTGATTCTACAAAAACGCTGTTTCAAAACCGCTCCATAAAAAAGATGGTTCAACTCTGTGAGTTGAATACACACATCACAAAGAAGTTTCAGAGAATGCTTCTGTCTAGTGTTTATGTGAAGATATTCCCGTTTCCAATGAAGGCCTCAAAGCAGTCCAAATATCCACTTGCAGATACTACAAAAATAGTGTTTCAAAACTGCTCTATGAAAAGGTATGTTCAACACTGTGAGATGAATGCAAACGTCACAAAGAAGTTGCTGAGAATGCTTCAGTCTAGTTTCTATGTGAAGATATTTCCTTTTCGACCACAGCCCTCAAAGCACTCCAAATGTCTACTTGCAGATTCGATAAAAGAGTTTTTCAAAACTGCTCTATCAAAAGAAAGGTTCAACGCTGTGAGTTGAATCTACATATCACAAAAAAGTTTCTGAGAATGGCTCTATCTACTTTTTATGTGAAGATATTCCGGTTTCCAACGAAGGCCTCAAAGCGCTCCAAATATCTACTGGCAAATTCTACAAAAAGAGTGTTTCAAAACTGCTCTATTAAAGGAAGGTTCAACTCTGTGAGTTGAATTCACACATCACAAAGAAGTTTCTGAGAATGCTTCTACCTAGTTTTTATGTGAAGATAGTACTGTTTCCTATGAAGGCCTCAAAGTGGTCCAAATATCCACTTGCAGATTCTACAAAAAGAGGTTTTCCAAACTGCCCTATGAAGAGGTAGGTTCAACTCTGTGAGTTGAATGCAAACATCACAAAGTAGTTTCTGGGATTGCTTCGGTCTAGTTTTTAGGTGAAGATATTTCCATTTGCACAATAGCCCTCAAAGCGCTCCAAATATCCACTGGCGGATTCTACAAAAAGAGTGTTTCAGAACTGCTCTGTCAAAAGAAATGTTCAACTGTGTTAGTTGAATGCCCACATCACAAAGAAGATTCTGAGAATAATTCTGTCTAGTTTTTATTCGAAGATATTCCCGTTTCCACCTAAGGACTCAAAGCGCCCCAAATATCCACTTGCAGATCTTACAAAAACACGTTTCAAAACTGCTCTCTCAAAGGAACGGTTCATCTCTCTGGGTTCAATGCACACATCACAAAGAAGTTTCTGAGAATGCTTCTGGCTAGTTTTTAATGTGAGGATATTCCCATTTCCAACAAAGGCTTCAAAGCGCTCCAAATATTCACCTGCAATTGTACAAAAGAGTGTTTCAAAACTCTTCTATCAAAAGGAAGGTTCAACTCTGTGAGTTGAATGCATACTTCACATAGATGTTTCTGAGAATGCTTCTTTCTAGTTTTTATGTGAAGATATTTCCTTCTCCACCATAGCCCTCAATGCGCTCCAAATGTCCACTGGCAGATTCCACGGAAACAGGGTTTCAAAACTGCTCTAACAAAAGAAAAGTTCAACTCCGTGATTTGGATGCACACATCACACAGCAGTTTCTGTGAATCCTTCTGTCTAGATTTTATATGAGGATGTTTCCTTTTCTACCATGGGCATCAAAGCCTTCCACATATCCAATGGTAGATTGTACAAAAGAGTGTTTCAAAACTGCTTTATGAAAAGGAAGGTTCAACTTTGGGAGCAGAATGCACACATCACGAAGAAGTTTCCGAGAATGCTTCTGTCTAGTTTATATGTGAAGATATTCCCATTTCCAGCAAAGGTCTCAAAGCGGTCCAAATATCCACTTGCGGATTCCCCAAAAAGAGTGTTTCAAAACTGCTCTATGGAAAGGTATGTTCAACTCTGTGAGTTTAATGCAAACATCATAAAGAAGTTTCTGAGGATGCTTCTGTCTAGTTTAATGGGAATATATTTTCTTTTCCACCATAGCCCTCAAATAGCTCCAAATATCCACTTTCAGATTCTACAGAGTGTTTCAAAACTGCTCTATCAAAAAAAAGTTTCAACTCTGTGAGTTGAATGCACATATCTCTAAGTAGTTTCTGAGAATGCTTTTGTCTGTTTTTCATAGGAAGATATTTCCTTTTTGACCATAGGCCTCAAATCGCTCCAGATATCCACATGCAGATTCTACACAAAGAGTGTTTCAAAACTGCTCTATCAAAAGGAAGGTTCAACTCTGGTAGTTGAATGCAAACATCACAAAGAAGTTTCTCAGAATGCTTCTGTCTAGTTTTTATATGCAGATATTTCTTTTTCTACCATAGGCCTCAAAGCGCTCCTGATATCCACTTGCAGACTCTACAGAAAGAGTGTTTCAAAACTGCTCTATCAAAAGGAAGGTTCAACTCTGTGAGCTGAATGGACAGATCACAAAGGAGTTTCTGAGAATGCTTATGTCTAGTTTTTATGTGAAGATATTCCCGTTTCCAAGGAAGGCTTCAAAGCACTCCAAATATCCACCTGCAGATTCTACAACAAGTGTCTTTCAACACTGCTCTATCAAAAGTGAGGTTCCACTCGGTGAGTTGAATGCACACATCACAAAGAAGTTTCTAAGAATCCTTCAGTCTAGTTTCTATGTGAAGATAATCCCGTTTCCAACGAAGGCCTCAAAGCAGTCCCAGTATCCACTTGCAGATTCTACAAAAATAGTGTTTGAAAACTGGACTATATAAAGAGAAGTTCAACTTTCTGAGTTGAATGCAAACATCACAAAGGAGTTTTACAGAATACTTCTGTCTAGTTTTTATGAGAAGATATTTCCTTTTTCACCATAGCCCTTGACGTGCTCCAAAAGCCCACTGGTGCATTCTACAAAAAGAGTGTTGCAAAACTGCCCTATTAAAAGGAAGGATCAACTCTGTGAGTTGAATGCAAACATCACAAAGATGTTTCTGAGAATGCTTCTGTCCAGTTTTTATGTGAAGACATTCCCTTTCCACCAGAGGCCTCAAAGTGTTCCCAATATCCACTTGCTGATTCTACAAAAACGCTGTTTCAAAACCGCTCCATAAAAAAGATGGTTCAACTCTGTGAGTTGAATACACACATCACAAAGAAGTTTCAGAGAATGCTTCTGTCTAGTGTTTATGTGAAGATATTCCCGTTTCCAATGAAGGCCTCAAAGCAGTCCAAATATCCACTTGCAGATACTACAAAAATAGTGTTTCAAAACTGCTCTATGAAAAGGTATGTTCAACACTGTGAGATGAATGCAAACGTCACAAAGAAGTTGCTGAGAATGCTTCAGTCTAGTTTCTATGTGAAGATATTTCCTTTTCGACCACAGCCCTCAAAGCACTCCAAATGTCTACTTGCAGATTCGATAAAAGAGTTTTTCAAAACTGCTCTATCAAAAGAAAGGTTCAACGCTGTGAGTTGAATCTACATATCACAAATAAGTTTCTGAGAATGGCTCTATCTACTTTTTATGTGAAGATATTCCGGTTTCCAACGAAGGCCTCAAAGCGCTCCAAATATCTACTGGCAAATTCTACAAAAAGAGTGTTTCAAAACTGCTCTATTAAAGGAAGGTTCAACTCTGTGAGTTGAATTCACACATCACAAAGAAGTTTCTGAGAATGCTTCTACCTAGTTTTTATGTGAAGATAGTACTGTTTCCTATGAAGGCCTCAAAGTGGTCCAAATATCCACTTGCAGATTCTACAAAAAGAGGTTTTCCAAACTGCCCTATGAAGAGGTAGGTTCAACTCTGTGAGTTGAATGCAAACATCACAAAGTAGTTTCTGGGATTGCTTCGGTCTAGTTTTTAGGTGAAGATATTTCCATTTGCACAATAGCCCTCAAAGCGCTCCAAATATCCACTGGCGGATTCTACAAAAAGAGTGTTTCAGAACTGCTCTGTCAAAAGAAATGTTCAACTGTGTTAGTTGAATGCCCACATCACAAAGAAGATTCTGAGAATAATTCTGTCTAGTTTTTATTCGAAGATATTCCCGTTTCCACCTAAGGACTCAAAGCGCCCCAAATATCCACTTGCAGATCTTACAAAAACACGTTTCAAAACTGCTCTCTCAAAGGAACGGTTCATCTCTCTGGGTTCAATGCACACATCACAAAGAAGTTTCTGAGAATGCTTCTGGCTAGTTTTTAATGTGAGGATATTCCCATTTCCAACAAAGGCTTCAAAGCGCTCCAAATATTCACCTGCAATTGTACAAAAGAGTGTTTCAAAACTCTTCTATCAAAAGGAAGGTTCAACTCTGTGAGTTGAATGCATACTTCACATAGATGTTTCTGAGAATGCTTCTTTCTAGTTTTTATGTGAAGATATTTCCTTCTCCACCATAGCCCTCAATGCGCTCCAAATGTCCACTGGCAGATTCCACGGAAACAGGGTTTCAAAACTGCTCTAACAAAAGAAAAGTTCAACTCCGTGATTTGGATGCACACATCACACAGCAGTTTCTGTGAATCCTTCTGTCTAGATTTTATATGAGGATGTTTCCTTTTCTACCATGGGCATCAAAGCCTTCCACATATCCAATGGTAGATTGTACAAAAGAGTGTTTCAAAACTGCTTTATGAAAAGGAAGGTTCAACTTTGGGAGCAGAATGCACACATCACGAAGAAGTTTCCGAGAATGCTTCTGTCTAGTTTATATGTGAAGATATTCCCATTTCCAGCAAAGGTCTCAAAGCGGTCCAAATATCCACTTGCGGATTCCCCAAAAAGAGTGTTTCAAAACTGCTCTATGGAAAGGTATGTTCAACTCTGTGAGTTTAATGCAAACATCATAAAGAAGTTTCTGAGGATGCTTCTGTCTAGTTTAATGGGAATATATTTTCTTTTCCACCATAGCCCTCAAATAGCTCCAAATATCCACTTTCAGATTCTACAGAGTGTTTCAAAACTGCTCTATCAAAAAAAAGTTTCAACTCTGTGAGTTGAATGCACATATCTCTAAGTAGTTTCTGAGAATGCTTTTGTCTGTTTTTCATAGGAAGATATTTCCTTTTTGACCATAGGCCTCAAATCGCTCCAGATATCCACATGCAGATTCTACACAAAGAGTGTTTCAAAACTGCTCTATCAAAAGGAAGGTTCAACTCTGGTAGTTGAATGCAAACATCACAAAGAAGTTTCTCAGAATGCTTCTGTCTAGTTTTTATATGCAGATATTTCTTTTTCTACCATAGGCCTCAAAGCGCTCCTGATATCCACTTGCAGACTCTACAGAAAGAGTGTTTCAAAACTGCTCTATCAAAAGGAAGGTTCAACTCTGTGAGCTGAATGGACAGATCACAAAGGAGTTTCTGAGAATGCTTATGTCTAGTTTTTATGTGAAGATATTCCCGTTTCCAAGGAAGGCTTCAAAGCACTCCAAATATCCACCTGCAGATTCTACAACAAGTGTCTTTCAACACTGCTCTATCAAAAGTGAGGTTCCACTCGGTGAGTTGAATGCACACATCACAAAGAAGTTTCTAAGAATCCTTCAGTCTAGTTTTTATGTGAAGATAATCCCGTTTCCAACGAAGGCCTCAAAGCAGTCCCAGTATCCACTTGCAGATTCTACAAAAATAGTGTTTGAAAACTGGACTATATAAAGAGAAGTTCAACTTTCTGAGTTGAATGCAAACATCACAAAGGAGTTTTACAGAATACTTCAGTCTAGTTTTTATGAGAAGATATTTCCTTTTTCACCATAGCCCTTGACGTGCTCCAAAAGCCCACTGGTGCATTCTACAAAAAGAGTGTTGCAAAACTGCCCTATTAAAAGGAAGGATCAACTCTGTGAGTTGAATGCAAACATCACAAAGATGTTTCTGAGAATGCTTCTGTCCAGTTTTTATGTGAAGACATTCCCTTTCCACCAGAGGCCTCAAAGTGTTCCCAATATCCACTTGCTGATTCTACAAAAACGCTGTTTCAAAACCGCTCCATAAAAAAGATGGTTCAACTCTGTGAGTTGAATACACACATCACAAAGAAGTTTCAGAGAATGCTTCTGTCTAGTGTTTATGTGAAGATATTCCCGTTTCCAATGAAGGCCTCAAAGCAGTCCAAATATCCACTTGCAGATACTACAAAAATAGTGTTTCAAAACTGCTCTATGAAAAGGTATGTTCAACACTGTGAGATGAATGCAAACGTCACAAAGAAGTTGCTGAGAATGCTTCAGTCTAGTTTCTATGTGAAGATATTTCCTTTTCGACCACAGCCCTCAAAGCACTCCAAATGTCTACTTGCAGATTCGATAAAAGAGTTTTTCAAAACTGCTCTATCAAAAGAAAGGTTCAACGCTGTGAGTTGAATCTACATATCACAAAAAAGTTTCTGAGAATGGCTCTATCTACTTTTTATGTGAAGATATTCCGGTTTCCAACGAAGGCCTCAAAGCGCTCCAAATATCTACTGGCAAATTCTACAAAAAGAGTGTTTCAAAACTGCTCTATTAAAGGAAGGTTCAACTCTGTGAGTTGAATTCACACATCACAAAGAAGTTTCTGAGAATGCTTCTACCTAGTTTTTATGTGAAGATAGTACTGTTTCCTATGAAGGCCTCAAAGTGGTCCAAATATCCACTTGCAGATTCTACAAAAAGAGGTTTTCCAAACTGCCCTATGAAGAGGTAGGTTCAACTCTGTGAGTTGAATGCAAACATCACAAAGTAGTTTCTGGGATTGCTTCGGTCTAGTTTTTAGGTGAAGATATTTCCATTTGCACAATAGCCCTCAAAGCGCTCCAAATATCCACTGGCGGATTCTACAAAAAGAGTGTTTCAGAACTGCTCTGTCAAAAGAAATGTTCAACTGTGTTAGTTGAATGCCCACATCACAAAGAAGATTCTGAGAATAATTCTGTCTAGTTTTTATTCGAAGATATTCCCGTTTCCACCTAAGGACTCAAAGCGCCCCAAATATCCACTTGCAGATCTTACAAAAACACGTTTCAAAACTGCTCTCTCAAAGGAACGGTTCATCTCTCTGGGTTCAATGCACACATCACAAAGAAGTTTCTGAGAATGCTTCTGGCTAGTTTTTAATGTGAGGATATTCCCATTTCCAACAAAGGCTTCAAAGCGCTCCAAATATTCACCTGCAATTGTACAAAAGAGTGTTTCAAAACTCTTCTATCAAAAGGAAGGTTCAACTCTGTGAGTTGAATGCATACTTCACATAGATGTTTCTGAGAATGCTTCTTTCTAGTTTTTATGTGAAGATATTTCCTTCTCCACCATAGCCCTCAATGCGCTCCAAATGTCCACTGGCAGATTCCACGGAAACAGGGTTTCAAAACTGCTCTAACAAAAGAAAAGTTCAACTCCGTGATTTGGATGCACACATCACACAGCAGTTTCTGTGAATCCTTCTGTCTAGATTTTATATGAGGATGTTTCCATTTCTACCATGGGCATCAAAGCCTTCCACATATCCAATGGTAGATTGTACAAAAGAGTGTTTCAAAACTGCTTTATGAAAAGGAAGGTTCAACTTTGGGAGCAGAATGCACACATCACGAAGAAGTTTCCGAGAATGCTTCTGTCTAGTTTATATGTGAAGATATTCCCATTTCCAGCAAAGGTCTCAAAGCGGTCCAAATATCCACTTGCGGATTCCCCAAAAAGAGTGTTTCAAAACTGCTCTATGGAAAGGTATGTTCAACTCTGTGAGTTTAATGCAAACATCATAAAGAAGTTTCTGAGGATGCTTCTGTCTAGTTTAATGGGAATATATTTTCTTTTCCACCATAGCCCTCAAATAGCTCCAAATATCCACTTTCAGATTCTACAGAGTGTTTCAAAACTGCTCTATCAAAAAAAAGTTTCAACTCTGTGAGTTGAATGCACATATCTCTAAGTAGTTTCTGAGAATGCTTTTGTCTGTTTTTCATAGGAAGATATTTCCTTTTTGACCATAGGCCTCAAATCGCTCCAGATATCCACATGCAGATTCTACACAAAGAGTGTTTCAAAACTGCTCTATCAAAAGGAAGGTTCAACTCTGGTAGTTGAATGCAAACATCACAAAGAAGTTTCTCAGAATGCTTCTGTCTAGTTTTTATATGCAGATATTTCTTTTTCTACCATAGGCCTCAAAGCGCTCCTGATATCCACTTGCAGACTCTACAGAAAGAGTGTTTCAAAACTGCTCTATCAAAAGGAAGGTTCAACTCTGTGAGCTGAATGGACAGATCACAAAGGAGTTTCTGAGAATGCTTATGTCTAGTTTTTATGTGAAGATATTCCCGTTTCCAAGGAAGGCTTCAAAGCACTCCAAATATCCACCTGCAGATTCTACAACAAGTGTCTTTCAACACTGCTCTATCAAAAGTGAGGTTCCACTCGGTGAGTTGAATGCACACATCACAAAGAAGTTTCTAAGAATCCTTCAGTCTAGTTTCTATGTGAAGATAATCCCGTTTCCAACGAAGGCCTCAAAGCAGTCCCAGTATCCACTTGCAGATTCTACAAAAATAGTGTTTGAAAACTGGACTATATAAAGAGAAGTTCAACTTTCTGAGTTGAATGCAAACATCACAAAGGAGTTTTACAGAATACTTCAGTCTAGTTTTTATGAGAAGATATTTCCTTTTCCACCATAGGCCTCAAGGCCTTCGAAATGTCCACTTCCAGGTACTACAAAAAGAGTCTCAAAACTTCTCAATCAAAAGAAAGGTTTAACTCTGTGGGACGAATGCACACATCACAAAGAAGTTCCTCAGATTGATTCTGTCTAGATTTTATTTGAAGATATTTCCTTTTCTACCTTAAGCCGCAAAGCGTTCCAAATGTCCACTTGCAGATTCTAGAAAACAGAGTATTTCCAAACTGCTCAATCAAAAAAAAGATTCAAGTCTGTGAGATGAACACACACATCAAAAAGTATTTTCTCAGATTTCTTCTGTCTAGATTTCATGTGAAGACATTACCTTTTCTGCCGTAGGCTACAAAGCACTCCAAATGTCCACTTGCAGATTCTACAAAAAGAGTGTTTCCAAACTGCTCAATCAAAACAATTGTTCGACTCTGTGAGATGAACGCACACATCAGAAGGAAGTTTCTCAGAATTCTTCTATCTTCTTTTTATGTGAAGATATTCCCTTTTCCACCAGAGGTCTCAAAGTGCTCCAAATGTCTACTTCCACATTCTACAAAAAGAGAGTTTCAAAACTGCTCAATCAATAGAAAGGTTTAACTTGGTGAGAAGAATGCACACATCAAAAAGAAGTTTCTTAGATAACTTCTGTCTAGATATTATGTGAGGATACTTCCTTTTCTACCATAGGCCAAAAAGGGCTCCAAATGTCCAAATGCAGATTCTACAAAAAGAGAGTTTCCAAACACCTGAATCAAAAGAAAGGTTCAACTCTGTGAGATAAACGCACACATTACAAGGAAGTTTCTCAGAATTCTTCTGTCTAGTTTTTATGTGAAGATATTTCATTTTCTAACTTAGGCTGCAAAGCGCTCCAAATGTCCAGTTGCAGATTGCACAAAAAGAGTTTTTCCAAACTGCTCAATCAAAAGAAAAGTTCAACTCTGTGAGATGAAAGCACACATAAGAAAGAAATTTCTCAGATTGCTTCT
Organism: Homo sapiens; assembly: GCF_000001405.40. Taxonomy (NCBI): domain Eukaryota; kingdom Metazoa; phylum Chordata; class Mammalia; order Primates; family Hominidae; genus Homo; species Homo sapiens. The sequence goes on along the minus strand of NC_000019.10, from coordinate 24,419,643 downwards.
GTCTAGATTTTATGTGAAGGTATTTCCTTTTCTACCATAGGCCGCAAAGCACTCCAAATGTCCACTTGCAGATTCTACAAAAAGAGTGTTTCCAAACTACTCAATCAAAAGAAAGGTTCAACTGTGTGAGATGAACGCATATCAAAAAGTAGTTTCTCAGAATTCGTCTGTCTAATTTTTATGTGAACATATTTCCTTTTCCACCATATGCCTCAAAGTGCTCCAAATGTCCACTTGCAGATTCTACAAAAAGAGTGTTTCCAAACTGCTCAATAAAAAGAAAGATTCAACTCTGTGAGATGAACACACACATCACAAAGGAGTTTCTCAAATTTCTTCTGTCTAGATTTTATGTGAAGATATTTCCTTTTCTACAATAGGCCGCAATGCGCTCCAAATTTCCACTTACAGATTCTACAAAAAGATTGTTTCCAAACTGCTCAATGAAAACAAACATTCAACTCTGTGGGATTAATGCACACATCACAAAGAAGTTTCTCAGAATTCTTCCGTCTTGTTTTGTTGTGAAGATATTTCCTTCTCAAACATAGGCTGCAAAGTGATCCAAATGTCCACTTGCAGATTCTACAAAAGGAGTGTTTCCAAACTGCTCAACCAAAAGAAAGGTTCAACTCTGTGAGATGAACGCACACATCACAAGGAAGTTTCTCAGAATTCTTCTGTCTAGTTTTTATGTGAAGATATTTCCTTTTCCACCATAGGCCTCAAAGCGCTCCAAATGTCCACTTGCAGATACTACAAAAACAGAGTTTCAAAACTGCTCAATCAAAAGAAACGTTTAACTCTGTGAGATGAATGCACACATCACAAAGAAGTTTCTCAGATTGCTTCTGTCTAGATTTTATGTGAAGATATTTCCTTTTCTACCATAGACCACAGAGCGCTCCAAATGTCCACTTGCAGATTCTACAAAAAGAGAGTTTCAAAACTGCTTAATAAAAAGAAAGGTATAACTCTGTGAGATGAACACACACATTCTAAAGAAGTTTCTCAGAATTATTCTGTCTAGTTTTTATATGAAGATATTTCCTTTTCCAACATAGGCCTTAAAGCGCTCCAAATGTCCAGTTGCAGATTTTACAAAAAGAGTTTCAAAACTGCTCAATCAAAAGAACGGTTTAACTCGGTGACTTGAATGGACACATCGCAAATAAGTTTCTCAGATTGCTTCTGTCTAGATATTATGTGAAGATATTTGCTTTTCTATCATAGGCAGCAAAGCGCTCCAAATATCCATTTGCAGATTCCACAAAAGAGTGTTTCCAAACAGCTCAATCAAAAGAAAGGTCCAACTCTGTGAGATGAACGCATACATCACCAAGAAGTTTCTCAGAATTTTTTTGTCTAGTTTTCATGTGAATATATTTCGTTTTCTAACATAATCCACAAAGCGCTCCAAATGTCCATTTGCAGATTCTACAAAAAGAGTGTTTCCTAACTGCTCAATCAAAATAAACGTTGAAATCTGCGAAATGAATGCACACATCGCAGATAAGTTTCTCAGAATTCTTCTGTGTAGTTTTTATGTGAACATATTTCCTTTTCCACCATAGGCCTCAAAGTGTTCCAAATGTCCACTTGCAGATTCCACAAAAAGAGTATTTCAAACCAGGTCCATCAAAAGAAAGCTTCACTTCTGTTAGATGAATGCACAAATCAAAAAAGTTTCTCAGAATGCTTCTATAAAGTTTTTATGTGAAGATATTGCCTTTTCCACCTCAGGCCACAAAGCACTCCAAATGTTCACTTGCAGATTCTACAAAAAGAGTGTTTTTAACTGTACAATCAAAAGAAAGGTTCAACTCTCTGAGATGAATGCACATATCCCAAAGAAGTTTCTCTGAATGCTTCTGTGTCCTTTTAATGTGAAGATATTTCCTTTTCCATAATAGGCTTCCAAGCGCTTCAAATATCCACTTGCAGATTCCATAAAAAGTGTGTTTCAAAACTGCCCAATCAAAAGAAATATTCAACTCTGTGAGATGAATGCACACATTACAAAGAAGTTTCTCAGAATGCTTCTGTGTAGTTTTTGTGTGAAGATATTTCTTTTTCCAAAACAGGCCAGAAAGGGCTCCAAATATCCACTTACAGATTATACAGAAAGAGAGATTCAAAACTGCTCAATGAAAACAGAGGCTCTACTCTGTGAGTTGAATGCTCACATCACAAAGAAGATTCTGAGAATGCTTCTGTGTAGTTTTTATGTGAAGATATTTCCTTCTCCGCCATAGGCCTCAAGGCGCTCTAAAAACTGACTTGCAGATTGTACAAAAAGAGTGTTTCCAACTGCTCAATCAAAAGAAAGGTTCAACTCTGTGAGATGAATGCACACATCACAAAGAAGTTTCTGAGAATGCTTCTGTCTAGTTTTTATATGAAGATATTTCCTTTTCCACCATAGGCCTCAAATGGCTCCAAATATCCACTTGCAGATTCTACAAAAAGAGAGTTTCAAAGCTTCTCTCTAAAAAGATAGGTCAACTCTGTGAGTTGAATGCACAAATCACAAAGAAGTTTCTCAGAATGCTTCTGTGTAGTTTTTATGTGAAGATATTTCCTTTTCCACCATAGGCCTCAAAGAGTTCCAAATATGCACTTGCAGATTCTACAAAAAGAGAGTTTCAAAACTTCTCTCTAAAAAGATAGGTTCAACTCTGTGAGCTGAATGCACACATCCCAAAGAAGTTTCTCTGAATGCTTCTGTGTAGTTTCAATGTGAAGATATTTCCTTTTCCATAATAGGCTTCTAAGCGCTTCAAATATCCACTTGCAGATTCCATAAAAAGTGTGTTTCAAAACTGCCCAATCAAAAGAATTGTTCAATTCTGTGAGATGAATGCACACACTACAAAGCAGTTTCAAAGAATGCTTCTGTGTAGTTTTCATGTGAAGATTTTTCCTTTTCCAAAACAGGCCACAAAAGGCTCCAATTACCCACTTACAGATTATACAGAAAGAGAGATGCAAAACTGCTCAATTGAAAGAGAAGGTCAAATCTGTTAGTTGAATGTTCACATCACAAAGAAGATTCTGAGAATGCCTCTGTGTAGTTTTTATGTGAAGATATTTCCTTTTCCACCACAGGCCACAAGGCACTCCAAATACTGACTTGCAGATTGTACAAAAAGAGTGTTTCCAACTGCTCAATCAAAAGAAAGGTTCAATTCTGTGAGATGAATGCACACATCACAAAGAAGTTTCTCAGAATGCTTCTGTGTAGTTTTTATGTGAAGACATTTCGTTTTCCACCATAGGCCTCCAAGGGCTCCAAATATCCACTTGCAGATTCTACAAAAAGAGAGTTTCAAAGCTTCTCTCTCAAAAATAGGTTCAACTCTGTGAGTTGAATGCACACATCACAAAGAAGTTTCTCAGAATTCTCCTGTGTAATTTTTATGTGAAGACATTTCCTTTTCCACCATAGGCCTGAAAGCACTCCAAACAGGCACTTGAAGATTCTACAAAAAGAGAGTTTCAAAACTGCTCATTCAAAAGAAAGTTTCAACTCTGTGAGATAAATGCACAAATCACTAGGAAGTGTCTCAGAATGCTTCTGTGTAGTTTTTTGGTGAAGATATTTCCTTTTCCACTATAGGCCTCATAGTGATCCAAATATCCACTTGCAAATATCACAAAAAAATGTTTCAAAACTGCTCAATCAAAAGAAAGGTTCAACAGTGGAGATGACTGCACACCTCACAAAGAAGTTTCTCAGAATGCTTCTGTGCAGTTTTTATGTGAGAACGTTTCCTTTAACACCATAGGCCACAATGGGCTCCAAATATCCACTTGCAGATTCTCCAAAAAGAGAGTTTCAAAACTGCTCTATCAAAACATATGTTCCACTCTGTGAGTTGAATACACACATCACAAAGAAGTTTCTCAGAATGCTTCTGTGTAGTTTTTATGTGAAGATATGTCCTTTTCCACCATAAGCCTCAAAGCGCTCCAAATGTACACTTGTAGATTCTGCAAAAAGAGTGTTTCCAAACTGCTCTATCAAAAGAAAAGTTCAACTCTGTGAAATGAATGCACACATTACAATGAAGTTTCTCAGAATGCTTCTGTGTAGTTTTCATGTGAAGATATTTCCCTTTCCACAATATGTGTCAAAGTACTAAAAATATCTACTTGCAAATTCTACAAAAAGAGTGCTTCACACTGCTCAATCAAAAGAAACTTTCAACTCTGTGTGATGAAAGCACACATCACAAAGAAGTTTCTCAGAATGCTTCTGTGTAGTTTTTATGTGAAGACATTTCCTTTTCCACAATAGGTCGCAAAGGGCTCCAAATATACACCTGAAGATTCTACAAAAAGACGGATTCAAAACTGCTCAGTCAAAAGATAGGTTCAACACTGTGAGGTGAATGCCAACATCACCAAGTATATTCTCAGAATGCTTCTGTGTAGGTTTTAGGTGAAGATATTTCCTTTTCCACCATAGGCCTCGAAGGGCTCCAAATATCACCTTGCAGATTCTACAAGAAGAGTGTTTCAAAACTGCTCAATCAAAAGAAAATTCAACACCATGGGATGAATGCACACATCACATAGAAGTTTCTCAGAATGCTTCTGTGTAGTTTTCATGTGAAGATATTTCCTTTTCCGCAATAGGCCTCAAAGCACTCCAAATATCCACTTGCAGATGCTACTAAAAGATTGTTTCAAAACTGCTCAAATTAATTCAAGATGGATTAAAGACTTAAACGTTAGACCTAAAACCATGAAACCCTAGAAGAAAACCTAGACATTACTATTCAGGACACAGGCATGGGCAAGGACTTCTTGTCTAAACACCAAAAGCAATGGAAACAAAACCCAAAATTGACAAACGGGATCTAATGAAACTAAAGAGCTTCTGCACAGCAAAAGAAACTACCATCAGAGTGAACAGGCAACCTACAAAATGGGAGAAAGTTTTCATAACCTTCTCATCTGACAAAGGGCTAATATCCAGAATCTACAATGAACTCAAACAAATTTACAAGAAAAAAACAAACAACCCCATCCAAAAGTGGGCAAAGGACATGAACAGACACTTCTCAAAAGAAGACATTTATGCAGCCAAAAAACACATGAAAAAATGCTCATCATCACTGGCCATCAGAGAAATGCAAATCAAAACCACAATGAGATACCATCTCACACCAGTTAGAATGGCGATCATTAAAATGTCAGGAAACAACAGGTACTGGAGAGGATGTGGAGAAATAGGAACACTTTTACACTGTTGGTGGGACTGTCAACTAGTTCAACCATTGTGGAAGTCAGTGTGGCGATTCCTCAGGGATCTAGAACTAGAAATACCATGTGTCCCAGCCATCCCATTACTGGGTATATACCCAAAGGACTATAAATCATGCTGCTATAAAGACACATGCACACGTATGTTTATTGCGGCATTATTCACAGTAGCAAAGACTTGGAACCAACCCAAATGTCCAACAATGATAGACTGGATTAAGAAAATGTGGCCCATATACACCATGGAATACTATGCAGCCATAAAAAATGATGAGTTCATGTCCTTTGTAGGGACATGGATGAAATTGGAACTCATCATCTCAGTAAACTATGGCAAGAGCAAAAAACCAAACATTGCATATTCTCACTCATAGGTGAGAATTGAACAATGAGAAAACATGGACACAAGAAGGGGATCATCATACTCGTGGGACTGTTGTGGGGTGGGGGGAGGAGGGAGGGATAGCTTTAGGAGATATACCTAATGCTAAATGAAGAGTTAATGGGTGCAGCACACCAGTATGGCACATGTATACACATGTAACTACCCTGCACATTGTGCACATGTACCCTAAACTTAAAGTATAATAATAATAAAAGAAAAAAATAAATAAATTTTTAAAAATTAAAATGTAAAAAAAAAAGACATGTTCAACTCTATGAGATGAATGCACACATCACAAAGAAGTTTCTCAGAATGCTTATGTGTAGTTTTTATGTGAAGATATTTCCTTTTCCACAGTAGGCCACGAAGGACACAAAATATCCACTTGCAGATTCTACAAAAAGAGAGATACAAAACTGCTGAATCAAAAGATACGTTCAAGTCTGCGAGTTGAATGCACACATCACAAAGAAGTGTCTCAGAATGCTTCTGGGTAGTTTTTATGTGAAGATATTTCCTTTTCCACCATAGGCCACAAAGGGCTCCAAATATCCATTTGCAGATTCTACTAAAAGAGTTTCAGAACTGCTCAAACAACAGATAGGTCAACTTGTGAGTTGAATTTACACATCACAAAGAAATGTGTCAGAAAACTTCCACATAGTTTTTATGTGAAGATATTTACTTTTTCACAATAGGCCTCAACGAGCTCCAAATATCCACTAGCAGATTCTACAAAAAGAGTGTTTCAAAATTGCTGAACAAAAAAAAAAAGGTTCAACTCTGTGAGATGAATGCACACATCACAAAGAAGTTTCTCAGAATGCTTCTGTGTAGTTTCTATGTGAAAATATTTCCTTTTCCACAATAGGCCTCAAATAGCTCCAAATATCCACTTGCAGAAGTTACAAAAAGAGTGTTTCAAAACTACTCAATCAAAAGAAAGGTTCAATTCTGTGAGATGAATGCACAGATCACAAAGAAGTTTCTCAGAACGCTTCTGTGTAGGTTTTATATGAAGATATATCCTTTTCCACAATAAACCTCAAAGCACCCCAAATATCCACTTGCAGATTTTACAAAAAGAATGTTTCAAAACTGCTGAATCAAAGGAAAGGTTTAACCTTACGAGATGAATGAAGACATTGCAAATAAGTTTCTCAGAATACTTCTGCAAAGTTTTTATGTGAAGATATTTCCTTTTCCATCATTGGCCACAAAGGGATCCAAATCCCCACTTGCAGATTCTACAAAAAGAGAGGTTCAAAACTGCTCAATCAAAAGATAGGTTCAAATCTGTGAGTTGAATGCACACATCCAAAAGAAGTTTCTCAGAATTCTTCTGTGTAGTTTTTATGTGAAGATATTGCCTTTTCCACCATTGGCCTGAAACCACTCCAAATATCCACTAGCAGATTCTTCAAAAAGAGTGTTTCCAAACTGCTCAATCAAAAGAAAGCTTCAACTCAGTCAGATGAATGCACACATCACAAAGAAGTTTATCAGAATGCTTCTGTGTAGTTTTTATGTGTATATATTTCTTTTTCCAAAATAGGCCTCAAGGCGCTCCAAATATCCATTTGCAGATTCTACAAAAGATGTTTTTCAAAACTGCTCAATCAAAAGAAAGCTTCAACTCTGTGAGATGAATTCACACATCACAAAGAAGTTTCTGAGAATGACTCTGTGTAGTTTTCATGTGAAGATATTTCCTTTTCCACCGTTGGCTGCAAAGGGCTTCAAATATTCACCTTAGATTCTACAAAAAGAGAGTTTCAAAACTGCTCTATCAAAAGAAAGGTTTAAATTTGTGAAATGAATGCACACATAACAAAGAAGTTTCTCTGAATACTTCTGTGTAGTTTTTATGTGAAGATATTTCGTTTTCCACCATTTCCTCAAAGCGCTCCATCCATCCTCTTGCAGATTCTACAAAAAGAGTGTTTCAAAACTGTTCAATCCAAAGTCAGGTTCAAATCTGTGACATGAAAGTAAACATCACAAAGAAGTTTCTCAGAATACTTCTGTGTAATTTTTATGTGAGGATATTTCCTTTTCCACTAGAGGCCTCAAGGTGCTCCAAATATCTACTTGCAGATTCTACAAAAAGAGTGCTGAAAAACTGCAGTATCAAAAGAAAAGTTCACTTTGTGAAATGAATGCACACATGGCAAAGAAGTTTCTCAGAATGGTCTGTGTAGTTTTTATGTGAAGATATTTCCTTTTCCTCAAAGCTCTCCAAACATCCACTTGCAGATTCTACAAAACGAGTGATTCAAAAGTATTCAATCAAAAGAAAGGTTCAACTCTGTGAGGTGAATGCACACATCACAAGAATTTTCTCAATATGCTTCTGTGTAGGTTTTATGTGAAGATATTTCCCTTTCCACAATAGACCTCAAAGCTCCCCAATATCCACTTCCAGATTCTACAAAAAGAGAGTTTCAAAACTGCTCCATCAAAAGATAGGTTCAACTCTGTGAGTTTAATACACACATCACAAAGAAGATTCTCAGAATGTTTCTGTGTAGTTTATATGTGAAGATATTTTCTTTTCCACCATAGGCCTGAAAGTGCTCAAAGTGACCACTTGCAGATTCTACAAAAAGAGTGTTTCCAAATTGCTCAATAAAAAGAAAGGTTTAGCTCCATGAGAAGAATGCACACATCACAAAGAAGTTTCTCAGAATGCTTCTGTGTAGTTTTTAGGTGAAGATATTTCCTTTTCCACAAAAGGACCCAAAGCGCTACAAATATCCACTTGCAGATTCTACATAAAGAGTGTTTCAAAACTACTGAGTCCAAACAAAGTTCAACTCTGTGAGATGAATGCACACATCACAAAGAAATTCATCAGAATGCTTCTGTGTAGTTTTTATCTGAAGATATTCCTTTTCCACAAAAGGCAACAAAGGTCTCCAAATATCCCCTTGCAGATTCTACAAACAGAGTGTTTCCAAACTCCACAGTCAAAAGAAAAATTCAACTCTGAGAGCGCCTCTCCTCCTTCAAAGGAATGCAGTTCCTCACCAGCAACGGAACAAAGCTGGACGGAGAACGACTTTGAAGAGCTGAAAGAAGAAGGCTTCAGAAGATCAAATTACTCTGAGCTATGGGAGGACATTCAAACCAAAGGCAAAGAAGTTGAAAACTTTGAAAAAAATTTAGAAGAATGTAAAACTAGAATAACCAATACAGAGAAGTACTTAAAGGAGCTGATGGAGCTGAAAACCAATGCTCAAGAACTACGTCAAGAATGCAGAAGCCTCAGGAGCCGATGTGATCAACTGGAAGAAAGGGTACCAGCAATGGAAAATGAAATGAATGAAATGAAGTGAGAAGGGAAGTTTAGAGAAAAAAGAATAAAAAGAAATGAGCAAAGCCTCCAAGAAATATGGGACTATGTGAAAAGACCAAATCTACGTCTGATTGGTGTACCTGAAAGTGACGGGGAGAATGGAATCAAGTTGGAAAACACTCTGCAAGATACTATCCAGGAGAACTGCCCCAATCTAGCAAGGCAGGCCAACGTTCAGATTAAGGAAATACAGAGAACACCACAAAGATACTCATCGAGAAGAGCAACTCCAAGACACACAATTGTCAGATTCACCAAAGTTGAAATAACGAAAAAATGTTAAGGGCAGCCAGAGAGAAAAGTCGGGTTATGCTCAAAGGGAAGCCAATCAGACTAACAGCAGATCTCTCGGCAGAAACCCTACAAGCCTGAAGAGAGTGGGGACAAATATTCAACATTCTTAAAGAAAAGAATTTTCAAACCATAATTTCATACCCAACCAAACTAAGCATCATAACTGAAGGAGAAATAAAATCCTTTACAGACAAGCAAATGCTGAGAGATTTTGTCACCACCAGGTCTGCCATAAAAGAGCTCCTGAAGGAAGCGCTAAACATGGAAAGGAACAACCAGCACCAGCCGCTGCAAAATCATGCCAAAATGTAAAGACCATCAAGACTAGGAAGAAACTGCATCAACTAATGAGCAAAATAACCAGCTAACATCATCATAACAGGATCAAATTCATACATAATAAAATTAACTTTAAATGTAAATGGACTAAATGCTCCAATTAAAAGACACAGACTGGCAAATTGGATAAAGAGTCAAGACAGATCAGGGTGCTGTATTCAGGAAACCCATCTCACATGCAGAGACACACATAGGCTCAAAATAAAAGGATGGAAGAAGATCTACCAAGCAAATGGAAAACAAAAAAAGGCAGGGGTTGCAATCCTAGTCTCTGATAAAACAGACTTTAAACCAACAAAGATCAAAAGAGACAAAGAAGGCCATTACATAATGGTAAAGGGATCAATTCAAAAAGAAGAGCTAACTATCCTAAATATATATGCACCCAATACAGGAGCACCCAGATTCATAAAGCAAGTCCTGAGTGACTTACAAAGAGGCTTAGACTCCCACACCTTAATAATGGGAGACTTTAACACCCCACTGTCAACATTAGACAGATCAACGAGACAGAAAGTCAACAAGGATACCCAGGAATTGAACTCAGCTCTGCACCAAGCAGACCTAATAGAAATCTACAAAACTCTCCACCCCAAATCAACAGAATATACATTTTTTTCAGCACCACACCACACCTATTCCAAAATTGACCACATACTTGGAAGTAAAGCTCTCCTCAGCAAATGGAAAAGAAAAGAAATTATAACAAACTATCTCTCAGACCACAGTGCAATCAAACTAGAACTCAGGATTAAGAATCTCACTCAAAACCGCTCAACTACATGGAAACTGAACAACCTGCTCCTGAATGACTACTGGGTACATAACGAAATGAAGGCAGAAATAAAGATGTTCTTTGAAACCAACGAGAACAAAGACACAACATACCAGAATCTCTGGGACACATTCAAAGCAGTGTGTAGAGGTAAATTTATAGCACTAAATGCCCACAAGAAAAAGCAGGAAAGATCCAAAATTGACACCCTAACACCACAATTAAAAGAACTAGAAAAGCAAGAGCAAACACATTCAAAAGGTAGCAGAAGGCAAGAAATAACTAAAATCAGAGCAGAACTGAAGGAAATAGAGACACAAAAAAACCCTTCAAAAAATTAATGAATCCAGGAGCTGGTTTTTTGAAAGGATCAACAAAATTGATAGACTGCTAGCAAGACTAATAAAGAAAAAAAGAGGGAAGAATCAAATAGATGCAATAAAAACTGATAAAGGGGATATCACCACCAATCCCACAGAAATACAAACTACCATCAGAGAATACTAAAAACACCTCTACACAAATAAACTAGAAAATCTAGAAGAAATGGATAAATTCCTCGACACATACACTCTCCCAAGACTAAACCAGGAAGAAGTTGAATCTCTGAATAGACCAATAACAGGATCTGAAATTGTGGCAATAATCAATAGCTTACCAACCAAAAAGAGTCCAGGACCAGATGGATTCACAGCCGAATTCTACCAGAGGTACAAGGAGGAGCTGGTACCATTCCTTCTGAAACTATTCCAATCAATAGAAAAAGAGGGAATCCTCCCTAACTCATTTTATGAGGCCAGCATCATTCTGATACCAAAGCCAGGCAGAGACACAATGAAAAAAGAGAATTTTAGACCAATATCCTTGATGAACATTGATGCAAAAATCCTCAATAAAATACTGGCAAACCGAATCCAGCAACACATCAAAAAGCTCATCCACCATGATCAAGTGGGCTTCATCCCTGGGATGCAAGGCTGGTTCAATATATGCAAATCAATAAATGTAATCCAGCATATAAACAACCAAAGACAAAAACTAAATAATTATCTCAATAGATGCAGAAAAGGCCTTTGACACAATTCAACAACATTTCATGCTAAAAACTCTCAATAAATTAGGTATTGATGGGACATATCTCAAAATAATAAGAGCTAATTATGACAAACCCACAGCCAATATCATACTGAATGGGCCAAAACTGGAAGCATTCCCTTTGAAAACTGGCACAAGACAGGGATGCCCTCTCTCACCACTCCTATTCAACATAGTGTTGGAAGTTCTGGCCAGGGCAATTAGGCAGGAGAAGGAAATAAAGGGTATTCAATTAGGAAAAGAGGAAGTCAAATTGTCCCTGTTTGCAGGCGACATGATTGTATATCTAGAAAACCCCATTGACTCAGCCCAAAATCTCCTTAAGCTGATAAGCAACTTCAGCAAAGTCTCAGGATACAAAATCAATGTACAAAAATCACAAGCATTCTTATACACTGACAACAGACAAACAGAGAGCCAAATCATGAGTGAAATCCCATTCACAATTTCTTCAAAGAGAATAAAATACTTAGGAATCCCAATAACCAGGGATGTGAAGGACCTCTTCAAGGAGAACTACAAACCACTGCTCAATGAAATAAAAGAGGATACAAACAAATGGAAGAACATTCCATGCTCATGGGTAGGAAGAATCAATATCGTGAAAATGGCCATACTGCCCAAGGTAATTTACAGATTCAATGCCATCCCCATCAAGCTACCAATGCCATTCTTCACAGAATTGGAAAAAACTACTTTAAAGTCTATATGGAACCAAAAAAGAGCCCACATCGCCAAGTCAATCCTAAGCCAAAAGAACAAAGCTGGAGGCATCACACTACCTGACTTCAAACTATACTACAAGGCTACAGTATCCAAAACAGCATGGTACTGGTACCAAAACAGAGATACAGATCAATGGAAGAGAACAGAGCCCTCAGAAATAACACCACATATCTACAACTATCTGATCTTTGACAAACCTGAGAAAAACAAGCAATGGGGAAAGGATTCCCTATTTAATAAATGGTGCTGGGGAAACTGGCTAGCCATATGTAGAAAGCTGAAACTAGATCCTTTCCTTACATCTTATACAAAAATCAATTCAAGATGGATTAAAGACTTAAACATTAGACCTAAAACCATAAAAACCCTAGAAGAAAACCTAGGCAATACCATTCAGGACATAGGCATGGGCAAGGACTTCATGTCTAAAACACCAAAAGCAATGGCAACAAAAGACAAAATTGACAAATGGGATCTAATTAAACTAAAGAGCTTCTGTAGAGTAAAAGAAACTACCATCAGAGTGAACAGGCAACCTACAACATGGGAGAAAATTTTTGCAACCTACTCATCGGACAAAGGGCTAATATCCAGAATCTACAATGAACTCAAACAGATTTACAAGAAAAAAACAAACAACCCCATCCAAAAGTGGGCAAAGGACATGAATAGACACTTCTCAAAAGAAGACATTTATGCAGCCAAAAAACACATGAAAAAATGCTCATCATCACTGGCCATCAGAGAAATGCAAATCAAAACCACAATGAGATACCATCTCACACCAGTTAGAATGGTGATCATTAAAAAGTCAGGAAACAACAGGTGCTGGAGAGGATGTGGAGAAATAGAAACACTTTTACACTGTTGGTGGGACTGTAAACTAGTTCAACCATTGTGGAAGTCAGTGTGGCGATTCCTCAGGGATCTAGAACTAGAAATACCATTTGACCCAGCCATCCCATTACTGGGTATATACCCAAAAGACTATAAATCATGCTGCTATAAAGACACATGCACACGTATGTTTATTGCAGCACTATTCACAATAGCAAAGACTTGGAACCAACCCAAATGTCCAACAATGATAGACTGGATTAAGAAAATGTGGCCCATATACACCATGGAATACTATGCAGCCATAAAAAGTGATGAGTTCATGTCCTTTGTAGGGACATAGATGAAATTGGAAATCATCATTCTCAGTAAACTATCGCAAGAACAAGAAACCAAACACCGCATATTCTCACTCATAGGTGAGAATTGAACAATGAGATCACATGGACACAGGAAGGGGAACATCACACTCTGGGGACTGTTGTGGGGTGGGGGTAGGGGGGAGGGATAGTATTGGAAGATATACCTAATGCTAGATGACGAGTTAGTGGGTGCAGTGCACGAGCATGGCACATGTATACATATGTAACTAATCTCCACAGTGTGCACATGTACCCTAAAACTTAAAGTATAATAATAAAAGAAAAAAAAAATTCAACTCTGTGAGATGAATACACACATCACAAAGAAATTTCTCAGATAGCTTCTGTGTAATTTTTATGTGAAGATATTTCCTTTTACACCATAGGCCTCAATGCACTCCAAACATTCACTTGCAGATTATACAAAAAGAGTGTTTCCAAACTGCTCAATCAAAAGAAAGTTTCAACTCTATGACATGAAAACACAAATCACAAAGAAGTTTCTCAGACTGTTTCTGTGTAGTCTTTATGTGAAGATATTTCCTTTTCCACAATAGACCTCAAAGCACTACAATTATCCACTTGCTGACTGTACAAAAAGAGTTTTTCAAAATACTCAATAGAAAGAAAAGCTCAACTCTGTGAGAAGAATGCACTGATCACAAAGAATTTTCTCAGAATGCTTCTGTGTATTTTTTATATGAAGATATTTCCTTTTCCACCGTAGACCGCAAGGGGCTCCAAATATCCACTTGCAGATTCTACAAAGAGAGAGATTCAAAATTGCTCAATCAAAAGATAGGTACAAGTCTGTGAGTTGAATGCACACATCACAAAGAAGTTTCTCAGAAAGCTTCTGTGCAGTTTTTATGTGAAGATATTTCCTTTTCCAACATAGGCCGCAAAGGTCTCCAAATATCCAATTGCAGATTGTATAAAAAGTGAGTTTCAAAACTTCTCAATCAAAAGATACGTTCAACTCTGTTAGTTGAATGCACACATCACAATGAAGTTTCCCAGAATGCTTCTGTGTATTTTTTATGTGAAGATATTTCCTTTTCCACCATAGACATCAAAGAACCGAAAATATCCATTTGCAGATTCTACAAAAAGAGTGTTTTCAAACTGCTTAATCAAAAGAATGGATCAACTCAGTAAGATGAATCCACACATCACAAAGAAGTTTCTCAGAATGCGTCTATGTAGTTTTTAGGTGAAGATATTTCCTTTTCCACAGTAGGCCCCAAAGCACTCCAAATATCCACTTTCAGATTCTACAAATTAGTGTTTACAAACTTCTCAAACAAAAGAAAGTTTCAACTCTGTGAGATGAATGCAAACAACCCAAAGAAATTTCTCAGATTTCTTTTGTGTAGTTTTTATGAGTAGATATTTCCTTTTCCACCATATGCCGCAAAGGGCTCAAAATATCCACTTTCAGATTCTACAAAAAGAGAGGTGCAGAACTGTTCCATCAAAAGATAGGTTCAACTCGGTGAGTTGAATACACTCATCACAAAGAAGTTTCTCAGAATGCTTCTGTATAGTTTTTATGTGAAGATATTTCGTTTTCCACAATAGGCCCCAAAGAACTCCAAATATCCACTTGCAGATTCTACAAAAGGAGTGTTTCAAAACTACTGAATCAAAAGAAATTTTCAACTCTGTGAGATGAATGAAGACATCACAAAGAAGTTCATCAGAATGCTTCTGTGTTGTTTTTATTGTAAGATATTTCCTTTTCCACCAGAGGCTTCAAAGCTCTCCAAATATACAGTTGAAGATTCTACAAAAAGAGTGTTTCAAAACTGCTCAATCAAAAGGAAGGTTCAACTCTGTGAGATGAATGCACACATCACAAAGAAGTTTCTCAGAATTCTTCTGTGTAGTTTTTATGTGAAGATAATTCGTTTTCCAAAATAGGCCTCAAAGCTCTCTAAATATCAACTTGCAGATTCTACAAAAGAGTGTTTTCAAACTGCTCAATCAAAAGAAGTGTTCAACTCTGTGAGGTGAATACACATATCACAAAGAATTTTGTCACAATGCTTCTTTGTAGCTTTCATGTGAAGATATTTTCATTTGCACCATAGCCCACAAAAGGCTCCACATATCCACTTGCAGATTCGACATACAGAGAGTTTCAGAACGACTCAATCAAAAGAAAGCTTCAACTCTCTGAGATGAACGCACACTTTGCAAAGAAGTTTCTCAGAATGCATCTGTGTAGTTTCTATGTGAAGACATTTCCTTTTCCAAAATAGGCCTCAAAGCGCTCCAAATATCCACTTGCAGATTCTGCAAAACGAGTGTTTCAAAATTGCTCAATCTTAAGAAAGATTCAACTCTGTGAGATGAATGCACACATCACAAGAATTTTCTCAGTACGCTTCTGTGTATTTTTGATGAGAAGATATTTCCTTTTCCACCATAGGCCTCAAAGCACTCCAAATATCCACTTGCAGATTCTACAAAAAGACTGTTTCAAAACTACTCAATCAAAAGACACTTTCAACTCTGTGAGTTGAATGCACACATCACAGAGAAGTTTCTCAGAATGCTTCTGTGTAGTTTTTGTGTGAAGATATTTCCTTTTCCAGAATAGGCCTCAAAGCACTCCAAATATCCACTTGCAGAATGTACAAAAAAGTTCTTCCAAACTGCTCAATCAAAATAAAGATTCAACTCTGTGAGATGAATGCACACATCACAAAGAAGTTTCTCAGATTACTTCTGTGTAGTTTTTATGTGAAGATGTTTCCCTTTTCCACAACAGGCCTCAAGGCGCTCCAAATATCCACTTGCAGATTCTACAAAACGAGTGTTTCAAAATTGCTCAATCAAAAGAAAGATTCAACTCTGTGAGATGAATGCACACATCACAAGAATTTTCTCAATATGCTTCTGTGTATTTTTGATGAGAAGATATTTCGTTTTCCACCACAGGCCTCAAAGCACTCCAAATATCCACTTGCAGATTCTACAAAAAGACTGTTTCAAAACT
Source organism: Homo sapiens (assembly GCF_000001405.40). Taxonomy (NCBI): domain Eukaryota; kingdom Metazoa; phylum Chordata; class Mammalia; order Primates; family Hominidae; genus Homo; species Homo sapiens. The sequence goes on along the minus strand of NC_000019.10, from coordinate 24,403,197 downwards.
ACTCAATCAAAAGATACTTTCAACTCTGTGAGTTGAATGCACACATCACAAAGAATATCTACTTGCAGAATGTACAAAAAGAGTTCTTCCAAACTGCTCAATAAAAATAAAGGTTCAACTCTGTGAGATGAATGCACACATCACAAAGAAGTTTATCAGATTACTTCTGTGTAGTTTTTATGTGAAGATGTTTCCCTTTTCCACAATAGGCCTCAAGGCACTCCAAATATCCACTTGCAGATTCTACAAAAAGAGCATTTTCAAACTGCTCAATCAAAAGAAAGATTCAACTCTGTGAGATGAATGCTCACATCACAAAGAAGTTTCTCAGAATGCTTCTGTGTAGTTTTAATTTGTAGATATTTCCTTTTCCACCATAGGCCACAAAAGGCTCCAAATATCCACTTACAGATTCTACAAAAAGAGAGTTTCAAAGCTGCTCAATCAAAAGATATGTTCAACTCTGTGAGTAGATTACACACAACACAAAGTAGTTTCTCACAATGCTTCTGTGTAGTTTCTATGTGAAGATATTTCCTTTTCCACCATAGACTGCAAATGGCTCCACATATCCACTTGCAGATTCTACAAAAAGAGAGTTTCAAACTGCTCAATTAAAAGATAATTTCAAATCTGTGAGTTGATTGCACACATCAAAATGAAGTTTCCCAGAATGCTTCTGTGTAGTTGTTATGTGAAGATATTTCCTTTTCCACCATAGGCCACAAATGTCTCCAAATATCCACTTGTAGACTCTACAAAAAGAGAGTTTCAAAACTGCTCAATCAAAAGAAAGGTTCAACTCTCTGAGATGAAGGCCCATGTCACGAAGACGTTTCTCAGAATGCTTCTGTGTAGTGTTTATGTGAACATATTTCCTTTTCCACAATTCGCCTCAAAGCACTCCAAATATCCACTTGCAGATTCCATAAAAAGAGATTTTCAAAACTGCTCAATCAAAAGAAAAGTTCAACTCTGTGAGATGAATGCACACATCACAAAGTAGTTTCTCAGAATGTTTCTTTGTAGTTTTTGTGTGAAGATGTTCCCTTTTCCTGAATAGGCCTCAAAGCGCTCCAAATATCCACTTGCAGATTCTAAAAAAAGAGAGTTTCCCCACTGCTCAAACAAAAGAAAGGATCACCTCTGTGAGATGAATGCTCACATCGCAAAGAAGTTTCTCAGCATGCCTCTTTGTAGTGTTTATGTGAAGATATTTCCTTTTCCACAATAGGCTTCAAAGCACTCCAAATATCTACTTACAGAATCTACAAAAAGAGTGTTTCAAAACTGCTCAATCAAAAGAAAGGTTCAGCTCTGTGAGATGAATGCACACATCACAAAGAAGTTTCTCAGAATGATTCTGTGTAGTTTCTATGTGAAAATATTTCCTTTTCCACTATAGGATGCAAAAGGCTCCAAATATCCACTTGCAGATTCTACAAAAAGAGTGTTTCAAACTGCTCTTTCAAAAGATAGGTTCAACTCTGTGAGTTGACTGCACACGTCACAAAGAAGTTTCTCAGAATTCTTCTCTATAGCTTTTATGTGAACATATATCCTTTTCAACCATAGGCCACAAATAGCTCCAAATATCCACTTGCAGATTCAACAAAAAGAAGTTTCAAAACTGTTCAATCAAAAATAAGGTTCAACTATGTGAGATGAATGCACACATCACAAAGAAGTTTTTCAAAATGCTTCTGTGTAGTTTTTATGTGAAGATATTTCCTTTTCCCCCATAGGCCACAAACGGTTCCAAATATCCACTTGCAGATTCTACAAAAAGAGACTTTCAAAACTGCTCAATCAGAAGATGGGTTTAAATCTGTGAGTTGATTGCACACATCACAAAGAAGTTTCTCAGAAAGCTTCTGTATAGTTTTTATGTGAAGATAGTTCCTTTTCCAGCTTAACCTTCAAAACGCTCCAAACATCCACTTGTGGAATCCACAAAAAGAGTGTTTCAAAACTGCTCAATGAAAAGATAGGTTCACCTACGTGAGTGCAATGCACACATCAAAAACAAGTTTCACAGAATGCTTCTATGTACTTTTTATGTGAAGATATTACCTTTTCCACGATAGGACTCAAAGCGCTCCAAATATCCACTTGCAGATTCTTCAAAAAGAAGTTTCCAAACCGCTCAATCAAAAGAAATCCTCAACTCTGTGAGATAAATGCACATATCACAAAGAAGTTTCTCAGAATGTTTTTGAGTAGTTTTTATGTGAAGATATTTCCTTTTCCACCATAGGCCTCAAAGCACTCCAAATATCCACTTGCAGATTCAATAAAAAGAGTGTTTCAAAACTGCTCAATCAAAAGAAGGTTTCAACTCTGTGAGATGTATGCACACATCACTAAGTAATTTCTCAGAATTATTCTGCGTATTTTTTCTGTGAAGATATTTCCTTTTCCACCATTGGCCTCAAAGCACTCCAAATATCCACATGCAGACTCTACAAAAAGAATATTTCAAAACTGCTCAATCAAAAGAAAGTTTCAACTCTGTGACATGAATGCACACACCACAAAGAATTTTCTCAGAATGCTTCTGTGTAGTTTTTATTTGAATATATTTCCTTTTCCACCATAGGCTGCAAACGGCTCCAAGTATCCATTTGCAGATTTTCCAGAAAGGGAGTTTCAAAACTGCTCAATCAAAGATAGGTTCAACACTGAGAGTTGAAGGCACACATCACAAAGAACGTTCTCAGAATGCTTCTGTGTAGTTTTTATGTGAAGATATTTCCCTTTCCACAATAGGCCTCAAAGCGCTCCAAATATCCACCTGTAGTTTCTACAAAAAGAGTGTTTCAAAACTGCTCTATCAAAAGAAAGTTTCAACTCTGTGACATGAATGCACACACCACAAAGAATTTTCTAAGAATGCTTCGGTGTAGTTTTTAATTGAAGATATTTCCTTTTCCACCATAAGCTGCAAATGGGTCCAAATATCGATTTGCAGATTTTCCAAAAAGGGAGTTTCAAAACTGCTCATTCAAAGATAGGTTCAACACTGAGAGTTGAATGCACACATAGCAAATAAGTTTCTCAGAAATCTTCTGTGTAGTTTTTATGTGAAGATATTTCCCTTTCCACAATAGGCCTCAAAGCGATCCAAATATCCACCTGTAGTTTGGACAAAAAGAGTATTTCCAAACTGCTCAATCAAAAGAAACGTTCAATTCTCTGATATGAATGCACACATCACAAAGAAGTTCCTCAGAATGATTTTTTTTTTATTATACTTTAAGTTTTAGGGTACATGTGCACATTGTGCAAGTTAGTTACATATGTATACATGTGTGTCATGCTGGTGCGCTGCAACCACTAACTCGTCATCTAGCATTAGGTATATCTCCCAATGCTACCCCTCCCCCCGCCCCCACCCCACAACAGTCCCCAGAGTGTGATAGTAACCTTCCTGTGTCCATGTGATCTCATTGTTCAATTCCCACCTATGAGTGAGAATATGCGGTGTTTGGTTTTTTGTTCTTGCGATAGTTTACTGAGAATGATGATTTCCAATTTCATCCATGTCCCTACAAAGGACATGAACTCATCATTTTTATGGCTGCATAGTATTCCATGGTGTATATGGGCCACATTTTCTCAATCCAGTCTATCATTGTTGGACATTTGGGTTGGTTCCAAGTCTTTCCTATTGTGAATAATGCCTCAGTAAACATACGTGTGCATGTGTCTCTATAGCAGCATGATTTATAGTCCTTTCAGTACATATCCAGTAATGGGATGGCTGGGACACGTGGTATTTCTAGTTCTAGATCCCTGAGGAATCGCCACACTGACTTCCACAATGGTTGAACTAGTTGACAGTCCCACCAACAGTGTAAAAGTGTTCCTATTTCTCCACATCCTCTCCAGCACCTGTTCTTTCCTGACTTTTTAATGATTGCCATTCTAACTGGTGTGAGATGGTATCTCATTGTGGATTGATTTGCATTTCTCTGATGGCCAGTGATGATGAGCATTTTTTCATGTGTTTTTTGGCTGCATAAATGTCTTCTTTTGAGAAGTGTCTGTTCATGTTCTTTGCCCACTTTTGGATGGGGTTGTTTGTTTTTTTCTTGTAAATTTGTTTGAGTTCATTGTAGATTCTGGATATTAGCCCTTTTTCAGATGAGTAGGTTGCGAAAATTTTCTCCCATTTTGTAGGGTGCCTGTTCACTCTGATGGTAGTTTTTTTTTTGCTGTGCAGAAGCTCTTTAGTTTAATTAGATCCCATTTGTCAATTTTGTCTTTTGTTGCCATTGTTTTTGGTGTTTTAGACATGAAGTCCTTGCCCATGCCTATGTCCTGAATGGTATCGCCTAGGTTTTCTTCTAGGGTTTTTATGGTTTTAGGTCTAACGTTTAAGTCTTTAATCCATCTTGAATTGATTTTTGTATAAGATGTAAGGAAGGGATCCAGTTTCAGCTTTCTACATATGGCTAGCCAGTTTTCCCAGCACCATTTATTAAACAGGGAATCCTTTCCCCATTGCTTGTTTTTCTCAGGTTTGTCAAAGATCAGATAGTTGTAGATATGCGGCATTATTTCTGAGGGTTCTGTTCTGTTCCATTGATCTATATCTGTGTTTTGGTACCAGTACCATGCTGTTTTGGTTACTGTAGCCTTGTAGTATAGTTTGAAGTCAGGTAGTGTGATGCCTCCAGCTTTGTTCTTTTGCCTTAGGATTGACGTGGCTATGTGGGCTCTTTTTTGGTTCCATATGAACTTTAAAGTAGTTTTTTCCAATTCTGTGAAGAAAGGCATTGGTAGCTTGATGGGGATGGCATTGAATCTATAAATTACCTTGATCAGTATGGCCATTTTCACGATATTGATTCCTCCTATCCGTGAGCATGGAATGTTCTTCCATTTGTTTGTATCCTCTTTCATTTCATTGAGCAGCGGTTTGTAGTTCTCCTTGAAGAGGTCCTTCACATCCCTTGTAACTTGAATTCCTAGGTATTTTATTCTCTTTGAAGCAATTGTGAATGGGAGTTCACTCATGATTTGGCTCTCTGTTTGTCTGTTGTTGGTGTATAAGAAAGCTTGTGATTTTTGTACATTGATTTTGTATCCTGAGACTTTGCTGAAGTTGCTTATCAGCTTAAGGAGATTTTGGGCTGAGTCAATGGGGTTTTCTAGATATACAATCATGTCGTCTGCAAACAGGGACAATTTGACTTCTTCTTTTCCTAATTGAATACCCTTTATTTCCTTCTTCTGCCTAATTGCCCTGGCCAGAACTTCCAACACTATGTTGAATAGGAGTGGTGAGAGAAGGCATCCCTGTCTTGTGCCAGTTTTCAAAGGGAATGCTTCCAGTTTTGGCCCATTCAGTATGATATTGGCTGTGGTTTTGTCATAGATAGCTCTTATTATTTTGAAATATGTCCCATCAATACCTAATTTGTTGAGAGTTTTTAGCATGAAGGGTTGTTCAATTTTGTCAAAGGCTTTTTCTGCATCTATTGAGATAATCATGTGGTTTTTGTCTTTGGCTCTGTGTAATTGCTGGATTACATTTTTTGATTTGAGTATATTGAACCAGCCTTGCATCCCAAGGATGAAGCCCACTTGATCATGGTGGATAAGCTTTTTGATATGCTGCTGGATTCGTTTTGCCAGTATTTTATTGAGGATTTTTGCATCAATGTTCATGAAGGATATTGGTCTAAAATTCTCTTTTTTGGTGGCGTCTCTGCCCGGCTTTGGTATCAGAATGATGCTGGCCTCATAAAATGAGTTAGGGAGGATTCCCTCTTTTTCTATTGATTGGAATAGTTTCGGAAGGAATGGTACCAGCTCCTCCTTGTACCTCTGGTAGAATTCGGCTGTGAATACATCTGGTCCTGGACTCTTCTTGGTTGGTAAGCTATTGATTATTGCCACAATTTCAGATCCTGTTATTGGTCTATTCAGAGATTCAACTTCTTCCTGGTTTAGTCTTGGGAGAGTGTATGTGTCGAGGAATTTATCCATTTCTTCTAGATTTTCTAGTTTGTTTGTGTAGAGGTGTTTGTAGTATTCTCTGATGGTAGTTTGTATTTCTGTGGGATCGGTGGTCATATCCCCTTTATCATTTTTTATTGCATCTATTTGATTCTTCCCTCTTTTTTTCTTTATTAGTCTTGCTAGCGGTCTATCAATTTTGTTGATCCTTTCAAAAAAACAGCTCCTGGATTCGTTAATTTTTTGAAGGGTTTTTTGTGTCTCTATTTCCTTCAGTTCTGCTCTGATTTTAGTTATTTCTTGCCTTCTGCTAGCTTTTGAATGTGCTTGCTCTTCCTTTTCTAGTTCTTTTAATTGTGGTGTTCGGGTGTCAATTTTGGATCTTTCCTGCTTTTTCTTGTGGGCATTTAGTGCTATAAATTTTCCTCTACACACTGCTTTGAATGTGTCCCAGATATTCTGGTATGTTGTGTCTTTGTTCTCGTTGGCTTCAAAGAACATCTTTATTTCTGCCTTCATTTCGTTATGTACCCAGTAGTCATTCAGGAGCAGGTTGTTCAGTTTCCATGTAGTTGAGCGGTTTTGAGTGATATTCTTAATCCTGAGTTCTAGTTTGTTTGCACTGTGGTCTGAGAGATAATTTGTTATAATTTCTGTTCTTTTCCATAGATGTCTATTAGGTCTGCTTGGTGCAGAGCTGAGTTCAATTCCTGGGTATCCTTGTTGACTTTCTGTCTCGTTGATCTGTCTAATGTTGACAGTGGGGTGTTAAAGTCTCCCATTATTTAGGTGTGGGAGTCTAAGTCTCTTTGTAGGTCACTCAGGACTTGCTTTATGAATCTGGGTGCTCCTGTATTGGGTGCATATACATTTAGGATAGTTAGCTCTTCTTTTTGAATTGATCCCTTTACCATTATGTAATGGCCTTCTTTGTCTCTTTTGATCTTTGTTGGTTTAAAGTCTGTTTTATCAGAGACTAGGATTGCAACCCCTGCCTTTTTTTGTTTTCCATTTGCTTGGTAGATCTTCCTCCATCCTTTTATTTTGAGCCTATGTGTGTCTCTGCACGTGAGATGGGTTTCCTGAATACAGCACTCTGATGGGTCTTGACTCTTTATCCAATTTGCCAGTCTGTGTCTTTTAATTGGAGCATTTAGTCCATTTACATTTAAAGTTAATATTGTTATGTGTGAATTTGATCCTGTCATTATGATGTTAGTTGGTGATTTTGCTCGTTAGTTGATGCAGTTTCTTCCTAGTCTCGATGGTCTTTACATTTTGGCATGATTTTGCAGTGGCTGGTACCAGTTGTTCCTTTCCATGTTTAGCGCTTCCTTCAGGAGCTCTTTTATGGCAGGCCTGGTGGTGACAAAATCTCTCAGCATTTGCTTGTCTGTAAATTATTTTATTTCTCCTTCACTCACGAAGCTTCGTTTGGCTGGATATGAAATTCTGGGTTGAAAATTCTTTTCTTTAAGAATGTTGAATATTGGCCCCCACTCTCTTCTGGCTTGTAGGGTTTCTGCCCAGAGATCCACTGTTAGTCTGATGGGCTTCCCTTTGAGGGTAGCCCCACCTTTCTCTCTGGCTGCCCTTAACATTTTTTCCTTCATTTCAACTTTGGTGAATCTGACAGTTATATGTCTTGGAGTTGCTCTTCTCGAGGAGTATCTTTGTGTCGTTCTCTGTATTTCCTTAATCTGAACGTTGGCCTGCCTTGCTAGATTGGAGAAGTTCTCCTGGATAATATCCTGCAGAGTGTTTTCCAACTTGGTTCCATCCTCCCCGTCACTTTCAGGTACACCAATCAGACGTAGATTTGGTCTTTTCACATAGTCGCATATTTCTTGGAGGCTTTGCTCATTTCTTTTTATTCTTTTTTCTCTAAACTTCCCTTCTCGCTTCATTTCATTCATTTCATCTTTCATTGCTGATACCCTTCTTGCAGTTGATCACATCAGCTCCTGAGGCTTCTGCATTCTTCACATAGTTCTCAAGCCTTGGTTTTCAGCTCCATCTGCTCCTTTAAGCACTCCTCTGTATTGGTTATTCTAGTTATACATTCTTCTAAATTTTTTTCAAAGTTTTCAACTTCTTTGCCTTTGGTTTGAATGTCCTCCCATAGCTCAGAGTAATTTGATCATCTGAAGCCTTCTTCTCTCAACTCGTCAAAGTCATTCTCCATCCAGCTTTGTTCCGTTGCTGGTGAGGAACTGCATTCCTTTGGAGGAGGAGAGGCGCTCTGCTTTTTAGAGTTTCCAGTTTTTCTGTTCTGTTTTTTCCCCATCTTTGTGGTTTTATCTACTTTTGGTCTTTGATGACGGTGATGTACAGATGGGTTTTGGTGTGGATGTCCTTTCTGTTTGTTAGTTTTCCTTTTAACAGACAGGACCCTCAGCTTCAGGTCTGCTGGAATACCCTGCCATGTGAGGTGTCAGTGTGCCCCTGCTGGGCAGTGCCTCCCAGTTAGGCTGCTTGGGTGTCAGCGGTCAGGGACCCACTTGAGGAGGCAGTCTGCCCATTCTCATATCTTCAGCTGTGTGTTGGGAGAACCACTGCTCTCTTCAAAGCTGTCAGACAGGGACATTTAAGTCTGCCGAGGTTACTGCTGTCTTTTTGTTTGTCTGTTCCCTGTCCCCAGAGGTGGAGCCTACAGAGACAGGCAGGCCTCCTTGAGCTGTGGAGGGCTCCACCCAGTTCGAGCTTCCCAGCTGCTTTGTTTACCTAAGCAAGCCTGGGCAATGGTGGGCGCCCCTCCCCCAGCCTCACTGCCACCTTGCAGTTTGATCTCAGACTGCTGTGCTAGCAATTAACAAAACTCCGTGGGCATAGGACCCTCCAAGCCAGGTGCAGGATATAATCTCCTGATGTGCCATTTTTTAAACCGGTCAGAAAAGCCCAGTATTCAGGTGGGAGTGACCCGATTTTCCAGGTTCTTCTGTCACCCCTTTCTTTGACTCAGAAAGGGAACTCCCTGACCCCTTGCACTTCCCAAGTGAGGCAATGCCTCGCCCTGCTTCGGCTTGCGCACAGTGTGTGCACCCACTGTCCTGCACCCACTGTCTGGCACTCCCTAGTGATATGAACCCATTACCTCAGATGGAAATGCAGAAATCACCCATCTTCTGCATCACTCACGCTGGGAGCTGTAGACCAGAGCTGTTACTATTCGGCCATCTTGGCTCCTCCCCTCCCAGAATGATTTTTTGTTGTTTTTATGTGAAGATATTTCCTTTTACAATATGCCTCAAAGCGTTCCAAATATCCACTTGCAGATTCTACAAAAAGAGAGTTTCAAAACTGCTCAATCAAAGAAAGTTTCACCTCTCTGATATGAATGCACACATCAAAAAGAAGTTTCTCAGAATGCTTCTGTGTAGTTTTTAGGTGAAGATATTTCCTTTTCCACAATACGCCTCAAGGCCCTCCAAATATCCACTTGCAGGTTCTACGAAAACAGTGTTTCCAAACTGCTCAATCAAAGGAAACTTTCAACTCTGTGAGATGAATGCACACATCACAAAGAAGCTTCTCAGAATAATTCTGTGTAGTTTTTATGTGAAGATATTTCCCTTTCCACAATAGGCCTCAAAGCGCTCCAAATATACATTTGTAGATTCTACAAAAAGAGTGTTTACAAACTGCTCAATCAAAAGAAACATTCAATTCCCTGAGATGAATGCACACTTTGCAAAGAAGTTTCTCAGAATGATTTTGTGTAGTTTTTATGTGAAGATATTTCCTTTTCCACCATTGGCCCCAAAGGCTCCAAAAGTCCACTTGCAGATTCTACAAAAAGAGAGTTTCTGCTCTATCAAAAGGTAGGTTTAACTCTGTGAGTTGAATGTACACATCCCAAAGATGTTTCTCAGAATGCTTCTGTGTAGTTTTTATGTGAAGATATTTCCTTTTCCACAGTAGGTCAAAGTGCTCCATATATCCCCATGCAGATTCTACAAAAAGAGTGTTTCAAAACTGCTCAATCAAAAGAAAGGTTCAACTCTTTCAGATGAATGCACAGATCAAAAAGAAGTTCCTCAGAATGCTTCTGTGCACTTTTTATGTGAAAATTTTTCCCTTTCCACAATAGGCCACAAAGCGCTCCAAATATCCACTTGCAAATTCTACAAAAAGAGTGTTTCAAACTGCTAAATCAAAAGAAAGTATCAACTCTCTGAGATGAATGCACACATCACAGAGAAGTTTCTCAGAATACTTCTGTGTAGTTTTTATGTGAAAATATTTCCTTTTGCACCATAGGCCGCAAGGTGCTCCAAATATCCACTTGCAGATTCTACAAAAAGAGTGTTTCAAAACTGCTCAATCAAAAGAACGGTTCAATTCTGTGAAATGAATGCACACATCACAAAGATGGCTCTCAGAAAGCTTCTGGGTAGTTTTTATGTGAAGATATTTCCTTTTCCAAAATATGCCTCAAAGCGCTCCAAATATCCACTTGCAGATTCTACAAAAAGAGTGTTTCCAAACTGCTCAATCAAAAGAAACTTTCAACTCTGTTAGATGAATACACACATCACAAAGAACTTTCTCTGTATTTTTTTGTGTAGTTTTTATGTGGAGATATTTTGTTTTCCACCGTAGGCTGCAAATGGCTCCAAATATCCACTTGCTGATTCTACAAAAAGAGAGTTTCAAAACTGCACAATCAAAAGAAAGCTTCAGCTCTCTGAAGTGAAAGTACACTTCACAAAGGAGTTTCTCAGAATGCTTCTGTGTAGCTTTTATGTGAAGATATTTCCTTTTCCACAATAGACCTCAAAGCACTCCAAATATCCACCTGCAGATTCTACAAAAAGATTGTCTCAAAACTGCTCAAAGAAAGTTTCAACTCTGTTAGAATAATGCACACATCACAAAGAAATTTATCAGAATACTTCTGTGTAGTTTTTGTGTGAAGATATTTCCTTTTCCATCATAGGCCACCAAGGGCTCCAAACATCCACTTGCAGATATTCCAAAAAGTGAGATTCAAAACTGCTCAATCAAAGGATAGTTTCACCTCTGTGAGTTGAATGCACGCATCACCAATTACTTTCTAAGAATGCTTCTTTGTAGTTTTTGTGTGAAGATATTTCCTTTTCCACAATAGGGCTCAAAGCGCACCAAATATCTACTTGCAGATTATTCAAAAAAGAATGTTTCAAAGTTACTCTATCAAAAGAAATGTTCACCTCTGTGAGATGAATGCACACATCGCAAAGAGGTTTCTCAGAATCCTTCTGTGTAGTTTTTATGTGAAGATATTTCCTTTTCTCAATAGCCCTCACAGCTCTCCAAATATCCACATGTAGATTCTACAAAAAGAGTGTTTCAAAACTGCTGAATTAAAGGAAATGTTCAACTCTGTGAGATCAATGCATACATCACGAAGATGTTTCTCAGAATGTTTCTGTGTAATTTTTATGTGAAGATATTTCCTTTTCCACTATAGGCTGCAAAGCACTCAAAATATCCATTTTATATTCTACAAAAAGAGAGTTCGTAAACAGCTCTATCAACAGATAGGTTGAACTCTGTGAGTTGAATGAACACATCACATAGAAGTTCATTAGAATTCTTCTGTGTAGTTTTTATGTGAAGATATTTCCTTTTCAACCATAGACCTCAAAGTGCTCCAAATATCCACTTGCAGATTCGACAAAAAGAGAGTTTCAAAATTCCTCAATCAAAAGAGATTTTCAACTCTGTGAGTTGAATGCACTCATCACAAAGAAGTTTCTCTGAATGCTTCTGTGTAGTTTTTGTGTGAAAATATTTCCTTTTCCACAATAGGCCTCAATGCACTCCAAATATCCACTTGCAGAATCTGCAAAAACGTGTTTCAAAACTGCTCAATCAAAAGAAAGGTTAAACAATGTGAGATGAACACACACATCACAAAGAAGTTTATCAGAATGCTTCTGTATAGTCTTTATATGAAGATATTTCCTTTTCTACAATAAGCCTCAAAGCAGTCAGAAAATCCACCTGCAGATTCTAGAAAAGAGTGTTTCAAAACTACACAATCAAAAGAAACGTTCAAACCTGTGAGATGAATGCACACTTCAGAAAGAACTTTCCCAGAATGCTTCTGTGTAGTGGTTGTGTGAAGATATTTCCTTTTCCACCTTAGGCCTCAAATGGCTCCAGATATCCACTTTCAGATTCTTCAAAAAGAATTTTCCAAACTGCTCAATCAAAAGAAATCTTCAATACTTTGAGATGAATGCACACATCACAAATAAGTTTCTCAGTATTCTGTGTAGTTTTTAAGTGAAGATATTTCCTTTTCCACAATAGTCCACAAAGAATTCTAAATATCCACTTGCAGATTCTACAAAAAGGGTGTTCAAAAGTGCTCAATCAAAAGAAAGGTTCAACTCTGTGAGATGAGTGCACACACCACAAAGTAGTTTCTCAGAACGCTTCTGTGTAGATTTTATGTGAAGTTATTTCCTTTTCCACCATAGGCCTCAAAGTGATCCAAATATCCACTTGCATATCCTTCAAAAAGAGTGTTTCCAAACTGCTCAATCAAAAGAAATTCAACTCTGTGTGATGAATGCACACATTGAAAAGAAGTTTCTCAAAATGTTTCTATGTAGTTTTTATGTGAAGATATTTCCTTTTCCACAATACACCTCAGAGCGATCCAAATTTCCACCTGTACATTCTACAACAAGAGTGTTTCAAAACAGCTCAATCAAAAGAAAGACTGAACTCTGTGAGATGAGTGCACACAACACAAAGAAGTTTCTTAGAATATTTCTATGTAGTTTTTATGTGAAGATACTTCCTTTTCCACAACAGGCCTCAGAGCAGTCCAAATATACACCTGCAGATTCTACATAGAGATTGTTTCAAAACTGCTCAATCAAAACAAGGGTTCAACTCTGTGAGATGAACGCACATATCACAAAGAAGTTTCTCGGAATTCTTCTGTGTAGTTTTTATTTGAAGATATTTCCTTTTCCACCTTATGCCTCAAAACGTTCCAAATATCCATATGCAGATCCTACAAAAAGAGTTTTTCCAAACTGCTCAATCAAAAGAATGTTTCAACACTTTGAGATGAATGCACACATTGCAAAGTTCTTTCTCAGGATGCTTCTGTGTAGTTTTTATGTGAAGATATTTCCTTTTCCACAATAGTCCTCAAAGCACTCCAAATATCCACTTGCAGTTGCTACTAAAAGAGTGTTTCAAAACTGCTCAATCAAAAGAAATGTTCAACTCTGTTAGATGAATGCACACATTGCAAATTATTTTCTCATAATGCTTCTGTGTGGTTTTTATGTGGAGATATTTCCATTTCAAACTTAGTCCTCAAAGAGATCCAAATATCCACTTGCAGATACTACAAAAGGAGTGTTTCAAAACTGCTAAATCCAAATAATGCTCAACTCTCTGAGATGAATGCATACATCACAAAGCAGTTTCTCAGAATGCTTCCGTGTAGATTTTATGTGAAGATTTTTTTTCCACAATAGGCCTCAAAGGACTCCAAATATCCACTTGCAGATTCTACAAAAAGAGTGCTTCCAAACTGCTCAATCAAAAGAAAAGTTCAACTCTGTCAGATGAATGCACACATCACAAAGAAGTTTCACAGAATGCTTCTGTGTAGTTTTTATGTGAAGATATTTCTCTTTCCACCATAGGCCTCAAAGTGCTGCAAATATTCACTTGCAGATTGTACAAAAAGTGAGTTTCAAAACTGCTCCATCAAAAGATAGGTTCAACCCTGTGAATTGAATGCACACATCAAAAAGAAGATTCTCAGAATTCTTCTGTATAGTTTTTATTTGTATATATTTCCTTTACCACCTTAGGCCTCAAAATGTTCCAAATATCCACCTGCATATTCTACAAAAAAAAAGTGGTTCATAACAGCTCATTCAACAGAAAGGGTCAACTCTGGCAGATGAATTCACACATCACAAAGAAGTTTCTCAGAGGGCTTCTGTGTAGTTTTTATGTGAACATATTTCCTTTTCCACCTTTGGCCAGAAAGGCTCCAAATACCCACTTGCAGATTCTACAAAAAGAGAGTTTCAAAACTGCTCCATCAAAAGATAGGTTCAACTCTGTGAGTTGAATGCACACATCACAAAGTAGTTTCTCAGAATGCTTCTGTGTAGTTTTTATGTGAAGATATTTCCTTTTCCATCATAGGCCTCAAAGTGTTCCAAATATCCACTTGCAGATCCCACAAAAAGAGTGTTTCCAAACTGCTCAATCAAAAGAAAGCCTCAACTCTGTGAGACTAATGCACACATCACAAAGAAGTTTCTCAAAAAGCATGTGTGTATCTTTTATGTGAAGATATTTCCTTATACACATTAGGCCTAAAAGCACTCCAAATATCCCCTTACAGATTCTACAAAAAGAGTGTTTCAAAACTGCTCCATCAAAGGAAATGTTCAACTCTGTGAGATTAATGCACACATCACAAAGCAGTTTCTCAGAATGCTTCTGTGCAGTTTTTATGTGAAGATATTTCCTTTTCCACAATAGACCCCAAAGCGCTCCAAATATCCACTTGCAGATTCTACAAAAAGAGTGTTTCCAAACTGCTCACTCAAAAGATAGGTTCAACACTGTGAGTTTAATGCACACATCATAAAGAAGTTTCACAGAACACTTCTTTGTAATTTTTATTTTAAGATATTTCCTTTTCCACCATAGGCCTCAAAGTGATCCAAATGTCCACTTGCACATTCTTCAAAAAGAGTGTTTCCAAACAGCTCAGAGAAATGTTCAACTCTGTGAGATGAAGGCACACATCACAAAGAAGTTTCTCAGAATACTTCCACGTACTTTGTATGTGAAGATATTTCCTTTTCCACAATATGCCTCAAAGTGCTCCAAATATCCACCTGCATATTCTACAAAAAGAGTGTTTCAAAACAGCTCAATCAAAAGAAAGTTTCAACCCTGTGAGATGAATGCACACATCACAAAGAAGTTTCTCAGAAAGCTTCTGTGTAGTTTTTATGAGAAGATATTTCCTTTTCCACCATTAGCCACAAACAACTCCACATACCCACGTACAGATTCTACAAAAAGAGAGTTTCAAAACTGCTCTATCAAAATATAGTTCCAACTCTGTGAGTTGAATGCACTCGACACAAAGAAGTTTCTCAGAATGCTTCAGTGTAGTTTTTATGTGAAGATATTTCCTTTTCCACCATAGGCCTCAAAGCGTTCCAAATATCCACTTGCAGATCCTTCAAAAAGAGTGTTTCCAAACTGCTCAATGAAAAGAAAGCTTCAACTCTAAGACATTAATGCACACATCACAAAGAAGTTTCTCAGAATGCATCTGTGCAGTTTTTATGTGAAGATGTTTCCTTATCCACAATAGGCCTAAAATGGCACCAAATATCCCCTTGCAGATTCTACAGAAAAAGTGTTTCAAAACTGCTCAATGAAAAGAAATTTTCAACTCTGTGAGATGAATGCACACATCACAAAGCAGTTTCTCAGGATGTTCCATGTAGTTTTTATGTGAAGATATTTCCTTTTCCACAATAGGCCTCAAAGCGCTCCAAATATCCACTTGTGGAATCTACAAAAAGAGTGTTTCCAAACAGCTGAATCAAAAGAAAGGTTCAGGGGAGGAGCCAAGATGGCCAAATAGGAACAGCTCTGGTCTACAGCTCCCAGCATGAGCGACGCAGAAGACAGGTGATTTCTGCATTTCCATCTGTGGTACTGGGTTCATCTCACTAGAGAGTGAGGAGGATATATGTCACCTCAGGATCCTGTGATGATTGCATTAGCTGCACAAATTGTGTGTAGAGCATGTGTGTTTGAACACTATGAAATCTGGGTACCTTGGAAAAAGAACAGGGTGGCAGCAATGTTCAGGGAAGAAGATAGATAACCTTAAACTCAGACTCCTGGTGAGCCTGGTGGAACAGAGCCATATTTCTCTTCTTTCAAAGCAAATGGGAGAAGTATCTCTGAATTCTTTTTCTCAGCAAGAAACATCCCAGAGAAAGATAATGCATCCCTGAGGGTAGGCATCTGAAATGGCTGCTTTGGGGGTGGCTGTCTTTTATGGTCACAGCTGTAGAGATGAAATGAGCCCCAGTCTCCTGTAGCTCTCCCAGGCTTATTAGGAGGAGAAAATTCCCGCCTAATAAATTTTGGTCAGACCAGTTTTCTGCTCTCAAACCCTGTTTATGATAAGATGATATCAATGACAATGCAAGCCAGAAACTTCATTAGCAATTTTAAATTCACTCCAGTCCTGTGTCCTGTAATCTTGCCCCACCTCCTTTTACCTTGTGATATCTTATTACTTTGTGAAGCCTGAGATCTCTGTGATCCACACCCTACCGTATACTCCTTCCCCTTTTGAAAATCACTAGTAAAAACTTGCTGGCTTTGTGGCTTGTGGCCCATCACAGAACCTGCAGCAATGTGATGTCTACCCCGGACACCAAGCTTTCAAATTTCTCTCTTGCACTCCGTCCCTTTATTTCTCAGATGGGCTGACATTTAGGGAAAATAGAAAAGAACCTACGTGACATATCAGGGGTGAATTTCACCTGATAATCACAAAGCAGTTTCTCAAAGAGCTTCTTTTTACTTTTTATCTGAAGATATTTCCTTTTTCACCACAGGCTTCAATTACCTCCCAAATATCCCTTCACAGATTCTACAAAAACAGTGTTTCCAAACTGCTCAATCAAAAGAAAGCTTTAGCTCTGTGAGATGAATGCACACATCACAAAGCAGTTTCTCAGAAAGCTTCTGTCTAGTTCTTCTCTGAAGATATTTCCTTTTCCACCATAGGCCTCAATGTGCTCCCAAATATCCCTTTGCAGATTATAGAAAAACAGTGTTTCCAAACTGCTCAGTCAAAAGAAAAGTTTACCTCTGTGAGAAGAATACATACATCACAAAGCAGTTTCTCAAAAAGTTTCTTTCTAGTTTTTATCCAAAGATATTTCATTTTTCACCATAGGCTTCAGTGTGCTCCCTAATATCCCTTTGCAGATTTTGCAAAAACATTGTTTCCAAACTGCTCCATCAAAAGAAAGCTTTAGCTCTGTGAGATGAATGCACACATCACAAAGCAGTTTCTCAGAAAGCTTCTGTCTAGTTCTTCTATGAAGATATTTCCTTTTCCACCACAGGCCTCAATGTGCTCCCAAATATCCCTTTGCAGATTATAGAAAAACAATGTTTCCAAACTGCTCAGTCAAAAGAAAAGTTTACCTCTGTGAGATGAATACATACATCACAAAGCAGTTTCTCAAAAAGTTTCTTTCTAGTTTTTGTACAAAGATATTTCATTTTCCACAATAGGCATCAGTGTGCTCCCAAATATCCCTTTGCAGATTTTTCAGAAACAGTGTTTCCAAACTGCTCAGCCAAAAGAAACTTTAGCTCTGTGAGATGAATGCACACATCATGAAGCAGTTTCTCAGAAAGCTTCTTTCTAGTTCTTCTCTGAAGATATTTCCTTTTCCACCACAGGCCTCAATGCACTCCACTATCTCTTTGCAGATTCTACAAAACCAGTGTTTTCAAACTGCTCATTCAAAAGAAAAGTTTACCTCTGTGAGATGAATACATACATCACAAAGCAGTTTCTCAAAAAGTTTCTAGTTTTTATACAAAGATATTTCCTTTTCCACCATAGGCATCAGTGTGCTCCCAAATATCCCTTTGCAGATTTCGTAAAAACAGTGTTTCCAAACTGCTCAATCAAAAGAAAGGTTTAAATCTGTGAGATGAATGCACACATCACACAGCAGTTTCTCAAAATGTTTCTTTCTCGTTTTTATATGAACATATTTCCTTGATCACCATAGGCTTCCATGCTCTCCCAAATATCCTGTCGCAGATTCTACAAAAACAGTGTTTCCGAACTGCTCAATCAAAAGAATGGTTTAACTTTGTTAGATGAATGCACATATCACAAAGCAGTTTCTCAGATAGCTTCTGTCTAGTTCTTCTCTGAAGATTTTTCCTTTTACACCAGAGGCCTCAAAGTGCTCCCAAATATCCCTTCATATATTCTACAAAAACAACGTTTCCAAACTATTCCATCAAAAAAAGAACTTAACTCTGTGAGCTGAATGCACACATCAGAAAGCAGTTTCTCCTAATGCTTCTTTCCAGTTTTTATTTGAATTTATTTCCTTTTTCACCAAAGGCTTTTTTGCACTACCTAATATCACTTCACAAATTTTGCAAAAACAGCGTTTCCAAACTGCTCAGTTAAAAGAAAGGTTTAAATCTGTGAGATGAAAGTCCACATCCCAAATCAGTTTCTTAGAAAGCTTCTTTCTAGTTTTTATCCTAAGATATTTCGTTTATCACCTTAGGCCTCAATGTGCTCCCAAATATCCATTTGCAGATTCTACAAAAACAGAGTTTTGAAACTGCTCAATCAAAAACAAGTTTACCGCTGTGAGGTGAATGCACATATCACAAAGCAGTTTCTCAAAAAGCGTCTTTCTAGTTCTTCTCCAAAGATATTTCCTTTTCCACCACAGAACACAGTACACTCCTAAATAACCCTTTGCAGATTCTATAAAAAACATTGTTTCTAAACTGTTCCATCAAAAGAAGGATATAACTCTGTGAGATGAATGCATACATAAGAAAGCACTTTCTTATCATGTTTTTTTCCAGTTTTTATCTGAAGATATTTCCTTGTTCACCATAGGTGTTTTTGAGCTACCAAACATCGCTTCACAGATTACACAAACACAGTGGTTCCAAACTGCTCAGTCTATAGAAAAGTTTAACTCTGTGAGCTAAATGCACAAATCTCAAAGAAGTTTCTCAAAAACCTTCTGTCTAGTTTTTATCCAAAGATGTTTCCTTTTTCACCATAGGCATCAGTGTGCTCCCAAATATCCCTTTGCACATTCTACAAAAACAGTGTTTCCAAACTGCTCAATAAAAGAAACGTTTAACTCTGTGAGGAGAATGCACACATCACTAAGCAGTTTCTCAGAAAGCTTCTTTCTGGTTTTTATCTGAAGTTATTTCCTTTTTCAACATAGGCCTCATGCACTCTCCAATGTCACATCGCATATTCTACAAAAATAGTGTCTCCAAACTGATCAATCAAAGAAAAGTTTAACTCTGTTAGATGATTGTATATATCACAAGTCAGTTTCTCAAAAACTTCTTTCTCATTATTATCCAAAGATATTTCCTTTTTCACCATATGTTCCCATGTGCTGCCAAATATCCCTTCACAGATTCTACAAAAACCATGTTTCCAAACTGCTGAATCAAAAGAAAAGTTTAACTCTTTGAGATTATCCTACACATCAGAAAGCAGTTTCTCATAACGTTTCTTTTCACTTTTTATCTGAAGATACTTTCTTTTTCTCCATAGGCTTTTCTGCACTACCTAAATTCACTTCACAGATTTTGCAAAAAAGGTGTTTCCAAACTGCTCAGTCAAAAGAAATGTTTAAAGCTGCAAGATGAATGCTCACATCACAAAGCAATTTCTCAATAACTTTTTTCTAGTGTTTATCCGAAGATATTTGATTTATCACCATAGGTTTGAAGGTGCTCCCAAATATAGCTTCACAGATTCTACAAAAACAGTGTTTCCAAACTGATCAATCAAAAGAAAAGTTTAACTCTGTGAGAGGAAATCATACATCACAAAGTAGTTTCTGAGATAACTTCTGTCTAATTCGTCTCTGAAGATACTTTCTTTTCCACATTAGGCCTCACTGCACTTCAAAATATCCCTTTGCAGATTCTACAAACACAGTGTTTCCTAACTGTCCTTGTGAAAGAAGGATTTAAATCTGTGAGATGAATGCACATAGCAGAAAGCATTTTCTCATAATGCTTCTTTCCAGTTTTTATCTGAAGATATTTCCTTCTTCACCATTGGCCTTTTTGTGATACCTAACATCCTTTCACAGATTCTAAAAAAACAGTGTTTCCAAACTGCCCAATCAAAAGAAAAGTTTAACTCTGTGAGACAAATGCATACATCAAAAAGAAGTTTCTCAAAAAGCTTCTTTCTCGTTTTTATCTGATGATATTTCCTTCATCACCATAGGCTTCAATGCATTCCCAAATATCCCATCACAGATTCTAAAAAAACAGTGTTTCCAAACTGCTCAATGAAAAAACAGGTTTAACTCTGTGAATTGAATGCATACATCACAAAGTAGTTTCTCAGAAAGCTTCTGTCTTGTTATTCTCTGAAGATATTTCCGTTTCCACCACAGGCCTCAATGCACTCCCAAATATTCCCTCATAGATTCTATATAAACAGTGTTTCTGAAATCTTCCATCAAAAGAAGGATTTAACTCTTTGAGACGAATGCACACATCAGAAAGCAGTTTCCCATTGTGCTTCTTTCTGGATATTTGCCTAAAGATATTTCCCTTTTCATCATAGGCTTTCTTGTGCTACCAAATATTGATTCACAGATTTCACAAAAACAGTGTTTCCAAACTGCTCAGTCAAAAGAATTGTTTAACTATGGGAAACGAATGCACACATCACAAACAAGTTTCTCAAAAAACTTTCCAGTTTATGTCCAAAGATATTTTTTATCACCATAGGCTTCTCTATGTGCTCCCAAATATCCCTTCACAGATTCTTCAAAATATCACTCCACAGATTCTACAAAAACTGTGTCTCCAAATAGATCAATCAAAAAAAAGTTTTAATTCTGTCAGTTGAATGCAAACATCACAAAGCAGTTTCTCAAATATCTTTTTTCTAGTTTTTATCCGAAGATATTTTCTTCTTCACCATAGTCCTCAGTGCACTCCCAAACATCCCTTCTCATATTCTACAAAAACAGTGTTTCCAAACTGCTCAGTCAAAAGAAACGTTTAACTCTGAGAATAATGCACACATCACAAACTGTTTTCTCAAAAAGCTTCTTTCTAGTTTTCATCTTAAGTTATTTCCTTTTTCACCTTAGGCCTCTTGGGCTCCCAAATTCGTTTTTGCAGTTACTACAAAAACAGTGTTTCCAAACTGATAAAATAAAGAAAGTTTTATCTCTGTGAGATGAATGCACACATCACAAAACAGTTTCTGAAAAAGCTTCTTTCCAGTTTTTATTTGAAGATGTTTCCCTTTTCACCATAGGCTTCAATGTGCTCCCAAAAATCCCTTCGTAGATTCTGCAAAAACAGTGTTTCCAAACTGCTTAATCAAAAAAAAGTTTTAACTCTATGAGATGAATTCACACATCACAAAGTATTTTCTGAGAAAGCTTCTGTCTAGCTCTTCTCAGAAGATATTTCCTTTTCCACCATAGACCTCAATATGCTCCCAAATACCCCTTTGCAGATTCTACAAAAACAGTGTTTCCAAATTATTCCATCAAAAGAAGGACTTAACTCTGTTAGATGAATGCACCCATGAGAAACCAGTTTTTATAACACTGCTTTCCAATTTTTAACTGAAGACATTTCCTTTTTCACCATAGGCTTAAATTTGATCCCAAATATCCCTTCACATATTCTACAAATACAGAGTTTCCAAACTGTTCCATCAAAAGAAGGACTTAACTCTGTGAGATGAGGTCACACATCAGAAAGCAGTTTCTTGTAACGCTTCTTTCCAGTTTTCATCTGAAGACGTCTTCTTGTTCACCATAGGCTTTTTTACACTACCTGATATTGCTTCACAGATTTTGATAAAACAGTGTTTCCAAACTGCTCAGTAAAAGAAAGTTTGATCTCTGTGAGTCAAATGCACAATTCACAAAACAGTTTCTCAAAAAGCTTCTTTCTAGTTTTTATCCAAAGATATTTCCTATGTCAACATAGGCTTCAATGTGCTCCTAAATATCCCTTCACAGATTCTACAAAAACACTGTTTCCAAACTGCTCTATCAGAAAACAAGCTTAACTCTGTGAGTTGAACTCATACATCACAAAGCAGTTTCTCAAAAAGCTTCTTCCTAGTTTTTATCTGAAGATATTTCCTTTTTCACCATAGGCTTCAGCGAGCTCCCAAATATACCTTTGCATATTATACAAAAACAGTTTCCAAAAGGCTCAATCAAAATAGAGGTTTAACTCTGCGAGATGAAGGCACACATCACAAAGCTGTTTCTCAGATAGCTTGTCTAGTTCTTCTCTGATGATATTTCCTTTTCCAACATAGGCCTCAATGTGCTCTGAAAAAAAAAAGTGTTTCCGAACTGTTCCATTAAATTAAGGATTGAACTCTGTGAGATGAAAGCACACATCAGAAAGCAGTTTCCCATAACGCTTCTTTCCAGTTTTTATCTGAAGGTATTTACTTGTTCACCATAAGCTATTTTATGCTACCTAGCATCACTTCACAGATTATACAAAAGCAGTGTTTCCAAACTGCTCTGTCAAAAGAGAAGTTTAGCTTTTTGAGATGAATGCATACATCAAAAAGCAGTTCCTCAAAAAGCTTCTTTCTAGTTTTTATCCAAAGATATTTCCTTTTACACTATAGGCATCAGTGTACTCTCAAATATCCCTTTACAGATTCTACAAAAAGAGTGTTTCCAAAGTGCTCAAAAAGAAAAAAAAAGTTTAACTCTGTGAGATGAATGCACACATCACAAAGCAGTTTCTCAGGTAGTTTCTGTCTAGTTCTTCTCTGAAGATATTTCCTTTGCCACCATAGGCCACAATGCACTCTGAAATATCCCTTCACAGAATCTACAGAAACAGTGTTTCCAAATTGTTCAATCAAAAGAAAGACTTAAAACTGTGAGATGAATGCGCACATCACAAGGCAGTTTCTTTTAACGATTCTTTCCAGTTTTTCTCTGAAATTATTCTTGTTCACCATAATCCTTTTATGCGCTACCTAACATTGCTTCGCAATTGATTGTAAAACCGTGTTCCCAAACTGCTCAGTCAAAGACTAGTTTAACTCTGTGTGATGAATGCATCCATCAGAAAACAGTTTCTCAAGTTCTTTCTAGTTTTTTTCTGAAGATATTTCCCTTTATGCCATAGGCATCAGTGAGCTCCCAAGCATCCCTTTGCAGATTCTACAAAAACAGTGTTTCCAAACTGATCAATCAAAAGAAAGGTTTAACTCTGTGAGATGAGAGTGTACATCAAAAAGCAGTTTCTCAAATTACTTCTTTCTAGTTTTTATCCGAATATATTTCCTATGTCTCCATATACTTCAATGCATTCCCAAATATTCCTTTGCAGATCCTCTTTAAACAGTGTTTCCAAACTGATCAATCAAAAGAAAAGTTTAAATCTGTAAGATGAATGCACACATCATATAGCAGTTTCTCATAAAGCTTCCTTCTCATTTTTATCCAAAGATATTTCCTTTTTCAAAATAGGCTTCAATGTGCTCCCAAATATCCCTTCACAGATTCTACAGAAATAGTGTTTCAAAACTGCTCAATCAAGAGAAAGTTTTAATTCTGTAAGATGAACGCACACATCACAAAGCAGTTTCTCAGAAAACTTATGTCTATTTCTTCTCTGAAGATATTTCCTTTTCCACCATAGGCCTCAATATGCTCCCAAATATCCCTTTGCAGATTCTACAAAACCAGTGTTTCCAAACTCTTCCACATAAAGAAGGAGTTAGCTGCATCACATGAACATGCACAACACAAAGCTGTTTCTCATAACGCTTCTTTCCAGTTTTTATCTGAAGATATTTCCTTGTTCACTATAGTCTTTTTAATGGTGCCTAATATTGCTTGGCAGATTTTTCAAAAACGTTGTTTCCAAACTGCTTAGTCAAAAGAAAGGTTTATCGTTGTGAGATGAATGCACAAGTCACATAAGTTTCTCAAAAAGCTTCTTTCTAATTTTTATCTGAAGATATTTTTTTCTTCACCATAGGCTTCAATGCACTCCCAAATATCCCGTTGCAGATTCTACAAAAACCTTGTGTCCAAACTGCTCAAACAAAAACAGTTTTAACTCTGTGAGTTGAAAGTACACATTAGAAAGCAGTTTCTCAAAAAGCTTCTTTCTAGTTTTTATCAGAAGATATTTCCTTTTTAACAGTGGGCTTCAATGCACTCCCAAATATCCCTTCGCAGATAATACAAAAACAGTGTTTCCAAACTGCACAATAAAAGAAAGTTTTAACTCTGTGAGATGAATGCACACATCACAAAGCAGTTTCTCAGATAGCTTCTGTCTAGTTCTTCCCTGAAGATATTTCCTTTTCCACCACAGGCCTCAATGCACTCCCAAATATCCATTTGCAGATTCTAAAAAAAGAGTGTTTCCAAACTGTTCCATCAAAAAATGGAGTTCACTCTGTGAGATGAATGCACACATCAGAAAGCAGTTTCTTGTAACGCTTCTTTCCAGTTTTTATCTGAAGATATTACCTTGTTTACAATAGGCAGTTTTGCTCTACAAAACCTCACTTCGCAGAATATACAAAAAGAGGGTTTCCAAACTGCTCAGTCAAAAGAAAGGTTTAACTCTGTAAGATGAATGCACACATCACAAAGCCGTTTCTCAAAAAGCTTCCTTCTAGTCTTTATCCAAAGGTATTTCCTTTTTCACCATTGGCTTCAATGAGCTCCCAAACATCCCTTTGCAGGTACTACAAAAACAGTGTTTCCAATCTGCTCAGTCAAAAGAAAGGTTTAACTCTGTGAGATGACTGCACATGCACACAACACAAAGCATTTTCTCAGAAAGCTTCTTCCTAATTCTTCTCTGAAGATATTTCCTCTTCCACCATAGGCCTCAATGCGCTCCCAAATATCTCTTCACAGATTCTACAAAAACAGTGTTTTCAAACTGTTCCATCAAAAGAATGACTTAACTCTGTGAGATGAATGCACACATTAGAAAGGAGTTTCTCCCAACCCTTCTGTCCAGCTTTTATCTGAAGATATTTCCTTGTTCACCATAGGCTATTTTGTGCCACATAATAATGCTTGGCAGATTTTGCAAAAACAGAGTTTCCAAGTTCCTCATTCAAAATAAAAGTTTAACCCTGTGAGATTAATGGACACATCACAAAGCAGTTTCTCAAAAAACTTCTTTATAGTTTCTAACTGAAGATATTTACTTTATCACCATAGGCTTCAAAGCATTCCCAAATATCCCATCGCATCTTCTATATAAACAGTGTTTGCAAACTGCTTAATTGAAAAACAAGTTTAATTCTGTGGGTTGAATGCACACATGACAAAGTAGTTTCTCAGAAAACTTATTTCTACTATTTATCTGTAGATATTTCCTTTTTCACCATAGGCCTCAGTGCAGTCACAAATGTACCTTTGCTGATTCCGCAAAAACGGTGTTTCCAAACTGTTCAATCAAAAGAAAGGTTTAACTCTGATGAATGCACACATCATAAAACTGTTTCTCAGATAGGTTCTGTCTAGTTCTTCTCTGAAGATATTTCCTTTTCCAACATAGGCCTCAATATGCTCCCAAATATACCTTTGCAGATTCTACAAAAAGAGTGTTTCCAATCTGCTCAATGAAAAGAAATGTTTAACTGTGTGAGAAGAATGCACACATCACAAAGCAGTTTCTCAGAAATCTTCTCTCTAGTTTTTATCTGAAGATATTTCTTTTTCAACATAGGCCACAAAGCACTCAAATTTATCCCTGTGCTCAAAGTATCCCCTCCCAGATTCTACAAAAACAGTGTTTCCAAACTTCTCAATCAAAAAGAAGGCTTAACTCAGTGAGGTGAGTGAACACACCATGAAGCAGTTTCTCAGAAACCTTCTTTCTAATTTTTATTGGAAGATGTTTCCTTTTCCACAATAGGTTACAATCCATTCCCAAATATCCCTTCGCAGATTCTACAACAACAGTGTTTCCAAACTGCTCAGTCAAAAGAAAAGTTTAACTCGGTGAGATGAATGCATACATCACAAAGCAGTTTCTCAAGAAGATTTTTCTAGCTTTTATAGGAAGATATTTGCTTTTTCAACATATGCATCAGTGTGCTCCCAAATATCCCTTTGCAGATTCTACAAAAACAGTGTTTCCAAACTCCTCAATCAAAAGAAACATTTAACACTGTGAGAAGAATGCCCACATCACAAAGCTTTTTCTTAGAAAGCTTCTTTGTAGTTTTTATCTGAAGTTATTTCCTTTTTCACCATAGGCCTCATGCACTCCCAAATATCCCTTTGCAGAGTCTACAAAAGCAGTGTTTCCAAACTGATCAATCAAAAGAAATGTCTAAGTCTGTGAGATAAATGTGCACATCACAAAGCAGTTTCTCAAAAAGCTTCTTTCTTGTTTTTGTCCAAAGATATTTCCTTCATCCCATAGGCTTCATTGCACTCCCATATATCTCTTGGCAGATGCTATAAAAACCTTACTTCCAAACTGCTCAATCAAAAGAAAATTTAACTCTGTGAGATGAATGAACACTTCACGAACAGTTTCTCAGATAGCTTCTGTGTAGTTCTTCTCAGAAGATATTTCCTTTTCCACCATAGGCCTCGATGCACTCCCAAATATCCCTTCACTGATCCTACAAAAAGAGTGTTTCAAAACTGCTCAATAAAACAAGATTAACACTGTGAGTTGAACTCACACATCAGAAAGCAGTTTCTCATAAAGCTTCTTTCCCATTTTTATCTGAAGATATTTCCTTCTTCACCATAGCCTTTTTTGCGTTACCTAATATCACTTTGTTGATAGCGCAAAAAGAGTGTTTCCAAACTGCTCAGTCAAAAGAAACTTTTAACTCTGGGGGATGAATGCACACATCAGAAAGCAGTTTCTCAAAAAGCTTATTTCTAGTTTTTATCCGAAGATATTTCCTTTAACACTATAGGCACAATGCACTCACAAATATCCCATCACAGATTCTACAAAAACAGTGTTTTCAAACTGCTTAATGAAAAAATAAGTTTACCTCTGTGAGTTGAATACACACATCACAGAGCAATTTCTCAAAATGCTTCTTTCTATTTTTTTCCTACTACATTTTGTTTTTCACCATAGGTCTCTGTGCGCTCCCAAATATACCTTTGCAGATTCTACAAATACAGTGTTTCTAAACTACTCAATCAAAAGAAACGTTTAACTCTGTGAGGTGAAAACACAGATCACAAAGCAGTTTTTCAGATAGCTTCTGCCTAGTTCTTTTCTGAAGACATTTTCTTTTCCACCATAGGCCTCAATATGCACCCAAATATCCCTTCATAGACTCTATAAAAACAGTGTTTCTGAACTCTTCCATCAAAAGAAGGATTTAACTCTGAGAGATGAATGCACACATCAGAAAGCAGTTTCTCATAACGCTTCTTTCTAGTTTTTATCTGAAGGTATTTCCTTGTTCACAATAGGCCTATTTGCACTACCAAACAACACTTTGCAGATTAAACAAAAACAGTGTTTCCAAACTGCTCAGTCAAAAGAAAAGTTTAACTCTGTGAAATGAATTCATACATCACAAAGCAGTTTCTAAAAAAGGTTCTTTCTAGTTTTTATCTGAAGATATTTCCTTTTTCACCATAGGCATCACTGCGCTTTGAAATATGCCTTCGCAGTTTCTACAAAAATGGTGTTTCCAAACGCCTCAGTCAAAAGAAAGATTTAACTCTGTGAGATGAATGCACACATAACAAAGCAGTTTCTCAGAAAGTTTCCATATAGGTCTTCTCTGAGGATATTTCCTTTTCCACCACAGGCCTCAATGCACTTCCAAATATCCCTTTGCAGATTTTAAAAAAAAGGTGTTTCCAAACTGTTCCATCAAAAGAAAGACTTACCTCTGTGAGATGAATGCACACATCAGAGAGCAGTTTCTCATAATGCTTCTTTCCAGGTTTTTTCTGAAGATATTTCCTTGTTCACCATTGGCTTTTTGCACTGCCTAATATCATTTTGCAGATTAAACAAAAGCAGTGTTTCCAAATGGCTCAGTCAAAAGAAAGGCTTAATTCTGTGAGATGAATGCACACATTACAAAGCAGTTTCTCAGAAAGCTTCTGTATAGGTCTTCTCTGGG
This sequence comes from Homo sapiens, assembly GCF_000001405.40. NCBI lineage: Eukaryota > Metazoa > Chordata > Mammalia > Primates > Hominidae > Homo > Homo sapiens. The sequence goes on along the minus strand of NC_000019.10, from coordinate 24,375,287 downwards.
GATGTTTCCTTTTCCGCCATAGGGCTCAATGTGCTCCCAAATATCCCTTTGCAGATTATACAAAAACAGTGTTTCTGAACTGTTTCATAAAAAGAAGGACTTATCTTAGTGACATTAATGCACACAACAGAAAGCAGTTTATCATAACACTTCTTTCCATTCTTATCTAAAGATATTTCCTTGTTCACCATAGGCCTTTTTCTGATACTTAACATCACTTCACAGATTATACAAAAACAGTGTTTCCAAACTGCTCGATCAAAATAAATGTTTTACTCTGTGAGATGGATGCACACAACACAAAGCAGTTTCTCAAAAATCTCCCTTGTAGTTTTTGTCTGAAGATATTTTATTTATTTTCACCACAGGTATCATCACACTCACAAATATCCCTTTGCAGATTCTACAAAAACATTGTTTCCAAACAGATCCATCAAAAGAAAGTTTTAACTCTATGAGATGAAAGCAGTCACAGATTCTACAAAAACTGTGTTTCCAAACTGCTCAATGAAAACAAATGTTTAATGCTGTGAGATGAATGCACATATCACAAAGCAGTTTCTCAGAGAACTCCTTTCTAGTTTGCATCTGAAGATTTTTTTTTTACCATAGGTCTCCATGCTCTCCCAAATATCCCTCACAGACACTAAAAACCAGTGTTTCCAAACTGGTCAATCAAAATAAATATTTAACTCTGTGGGATGAATTCACACATCACAAAGCTGTTTCTGAGAAAGCTTCTTTCTAGTTTTTATGTGAAAATATTCCATGAATGCACACATAACAAAGCAGTTTCTCAGAAAGTGTCTTTCTAGTTCTGTGTGAAGATATTTCCTTTTTCACCCTAGGCCTCAATTTGCTACCAAATATCCCTTTGCAGATTCTACAAAAAGAGTTTATCCAAACTGCTCAATGAAAAGAAAGTTTTAACTCTGTGTGAGGTGAATGTACACATCACAAAGCAATGTCTCAGACAGCTTCTTACTAGTTTTCATCAGAAGATATTGTCTTTTTCACCATAGGCCTCCATGTGCTCCCTAATATTCCTTTGCAGATTCTAGAAAAACAGTTTCCAAACTTCTCAATCAAAAGAAAGTATTAACTCTGTGAGATGAAAACACACATCACGAAGCTGTTTCTCAGAAATCATTCTAGTTTTCATGTGAATATATTTCTTTTTTCACCATAGGCCTCATTGCGTTCTCAAATAGCCCTTTGCAGATTCAAGAAAAATAGTGTTTCCAAACTGCTCAATCAAAAGAAAGCTGTAACTTTGTGAGATGAATGTACACATCACAAAACAGTTCCTGAGAAAGCATCTTTCTGGTTTTTATCTGAGGATATTTCCTTTTTCTCTATAGGCCTCATTGCGTTCCCAAGTATGCTTTTGCAGATGCTACAAAAACAGTGTTTCTAAACTGCAGAATCAAAAGAAAGTTTTATCTCAGTAAAACAAATGCACACAACACAAATTTGTTTCTGAGAAAGTATCCTTCTAGTTTTTATGTAAAGGTGTTTCCTTTTTCACAGTAGGTCTCAATGCACTCCAAAATATCCCATCACAGATTCTACAAAAACAGTGTTTCCTAACTGCTCAAATGTCAGAAAGGTGAAATTCTGTGAGATGAATGCGCACATCCCAAAGCATTTTCTCAGAAAGCTTCTTTCTAGTTTTCATCTGAGAATATTTCCTTTTTCACTGCAGACCTCAAAGTGCTCCCAAATATAACTTCCTAGATTCTACAAAAACAGTGTTACCAAAGTGCTCCATCAAAATATTTGTTTAACTCTATGTGATGAAAGCACACATCACAAAGCAGTTTCTCCAAAAGCTTCTTTCAGGTTTTTATGAAGATATTTCCTTTTTCACCACAGTCCTCAATGCACTCCAAAACATCCTTTTGCAGATTCTACACAGTGTTTCAAAACTGCTAAATCAAAAGTAGGCTTTATCTCTGTGAGATGAATGTAGATATCACACAGCAGCTTCTCAGAAAGCTTCTTTCTAGCTTTTACCCTAAGGCATTTCCTGTTTCACCATAGGCCTCAAAGTGGTCCCAAATATTCCTTCACAGTTTCTACAAAAACAGTATTTCCATACTCCTCAATGAAGAGAATCCTTTAGCTCTGTGAGGGGAATGCACACATCCAAAACAGTGTCTTGGAAAAATTCTTTCTATTTTTTATCTGAAGATATTTGCTTTTTCTCCATAGGCCTCAATGCACTCCCAAATATCCCTTCACAGATTCTACAAAAACAATGATTCCAAACTGCTCTATCAAAAGAAAGTTTTAACACTGTGAGATGAATCCAATCATCATGAAGCTGTTTCTCAGAGGTCTTTTTACTTTTTATCTAAGGTTATTTCCTTTTCCACCATATGCTTCAATGCATTCCCAAATATCTCTTCGCAAATTTTTCCAAAACAGTGTTTCCAAACTGCTCAACCAAAAGAAAGGTTTAACTCTGTGAGATGAATGCACACATCACAAAGCAGTTTTTCAGAAAGCTTCTTTCTAGTTTTTGTCTGAAGATATTTCCTTTATCACTATAGGCTTCAATATGCTTCCAAATCTCCCATCGCAGATTCTACAAACACAGTCTTTCCAAACTGCTCAATCAAAAGAAAGGATTAACTGTCAGGTGAATGCACACATCAGAAAGCACTTTCTCAGAAAGCTTCTTTCTAGTTTGTATGTGAAGATATTTCCTTTTTCACCATAGGCCTCAACGTGCTCCGAAATATCCCTTCACAGATTCAACAAAAACAGTGTTTCCAAGATGCTTTATCAGGAGAAACTCAGCCAAATATCGGGTGAAATTTACCCCCGACATTTCTAGTAGGTTCTTTTTTATTTTCCCTTAGTGTCATCTGGTCTGAGAAATAAAGGGATAAAATACAACAGAGAGAAATTTTAAAGCTGAGTGTCCAGGGGAGGCATCACATGTCGGCACATTCCATGATGCCCCCTGAGCCATAAAACCAGCAAGTTTTCATTAGTGATTTTCAGAAGGGTAGGTAGTGTAGAATAGGGTGTGGTTCACAGAGATCACATGCTTCACAAGATAATGAGATATCACAAGGTAAATGGAGGCAGGGCGGGATCACAGAACCACAGGACCGGGGCAAAATTACAATTGCTAAAGAAGTTTCAGGCACACACTGTCATTGATAACATCTTATCAGGAGACAGGGTTTGAGACAGGGTTTGATCAGACAACTGGTCTGATCAAAATTTATTAGGCAGGAATTTCCTCATCCTAATAAGCCTGGGAGGGCTGCAGGAGACGGGGGCTTATTTCACCCCTGCAGCTGCAACCATAAAAGATGGCCACCCACAAAGCAGCCATTTCAGAGGCCTACCCTCAGGGAAGCATTCTCTTTCTCAGGGGTGTTCCTTGCTGAGAAAAAGAATTCGGCGATATTTCTTCCATTTGCTTTTGAAAGAAGAGAAGTAAGTTCTGCCAGACTTACTGGTGGTCAGTGTTTAAGGTTATCTCTCTTGCTCCCTGAACCTGCAGTTATCATCTTCTTTTTTCAAGGTGCCCAGATTTCGTATTGTTCAAACACACAAGCTCTACAAACAATTTGTGCAGTTAACACAATCATCATGGGTCCTGAGGCGACATACATCCTCCTTAGCTTACGAAGATGATGGGATTAAGAGATTAAAGACAGGCATAGGAAATCACAAGGGCATTGATTGGGGATGTGATAAATGTACATGAGATCTTCACAATTTATGTCCAGAGATTGCAGTAAAGACAGGCATAAGAAAATATAAAAGTATTAATTTGGGGAACTAATAAATGTCCATGAAATCTTCAAAATTTATGTTCTTCTACCATGCCTTTAGCCGGTCCCTCCATTTGTGGTTGCTGACTTCCCACAACAATGCTCAATCAAAAGAAAATTGTAACTCTGTGAGATGAATGCACACATCACAAAGCAGTTTCTCAGAAAGCTTATTTCTATTATTTATGTGAAGATATTTCCTTTTTCACCATAGGCCTCATTGCATTCCAAAATATCCGTTTGCAGATTCTACAAAAATAGTGTTTCCAAACTGCTCAATCAAAAGAAAATCGTAACTCTGTGAGATGAATGTACACATCACAAAACAGTTCCTCAGAGAGCATCTTTCTGGTTTTCTTCTGAGGATATTTCCTTTCTCACCATAGGCCCCAATGTGCTCCCAAATATCCTTTCCCAGATTCTACCAAAACTGTTTTCCAAACTTCTTAATCAAAAGAATGCTTAAACTCTCTGAGACAAATGCAGACATCACAAAGCAATTTCCAGAAAGCCTCTTTCTAGTTTTTATGTGAAGGTATTTCCTTATTCACCATAGGCCACAATGTGCTACAAATTATCCCTTTGCAGATTCTACAAAATTGTGTTTCCAAGATGCTCAATGGAAATAAAGTTTAACTCTGTAAGATGAATGGACACTTCACAAAGCAGTTAATCAGAAAACTTCTTTCAAGATTTTGTCTGAGAGTATTTCCTTTTTCAACATAGGCCAGATTGCGTTCCCATGTATCCTTTCACAGATTCTACAAAAACAGTGTTTCCAAACTGCTAAATAAATAGAAAGCCTTATCTTTGTGAGACCAATGCACACATCACAAAGCAGTTTCTCAGAAAATGTCTTTCTAGTTTTTATGTGAATATATTTCCTTTTTCACCATAGGCTTCAATGCACTCCCAAATATCCCTTCGCAGATTCTACAAAAATAGTGTTTCCTAACTGCTCAACCAAAAGAAAGTTGTAACTCTGTGAGAAGAATGTACACATTACAAAATAGTTCCTCAGAAAACATCTTTCTGGTTTTTATGTGAGGATATATCCTCTCTTACCATACGTCCCATGCATTCCCAAATATCCTTTCACAGATTCTGCAAAAACTGTGTTTCCAAACTACTTAATCAAAAGAATGCTTAAATTCTATGAGACGGAAGCAGACATCACAAAGCAGTTTCTCAGAAATCTCCTTTCTCTTTTTTATCTGAGGATATTTCCTTTTTCTCCATAGGACTCAATGTGCTCCTAAATATCACTTTGCAGATTCTACAAAAACAGTGTTTCCAAGATGCTCAATTAAAAGAAAGTTTAACACTGTGAGATGAATGAACACATCACAAAGCAGTTAATCTGAAAGCTTCTTTTAAGTTTTTATCTGAAGATAGTTTCTTTTTTACCAGAGGCCTCAATGTACTCCCATATATCCCTTCGCAGATTCTACAAAAACAGTGTTTCCAAAATGCTACATCAATAGAAAATTTTAATTCTGTGAGATGAATGGACACATCATAAAGCTGTTAATCAGAAAGTTTTCTAGTTTATATCTGAGGATATTTCCTTTTTCACCATAGTCCTCAATGCATTCCTAAATAACCTTTTGCAGATTCTATAAAAACAGTGTTTCCAAACTACTCAATCAAAAGAAAGCGTTATCTCTGTGAGACAAATGCACACATTACAAAGCAGTTCTGCAGAAAGTGTCTTTCTAGTTTTGACATGAAGATATTTCTTTTTTCACCATATGCCTCAATGCGCTCCCATATATCCCTTCGCAGATTCTACAAAAACAGTGTTTCCAAACTGCCTCATCAAAAGAATAGTGCAACTGTGACATGAATCTACACATCACAAAGCAGTTTCCCCAAAAGATTTGTTCTGGTTTTTTTCTGAAAGTATTTCCTTTTTGACCATAGGCCTCAATGTGTTCCCAAACATCCTTTCCCAAATCCTACAAAAACAGTTGTTTGAAACTGCTCAATCAAAGAAAGGTTTAACTGTGAGATGAAAACACACATCACAAAGCTTTCTCAGAAATCTTTCTAGTTTTTATCTGAGGATATTACATTTTTCACCATAAGCCTGAATGTATCCCAAATATCCCTTCACAGATTCTACAAAAACAGTGGTTCCAAACTGCTCAATCAGGACAAAGGAAATCTGAGGATATTTCTTTTTTCACCATAGGCATCCATGTGCTCCTAAATATAACTCTGCAGATTATACAAAAACAGTGTCCCAAAACTGCTAAGTCAATAGAAAGTTTTAATTCTTTGACCTGAATGCAAACATCAAAAGCAGTTTCCCAGAAAGCTTCTTTCTACTTTTTCCCTGAAAATACTTCCTTTTTCACCATAGGCTTCAAAGCACTCCCAAATATCCCTTCACAGATGGTACAAAAACAGTGTTGCCAAACTACTCAATCAAAAGAAAGTTTTAAAACCATGAGATGAATGCAAACATCACAAAGCGGTTTCTCATAAATATTCTTTCTAGTTTTTCCCTGAAGATATTTCCTTTTTCACCATAAGCCTCAATGCACTTCCATATATCCCTTGGTAGAATTTAAAGAAACAGTGTTTCCAAACTGCTCAATCAAACTGAGGTTAAACTCTGTGAGAAGAATTCACACCACACAAAGTGCTTTCTGACACAGCTTCTTTGTAGTTTTTATCTGAAGATATTTCCTTTTTCACCATAGGCCTCTAAGTGCTCCCAAATATCCCTTCGCTGATTCTGCAAAAACTGTCTTTTCAAACTTCCCAATCAAAAGAAAGGTTTAACTATGTGAGATGAATGCACTCATCACCAAGCAGTTTCTTAAAATGATTCTCACTAGTTTTAATCTGAAGATGTTTCCTTTCTACCATAGGCCTCAATGCACTCCCAAATATCCCTTTGCAGATTCTACAAAAACAAAGTTTCCAAACTTCTCAATCAAAAGAAAGGTTTAACTCTGTGAGATGAATGCACATATCCAAAAGCAATTTCTGATAATGCTTCTTTCTAGTTTTTCTCCGAGGATATTTCCTTTTGCACCATAGGCCCCATTGCACTCTGTATATCACTTCGTAGATTCCACAAAAACAGTGTATTCAAATTGCTCAATCAAAATAAAGGTTTACCTCTGTGAGAAGAATGCACACATCACAAAGCAGTTTCTGAGAAAAGTTCTTCTATTTTTTATCTGAAGATATTTCCTTTTTCACTGTAGGCCTCAATACACTCCCAAATATCCATTCGCAGATTTTCCAAAAACAGTGTTTCCAGAGTTCTCAATCAAAATAATGGTTCACCTCTTTGAAAAGAATGTACACATCAGAAAGAAGTTTCCAGAAAGCTTCTTTCTACTTTTTATCTGAACATATTTCCTTTTTGACCATAGGCCTCAAAGAGCTTCCAAATGTCCCTTTGTAAATTCTAAAAAAACAGTGTTTACAAACTGCTCAATTAAAAGAAAGGTTTAACTCTCTGAGATGAATGCAGAAATCACAAAGCAGTTTCCCAGAAAGCTTCTATATAGTTTTTATCTGAAGATATTTCCTTTTCAACGTAGGCTTCAAAGCCCTCCCAAATATTCCTTGTCAGATACTAAAAAAACAGTGTTGCAAAACGGCTCAATCTAAAGAAAGGTTTAATTCCACGAGAAGAATGCACACATCACAAAGGAGTTTCTGAGAAAGCTTCTTTCTAGTATTTATCTGAAGATATTTCCTTTTTCGCCATAGGCCTCAATGACCTCCCAAATATACCTTAGCAGATTCTATAAAAACAGTGTTTCCAAACTGCTCAATCAATAGAAAGGTTTATTTCTGTGAGATGAATGCACTCATCACAAAGCGGTTTCTCAGAAAGCTTCATTTCAGTTTTTTTCTGAATATATTTACTATTTCACCATAGGCATAAAAGCACTCCAAAATAACCTTTTGCAGATTCTACAAAAACAGTGTTTCCAAACAGCTCAATCAAAGGAAAAGTTTACCACTGTGTGATGAATACACACATTACTAAGCTGTTTCTCAGAAAGCTTCTTTCTAGTTGTTATATGAAGATATTTCATTTTTCACTAAAGGCCTCAAAGTGCTCCCAAATACCCCTTGGCAGATTCTTCAAAAAGAGTGTTTGAAACTGTACAATTAATAGAGAGGTTTAACTCTGTTAGAAGAATACACACATCACAGAGCAGTTTCTGAGAAAGCTTCTTTCTAGTATTTATATGAAGATATTTCCCTAATCATCGCTGCATTCCCACATATCCCTTTGTAGATTCTATGTAAACAGTGTTTCCAAACTGCTCAATCAAAAGAATGGTTTATTTCTGTGAGATGAATGCAGTCCTCACAAAACAGTCCTCACAAAGCAGTTCTCAGAAGGCTTCTTTTTAGATTTTATCTGAAGATATGTCCTATTTCACAATAGGCCTCAATGCCCTCCCAAGTACACCATCACAGATTCTGCCAAAACAGTGTTTCCAAACTGCTCAATGAAATTAAGTTTATCTCTGTGAGGTGAATGCACACTTCACAAAGCAGTTTCTCAGAAAGATTCTTTGCAGTTTTTCTCTGAAGATATTTCACTTTTCACCATGGGACTGAAAGCGCTGCCATATATCCCTTTGTTTATGCTGCAAAAACATGTTTCCAGACTGTTCAATCAAAAGAAATGTTTAACTCTGTGAGAAGAAGGCACACATCACAAACCAGTTTCCAAGAAAGCTTCTTTCTAATTTTTATCTGAAGATATTTCCTTTATCACCATAGGTCCCAATGCACTCCCAAATATCCTTGAGCAGATTCTACTAAAACGGTGATTCCAAACTGCTTAATCAAAAGAAAGGCTTAACTCTGTGAGATGAATGCACTCATCACAAAGCAGTTTCCCAGAAGTCTTATTTCTAGTATTCATCTGAAGATATTTCCTTTTCCACCATAAGCCACAAAGTGCTCACAAATATCCCTACTCAGATTCTACAAAAACAGTGTTTCCAAACTCCTCAATCAAAAAGAAGTTTAATTCTGTGAGATGAATGCAGAAAACTTCCTAGTAGTATTTATCTGTAGATTTTCCTTTTTCACCATGCCCTCAATGTGCTCACAAATATCCCTTTGCTGATTCTAAAAAAACAGTGTTTCCAAACTGCTCAATCAATAGAAAGGTTTATTTCTGTGAGATGAATGTCCTCATCACAAAGCAGTTTCTCAGGAAGCTTCCTTTTGTTTTTTTCTGAATATATTTACTATTTCACCTTAGGCCACAAAGTGCTCCCAAATATCCTTTCATAGATTCTACAAGAACAGTGTATTGAAACAGCTCAATCAAAGGAAAGGTTTACCACTGTGTGACGAATGCACACATCACAAAGCTGTTTCTCAGAAAGAATCTTTCCAGTTTTTATCTGAAGATATTTCCTTTTTCACTATAGGCCTCAAAGGGCTCCCAAATATCCCTTTGCAGATTCTTCAAAAACAGGGGTTAAAAACTGGACAATCAAAGGACAGTTTTAACTCTGTGAGAAGAATCCACACATCACAAATCAGTTTCTGAGAAAGCTTCTTTCTAGTATTTATATGAAGCTATTTCCCTAGGCCTGAACGTTTTCCCAAATATCCCTTTGCAGATTCTACATGAACATTGTTTCCAAACTGCTCAATCGAAAGAAAGATTTAATTCTGTGAGATGAATGCACTAATCACAAAGCAGTTTCTCAGAAAGCTTTTTTTTCATTTTTTTCTGATGATATTTCCTATTTCACAATAAGTCGCAATGTCCTCCCAAATATCCCACTGCAGATTCTGCCAAAACAGTGTTTCCAAACTACGCAATCAAATTAAGTTCAACTCTGTGAGAGTTAAACAAAGCAGTTTCTCAGAAAACTTCTTTGTAGTTTTTCTCTGAAGTTATTTCATTTTTCACCATGGGCTTCAAAGTGCTCCCATATATCCCTTTGTTTATACTACAAAAACCGTGTTTCCAGACTGCCCAATCAAAAGAAAGGTTTAACTCTGTGAAAAGAATGCACACATCACAAAGCGGTTTCTGAGAATACTCCTTTCTAATTTTGTCTGAAGATATTTCCTTTATCACCTCAGGCCTCTATGCGCTCCCAAATATCCCTTCACAGATTCTACCTAAACAGTGACTCCAAACTGCTCAATCAAAAGAAAGGCTAATCTCTGCGAGATGAATGCACACATCTCAAATCAGTTTCCCAGAAAGCTTCCTTCCAATAATTTTCTGACGATATTTCCTTTTTCACCATAGGCTTCAAAGCGCTCACAAATATTCCCTCACAGATTCTTCAAAAACAGTGTTTCCAAACTGCTCAATCAAAATAAAGGTTTAATTTTGGAGAAGAATACACACATCACAAAGGGCTTTCTGAGAAAGATTCTTTCTAGTATTTATCTGAAGATATTTCCTTTTTCACATAGGCCTCAATGTGGTCCCAACTATCCCTTTGCAGATTCTTAAAAAACAGTGTTTCCAAACTGTTCAATTAATAGAGTTTAATTCTGGGTGATGAATGCACTCAACACAAAGCAGTCTCACAGAAAGTATCTTTTTAGTTTTTTTTCCAAAGATATTTACTATTTCCTCATAGGCTTCAGAGCACTCCCAAATATCCCTTCACAAATTTTGCAAAAACAGTGTTTAGAAACTGCACAAGGCCAGGCATCGTGGCCCATGCCTGTACTCCCAGCACCTTGGGAGGCTGAGACGTGTGGATCACAAGGTCAGGAAATCGAGACCATCCTGACTAATACAGTGATACCCCATTTCTACTAAAAATACAAAAAATTAACAGGGCCTTGTGGCAGGTGCAAGTAGTCCCAGCTACTCAGGAGGCTGAGGCAAGAGAATGGCGTGAACCCAGGAGGCAGAGCTTGCAGTGTGCCAAGATCACACCACTGCACTCCAGCCTGGGTGAAAGAGTGAGACTTTGTTTCAAATAAATAAATAAATAAATAAGTGCACAATCAAAATAGAGGTTTAACTCTGTGAGAAATATCCACACATCACAAAGTGGTTTCAGAGAAAGCTTCTTTCTAGTATTTATCTAAAGATATTTGCCTAGGTCTCAATGCATTCCCAAATATCATTTTGTAGATTAGACATAAACAGTGTTTCCAAACTGCTCAATCAAAGGAAAGTTTTAATTCTGTGAGATGAATGCATTCATCACAAAGCCATTTCTCAGAAAGCTTCCTTTAATTTTTTTCTTAAGATATTTCCTATTTCACAATAGGCCTCAATGCACTACCAAATATCCCATCACAGATTCTGCCAACCAGTGTTTCCAAACTACTCAATCAAATTAAGGTTTAACTCTGTGAGATGAATGCACAGATCACAAAGCAGTTTCTCAGAAAAGTTCTTTGCAGATTTTCTCTGAAAATATTTTGTTTTTCACCATGGGCCTCAAAGTGAACACATATATCCCTTTGCTTATACTAGAAAAACCATGTTTCCAGACTGCACAATCAAAAGAAAGGTTTAACTCGGGGAGATGAATGCACTGGTCACCAAGCAGTTTCTCAGAAAGATTCCAGTTTTTATCTGAAGATATTTCTTTTTTCACAATGTCTACATTCACTCCAAAATATCCCTTCAGAGATTCTACCAACACATTGTTTCCTAACTGCTCACTCAAAAGAAAGGTTTAACTCTTTGTGCTGAGTGCACACATCACAAAACAGTTTCTCAGAAAGATTCTTTTTAGGTTTTCTCTGAAGACATTTCATTTTTCACCATGAGCCTCAAAGCACTCTCATATATCCCTTTGTTTATACTACAAAAACCATGTTTCCAAACTGCTCAGTCATATTAAGATTTAACTTTGAGAGAAGAATGCACACATCATAAAGAAGTTTCTCAGAAAGTTTCTTTTTAGTTTTTCTCTGAAGACATTTCCTTTTTCACCACAGGCCTCAATGTGCTCCCAAATATTCCCTTGCAGATTCTAAAAAAACAGTGTTTCTGAATGGCTCACTCAAAACAAAGGTTTGCCTATGTGAGATGAATGCACAAATCACAAAGCCATTTCACAGAAAACTTCTTTCTATTATTTACCTCAAGATATTTCATTTTTCACCATATGCCTCATAACGCTCCCAAATATCTCTTCTCAGATTTAAAAAAGAAAAAGTGTTACAAACAGCTCCATCAAAAGTAAAGTTTAACTCTGTGAAGTGAATGCACACATCACAAAGCAGTTTCCTTGAAAATTTCTTTCTAATTTTTATCTCAAGGTATTTTCTTTTCAACCATAGGCCTCTATGCTCTCCCATACATCCCTTCATAGGTTCTACAAAAACTGGGTTTCTAAACTGCTCAATCAAAATACCTGTTTAACTCTGTGAGAAGAATGCACACATCACAAATCAGTATCTCAAAAAGCTTTTTTCTGGTTTTTATCTGAAGATGTGTCCTTTTTCACCATAGGCCCCAATGCGATACAAAATATTCCTTCACAGATTCTACCAAAACAGTGTTTCCAAACTCCTCAATAAAAACAAAGGTTAAACTCCGTGAGATAAATTCACAGATCACAAAGCTGTTTCTCAGAAAACTTTATATAGTATTGCTCTGAAGATATTTCCTTCTTCACCCTAAACCTCAATGTGCTCCCATATATCCCTCCACAGAGTCTACAAAAACAGTGTGTCATAACTGCTCAATGAAAAGAAAGGTTTAACTCTGTGAGAAGAATGCAAGCAACACAAAACAGATTCTGGGAAAGTTTCTTTTTAGTTTTTATCTGAAGATATTTCATTTTTCACCATAGGCCTCAACACTCTCCCAAATATACCGTCGCATATCCTACAAAAACAGTGTTTCCAAACTGCTCAATCAAAAGAAATGTTTAACTCTGTAAGAAGAATGCACACGTCACAAAGGGGTCTCTGAGAAAGCTTCTTTCTAGTATTTATCTGAAGATATTTCCTTTTTCTCCACAGGCCTACATGTGCTCCAAAATATACCTCTGCAGGTTATACAAAAACAGTGTTTCCAAACTGCTCAATCAACAGACAGTTTTTATTCTTTAAAGTGAATGCATCCATCACAAAGCAGTTTCTCAGAAAGATTCTTTCAGTTTTTATCTGAAGGTATTTCCTTTTTCACCATATACCTTAATGCACTCCCAAATATCCCTTCTCTGAACTGCTCAAACAATAGAAATATTTAACTCTGTGAGATGAATGAACTCATCACAAAGCAGATTCTCAGAAAGCTTCTTTCTAGTTTTTAACTGAAGATATTTTCTTATTCAACACAGACCTCAATGCACATCCAAATATCCCTTCACAGATTCTAACAAAAGAGTGTGTCCAAAATGCTCAATCAAAAGAAAGGTTTGCCTCTGTGACATAAATCCACACATGACAAAGCAGTTTCTCAGAAAGCTTCTTTTTAGTTTTTGTCTGAAGATATTTCCTTTTTCACCATAGGCATCAATGGGCTCCCATATATCCCTCCTTAGAATTTACAGAAACAGTGTTTCCAAACTGCTCAATGAAAAGTGAGGTTAAACTCTGTGAGAAGAATGCACACATCACAAAGCAGTTTCTGAGAAATCTTCCTTCTAGTATTTATCTGAAGATATTTTCTTTTTCTCCATAGGACTCAAAGCACTCCAAAATATCCCTTGGCAGATTCTAAAAAAAAACAGTGTTTCCAAATTGCTCAATCAAAAGAAAGGTTTAATTGTATGAGATGAATGCACAAATCACAAAACTTTTTCCAGAAAACTTTTTTCTAGTATTTACCTGATGATATTTCCCTTTTCACCATAGGCCTCAAAGAGCTCCCAAATATCCCTTCTCAAATTCTACAAAAACAGTGTTTCCAAACTGCCCAATCAAAACAGTTTTAACTCTATATGCTGAATGCACACATCACAAAGCAGTTTCTCAGAATACTTCTTTCTAGTTTTTATCTGAAGATATTTCCTTTTTTACCCTCAGCCTTAAAATACTCCCAAATATCCCTTCTTAAGTAATTCAAAAAAAGTGTTGCCAAAGTGCCCAATGAAAAGAAAGGTTTAACTCTGTGAGGTGAATGCACTCTTCACAGAGCAGTTTCTTAGAATGCTTCTTTCTAGTTTTTATCTGAAGATATTTCTTTTTCCACCATAGGACTCAAAGAGTGCACAAATATTCCTTCATGGATCCTAACAAAACAGTGTTTCCAAAGTGCTCAATCAAAAGAGAGTTTTAACTGTTACAGATGAATGAGCACATCATAAAGCAGTTTCCCAGAAAGATTCTTTCTAATTTTTATCTGAAGATATTTCGTTTTTCACCATAGGCCTCAAATCACTCCAAAATATTCCTTCTCAGATTGTAAAAAAATCATGTTTCCTAACTTCTCAATCAAAAAAGGGTTAACTCTATGAAATTAATGTACTCATTACAAAACAGTTTCTCATAAAGCTTCTTTCTAGATTTTATCTGAAGATATTTTCTTTTTCACCATAGGCCTCATAGCACTCCCAAATATCCCTTCATAGATTCTATAAAAACAGCATGTGCAAACTACTCAATGAAGAGAAAGGTTTAACTCTGGGACAAGAACGGACAATTCACAAAGCAGTTTCTGAGAAAGCCTCTTTCTAGTTTTTATCTGAAGCTATTTCCTTTTTCACTACAGGCCTCAATGTGCTCCCAAATATCCCATCACAGATTCTACCAAAACAGTGTTTCCAAACTGCTCAATCAAAAGAACGGTTGAGTTCAGTGAGAAGAATGCACACATCACAAAGCGGTTTCTGAGAAAATTTCTTTCTAGTTTTTATCTGAAGATATTTCATTTTTCACCATAGGCCTCAATGCGCTCCCAAGTATCCTTTTGCAGATTCTACAAAAACAGTGTTTCCAACCTGGTGAATCAAAAGAAAGGTTTTACTCTGTGAGAAGAATGCTCATATCACAAAGCAGTTTCTGAGAAAGTTTCTTTCTAGTATTTATCTGAATACATTTCCTTTTTCACCATAGGCTTCAAGGAGCTCTTAAATATCCCTTTAGAGATTCTGAAACACAGTTTTTCCAAATTGCTCCATAAAAAGAAATGTTTAATTCTGTGAGATGAATGCACTTATCACAAACCAGTTTCTCAGAAAGCTTCTTTTTATTTTTTTCTCAATATATTTCCTTTTTCATTATAGGCCTCAAAGCACTCCCAAATATCATTTCAAATATTCTACCAAAACAGTGTTTCCAAACAGCTCAATCAAAAGGAAGGTTTAACTCTGTGAGATGAATGCAGTCATTCCAAAGCAGATTCTCAGAATGCTTCATTGTAGTTCTTCTCTGAAGGTATTTCCTTTAACACCATAGGCCTTAAAGGGCTTTTATATATCCCTTGGTAGAATTTACAGGAACAGTGTTTCCAAAATGCTTAATCAAAAATGAAATTAAACTCTGGGAGAAGAATGCACACATCACAAAGTGGTTTCTGAGGGGCTTCTTTCTAGTATTTATCAGAAGATGTTTCCTTTTTCACCATAAGCCTCAAAGTGCTCCAACAAATCCCTTCTCAGATTCCACAAAAACAATGTATCCACACTAATCAATCAAAAGAAAGGTTTAACTGTGTGCAAAGAATGCACACATCACAAACCAGTTTCTCAGAAATTTCTTTCTAGTTTTTCTCTGAAGATATTTCCTTTCTCACCATAGGCCTCAGGGCTCCCATATGTCCCTTCACAAATTCTACAAAAACAGTGTTTCCAAACTGCACACTCAAAAGAAAGGTTCAACTCTGTTAGATGAATGCACACATCACAAAGCAGTTTCTGAGAAAGCTTCTTTCTGGCTTTTATCTGGAGATATTTCCTTTTTCACCATAGGCCTCAATGCACTTCCAAATGTCCCTTCACAGATTTAAAAAAGCAGTGTTTCCAAACTACTCAATCAAAAGAAAGGTTTACTTCTGTGAGCTGAATGCACTCATCACAGAGTAGTTTCTCAGAAAACTTCTTTCTAGTGTTTATGTGAAGATATTTCCTTTTTCACCATGGGCCTCAAAGCACTGAAAAATGCCCCTTTGCAGATTCTACAAAAACGGTGTTGCCAAGCTACTCAATTGAAAAAAAAAGTTGAACTCTTTGAGGTGAATGCACTCATCACAAAGCAGTTTCTCAGAAAGCGTCTTTCTATTTTTTATCTGAAGATATTTCCTTTTATACTACAGGCCTCAATACATTCCCAAATACCCCTTGGTGAATTTTACAGAAGCAATGTTTCCAAACTGATCAAACAAAATTATGGTTTAATACTGTGAGATGAATGTATAAATAACAAATCAGTTTCCAGAAAGCTTCCTTCAAGTATTTACCTGAAGATATTTCCTTTTTCACAATAGGCCTCAATGCATCCGAAATATTCCTTGGCAGATTCCACAAAAACAGAGTTGCTGAACTGCTCAATCAAAAGATGGGTTTAACTCTGTGAGATGAATGCAGTTTCCAGAAACCTTCTTTCTATTATTTGTCTACAGATATTTCCTTTTTCACCATAGGCCTCAACACTCACCCAAATACCCTTCAAAGATTTTACCAAAACATTGTTGCCAAACTGGTCAATCACAAGAAAGGTTTAAATATGCGAGATGAATGTACACATCATGTAGCAGTTTCTCAGAAAGATTCTTTGTAGTTTTTATCTAAAGATATTTCCTTTTTCACCTTAGGCCTCAATGCAATCTCATATATCCCTTCGTAGATTCCACAAAAACAATATTTCTAGATGGCTCAATCAAAAGAAAGGGCTAACTCTGTGTGAAGAATGTGCACATCACAAAGCAGTTTCTCAGAAATTTCTTTCTAGTTTTTCTCTGAAGATATTTCCTTTTTCACCATAGGCCTCAGCACTCCCATATATTCATTTGCAGATTCTACATAAACAGTTTCCAAATTCCACATTCAAAAGAAAGGTTTTACTCTCAGAAGAATGCACACATAACAAAGCACTTTCTCAGAAAGCTTCTTTCTAGTTTTTCTCCAAAGATATTTCACTTTTCACCATAGGCCCCCATGTGCTCCCATGTATCCTTTCATTGATTGTACACAAACAGTGTTTCCAAACTGCTCAATCAAAAGAAAGGTTTAACACTGGTGGAAGAATGCAGACATCACAAAGCAGTTTCTGAGAAAGTTCTTTCTAGTATTTATCTGAAGATATTTCCTATTTCTCCATAGGCCTCAATGCACTCCCAAATGTCCCTTCGCAGATTCTGCCTAAACAGTGTTTCCAAACTGTTCAATCAAAAGAAAGGTTTAACTCTGTGAGATGAATGCACAATTCACAAAGCAATTTCCCAGAAAGCTTCTTTCTAGTTTTATCTAACATATTTCCTTTTTCACTTTTGGTGTCAAAGCACTCTCAATTATCCGTTCTCAGCTTCTACAAAAACAGTGTTCCCAAAAGGCCCAATGAAAAGGAAATTTTAACTCTACATGATGAATGCACACATCCCAGAGCTGTTTCTCAGAAATGTTTCTTTCTAATTTGTATCTGAAGATATTTTCTTTTTCACTATATGCCTCAATGCACTCCTAAATATCCCTTGGTACATTTTACAGAAACAGTGTTTCCAGAGTGCTCAATGAAAATAATGGTTAACCTCTGTGATAAGAATGTACACATCACAAATCAGTTTCCAGAAAGCTTTTTCTAGTTTTAATCTGAAGATATTTCCTTTTTCACCACTGGCCTCGAAGCACTCCCAAATATCCCTTTGCATGTTTTACAAAAACATTGTTTCCAAACTGCTCAATCAAAAGAAAGGATTAACTCTGCCAGCTGAATGCACAAATCACAAAGCAGTTTCCCACAAAGCTTCTTTCTAGTTTTTTCTAACATAATTCATTTTTCACAGTAGGCCTCAAAGCACTACCAATTGTCCTTTCTCAGATTCTTCAAAAACAGGGTTGCCAAACTGCTCAATCAAAAGAAAGTTCAACTCTATGAGATGGATGCACTCATCACAAAGCAGTTTCTCAGAAGCGTTCTTTCTAGTATTTCTCTGAATATACTTCCTATTTCACAATAGACCTCAATGAACTCCCAAATATACCTTGGTAGAATTTACAGAAACTGTTTCCAAACTGCTTAATCAAAATAACGGTTTACCTCTGTCAGATGAATGCACACATCACAAAGCAGATTTCAGAAAGATTCTTTCTAGTTTTTATCTCAAGATATTTCCTTTATCACCATATGCCTCAAAGTGCTCGTGTATATCCCTTGGTATAATTTACAGAAACAGTGTTTTCAAACTGCTCAATCAAAAGTGAGGTTGAAATCTGTGAGAAGAATGCACACATCAAAACACAGTTTGTGAGAAAGCTTCTTTCTAGTATTTATCTGAAGATATTTCCTTTTTTGACATAGACGTCAAAGTGCTCCCCAATATCCCTTCACATATTCTAAAAAAACAGTGTTTCCACACTGCTCAATCAACACAAAAGTTTAACTCATTGAGAAGAATACACAAATCTCAAAGCAGATTCATTATTCACCATAGGCCTCCAAGTGCTCCCAAATATCTGTTCTCAGATTGTACAAAATCACTGGTGTCAAAGCGCTAAATTAAAGAAAGTTTTCACCCTGTGAGATGAATGCACTCATCACAAAGCAGTTTCTCAGAAAGCTTCTTTCTAGTTTTTATCAGAAGATATTTCATTTTTCACCATAGGCATCAATGCACTGCCCAATATCCCCTTACAGATTCTACTAAAACAGTGTTTCTGAACTGCTCAATTAAAAGAAAGGTTTATCTCTGTGACACAAAAGCACTCATCACAAAGCAGTTTCTCAGAAAGCTTCTTTCTAGTTTTTTCTGAAGATATTTTATTTTTCACCATAGGACTCAATGCGCTCCCAAATATCCCTTGGCAGATACTTCCAAAATAGTGTTTCCAAACTGCTGAGTCAAAAGTAAGATTTAACTCTTTGTGCTGAATGCATACATCACAAAGCAGTTTCCCAGAATGCTTCCTTCTGGTTTTTATCTGAAGACATTTCCTTTTTCACCATAGGCTTCAATGGTCTCTGAAATATCCTTTCACAGATTCTACAAAAAGAGTGTTTCCAAACTGTTCAACTAAAGAAAGGTTTAACTCTGTGGGATGAATGCACACATCACAATGCTATTTCTCAGAAATCTTTCTCGTTTTTTTCTGAGGATATTTCTTTTTTCACCATAGGCCTCAATGCGTTCCTAAATATGTCTTCACAGATTCTGCAAAAACAGTGTTACCAAACTGCTCATTCAATAGAAAGTTTTAATTCTCTTAGAAGAATGCACACATCAGAAAGGAGTTTTTCAGAAAGATTCTTTCTAGTTTTCATCTGAAGATATCTCCTTTTACAACATAGGCCTCAATAAGTTCCCAAATATCCCTTTGCAGATTCTACAAGAACAGTGTTTCCAAACTGCTCAATAAGAAGAAAGGTTTAAGTCTGTGAGATGACTGCACTCTTCTCAAAGAAGTTTCTCATAAACCTTCTTTCTAGTTTTCATCTGAAGGTATTTCCATTTTCACCATAGGCCTTAATGCGTTCCCAAATATCACTTCACAGACTCTATAAAAACAGTGTTTCCAAACTGCTCAATCAAAAGAAAGGTTTAAGTCTGTGAGATGAATGCAGTCATCACAAAGCTGTTTCTCAGAAACATTCTTTCTAGTTTTTGTCTGAAGATATTTCCTTTTTCACCATGTGCCTAAAGGGCTCCAAAATATCACTTTGCTGGTTCTACAAAAACAGTGTTTCCAAACTGCTCAATTGAAAAAAAGGTTTAACTGTGAAATGAATGAACACATCACAAAGCATTTTCCCAGAAAGGTTCTTTCTAGTTTTTATTTGAAGGTATATCCTTTTTCAATACAGGCCTCAAAGTGCTCCCAAATATCTCTTCTCAGATACCAAAAAAACAGCATTTTCAAACTACTCAATTAAAAGAAAAGTTTAGCTCTGTGAGTTGAATGAACTCATCACAAAGCAGTTTCTCAGAATGTTTCTTTCAAGTTTTTAATCTGAAGATATTTCCTTTTTCAACATAGGCCTCAATGTGCTCCCAAATATCCCTTCGCAGATTCTACCAAAACAGTATTTCCAAACTGCTAAATCAAAAGAAGGGTTTTACTGTGTGAGATGAATGCAAAATTCACAAACCTGTTTCTGAGAAAGCTTCTTTCTAGTTTTTGTCTGAAATTATTTCCTTTTTCACCATAGTCCTCAATGTACTCCTAAATATCCCTTGGCAGAGTCAACAAAAACTGTGTTTCCAAACTGCTCAATCAAAATAAAAGTTTAACTCTGTGAGATGAAAGCACACATCACAAAAAAGCTTCTCAGAAAGCTTCTTTCTAGTTTACATCTGAGGATGTTTCCTTTTTCACCATAGACCCCAATGCTCCCCCAAGTATCCCTTTGCAGATTCTACAAAAACAGTTTTTCCAAACTGCTCTATCAAAAGAAAGGTTTTACTCTGTGAGATGAATGCACACATCGAAAAGCAGTTTCTTGGAAAGCTTCTTTCTAGCTTTTATTTGAAGATATTTCCTTTTTCACCAAAGGTCTCAATGGGCTCCGAAATATCCCTTCACAGATTCTACAAAAACAGTGTTTCCAAACTGTTCAATTAAAGAATGATTTAACTCTGTTGAATGAATGCACACATCACAATGCTATTTCTAAGAAATCTTTCTCATTTTTTTCTGAAGATATTTCCTTTTTCACCATAGCCCTCAATGTGTTCCTAAATATATCTTCACAGATTCTGCAAAAACAGTGTTGCCAAACTGCTCATTCAATACAAAGGTTTAATTCTCTTAGAAGAATGCACACATCAAAAAGCAGTTTCTCAGAAAGTTTCTTTCTAGTTTTCATCTGAAGATATCTGCTTTCCCAACTTAGGCCTCAAAAAGCTCATAAATATCCCTTTGCAGATTCTAGAAGAACAGAGTTTCCAAACTGCTCAATGAAAAGAAACGTTTACCTCTGTGAGATGAATGCACACATCACAAAGCAGTTTCTCAGAAAGCTTCTCTCTAGTTTATATGTGAAGGTATTTCCTTTTTCACCATAGACCTCAATTCATTCCCAAATATCCCTCCATAGATTCTACAAAAACTCCGTTTCCAAACTCCTCAATCAAAAAAAGGTTTAAGTCTGTGAGATGAATGCACTCTTCACAAAGCAGTTTCTCATAAATCTTCTTTCTAGTTTTCATCTGAAGCTATTTCCTTTCTCACCACAGGCCTCAATGCATTCCCAAATATCCCTTTGCAGATTCTATAAAAACAGTGTTTCCAAACTGCTTGATCAAAAGAAAGGTTTAACTCTGTGAGATGAATGCACTCATCCCAAAGCTGTTTCTCAGAAAGTTTCTTTCTAGTTTTTATCTGAAGATATTCCTTTTTCACCATACCCCTAAAAGCACTCCAAAATATTGCATTGCAGATTCTACAAAAACAGTGTTTCCAAACTGCCCAATCAAAAAAAAAAGTTTAACTCTGTGAGATGAATGCACACACCACAAAGCAGTTTCTCAGAATGCTTCTTTCTAGATTTTATCTGAAGATATTTCCTCTCTCAACATATGCCTCAATATGCTCCCAAATATCCCTTCTCAGATTCTACCGAAACATTATTTCCAAACTGCTCAATCAAAACAAAATTTTAACTCTGTGACATGGATGCACACATCACAAACCAGTTTCTAATAAAGCTTCTTTCTAGTTTTCATCTGAAGTTATTTCCTTTTTCACCATAGGCCTCAATGTGCTCCTAAATATCCCTTTACAGATTCTGCAAAAACTTTGTTTCCAAACTGCTCAATCAAAAGAAAGGTTTAACCTTGTGAGATGAATGCAGTCATCACAAAGCAGTTTCTCAGAAAGCTTCTTTCTAGTTTATATCTGAAGATGTTTCGTTTTTCACCATAGGCCTCAATGTGCTACCAAATATCCCTTCTCAGTTTCTACAAAAATACTGTTGCCAAACTTCAATCAAAAGAAAGGTGTACTTCTGTGAGATGAATGCACTCATCAAAAGCAGTTTCTCAGAAAGCTTCTTTCTAGTTTTGATCTGAAGATATTTCCTTTTTCACGATAGGCCTCAATGTATTCCCAAATATCCCTTCACATGTTCTACAAAAACAGTGTTACCAGAGTGCTCAATCAAAAAAAAAGCTTTCACTCTGTAAGAAGAATTCTCACATTGCAAGGTGGTTTCTGAGAAAGTTTCTTTCTAGTATTTATCTGAAGATATTTCCTTTTTCACCATAGGCCTCAATGCACTCCCAAATATCCCTTCATTGATTGCACGCAAACAGTGTTTCCAGACTGCTCAATCAAAATAAACGTTTAAATCTGTGAGAAGAATGCACAAATCACAAGGCAGTTTCTGAGAAGGCTTCTTCCTAGTATTTATCTCAAGATATTTCCTTTTTCACCAAATGCCTCAATGGGTTCCCAAAGATCCAATTGCAGATTCTACACATAAAGTGTTTCCAAACTGCTGAATCAAAAGAAAGGTTTAACTCTGTGGGATGAATGCACACATCACAATGCTATTTCTCATAAATCTTTCTCATTTTTTTCTGAGGATATTTCCTTTACTACCCTAGGCCTCAATGCGTTCCTAAACATACCTTCACAGATTCTGAAAAAACAGTGTTACCAAACTGCTCATTCAATAGAAAGATGTACTTCTGTTAGAAGAATGTACACATCAAAAAGAAGTTTCTCAGAAAGCTTCTTTCTAGTTTTCATCTGAAGATATCTCCTTTTCCAACTTAGGCCTCAACACGTTCCAACTATTCCTTTGCAGACTCTAGAAAAACCACGTTTCCAAATTGCTCAATCAAAAGTAAGGTTTAGTTCTGTGAGATGAATGCACTCATCACAAAGTTGTTTCTCAGAAAGCTTCTTTCAAGTTTTCATCTGAAGATATTTCCTTTTTCACCATAGGCCTCAATGTGCTCCCAAATATCCCTTCACAGATTCTATAAAAACAGTGTTTCCAAACTGTTCAAATGAAAGAAAGGTTTAATCCTGTGAGATGAATGCAATCATCACAAAGCTGTTTCTCAGAAAGCTTCTTTCAAGTTTTTATCTGAAGATGTTTCCTTTTTCACCATAGGCCTAAAAGCGCTCCAAAATATCGCTTTCCAGATTCTACAAAAACAGTGTTTCCAAACTGCTCAATCAAAATAAAAGTTTACCTCTGTGAGATGAATGCACACATCACAAAGCTGTTTCCCGGAAAGCTTCCTTCTAGTTTTTACCTGAACATATTTCGTTTTTCACCATAGGCCTAAAAGCACTCCCAAATATCTCTTCTCAGATTCTACAAAAACACTGTTCCCAAACTGCTCAATAAAATGAAGAGTTTAACTCTGTAAGATGAATGCACACATCACAAAGCAGTTTCTCAGGAAGATTTTTTCTAGTTCTTCTCTGAAGCTATTTCCTTTTTCACCAGAGACATCAATGTGCTCCCAAATATCTCCCCGCAGATTCTAACAAAAGAGTGTTTCCAAACTGCTCAATCAAAAGAAAGGTTTAACTCTGTGAGATGAATGCACACATCACAAGGCAGTTACCCAGAAAGCTTCTTTCTAGTTTTTATCTGAAGATATTCCGTTTTTCACCATAGACTTCAAATCGCTCCCAAATATCCCTTCTCAGATTGTACAACTGTGTTTCCAAACTGCTCAATGAAAAGAAAGGTTTAACACTGTGAGACGAATGAACTCATTCCAAAGCAGTTTCTCAGAAAGCTTCTTTCTACTTTTTATCTGCAGATATTTCCTTTTTCAACATAGGCTTCAAAGAGCTCCCAAATGTCCCTTTGCAGATGCTACCAAAACAGCATTTCAAAAGCGCTTAATCCAAAGAATGATTTAACTCTGTGAGAAGAACACACACATCACAAAGTAGTTCTGAGAAAGCTTCTTTTTAATTTTGATCTGAAGATGTTTCCTTTTTCACCATTGCCTTCAATGCGCTCCCAAATATCCCTTCGCAGATACTTCCAAAACAGTGTTTCCAAACCGCGAAATCAAAGGAAAGGTTTATCCTTTTGAGATGAATGCAACCATCACAAAGCGGTTTCTGAGAAAGCTTCTTTCTAGTTTTTATCTGAAGTTATTGCCTTTTTGGTCATAGCCCTGAAAGTGCTCCCAATTATCCCTTTGCAGATTCTTCCAGAACAGATTTTCCAAACCGTTCAAACTAAAGAAAGGTTCAACTCTGTGAGATGATTGCACACATCACATAGCAGTTTCTCAGAAAGCTTCTTTCTAGCTTCTATCTGAAAATATTTCCTTTTTCACCTTAGGCCTCAAAGTGCTCCCAAATATACCTTCACGGATTCTACAAAGACAGTTTTTCCAAAGGACACAGTCAAAATAAAGTTTAACTCTGTGTGATGAATGCACGCATCAAAGTAATTTCCCAGAAAGCTTGTTTGTAAATTTTCTCTGAAAATATTTCCTTTTTCACCGTAGCCGACAATGCGCTCCCATATATCCCTTCATAGATTCTACAAAAAAAGTGTTTCCAGACTGCTCATCAGAAGAAAGATTTTACTCTGTGAGAAGAATGAGAAAAACCAAAATGGTTTCTGAGAAAGCTTCTTTGTTGTTATTATCTGAAGAAATTTCCTTTTTCATCATAGGCCTCAAAATGCTCCCAAATATCTCTTCTCAGGTTTGAAAAAAACACTGTTCCCAAATGACTCAGTGAAAAGAAAAGTTTAACTCTGTGCAATAAATACACACACCAGCAAGTGGTTTCTCAGAAAGCTTCTTTCTAGTTTTTCTATGAAGATGTTTCATTTTTCACCAAAGAATGTGCTCCCAAATATCCCTTTGCAGATTCTACCACAACAGTGCTTCCAAACTGCACAATCAAAAGGAAGGTTTAACTCTGTGAGATGAATGCACACATCACAAAGCAGTTTCCCAGAAAGCATCTTTCCAGTTTTTATCTGAAGATATTTCCTTTTTCACCCTAGGCCTTAAAGCACTACAAAATATATCCTCTCAGATTCCAAAAAAACAATGTTGCCAAACTGCTCAATGAAATGAAAGGTTTAACTCTGTGAGATGAATGCACTCATCATGAAGCAGTTTGTCAGAAAGCTTCTTTCTAGTTTTTACCTGATGATATTTCCTTTCTCTGCATAGGCCTCAAAGAGCTCCCAAATATCCTTTCTCAGATGCCACTAAAACAGTGTTTCCAAACTGCACAATCAAAGGAAAGGTTTAACTCTGTGAGATGAATGCAACCATCACAAAGCAGTTTCTGAGAAAGCTTCTTTATAGTTTTTAAATGAAGTTATTGCCTTTTTCACCATAGCCTTCAAAGCGCTCCCAAATATTCCTTTGCAGATTCTACCAAAACAGTTTTTCCAAACTGCTCAATCAAAAGGAAGGTTTAAATCTGTGAGATGATTACTCGTCACAAAGTGGTTTCTGAGAAAGCTTCTGTCTAGTACTGATCTGAAGATAATTCTTTTTTCACCATTGGCCTCCATATGCTCCCAAATATCCCTTCACAGATACTTCCAAAACAGTGTTTCAAAGCTGTGCAATCAAAGGAAATGTTTAACTCTGTGAGATTAATGCAACCATCACAAAGCAGTTTCTGAGAAAGCTTCTTTCTACTTTTTTTCTGAAGATATTTCCTTGTTCAGCACATGCCACTCTGTGTTCCCATATATCCCCTTGTAGATTCTACAAAAACAGTTTTTCCAGACTGCTCAATCTAAAGAAATTTTTAACTCTGTGAGAAGAATGCACGCATCACAAAGCAGTATCTCAGAAACCATCCTTCTAGTATTTATCTGAATATATTTCTTTTTTCACCATAGGCCTCACTCCACTCCCAAATATCCCTTGGCAGATTCTACAGAAACATTGTTTCCAAATTTCTGAATGAAAAGAAATGTTTACCTCTGTGAGACGAATGCCCTCATCACAAAACAGTTTCTCAGAAAGCTTCTTTCTAGTTTTTCTCTGAAGATATTTTCTTATTCACCATAGGCCTCAATGTGCTCCTATATATCACTTCATAGATTCTATTAAACAGTGTTTCCGGACTGCTCACTCAAAAGGAAGGTTTAACTCTGTTAGAGGAATCAGCACATCAGAAAGCAGTTTCTGAGGAAGCTTCTTTGTAGTTTTTATCTGAAGATATTTCCTTTTTCACCACAGGCCTCAATGCACTCCCAAATATCCTTTCGCAGTTTCTACCAAAACAGGGTTTCCAAACTGCTCAATTAAAAGAAAGATTTAACTCTGTGAGATGAGTGCACACATGACAAAGCTGTTTCTCAGAAAGCTTCTCTATAGTTTTTCTCTGAAGGTATTCCCTTTTTCACCATAGGCCTCAATGCACACCCATATATCCTTTCACATATTCTACAAAAACAGTGTTTCCAGACTGCTCAATCTAAAGAAAGTTTAACTCTATGAGAAAAATGCACAGATCACAGAGCAGTTTCTCAGAAACTGTCTTTCTAGTTTTTATCTGAAGATATTTCCCTTGTCACCATAGGCTTCAATGCTCTCCCAAATATCTCTTGGCATATTCTACAAAAACTCTGTTTCCAAACTGCTCAATAAAAAAGAAGGTTTAACTCTGTGAGAGGAATGCAAAACGTCACTAACCGGTTTCTGAGAGGGCTACTTTCTATTTTTATCTGAGGCTATTTCCTTTGTCAGCATAGGCCTCAATGTGATCCTAAATATCCCTTCACAGATTCTACAAAAACAGTGTTTCCAGACTGCTCAAAAAAAGAAAGGTTTATCTCTTTGAGAAGAATGTACATATCACAAAGCAGTTTTTCAGAATAATTCTGCCTAATTTTTCTCTGAATATATTCCTTTTTTCACCCTAGGCCTCAATGTGCTCCCATATATCACTTCATAGATTCTTTAAAAACAGTGTTTCCAGACTGCTCAATCCAAAGAAAGGTTTAACTCTGTGAGAAGAATGAACACATCAAAAAGAAGTTTCTCAGAATGCTTCTGTCTACTTTTTATGTGAAGATATTTGCTTTTCCACCATAGGCTGCAAAGCGCTCCAAATATCCACTTGCAGATTCTACAAAAAGAGTGTTTCAAAACTGCTCAATCAAAAGAAAGTTTCAACTCTGTCAGATGAATGCACACATCACAAAATTGTTTCCCAAAATGCTCCTTTCTAGTTTTTATCTGAAGATGTTTCCTTTTACACAATAAGCCTCAATGCAGCCTCATATAGCCCTTTGTAGATTTTACAAAAACAGGGTCTCCAAACTGCTCAGTCAAAAGAAAGGTAAAAATCTGTGAGATGAATACACTCATCACACAGCAGCTTCTCAGAAAGCTTCTTTTTAGTTTTTATCTGAAGATACTTCCTTTTTCACCTTAGTCCTCAATGGACTGCCAAATATCCCTTCGCAGATTCTACAAAAAAAGTGTTTCCAAACTGCTCAATCAAAAGAAAGGTTTAATGCTCTGATAAGAATGCACACATTGCCATGCAGCTTCTGAGAACACTTCTTTCTAGTATTTATCTGAAGATATTTCCTTTTCCGAAATAAGCCTCAATGCTCTCCCAAATTTCCGTTTGCAGATTTCACATAAACAGTGTTTCAAAACGGCTCAATCAAAAGAAAGGTATAACTCTGAGAAGAATGCACACATCACAAAGTGGTTTCTGAGAAAGCTTCTTTCTAGTGTTTATCTGAAGGTATTTCCTTTTTCAAAATAAGCCTCAATGCACTCCCAAATTTCCCTTTGCAGATTTCACATAAACAGTGTTACAAAACTGCTCAAGCAAAAGGAAGTTTTAACTCTGTGAGAAGAATGCACACATCAAAAAGCAATTTCCCAGAAAGCTTCTTTCTAGTTTTTATCTGCAGATATTTCATTTTTCACCACAGGTCTCTCAAAGTGATCCCATATATCCCTTCACAGATTCTACAAAAACACCATTGCCAAGCTGATCAATCAAAAGCAAGGTTTAACCCTGTGAGATTAATGCAGTCACCACAAAGCAGTTTCTCAGAAACCTTCTTTTTTGTTTCTGAGAAACTCCCAAAGATCCCTTCGTAGATTCTACCAAAACAGTGTCTCCAAACTTTTCAATCAAAAGAAAGGTTTAACTTTGAGAGATGAATGCATACATCACAAACAGTTGTTCAGAAAGCTTCTTCCTAGTTTTCCTTGAAGATATTTCTGTTTTCACAATAGACCTCAATGCACTCCCATATGTATCCCTTCAGAGATTCTACAAAAACAGTGTTTCCAAACTGTTCAATCGTAAGAAAGCTTTAACTCTGTTAGAAGAATGCACACAACACAAAGCGGTTTCTGAGAAAGCTTCTTTTTAGTTTTTTTCTGCAGATATTTCCTTTTCCACCATAGGCCTCAAAGCATTTCTAAATAACCCTTCTGAGATTCTGCAAAAACAGTGTTTGCAAACAGCTCAATAATAAGAAGGGTTTAACTCTGTGAGAAGAATGAAAACATCTCAAAGCTGTTTCTGAGAATGCTTCTTCCTGGTTTTTGTCTGAAGATATTTTCTTTTACACCATAGGCCTAAATGCACTCCCAAATATCCCTTTGCAGATTCTACCAAAGCAGTGTTTCCAAACTCCTCAATCAAAAGAAAGGTTTAACTCTATTGGATGAATGCACTTTTCATGAAGCAGTTTCCCAGAAGGTTTCTTTCTAGATTTTATCTGAAGATATTTCATTTTTCACCATAGGCCTCAAAGCACTCGCAAATATCCCTTTCCAGATACTACAAAAATACGGTACCCAAACTGCTCAGTGAAAAGAAAGGTTTAACTCTGTGAGATGAATGCACCCATCATAAAGCAATTTCCTAGAAGGTTTCTTTCTACTTTTTATCTGAAGATATTTCCTTTTTCACGATAGGCCACAATGTACTTCAAAGTGTCCCTTCACAGATTCTATCAAAACAATGTTTCCAAACTGCTCAGTAAAAGCAAGTTTTAACTCTGTGAGGAGAATGCACACATCACAAAGCAGTTTCTGAGAAAACTTCTTTCAATGTTTTTTCTGAAGGTGTTTCCTTTTTCATCTTAGGCCACAATGTGCTCCCAAATATCCCTTTGCATATTTTAGAAAAACAGTGTTTCCATACTGCTCAATCAAAAGGAAAGTTTAGCTCTGTGAAAAGAGTGCACACATCACAAAACGGTTTCTGAGAAAGCTTCTTTCTAGTGTTTATCTGATGATATTTCATTTTTCACCATAGGCCTCCATGCACTGCCAAGTATCCCTTCACAGTTTCTACAAAAATAGTGTTTCCAAACTGCTCAATCAAAAGAAAGGTTTAGCTCTGTGACATGAATATACTCATAAAAAAGTGGTTTCTCAGAAAGTTTCTTTCTAGTTTTTTCTGAAGATATTTCCTTTTTCACCATTCTCCTCTAAGTACTCCCATATATCTCTTTGTGGTTTCTACAAAAACAGTGTTTCCAGACTGCTCTGTCAAAAGAAAGGTTTAATTCTGTGACATGAATGCACCCATCACAAAACAGTTTCTCGATAAGCTTCTTTCTACTTTTTATCTGTAGATATTTCCTTTTTCACTGTAGGCCTCATAGCATTCCAAAATATCCCTTCACATATTCTACAAGAACAGTGTTTCCAAACTGCTCAATCAAAAGAAAGGTTCAACTCTGTGTGATGAATGCACACATCAGAAAGCACTTTACAGAAAGCTTCTTCCAGTTTTCATCTGAAGATATTTCCTTTTTCACCATAGATCTCACTGTGCTCCCATATATTCCTTTGTAGATTCTACCAAAATAGTTTTTCTAAACTGTTCAATCAAAAGAAATGTTTAACTCTATGTGATGACTGCACACATCACAGTTTCCCAGAAAGCTTCTTTCTAGTTTTTCTCTGAGGATATTTCCTTTTTCACCATAGGCCTCAAAGCGATCCCAAATATCCCTTCACAGATTCTACCAAAACAGTGTTTCCAGACTGTTAAATCAAAAGAAAGGTTTAACTCTGTCAGAAGAATGCAAACATCACAAAGAAGTTTCTAAGAAAGCTTCTTTCCAGTTTTTATCTGAAGATATTTCCTTTTTCACCATAGGGCTAAATGCGCTCTCGTATATTCCTTCAAAGATTCCACAAAAAGAGTGTTTCCAGGCTGCTCAATCAGAAGAAAGTCTAAATTCTGTGAGAAGAAAGCATGCACCACAAAGCAGTTTCTCAGAAAGTTTCTTTGTAGTTTTGCTCTGAAGATATTTCCTTTTTCACCATAGGCCTCAATGCACTCCCATACATCCCGCAACAGATTCTACAAAAACAGTGTTTCCAAATTGCTAAATCAAAAGAAATATTTAACTCTGTGGGAAGAGTGCACATATCACAAAACAACTTCTGAGAAAGCTTCTTTCTAGTATTTATCTGAAGATATTTCCTCTTTCACCACAGGCCTAAATGTGCTCCCAAATGTCCCTTTGCAGATTCTGCAAAAACAACGTTCCCAAACTGCTCAATGAAAAGAAAGTTTGAACTCTTTGAGATGAATGCACTTATCACAAAACAGTTTGTAAAAGAGCTTCTTTCTACTTTTTCTGAAGATATTTCCTTTTTCACCATAGGTCTCAAAGCACTCCCAAATATCCTTTCTCAGATTCTATAAAACCAGTGCTGCCAAGCTGTTCAATCAAAAGAAGGGTTTAACTCTGTGAGATGAATGCACTCTTTCCAAGCAGTTTCTCAGAAAGTTTCTTTCTCATTTTCATCTGAAGTTATTTCCTTTTTCACCATTGGCCTCAAAGCACTCCGAAATATCCCTTCTCATATTCTACAAAAACACTGTTGTCAAACTGTTAAATCAAAAGAAAGGTTTAACTCTTTGAGATGAATGCACACATCACGAATCAGTTTCCCAGAAAGCTTCTTTCTAGTTTTTCTCTGAAGATATTTGCTTTTTCACCATAAGCCTCAATGCACTCCCATATATCCCTTAGTAGATTCTACAAAAAAACAGGGTTTTCAGGCTGCTCAATCACAACAAAGGTTTAACTCAGTGAAAAGAATGCACACTTTCTAAAGCAGTTTCTGAGAAAACCTCTTTCTAGTTCTTATCTGAAGATATTTCATTTTCTCATAGGCCTCAATGCACTCCAAAATATCCCTTCACAGATTCTAACAATACAATGTTTCCAAACTGCTCAATCAAAAGAAAAGTTTAACTCTGTGAGATTAATGCACACATCACAAAGCAGTTTCCCAGAAAGCTTCTTTCTTGATTTTATCTGAAGATATTTCATTTTCCACATAGGCCTCAAAGTGCTCCCAAATTTCCCTTCTCAGGTTCTACAAAAACACTGTTCCCAAACTGCTCAATGAAAAGAAAGGTTTAACTCTGTGAGATAATTGCACTCATCACAAAGTAGTTTCCCAGAAAGCTTCTTTCTTATTTTTATCTGAGGATATTTCCTTTTTTCACCATAGACCAAAATGCACTTCCAAATATCCCTTCACAGACTCTACAAAAACAGTGTTTCCAAACTGCTCAATGAAAAGAAAAGTTTAACTCTGTGAGATAAACGCACACATCACAAAGCAGTTTACCATAAAGCTTCTTTCTACTTTTTATCTGATGATATTTCCTTTTTCAACATAGGCCTCAAGGTGATCTCAAATATCCCTTCTCAGATTCTACAAAAACACTTTTGCCAAACCACTCAAAGAAAAGAAAGGTTTCACTCTGTGAGATGATTGCACTTATAGAAAAACAGATTCTCAGAAAGCTTATTTCTAGTTTTAATCTGAAGATATTTCCTTTTTCACAATAGGCCTCAATGGGCTCCCAAATATATCCCTTGGCAGATTTTTCCAAAACAATGTTTTCCAACTGCTCAATCACCAGAATGTTTTAACACTGTAAGTCGAATGCACACATCATAAAACAGTTTCGAGAAAGCTTCTTTCTAGTATTTATCTGAAGATATTTCTTTTTCACCATAAGCCCCAATGCACTCCAAAATACCCCTTCGCAGATTCTACAAAAACAGTGTTTCCAAACTCCTCCATCAAAAGAAAGGTTTAACTCTGTGAGAAGAAGGCACTCATCACAAAGAAGTTTCTCAGAAAGCTTCTTTCTAGTTTTTTCTGAAGATATTTAATTTTTGAATATAGGCCTCAAAGTGCTCCCAAATATCCTTAGGCAGATTCTACAAAAACAGTGTTGCCAAACTTCTCAATGAAATGAAAGTTTTATCACTATGAGATGAATGCACTCATCAGAAAGCAGTTTCTCAGAATGCTTCTTTCTATTTTTTATCCGAAGATATTTACTTTTTCACCATAGGCCTCAATACACTCCCAAATATCCCTTCATAGATACTTCCAAAAGAGTGTTTCAAAACTGCTCAATTAAAAGAAAGTTTTACCTTTGTGCGATGAATACACATATCACAAAGCCGTTTTTCAGAAAGCTTCTTTCTGGTTTTTCCCTGAAGGTATTTCCTTTTTCACAATAGACCTCAATATGCTCCCATATATCCCTTTGCAGATTCTACCTAAACAGTGTTTCAAAACTACTGAATCAAAATAAAGTTTTAACACAGAGAAATGAATGCACACATCACAAAGCAGTTTCCCAGAAAGCTTCTTTCTAGTTTTTATCTGAAGATGTTTTGTTTTTCACCCTAGGCCTCAAAGCATTCCAAAAATCCCTTCTTAGATTCTATAAAAACACAGTTGCCAAACTGCTCAATCTAAAGAAAGGTTTAACCTGGTGAGATGAATGCACTCATCACAAAGCAGTCTCTTAGAAAGCTTCTTCCTAATTTTTATCTGAAGATATTTCCTTTTTCACCGTGTGCCTCAATGCATTCTCAAATATCCCTTCGCAGATTCTACCAAAAGAATGTTTCCAAACTGTGCAATCAAAAGAAAAGTTTAGTTCTGTGAGATGAATGCAGACATCACAAAGCAGTTTCCCAGAATGCTTCTTTCTAGTTTTTTTCTGAAGATATTTCCTTCTTCACCACAGACCTCTATCCCCTCCCAAACAACCCTTCTCAGATTCCACAAAAACATTGTTTCCCAACTGCTCAATCAAAAGAATGTTTAAACTCCATGAGATGATTGCCAACATCACAAAGCAGTTTCTGAGAATGTTTCTTTAAAGTTTTTCTCTGAAGATATTTCCTTTTTCAATGTAGGCCTCAATGTGCTCCCATATATGCTTACATAGATTCTACAAAAATAGTGTTTCTAAACTGCTCAATCAAAAGTGAAGTTAAACTCTGTGAGAAGACTTCACACATCACAAAGCAGTTTCCCAGAAAGCTTCTTTCTAGTTTTTGTCTGAAAATATTTCCTTTTTCACCATAGGCCTCAGTGCCCTCCAAATATCCCTTCTCAGATTGTACCCAAACAGTGTTTCCAAACTGCCCAATCAAAACAATAATTTAAATCTCTGAGAAGAATGCACTCATCACAAAGCAGTTTCAGAGAATTCTTCTTTCTAGTATTTATGTGAAGATATTTCCTTTTTCACCGTAAGCCTCAATGCTCTCCCAAATGTCCCATTGCAGTTTCTACAAAAACAGTGTTGTCAAACTGCTCAATCAAAAGAAAGTTTTAACTCTGTAAGAAGAATGCACTCATCATCAAGCAGATTCTCAGAAAGCTTCTGTATAGTTTTTATCTGAAGATATTTCCTTTTTCACCATAGGCCTCAATGCACTCCCAAACACACCTTTGCAGATTCTACAAAAACCGTGTTTACAATCTGCTCAATCAAAAGACAGTTCTAACTGTATTTGATGAATGTACACCTCACAAAGCAGTTTCTCAGAATTCTTCTTCCTAATTTTATCTGAAGTTCCTTCCTATTTCACCATAGTCCTTGAGGTGTTTCCAAATATCTCTTCACAGATTCTACAAAAACTGTGTTTCCAAACTGCTCAATCAAAAGCGAGGTTAAGCTCTCTGTGAGAAGAATGCACACATCACACAGCAGTTTCCGAGAAAGCTTCTTTCTAGTATTTGTCTGAAGTTATTTCCTTTTTCACCATTGGCCTCAAAGCACTCAAAATATCCCTTCTCAGATTCTACAAAAACAGTGTTGCAAAGCTGCTCAATAAAAATGAAGTTTTAACACAGAGAGATGAATGCACACATAACAAAGCAGTTTCCCAGAAAGTTTCTTTCCAGTTTTTCTCTGAAGATATTTCCTTTTTCACCATAGCCCACAATGCAATTCCAAATATCTGTTTGCAGATCCTGCCAAAACATTGTTTCCAAACTGCTCAAGCAAAAGAAAGCTTGAGCTTTCTTTTCACAAAGCAGTTTATCAGAAAGCTTCTTTCTAGTTTTTATCTGAAGATACTTCCTTTTTCACCATAGGTCTCAATGCACTTCCAAATAGCCCTTCCCAGATTGTACAAAAATAGTGTTTTCAGACTGCTCAATCAAAAGGAAGTTTTAACTCTGTGAGATGAATGCACACATCACAAAGCAGGATGTCAGAAAATTTCCCTCTAGTTTTACTCTGAAGATAGTTTATTTTTCACCCTAGGACTCAAGGTGCTCTCATATATACATTCTCACATTCTACAAAAACTGAGTTTCCAATCTGCTCAATCAAAAGAAAGTTTAACTGTGTTAGAAGAATGCACACATCACAAAGCGGTTTCTGAGAAAGCGTTTTTCTAATTTTTCTCAGAAGATACTTCGTTTTTCACCATAGACCTCAATGCCCTCCCAAATATCTCTTCACAGATTCTATAAAACCAGTGTTTCTACACTGCTCAATTAATAGAAAGGTTTAACTCTGTGACATGAATGCATGCCTCACAAAGCAGTTTCTGAGAAACATTCCTTCTGGTTCTTATGTGAAAATATTTTGTTTTTTACCATAGGCCTCAAATCACTCCCAAATATCCCTTTGCAGATTCTATAAAAACACTGTTGCCAAACTGCTCAATCAAAAGAATGATTTAGCTGTGTGAGAGGAGTGTACACATCACAAAGCAGTTTCTCTGAAAGTGTCTTTCTAGTTTTTATCTGAAGATATTTCCTTTTTCACCATAGGCCAGAAAGTGCTCCAAAATATCCCTTCGCAGATTCTACCAAAACAGGGCTTCCAAACTGCTTAATCAAAGGAAAGGTTTAACACTGTGGGATGAATTCTCACATCACAAAGCAGTTTCTGAGAAAGCTTCTTTCTAGATTTTATCTGAAGATATTTCATTTTTCACCATATGCCTCAAAGTACTTCCACATATCCCTTCTCAGATTCTACAAAAACACTGTTCCCAAATTGCTCAATGAAAATAAATGTTGAACTCTGTGAGTTGAATGCACTCATCACAAAGCAGTTTCCTGGAAAGCTTCTTTCCAGTTTTTATATGAAGATATTTCCTTTTTCACCATAAGCCACAATGCGCTTCCAAATAT
Source organism: Homo sapiens (assembly GCF_000001405.40). Taxonomy (NCBI): domain Eukaryota; kingdom Metazoa; phylum Chordata; class Mammalia; order Primates; family Hominidae; genus Homo; species Homo sapiens. The sequence goes on along the minus strand of NC_000019.10, from coordinate 24,340,010 downwards.
CCCTTCACAGATTCTACCAAAACCGTGTTTCCAAACTGCTCAATGAAAAGAAAAATTTACCTGTGCAGGATGAATTCACACATCAGAAAGTAGTTTCTCAGAAAGCTTCTTTCTAGTTTTTCTCTGATGACATTTCCTTCTTCACCATAGGCCTCAAAGTACTCCCATACATCTCTTCATAGAATCTAAAATAAACAGTATTTCCAAACTGCTCAATGAAAAGAAAGATTTAACTCTGTGAGAAGAATGCACACATCACAAAACGGTTTTTATCTGAAGATATTTACTTTTTCACCATAGGCCTCAAATTGCTCCCAAATACACCTCTGCAGATTTTACAAAAACAGGGTCTCCAAACTGCTTGATCAAAAGAAAGGTTTAACTCTGTGAAATGAAGGCACACATGACAAAGCAGTTTCCTAGAAAGATTCTTTCTAATTTTTATCTGAAGATATTTCCTTTTTCACCATAGGCCTCAAAGCACACCGAAATATCCCTTAACACATTCAACCAAAACAGTGTTTTCAAACGCTCAATCAAAAATAAGGTTTAACTCTTTGAGAACAGAGCACACATCACAAAGTGGTTTCTGAGAAACCTTCTTTTAGTTTTTATCTGAAGGTAGTTCCTTTCTTACCATAGTCCTCAATGCACTCAAAAATATACCTTCACAGATACTTCCAAAACAGTGTTTCAATATTTCAATACTGCTCAATAACAAGAAATTTTTAACTCTGAGAGATGAATGCACACAACACAAAGCTGTTTCCCAGAAAACTTCTTTCTAGTTTTTATCTGAAGATATTTCCTTTTTCACCATAGGGCTAAATGCACTCTCAAATATCCTTTGCAGATTCTATAAAACAAGTGTTGCCAAACTGCTCAATCAAAAGTATGGTTTAACTCTGTTAGATAAATGAAATGACCCCAAGGCAGTTTCTCAGAAAGCTTCTTTCTAATTTTCATCTGAAGAGATTTCCTTTTTCACCTTAGGCCTCAAAGTGCTCCAAAATATCTCTTCTCAGATTCTACAAAAACAGTGTTTCCAAACTGCTAAATCAAAAGAAAAGTTTAAATCTGTGAGAAGAATGCACACATCATAAAGCCATTTCTGAGAAAGCTTCTTTCTAGTTTTTATCTGAGGATATTTCCTTTTTCACTATAGGCCTCAATGTTCCCCCAAACATCTCTTCGTAGATTCTTCAAAAACAGTGTTTCCACACTGCTCAATCAAAAGAAAGGATTAACTCAGTGAGATGAATGCTCTCATCACAAAGCAGTTTCCCAGACTGCTTCTTTCGATTTGTTATCTGAAGATATTTCCTTTTTCATCATAGTCCTCAATGTGCTCCCTCATATCCCTTGGAAGATTGCACAAAACAGTGTTTCCAGACTGCTCAATCAAAAGAAAGTTTTAACTTTGTTAGATGAATGCACATCTCACAAAGCAGGATGTTAGAAAGATTCTTTCTAGTTTTACTCTGAAGATATTTCCTTTTTCACCGTAGGCCTCAATGCACTCTCATATAACCCTTCTCAGATTCTAAAAAAAAAAAGTTTTCCAATCTGCTCAATCAAAAGAAAAGTTTAGCTCTGTGAGAAGAATGCACACATCACAAAACGATTTCTGAGAAAGCTTCTTTCTAGTTTTTCTTGGAAGATACTTCGTTTTTCACCATAGGCCTCAATGCACTCCAAAATAACTCCTCACAGATTCCACAAAAACAGTGTTTCCACACTGCTCAATTAAAAGAAAAGTTTAACTCTTTGAGATGAATGCACACATCACAAAGCAGTTTCCCAGAAACCTTCTTTCTAGTTTTTATCTGAAGATATTTCATTTTTCACCATAGGCCTCAAAGGGCTCCAAAATATTCCTTCTCAGATTCCACAGAAACACTTTTGGCAAACTGCTCAATCAAAAGAAAGGTTTAACTCTGTGAAGAGTGTACTCATCACAGAACAGTTTCTCAGAAAGCTTCTTTCTAGTTTTTACCTGATGATATTTTCTTTTTCACCATAACCATGGAAGCACTCCCAAATATCCCTTCACAGAACCTACCAAAACAGTGTTTCCAAGCTGCTCAACCAAAGAAAGGTTTAACCCTGTGAGATGAATGCTCACATCACAAAACCATTTCTGAGAAAGCTTATTTCTAGTTTCTATCTTTAGATATTTTGTTTTTTACCATATGCCTCAAAGTGCTTCTAAATATCCCTTCTCTGATTCTACAAAACACTGTTACCAAACTTCTCAATGAATAGAAATGTTTAACTCTGTGAGATGAATGCACTCATCACAAAGCAGTTTCCCAGAAAGCTTCTTTATAGTTATGATCTGAAGATATTTCCTTTTTCACCACAGGCCACAATGCACTTCCAACTATCCCTTCACAGATTCTACCAAAACAGTGTTTCCAAAGTGCTTAGTCAACAGAAAGGTTTAACTCTGTGAGATAAATGCACTTATCACAAAGCAGTTACAGAAAAAACTGACTTCTAGTTATTATCCGAAGATATTTCCTTTTTCACTATATACCACAATGCATTTCCAAATATCCCTTCACAGATTCTAACTAAATAGTGTTTCCAAACTGCTCAAAGAAAGGAAGGGTTTAACACTCTGAGCTGAATGCAGACATCACACAACGGTTTCTGAGAAAGCTTCTTGCTAGTTTTTCTCTGAAGTTATTGCCTTTTTCACAATAGGCCTAAAAGTGTTCCAAAATATCTCTTTGCAGTTTCTATCAAAACGTGTTTCCACACTGCTCATCAAAAGAAAGGTTTAAGTCTGTGAGATGAATGCAGACATCACAATGCAGTTTCCCAGAAAGCTTCTTTCTATTTCTTATCTGAAGATATTTCATTTTTCACCATAGGCCTCAAAGGCCTCCCAAATATCCCTTCACAGATTCTATAAAAACACTGTTGCCAAACTGATCAATCAAAAGAAAGAAAGGTTTAACTCTGTGAGATGAATGTACTTACCACAAAGCAGTTTCTCAGAAAATTTCTTTCTAGTTTTTATTAGAAGAAATTGCCTTTTTCACCATAGGCCTGAAAGGGTTCCCAAATATCCCTTCGTACATTCTACCAAAACAGTGTTTCCAAACTGCTCAATCAAAAGAAAGTTTTAACTCTGTGAGATGAATGCACACATCACAAAGCTGTTTCTCAGAGAGCTTCTTTCTAATATTTCTAAGAAGATAGTTCCTTTTTCGCTGTAAGCCTCAAAACGCTCCCATATGTCTCTTTGAAGATTCTACAAAAGCAGTGTTTCCAGACTGCTCAATCAAAAGGAAAGATTATCTCTGTTAGAAGATTGCACACATCACAAAGCAGTTTCTCAGAAAGCTTCTATTTTTTCTCTGAAAATACTTCCTTTTTCTCTGTAGGCCTCAATGAGCTCCAAAAAGTCCCTTTGAATATTATACAAAGTGTTTGCAAACTGCTCAATCAAATGATAAGTTTAACTCTGTGAGAAGAATGAACACATCACAAAACGGTTTCTGAGAAAGCTTCTTTCTAGTTTTTCTCTGAAGATATTTCCTTTCTCACCATAGGCCTCAATGTGCTCCAAAATGTACCTTCGAAGATTCTACAAAAACAGTGTTTCCAAACTGCTCAATCAAAAGAAAGGTTTAACTCTGTGAAAACAATGCACTCATCACAAAGCAGTTTCAGAGAACGTTTCTTTCTACTTTTTTCTGAAGATATTTTCTTTTTCACCATAGGCCTCAAAGCGCTCCCAAATATCCCTTCACAGATTCTTTAAAACCAGTGTTGCCAAACTGCTCAATCAAAAGAAACGTTTAACTGTGTGAGACGAATGGACTCATTCCAAGGAGTTTCTCAGAAAGCTTCTTTCTATTTTTTATCTGAAGATATTCCATTTTTCATCATAGGCCTCAAAGTGCCTCCTACTGTCCCTTCTCAGATTCTAAAAACACACTGTGGACAAACTGCTTAATCAAAAGAGAGGTTTAACTCTGTGAGATGTATGTACACATCACAAAGCAGTTTCTCAGAAGGCTTCTTTCTAGTTTTTCTGTGAATGTAGTTCCTTTTTCACCCTAGTCTCTCCCAAATACCCTTTCACAGATTCTGTGAAAACACTTTTCCCAAACTACTCAATCAAATTAAGGTTTCATTCTGTGTGATTAATGCACACTTCAAAAAGCAGTTTCTCCAAAAGCTGTTTCTAGTTTTTTCTGAAGACATTCCCTTTTTCTCCTTAGACCTCAAAGCACTCCAAAATATCCGTTTGCAGATACTATAAAGCCAGTGTTGCCAAACTGCTCAGTCAAAAGAAATGTTTAACTCTATGAGATGAATGCTCTCATTCCAAAGCAGTTTCTCAGAAAGCTACTTTCTAGTTTGCATTTGAAGATATTTCCTTTTTCACCATAGGCCTAAAAGCACTCCAAAATTTCTCTTCTCATATTCAACACAAAAATATTTCCACACTCCTCAATTAAAAGAAAGGTTTAACTCTGTGAGATGAATGCACACGTCACAAAAATGTTTCTGAGAAAGCCTCTTTCTAGTTTGTATCTGAAGATATTTCCTTTTTCATCATAGGCCTCAATATGCTCCCAAATATCTCTTCACAGATACTTCAAATACAGTGTTTTCAATCTGCTCAATCAAAAGAAAAGATTAACACTGTGAGAAGAATGCACATGTCACAAAGTGCTTTCTAAGAAACCTTCTTTCTAGTTTTTATCTGAAGACATTTCCTTTTTCACCCTAAGCCTCAATGCGCTCCGAAATATCTTTTCACAAATTCTACCAAAACAATGTTTCCACACTGCTCAATCAAAAGAAAGGTTTAACTCTGTGAGATGAATGCACACTTCACAAAGCAGCTTCACAGAATGTTTCTTTCCAGTTTTTATCTGCAGATATTTCGTTTTTCACCATAGGCCTGAAAGTGCCCCCAAATATCCCTTCTCAGATTTTACAAAAACACTGTTGCCAAACTGATCAATCAAAGAAAGGTTTAACTCTGGGTGAAGAATGCTCTTATCTCAAAGCAGTTTCTGAGAAAGCTTCTTTCTACTTTTTATCTGAAGATATTTCCTTTTTCACCATTGACCTAAAAGAGCTCCCAAATATTCCTTTGCAGATTCTACAAAAACAATGTTTCCAATCTGGTCAATCAAAAGAAAGGTTTAATTCCATGAAAAGAATGCACTCATCACAAAGCAGTTTCTCAGAAAGCTTCTTTCTAGTTTTTATCTGAAGATATTTCGTTATTCACCAGAAGCCTCAAAGCATCCCAAAATATCCCTTCTTAGATTCTAGAAAAACACTGTTGCCAAACTGCTCAATCCAAAGAAAGGTTTAACTCTGTGAGATGAATGAATTAATCACAAAGCAGTTTCTCAGAAAGTTTCTTCCTATTTTTTATCTGAAGATATTTCCTTTTTCACCATAGGCCTCAAAGCACTCCCAAATATCCCTTCACAGATATTTCCAATACAGTGTTTCCAAACTGCTCAATCAAAAAAAGGGTTTAACTATGTGAGAAGAATAGACACATCACAAAACGGTTTCTGAGAAAGCTTCTTTCTATTATATATCTGAAGATATTTCATTTTTCATCATAGGACTTAAAGCACTCCAAAATGTCCCCTTGCAGATACTACCAACACAGTGTTTCCAAACTGCTCAATCAAAAGAAAGGTTTAACTCTTTGAGATGAATGCTCTCATCACAAGGCAGTTTCTCAGACAGCTTCTTTCTGAAGATATTTCCTTTTCCACCATAGGCCTCAAAGTGCTCCCAAACATCCCTTTGCCGAATCTATAAAGTCAGTGTTGCCAAACTGTTCAATGAAAGGAAAGGTTTAATTCTGTGAGATGAATGCACTCATTCCAAAGCAGTTTCTCTGAAAGCTTCTTTCTAGTTTTCTGTGAAGATATTTCATTTTTCACCATAGGCCTCAAAGCACTCTCAAATATCCCTTCGCAGATTCTATAAAGCCAGTGTTGCCAAACTCGTCAATCAAAGGAAAGGTTTAACTCTGTGAGATGAATGCACACATCAATAAACAGTTTCTTAGAAAGCGTCTTTCTAGTTTGTATCTGAGACATTTCCTTTTTCACCTTAGGCCTCAATGTGCTCCCAAATATCTCTTCGTGGATTCTGTAAAAACAGTGTTTCCAATATGCTCAGTCAAAAGAAAAGTTTAATGCTGTGAGAAGAATGTTCATATCACAAAGTTGTGTCTAAGAAAGCTTCTTTCTAGTTTTCCTTTTTCACCATAGGCCTCAATGCAGTCTGAAATGTCTCTTCACAGATTCTACAAAAAAGTGTTTCCACACTGCTCAATTAAGAGAAGGATTTAATTCTATGAGATGAATGCACACATCACAGAGCAGTTTCCCAGAAAGCTTCTTTCTAGTTTTTATCTGAAGCTACTCTGTTTTTCACCATAGGCCTCAAAATGCTCTCAAATATCCCTTAGATTCTACAAAAACACTGTTGCCAAACTGCTCAATCAAAGAAAGATTTAACTCTGTGTGATGAATGCACTCATCTCAAAGTAGATTCTCAGAAAACTTCTTTCTACTTTTTATCTGAAGATGTTTCCTTTTTCACCATTGGCATGAAAGAGCTCCAAAATATCCCTTTGCAGATTCTACAAAAACATTGTTTCCAAATTGCTCAATCAAAAGAAAGGTTTAACTCTCTGAGAAAAATGTAGTCATCACAAAACAGTTTCTCAGAAAGCTTCTTTTTAGTTTTTTTCTGAAGATAATTACTTTTTCACCATAGGCTTCAAAGTGCTCCCAAATATCCCTTCAGAGATTCTATAAAACCAGTGTTTCCCAACTGCTCATTCAAAAGAAAGGCTTAACTCTGTGAGGTGAATGTACATATTGCAAAGCAGTTTCCCGGAAATCTTTTTTTCTATTTTTTATCTGAAGATGTTTCTTTTTTCACCATATGTCTCAAATCGTCCCAAATATCCCTTCTCAGGTTCTACAAAAACAGTGTTGCCAAACAGCCCAATCAAAGGAAAGTTTAACTCTGTGAGATGAATGCAGTCATCACAAAACTGTTTCTCAGGAACCTTCTTTCTAGTTTTTATCTGAATATATTTCCTTTTTCACCACAGGCCACAAGCGCTCCAAAATGTCCCATCGCAGATTCCACATAAACAGTGTTTCAAAACGGCTCAATTGAAAGAAAGGTTTAACTCTGGGAGATGAATGCAATCATCACAAAGCAGTTTCTCAGACAGTTTCTTTCTAGTTGTTTTCTAAAGACACTTCCTTTTTCAGCATAGGCCTCAAAGCGATCCCAAATATCCCTCTGCAGATTGCCTAAAACTGCAGATTGTTGCCAAACTGCTCAATCAATAAAAAGGTCTAACTCTGTGAGATGATTGCACTCATTCCCAAGATGACAGTTTCTCAGAAAGCTTCTTTCTACTTTTCATCTGAAGAAATTTGCTTTTTCAACATAGGCTGCAAAGCACTCCGAAATATCCCTTCTCAGATTCTTCAAAAACAGTATTTCCGAACTGCTCCATCAAAAGGAATGTTTAACTCTGTGAGAAGAATGCATACATCACAAAGTGGTTTCTGAGAAAGCTTCTTTCTAGTTTTAATCTGAAGGTATTTCCTTTTTCACCATAGGCCTCAATGTGCTCCAAAATATCTCTTCACAGATACTACACATACAGTGTTTCCAATCTGCTCAATCAAAAGAAACGATTAATGCTGTGAGAAGGATGCACACATCACAAAGCAATTTCTGAGAAAGCTTCTTTCTAGTTTTTATCTGAAGATATTTCATTTTTCTCTATGGGCCTCAATGTGCTCCGAAATATCTCTTCACAGTTTCTAACAAAAGAGTGTTTCCACACTGCACAATCAAATGAAAGGGTTAACTCTGTGAGATGAAGGCACACTCCACAAGGCAGTTTCCCAGAATGTTTCTTTCTAGTTTTTATCTGAAGATATTTCGTTTTTCACCATGGGCCTGAAAGTGCTCCCAAATATCCTTTCTCAGATTCTACAAAAACACTGTTGCCAAGTGGCCCAATCAAAGAAAGGTTTTACTCTGTGTGAAGAATGCACTCATCTCAAAGCAGTTTCTCAGAAAGCTTCCCTGTACTTTTTCTCTGAAGATATTTCCTTTTACACCATAGGCCTCAATACACTCCAAAATATCCCTTCACTGATTCTACCAAAACATTGTTTCCAATCTGCTCAATCAAAAGAAAGGTTTAACTCTGTGAGATGAATGCACACATCACAAAGTAATTTCTCTGAAAGCTTCTATTCTAATTTTTCTCTGAAGATATTTCCTTTTTCACCATAGGCATCAATGCCCTCCCATATATCCCTCAGTGGATTCTACCAAAACAGTGTTTCCAGACTGCTCCATCAAAAGAAAGTTTTAACCCTGTTAGAAGAATTTACACATTATGAAGTTGTTTCTCAGAAAGCTTCTTTCTTGTTTTCTGTGAAGATATTTCCTTTTTCACTCTGTGCCTCAATCTGCTCTGATATATCCATTTTCAGATACTACAAAAACAGTATTTACAAACTTCTCACTCAAAAGGAAGGTATAACTCTGTGAGAAGAATGCACACATCACAAAATAGTTTCTGAGAAAGCTTATTTCCAGTTTTTATCTGAAGATATTTCCTTTTGCAACATATGCTTAAATGGGCTCCCAAATAACCCTCTGCAGATTCTACAACAACAGTGTTTCCAAACTGCTCAATCAAAAGAAAGGTTTATCTCTGTGAGATGAATGCAAACCTCACAAAGCAGTTTCCCAGAATGCTTCTTTCTAGTTTTCTTCTGATGATATTTGCTTTTTCACCATTGGCCTCAAAGCGCTCCCTAATATCCCCTCACAGATTCTACCAAAACAGTGTTTCCAAACTGCTCAATCAAAAGTAGGGCTTAACTCTTTGAGAAGAATGCACACATCACCGAGCAGTTTCTGAGAAAGCTTCTTTCAAATTTTTATCTGAAGATATTTCCTTTTTCACCATAGGCCTCAGTGCACTCCAAAATATCCCTACGCAGTTACTTCCAAAACAGTGTCACCAAATTGCTCAATGAAAAGCAAGGTGTAACTCTGTGGAGGAATGTTTGCATCACAAAGCAGTTGCCGAGACACCTTCTTTCTGGTTTTTATCTAAAGATATTTTCTTTTTCATCATATGCCTAAATGCGCTCCCAAGTATCTCTTTCCTGATTCTACCAAAAGAAGGTTTCCACACTGCTCACTCAAAAGAAAGGCTTAACTCTGTGAGATTAATACACACATCACAAAGCAGTTTCCTCAGAAAGCTTCTTTCTAGTTTTAATCTGAGGATATTTCATTTTTCACCTTAGGCCTCAAAGTGCTACAAAATATCTCTTCTGAGATTCTACAAAAATACTGCTGCCAAACTGCCCAATCAAAACAAAAGTTTAACTCTGTGAGGTGAATGTATTCTACACACAGCAGTTTATCAGAAAGCTTCTTTCTACTTTTTATCTGAAGATATTTCCTTTTTCACCATAGGCCTGAAAGTGCTCCCAAATTTCCCTTCGCAGATTCTACCAAAACAGTGTTTCCAAACTGCTCAATCAAAAGAAAGATTTAACTCTGTGAGATGAATGCACACATCAAAAAGCCATTTCTCAGATAGCTTCTTTTCAGTTTTTCTCAGAAGATATTTACTTTTTCACCATAGGCCTCAATGCTCTCCCATATATCCCTGCTTAGGTTCTAAAAAAAACAGTGTTTCCAGACTGCTCAATCAATAGAAAAGTTTAAATCTGTTAGAAAAATAAACACATAACAATGCTGTTTCTCAGAAGGTTTCTTTCTAGTTTTTCTCTGAAGATATTTCATTTTTCAACATAGGCCACAATGTGCTCCCATATATCCCATCGCAGATTCTACAAGAACAGTATTTCCAAACTGCTCAATCAACACAAACGTTTAACTCTGTGAGAAGAATGCACACCCTACAAAACGATTTCTGAGAAAGCTTCTTTCTAGTTTTTATCTGAAGATATTTCCTTTTTCACCATTGCCCTCAAAGCGCTCCCAAATATCCCTCAGCAGATTCTACAAAAACAGTGTTTCCAAATTGCTCAATCAAAAGAAAGGTTTAACTCTGTAAGATGAATGCACACATGGCAAATAAGTTTCCCAGAAAGCTTCTTTCTAGTTTTTATCTGTAGATATTTCCTTTTTTCATCATAGGCCTCAAAGTGCTTCCAAATATCCCTTCGCAGATTCCACCAAAACAGTGTCTCCAAACTGCTCAATCAAAAGAAAGGTTTAACACTGTGAGAAGAGTGCTCACATCACAAAGCAGTTTCTGAGAAAGCTTTTTTCTAGTTTTTATTTAAAGGTACTTCATTTTTCACTATAGGCTTCAATTGGCTCCCAAATAAACCTTTGCAATACTTCCAAAACAGTGTTTCCAAACTGCTCAATCAAATAAAAGTTTTAACTCTGTGAGATGAATGTACACACCTGAAAGTAGTTTCTCAGAAAGTTTCTTTCTTGTTTTTCTCTGAAGATATTTTATTTTTCACTATAGGCCTCAATGTACTCCCAAATATCCCTTTGCAGATTCTACAAAAACAGTGATTCCAAATTTCTGAATAAAAAGAAAAGTTTAACTATGTGAGATGAATGCACACATCACAAAGCAGTTTCTCAGATTGCTTCCTTGTAGTTTTTATCCTGGCATACTTGCTTTTTTGCCATTGACCTCAATGAGCTCCAAAACATCCATTCACAAAATGGACAAAAACAGTGTTTCCAAGCTGCTGAATGAAAACAAAAGTTTAACTCTGTGGGATGAATGCACACATCACAAAGCAGTTTCTCAGAAATCTTCTTTCTAGTTCATATCTGAAGATATTTTGTTTTTCCCATAGGCCTCAAGTTGCTCCCAAATATCCCTTCACAGATTCTACAAAAACAGTGTTCCCAAACTGCTGAATGAAAAGAAAGGATTAACTGTGTGAGATGAAAGCACACATCACAAAGCAGTTTCCAAGAAAGCTTCTTTTCCGTATTTATCTGAAAATAATTTCTTTTTCACCACAGGCCTCAATTCGCTCCCAAATAGTGTTTCCAAACTGCTGATTGAAAAGTAATATTTCACTCTGCTACCTGAATGCAAACATCTCAAAGCAATTTCTCAGATAGCTTTGTTCTAGTTTTCATCCAGGGATACTTGCTTTTTCGCCATTGTCTTCAATGAGCTCCCAAATGTCCATTCGGAAAATGGACAAAAACAGAGTTTCCAAACTGCTGAATCAAATGACAGCTTTCATTCTGTTAGATAAATGGAGACCTCACAAGACAGTTTCTCAGAAAGCATCTTTCTAGTTTTTCTCTCAAGATATTTTCTTTTTCACCCTAGGCCTCAATGCAATTCAAAATACCCCTTCGCAGCTTCTATGAAAACAGTGTTTCCAAACTGCTGAACGAAAAGAAAAGTTTAACCTTGTGAAATGAATGCACATATTACAAGGGGGTTTCTCAGACAGCTTCCATCTAAAAGTTATCTTGGGATATTCGCTTTCTCACTTTTGGCATAAATGGCCTCCCAACTATCCCTTTGCTGATTCTACAAAAATGGATATTCCAAGCTGCTTAATGAAAAGAATGGTTTATCTCTGTGAGATGAATGCACACATGACAAAGTGATTTTTCAGATAGCTTCCTTCTAGTCTTTATCCTGGAATATTCACTTTTTCTCCATTGGTCTCAATGTGCTCCCAAATGTCCATTCACAGAATGGACAAAAACAGTTTTTCCAAACTGCTGAATTAAAAGAAATGGTTACTCTGTGAGATGAAGGCACACATCACAAAGCAGTTTCTCAGAAACATTTTCAGTTTTTATCTGAAGACATTTTCTTTTTCACCATAGACAATGCATTCTCAAATATCCCTTTGCAGGTTCTACAAAAACAGTGTTTCCAAAATGCCGAATGAAAAAGCAGGTTTATATCTGTGAGACGAATACACACGTCACAAAGAGGTTTCTCAGATAGCTTCCTTCTAGTTTTTATGCTGGGATATTCACTTTTTCACCACTGGCCTCAATGAGCTCACAAATGTGCATTCGCAGAATGGACAAAAACAGTTTATCCAAACTGCTAAATAGAAAGAAAGGATTAACTATGAGAGATGAAAGCACACATCACAAAACAGTTTAAAGAATGCTTCCTGCTAGTTTTTATCTGAAGATATATTCATTTTCAACATAGACCTCAATGCACTCCCAAATATCCCTTCACAGATTCTACAAAAACAGTGTTTCCAAAACTCTGAATCAAAGGAAAGTTTTAACTATGTGAGATGAATGCACATGTGGCAATCTTCTCCAAAAGATTCTTTCTAGTTTTTTATGAAGATATTTTCTTTTTCACCATAGATCTCAAACACTCCCAAATATCCCATCACAGATTCTACAAAAGCAGTTTTTCCAAACTGCTGAATGAATAGAAATGCTTAATTCTGTGAGATGAATGTATACATCACAAGGCGGTTTTTCAGATAGCTTCTTCTTGTTTTTATCCTGGGATATTCACTTTTTTGCCATTGTCGTCAATGAGCTCCCAAATGTCTGTTTGCAGAATGGAGAAAAACAGTGTTTCCAAATTCCTGAATCAAAACAAATGTTAAACTCTGTGTGATGAATGCACACATCACAAACCCTTTCTCAGAAAGCTTCTTTCTAGCTTTTATATGAAGATAGATTCTTTTTCAGCATAGGCCTCAATGAGCTCCCAAATATCAGTTTGCAGATTCTACAAAAGCAGCGTTTCCAATCTGCTGAATGAAAAGAAAGTTTATCTCTGTGAGATGAATGCACACATCATAAAGCAGTTTCTCAGAAAGATTCTTTCTATTTTGTATCTGAAGATATTTTCCTTTTCACCATAGGCCTCTATGCATTCTAAAATATCACTTCACAAATCCTATAAAAACAGTGTCTGCAAACTGCCGAATTAAAAGAAGCCTTTAATTCTGTGAGATGAATGCACACATCACAAAGTGGTTTCTCAGATAGCTTCCTTCTAGTTTTTCTCCTGAGATATTCACTTTTTTGTCATTGGCCTCAATGAGCTCCCAAATGTCCACTTGCAGAATGGACCAAAGCAGTGGTTCCAAACTGCTGAATCAAAAGAAAGGTTTAACTCTGTGAGATGAATGTACACATCACAAACAGTTTCTCTGAAAGTTCCATTCAACTTTTTATCTGAAGATATCTTCTGTTTGCCATGGGCCTCAATGCGTTCCCAAATATCCCTTCGCAGACCCTACAAAAACAGTGTTTCCAAACCACTTAATGAAAAGAATGGTTGCACTCTGCAAAATGAATGCACATATCACAAAGTGGTTTCTCAGATAGTTTCCTTCTGGTTTTTATTCTGGGATATTCACTTTTCCATCATTGGCCTCAATGAGTTCCTAAATGTCCATTCGCAGAATCGCCAAAAACAGTGTTACCAAACTGCTGAATCAAAAGAAAGGTTTCACTCTGTTAAATAAATGGACACATAACAAAGCAGTTTTTCAGATCTCTTCTTTCTAGTTTTTATCTGAAGATTTTTTCACTGTAGGCCTCAATGCGCTCCCAAATATTCCTTCACTGATTCTAAAAAAACAGTGTTTCCCAACTACTGAATGAAAAGAATGGTTTAACTCTTCAAGATGAATGCACTCATCACAAAGCAATTTCTCAGACAGCTTCCTTCTAGTTTTTCTCCTGATATATTCACTTTTTCACCATTGCCCTCAATGAAATCCCAGATGTCCATTTGCAGAATCCACAAAAGCAGTTTTTTCAAATTACTGAATCAAAAGAAAGGTTTAACACTGTGGGATGAATGCACACATCAAAAAGCAGTTTCTAAGAAAGCTTCTTTCTAGTTTTTGTATGAAGATATTTTCTTTTTCAACATAGGCCTTAATGTGCTGCCAAATATCCCTTCACAGATCCTACAAAAACAGTGTTTCCAAACTGATGAATGAAAATTATCGGGGAACCCGTCCTTGATAATTCAACTTTATTTCATGTAGGTTCTTTTCTATTTCCCTAAGTGTCAGCCAGTCTGAGAAATAAAGGGAAAGAGTACAAAAGAGAGAAATTATAAAGCTGGGTATCTGGGGGAGTTATCACATTTCGGCAGGTTCCTTGATGCCGTGCAAGCCACAAAACCACCAAGTTTTTATTAGTGATTTTCAAAAGGGGAGGGAGTGTACTAATAGGGTGTGGGTCACAGAGATCACATGAAGATACAGAGACAATATTTAAAGGTTTGGGGAAATGTCACAAGGCAAAAAGATATTTCTCCTATTTGCTATTGAAAGAAGATTTCCCAGTTTGGGGAAATCCTTCAAGGCAGTAATGACAGTAATTAACTCTGCCTTTTGATCAGAGGTGTAAGGGGTACAAATAAGCTTGTCTGTAGGACCTACATAATCAGCATTGCCATTACTGGAGCCATCACTGCACAGTGTAAAGGCCTCAGGAAAGGGCTGATCTTTGGTTAATCAATGGACCACCCAAGATGTCATTTTTATAAAATCAAACAATTTGTTCTTCTGGTAATGATTGTCAATAATGGCAATAAAATCAGCCAAGTGAATTTGCCACGGTACAGAATGTTGAAAGGTGGCCTGAACTTCGAGCCGATTTAAAGGAACTACAATTAAATTTGGATCAAATCCAGAAATTTTAAGTATTCTACACAGTGCCTGTCCAATTAGAGTGGCCATTTGATCTAGATAAACAGAGAAAGTTTTTGACACAGAATGAGGAAGAAAATACCACTCCACTAAATCATTATGTTGAACTATTAGTACAGTAGGAGAGTGTAATGAAGCAAAAACCAGAACCTGAAAAGGCTGAAATGGCTGTACTCTAGATAACTGAGTGGTTTGGATTCTTTCCTCTACGAATTCCAGTTCTGGTGAAGCCTCAGGGGTCAAAGTTCTGAGACTGCAGAGATTGGACTTTCCCTGCAGCATAGAAAACAATTTAGACAGTGCATAGGTTGTAATGCCTAAAGTAGGTCTTACATAATTAATGTTACCCAAAACTTTTTGGAAGTCATTTAAAGTTTTCAAAGAGTCTCTCCTAATTTCAACTTTTTAAGGTTGAATATGTTGTCTTTTGACCACTATTCCTAAATATTGAACAGAAGTGGTCTGTTGAATTTTATCCTGAGTGATGTGTAATCCAGCCTCTGTAACATGGTGGCTCAAACTTTGAAAATAGTCAATTAATTCTTTATCAGTGTGGGCAGCAATTAAAATATCATCAATATAATGAAGAATATAGGCCTGGGAAAATTGGGCTTGAACTGGTGAAAGAACTTGCCCAACATAAAATGGGCAGATTGTAGGGCTATTTAGTATTCCCTGAGGAATTATTAGAGTGACCAGATAAGTCCACACATCTAATTTACTTGTTTCTTTGTTTTGGTGTAATAAGCGTTGCATTGAAGTTTCCAGAGTAGGCATTTGAGATGGAGTCAGCAGAGAAGTGACAGGAAAAGCATGTGTAGATAGGGAAACTGAGGGTGAGGGGGTCGGACCAGAATGAGAGTGTGAGAAAGGGGCATTGGGGGAGCAGAAGGAGCAGAAATATACTGGTGATTATGGGTGTCCATATGTGAAGAAGGGTAAAGAAAAGCAGGCTGAGTGGATGGCAAAGTGACCAGTTGAGGAACCGAAATGACAGGAGGATGAGGGGCTGAAATGGACGGGGGAGGGCCTGAAGAATTATAGGTAAATTGTACTCAGTATGGTCCTACTTCTCCTTATGTTAAAATGGTATTACAAACTTTTTGTACTGAGGTCATTTTGTTTCCTTTAGACTGGGACCTTTTGGCAAAAGCTGTTCTAATTATTAAAGGTATTAAATCAGGGGCAGGCATGCCAGGTTGGATTGCCACCATAGATTTAATTGCAGAGCTAATGACTCTTAAATTGGTTACCATCAGCCACTTGCCTGATGTCGTTTTTACTAGAAACACAGGAGAATTCCAGGAGGAAAGAGAAAGTTCCACATTTCCAAGTTGTAACTGTTCAGAAACCAAGTGAGATAAAGCCTCCAGTTATTTTTTAGAAAGCAGCCACTGTTGAATCCAAAGGGGTGTGTCAGATTTCCATTGTAAAGAGATAGGATCAGGAGGTGTGACAGCGGCCACCATAAATAGGGATAACCTAAACCAGCCCTGTTTTCTTTTACAGTAACTGGGAGGGGTTTAGTAATCCCTTCACGTTTTGGACTGAGACCAAGTCCAGGAACAAATCCCATGTTTTCCATCATATGCTGACTGGAAGCACTATAAGAGTCATGTGGAATATTAATTTCAGCCCCCCAATGTGCCAGTAAATCTCTACCCCAAAGATTAATGGGGATTGGTGTGATAAAAAGCCGAATTGTACCCTTTTGACAATCAGGGCCAGTGCAAGGCAAGATAAATGTGCTCTCATAAGCTTCCTTGGCATTTCCAA
Organism: Homo sapiens; assembly: GCF_000001405.40. Lineage (NCBI taxonomy): Eukaryota > Metazoa > Chordata > Mammalia > Primates > Hominidae > Homo > Homo sapiens. Next base: position 24,323,487 of record NC_000019.10, on the reverse strand, counting down.
CACCTACTAGTGCCATGTTGGCAGGATGTTTAAGCCAGGAGGAAGGCTGTAAAGTAGAGGAAATAACAGAAACATCAGCCCCAGTATCTACTAGTCCCTTAAACTTATTTCCTTGAATGTGTATTGTGCAGGTGAGCCATTGTTTAGAAATTATAATAATCCAATATCAGGCTTTTCACCAGAAGAGCCAATTCCAGGGCCATGTGTCTTACCTCCTTTGTTTAAAACGATATTAGGTAGTAAAAGCAATTGAGCAATTGACTCACCAGCCAGAATGGAAACAGGAACCTTGGCAGACATGATTAATTTAATCTCATCAATGGAATCAGAATTAATGAGACCATTACGAATGGTCATTCCTTTACCAGAGGTGGATGCCCTATCTAACACCAGGCCTACCAAACCTCGAGATAAAGGGCCAGTGACCCCCGTGGGAACAATTAAAGGCAAAGAGTTAGGTAGTAAATTTAAAGGAATAGTACTAGAGAGATCGACTGCCCCACCCCCTACTGTGGAGGTGGACAAGCATTGTACTGAGAGAGAAGGAGAGGCTTGGACTAATTTGGGTTGGCTGTAGGTAAATTTGTTTGTAATGGGGGCTGTGTTGAGACTGCCTGAAGTGGAAACCCAACATTGATCTGAGTCTGAAGTATCCCATTTGATATTAGGGCCTAGAATTGGCCCCAGTCCCCATTTCCCTGGTGTTTTGGCAGGAGGTTTCCATCTATATCATACTTAGAGTGGCAATTACTTGCCCAATGTTTACCTTTGCGACAACGTGGGCAAACAGTAGCAGCAGCATTTGGCTGTGTTTGTTGATCCAGCTTGGAGGCTTTAAACAGTGCAATTTTTTTGAGTATGACCAAGTTAACCACAATTATAGCAGACTCCAAGAAAATAATTAGTGGGACCAGTTTAGTTGGTGTCCACCATGGCCCATGCCCAGAGAATAGCTTTGTGGGTGTCTGATCCAGTGTCTTCACTACCTTTAATATATACAGGCAACACCTCGTGATCAGGTAAATTTTGTCATTGGACAGAACACATGGCCATTTTACACTCATGGTTTGCATTTTCAAAATCTAACATACAAAGGAGAATACCTTGAGCATGCTCATCAGAGAAATAATTTTGAACAGCATCTTCTAATTTTGCTAAAAAATCAGTGTATAATTCAGAGTTACCTTGTTTAACTGTGGTAAAAGAAACAGGAGCTTGGCCTGAAGTGCATAATGTATCCAAAGATATCATACACACCTTTGTTACTTTTTCTGTGGTAAGAACATCAAAGTTTAATTGGGCATGAGCATCGGAGAAACTATTGGAGCCTGTGAGCTGAGCGTGAGTAATTAGAATGCTATTAGTCTGATTTAGCTGAGCCTGCCAATGGGCCTCTTCTGACCACCAGATACGAAATTGTAAATGCTGAGATGGGGTTAAAACAGCTTTTGACAAAATGTCCCAGTCTAAAGGAAGCAAAATGACCTCAATACAAAAAGTTTGTAATACCATTTTAACATAAGGAGAAGTAGGACCATACTGAGTACAAGCATCCTTAAATTCTTTTAAAAAGGTAAGATTAAGAGGTACATAACGATGCATTTGTACCCCTTAGAAGGTAGGAGGGTCTAACACGACCAGATAAGTCCACATATCTAATATATTTGTTTCTTTGTTTTGGCATAATAAGCATTGCATTGAAGTTTCCAGAGTAGGCATCTGAGATGGAGTCGGCATAGAAGTGACAGGAAAAACATGTGTAGATCAGGGAAACTGAGGGTGAGGGGGTCGGACCAGAATGAGAGTGTGAGAAAGGGGCATTAGGGGAGCAGAAGGAGCAGAAGTATACTGGTGATTACGGGCATCCATATGTGAAGAAGGATAAAGAGAAGCAGGCTGAGTGGATGGCAAGGTGACCAGTTGAGGAACTGAAATGACAGGAGAGTGAGGGCCTGAAGTGGATGGGGGAGGGCCTAAAGAATTATAGGTAAATGGTAGTTTGGTCCCAGAGCGATTAGGTGACTCTGTAGGTTTGAAAAGAAAAGAATTAGCATGTATATGGTCCTGGGCTGTGTGAATCGGGGCCACAGGAGCTACAAGCACCAGCTCTTCATGGAAAGAAATAAGATCATCAGGGGGTGACTGTAATCCAAAGTCACTGGAATTAGACATTGAATTCTCAACATCGACAGTTGGGGGAAGGAGTAGCTGAAGGGAGAGGGTGATCAGATAACGAAGGCTGTGCAGGAGAGGAAGGTTGAGGAAGAGGTGGAGTGTCATCAGATTCATAAAATTGTGGTAACTGTAGAGGGTCACAGGATTGGTATGTCATCAGGATGGCATGTGCCAAGGCCCAATCACCCCAAACAGTGACAGGAACATAATTCCCTGTGGAGACCAGTTCACAGAATGTTGCAGCAACAGGATCCCATACTTCTACATCTAAGTTTCCTTTTTCAGGAAACCAAGGACAATGTTTTTCCACCATGTTGATTAGAGTGGCCGTATTTTCCGTGGTTACTCAGACACCACCCTGTTTTAACAGGAGTTTAATATAGCAGAAATAAACATGCTGTTTAGACTCCATGTGACCCATAGACAAATAGGCCTCTATGCGATCCCAAATATCCCTTCCCAGATTCTACCAAAACAATGTTTTCAAACTGCTCAATCAAAAGAAAGGTTTACCTCTGTGAGATGAATGCCCACATCACAGAGCAGTTTCTCAGAAAGCTTCTTTCTAGTTTTTCTCTGAAGATATTTCCTTTTTCATCATAGGCCTCCAGGTGCTCCTATATATCCCTTCGTAGATTCTACCAAGACAGTGTTTCCAGACTTCTCAATCAAAAGAAAGTTTTATCTCTGTGGGAAGAATGCACACATCACAAAGCAGTTTCTGAGAATGCTTCTTTCTAGTTTTTATCTGAAGATATTTCCTTTTTCACCATAAACCTCAAAGCACTCCCATATATCCCTTCACAGATTCTACTAAAGCAGTGTTTCCAAGCTGCTCAATCAAAAGAATGGTTTAACTGTGAGATGAATGCACACATCACAAAGCAGTTTCCCAAAAACTTTCTTTCTAGTTTTTATCTGAAGATAATTTGTTTTTCACAACTGGCCTCAAAGCCCTCCCAAATGTCCATTTGCAGATTCTACAAGAACAGTGTTTCCAAAATGCTCAATCAAAAGAATGGTTTAACTCTGTGAGATGGATGCACACATCACAAAGCAGTTTCCCAAAAATTTTCTTTCTAGTTTTTATCTGAAGATAATTTGTTTTTCACAATCAGCCTCAATGCCCTCCCAAATGTCCATTTGCAGATTCTACAAGAACAGTGTTTCCAAAATGCTCAATCAAAAGAAAGGTTTAACTCTGTGAGATGAATGCACACATCACAAAGCAGTTTCCCAGAAACCTTCTTTCTAGTTTTTATCTGAAGATATTAAGTTTTTCACTATAGGCATCAAAGCGCTCTCAAATATCGCTTCTGGGATTCTACAAAAACACTCTCCCCAAACTGCTCAATGAAAAGAAAGGTTTAACGCTGTGAGATGAATGGACTCATCATAAAAGAGTTGCCCAGAATGTTTCTTTTTTAGTTTTTATCTGAAGATATCTCCCTTTTCATCATAGTCCTCAAAGCAATCCCAAATATCCCGTCTAACATTCTACAAAAAAACTGTTGCCAAACTGCTTAATCAAAATATAGTTGTAACTCTGTGAGATGAATGCACTCTTCACATAGCAGTTTCTCAGAAAGCTTCTTTCTAGTTTTTATCTGAAGATATTTCCTTTCTCACCATAGGCCTCAATGCACTCCCAAATATCCCTTCACACATCTACAAAAGTGTTTCCAAACAGCTCAATAAAAAGTAAGGTTTAGCTCTCTGAAGTAAATGCACACATCACAAAGCAGTTTCTCAGAAAGCTTCCTTCTAGTTTTTATCTGAAGATATTTCCTTTCTCACCATAGGCCTCAAAGTGCTCCCAAATATCCCTTCACACATTCTACAAAAACAGTGTTTCCAAACTGCTCAATCAAAAGTAAGGTTTAATTCTGTGAAGTAAATGCACACATCACAAAGCAGTTTCTCAGGAAGCTTCTTTCTAGTTTTTCTCTGAAGATATTTCCATTTTCACCATAGGCCTCAATGAACTCCTAAATGTTCCTTAGCAGATTCTACAAAAACAGTGTTTCCAAATGGTTCAATCAAAAGAAACATTAACTTTTTGAGATGAATGCACAAATCATGGAGCAGTTTCTCAGAAATCTTCTTTTTAGTTTTTATCTGATGGTATTTACTTTTTCACCTTAAGACTCAATTCCCTGCCAAATATCCTAACACCTTAGGCTTCAATTCCCTGCCAAAGAGAGTTTCCAAACTGTTCAATCAAAAGAAATGTTTAACTCTGTGTGATGAATGCACACATCACCAAGTAGTTTCTCAGACAGCTTCTTTCTAGTTTTTCCTCTGATGATATTTCCCTTTTCATCTTTGGCCTCCATGTGCTCCCAAATATTTGTTCACAGATTCTACAAAAAGAGTGTTTCCAAAATACTCAATCAAAAGACATGATTAACTCTGTGTGATGAATGCACACATCACAAAGCAATTTCTCAGAAATCTTCTTTCTATTTTTTGTCTGAAGATATTTCCTTTCTCACCATAGGCCTCAATGCACTCCCAAATATCCCTTCGCAGATTCTACAAAAACAGTGTTTCCAAATGCTCAATCAAAAGCAAGGTTTAACTCTGTGAGATGAATCTACACATCACAAAGTAGTTTTTCAGAAAGCTTCTTTGTAGTTTTTCTCTGAAGATATATCATTTTTCACCATTGGCTTCAAAGTGCTTCCAAATATCCCTTTGCAGATTGTACAAAAACAATATTTCCAAACTGCTCAACCAAAAGAAAGGTTTAACTCTGTGAGACAAATACACATATCACAAACTGTTGGTCAGAAATCTTTTTTCTAGTATTTATCTTAAGATATTTCGTTTTTCACCATAGGCCTCAATGCTCTCCCTAATAACACTTCGTGGATTCTACAAAAACAATGTTTCCAAACTGTCCAATCAAAAAAAAAAAGATTTAATATGTGAGATGAATGCACACATCACAAAGCAGTTTCTGAGAAATCTTCCTAGTTTTTCTCTGAAGGTATTTCCTTTTTCACCATAGACCTCAATGCACTCCCAACTATCCTTTCACAGATTCTCCAAACAGTGTTGCCAAATTGCTCAGTCAAAAGACATGTTTAACTCTGTGTGATGAATGCACACATCACCAAGAGATTCTCAGAAAGCTTCTTTCTAGTTTTTCTGTAATGATATTTCCTATTTAATCATAGGCCTAAATGCACTCCAAAATATCCCTTCACATATTCTAAAAAAAGAGTGTTTCCAAAATGCTCAATAAAAAGACATTTTTTACTCTGTGTGATGAACATACACATCACACAGCAGTTTCTCAGAAAGCTTCTTTCTATTTTTTCTCTGAAGATATTTGCTTTTTTACCATAGGCCTTATTGCACTCACAAAATATCCCTTCGCAGATTCTACAAAAACAATATTTCCAAACTGCTCAATCAAAATAAACGTTTAACTCTGTGAGATGAATGCACACATCACAAAGCAGTTTCTCAGAAAGCTTCTTTCTAGTTTTTCTCTTAAGATATTTCCTTTTTCCCCAAAGGCCTCAATGTGCTTCCTAATATCCCTTCACAAATTGTACAAAAAGAATTTTTCCAAACTTCTCAATCAAAAGAAAGATTTAACTCTATGAGGTGAATGTAGACAAATGAAGCAGTTTCTCAGAAAGCTTCTTTCTAGTTTTAACCTGGAGATATTTCTTTTCTCACCATAGACCTCAATGCATTCCCAAGTATCCCTTCCCAGATTCTACCAAAACAGTGTTTCCAAACTCCTCAATCAAAAGTAAGGTTTACCTCTGTGAGATGAACGCATACATTAAAAAGGAGTATCTGAAAAAAGCTTTTTTCTAGTTTTTATCTGAAGATATTTCATTTTTTGCCATAGGCCTCAATGCACTCCCAAATATCTGATTGCAGATTCTATAAAAACAGGGTTTCCAAACTGCTCAATCAAAAGAAAGCTTTAACTCTGTGACATGAATGCACACATCACAAAGCAGTGTCTCAGAAAGCTTCATTTTAGTTTTTATCGGGAGATATTTCCATTCTCACCATAGGCCTCAATGCACTCCCAAATATCCAATCACAGATTCTATAAAAACAGGGTTTCCAAACTGCTCAATCAAAAGAAAGTTTTAACTCTGTGACATGCATGCACACATCACAAAGCAGTGTCTAAGAAACCTTCATTTTAGTTTTTATTGGGAGATATTTCCATTCTCACCATAGGCCTCTATGCACTCCCAAATATTTTCTTTTCCACCACAGGCCTCAATGCACTCCCAAATATCTGTTTTCAGATTCTACAAAAAACAGTGCTTCAAAACTGCTGAATGAAAAGAACCATTTATCTTTGCAAGATGAATACACACATCACAAAGAGGTTTCTCAGATAGCTTCCTTCCAGTTTTTAAACTGGAATATTCCCTTTTTTCTCTACTGTCCTCAATGAGCTTCCAAATGTCCATTCACAGAAAGCAAAAAACACTGTTTCAAAACTGCTGAATCAAAAGAATGGTTTAACTCAATGCGCTCCTAAATATCTCTTTTTAGATTCTACAAAAACAGTGTTTCCAAACTGCTGAATGAAGAGAAAGGTTTCAATCTGTGAGATGAATGCACACATCACAAAGCAGTTTCTCAGATAGCTTCCTTCTAGTTTTTATCCTGGGATATTCGTTTTTCACCATTGACCTCAATGAGATCCCAAATGTCCATTAGCAGAGTGGACAAAAACAGTGTTTCCAAACTACTGAAGCAAAAGAAAGGTTTAACTCTCTGAGAAAAATGCACACATCACAAAGAAGTTTCTCAGAAAGCTTCTTTCTAGATTGTATCTGAAGATATATTCTTTTTCACCGCAGGCCTCAATGCACTCCCAAATATCCATTCACAGATTCTACAAAAACAGTGTTTATACACTGCTGAATGAAAAGAAAAGTTTAATTTTGTGAGATGAATACACACATCCAAAAGCAGTTTCTCAGATACCTTCCTTCTCCTTTTTTTCCTGGGATATTCACTTTGTTGCCATGGGCCTCAATGAGCTCACAAATGTTCATTTGCAGAATGGACAAAAATAGTTTTTCCATACTTCTGAATAAAAAGGAAGGTTGAACTGTGTGAGATGAATGCACACATCACAAAACAGTTTCTCAGAAAGCTTCTTTCTAGATTTATCTCAGGATTATTTCTTTTTCACCATAGGCCTCAAAGCACCCAAAAATATCCCTTCACAGATTCTACAAAAACAGTGTTTCAAAACTGCTGAATGAGAAGAAACGTTTAAGTCTGTGAGATGAAAGCACACATCACAAAGCAGTTTCTCAGATAGCTTCCTTTTAGTTTTTATCCTGGAATATTTGTTTTTTCACTCTTGTCTCAGTGAGCTCCCAAATGTCCATTTGCGGAATGGAAGAAAAAACAGTGGTTCCAAACTGCTGAATCAAAAAAAAGGTTTAACACTGTGAGATGAATGCACACATCACTAAGCAGTTTCTCAGAAGGCTTCTTTCTAGTTTTTATCTGAAGTAATGTTCTTTTTCACAATTGGCCTCAATGCGCTCCCAAATATTTCTTCACAGATTCTACAAAAACAGTGTTTCCAAACTGCTGAATGAAAAGAATGGTTTAATGCACGAGACGAATGGGAGCATCAAAAAGGGGTTTCTCAGATAGCTTCCATCTATTTCTAACCTGGGTTATTCACTTTTTCACAGTTGACCTCAATGAGCTCCCAAATATCTATTCACAGAATGGACAAAAACAGTGTTTCCAAAGTGCTGAATCATTAGAAAGTTTTATCTTTGTGAGTTGAATGCATACATCAAAAAGTTTCTCAGAAAGTTTCTTTCTAGTTTTTATCTGAAGGTTTTTTTTTCACCATAGGCCCCAATACACTCCAAAATATCCCTTTGCTGATCCTACAAAAACAGTGTTTCCAAACTGCTGAATGAAAATAAAGGTTTCACTCTACCAGATGAATTCACACATGACAAAGCTGTTTGCCAGATAGCTTCCTTCTAGTTTTTTTCCTGGGATATTTGTTTTTCGCCTTTGGCTTCAATCACCTCCCATGTGTCCATTCAGAGAATAGACAAAAACAATTTTTCCAAACTGCTGAATGAAAAGTTTAACTCTGTGATATTTATGCATACATCACAAAGCAGTTTCTCAGAAATATTCTTTCTAGTTTTTATCTGAAGATATTTTCTTTTTGACCATAGGCTTCAAAGTGCTTCCAAATATCCCTTCTCATATTCTACAAAAACAGTATTTAAAAACTGATGAATCAAAAGAATGGATTCACTCTACGAAGTGAATGCAAACATGATGAAGGGGTTTCTCCAGTAGATTCCTTCTTTTTTTTATCCTGGGAAATTCACTTTTTCGTCATTGGCCTCAATAGCTCCCAAATGTCTGTTCGCAGAGTGGGAAAAAACAGTGTTTCAAAACTGATGAATCAAAAGAAAGGTTTAACTCTGTGAGATGAATGCACACATCACAAAGCAGTTAATCAGAAAGCTTCTTTCTGGTTGTTATCTGAAAATATTTTCTTTTTCATCTCTGGCTTCAATGTGCTCTAAATTATCCCTTCGCAGATTGTACATAAACAGCATTTCCAAACTGTTAAATCAGAAAAAAAAGTGTAACTCTATGAGATGAATGCATACATCACAAAGCTTCTTTCAGGTTTTTATCTGAAGATATTTTCTTTTCACCAGATGCCTCAATGAGCTCCCAAATATCCCTTCACAAACTCTACAAAAACAGCATTTCCAAACTGTTGAATCAAAAGAAACGTTTAACACTGTGAGATGAAGGCATGCATCACAAACTAGTTTCTCAGAATGGTTCTTTCTAGTTTTTATCTGAATATGTTTTCTTTTTTAACTTAGGCTTCAATGTGCTCCCAAATATCCCTTCACAGGTTCTACAAAAACCATGTTTCCAAACTGATGTATCAAAAGAAAATTTTCACTCTGTGAGATGAATGCGCACATCACAAATGGATTCTCAGCTTCCTTCTAGTTTTTATCCTGGGATATTTTCTTTTTTGCCATTGGTCTGAATGAGCTCCCAAATGTCCTTTTGCAGAATGGACAAAAACATACTTCCCAAAATGCTGAATGAAAAGAAAGTTTTAACTCTGTGAGATGAATGTACACATCACAAAGCAGTTTCTCAGAAAGTTTCTTTCTAGTTTTTATCTGAAGATATTTTCTTTTTCACCATAGGCCTCAAAGTGCTCTCAAAAGCTCCTTTTCAGATTCTCCCAAAACAGTGTTCCCAAACTGCTGAATTAAAAGGGCAGTTTATCTCTGAGAGATTAATGCACACATCACAAAGTGGTTTCTCAGATAGATTCCTTCCAGGTTTTATCCTGGGACATTTCCTTTTTTTCCATTGTCCTCAGTGAGCTCCCAAATGTCCATCCTCAGAATGGACAAAAACAGTGTTTCCAAACTCTTCAACCAAAAGAAAGGTTTCATTCTGTGAGATGAATGGACACATCACAAAGCAGTTTCTCAGAAAGCTTCTTTCTAGTTTTTATTTGATTATTTTATTTTCACCATAGGCCTCAAAGCTCTCCCAAATATCCCTTCATAGATTCTACAAAAACAGTCTTTCCAAACAGCTGAATTAAAAGAAAGATTTAACTCTGTGAGATGAATGGACACATCACAAAGCAGTTTCTCAGAAAGCTTCCTTCAACTTTTAACCTGAAGATATTTTCTTTCTCACTATAGGGCTCAATGCATTTCCAAATGTCCCTTCACAGATTGTACAAAAGCAGTCTTTCCAAACTGCTAAGTAAAAAAAAGATTTAGTCTATGAGATGAATGTATATATTACAAAGGGGTTTCTCAGATAGCTTCCTTCTAGTTTTTATCTTGGGATATTCACTTTTTCACCATTCGCACCAACAAGCTCCCAAATATCCCTTCACATATTCTACAAAAACAGTGTTTCCAAACTGCTGAATCAAAAGAAAAGTTTAATTCTGTAAGATGAATGCACACATCACAAAGCAGTTTCTCAGAAAGATTCTTTCTAGTTTTTATCTGAATATATTTTCTTTTTCACTATAGGCCTCAATGTGCTCCAAATATCCTTTTGCAGATTCTACAAAACCAGTGTTTCCAAACTGCTGAATCAAAAGAGAGATTTAACTTTGTGAGTTGAATACACACACCACTAAGCCATTTCTCAGATAGCTTCCTTCTAGTTTTTATCCTGGAGTAATCACTTTTTTGCCATTGGCCTCAATGACCTCCCAAAAGTCCATTCAGAGAATGGACAAAAACAGTGCTTCCAAACTGCTGAATGAAAAGAAATTTTAACTCTGTAAAATGAATGTACAAGTCACAAAGCAGTTTCTCTCAATGCTTCTTTCTAGTTTTTATCTGAAGATAATTTCATTTTCACAATAGTCCTCAATGTGCTTCCAAATATCCCTTCGCGGATTCTACAAAAACAGTGTTTACAAACTGTTGAATTAACAGAATGCTTTAACTCTGTGAGATGAATGCACACATCACAAAACGATTTCTCAGGTAGCTTCCTTCTAGTTTTTATCCTGGGGTATTCTCTTTTTCACCATTGGCCTCCATGAGCTCCAAAATGTCAGTTCACAGAATGGACAAAAACAGTGTTTCCAAACTGCTGAATCAAAAGAAAAGTTTACCTCTGTGTGAAGAATGCACACATCACAAAGCAGTTTCTCAGAAATCTTCTTTCTAGTTTTTATCTGAAGACATTTTCTTTTTCACTATAGGACTCAATGTGCTCCAAAATATCCCTTTGCAGATTCTACCAAATCCTTGTTTCCAAACTGCTGAATGAAAAGAAAGGTTTAAGTCTGTGAGATGAATGCATACATCACAAAGCGGTTTCTCAGATAGCTTCCTTCTGGTTTTTATCCTGGGATATTTGCTTTTTTGCCATTGGACTCAATGAGCTCTCATGTCCATTTGCAGCATGGACAAAAAAAGTATTTCCGGCCGGGCGCGGTGGCTCACGCCTGTAATCCCAGCACTTTGGGAGGCCGAGGCTGGCAGATCACAAGGTCAGGAGATCAAGACCATCCCGGCTAAAACGGTGAAACCCCGTCTCTACTAAAAATACAAAAAATTAGCCAGGTGTAGTGGCGGGCGCCTGTAGTCCCAGCTACTTGGGAGGCTGAGGCAGGAGAATGGCGTGAACCCGGGAGGCGGAGCTTGAAGTGAGCCGAGATCCCGCCACTGCACTCCAGCCTGGGCGACAGAGCGAGACTCCGTCTCAAAAAAAAAAAAAAAAAAAGTATTTCCAAACTACTTAATCAAAAGTAAGGTTATCTCTGTGAGATGAATGCACACATCACAAAGCAGTTTCTCAAAAAGTTTCCTTCTAGTTTTTATCCTGTTATAGTTGCTTTTTAGCCTTAGGCTTCAATGCACTCACAAACATAATTTCACAGATTATAAAAAAACAGTGTTTCCCAATTGTTCAATGAAAAGAAAAGTTTAACTGTGAGATGAATGCACACATCAAAAATCGGTTTCTCAGATAGCTTTCTTCTAATTTTTATCCTGCGATATTTGTTTTTCTGCCATTGGCCTCAATGATCTCCCAAATATCAATTCACAGAATGGACAAAAACAGTGTTTCCAAACTGCTGAAACAAAAGAAAGGTTTACCTCTTTGAGATGAATGCGCACATCACAAAGAAATTTCTCAGAAAGTTTCTTTCTAGTTTTTATCTGGAGATATTTTCTTTTTCACCATAGGCCTCAATATGGTCCCAAATATCACCTCGCAGATTCTACAGAAACATTGTTTCCAAAATGCAGAATGAAAAGAAAGTTTAACTCTGTGAGATGAATGCACACATCACAAAGTGGTTTCTCAGATAACTTCCCTCTAGTTTTTATCCTGGGATATTCCCTTTTTCACTGTCAGCCTCTGTGAGCTCCCACATGTCCATTCACAGAATGGACAAAAACAGGGTTTCCACACTGCTGAATAAAACAAAAGTTGAACTCTGTTAGATGAAAGTACACATCACAAATCAGTTTCTCCAAAAGCTTCTTTCTAGTTCTTATCTGAAGATATTTTCTTTTTCACCTTAGGCCTCAATGTGCTCCAAAATATTACACTGCAGATTCTACAAAAACAGTGTTTCCAAACTGCTGAATAAAAATTAAGATTTCACTCTGTGAGATGAATGCACACATCACAGTGAGGTTTCTCAGTTAGTTTCCTTCTAGTTTTTAACCTGGGATATTCACTTTTTCACCATTGGCCTCAATTCATTCCCTAATATCCCTTCACAGTTTCTAGAAAACAGTGACTCCAAACTGTGGAGTCAAAAGAAAGTTTTAAATCTGTGAGATGAATGCACACATCTCAAAGAAGTTTCTCAGAAAGATTGTTTCTAGTTTTTACATGAAGATATTTTCTTTTTCATCATAAGACTCAATGTGCTCCCAAATATCGCTTCACATATGCTACAAAACATTTTTCCAAACTGCTGAATCAAAAGAAAGGTTTAACTTTGTGAGATGAATACACACTTCACAAAGTAGTTTCTCAGAAAGCTTCTTTCTAGATTTCATATGAAGTTATTTTCTTTTTCACTATAAGCCTCAATGCCCTCCCAAATATCCCTTTGCAGATTCTACAAAAACAGTGTTTCCAAACTGCAGAATGTAAAGAACAGTTTAACTTGAGAGATTAATGCACACCTCACAAAGCTGTTTCTCAGACATCTTCCTTCTAGTTTTTATCCTGGAATATTCGCTTTTTCGCTGTCGGCTTCAATGAGCTCCCAAATGTCCATTCGCAGATTGTAAAAAAAAAGCAGTGTTTCCAAACTGTTGAATGAAAAGAAATGTTTGATTCTGAGTTGATAGCACACTCCACTGAGAATTTTTTCAGAAAGCTTCTTTCCCGTTTTTATCTCAACATATTTTCTTTTTCACCCTAGGCCTCAATGCACTACCAAATATCCCTTCACAGATTCTAAAATAACAGTGTTTCCAAAATGCTGAATGAAAACAAACGTTTACCTCTATGAGATGGATGCACATCTCACAAAACAGTTTCTCAGTTAGTTTCCTCCAGTTTTTATCCTGGGATATTCCCTTTATCTCCATTGGCCTCAATGCACTCCCAAAAGTCCATTCACAGAATAAACCGAAACAGTGTTTCCAAACTGCTGAATGAAAAGAAAGGTATAACTCTGTGAGATGAAAGCACACGTCAAGCAGTTTCTCAGAAACATCTTTCTAGTTTTTATAAAAATATTGTTTGAACCTGCTGAATGAAAAGCAACGTTTCACTCTGTGAGATGATTGCACACATCACAAAGCAGTTTTTCAGATAGCTTCCTTCTAGTTTTCATCTTGGGATATTCGTTTTTTCACCATTGGCCTCAAAGAACTCCAAAATGTCCATTTGCTGAATGGACAAAACAGTGTTTCCAAACTTCTGAATAAAAGGTTTAACTCTGTGAGATAAAGGCACACATCACAAAGTAAATTCTCAGAAAGCTTCTTTCTGGCTTTATCTTAAGATAATTTATTTTTCACCATAGACCTCAATGCACTCCCAAATATACCTTCACAGATTCTAGAGAAACAGTGTTTCCAAACTGCTGAATGAAAAGTAAGGTTTCACTCTGTGAGATGAATACTCCCATCACAAAGCCATTTCTCAAATAGCTTCCTTCTAGTTTTTATTCTGGGATATTCAGTTTTTCACCATTGGCTTCAAGGAGCTCCCAACTCTCCATTCACAGAATGGATAAAAACAGTGTTTCCAAACAGCTGAATCAAAAGAAAGGTTTACCTCTGTGACGTGAATGGACACATCACAAATCAATTTCTCCAAAAGCTTCTTTCTAGATGTATTTGAAGAGATTTTTTTCACCATAAGCCTCCATGCACTCCCAAATATCTCTTTGCAGATTCTATAAAAACAGTATTTCCAAACAGCTCAATCAAAAGAAAGGTTTAACTCTGCAAGATGAATGTGCACATCATAAAGTGTTTCTCAGATAGCTTCCTTCAAGTTTTTATCTTGGGATATTCCTTTTTCACCATTAACCTCAATGAGCTCCCAAATTTCCATTCATGGAATGGACAAAAACAGTTTTCATACTACTGAATCAACAGAAATGTTTGCCTCTGTGAGATGAATGCACACATCACAAAGCAGTTTCTCAGACAGCTTCCTTCTAGTTTTTTATCCTGGGATGTTGGCTTTTTCATCAGTGGCCTCAGTCATTTCCAAAATGTCCATTCGAAGAATGGACAAAAACAGACTTTCAGAACTGCTGAATCTAAGGAAAAGTTTAATGCTGTGAGAGGAATGCACCCATCACAGAGTAATTTCTCTGAAAGCTTCCTTCTAGTTTTTATCTGAACATATTTTTATTGCACCATAGGCCTCAATGCCCTCCCAAGTATCCCTTCACAGATTCTACAAAAACAGTGTTTCCAAACTGCTGAATCAAAAGATAGGCTTAACTCTGTGAGAGGAATGCACACAGCACAAAGCAGTTTCTCAGAAAGATTCTCTCTAGTTTTTATCTGAAGATATTTTCCTTTTCACCATAAGCCTCAATGCATTCCCAAATATCCCTTGGCAGATTCTACAAAAACTCGTTTCCAAACTGTTCAATTAAAAGAAAGTTTTCACTCTGCCAGTTAAATGTACACATTACAAAGCAGTTTCTCAGATAGCTTCCTTCTTGTTTTTATCCTGGGATATTGGCTTTTTCACATTTGGCATCAATAAGCTCCAAATAGCCCTTCACAGATTCTACAAAAACTGTGTTTCCAACCTACTTAATGAAGAGAATGCTTTACCTCTATGAGATGAATGTGCAGATGACAAAGCGGTTTCTCAGATAGCTTATGTCTGGTTTTATTCTTGGACATTTTCTTTTTTGCCTTTGGCCTCCATGAACTCATATATGTCCTTTGGCAGAATGGACAAATACTGTCTCCAAACTGCTGAATCAAAACACAGGTTTGAATCTATGAGGTGAATGCACACATCACAATGCAGTTTCTCAGAAAGCGTTCTTCTATTTTTTATCTGAAGTTATTTTCCTTTTCACCATAGGCCTCAAAATGCTGCCAAATGTCCATTCACAGATTCTACAAAAACAGTGTTTCCAAACTACTGAAAGAAAAGAAAGATTTAACTCTGCCAGATGAATGAACACATCACAAAGTGGTTTCTCTAACAGCTTCCTTCTAGTTTTTATCCCGGGATATTTGCTTTTTCACCTTAGACCTCAATCAGTTACAAAATGCCCTTTCACACAATGTACAAAAATTGTGTTTACAAACTGCTGATTCCAAGGAATGGTTTAACTCAGTGAGATGAATGCACACATCACAAAGCAGTTTTTCAGAAAACTTCTTTCTACTTTTATCTGAAGATATTTTTTTCCTCACCATAGGCCTCCTTGCACTCCCAAATATCCCTTTGAAGATTCTGTAAAAACGTTGTTTCCAAATTGGTGAATGAAAAGAAAGATTTAACTCCCCTAGGCAATTGCACATATCACAAAGCAGTTTCTCAGATAGCTTCCTTCTAGTTTTTTTACTGGGATATTCGCTTTTTCACCATTGACCTCAATGAGCTCCCAAAAGTCCATTCACAGAGTGGTTAAAAACAGGGTTTCCAAACTGCCGAATCAAAAGAAAGGTTTAACTCTGTTAGATAAATGAACACTTCCCAAAGTAGTTTCTCAGAAAACTTCTTTCTAGTTTTTATCTTAAGATACTTTCTTTTTCACTATAGGCCTCAATGTGCTCTGAAATATCCTGGAAACGGTGTTTCCAAACAGATGAATACAACTAATGGTTGAACTCTGAGAGATGAACGCACACATCACCAAGCGGTTTCTAAGACAGCTTCCTTCTAATTTTAATCCTGGGATATTGGCTTTTTTGCCTTTGGCCTCAATGAGCTCCCAAATATCCATTCGCAGAATGGACAAAAACAGTGTTTCCAAAGTGCTGAGTCAATAGAAATGTTTAAGTCTGTGAGATGAATGCACACATCACAAAGCAGTTTCTTACTAAGCTTCTTTCAAGTTTTTATCTGAAGATAATTTGTTTTTAACCGTAAGGCTCAATGCGCTACCAAATATCCCTTCACAGATTCTAGAAAAGCAATGTTCCCAAACTGCTGAATAAAAAGAAAGATTGAACTCTGTGAGATGAAAGCACACATCACAAAGCAATTACTCATAAATCTTCTTTCTAGTTTTTAACTGGAGATATTTTCTTTTTCAACACTGGCCTCAATTTGCTCCCAAATATCCTTTTGCAGATTCTACAAAAACAGTGTTTCCAAATTGCTGAATGAAAAGATCAGTTTAACTCTGTGAGATGAATGGACACATCACAAAGTGGTTTCTCAGACAGTTTCCTTCTAGTTTTCACCCTGGGATATTGGCTTTTTTGCTGTTTTCATCAATGAGCTTTCAAATGTCCATTCACAGAATGGACAAAAACAGTGTTTCCAAACTGCTGAATCAAAAGAAAGGTTTACCTCTGTTACATGAATGCACACATCCCAATTCAGTTTCACAGAAACCTTCTTTCTAGTTTTTATCTGAAGATTTTTTTCACCATACTCGTCAATGTGCTACCAAATATCCCTTTGCAGATTGTACAAAAACAGTTTTTCCAAACTGGTGATTGAAAAGAATGGTTTAACTCTGCAAGATGAATGAACACATTATAAAGGGGTGTCTCAAATAGCTTCCTTCTAGTTTTTATTCTGGGATAGTTACTTTTTCTCAATTGGCCTCAATGAGCTCCCAAGTGTCCATTCACAGAACAGACAAAACAGTGTTTCCAAACTGCTGATTCAAAGGAAAATTTTAACTCTGGGACACGAATGCACACATCACAAAACAGTTTCTCAGAAAGCTTCTTTCTAGTTTTTACCTGAAGATATTTTCTTTTTCACCATAGGCCTCAAATTGCTCCCAAATGTCCCTTTGCATAATCTAAAAAAAAAAACAGTGTTTCCAAATATGAATCAAAGGAAAGGTTAAAGTCTGTGAGATGAATGCCCATATCCCAAAGCAGTTTCTCAGAAAGCTTCTTTATAGGTTTTAACTGAAGATGTTTTCTTTTTCACCCTAGGCCTCAGTGCACTCCCAAATATCCCTTCACAGATTTTAGAAAAATAGTGTTTCCAAACTGCTGAATCAAAAGAAAGGTTTAACTTTTTGAGATGAATGCACACATCATGAAACAGTTTCTCAGAAACATTCCTACTCCTTTTTATCTGAAGATATTTTCTTTTTCACCATAGGCCTCAATACACTCCCAAATATCCCTTCACAGATTGTACAAAAAAAGTGTTTCCAAACTGCTGAATGAAAAGAAAGGTTTAACTATGTGAGATGAATGCACACATCACAAAGTGGTTTCTCAGATAGCTTCTTTCTAGTTTCTATCCAAGGATATTTGCTTTTTCCCCATAGGCCTCAAAGAGTTCCAAAATGTCCATTTGCAGAATGAACCAAAACAGTGTTTCCAAACTGCTGAATCAAAAGAAACGTTTAACTCTGTGAGATGAATGCACACCTCATTAAGCAGTTTCTCAGAAAGCTTCTTTCTAGTTTTTATCTGAAGGCATTTTTTTCATCACATGCCTCAATGCGCTCACAAATATCCCTTTAGAGATTCTCCAAAAACAGTGTGTTCAAACTGCTCAATGTAAAGAAACATTTAACCCTATGAGATGCATGCACCTATCAGAAAGTGGTTTCTCAGAAAGATTCTTTCTACATTTTATCAACGTTAATTTCTTATTCACCTTAGGCCTCAGTGGACTCCCAAATATACCTTCAGAGAGTCTACAGAAATGGTGTTTCCAAACCTCTGAATCCAAGGAAAGTTTTAACTCTGTGACATGAGTGTACACATCACAAAGCAGTATCTCAGAAAGTTACTTGCTAGTTTTTATCCGAAGATATTTTCTTTTTCACCAGAGGCGTCAATGTGCTACCAAATATCTCTTTGCAGATTCTACAAAAACAGTGCTTCCAAACTACTGAATCAAAATAAAGGTATAACTCTGTGAGATAAATGCACACATCAAAAAGCCATTTCTCAGATAGCTTCCTTCTAGTTTTTATCCTGTGATATTCGTTTCTTTGCTATTGGCCTAAATAAGCTCCAAAATGTCCCCTCGCAGAATAGACTAAAATGGTGTTACCAAACTGCTACAATAGGAGGAAGGTTTCAATCTGTGAGAGGAATGGACAATCACCTAGCAGTTTCTCAGAAAATCTCTTTCTAGTTTTTTATCTAGATGATATTTTCTTTTTACCATAGGCCTCAATGCACTCACATATATCCCTTCACAGATTCTACAAAAAAAAAGCATTTCCAAACTGCTGAATGAAAAGGAAGCTTTAACTCTGCGCAATTAATGCACACACAACAAGGTGGTTTCTTAGATAATTTCCTTCTAGCTTTTATCCTGGGATATTCGCTTTTTTGCCATTGGCCTCAATGATATGCCAAATATCCACTCGAATAATGGACAAATATAGGGTTTCCAACCTGCTGAATCAAAAGAAAGGTTTAACTCTGTAAGATGAATGCACACATCACAAAGCATTTTCTCAGACAGCTTCTTTATAATTTTTATCTGAAGATATTTTCTTTTCCACCCTAAGCCTCAATGCGCTCCCAAATATCACTGTGCAGATTCTAGAAAAATAGTTCTTCCAAACTACTGCATGAAAACAAATGTTTAACTCTGCAAGATGAATGCAGACATCTCAAATCGGTTTCTCAGATAGCTTCCTTGTAGTTCTTATCCTTGGATTTGCACTTTTTTGTCATTGGCCTCAATGAGCTCTAAAATATCCATTCACAGAAAGGACAAAAACAGTGTTTCCAAACTCACAAATCAAAAGAAAGTTTTGACTATGGGAGACGAATGAACACATTACAAAGCAGTTTCTCAGAAAGCTTCTTAGTAGTTTGTATCTGAAGATATTTTCCTTTCACCATAGTGCTCAATATGTTCCCAAATATCCCTTCGCAGATTGTGGAAAAACAGTGTTTCCAAACTTATGAATCAACAGAAAGGTTTAACTTAGTGAGATGAATGCACACATCACAGAGCGGTTTCTCAGATAGATTTCTTCTTATTTTTACCGTGGGATATTTGTTTTTTTGCCATTGACCTCAGTGAGCTCCAAAATGCCCATTTGCAGAATGGACAAAGACAGTGTTTCCAAACGGCTGAATAAAAAGAAAAGTTTTGCTCTGTGAGATAAATGCACACATCACAAAGCAGTTTCTCAGAAACCTTCTTTCTAGTTTTCATCTGAGTATATTTTCTTTTTAACCACAGGCTTCAATGCACTCAAAATATCCCTTAGATATTTCTACAAAAACAGTGTTTCCAAACTGCTGAATGAAAAGATAGGTTTCACTCTGTGAAATGAATGCACACTTCACAAAGCGGTTTCTCAGATAGCTTCCTTCTAGTTTTTATCCTGGTATAATTGCATAATCGCCATTGGTCTCAAAGAACTCCCAGATGTCCATTCGCAGAATGGGCAAAAACAATGTTTCCAAACTGCTAAATTAAAAGAAAAATTTAACTCTGTGAGATGAATGTTCACATCACAAAGCAGTTTTTCAGTTCCAGTTTTTATCTGAAGCTAATTTCTTTTTCAACTTTGGCCTCAATGAGCTCCCTAATATCCCTTCTCAGATTCTGGGAAAACAGCATTTCCAAACTGCTGAATCAAAAGAAAGTTTAAACTCTGTGAAATGAATGCACACATCACAAAGCTGTTTCTCAGAGAGCTTCCTTCTAGTTTTTATCCTGGGACATTTGTGTAATCACCATTGGTCTCAATGAGCTCCCATATGTCCACTCGCAGAATGGACAAAAATAGTGTTTCCAAACTGCTGAATCAAAAGAAAAATTTAACTCTGTGAGATGAATGCACACATCGCAAAGTGGTTTCTCAGATAGCTTCCTTTTAGGTTTTATCCTGGGATATTCAGTCTTTCACCATTGACCTCAATGAGCTCCTGAATGTCCATTTGCAGAATGGAAAAAAACAGTTTTTCCAAAGTGCTGATTCAAAAGAAACTTTTAACTCTGTGAAGTGAATACACACATCACAAAGCAGTTTCTCAGAAAGCTTCTTTCTAGTTTTTATCTGAAGATATTTTCTTTTTCACCATTGGCCTCAGTGTGCTCCCAAATATCCCTTTGCAGATTCTACAAAAACAGTGTTTCCAAACTGCTTAATGGAAAGAATGGTTTATCACTGTGAGATGAATTCACGCATCACACGACAGTTTTTCAGATAGCTTCCTTCTAGGTTTTATCCTGGTATATTCACTTTTTCGCCATTGGTGTCTATGAGCTCCCAAATGTCCATTCGCAGAATGGATAAAAACAGTGTTTCCAAACTGCTGAATCAGAAGAAAGTTTTCACTCTGTCAGATGAATGCACACATCACAAAGCAGTTTTTCAGAAAGCTTCTTTTCAGTTTTTATCTGAAGATACTTTCTTTTCCAACATAGGCCTCAATGTGCTCCCAAATATCACTTCGCAGATTCTACAAAAACCGTGTTTCCAAACTGCTAAATGAAAAAGAAAGGTTTCATGATGTGAGATGAATGCACACATGACAAAGTCGCTTCCCAGATAGCTTCCTTCCAGTTTTTATCCTGGGATATTGGCTTTTTGGCTATTGCCCTCGATGAGCTCACAAATGTCCATTCACAGAATGGAGAAAAAGAGTCATTCCAAACTGCAGAATTGAAAGAAAAGTTTAGCTCTGTGAAATGAATGCACACATCATGAAGCAGTTTTTCAGGATGGTCCTTTCTCGTTTTAATCTGAAGATATTTCCTTTTTCACCATAGGCCTCAATATGCTCCCAAATATCCCTTTGCAGATTCTACAAAAACACTGTTTCCAAAGTGCTGAATGAAAATAAATGTTTAACTCTGTGAGATGAATGCAGACATCATAAAGCAGTTTCTTAGATAGCTTCCTTCTAGCTTTTATCCTGGGATATTTGCTTTTTTGCCATTGGCCTCAATGGGCTCCCAAAAGCCCATTCACAAAATGGACAAAAACAGTGTTTATAAACTGCTGAATAAAAGAAAGATTTAACTATCTGAGATGAATGCACAAGACACAAATCAGCTTCTTTGAAATCTTCCTTCTAATTTTTATGTGAAGATAATTTCTTTTTCACCATAGGCCGCATGCGCTCCCAAATATCCCTTCGCAGATTCTACAAAAACAGTGTTTCCATACCTCTGAATCAATGGAACGTTTTAACTCAGTGAGATAAATGCACACATCACACAGCAGTTTCTCATAAAGCTTTTTTTCTAGTTTTTATCTGAAGATATTTTCTTTTTCACCATAGGCCTCAATGCGCTCCGAAATATCCCTTCACAGATTCTACAAAAACAGTATTTCCAAAATGCTGAATCAAAAAAAGTTTTAACTCTGTGAGATGAATGCATACTTAACAAAGGGTTTCTCATATATCTTCCTTCTAGTTTTTATCTTTGGATATTCGCTTTTTCACCTTTGGCATCAATGAGCTCCCAAATATCCCTTCACAGATCCTAAAAAAGCTGTGTTTCCAAACTGCTTAATGAAAAGAATGGTTTATCTCTGTGAGATATATGCACACATCACAAAGTAGTTTCTCAGACAGCTTCCTTCCAGTTATTTAACCTGGGATATTCACTTTTTCATTACTGGCCCAAGAGCTCCCAAATATCCATTCACTGAATGGACCAAAACAGTGTTTCCAAACTGCTGAATCAAAAGAAAGGTTTAGCTCTATGAGATGAACGTACACATAACAAAGCAGTTTCTCAAAAAACTTCTTTCTAGTTTTTATCTGAAGATAATTTGGTTTTCACTATTGGCCTCAATGTGCTCCAAATTATCCCTTGGCAGATTCTAAAAAAACAATATTTCCAGATTCCCCAAAGAAAAGAAAGTTTTAACTCCGTGAGAGGAATGCACACATCACAAAGCAGTTTTTCAGAAAGCTTCTTTCTTGTTTTTATCTGAAGATATTTTCTTTTTCACTATTGGCCTCAATGAGGCCATATATCACTTTGCACATTCTACAAAAACAGTCTTTCCAAACTGCTGATTCAAAAAAAAAGTTGAATGCTGTGAGATGAATGGACACATCACAAAGCTGTTTCTCCAGTAGCTTCTTTTTAATTTTTATCTGAAGATATTTACTTTTTCAACATAGGCCTCAATGCGCTCCCAAATATCCCTTCAAAGATTCTACAAAAACAGTGTTTCCAAAGTGCTGAATGAAAAGAACGGTTTAACTCTGCAAGAAGAATGCACACATCACAAAGCAGTTTCTCAGAAAGCTTCTTTTAGTTTTTATCAGAAGATTTCTTTTTCACCATAGGCCTCAATGGGTTCCCAAATATCCCTTCACAGATTCTACAAAGACAGTGTTTCCAAACTGGTGAATCAAAAGAAAGGTTTAACTCTGTGACATGAATGCATACATCACAAAGCAGTTTCTCAGAAATCTTCTTTCCAATTTTTATCGGAAGATATTTTCTTTTTCACCGTAGGCCTCAAAATGCTCCCAAATATTCCTTCGCAGATTCTAGAAAAACAGTGTTTCCAAACTGCTGAATGAAAAGAATGGTTTCAGTCTGCAAAATGAATGCACACCTCACAAAGTGGTTTCTCAGATACATTTCTTCTAGTTTTTATCCTGGCATATTCTTTTTCACCATTGACTCCATTGAGCTCCCAGATGTCCATTTGCAGAATGGACAAAAACAGTGTTTCCAAACTGCCAAAATAAAAAGGTTTCACTCTGCAAGATGAATGCACATATCACAAAGCACTTACTCAGAAAGCTTCTTTCTAGTTTTGATCCAAACATATTCTCTTTATCACCATAGGCCTCAATGCACTCACAAATATTCCTTTGCAGATTCTACAAAAACAGTGTTTCCAAACTGCTGAATGAAAAGTTTTATTCTGCAAACACAAAGCTTTTTTCTAGTGCTGAATCAAAAGAAAGTTTTAAGTCTGTGAGACAAATGCACACATAACAAAGGAGTTTCTCAGATATCTTCCTTCTAGTTTTTATCTTTGGATATTTGATTTTTCGCCTTAGGCCTCAATGAGCTCCAAAATATCCCTTCACAGATTCTACAAAAGCAGTATTTCCAAACTGCTTAATGAAAAGAACGGTTTATCTCTGCAAGATGTACGCATACATCACAAAGCAGTTTGTCAGACAGCTTCCTTCTAGTTTTTATCCTGAGATATTCGCTTTTTTGCTATTGGTCTCAGAGCTCCCCGATGTCCATTCACAGAATGGACAAAAACAGTGTTTCCAAAATTCAGAATCAAAAGAAACTTTTAACTCTGTGAGGTGAATGCACATATCACAAAGAAGTTTCTCAGAAAGCTTCCTTCTACTTTTTATTCTGGGATATTTGCTTTTTTGCCATTGACCTAAATATGCTGCCAAATTTCCATTTGCAAAATGGACAAAAATTGTTTCCAAACTGCTGAATCAGAAGAAAGGTTTAACTTTGGGAGATGAATGACACATCACAAAGCAGTTTCTCCGAAAGTTTCTTTCTAGTTTTTATCTGAAGGTATTTTCTTTTTCACCTTAGGCTTCAATGTGCTCTAAAATATCCCTTTGCAGATTCACCAAAAACAGTATTTCCGAACTGCCCAATGAAAGGAAAGTTTTAATTCCCTGAGAGGAATGCACACATCACAAAGCAGTTTCTCAGATAGCTTCCTTCTGGTTTTTGTCCTGGGATATTCACTTTTTCGCCATTGGCATCAATGAACTCCCAAATGTCCATTGGTAGAATGGACAAAAAACATTACAAACTGCTGAATGAAAAGAAATGTACAACTCTGTGAGATGAACGCACACATCACAAAGCAGTTTTTCAGAAAGAGTCCTTCTAGTTTTTATCTGAAGATATTTTCTTTTTCACCATAGGCCACAATACGCTCCCAAATACCCATTTGCAGAACCTACAAAAATAGTGTTTGCAAACTGCTGAATGAAAAAATAGTTTAACTCTATCAGATGAATGCACACATCATAAAGAGGTTTCTCAGATAGCTTCATTCTAGTTTTTATCCTGGGATATTCTCTTTTTCACAGTCAGCCTCAATGAGCTCCCAAATGTCCATTCACAGAATGGACAAAAACAGTGTTTCCATACTGCTGAATGAATAGAAACTTTTAACTCTGTGAGATGAATGCACATATCACACAGCAGTTTCTCAGAAAGCATCTTTCTAGTTTTTATCCGAGCAAATTTTCTTTTTCACCATAGGCCTCAATGTGCTCCCAAGTATCCCTTTGTAGATTATGCAAAAACAGTGTTTCCAAACTGCTGAATCAAAAGAAAATTTCACTCTGTGAGATGAATGCACACATCACAAAGCAGTATCTCAAAATCTTGTTTCTTGTTTTTATCTGAAGACATTTTCTTTTTCTCTGTTGGCCTCAATGCACTCCCATACATCACTTCACAGATTCTACAAAAACAGTCTTTCCAAACTGCTGAATCAATAGAAAGGTTTAACCCTGTGAGATGTATGGACACATCACAAAACTGTTTCTCAGAAAGCTTCTTTCTACTTTTTATCTGAAGATATTTTATTTTTCATCATAGGCCTCAACGCACTCCCAAATATCCCTTTGAAGATTCTAAAAAACAGTGTTTCCAAACTGTTGAATGAAACGAACTTTTCAACTCTGCAAGATGCACACATCACAAAGCAGTTTCTCAGAAATCTTACTTTAGTTTTTATTGGAATATATTTATTCACTCTAGGCCTCAAGGCGCTCCCAAATAACCCTTTGTAGATTCTACAAAAATAGTGTTTCCAAACTGAAGAATCAAAAGAAAGGTTTAACTGTGCAATATGAATGCACACATCACAAAGAAGTTTCTCAGAAAATTTCTTTCTAGTTTTTATCTGAAAATATTTTCTTTTTCACTATTGCCCTCAATGCACTCCAAAGTATCCCTTCACAGATTCTACATAAACAGTGTTTCCAAACTGCTTAATGAAAAGAAAAGTTTAACTCTGCGAGATGAATGCAAAAATCACAAAGTGCTTTCTCAGATAGCTTTCTTCTAGCTGTTATCCTGGGATATTTTCTTTCTCACCATTGGCCTCAATGATCTCCAAAATGTCCATTCCTAGAATGGACATAAACAGTGTTTGCAAACTGCTGAATCAAAAGAAATGTTGAACTCTCTGAGGTGAATACACACATCACAAAGCAGTTTCTCAGAAAACTTCTTTTTAGTTTTTCTCTGAAGGTATTTTCTTTATCACTATTGGCGTCTAAACACTCCTAAATATCCCTTTACATATTCAAGGAAAACAGTGTTTTGAATCTTCTGAATGAAAAGAATGGTTTCAAACTGCAAAATGAATGCACACATCACAAAGTGGTTTCTCAGATACCAGCCTTCTAGTTTTTATCCTTGCACATTCACTGCTTTGCCAAGGCTTCATTGAGTCCCTAGATGTCCATTCTCAGAAAGCACAAAAACAGTGTTGCCAAACTGCTGAATGAAAAGAAAGGTTTAACTCTGGGAGACGAGTGCACACATCAAAAAGCAGTTCCTAAGGTAGCTTCTTTCTAGTTTCTATACTAGGATATTCACTTTTCCACCATTCACCTCAATGATCTCCCAAATATCCTTTTGTTGAATGGACAAAAACAGTGTTTCCAAGCAGCTGAATCAAAAGAAAAGTTTAATGCTGTAAGATGAATGCACACATCCCAAAGTAGTTTCTTATAAAGCTACTTTCTAGCTTTCATCTGAAGATATTTTCTTTTTCACCATAGGCCTCAATGCATTCCCAGATATCCCTTTGCACATAATACAAAAACAGTGTTTCCAAACTGCTGAATGATAAGAATGGTTTAACTCTGTGAGAAGAGTGCACACTTCACAAAGCAGTTTCTCAGATGGCTACCTTCCTGTTTTTATCCTGGGATATTCACTTATTCACCATTGGAGTCAAAGAGCTGTCTGATGTCCATTCGCTGAATGGACAAAAACAGTTTTCCAAACTGTTGAATCAAGAGAAAGCTTTAACTCTGTGAGATGAATGCACACATCACAAAGCAGTTTCTCAGAAAGCTTCCTTCTAGTTTTTATCTGAAGAACTTTTATTTTTCACCATAAGTGTCAATGCGCTCTGAAATATCCTTTCACAGATCCTACAAGAAGAGTGTTTCCAAACAGCTGAATCAAAAGAAAGGTTTAACTCTGTGAGAGGAATGCACACATCACAAAGCAGATTCTCAAAAACTACTTTCTAATTTTTATCTGGAGATATTTTCTTTTTTGCCATAGGGATTTATGCCTCAATGCACTCCCAAATATCTCTTTGCAGATTCTAAAAATACAGTGTTTCTAAACTGCTGAATGAAAAGAAAGGTTTAATTATGTGAGTCGAATGCACACATCACAAAGCAGTGTCTTAAAAAGCTTCCTTCTAATTTTTATCTGAAGATGTTTCCTTTTCCACCATAGGCCGCAAGGAGCTCCCAAACATCCCGTCGCAGATTCAACAAAAACCATGTTTCCACACTGCTCAATCAAAGGAAAGGTTTATCTCTGTGAGATGAATACACATATCACAAAGCAGTTTCTCACAATGTTTTTTTCTAGATTTATCTGAAGATATTTCCCTTTTCACCATATAGGCCTCAAAGCACTCCCGAATATCCTTTTGCAGATTCTGTAAAAACAGTCTTCCCAAAGTGCTCAATGCACTTTTTTTTTGCCATAGTGTATTTGGGCCTCAATGCACTCCCAAATATCTATTTGCTGATTCTAAAAATACAGTGTTCCTAAACTGCTGAATGAAAAGAAAGGTTTAATTATGTGAGACGAGTGCACAAATCACAAAGCAGTGTCTCAAAAAGCTTTCTTCTAGTTTTTATCTGAAGATATTTCCTTTACTGCCATAGGCCTCAAGGAGCTCCCAAACATCCCATTGCAGATTCAACAAAAACCGTGTTTCCAAACTGCTCAATCAAAGGAAAGCTTTATCTCTGTGAGATGAATACACATATCACAAACAGTTTCTCACAATGCTTTTTTCTAGATTTATCTGTAGATATTTCCATTTTCACCATATAGCCCTCAATGCACGCCCAAATATCCTTCTGCAGATCCTCCAAAAACAGTCTTCCCAAAGTGCTCAATCAAAAGAAAGGTTTAACACTGTGAGATGAAAGCACACATCACAGTGTCTCAAAAACCTTCTTTCTAGTTTCTATTTGAAGATAATTCCTTTTCCAACATAGGCCTCAAGGTGCTCCCAAATATCCCTTCACAGACTCTACCAAAACCGTGTCTCCAAACTTATCAATCAAAAGACAACTTTAACTCTAAGAGACGAATGCACACTTCACAAAGCAGTTTTTCAGAAAGCTTCTTTCTAGTTTTTGTCTGAAGGTATTTCCTTTTTCACCATAGGCCTCATTGTGTTCCCAGGTACCCTTTTGCAGATTCTAGAAAAACAGTGTTTCCAAACGGATCCATGAAAAGAAAGCATTATCTCTGTGATACGAATGCACACATCACAAAGCAGTTTCTCATAAAGCTTCTTTCTATTTTTCATCTGAAGATATTTTCTTTTTCACCATAAGCCTCGATGTGCTCCAAAATATGCCTTCACAGATTCTACAAAATCATTGTTTCCAAACTGATCAATCAAAATAAAGCTTTAACTCTGTGAGGTGAATGCACACATCACAAAGCAGTTTCTCAGAAAGTTTCTTTCTAGTTTTCATCAGAAAATATTTTCTTTTTAACCATGGGCCTCTATGCACCCCTAATATCCCTTCGCAGATTCTACAAAAACATTGTTATCAAACTGCTCAATCAAAAGAAAGGTTTAACTTTGTGAGATGAATGCACACATCACAAAGCTGTTTCTCAGAAAGAATCTTTCTAGTTTTCATCAGATGATATTTCCTTTTTCACCATTGGCCTCATTGTGCTCCCAAGTATCCCTTCGCAGATTCTACAAAAAACATGTCTCCAAACTTCTCAATCAAAAGAACAGTTTAATTCTGTAAGATTAATGCACACATCACAAAGCAGTTTCTTTGAAAGCTTCTTTCTGTTTTTTATCTGAAGATACTTTCTTTTTCACCATAGGCCAAAATGTGCTCCAAAATATCCCTTCACACATTCTACAAAACCAGCATTTCCAAACTGCTCAATCAAAAGAAACATTCAACTCTCTGAGATGAATGCACACGTCACAAAGCAGTTTCTCAGAACCATCTTTCTGGTTTTTATCTGAGAATATGTCTTTTTCACCATAGGCCCTATTGTGCACCCAAATATCCTTTCACAGATTCTACAAAAACTGTGTTTCCAAACTGCTTAACCAAAAGAATGCTTAAACTCTGTAAGACAAATGCAGACAAAACTAAGCAGTTTCTCAGAAAGTTTCTTTCTAGTTTTTATGTGAAGATATTTCATTTTTGCAAAAGGCCTCAATGTACTCACAAATATCCCTTCATATATTCTACAAAAGCAGTGTTTCCAAGATGCTCAATCAACAGAAAAGTTTAACTCTGTGAGATGAATTTACACATCAGAACGAAGTTAATCAGAAAACTTCTTTCTAGTTTTTGTCTGAGGATACTTCCTTTTTACAGTAGGCCTCATTGCACTCCAAATTACCCATTCACAGATTCTACAAAAATGGTGTTTCCAAACTGCTCAATCAAAAGAAAGCATTATCTCTGTGAGACGAATGCACACATCACAAAACTGTCTCAGAAAGCTTCTTTCTTGTTTTTATCTGAAGATATTTCCTTTTTCACCATACGCCTCAATGGACTCTCAAATATCCCTTCACAAATTCTACAAAATAGTGTTTCCAAACTGATTAATCAAAAGAAAAATTAACTCTCTGAGATGAATGCACACATCACAAAGCAGTTTCTCAGACAGCTGCTGTCTAGTTTTCTTCTGAAGTTATTTCCTTTTTTGCCTTAGGTCTCAATGCACTTCCAAATATCCCCTTGCAGATTCCATAAAAACAGTGTTTCCAAACTTCTTAATCAAAGGAAACGTTTAACTCTGTTAGATGAATACACACCTCACAAAGCAGTTTTCCAGAAAGCTTCTTTCTAGTTTTTAGCTAAAGATATTTCCTTTTTAACAATAAGCCTCAATGTGCTCCCAAATATCCCTTCACAGATTCTAGAAAAACACAGTTTCCAAACTTTGCAATCAAAAGAAAGGATTAACTCTGTGGGATAAAAGCTCACATCACAGATCTGTTTCTCAGAAATCTTTCCAGTATTTATCTGAGGATATCACATTGTTCACCATAGGCCTCAATGCGTTCCCAAATATCCCTTCAATGATTTTAGAAAAACAGTGTTTCCAAACTACTCAATTAGAAGAAAGGTTTAACTATGCGAGAAGAGTGCACACATTACAAAGCAGTTTCTCAGAAAGATTCTTTCTAGTTTTCAACAGAAGATATTTTATTTTTCACCATAGGCCTCAATGTGCTCCCAAATATCCCTTTGCAGATTCTACAAAAACAGTGTTTCCAAACTGCTCAATCAAAAGAATGGCTTAACTCTGTGAGATGAATGCACACATCACAAAGCAGTTTCTCTGAAAGCTTCTTTCTGATCTTTATCTGAAGTTATTTCCTTTTTCACCATAGACCTCAGTGTGCTCCAAAATATCCCTTCACAGAATCTACAGAAACAGTGTTTCCAAACTTCTCAATCAAAAGAAAGGTGTAACCCTGTGAGAAGAAAGCACACATCACAAAGCAGTTCTTCAGAAAGAGTCTTTCTGGATTTTATCTCAGGATATATCCTTTCTCACCATAGACCCCAAACGGCTACCAAGTATGCTTTCACAGACTCTACAAAAATTGTGTTTCCAAACTGCTTAATCAAAAGAATGCTTAAACTCTGTGAGTCGAATGCAGACATCACAAAGCAGTTCATCAGAAAGCTTTTTTCTAGTGTTTATGTGAAGATATTTCCTTTTCCACCTTAGGCTTCAATGCATTCCCTTATATCCCTTAACAGATTCTACAAAAACAGTGTTTTGAAACTGCTCAATCTAAAGAAAGGTTTAACACTGTGAGGTGAATGCACACATCACAAAGCAGTTTCTCAGAAAACATCTTTCTGGTTTTTATCTGAGGATATTTCTGTTTCACAACAGGCCCAAATGTATTCCCAAATATCCTTTCACAGATTCTACAAAAGCTGTGTTTCCAAACAGATTAATCAAAATAATGCTTAAACAGTGTGAGATGAATGCAGACAACACAAAGCAGTTTCTCTGAAAGCTTCCTACTGGTTTTTATCTGAAGATATTTCCTTTTTCACCAAAGGCCTTAATGTGCTCACAAATATCCCTTTGCAGATTCTACAAAAACAATGTTTCCAAGATGCTCAATCAAATGAAAAGTTTAACTCTGTGAGATGAGTGAACACATCAGAAAGCAGTTAATCAGAAAGCTTCTTTCTAGTTTTTGTCTGAGGAGATTTCCTTTTTCACCAGCAGACTCATTGCATTCCCAAGTACCCTTCTGCAAATTCTAGAGAAACAGTGTTTCCAAACTGCTCAATCAACAGAAAGCTTTATCTCTGTAAGATGAATGCACACATCACAAAACAGTGTCTCAGAAAGCTTCTTTCTAGTTTTTACCTGAAGATATTTTCTTTTTCACCATAGGCATCAATGCACTTCCAAATATCACTTTGCAGATTCCACAAAATCAGTGTTTCCAAACTGATCAGTCAAAGAAAATTTTAATTGTGTGAGATGAATGCACACGTCACAAAGCAGTTTCTCAGAAAGCTTCTGTCTAGTTTTCATCTGCAGATATTTCCTTTTTCACCATAGGCCTCAATGCGCTCCCAAATATCCCATCGCAGTTTTCACAAAAACAGTCTTTCCAATCTGCTCAATCAGCCGAAAGGTTTACCTCTGAGAGATGAATACACACATCACAAAGCAGTGTCTCAGAAAGCTTCTTTCTAGATTTTATCTAAAGATATTTAATTGTTCACCATGGGCCTAAATGTGATCCCAAATATCCCTTCACAGATTCTAGAAAAACACAGTTTCCTAACTGCTCAGTCAAAAGAAATGATTAACTCTGTGAGATGAAAGCACACATCACAAAGTTGTTTCTCAGAAACCTCTCTAGTTTTTACCTGAGGATATTCCCTATTTCACCACATACTTCAATGCATTCCAAAATATCCCTTCACAGATTCTACAAAAACAGTGTTTCCAAACTGCCCAATCAAAAGAAAGTTTTAACTTTGTGAGGTGAATGCAAACATCAGAAAGCAGTTTCTCAGAAAACTTCTTTCTAGTATTTATCTGAAGATATTTCCTTTTTCAGCATAGGATGCAATGCACACCTAAATATCCCTTCATGATTTCTACAAAAACATTGTTACCAAACTGATCAATCAAAAGAAAGGTTGTGCTCTGTGAGATGAATGCATACGTCAGAAAGCAGTGTCTCTGAAAGCTTCTTTCTAGTTTTTATCTGAAGATATTTCATTTTCCAACATAGGCCTCTAGGCGCTCCCAAATATGCCTTTGCAGATTCCGCAATAACAGCGTTTCCAAACTGGTCAATCAAAAGAAAACTTTAACTCTGTGAGATGAATGTACACATCACAAAGCAGTTTCTGAGAAAGCTTCTTTCTGGTTTTTATGGGAAGATATTTCCTTCTTCACTATAGGCCACAATGTGCTCCGAAATATGCAATCTCAGATTCCACGAAAACAGTATCTCCAAAACTCTCAATGAACAGAAATGTTTAGCTCTGAGAGACGAATGCACACAACACAAAGAATTTTCTCAGAAAGATTCTTTGTAATTTTTAAGCGAAGATGATTCCCTTTCCATCATAGGCCTCAATGTGCTCCTAAATATCCCTTCGCAGATTCTACAAAAACAGTGTTTCCAAGCTGCTCAATCAAAAGAAAGTTTTAACTCTGTGAGATGAATGGGCACATCACAAATCAGTTTCTCAGAAAGCTACTTTCTAGTTTTTTTCTGAAGATATTTCCTTTTTCACCATAGCCTTCAATGCTCTCCCAAATATCCCTTCACAGATTCTACACCATCAGTGTTTACAAACAGGTCTATCAAAACAAAACTTTAACTCTGTGAGATGAATGTACACATCACAAAGCACTTTCTCAGAAAGCTTCTATTAGTATTTATCTGAAGATATTTCCTTCTCACCATAGGCCTCAATGCACTCCCAAATATCCCTTCACAGATTCTACAAAAGTGTTGTTACCAAACAGCTAAATCAAAGAAACATTTAACTTTGTGAGATGAATGCACACATCACTATGCAGTTTCTCAGAGAGCTTCTTTCTAGTTCTTGTCAGAAGATATTTTCTTTTTCACCATAGTCCTCAATGAGCTCCCAAATATCCCTTCACAGATTCTGAAAAATCAGTGGTTCCAAACAGGTCAATCAAAAGAAAAGTTTAAGTCTCTGACATGAATACAGACACCACAAAGCAGTGTTTCAGAAAGCTTGCTTCTAGTTTTTCTCTGAAGATATTTGCTTTTTCACCATAGTCCTCAATGTGCTCCCAAATATCCCTTCGTAGATTCTAAAAAATCAGTGTTTCCAAATGAGTAAATCAAAAGAAGTGTTTGGCTCTCTGAGATGAATGCAGACATCACAAAACAGTATTTCAGAAAGCTTCCTTCTAGCTTTTCTCTGAAGATATTTCCTCTTTCACCATAGGCCTCAATGTGCTCTCATGTATCACTTGGCAGATTGAAGAAAAAAACAGTGTTTCCAAACTGCTCAATCAAAATAAAAGTTTATTTCTGTGAGATGAATGGACACATCACAAAGCAGTTTCTCATAATGCATCTTTCTGGTTTTTATATGAAGATATTTCAGTTTTCACCATAGGCCTCAATGCACTCCCAAATATCCTTTCAAAGATTCTACAAAAACTGTTTGCAAACTGCTTAATCAAAAGAATGCAAAATGGTGTGAGCCAAATGCAGATTTCACAAAGAAGTTTTTCAGAAAGCTGCTTTCTAGTTTTTATCTAAAGATATTTCCTTTTTCACAGTTGGCCCCAATGCGCTCCCAATAATCCCTTCATGGATTCTAGAAAAATAGACATTCCAAACTGCTCAATCAAAAGAAAAGATTAACTCTGAGAGATGAAAGCACACGTTCCAAAGGTGTTTCTCAGAAATCTTCCTAGTTTTATCTGAAGATATTTTCTTTTTCACCATAGGCTTCAATGCATTCCAAAATATCCTTTCAGAGATTCTATAAAAACAGTGTTTCCAAATTGCTCAATCAGAAGAAATGTTTAACTCTGTGAGATGAATGCACACATCACAGAGCAGTTTCTGAGAAAGCTTCTTCCTGGTATTTACCTGAAGAAATTTCCCTTTTCACCACAGGCCTCAATGTGTTCCCAAATATCCCTTTGCAGAATCTACAAAAACATTTTTTCCAAACTGCTCAATCAGAAGAAAGGTTTAACTCTGTGAGATGAAGTCACCCATCACAAAGCAGTTTCTCACAAAGCTTCTTTCTAGATTTATCTGAAGATATTTCCTTTTTCACCATAGGCCTCAATGTGCTCCCGACTATCCCTCACAGATTCTACAAAAACAATCTTTCCAAACTGCTCAATGAAAAGAAAGGATTAACTCTGTGAGATAAATGCACACATCACAAAGCAGTGTCTCAAAAAACTTCTTTCTAGTTTTTATCTGATGATATTTACTTTTCCACCATAGTCCTTAAGGCACTCCCAAATATCTCTTCACAGATTCTCCAAAAACAGTGTTTCCAAACTGCTCAGTCAAAAGAGTAGTTTAACTCTGTGAGATGTATGCACACATCACAAAGCAGTTTCTCAGAAACGTTCTTTCTGGTATATATGAAGATATTTCCCTTTTCACCATAGGCCTCAATGCTTTCCTAAATATTCCTTTGCAGATTCTACAAAAACAGTTTTTCCAAACTGCTTGATCAGAAGAAAGGTTTAACTCTATGAGATGAATGCACCCATCACAAAGCAGTTTCCTACAAAGCTTCTTTCTAGATTTATCTGAAGATATTTCCTTTTTCACCATAGTCCTCAAGGCGCTCCCAAATATCCCTCACAGATTCTACAAAACAGTCTTTCCAAACTTCTCAAGGAGAAGAAAGGATTAACTCTGAGATTAATGCACACATCACAAAGCAGTGTCTAAAAAAGCTTCTTTCTAGATTTTATCTGATGATATTTCATTTTCTACCATAGTTCTTAAGGTGTTCCCAAATATCCCTTCACAGATTCTACAAAAATGTTGTTACCAAACCACTCA
This sequence comes from Homo sapiens, assembly GCF_000001405.40. NCBI lineage: Eukaryota > Metazoa > Chordata > Mammalia > Primates > Hominidae > Homo > Homo sapiens. The sequence continues at coordinate 24,288,845 of NC_000019.10, read as the reverse complement.
ATCAAAAGAAAGTTTTAACTCTGTGAGATGAATGCACACATCACCACACAGATTCTCAGAAAACTTCTTTCTAGTTTTCTTCAAAATATATTTTCTTTTTCACCATAGGCCTCAAAGTGCTCCCATATATCCACTGGCATATCCTGCAAAAACAGTGTTTCCAAACTGCTCAATCAAAAGAAATCTTTAACTCTATGAGATGAATGCCCATGTCACAAAGCAGTTTCTCAGAAAGCATCTTTCTGTTTTTATTTGAAGATATTATCTTTTTCACTATTGGCCTCTTGTGCTCCCAAATATCCCTTCAAAGATTCAACAAAACAGTGTTTCCAAGCTGTGCAATCAAAAGAATGGTTTAACTCTGTGTGATGAATGGACTCATCACAAATCAGTTAATCAGAAAGATTCTTTCTAGTTTTTTCTGAGGATTTATCCTTTTTCACCATGAGCTTCAATGCGCTCCCAAGTATCTTTTCACAGATTCCACTAAAACTGTCTTTGAAAATTGCTCAATCAAAAGAATGCTTAACCTCTGTGAGACGGAACTGACATTACAAAGCAGTTTCTCTGAAAGTTTCTTCCTAGTTTTTATGTGAAGATATTTGATTTTTCGCCATAGGAATCAATGCATTCCCATATATCCCTTGACAGATTCTACAAAAACAGTGCTTCCAAACTGCTCACTAAAAGGAAAGTTTTAACTCTGTGAGATGAGTACATATATCACAAAGCAGTTTCTCAGAAAGCTTCTTACTAGTTTTTATGTGGAGATATTTCCTTTTTCACCACAGGCCTCAGGTGCTCCCAAATATCCCTTCACAGATTCTACAAAACAGTGTTTCTATGATGCACAATCAAAAGAAAGGTTTATCTCTGTGTGATGAATGGACTAATCACAAAGCAGTTAATAAGAAAGATTCTTTCTAGTTTTTATCTCAGGATATTTATTTTTTCACCATAGACTTCATTGCATTCACAAGTATCCTTTCTAAGATTCTACCAAAACAGTGTTTCCAAACTGCTCAATCAAAAGAAAGCTTTATATCTGTGTGAGGAATGCACACATCACAAAGCACGTTCTCAGAATGTGTCTTTCTTGTTTTAATGTGAAGATATCACCTTTTTCACCATAGGCCTCAAAGCGCTCCCAAATATCCCTTCACAGAGTCTACAAAAATAGTGTTTCCAAACTTCTCAAATAAAAGAAAGGTATGACTCTGTGAGATGAACGTACACATTGCAAAGCAGTTCCTCAGAAAGCATCTTTCTGATTTTTATCTGAGGTACTTCTTTTCTCTGAATAGGCACCAACATGCTACAAAATATCCCTTCACAGATTCCACAAAAACAGTGTTTCCAAACTGCTCAATCAAAAGAAATATTTAACTCTGTGAGATGAATGCAGACATCACAAAGCCGTTTCTCATAAAGCTTCTTTCTAGTTTTTATGTGAAGGCAATTCCTTTTTCACCATAGACCTCAAAGTGCTCCCAAATATCCCTTCACAGAATCTACAAAAATAGTGTTTCCAAGATGTTCAATCAAAAGATAGGTTTAACTGTATGACATGAATGGACACATCACAAAACAGTTAATCAGAAATCTTCTTTCTAGTTTTTGCCTGAGAATATTTCCTTATTCACTGTAGGCCTCAATGTGCTCCCATATATTCCTTCCCTGATTCTACAAAAACAGTATTTCCAAACTGCTCAATCAAAAGAAAGGTTTAACTCTATGAGATGAATGCACACAACACAAAGCAGTTTCTCCTTAATCTTTCTAGTTTTTTTCTGAGGATATTTCCTTTTTCACCTTAGGCCTCAATGAATTCCCAAATATCCCTTTGCACATTCTACAAATACAGTTTTTCCAAACTGCTTAATCAAAATAAAGTTTTAACTGTGTGAGATGAATGAACACAACACAAAGCAGTGTCTCAGAAAGGTTCTTTCTAATTTTTATCTTAAGATATTTCCTTTTTCACCATAAAACTCAATGTGCGCTCATATATCCATTGGCAGATTCTCCAAAAACATAGTTTCCAACCTGCTCAATCAAAAGAAAAGTTTAACTCTATAAGATGAATGCAGACATTACTAAACAGTTTCTCAGAAAGCATCTTTCTGCTTTTTATCTGAGAATATTACTTTTTCACCATGGGCCCCATGTGCTCCCAAATATCCTTTCACAGATTCTAAAAAAACCGTGTTTCAAAACTGCTTAATCTAAAGAATGATTAAATTCTGTGACATAAAAGCAGACATCACAAAGCATTTTCTCAGAAAAGCTTCTGTCTAATTTTTATGTGAAGATATTTCCTTTTTCAAAAGGGGATTCAATGTGCTCCCAAATATTCCTATGTAGATTCTACAAAAACAGTGTATCCAAGATACTCTATCAAAAGAAAGGTTTAACTTTGTGAGATGCACGTACACATCACAAAGCAGTTAATCAGAAAGCTTCTTTCTAGTTTTTGTCTCAAGATATTTCCTTTTTCACTAAAGGCCTCATTTCTTTCCAAGTATCCTTTCTCAGATCCTAGAAAAACAGTGTTTCCAAACTACTCAATCAAAACGAAGATTTATCTCTGTGAGATGAATACACACATCACAAAGCAGTATCTCAGAAAGCTTCTTTCTAGTTTTTATCTGAAGACATTTCCTTTTCCACCATAGGCCTCAATACACTCCCAATTATCCATTTGCAGAGTCTGCAAAAAAAAAGTGTTTCCAAATTGTTCAATCAAAAGAAAGGTTTAACTCCATGAGATACAATGATGAACCATTCTTTTTACTCAATAAGTTGGAAACACTTTTTGGTTAGAATGTATGAGGAATATTTGGGAGATTTTGAGGCTTATGGTGAAAAAACAAATGTCCCCAGAAAAAAACTAGAAAAAAAGCTGTCTTTGAAACTGGTTTGTGGGCAGCCAAGATGGACAAATAGGAACAGCCCCAGTCTACAGCTCCCAGTGTGAGTGACACAGAAGAGAGGTGATTTCTGCATTTCCATCTGGGATACCGGGTTCATCTCACTAGGGAGTGCGAGACAGTGGGCACAGGACAGTTGGTGCAGCACAGCATGTGCAAGGCGAAGCAGGGCGAGGCATTGCCTCACTCAGGAAATTCAAGGGGTCAGGGAGTACCCTTTCCTAGTCAAAGAAAGGGGTGACAGACAGCACCTGGAAAATCGGGTCACTCCCACCCTAATACTGCACTTTTCCAATGGGCTTAAAAAACGGCACACCAGGAGAAAACATCCCACACCTTCTTGGAGGGTCCTATGCCCACGAAGTCTCACTGATTGCTAGCACAACAGTCTGAGATCAAACTACAAGGTGGCAGCAAGGCTGGGGGAGGGGCACCCGCCATTGCCCAGGCTTCCTTAGGTAAACAAAGCAGCCGGGAAGCTCCAACTTGATGGAGCCCACCACAGCCCAAAGAGGCCTGCCTGCCTCTGTAGGCTCCACCTCTGGGGGCAGGGCACAGACAAAAATAAAGAACAGTAACCTCTCCAGACTTAAATGTTCCTGTCTGACAGATTTGAAGACAGCAGTGTTTCTCCCAGCATGAAGCTGGAGATCTGAAAACAGGCAGAGTGCCTCCTCAAGTGGGTCCCTGACCCCGAACCCCTGAGCAGCCTAACTGGGAGGCACCCCCCAGTAAGGGCAGACTGACACATCACACGGCCAGGTACTCCTCTGAGACAAAACTTCCAGAGGAACGATCAGACAGCAATATTTGTGGTGCACAAAAATCAGCTGCTCTGCAGCCAACGCTCTTGATACCCAGGCAAACAGGGTCTGGAGTGGACCTCTAGCAAACTCCAACAGACCTGCAGCTGAGGGTCCTGTCTGTTAGAAAGAAAACTAACAAACAGAAAGGATATCCACACCAAAAACTATCTGTACATCACCATCCTCAAAGACCAAAAGTACATAAAACCACAAAGATGGGGAAAAAACAGAGCAGAAAAACTGGAAACTCTAAAAAGCAGAGGGCATCTCCTCCTCCAAAGGAACGCAGCTCCTCACGAGCAACGCAACAAAGCTGGATGGAGAATTACTTAGACGAGTTGAGAGAAGAAGGCTTCAGATGATCAAACTAATCTGAGCTACAGGAGGATGTTCAAACCAAAGGCAAAAAAGTTAAAAACTTTGAAAAAAATTTAGACGAATGTATAACTAGAATAACCAATACAGAGAAGTGCTTAAAGGAGCTGATGGAGCTGAAAGCAAAGACTTGAGAACTATGTGAAGAATGCCGAAGCCTCAGGAGCTGATGGGATCAACTGGAAGAAAGGTTATCAGTGATGGAAGATGAAATGAATGAAATGAAGCATGAAGGGAAGTTTAGAGTAAAAAGAAATGAACAAAGCCTCCAAGAAATATGGGACTATGTGAAATGACCAAATCTACGTCAGATTGGTGTACCTGAAAGTGATGGGGAGAATGGAACCAAGTTGGAAAACACTCTGCAGGACATTATCCAGGACAACTTCCCCAATCTAGCAAGGCAGGCCAACATTCAGATTCAGGAAATACAGAGAACGCCAAAAAGATACTCCTCGGGAAGAGCAACTCCAAGACACATAATTGTCAGATTCACCAAAGTTGAAATGAAGGAAAAAATGTTAAGGGCAGCCAGAGAGAAAGGTCGGGTTACCCTCAAAGGGAAGCCCATCAGACTAACAGCGGATCTCTCAGCAGCAACTCTACAAGCCAGAAGAGAGTGGGGGCCAATATTCAACATTCTTAAAGAAAAGAATTTTCAACCCAGAATTTCATATCCAGCCAAATTAAGATTCATAAGTGAAGGAGAAATAAAATACTTTACAGACAAGCTAATGCTGAGAGATTTTGTCACCACGAGGCCTGCCCTAAAAGAGCTCCTGAAGGAAACATTAAACGTGGAAAGGAACAACTGGTACCAACCACTGCAAAATCATGCCAAATTGTAAAGACCATCAAAGCTAGAAAGAAACTGCATCAATTAACGAGCAAAATAACCAGCTAACATCATAATGACAGGATCAAATTCACACATAACAATATTAACTTTAAATGTAAATGGACTAAATGCTCCAATTAAAAGACACAGACTGGCAAATTGGATAAAGAGTCAGGATCCATCAGTGTGCTGTATTCAGGAAACCAATCTCATGTGCAGAGACACACATAGGCTCAAAATAAAAGGATGGAGGAAGATCTACCAAGCAAATAGAAAACAAAAAAAGGCAGAGGTTGCAATCCTAGTCTTGGATAAAACAGACTTTAAACCAACAAAGATCAAAAGAGACAAAGAAGGCCATTACATAATGGTAAAGGGATCAATTCAAAAAGAAGAGCTAACTATTCTAAATATATATGAAGCCAATACAGGAGCACCCAGATTCATAAAGCAAGTCCTGAGTGACCTACAAAGAGACTTAGACTCCCACACAATAATAATGGGAGACTTTAACACCCCACTGTGAACATTAGACAGATCAACGAGACAGAAAGTCAACAAGGATACCCAGGAATTGAACTCAGCTCTGCACCAAGCAGACCTAATAGAAATCTACAAAACTCTCCACCCCAAATCAACAGAATATACATTTTTATCAGCACCACACCACACCTATTCCAAAATTGACCACATAGTTGGAAGTAAAGCTCTCCTCAGCAAATGTCAAAGAACAGAAATTATAACAAACTCTCTCTCAGACCACAGTGCAATCAAACTAGAATTCAGGATTAAGGAATTCACTCAAAACCACTCAACTACAAGGAAACGGAACAACCTGCTCCTGAATGACTACTGGGTACATAACGAAATGAAGGCAGAAATAAAGATGTTCTTTGAAACCAACGAGAACAAAGACACAACACACCAGAATCTCTGGGACACATTCAAAGCAGTGTGTAGAGGGAAATTTATAGCACTAAAAGCCCACAAGAGAAAGCAGGAAAGATCCAAAATTGACACCCTAACATCACAATTAAAAGAACTAGAAAAGCAAGAGCAAACACATTCAAAAGCTAGCAGAAGGCAAGAAATAACTAAAATCAGAGAAGAATTGAAGGAAATAGTCACACTATCTGACTTCAAACTATACTACAAGGCTACAGTAACCAAAACAGCATGGTACTGGCACAAAAACAGAGATATAGATCAATGGAACAGAACAGAGCCCTCAGAAATAACGCCGCATATCTACAACTATCTGATCTTTGACAAACCTGAGAAAAACAAGAAATGGGGAAAGGATTCCCTATTTAGTAAATGGTTCTGGGAAAACTGGCTAGCCACATGTAGAAAGCTGAAACTGGATCCCTTCCTTACACCTTATACAAAAATTAATTCAAGATGGAGTAAAGGCTTAAAAGTTAGAACTAAAACCATAAAAACCCTTGAAGAAAACCTAGGCATTACCATTCAGGACATAGGCATGGACAAGGACTTCATGTCTAAAACACCAAAAGCTATGGCAACCAAAGCCAAAATTGACAAATGGGATCTAATTAAACTAAAGAGCTTCTGCACAGCAAAAGAAACTACCATCAGAGTCAACAGGCAACCTACAAAATGGGAGAAAATTTTTGCAAGCTACTCATCTGACAAAGGGCTAATATCCAGAATCTACAATGTACCCAAACAAATTTACAAGAAAAAAATAAACAACCCCATCAAAAAGTGGACGAAGTATATGAAGAGAGACTTCTCAAGAGAAGACATTTATGCAGCCAAAAAGCACATGAAAAAATGCTCACCATCACTGGCCATCAGAGAAATGCAAATCAAAACCACCATGAGATGCCATCTGACACCTGTTAGAATGGCAATCATTAAAAAGTCAGGGAACAACAGGTGCTGGAGATTGGTGGGACTGTAAACTTGTTCAACCATTGTGGAAGTCAGTGTGGCAATTCCTCAGGGATCTAGAACTAGAAATACCATTTGACCCAGCCATCCCATTACTGGGTATATACCCAAAGGACTATAAATCATGCTGCTATAAAGACACATGCACACGTATGTTTAATGCAGCACTATTCACAATAGCAAAGACTTGGAACCAACCCAAATGTCCAACAAGGATAGACTGGATTAAGAAAATGTGGCACATATACACCATGGAGTACTATGCAGCCATAAAAAATGATGAGTTCATGTCCTTTGTAGGGACATCGATGAAATTGGAAATCATCATTCTCAGTAAACTATCACAAGGACAAAATCCAAACACCACATGTTCTCACTCATAGGTGGGAATTGAACAATGAGAACACCTGGACACAGGAAGGGGAACATCACACTCTGGGGACTGTTGTGGGGTGGGGGGAGGGGGGAGGGATAGCATTAGGAGATATACCTAATGCTAAATGACGAGTTAATGGGTGCAGCATACCAGCATGGCACATGTATACATATGTAACTAACCTGCACAATGTGCACATGTACCCTAAAACTTAAAGTATAATAATAATAAAATTTAAGAAAGAGAAACTGCTTTGTGATATCTGTATTCATCTTGCGGTGTTAAATTTTTATTTTGATACAGCAAGTTTGAATCTCTCTTTTTTTATTATTATACTTTAATTTCTGGGGTACGTGTGTACAGTGTTTCGTTTTGTCACATATGTATACGTGTGCCATGTAGGTGTGCTGCACCCATTAAATAGTCATTTAGCATTAGGTATATCTCCTAATGCTAACCCTCCTCCATACCCTAACCTCACAACAGGCCCCGGTGTGTGATGTTCTCCTTCCTGTGTGCATGTGTTCTTATTGCTCAATTCCCACCTATGAGTGAAAAAATGCGGTGTTTGCTTTTTTATCCTTGTGATAGTTTGCTGAGAATGATGGTTTCCAGCTTCATCCATGTCTTTACAAAGGACACGAACTCATCATTTTTTATGGCTGCATACTGTTCAATGGTGTATATGTCTTAATCCAGTCTATCATTGATGGATATTTGGGTTGAGTCCAAGTCCTTGCTATTGTGAATAGTGCCACAGTAAGCATACGTGTGTGTGTGTCTTTATAGCAGCATGATTTATAATCCTTTGGGTATATACCCAGGAATGGGATGGCTGGGTCAAATGGTATTTTTCATTCTAGATCATTGAGGAATTTCCATGATGTCTTCCACAATGGTTGAACTAATTTAGAGTCCCACTAACAGTGTAAAAGTGTTCCTATTTCTCCACATCCTCTCCAGCACCTGTTGTTTCCTGATTTTTTAATGATCGCCATTCTAACTGATGTGAGATGGTATCTCACTGTGGTTTTGATTTGCATTTCTCTGATGGCCCGTGATGATGAACATTTTTTCATGTGTCTTTTGGCTGCATAAAAGTCTTCTTTTGAGAAGTGTCTGCTCATATCCTTTGCCCACTTTTTGGTGGGGTTGTTTTTTTCTTGTAAATTTGTTTGAGTTCTTTGTAGATTCTGGATATTAGCCCTTTGTCAGATGAGTAGATTGCAAAAATTTTCTCCCATTCTGTAGGTTGCCTGTTCACTCTGATGGTAGTTTCTTTTGCTCTGTAGAAGCTCTTTAGTTTAATTAGGTCCCATTTGTCAATTTTGGCTTTTGTTGCCATTGGTTTGGTGTTTTAGACATGAAGTCCTTGCCCATGCTTATGTCGTGAATTGTATTGCCTAGGTTTTCTTCTAGGGATTTTTTGGTTTTAGGTCTAACAATTAAGTCTTTAATCCATCTTGAATTAATTTTTTAAAAAGTGTAAGGAAGGGATCCAGTTTCAGCTTTCTATCTATGGTCAGCCAGTTTTCCCAGCACCATTTATTAAATAGGGAATCCTTTCCCCATTTCTTGTTTTTGTCAGTTTTTTGAAAGATCAGATGGTTGTGTGTGAGTGGTATTATCTCTGAGGTCTCTGTTCTGTTGTATTGGTCTATATCTCTGTTTTGGAACCAGTACCATGCTGTTTGGTTACTATAGCCTTGTATAGGCCTATGTTTAAAAAAAAAGCACTCAATATCCCCAGATAAAAACTAGGAAGAAGCTATCTGTGAACTTCTTTTTGATGAGTGGATTCATCTCATAGAGGTCAACGTTTCTTTTGATACAGCATGTTGGAAACACTGTTTTCATAGAAACTGCAAAGAGAAATTTTGAAGCTTTTTGAGACAAATGTTCACAGATAAAAACTAGAAAAAAGCTTTCTGTGAAACAGCCCTATAATCTGTGGATTCATCTCACAGAGATTAACCACTCTATTGAATCAGCAAGTTTTGTACACTCTTTTTGTGGAATCTGTGAAGATATTTTGGGAGTCCACAGAGGCCTGTGGTGGAAAACCAAATATTCCCAGATAAACACTAGAAAAAAGCTATCTGTGAAACTGCTTTCTGACGTGTGGATTCATCTCACAGTGGGAAACATTTGTTTTCATTTAACAGCTTGGAAACACTATTTGTTAGTATCTGCAAAGGGACATTTGGGAGCCCACAGGGGCCTATGGTGAAAAATAAAATATCCTCAGATAAAAACTAGGAAAAAGCTATCTGTAAATCAGCTTTGTGATGTGTGGATTTGTCTCACAGAGTTAAATTTTTCTTTTGCTAAAGCAGGTTTGAAACACTCTTTAGGTAGAATCTGTGAAGGGACATTTGGGAACCCATAGAGGCCTATGGTGAAAAACAGAATATCCCCAGATAAAATCTAGAAAGAAGCTATCTGTCAAACTTTTTTGTGACATGTGGATTCAACTCACAGAGTTAAAACTTTTCTTTTATTAAGCAGGTTTGAAACACTCTTTTGGTAGAATCTGTAAAGGGAGGTTTGGGAACCCCAAAGGCCTATGGTGAAATACAGAATACCCCCAGATAAAAACTAAAAATAAGCTCTCTGTGAAACAGCTTAGTGATATGTGGATTCATCTCAAAGGGTTAAACTTGTTTTTGATTCACTAGGTTAGAAACACTTTTTTTCTAGAATCTGTGAAGGGACTTTTTTGAGCCCACTGTAGTTTATGGTGACAAACCAAATATCCCAAGATCAAAACTAGAAAGGGTCTATCTGTGAAACTTCTTTTTGATGTGTGGATTCATCCCAGAGAGGTAAACCTTTGTTTACATTCAGCATGTTGCAAACAGTACTTTTGCAGAGTCTGCGAAGGGACTTTTGAAAGTCCTTTGAGTCCTTTGGTGAGAAACCAAATATCTGCAGATAAAAACTAGGAAGAGACTATCTGTTAAACTGCTTTTTGATATGTCGCTTCATCTCAGAGTGTTGAATCTTTCTTTTCACTCAGCAAGTTGGAAACACTCTTTGGTTAGAATGTATGAGGGAACATTTGGGAGAATTTTGAGTCCTATGGTTAAAAACCGAATATCCCTAGTTAAAAACTAGATAAAAGCTGTCTTTGAAACTGCTTTGTGATGTGTGCATTCATCTTACAGAGATAAATTTTTATTTTGATACAATAGGTTTGAAACTCTCTGTTAGGGGAAATTCAGCCCCCGATATTTCAACATGAGTCCTATTCTATTTTACCTAAGTGTTGACTGGTCTAAGAAATTAACAGAAAATTACAAAGACAAAAATTTTTAAAGCTGGGTGTCCAGGGGTGACATCACATGTTGGCAGGTTCCGTGATGCCCCCTGAGCCATAAAACCAGCATTAGTGATTTTCAAAAGGAGAGGGGGTGTACGAGCAGGATGCGGGTCACAGAGATCACATGCTTCACAATGTAATAAAATATCAAAGGGCAAAGGGAGGCAGGGTGAGATCAAAGGACCAGGGCGAAATTAAAATTGCTAATGAAGTTTCGGGCATGCTTTGTCATTGATAACATCTTATCATGAGACAGGATTTGAGAACAGACAACCGGTCTGACCAAAATATATTAGGTGGGAATTTCCTCATTCTAATAAGCCTGGGAGCACTATGGGAAACTGGGGCTTATTTCATCCCTTATCTACAACAGTAAAAGACAGATGTTCCCAGGGAAGCCATTTCAGATGCATAACCCTAGGAATGCATTCTCTTTCTCAGGGCTGTTCCTTGCTGAGAAAAAGAATTCAGCCATATTTCTCCTATACGCTTTTCAAAGAAGAGAAATACGGCTCCGTTCCACCCGGCTCTCAGGCAGCCAGACCTAATGTTTGTCTCCCTTGTTCCCTGAACATCACTGCTATCCTGTTCTTTCTTCAAGGTGCCCAGATTTCATATTGTTTAAACAATTTTTGCAGTTAATGCAATCATCACGCGGTCCCGAGATGACATTCATCCTCAGCTTAAGAAGCTGATGGGATTAAGAGATTAAAGACATGCAAAGGAAATCACAAGGGTATTGATAGGGGAAGTGATAAATATCCATGAAATCTTCACAATTTATATTCACAGATTGCAGTAAAGACAGGTGTAAGAAATAAATGTATTAATTTGGGGAACTAATAAATGTCCATGAAATCTTCACAATTTATGTTCTTCTGCCATGGCTTCAGCTCGTCCCTCTGATTGGGGTCCCTGACTTCCTGAAACACTCTCTTTAGGTAAAATCTGTGAAGGTAAATTTGGGAGCACTTTGAGGACTAAGGTGAAAAATAAAATATTCCCAGAAAAGAACTAGAAAGAACCTATCAGTGAAACTGCTTTGTAATTTGAGATTCACCTCAAAGAGTTAATCCTTTCTTTTCATTCAGTAGTTTGGAAACCCTCTATTTGGAGATTCTGCTAAAGGATGTTTGTGAGCCCTCAGAGGCATATGGTGAAAAACAGAATATCCACACATAAAAACCAGAGAGAAAGTATCAGTGAAACTATTTTGTGATATGTGGATTCATCTCACAGAGTTAAACCTTTCTTTTGATACAGCAGATTTGAAACACTTTTTTGGAAGAATCTGCAAAGGGAAATATGGCAGCCCATAGAGGCCTAAGTTTAAAAACCAAATATCTTCATATAAATACTAGGAAGAAGGTATCAGTGAAACTGCTATGTGATTGAGGATTCATCTCACAGAGTTAAATATTTCTTATGATTCAGCAAGTTGGAAACACGTCTTATAGAACCTGCAGAGAGACATTTGGAAGCCCATAGAGACCTAAGGTGAAAAACCCAATATCCCCAGATAAAAACTTGAAGGAATCTATCTGTTGTACTGCTCTGTGATGTGTGGATTCATCTCACTGAGTTAAACCTATCTTTTGATTCAGCAGGTTGGAAGTATTCTTTTGGTAGAATAACAGTTTTTTTGGACTCTGGTGAATAACCAAATATCCCAAGATAAAGCCTAGAAAGACTCTGTCTCTAAAACTGCTTTTATGTGTGGGTTCATCTCACAGAGTTAAACATTTCTTTTGATTCAGTAGCTTGGAAACAGTCTTTTGGTAGAATTTGTGGAAACACATTTGGGAGCCCATAGAGGCCTAAGGTGAAAAACTGAATATCTCCAGATAAAAGCTAGAAAAAAGCTATCCGAGTAACTGCTTTGTAATGTGTGGATTCATCTCACAGATTTAAACCTTTATTTTGACTCAGCAGGTTACAAATACTTTTGCCTTATAATTTGTATACTGACATTTGGGAGCCCATTAAAGCCTATGGTGAAAAATCGAATATCCCCAGATAAAAACTAGAAAGAAGCTATCCTTGAAAATGCTTTGTGATGTGTGGATTCACCTCAAAGACTTTAAACTTTTCCTTTGATTCCACAGGTTTGAAACACTCAGTTTTTGGAAACTGTGAGGGGGTATTTTGGCGTCCCTTGAGGCCTATTGTGAAAAACAAAATATCCCCAGATAAAAACTAGAAAGAATCTATTTGTGAAGTGCTCTGTGATGTGTAGATTCATTGCACAGAGTTAAACTTTCTTCTGATACAGCAGGATGGAAACAGTCTTTAGAAAGAATCTGAGAAGGAACACTTATAAGCCCATAGAGGCCTATGGTGTAAAACAGAATATCCCCACATAAAAACTATCAAGAAGCTATCTGTGAAACTGCTTTGTTAAGTGTGGATTCAGCTCAAAGGTTAAACCTTTCTTTTGATTCAGCAGGTTGCAAACACTCTTTTGCTAGATCTGTTAAGGGACATTTGTGAGCCCATTGTAGCACACTTTGAAAAATGGAATATTCAAAGATAAAAGCTACAGAGAAGCTTTTAGTGAAGCTACTTTGTGATGTGTGGATTCTTCTCACAGAGTTAAAGTTCTCTGTTGATTCAGCAGTTTGGAAACACTCTATTGGTAAAATCAGGAAAGGGATATGTGGGAGCCCATTGAGACCTATGGTGAAAAACAGAATATTCCCAGATAAAAATTAGAAAGAGGCTATCTGTGAAACTGCTCTGCGATGTGTGGATTCATCTCTCAGAGTTAAACCTTTCTTTTGTTTCAGCAGGTTGGAAAAACTTTTTTGGCAGAATCTGTGAAGGGCGTTTTTGTCTTTGGAAGCTTTTTGAGGTCTACGGTGAAAAACAAAATATTCACAGACAAAAACTACAAAGTAGCAATCTGTGAAACTACTTTGTGATGTGTGGATTCAACTCACAGAGATAAGCTTTACCTTTGATTCAGCGGGTTGGAAACACTTATTTTTTAGAACCTGAGAAGGGACATTTGGAAGCCCATTGAGGCCTATGGTGAAAAAAACAATATCCCCCATTAAAAATCAGAAGAAAGCTACTGGTGAAACTCCTTTCTGATATCTGGATTCACCACTGAGAGTTAAACCTTTCTTTTGATCCAGCAAATTTGAAACACTCTTCAGATAGAATACGCGAAGGGACATTTGGGAGACCATACAGTTCTATGGTGAAAAACAGAATATCCCCAGATATAATATGGAAAGAGGGTGTCTGTGAAACTGCTGTGTGATGTGTGGATTCACCTCGCAGAATTAAACATTTGTTTTGATTCAGCAGGTGTGAAACCGTCTTTTGGTAAGTTCTGCGAAGGGACATTTCAAAGCCCTTTAGGGTTTAAGGTGAAAAACCTAATATTTCTATATAAAAACTAGAAAGAAGCTACCTGTGAAGCTGCCTTGTGATGTGTGGATTTGTTTCACAGAGTTAAACATTTCTTTTGATTCAGTAAATGGGAAAAACTCTTATGGTAGAATCTTTAAAGGGCTGTATCAGAGCCCTTAGACTCGTATGGTAAAAACAAAATATCCCCAGACAAAAACTAGAAAGAAGCTATCTGTGCAACTGCTCTGTGATGTCTCAATTCAAATCACAAACTTAAACCTTTCTTTTGATTCACCAGGTTACAAAGACACTTTTTATGGAATCTGCGAAGGTACATTTGGGAACCCTTTCAGGAATGTAGTGAAAAACTGAATACCCCCAGATACAAACCAGAAAGAAGCTATTTGTGAAACTGCTTTTTTGAGTGTGGATTCATCTACAGAGATAAACCATTCCTTTGATTCAGTAGGTTGGAAACACTAGTTTTGTAGAATCTTCATGGGGCATTTTGAAGCCCTTTGAGGCCTATGTTAAAAAAAAACAAAAAAATAACAACAACAAAAAAAACAAAAAAACAAAAAAAAACCATTATCCCCTGATAAAAACTAGGAAAAAGCTATCTGTGAACTTCTTTATGATGTGTGGATTCATCTCACAGAGGTAAACGTTTCTTTTGATACAACATGTTGGAAACCACTGGTATCATATAATCTGTAAAGAGAAATTTGGAAGCTTTTTGAGGCCTATGATAAAAAACCGAATGTTCACAGATACCAGCTAGAAAGAAGCTATCTGTGAAACAGCCCCATGATCTGTTGGTTCATCTCACAGAGATAAACCCATCTATTGAATCAGCAAGTTGCGTACAGCCTTTTTGTAGAATCTGCAAAGAAACTTTGGGAGTCCATAGAGGCCTATGGTGAAAATCCAACTATCCCCAGATAAAAACTAGAAAATTCTATCTGTAAAACAGCTTTGTGATGTGTGGATTTATCTCACACAATTAAATTTTTATTTTGATAAAACAGGTTTGAAACACTCTTAGGTAGAATCTGTGAAGGGACTTTGGGGAACCCATACAGGCCTATGGTGAAAAACAGAATATCCCCAGATAAAATCTACAAAGAAATTATCTGTCAAACTGTTTTGTGATGTGTGGATTCATCTCACAGAGCTAAACCTTTTCTTTTATTCAGCAGGTTTGAAACACTCTTTTGGTAGAATCTGTGAAGGGAGGTTTCGGAACCCATAGAGGTCTATGGTGAAAAAAAGAATATCCCCAGATAAAAACTAGAATAAACTGTCTTTGAAACTGCTTTGTGATATGTGTGTTAATCTTACAGAGTTATATTTTTATTTTGATACAGCATGTTTGAATCTCTCTATCAGGGGAAATTCAGCCCCTGATATTTTAATGTGAGTTCTTTTCTACTTTCCCTACATGTTGGCTGGTCTGAGAAATAAAGGGAAAGAGTACAAAGAGAGAAACTTTTAAAGCTGGGTGTCCAGGGGAGACATCACATCTAGGCAGGTTCTGTCATGCCGCATGAGCAATAAAACCAGGAAGTTTTTATTAGTGATTTTCAAAAGGGGAAGGTGTGTATTAATAGGGTATGGGTCACAGAGATCACATGCTTCACAAAGTAATAAAATATCACAAGGCAACTGGAGGCAGGGTGAGATCACAGGACTGGGGCAAAATTATAATTGCTAATGAATTTTCAGGCACACATTGTCATTGATAACAACTTATGAGGAGACAGTGTTTCAGAGCAGACAACCGGTCTGACCAAAATTTATTAGGTGGGAATTTCCTCCTCCTAATAAGCCTGGGAGGGCTACAGGAGACTGGGGCTTATTTCTTCCCTTCTCTACAACCATAAAAGACAGATGTTCCCAGAGTGGCCATTTCAGAGTTCTACCCTTAGGAATACATTCTCTTTCTCAGGGCTGTTCTTTGTGGAGAAAAAGAATTCAGTGATATTTCTCTTATTTGCTTTTGAAAGAAGATAAATATGGCTCTGTTCTGCCCAACTCTCAGGAAACCAGACCTAATGATTATCTCCCTTGTTCCCTGATCATCACTGTTGTCCTGTTCTTTTTTCAAGGTTCCCAGATTCCATATTGTTTAAACAATTTGTGCAGTTCATGCAATCATTGCAGGGTCCTGAGGCGACATTCATAGTGATAAATGTCCATGAAATCTTCACAATTTATGTTCAGAGATGGCAGTAAAGACAGGTGTAAGAAATTATAAAAGTATTAATTTGGGGAACTAATAAAGGTCCATGAAATCTTCACAATTTATGTTCTTCTGCCATGGCTTCAGCTGGTCCCTCCATTCAGGGTCCCTGACTTCCCACAACATATCTCCCTTTCTGATGATATAAATGTGCCATGGCGATGAAGGTTTGTTCATTCTCTCGATTTTGATGCATGATTCTTTGACTGGTCTATCATATTAAGACAAGCCAATTAAACAGAGAAACATGATTCCAAAATTTACTACAGTGGAGCCCCCAGTAGACTTAATCCAAGTCGTGGGTTAGTCCATAAAGATTTTCTACTACCTGGTCTAATGCCTCAGCTCCAGGCACAATGGATAAGTGAGATTCAGAGGCCTCAAAAAGTTGTTTTTAATTTAGTTATGTCCAATGATAAATTATCTTCATCACCCAGAAGGTGTCCTTTGACCATTTCCCATGAATGATCATTCTCTTTACAGGATTATGGTGTGATATAGAAATCCGAAGTATTCCAGTCACACTGCATTTGCATGCAATGTTCGAGACTCACTACCCCATCTCCAAGCCAAATAACACTGTCTTAAATCATTAATTTGATTAGCCAATTTTTGATCAATGATTTGTTGAGAATTCCACATTTGGGTGGAATAGGCTTCCCAATCATTAGCAAAATGAGCCATTTGAATAGATTTATATAACACCATTCCAGCAGTGGTGGCCAGTGCAGTGACTGTAATTAGGCACATGATCACAGCAATTAAAGTGAAAACAAATCTCTTAGATCTTTTCAGAATTCGCTGTAACACTTCATTAATTAAATGTATTGACAGGGAGGATTCCCAGGTATGAGGACGCCACTTACCAAGACCCAATCACCCCCAAACAGTGATGGGAACATAATTCTCTGTTGGGACCAGTTCCCAGAATGTTGCACCAGCATGATCCCATACTTTTACATATACGGTTCCTTTTTCAGGAAACCAAGGACAGTATTTTTCCACCGCCCTGAATAGAGTGACCACATTTTCCATGGTTACTCAGACCCTTCCCTGTTTTAGTAGATCTACAACTAAGGTTCTATTTTTAGGAGGCCAAGGACAGTAGTTTACCACTGCCCTGAATAGAGTGACCATATTTTCCACAGGGTCTTAAACCCTTTTCTGTTTTAACTGGAGTTTAATATGGAAGAGATAAGTATAATTTTTATACTCCCTGTGACCCATAGTTAACCCGGACCATATACAGACTACTCATGAGTTGTCAGGGAGTCGAACGTGGGTTTTTGTGGACCAAACCAATGAAGTTTCTGCACACCTGCCAAAGGGAATCGGGTTGCCACATGCACTTGGGAAAAAGAAAAAACCGTTTTGGCATGCCAGATATTGGGGGAAACTACCCCAGGCAATTCTTCATGGGTTCTTTTCTATTTTCCCTAAGTTTGGCCAGTCTGAGAAATAAAGGGAAAGAGTACAAAGAGAGAAATTTTTAAAGCTAGTTGTCCAAGGGAGACACCACATGTAAGCAGGTTCCATGATGCCCCCTGAGCCATAAAACCAGAGAGTTTTTATTAGTGATTTTGAAAAGGGGAGGGAGTGTACGAATAGGGTGTGGGTTACAGAGATCACATGCTTCACAAGGTAATAAAATATCCAAGGCAAATGGAGGCAGGGCAAGATCACAGGACTGGGGCAAAATTTAAAGTGCTAATGAAGTTTCAGGCAAGCATTGTCATTCATAACATCTTATCAGGAGACAGGGTTTGAGGACAGAAAAACGGACTGGCCAAAATTTATTAGGCGGGAATTTCCTCATCCTAATAAGCCTGGGAGCACTACAGGAGACTGGGGCTTATTTCATCCCTTATCTACAACCAAAAAAGATAGATGTTCCCAGAGCTGCCATTTCAGAAGCCTACCCCAAGGGATGCATTCTCTCACTCAGGGCTCTTCCTTGCTAAGAAAAAGAATTCAGTGATATTTCTCCTATTTTTTTTTAAAGAAGAGAAATATGGCTCTGTTCCACCCGGCTCTCAGGCAGCCAGACCTAATGGTTATCTCCTTTGTTCCCTGAACATCGCTGTTATTCTGTTCTTTAATCAAGGTGCCCAGATTTCATATTGTTTAAACAATTTGTGCAGTTAACACAATCATCACACGGTCTTCAGGCAACATTTATCCTCAGTTTATGAAGGTGACAGGATTAAGAGATTAAAGAAAAGACAGGCATAGGATATCACAAGACCATTTACTGGGAAAGTGATAAATGTCCATAAAATCTTCACAATTTTTATTCAGAGATTGCAGTAAAGACAAGCATAAGAAATTATAAAAGTGTTAATTTGGGGAACTAATAAATGTTCATGAAATCTTCACAATTTATGTTTTTCTGCATACCTTCAGCTGGTCCCTCCATTCGGGGTCCCTGACTTCCCCCAACACTCTCTTTAGGTAGAATCTGGGAAGGTACATTTAGGAGCACTTTGAGGCCTATAGCAAAAAATAAAATAACCCCAGGAAAAATTAGAAAGAAGCTATCAGTGAAACTGCTTAGTAATGTGTGGATTCATTTCACAGGGTTAAACCTTTCCAATTCAGTAGGTTGGAAACCCTGTCTTTGGAGATTCTGCAAAAGGACGTTTGTGGGCCCTTAGAAGCCAGCAGTGAAAAACAGAATACCCACAGTTAAAAACTAGAAAGAAGGTATCAGTGAAACTGCTTTTTGATATTGGATTCATCTCACAGAGTAAAACATTTCTTTTGATACAGCAGATTTGAAACACGTTTGGAAGAATCTGGGAAGGGAGACATGGAAGCCCACAGAGGCTTATGTTCAAAAACCGGATATCTTCATACAAATACTAGGAAGAAGCTATCAGTGAAATCTCTATGTGATATGTGGATACATCTCACAGAGTTAAACCTTAGTTTTGATTTAGCAGCTTGGAAACACTCGTTTTGTGGAAACTGAAGAGAGACATTTGGGATCCCATAGAAACCTAAGGTGAAAAACACATTATCCCAAGATAAAAACTTGAAGGAATCTGTCTGTGAAACTGCTTTGTGATGTGTGGATTTATCTCACTGAGTTAAATGTATCTTTTGATTCGGGAGGTTGGAAACACTCTTTTGATACAATCTGCAAACGGACATTTGGGAGCCCTTTAAGGCCTACAGTGAAAAACAAAATATCTCCAAATAAAAACAGGAAGGAAGCTATTGGTGAAACTGCTTTGTGATGTGTGGATTCATCTTACAGAGTTCAACCTTGTTTTTCTTTCAGCATTTTAAAGACAATCTTTTGGTAGAATCTATGAAGGGATATCTTGTAGCAGTTTTTTGGCCTCTGTTGAATAGCCAAATATTCCAAGATAAAAACTAGAAAGACTCTGTGTGTAAAATTGCCTTTTGATGTGGGGATTAATCTGACAGGGTTAAAAATTTCTTTTGATTCAGTAACTTGGAAACACTCATTTGGTAGAATTGGTGGAAAGACATCTGGGAGCCCATAGAGGCCTAAGGTGAAAAACTGAATATCCCCAGATAAAAACTACAAAGACACTATCTGTGTAACTGCTTTGTTATGTGTGGATTCATCTCACAGAGTTAAACCTTTCTTTTGATTCAGCAGGTTGCACATACTTATGTTTTATAATCTACATAGTGACATTTGGGGGCCTATTAAAGCCTTTAGTGAAAAATCAAATATCTTCAGATGAAAACAACAAAGAAGCTATCTTTGAAACTGCTTTGTGATGTGTGGATTCATTTCAATGATTTAAACCTTTCTTTTGACTCAACATGTTGGAAATGCTGTTTTGCAACAATCTGCAAAAGGAGATTCATGAACCCATTGTAGTCTATGGTAAAAAGAAAAAAAAATTCAAGATAAAAATTAGAAAGAAGCTATCAGTGAATCTGCTTTGTGATTTGTGGATTTATCTCACAGAGTTAAACTTTCTTTTGATTCAGCAGGTTGGAAACACCTTTTTGTAGAATCTGTGAAGGGACTTTTGAGAGATATTTGAAGCTTATAGCGAAAAACCAAAGGGGTTGGAGCCAAGATGACAGAATATGAACAGCTCTAGTTTACAACTCCCAGTGTGAGTGACACAAAAGACGGGTGATTTCTGCATTTCCAACTGAGGTACCAGGTTCATCTCACTGGGTAGTGCCAGACAGTGGGTGCAGGACAGCCGGTGCACTGCACCGAGTGTGAGCCAAAGCTGGGTGAGGCATCGCCTCACCTGGGAAATGCAAGGGCTCAGAGAATTCCCTTTCTGAATCAAAGAAAGAGGTGAAAGATGGCACCTGGAAAATCGGGTCACTCCCAGCCTAATACTGCACTTTTCCAATGGTCTTAACAAATGGCACACCGACATTATATCCAGCGCCTGGCTAGGAGGGTCCTACACCCATGGAGCCTCTCTCATTGATAGCACAGCAGTCTGAGATCAAACTGCAAGGCAGCAGTGAGGCTGGGAGAGAGGCGCCCACCATTGCCGAAACTGGAGTAGGTAAACAAAGTGGCCAGGAAGCTCAAACTGGGTGGAGCCGACTGCAGCAAAAAGAGGCTTGCCTGCCTCTGTAGACTCCACCTCTCGGGGCAATGCATAGCTGAACAAAAGGCAGCAGAAACCTCTGCAGACTTAAACATTCCTGTCTGACAGCTTTGAAGAGAATAGTCGTTCTCCCAGCATGCAGCTTGAGAACTGAGAACGGGCAGACTGCCTCCACAAGTTGGTCCCTGACCCCCAAGTAACCTAACTGGGAGACACCCCAAAGTAAGGGAAGACTGACACCTCACACAGCCAGGTACTACTCTGAGACAAAACTTCCAGAGGAACTATAAGACAGCAACATTTGCTGTTCACCAATATCTGCTGTTCTGCAGCTTCTGCTGCTTATACCCAGGCAAACAGGGTTTGGAGTGGACCTCCAGCAAACTCCAACAGACCAGCAGCTGAGGGTCCTGACTGTCAGAAGGAAAACTAACAAACAGAAAGGACATCCACACCAAAGGTGATCTGTAAGTCACCATCATCAAAGACCAAAAGTAGATAAAACTACAAAGATTGGGGAAAAACAGCAGAAAAACTGGAAACTCTAAAAATCAGAGTGCCTCTCCTCCTCCAAAGGAGCACAGCTACTCAACAGCAATGGAACAAAGCTTGATGGAGAATGACTGTGACGAGTTGAGAGAAGAAGGTTTCAGACAATCAAACTACTCTGAGCTAAAGGAGGAAGTGTGCACCCATGGCAAAGAAGTTAAAAACATTGAAAAAAATTAGACGAATGGCTAACTAGAATAATCAATGCAGAGAAGTCCTTAAAGGACCTCATGGAGCTGAAAACCATGGCACAAGAACCACGTGACGAATGCATAAGCCTCAGTAGCTGAATCGATCTACTAGAAGAAACGGTATCAGTGGTGGAAGATCAAATGAATGAAATGAAGCAAGAAGAGAAGTTTAGAGAAAAAAGAATAAAAAGAAGTGAACAAAGCCTCCAAGAAATAAGGGACTATGTGAAAAGACCAAATCTACGTCTGATTGGTGTACCTAAAAGTAATGGGGAGAGTAGAACTAGGTTGGAAAACACTCTGCAGGATATTATCCAGGAGAACTTCCCCAATCTAGCAAGGCAGGCCAACATTCAAATTCAGGAAATACATAGAACACCACAAAGATACTCCTCGACATTAGCAATTCCAAGACACATAATTGTCAGATTCACCAAAGTTGAAATGAAGGCAAAAATGTTAAGGGCAGCCAGAGAGAAAGGTCGGGCTACCCACAAAGGGAAGCCCTTTAGACTAACAGCTGACCTCGTGGCAGAAACTCTACAGGCCAGAAGAAAGTGGGGGCCAATATTCAACATTCTTAAAGAAAAGAATTTTCAACCCAGAATTTCATATCCAGCCAAACTAAGCTTCATAAGTGAATGAGAAATAAAATCCTTTACACACAAGCAAATGCTGAGAGATTTTGTCACCACCAGGTCTGCCCTAAAAGAGCTCCTGAAGGAAGCACTAAACATGGAAAGGAACAACTGGTACCAGCCACTGCAAACACATGCCAAATTGTAAAGACCATCGAGGCTAGAAAGAAACTGCATCAACTAACAAGCAAAATAACCAGCTAACATCATAACGACAGAATCAAATTCACACTTAACAACATTAACCTTAAATGTAAATGGGCTAAATGCTCCAATTAAAAGACACAGACTGGCAAATTGAATAGAGTCAAGACCCATCAGTGTGTTGTATACAGGAAACCGATCTAATGTGCAGAGACACACATAGGCTCAAAATAAAAGGATGGAGGAAGATCTACCAAGCAAATGGAAAACAAAAAAAGGCAGGGGTTGCAATCCTAGTCTTGGATAAAACAGACTTTAAACCAACAAAGATCAAAAGAGACAAAGAAGGCCATTACTTAATGGTAAAGGGATCAATTCAACAAGAAGAGCTAACTATTCTAAATATATATGCACCCAATACAGGAGCACCCAGATTCATAAAGCAAGTCCTGAGTGATCTACAAAGATATTTAGACTCCCACACATTACTAATGGGAGAATTTAACACCCCACTGTCAACATTAGACAGTTCAATGAAACAGAAAGTTAAAAAGGAAATCCAAGAATTGAACTCAGCTCTGCACCAAGTGGACTTGATGGACATCTACAGAATTCTCCACCCCAAATCAACAGAATATACACTATTTTCAGCACCACATCACAGTTATTCCAAAATTGACCACATAGTTGGAAGTAAAGCACTCCTCAGCAAATGCAAAAAACAGAAATTATAACATACTGTCCCTCAGACCCCAGTGCAATCAAACTAGAACTCAGGATTAAGAATCTCACTCAAAACCACTCAACTGCATGGAAACTGAACAACCTGCTCCTGAATGACTACTGGGTACATAACGAAAAGAACGCAGAAATAAAGATGTTCTTTGAAACCAACGAGAACAAAGACAGAACATACCAGAATCTCTGGGACACATTCAAAGCAGTGTGTAGAGGGAAATTTACAGCACTAAATACCCACAAGAGAAAGCAGGAAAGATCCAAAATTGACACCCTAACATCACAATTAAAAGAACTAGAAAAGCAAGAGCAGACACATTCAAAAGCTAACAGAAGGCAAGAAATTACTAAGATCGGAGCAGAACTGAAGGAATAGAGACACAAAAAACCCTTCAAAAAATCAATGAATCCAGTAGCTGGTTTTCTGAAAAGATCAACAAAATTGATAGACGGCCAGCAAGACTAATAAAGAAGAAAAGAGAGAAGAATTAAATAGATGCAATAAAAAAGACAAAGGGGATAATACCACCAATCCCATAGAAATACAAACTACCATCAGAGAATACTATAAACACTTCTATGCAAATAAATTAGAAAATCTAGAAGAAATGGATAAATTCCTTGTCACATACATCCTCCCAAAACTAAACCAGGAAGAATTTGAATCTCTGAATAGACCAATAACAGGATCTCAAATTGAGGCAATAACTAACAGTTTACCAACCAAAAAAAGTCCAGGACCAGATGGATTCACAGCCGAATTCTACCAGAGGTACAAGGAGGAGCTGCTACCATTCCTTCTGAAACTATTCGAATCAATAGAAAAAGAGGGAATCCTGCCTAACTCATTTTATGAGGCCAGCATCATCCTGATACCAAAGCCGGGCAGAGACGCAACCAAAAAAGAGAATTTTAGACCAAAATCCTTGATGAGCATCGATGCAAAAATCCTTAATAAAATACTGGCAAACGGAATCCAGCAGCAATCAAAAAGCTTATCCACCATAATCAAGTGGGCTTCATCCCTGGGATGCAAGGCTGGTTCAACATACGAAAATCAATAAACATAATCCAGCATATAAACAAGAACCAAAGACAAAAACCACATGATTATCTCAATAGATGCAGAAAAGGCCTTTGACAAAATTCAACAACACTTCATGCTAAAAACTCTCAGTAAATTAGGTATTGATGGGACGTATCTCAAATAATAATATCTATGACAAACCCACAGCTAATATCATACTGAATGGACAAAAACTGGAAGCATTCCCTTGAAAGCAGGAACAGGACAGGGAAGCCCTCTCTCACCACTCCTATTCAACATAGTGTTGGAAGTTCTGGCCAGAGCAATCAGGCAGGAGAAGGAATGAGATAACATCTCACACCAGTTAGAATGGTGATCATTAAAAAGTCAGGAAACAACAGGTGCTGGAGAGGATGTGGAGAAATAGAAACACTTTTACACTGTTGGTGGGACTGTAAACTAGTTCAACCATTGTGGAAGTCAGTGTGGTAATTCCTCAGGGATCTAGAACTAGAAATGCCATTTGACCCAGCTATCTCCTTACTGGATATATACCCAAAGGATTATAAATCATGTTGCTATAAAGACACGTGCACACGTATGTTTATTGTGGCACTATTCACAATAGCAAAGACTTGGAGCCAACCCAAATGTCCAACAATGATAGACTGGATTAAGAAAATGTGGCCCATATACACCATGGAATACTATGCAGCCATAAAAAATTATGAGTTCTTGTCCTTTGTAGGGACACGGATGAAGCTGGAAACATCATTCTCAGCAAACTATCACAAGGACAAAAAAACAAACACCGCATATTCTCACTCATAGGTGGGAATTGAACAATGAGAGCACATGGACACAGGCAGGGGAATATCACACACCAGGGCCTGTTGTGGGGTGGGAGGATGGGGGAGGGATAGCATTAGGAGATATACCTAATGCTAAATGATGAGTTAATGGGTGCAGCACACCAATATGGCACATGTATACATATGTTACAAACCGGCACGTTTGTTGTGCACATGTACGCTAAAACTTAAAGTATAATAAGAAAACAAAAAAAAATCCAAAAATCCCCAGATAAAAACTAGAAGGAAGCTCTTTGTGAAACTGTTTGGGATGTGTTTATTCATCTAACAGAGTTTAATTTTTCTGTCTATATAACATGTTTGAAACATTTTTTAGATAGAGTCTGTGAAGGGGTATTTAAGAGTCCATAGAGGCCTATGGTGAAAAATAGAATATCCCCAGACAAAAAGTAGATAAAAGCTAAAATGTAACTACATTGTGAGGTATGGATTCCTCTCAGAGTTAAACCTTTCTTTTGACACAACAGGTATGAAACAGTCTTAATTAGTGTCTGCGAAGGGACATTTAAGAGCCCACAGAGGCCTATGGTGAAAAACTCAATAACTCCAGATAAAAACAAGAAAGAAGCTATTTGTTTAACTTATTTGTAATGTCTGTATTTATCTAACAGAGATAAACATTTACATTGACCCAGCAAGTTGGAATCACCCTTTGGTAGAATCTGCCAAGGGACATTTGGGATCCCTTAGAGGCCTATTGTGAAAAACTGAATAACTTCAGATAAAAACTAGGAAGAAGGTACCTGTTTAGCTTATTTGTAATGTCTGGATTCATCTCACAGAGATAAACATTTATTTTGATTCAGGAAGTTGGAATCACTCTTTTGATAGAATCTTCCAAGGGAATTCTGGGATCCCTTAGAGGCCTATTGTGACAAACTGAATATTCCTTGATAAAAACTGGAAAGAAGCTATCTGTGAAACTGCATTGTAAAGTGTGGATTCATGCCACAGAGTTAAACGTTTCTTTTGATTCATCAGGTTGGAAACACTCTTTTTGTAGACTTTGTGAAGAGACATTTTGGAGCCCATTAAGTCCTATGTTGAACAACCCAATATTTCCAGATAAAAAGCAGAAGAAAGCTATCAGTGAAACTGCTTTGTGATGTGTGAATCGTCTCACAAATTTAAAATTTTTGTTTTTGATTAAGTAGGTTGGAGACACTAATTTTGTAGAATCAGTGATGGGATATTTCAGAGCCCATTAAAGCCTATGGTTGAAAACCAAACATCCCAAGATAAAACCTGAAAAGGAGCTACCAGTGAAACTGCTTTGTGATGTTTGGATTTATCTCACAGAGTTAAACCTTTCTTTTGATTCAGCACGTTGTAAACCCTCTTTTGGTAGAATCTGCACACAGACCTATCATAGCCCATTGAGGCCTATGGTGAAAAAACAGATATCCCCAGATAAAAACCAGAAAGAAGCTATTTCTGAAACTTCATTGTGATTTTTACCTTTATCTCAGAGTTAAATCTCTGTTGATTCAAAAGGATGGAAACATTCTTTTTGTAGAATCTACAAAGGGACACATGGGAGCCCTTTTAGGCTTATGGTGAAAAACCAAATGTCCCTACATGAAAACTAGAAAGAAGCTATCAGTGAAACTGTTCTTTTGAAGTGTGCGTTTACCTCACAGACTTAAACCGTTCTTTGATTCTGCAGGTTTGAAACACTCATTTGGCAGAATCTGTGAAGGGATATTTTGGAGCCCATTGAAGCCTACTGTGAAAAACAAAGTATCCCCAGATACAAACTAGAAAGACACTATCTGTGAAGTGCTCTGTGCTGTGTGGATTCATTGCACAGAGCTAAGCCTTTCTTTGGATACAGCAGGATGGAAACACTCTTTACATAGAATCTGTGAAGGAACATTTATAAGCCCATAGAGTCCTATGGTGAAAAACCGAATAACCCCACGTAAAAACTATCAAGAAGCTATCTGTGAAACTGCTTTGTTAAGTGTTTATTCAGCTCAAAGGTTTAAAGCTCTCTTTTGATTCAGCAGGTTGCGAAAACTATTTTGCTAGAATCTGCAAAGGGGCATTTACAAGCCCATTGTAGCACACTGTGGAAAATTGAATATTCGAAGATAAAATCTAGCAAGAAGCTTTTAGTGAAACTACTTTGGGATGTGTGGATCCTACTCACAGAGTTAAACTTTTCTATTGATTCAGCAGTTTGGAAAATCTCTTTTGGCAAAATTGGGAAAGGGACATGTTCAAGCCCATTGAGACCTATGGTGAAAAACCGAATATTTCCAGATAAAAACTAGAAGGAAGCTATCTGTGAAACTGCTCTGCAATGTGTGGATTCATTTCACAGAGTTAAGCCTTTCTTTTGATTCATCACGTTGGAAACACTTTTTTGGCAGAATCTGCGAAGGGAGATTTGGAAGCTTTTTGAGGTCTATGGTGAAAAACAGAATATTCACAGATAAAAACTACAAAGTAGCTATCTGTGAAACTGCTTTTTGATGTGTGCATTCATCTCACAGAGATAAGCTTTTCCTTTGATTCACCAGGTTGCAAAAACTCATTTTGCAGTACCTGAGAAGAGACATATGAAGCCCATTGAGACATATGGTGAAAAAGACAATATCCCCAGTTACAAACTAGAAGGAAGCTACCTGTGAAACTACTTTGTGATGTTAGGATTCACCACTCAGAGTTAAACCTTTCTTTTGATCCAGCAAATTTGCAATACTCTTCAGTTAGAATATGCAAAGGGACATTTGGGAGACCATAGAGGCCTATGTTGAAAAAGAGAATATCCCCAGATAAAAACTAGAAAGAAGGTGTCTGTGAAACTGTTGTGTAATGTGTGGATTCACCTCACAGAATTAAATGTTTGTTTTGATTCAGTGGATGTGAAACCCTTTTTCGGTAGGATATGCGAAGGGACATTTGGAAGCCCATTGAGGTTTATGGTGAAAAACCAAATATTTCTAGAAAAAAACTAGAAAGAAGCTGCCTGTGAAACTGCCTTGTGATGTGTGGATTCGTTTCACAGAATTAAAAATTTCTCTGGATTCTGAAAATTGGAAACACTGTTATGGTAGAATCTTTCAAGGAATATTTTGGAGCCCTTAGAGGCCTATGGTAAAAAAAAAAAAAAAAAAAAAAAAGTATAAAAACTAGAAAGAAGCTATCTGTGAAACTGCTTAATGATATCTGGATTTAAATCAGAAAGGTAAACCTTTCTTTTGATTCAGCAGTTTGCAAGCACTCATTTTATAGAATCTGTGAAGGTACATTTGAGAACAATTTCAGAAATGTTGTGAAAAACAAAATACCCCCAGATACAAATCAGAAAGAAGCTATTTGGGAAACTGCTTTTTGGATGTGTGGATTCATCTCACAGAGATAAAACTTTCCTTTGATTCAGCAGGTTGAAAACACTCGTTTTGTATAATCTGCATGGGGCATTTTGGAGTCTGTTGTGGCCTATGGTAAAAAAATAATAATAATAATATCACCATAAAAAATGGAAGAAGCTATCTGTGAACTTCTTTGTGATATGTGGATTCATCTCACAGAGATAAAATTTTCCTTTGATTCAGCAGGTTGAAAACACACGTGTTGTAGAATCTACATGGGGCATTTTGAAGCCCTTTGAGGTCTATGACAAAAAAGCCCACAATATCCCCATATAAAAACTAGGAAGAAGCTATCTGTGAACTTCTTTGTGATGTGTGGATTCATCTAACAGAGGTCAACGTTTCTTTTGATACAGTGTGTTTGAAACACTGTTTTCGTAGTATCTGCAAAGAGAAATTTGGGAGCTTTTTGAGGTCTATGGTGAAAAACCCAATGTTCACAGATAAAAACTAGAAAGAATCTTTCTGTGAAACAGCCCTGTGATCTGTGGATTCATCTCACAGAGATTAACCTGTGTATTGAATCAGCAAGTTGCATACACTCTTTTGTAGAATCTGTGAAGAAACTTTTGGGAGTCCATGGAGGCCTATAGTGAAAAACAGAATATCTCCAGATAAACACAAGAAAAAAGCTATCTGTGAAACTGCTTTGTGATGTGTGGATTCATCTCAAAGTGTCAAATCTTTCTTTTCATTTAACAGCTTGGAAACACTCTTTTGTTAGAATCTGCAAAGGGACATTTGAGAGCCCTTGGGGGCCTTTGGTGAAAAACAAAATATCCCGAGATAAAAACTGGAAAAAAGCTATCTGTAAAACAGCTTTGTGATGTGTGGATTTATCTCACAGAGTTAAGTTTTTCTTTTGATAAACCATGTTTGAAACACTCTTTAGGTAGAATCTGTGAAGGGACATTTGGGAACACATAGAGGTCTACAGTGAAAAACAGAATGTCCCCAGATAAAATCTAGAAAGAAGCTATCTGTCAAACTCTTTTGTGATGTGTCAATTCATCTCACAGAGTTAAACCTTTTCTTTTGTTAAGCATGTTGGAAACACTCTTTTGGTAGAATCTGTGAAGGGAAGTTTGGGAACCCCAAAGGCCTATGGTGAAAAACAGAATATCCCCAGATAAAAACTAGAAAGAAGCTCTCTGTGAAACAGCTTAGTGATATGTGGATTCATCTCAAAGGGTTAAACTTGTTTTTGATTCACTGGGTTAGAAGCACTCTTTTTCTAGAATCTGTAAAGGGACATTTTTGATCCCACTGTAGTCCATAGTGACTAACCGAATATCCCAAGATCAAAACTAGAAAGAGGCTATCTGTGAAAGTTGTGATATGTGGATTCATTCCAGAGAGGTAAACCTTTCTTTTAATTCAGCAGGTTGCAATCAGTACTTTTGCAGAGTTTGTGAAGGGACATTTGAAAGCCTTTTGAGTCCTTTGGTGTCCACAGATAACAACTATGAAGAAACTATCTGTTAAACTGCTTTTTGATATGTGGTTTCATCTCACAGTGTTGAACCTTTCTTTTTACTCAGCAGGTTGGAAACACTCTTTGGTTAGAATGTATCAGGAAATATTTGGGAGTTTTTTGAGGCTGATAGGGAAAAACCAAATATCCCCAGATAAAAACCAGAAAGAAGCAGTCTTTGAAACTGCTTTGTGATGTGCGGATTCATCTCAAAAACTTAAACCTTTCTTTTGACTCAGCATGATGGAAACACTCTTTTGCTAGAATCTGCAAAAAGAGATATGTGAGCCCACTGTAGTCGATGGTAAAAATATATATATATTTCAAAATAAAAACTATAAAGAAGCTATCAGTGAATCTGCTTTGTGATGCGTGGATTCATGTCACAGAGATAAGCCTTTCCTTTGATTCAGCAGGTGGGAAACACTCATTTTGAAGAACCTGAGAAGGGACATTTGGAAGCCCACTGAGGTCTATTGTGAAAAAAACAATATCCCCAGTTACAAACTAGAAGGAAGCTACTTGTGAAACTGCTTTTTAATGTGTGGATTCACCACTCAGAGTTAAACCTTTCTTTTGATCCAGCAAATTTGAAATACTCTTTAAGTAGAATATGGGAAGGGACATTTGGGAGACCTTAGAGGCCTATGCTAAAAAACAGAGTATCCTCAGATAAAAACTAGAGAGAAGCTGTCTGTGTAACTGCTGTGTGATGTGTGGATTCACCTCACAGAAATAAACGTCTGTTTTGATTCAGCAGGTGTGAAACCCTCTTTTGGTAGGAAGGGACATTTCGAAGCCCATTGAGGTTTATGGTGAAAAAGCAAATATTTCTTGATAAAAAGTAGAAAGAAGCAACCTGTCAAACTGCCCTGTGATGTGTGGATTCATTTCACAGAATTAAACATTTCTCTTGATTCAGTAAATTGGAAACACTCCTATGGCAGAACCTTTCCAGGTACATTTTGGAGCCCTTAGAGACCTATGATAAAAAACCAAGTATCCTCAGATAAAAGATAGACAGAAGCTATCTGTGAAACTGCTTTCTGATGTCTGGATTCAAATCACAAAGTTAAATCTTTCTTTTGATTAAGCAGGTTAAAAACACTCTTTTTATAGAATCTTTGAGGGTACATTTGGGAACCCTTTCAGGAATATAGTGAAAAACTGAATATCCCCAGATAAAAACCAGAAAGAAGCTATTTGTGAAACTGCTTTTTTGATGTGTGGATTCATCTCACAGAGATAAACGTTTCCTTTGATTCAGCAGGTTGGAAACACTCATTTTGTAGCATCTTCTTGCAGCATTTTGAAGCCCTTTGAGGCTTATGTTAAAATATATATATATATATATATATATATATATATATATATATATTCCCAGATAAAACTAGGAAGAAGCTATCTGTGAACATCTTTGTGATGTGTGGATTCATCTCAGAGATAAACGTTTCTTTTGATACACCATGATGGAAACACTGATTTGTAGAATCCACAGAGAGAAATTTGGGAGCTTTTTGAGGCCTATGATGAAAAACCCAATGTTCACAGATAAAAACTAGAAAGAAGCTATCTGTGAAACAGTCCTGTGATCTGTGGATTCATTTCACAGAGATAAACCCATCTATTGAATCAGCAAGCTGCATACATTCTTTCTGTAGAATCAGTGAAGAAACTTTTGGGAGTCCATGGAGACCTATGGTGAAAAACTGATTATCCCCAGATATACACTAGAAAAAAGTTATTGGTGAAACTTTAAACACTAGAAAAAAGCTATCTGTGAAAATGCTTTGTGATGTGTGGATTCCTCTCAAAGTGTCAAATCTTTCTTTTCATTTCACAGCTTGGAAACACTCTTTTGTTAGAATCTGCAAAGGGACATTTGAGAGCCCTTGGGGGCTTATGGTGAAAAACAAAATATCCCGAGATAAAAACTAGAAAAAAGCTATCTGTAAAACAGCTTTGTGATGTGTGGATTTACCTCACACAGTAAAATTTTTCTTTTGATAAACCATGTTTGAAACACTCTTTAGGTAGAATCTGTGAAGGGACATTTGGGGACACATAGAGGCCTACGGTGAAAAACAGAATATTC
Source organism: Homo sapiens (assembly GCF_000001405.40). Classification (NCBI taxonomy): domain Eukaryota; kingdom Metazoa; phylum Chordata; class Mammalia; order Primates; family Hominidae; genus Homo; species Homo sapiens. The sequence goes on along the minus strand of NC_000019.10, from coordinate 24,257,012 downwards.
CCAGATAAAATCTAGAAAGAAGCTGTCTGTCAAACTGTTTTATGATGTGTGGATTCATCTCACAGAGTTAAACCTTTTATTTTATTAAGCAGATTGCAAGCAGTCTTTTGGTAGAATCTGTGATGGGAGGTTTGGGAACCCATAGAGGCCTGTGGTGAAAAACAGAATATCCTCAGATAAAAACTACAAAGAAGCTCTCTGTGAAACTGCTTAGTGATATGTGGATTCATCTCAAAGGGTTAAACTTGTTTTTGATTCACTGGTTTAAAAACACTCTTTTTCTAGAATCTTTGAAGGGATATTTGCAAGCCCACCATAGTCCATAGTGACAAACCAACTATGACAAGATCAAAACTAGAAAGAGGCTATCTGTGAAACTTCTTTGTAATGTGTGGATTAATCCAAGAGAAGAAAATCTTTCTTTTAATTCACCAGGTTGCAGTCAGTATTTTTGCATAGTCTGCAAAGGGACACTGAAAGCCCTTTGAGTCCTTTGGTGAGAAACTAAGTGTCCACAGATAACAACTAGGAAAAAACTATCTGTTAAACTGCTTTTTGATATGTGGTTTCATCTCACATTGTTGAACCTTTCTTGTTACTCAGCAGGTTGGAAACACTCTTTGGTTAGAATGTATGAGGAAACATTTGGGAGTTTTTGAGTCCTATGGTGAAAAACAGAATATTCCCAGATAAAAACAAGAAAAAATCTGTCTTTGAAGCTGCTTTGTGATGTGTGCATTCATCTTACAGAGTTAAAATTTCATTTTGATACAACAGGTTGGAAACTCTCTTTAGGTAGATTCTACAAAGGTACATTTGGGAGCACTTTGAGGCCTATGGTGAAAAATAAAATAACTCCAGATAAAAACAAGTAAGAAGCTATCTGTGAAACTGCTTTCTACTGTGTGGATGCACCTCACAGATTTAAACCTTTCTTTTGATTCAGCAGATTGGAAACCTTCTTTTTGAGGATTCTGCAAAAGGACGTTTGTGAGCCCTTAGAAGCCTATGGTGAAAAACAGAATATCCACAGATAAAAACGAGAAAGAAGGTATCAGTGAGACTGCTTTGTGATATGGGGATTCATCTCACAGAGGTAAACCGTTCTTTTGATTCAGCAGATTTGAAACACTTCTTTGGAAGAATCTGTGAAGGGACATATGGAAGCCCATAGAGGCCTATGTTAAAAAACTGAATATCTTCATATAAATACTAGGAAGAAGCTATCAGTGAAACCTCTTTGTGATGTGTGGATTCAACTCACAGATTTAAACATTTCTTTTGATTCAGTAGCTTGGAAACACTTGTTTTGTGGAACCAGCAGAGTGACATTTGGGAGCCCATAGAGACCTAAGGTGAAAAACACAATATCCCCAGCTAAAAACTCGAAGGAATCTATCTGTGATACTGCTTTGTGATGTGTGGATTCATCTCACTGTGTTAAACCTATCTTTTGATTCAGCAGATTGAAAACACTGTCTTGGTAGAATCTGCAAAGGGACATTTGGGAGCCCTTTACAGCCTACAGTGAAAAACCAAATATCTGCAAATTAAAACTAGAAACAAGCTATCTGTGAAACTGCTTTGTCTTGTATTTATTCATCTCACAGAGTTCAACCATCCTTTTCATTCAGCATTATAAAAACACTCTTTTGGTAGAATCTATGAAGGGACATTTTGTAGAGGCTTTCTGGCCTCTGGTGAGTAACCGAATATTCCAAGATAAAAACTAGAAAGACTCTGTCTGTAAAACTGTTTTTGATATGTGGATTCACCTCACAGAGTTAAACATTCCTTTTGATTCAGTCGCTTGGAAACACTTGTTTGCTAGAATCAGTGGAAAGACATTTGGGAGCCCATAGAGGCCTGAGGTGAAAAACTGAATATCCCCAGATAAAAAGTAGAAAGAAGCTGTCTGTGTAACTGCTTTCCTATGTGTGGATTCATCTCACAGTGTTAAACCTTTCTTTTGACTCAGCAGATTGTAAACACCTTTTTGAAGAATCTGCGAATGGGCATTTTAGAGAACTTTGAAGCATGTAATGAAGAATCAAAAATCCCCAGATAAAAACTACAAAGTAAGTACTGTGAAACTGCTTGAGATGTGTTTATTCATCTAACAGAGTTAAATATTTCTGTCAATATAGCATGGTTCAAACATTTTTTAAATAGTATCTGTGAAGGGACATTTAAGAGCCCATAGAGGTCTATGGTGAAAAACAGAATATCTCCAGATAAAAAGTAGAAATAAGCTAAATATGTAACGGCTTTGTGATGTATGGATTCACCTCACTGAGTTAAACCTATCTTTTGATTCAGCAGGTTGGAAACACTCTTTTGGTAGAATCTGCAAAGGGACATTTGGGAGCCCTTTTAAGCCTATAGTGGAAAGCTGAATATCTCCAAATAAAAATTAGAAAGAAGCTATCAGTGAAACTGCTTTGTGATGTGTAGATTCATTGCACAGAGTTAAATCTTTCTTTTGATACAGCAGGATAGAAATACTTTTTAGATAGAACCTGTGAATGAGCGTTTATAAGCCCACAGATGCCTATGGTGAAAAACTGGATATCCCCACATAAAAAGTACAAAGAAGCTCTCTGTGAAACTGCTTTGTTAAGTGTGGATTCAGCCCAAAGGCTTAAACCTTTCTTTTGATTCAGCAGTTTGCAAACATTCTTTTGCTAGAATCTGTGAAGGGACATTGCCAGCCCATTGTGGCACACTGTGAAAAATTGAATATTGAAAGATAAAAACTAGAAAGAAGGTTTTAGTGAAACTACTTTGTGATGTATGGAATCTACTCACAGATTTAAATTTTTCTATTGATTCAGCAGTTTGGAAACACTCTTTTGGTAAAATCGGGAAAGGGACATGTGGGAGCCCATTGAGACCTATGGTGAAAAACTGAATATTCCCATATATAAACTAGAAAGAAGCTACCTGTGAAACTTCTCTGCGATGTTTGGATTCATCTACAGAGTTAAATCTTTCTTTTGATTAAGTGGGTTGGAAACACTTTTTGGCAGAATCTGAGAAGGGAGGTTTGGAAGGTATTTGAGCCCTATGGTGAAAAACAGAATATCCACAGATAAAACTACAAAGTAGCTACCTGTGAAACTGCTTTGTGATGTGTGGATTCGTCTCACAGAGATAAGCCTGTCCTATGACTCAGCTGGTTGGAAATACTTGTTTTGTAGAACCTGAGAAGGGACATTTTGAAGTCCATTGAGGCTATGGTGAAAAAAACAATATCCCCAGTTGAAAACCAGAAGGAAGCTACCTGTGGAACTGCTTTGTTATGTGTGGATTCACCACTCAGAGTTAAACCTTTCTTTTGATTCAGCAAGTTTGAAATACTCTTCAGTTAGAATAAGCGAAGGGATATTTGGGAGACCGTAGAGGCCTACGGTGAAAAACAGAATATGCCCAGATAAAAACTAGAAAGAAAGTGTCTCTGAAACTGCATGTCATGTGTGGATTCACCTCACAGAATTAAACGTTTGTTTTGATTCAGCAGGTGTGAAATCCTCTTTTCGTAGGATATGCAAAGGGACTTTTTGAAGCCCATGATTTTTTTGGTGAAAAACCGAATATTTCCAGACAAAAACAAGACAGAAGCTATCTGTGAAACTGCCTTGTGATGTGTGGATTCGTTTCACAGAGTTAAACATGACTTTTGACTCGGTAAATTGGAAAAACTCTTATGGTAGAATCTTTCAAGGGACATTTCAGAGTCCTTAGAGGCCTATGGTAAAAGACCAAATATCCCCAGATAAAAACTGAAAGAAGCTATCTGTGAAACTGCTTTGTGATATCTGGATTGAAATCACAAAGTTAAATCTTTCTTTTGATTCAGCAGATTAAAAACACTCTTTTTATGGAATCTGCAAAGGTACATTTGGAAACCCTTTCAGGAAGCAGTGAAAAACCGAATACCCCCAGACACAAACCAGAAAGAAGCTGTTTGTGAAACTGCTTTTTTGATGTGTGGATTCATCTCACAGAGATAAACCTTTCCTTTAATTCAGGAGGCTGGAAACACTAGTTGTGTAGAATCTACATGGGGCATTTTGAAGCCCTTTGAGGTGTATGGTTAAAAAAAAAATCCTCATATAAAAACTAGGAAGTAGCTATCTGTGTACTTCTTTGTGATGTGTGGATTCTTCTCACAGAGGTCAACGTTTCTTTTGATACATCATGTTTGAAACACTGTTTTCACAGGATCTGCAAAGAGAAAAATGGAGCTTTTTGAGACCTACAGAGAAAAACGAAATGTTCACAGATTCATACAAGAAAGAAGTGATCTGTGAAACAGCCCTGTGATCTGTGGATTCATTTCACAGAGATAAACCTGTCTATTGAATCAGCAAGTTGCATACACTCTTTTTGTACAATCTGTGAAGAAACTTTTGAGAATCCATGGAGGCCTGTGGTGAAAAACCGAATATTCCCAGATAAACACTAGAAAACTGCTATCTGTGAAACTGCCTTGTGATGTGTGGATTCATCTCACAGTTTGAAACCTTTCTTTTCATTTAACAGGTTGTAAACACTCTTTTGTTAGAATCCATGAAGGGACATTTGGGAGCCCATGGTGGCCTATGGTGAAAAACCAAATATCCCCAGATAAAAACTAGAAAAAAGCTATCTGTAAAACAGCTTTGTAATGTGTGGATTTATCTCACAGAGTTAAATTGTTCTTTCATTAAAACAGATTTGAAACACTCTTTAGGTAGAATCTGCAAAGAGACATTTAAGAACCCATAGAAACTTCTTTGTGATGTATGGACTCATCCAAGAGAGGTAAATCTTCATTTTAATTCAGCAGGTTGCAAACAGTACTTTTGTAGAGTCTGCGAAGGGACATTTGAAAGCCTTTTGAGTCCTTTGGTGAGAAATCAAATGTCCACAGATAACAACTAGGAATAAACTCTTTGTTAAACTGCTTTTTGATATGTGGTTTCATCTCACAATGTTGAACATTTCTTTTTATTCAGCATGTTGGAAACACTCTTTTTTTAGAATGTATGAGGAAATATTTGGGAGCTTTTTGAGGCCTATAGTGAAAAACCAAATATCCCCAGATAAAAACTAGAAAAAAGCTGTCTTTGAAACTGCTTTATGATGTGTGTATTCATCTTACAGAATTAAATTTTGATTTTGATATAGTGGGTTTGAAACTCTCTATCAGGGGAAAATCAGCTCCTGATATTTCAACGTGAGTCCTTTTCTATTTCCCCTAAATGTCAACCCATCGAAGAAATAAAGGGAAAGAGTAAAAAGAGAGAAATTTTTAAAGTTGAGTGTCTGGGGGAGACATCACAATGTTGGCACGTTCTGTGATGCCCCCTGAGCCATAAACCCAGCAAGTTTTTATTAATGATTTTCAAAATGGGAGGGTATGTACGAATAAGATGTGGGTCACAGAGATCACGTGCTTCACAAGGTAATAAAATATCACAAGGCAAATGCAGGCAGGGCAAGATCACAGGACTGGGGTGATATTAAAATTGCTAATGAAGTTTTGGCCACACATTGTTGTTCATAACATCTTATCAGGAGACACGGTTTGAGAACAGACAACTGGTCTGACCAATATTATTAGGTGGGTATTTCTTCATCCTAATAAGCCTCAGAGCACTGCGGGAAACCAGGGCTTATTTCATCCCTTGTCTACATCCATAAAAGACAGACATTCCCAGAGTGGCCATTTCAAAGGCCTACACCTAGGAATGCATTCTCTTTCTCAGGGCTGCTCCTTGCTGAGAAAAAGAATTCAGCCATATTTCTCCTATTTACTTTTGAAAAAAGAGAAATATGGTTCTGTTCTGCCCAGCTCTCAGACAGCCAGACATAATGGTTATCTCCCTAGTTCCCTGAACATCTCTCTTATCTTGTGCTTTTTTCAAGTTGCCCAGCTTGCATAATGTTTTAACAATTTGTGCAGTTAACACAATCATCACAGGGTCCTGAGGCAACATTCATCCTCAGCTTATGAAGATGATGGGATTAAGAGATTTAACAGAGGCATAGGAAATCACACAAGTATGGTTTGGGAAGTGATAAATGTCCATGAAATCTTCACAATTTATGTTCAGAGATTGCAGTAAAGATAGATGTAAGAAATTATAAAAGTATTAATTTGGGGAACTAATACATGTCCACAAAATCATCACAATTTATGTTCTTCTACCACGGCTTCAGCCAGTCCCTCCATTCAGGGTCCCTGACTTCCTGCAACATTTCTCCTTCTCTTTTTATATAAATGTGCCATGTTGATGAACACTTGCTCATTCTCTCCATTTTGACACTGGATTCTTTGACTGGTCTGGCACACTAAAGACAAGCAAATAAACAGAGAAACATAATTCCAAAATTTACTTCAGTGGAGCCCACAATAGACCTAATCCAAGTCGTGGGGTTTAATCCATAAAGGTTTTCTACCACATGATCTAATGCCTCAGCTCTAGGCATAATGGATAAGTGAGATTCAGAGGCTTCAAAAATTTGTTTTTAATTCAGTTATGTCCAATGATAAATTACCTTCCCTACCCAGAAGGTGTCCTTTGACCATTTCCCATGAATGATCAGTCTCTTTATAGGAGTACACGGTTATACAGAAATCTGAAGTATTCCAGTCACACTGAATTTGCATGCAATGGTCGAGACTCATTACCCGATCTCCAAGCCAAATAACACATTGTCTTTTTTTTCTTTTTATTATTATTATTATTATACCTTAAGTTTTAGGGTACATGTGCACAATGTACAGGTTAGTTACATATGTATACATGTGCCATGTTGGTGTGCTGCACCCATTAACTCATCATTTAGCATTAGGTATATCTCCTAATGCTATCCCTCCCCCATCCCCCAACCCCACAACTGTACCTGGAGTGTGATGTTCCCCTTCCTGTGTCCAAGTGTTCTCATTGTTCAATTCCCATCTATGAGTGAGAACATGTGGTGTTTGGTTTTTTGTTCTTGCGATAGTTTACTGAGAATGACAATTTCCAATTTCATCCATGTCCCTACAAGGGACATGAACTCATCATTTTTTATGGCTGCATAGTATTCCATGGTGTATATATGCCCCATTTTCTTAAGCCAGCCTATCATTGTTGGACATTTGGGTTGGTTCCAAGTCTTTGCTATTGTGAATAGTGCCACAATAAACATATGTGTGCGTGTGTCTTTATAGCAGCATGATTTATAGTCCTTTGGGTATATACCCAGTAATGGGATGGCTGGGTCAAATGGTATTTCTAGTTCTAGATCCCTGAGGAATTGCCACACTGACTTCCACAATGGTTGAACTAGTTTACAGTCCCACCAACAATGTAAAAGTGTTCCTATTTCCCACATCCTCTCCAGCACCTGTTGTTTCCTGACTTTTTAATGATTGCCATTCTAACTGGTGTAAGATGGTATCTCATTGTGGTTTTGATTTGCATTTCTCTGATGGCCAGTGATGATGAACATTTTTTCATGTGTCTTTTGGCTGCATAAATGTCTTCCTTTGAGAAGTGTCTGTTCATATCCTTTGCCCAATTTTTGATGGGGTTGTTTGCTTTTTACTTGTAAATTTGTTGGAGTTCTTTGTAGATTCTGGATATTAGCCATTTGTCAGATGAGTAGGTTGTGAAAATTTTCTCCCATTTTGTAGGTTGCCTGTTCACTCTGATGGTAGTTTCTTTTGCTGTGCAGAAGCTCTTTAGTTTAATTAGATCCCATTTCTCAATTTTGTCTTTTGTTGCCATTGCTTTTGGTGTTTTAGACATGAAGTCCTTGCCCATGCCTATGTCCTGAATGGTATCGCCTAGGTTTTCTTCTAGGGTTTTTATGGTTTTAGTTCTAACTTTTAAGCCTTTACTCCATCTTGAATTAATTTTTGTATAAGGTGTAAGGAAGGGATCCAGTTTCAGCTTTCTACATATGGCTAGCCAGTTTTCCCAGAACCATTTACTAAATAGGGAATCCTTTCCCCATTTCTTGTTTTTGTCAGGTTTGTCAAAGATCTGATAGTTGTAGATATGCGGCGCTATACCAATAACAAACAGAGAGCCAAATTATGAGTGAACTCCCATTCACAATTGCTTCAAGGAGAATAAAATACCTAGGAATCCAACTTACAAGGGATGTGAAGGACCTCTTCAAGGAGAACTACAAACCACTGCTCAATGAAATAAAAGAGGATACAAACAAATGGAAGAACATTCCATGCTCATGGGTAGGAAGAGTCAATATCGTGAAAATGGCCATACTGCCCAAGGTAATTTATAGATTCAATGCCATCCCCATCAAGCTACCAATGACTTTCTTCACAGTATTGGAAAAAGCTACTTTAAAGTTCATATGGAACCAAAAAAGAGCCTGCAACACCAAGTCAATCCTAAGCCAAAAGAACAAAGCTGGAGACAACACTCTACCTGACTTCAAACTATACTACAAGGCTACAGTAACCCAAACAGCATGGTACTGGTACCAAAACAGAGATATAGATCAATGGGACAGAACACACTGTCTTAAGTCATTGATTTGATTAGCGAATTTTTCTTCAATGCCTTGTTGAGAATTCCACATTTGAGTGGAATTGGCTTGCCAATCATTAACAAAAGGAGCTGTTTGAGTAGATTGATGTAGTGCCATTCCAGCAGTGGGGTATAGGCCCATGATCACAGCGATTAAAGTGAAAACAAATCTCTTAGATCTTTTTAGAATTCACTGTATCACTTCATTAATTAAGTGTATTGACAGGGAGTATTCTCAAGGTCTGGGCAAAGTTACCTGAATCCACATTCCTTCTCAAGCTCGAACAAACGTTACACTTTTCCTGGGGTCAAAATGGAAGTTAATACAAGTTTATAAATGACAATTAATGCATTGGGTACTCTGACTGTTCGTTCAAATTTTGATATTTCCCACTAACAGCATGTAAGGAAGCTTAACAAAACTGTATATGGGAACCATCAGGATGGAGGTAAGTAAAGTAGAATGTCTGGATCTATGTTGATGCTGAGAGAGGGGGACAGTAGTGGGGACAACAGACAGAATAGTTTCCCCTTCCCCTACTCACAGTACAGACATGTCAATAGCAAATTTCCAAAGTTCTGGGTGTTCTGGGCTCAGAATGGGGAGTATCATACAAGGCCTCGGGGGGTAATGCCTTTATCTTCCCATTTTAAGGGAAAGAATGAGTTGAACCTCCTATGCAAAGTAGAATGATGATTCTAGTTCTCCCAATAAGAAATAAAATAAGTACCCTTCAGGTATTCCTTTCTGCCAGAGAAGCAATTTTTTTTAAATAGCCCTTTTGTGCCCAGTCTATTACTAAACCATACGAGTCTTTTTTAATATTACTGCATGTGAGTTAACACAATCTTCCCAAATTAAGGTTGTAGGTGGGCCTTCAAAATTTTTAGAACATGGTTTTCCTGCAAGTTTATATTGAAAGTATGGGGTATCTCCCGTTACTCCCCCTTTCATTTGTTTTAAAGGATAAAGGGAGAGGCCAGAGACCAAATGTCCAGTTCCTCTGTAGCTGATTTCTCCAGAAGACAAGCAACCCACACTTGAATTTCTAGATGGATACAACCAGGTGCATGTCCGAGGCACAGAGGTGGGTATTTATAATGAATGGTAACATTAAATGCTGTGCCTTCTTCTCCTGGTTGAGCAAGGCAATGTTCTTCTGCAGCTCCAGGCAGCCACACACTATCGTTAGTGCAGATTACTGCAGGAGCATCATTCCAGGTGAGAGGTCGAATAAGTGGAGGAAAAGGCACATAAGCCCAATAAGAATAATTTTGTGTAGTAGGTAAATCAGTGTGAAAGGAAACTGGTGAGAGAGAAAGTATAAGGAGGAGAATAATTAAATAAAACCTAGTGTAAGCGAGATTTAGTGGTGAAGGAGGAAGAGAAGAACAAAGGGATGTCATTTTTTTGCTAATATAAATGGTGAGATTTTTGGATTTTTAAGGAGAAAAAGAAAGGTAATCAGAAGAAGTGGGATTAGTTAGATGGGTCTCCGTTGCAATCAGGAAGGTTTGAGTCAGACCCATTTTGATTTGGTGTGCCAACTTCTGAGGAGTTGGCACAGATCTCACCACGTCTGAGGGCGTTTGGTGACGTGGACGTCTTTTCTCTGTGGTTTTTTTTGGTGATCTCCTGGCAAAACACAAGCATATCCTCTTTCCCACATTAAGTAGAATAGAGACAATATTTAAAGGTTTGGGGAAATCCTGTAAGGCAGTAATTACAGCAATCAACTCTACCTTTTTAGCAGAGATATAGAGGTAAAAATAAGCTTATCTGTACGACCTACACAACCATCATTGCCATTACAAGAACTATCAGAGAACACTGTAACGGTTTCACAAATGGGCTGATCTTTGGTTAATCGAGGGACCACCCAAGGAGTCATTTTTATAAAATTAAACAATTTGTTCTTTGGATAATGATTGTTAGTAACACCAATAAAATCAGTCAAGTGAATTTGACACAGTAGGTAATGTTGAAAGGGGGCTGAACTTCAAGGTGATTTAAAAGAACTACAGTCAAATTTGGAAAAAATCTGGAAATTTTAAATATTTTGCACTGAGCTTGTCCAATTAAGATGGCCAGTTGTTCCAGATAATCAAAGTTTTTGACACATAGTGAGGAAGAAAACATCACTCCACTAAATCATTATGTTGAACGATTAGTCCCATAGGGGAATGTAATGAAGCGAAAACCAGAAGCTGAAAAGGTTGAAACGGATGTATTCTAGATAACTGGGCCATCTGGATTCTTTCCTCTATGAATTCCAGTTCTAGTGAAGCCTCAGGGGTCAAAGTTCTGGGACTGCCGAGATTGGAATCTCCCCAAAGCACAGAAAACAAGTTAGACAACGCATAGGTCAGAATGCCTAAAGTAGGTCTTAAATAATTAATGTCACCCAAAAGTTTTTGGAAGTCATTTAAAGTTTTCAAAGAATCTCTCCTAATGTGAACTTTTTGAGGTTGAATACGTTGTTTATCGACCACCATTCCTAAATATTGAACACGGGTGGTCTGTTAAATTTTATCCTGAGTGATGGGTAATCCAGGCTCTGTAACATCGTGGCAAAAAATTTGATAACAGTCCATTAATTCTTTATCAGTGGGGCCAGTAATTAAATATCATCAATATAATGATGAATATAGGCCTGGGGAAATTGGGCTTGAACTGGTGAAAGCAATTGCCCAACATAAACGTGGCAGATTGTAGGGCTATTTAGCATTCCCTGAGGAAGTACTTTCCATTGATAATGAGCTGCAGGCTCCTACTTATTGATAGATGGTACAGCAAAAGCAAATTTTTCACAATCTGATTTATGTAAAGAAATATGAAAAAAACAATCTTTAAGATCAATAACTATGAGAGGCTAATTTTTAGGTATTAAAGCAGGGGCAGGCATGCCATCTTGGATGGCACCCATAGGTTTAATTAAAGGGTTAATGGCCCTTAAATCAGTTACCATCTGCCACTTGCCTGATTTCTTTTTTACTAGAAACACAGGAGACTTCCAGGGGGAAAGATAAGGTTCCACATTTCGAGGTTGTAACTGTTTAGAAACAAAGTGAGTTAAAGCCTCCAGTTTTTCTTTAGAAAGCAGCCACTGCTGAATCCAAACGGGTGTGTCAGATTTCCATTGTAAAGGGATAGGATCAGGAGGCGTGGCAGTGGCTGCCACTAAAAAGGATAACCTAAACCATTACTGTCTTATTTTACAGTAATTGGGAGGGGTTTAGTAATCCCTTCATGTTTTGCACTGAGACCGAGTCCAGGAAAAAACAACATGTTTTCCATCACATGCTGATGGGGAGTACCATAAGAGTTATGTGGAATATTAATTTCAGCCTCAGTATCTACTAGGCCCTCAAACTTTTTTCCAGGAATGTGTATGGTGTGGGTGGGCCATTGTTTAGAAATTACATTAATCCAATAAGCAGCCTTTTCACCACAGAAGCCAATCCCAGGGCCACGTGTCTTATCTCATTTGTTTAAAATGATATTAGGTAGTAAAAGTAATTGAACTTCTTTAACAGTAGTAAAAGAAACAGGAGCTTGGCCTGGGGCACGTAATGTATTGCAAGCTCTCATACACACCTTTGTTACTTGTTTTCTGGTAAGAGCATCAAAGCCTAATTGGGCATAAGTATCAGAGAAACTATCAGAGCCTGTGAGCTGAGCCTGAGTAATTAGAATGCCATTAGTCTGATTTAGCTGAGCCTGGAGATGGCCCTTCTCTGCCCGCCAGGCTGAGATGGGGTTAGAAGAGCTTATGTCAAAAGGTCCCAGTCTAAAGGAAGCAAAGTTGCCTCCACACAAAGTTTGTAATGCTGTTTTAACATTAGGAGAAGTAGGACCATACTGAGTACAAGAATCCTTAAATTCTTTTAAAAAGGTAAGATTGAGTCCCACATACTGATGCAGACTAGTTTGAGAATGTGAGAAAGGGACATTGAAGGAGTAAAAGAGGCAGAGGTATACTGATGATGACTGGCATCCATGTGTGAAGAAGGCTACAGACAAGCAGGTTGAGTGGATGGCAAAGTGGCTGGTTGAGGAACCAAAATGACAGGAGGGTGAGGGGCTGTAGTGGATGGGGGAGGGCCTGGAGAATTATAGGTAAATTGTAGTTTGCTGCTGGAGCCATTATCTGATGCTGGAGGCTTGAGGAGAGAAGAATTAGCATACCTATGGTCCTGGGCTGTGTGAGTCATGGCCACGGGAGCTTCAAGTACCAGCTCTTCATGAAAAGAAGTAAGATAAGTAGGGGTTAGCATTCAGCCAAAGTCAGCAGAGTTAGATATTGAAGTCTCAGCATCATTAAATGGGGGAGGAGTAGGCAAAGGGAGAGGCTGATCAGATAATGAAGGCCGTGCGGGAGAGGAAAGTTGAGGAGGTATTAGGATGGCACTTACCAAGTCCCAATCACCCCCAAACAGTGATGGGAACATAATTTCCTGTCCAGACCAGTTCCTGGAATGTTGCACCAACACAATCCCTTACTTTTACATATACAGTTCCTTTTCCAGGAAACCAAGGACAGTATTTTTCCACCACCCTGAATAGAGTGACCATATTTTCCATGGTTACCATGTTTTCCATGGGCACTCGAACCCTTTTCTGTTTTAACTGGAGTTTAATATAGAAGAGATGAGTATAATTTTTATACTCCGTGTAACCCACAGTTAACCCAGACCATACAGAGGCTACTCACCAGTTGTCAGGGAGTCGAACCTGCATTTCTGTGGACCAAACCAATGACGTTTCTGTGCACCTACAAAAGGGAATCGGGTTCCCACATGCACTTGGGAAAAGGAAAAAACCACGTTGGTGCACCAGATATTAGGGGATCCGACCTCCAATAATTCTTTGTGGGTTCTTTTCTATTTTCCCGGGGAGACATCACATGTCGGCAGGTTCCATGATGCCACCTGAGCCATAAAACCAGCAAATTTTTATTAGTGATTTTCAAAAGGGGAAGGAGTATAGGAATAGGGTGTGGGTCACAGAGATCACTTGCTTCACAAGGTAATAAAATATCACAAGGCAAATAGAGGCAGGGTGAGATCACCCAGCACTAGGGCAAAATTAAAAATGCTAATGAAGTTTTGGGCACACATTGTCACTAATAACATCTTGTCAGGAGACAGGGTTTGAGAACAGACAACTGGTCTGACTAAAATTTATTAGGCAGGAATTTTCTCGTCTTAATAAGCCTGCTATGGGAGACTGGGCTTATTTCATCCCTTACCTACAACCGTAAAAGACAGATTTTCCCGGAGCAGTCATTTCAGAGGCCTATCCCTAGGAATGCATTCTTTTTCTCAGAGCTGTTCCTTGTCAAGAAAAAGAATTCAGTGATATTTCTCCTATTTGCTTTTGAAAGAAGAGAAATATGGCTCTGTTCCACCCAGGTCTCAGGCAGCCAGAACTAATGGTTATCTCCCTTGGTCCCTGAACATCGTTGTTACTATGAACTTTTTTCAAGGTGCCCAGATTTTATATTGTTTAAACAATTTGTGCAGTTAACAGAATCATCACAGGGTCATGATGGGATTAAGAGATTAAAGTAAAGAAAGGCATAGGAAATCACAAGAGTATTGATTGGGGAAGTGAGAAATGTCCATGAAATCTTCACAATTTATGTTCAGAGATTGCAGTAAAGACAGGTGTGAGAAATTATAAAAGTATTAATTTGGGAAACTAATAAATGTCCATGAAATCTTCACAATTCATGTTCTTCTGCCATGGCTTCAGCGGGTGCCTCAGTTCTCAGTTCAGGGTCCCTGACTTCCTGCAACTCCCTCTTCAGGTAGAATCTGTGAAGTTACATTTGGGAGCACTTTGAGGCCTATGATGAAAATAAAATATCCCCAGATAAAAACTAGGAAGAAGCTATCAGTCAAACTGCTTTGTCATACGTGGATTCACCTCACAGAGTTAAACCTTTTTTGATTCAACAGATTGGAAATTCTCTTTTTGGAGATTCCGCAAAATGACGTTTGTGAGCCCTTAGAGGCCTATGGTGAAAAACAGAATATCCACAGATAAAAACTAGAAAGAAATTATCAGTGAAACTGCTGTTTGATATGTGGATTCATCTCAGACTTATACCTTTCTTTTGATACAGCAGATTTGAAACACTTTTTTGGAAGAATCTGTGAAGGGACATATGGAAGCCTACAGAGGCCTATGTTAAAAAATTAAATATCTTAATATAAATACTAGGAAGAAGCTATCAGTGAAACCTCTTTGTGATATGTGGATACATCTCACAGAGTTAAACATTTCTTTTGATTCAGCAGCTTGGAAACACTCGTTTTGTAGAACCTGCAGAGAGGTATTTGGGAGCCCATAGAGACCTAAGTTGAAGAACCCAATATAATCCGATAAAAACTTGAAGGAATCTATCTGTGAAACTGTTTTGTGATATGTGAATTCATCTCACTGAGTTAAACCTATCTTTTGATTCAACAGGTTGGAAATACTTTCTTGGTAGAATCTTCCAAGAGACATTTGGGAGCACTTTACGGACTACGGTGAAAAACCGAATATCTCAAAATTAAAAACAAGCTACTTGTGAAACTGCTTTGTGATGTGTGGATTCATCTCACAGAGTTCAACCTTACTTTTCATTTGGCATTTTAAAAACACTCTTTTGGTAGAATCTACGAATGGACACTTTGTAGCGGTTTTTGGGCCTCTGGTGAATAACCGAATATTCCAAGATAAAAACTAGAAGGACTCTGTCTGTAAAACTGCTTTTTGATGTGTGGATTCATCTCACAGAGTTCAACCCTACTTTTCATTCAGCATTTTAAAAACACTCTTTTGGTAGAATCTATGAATGGATATTTTGTAGCGGTTTTTGGGCCTCTGGTGAATAACCAAATATTCCAAGATAAAAACTAGAAGGACTCCGTCTGTAAAACTGCTTTTCAATGTGTGGATTCATCTCACAGAGTTAAACATTTCTTTTGATTCAGTAGCTTGGAAACACTCATTTGGTAGAATCAGTGGAAAGACATTTGGGAGCCCATAGAGGCCTAAGGTGAAAAACTGAATATCCCCAGATAAAAACTAAAAAGAAGTAATCTGTCTAACTGCTTTGGTATGTGTGGATTCATCTCAGTGAGATAAAACTTTGTTTTGATTCAACAGGTTGCAAATGTTTTTGTTTTATAATCTGCATAGTGACATTTGGGAGCCCATTAAAGTACATGGTGAAAAATCAAATATTCCCAGGTAAAAACCAGAAAGAAGCTATCTTTAAAACTGCTTTGTGATGTGTGGATTCATCTCAAAGACTCAAACCCTTCTTTTGACTCAGCATGATGCAAACACTCTTTTGCTAGAATCTATGAAAATAGATTTGTGAGCTCACTATTGTCTATGGTAAAAACACACACACACACACAAATATTTCAAGATAAAAACTAGAAAGAAGGGATCAGTGAATGAACTCTGTGGTGAGTGGATTCATCTCATAGAGTTAAACCTTTCTTTTGATTCAGCAGGTTTGAAACACCTTTTTGTACAATCTGGGAAGGGGCATTTGAGAGACCTTTGAGGCTTATAATGAAAAAAAAATCCCCTGATAAAAACTAGAAGGAAGCTCTTTGTGAAACTGTTTGGGATGTATTTATTCATCTAACAGAGTTAAACATTTCTGTCAATATAGCGTGTTTGAAACATTTTTTAGATGGAATCTGTGAATGGACATTTAAGAGCCCATAGAGGCCTATGGTAAAAAACAGAATATCCCCAGATAAAAAGTAGAAAAAAGCTAAATGTGTAACTGCATTGTGATGTATGGATTCATCTCACAGAGTTAAACATTTCTTTTGACACAACAGGTATGAAAAAGTCTTTAGTTAGCATCTGCAAAGGGACATTTAAGAGCCCATAGAGGCCTATGGTGAAAAACTCAATAACTCCAGATAAAAACTAGAAAGAAGCTACCTGTTTAACTTATTTACAATGTCTAGATTTATCTTACAGAGTTAAACATTTATATTGATTCAGGAAGTTGGAATCACTCTTTTGGTAGAATCTACCAAGGGAAATCTGGGATCCCTTAGAGGCCTATTGTGAAAAACTGAATATACCTTGATAAAAACTAGAAAGAAGCTATCTGTGAAACTGCATTTTAAAGTATGACTTCACATCACAGAGTTAAACATAGCTTTTGATTCATCAGGTTGTAATCACTCATATTGTAGACTCTGTGAAGAGCCTTTTTGGAGCCCATTGAGTCCTATGTTGAACAACCCAATATTTCCAGATAAAAACCAGAAGGAAGCTATCTGTGAAATTGCTTTGTGATGTGCAATTCATCTCACAGGTTTAAACTTTTTTTTTGATCCAGTAGTTGGGAGACACTCATTTTGTGGAATTGGCGATGGGATATTATGGAGCCCTTTGAGGCCTAGGGTGGCAAACAAAATATCCCAAGATAAAAACTAAAAAGGAGCTGTCTTTGAAACTGCTTTGTGAAGTTTCAATTTATCTCACCAAGGTAAACCTTTCTTTTGATTCAGCAGGATGAAAACATTGTTTTCGTAGAATCTCACTAGGGACATATCACAGCCCATTGTGGCCTATGGTGAAAAAAAAAGATATCCTCAGATAAAAACTAGAAAAAAGCTATCAGTGAAACTCCTTTGTTGATGTGTGGATTTATCTCACAGACTTAAACTTTTTCTTTGAATCCTCAGGTTTGAAACACTCATTTTGCAGAATCTGTGAAGGGACATTTTGGAGCCCCTTGAGGCCTATTGTGAAAAACAAAATATTCCCAGATAAAAACTAGAAAGAAACTATCTGTGAAGTGTTCTGTGATGTGTGGATTCATTGAACAGAGTTAAACCTTTCTTTTGATACAACAGGATGGAAACACCCTTTAGATAGAATCTGCGAAGGAACATATATAAGCCCATAGATGCCTATGATGAGAAACCGAATATCTCCACATAAAAACTATCAAGAAGCTATCTGTGAAACTACTTTGTTAAGTGTGGATTCAGCTCAATGGGTTAAACCATTCTTTTGATTCATCAGGTTGGAAACACTAGTTTTGTAGACTGTGTGAAGAGACATTTTGGAACCCATTAACTCCTATGGTGAACAGCCCAATATTTCCAGATAAAAATCAGAAGGAAAATAAATGTGAAACCACATTGTGATGTGCAGCTCATCTCACAGAGTTAAACCTTTCTTTTGATTCAGCAGTTTGAAAACACTCATTTGGTAGAATCTGCAAAGGGATATATGGGAGTGCAGTGAGGCCTATGGTGAAAAAGGAAATATCTTCAGATAAAAACTAGTAAGAAGCTTTCTCAGAAACTGCTTTGTCATGTATGCATTCATCTCACAGAGTTAAACTTTTCTTTTGATTGAGCAGTTTGAAAACACTGTTTCTGTACAATCTGTGAAGGGATATTTGGGAGCTCATTGGGGCTTATGGTGAAAAAGGAAATGTCTGCAGTGAGAAAGTAGAAAGAAGAATTCTGAAAAACTGCTTTGTATTGTGTGCATTCAGATCACAGAGTTAAAACTTGCTTTTGATTGAGCAGTTTGGAAACAATGTTTTGGTAGAATCTGCAAAGGGATATTTAAGCTCACATTGAGGCCTACAGTGAAAAAGGAAATATCTTCAGAGAAAAACTAGAAATAAAGCTTTCTGAGGAACTTCTTTGTGATGTGTGCATTCATCTCACAGAGTTAAAACTTTCTTTTGATAGTGCACTGTGGAAACACTGATTTGGTAGCATCTGCGAAGGAATATTTGGGAGCGTACTGAGGCCAATGGTGAAAAAGGAAATATCTAAAGATAGAAATTAGAAAGAAGCTTTCTCAGAAACCACTTTGTGATGCGTGCATTCTTCTTACAGAGTTAAATCTTCCTTTTGATTAAGCAGTCTGGAAACACTGTTTTGGTAGAATCTGTGAAGGGATTTTTGGGAGCACATTGAGGCCTATGGTGAAAAAGGAAATATCTTCAGATAAAAACTAGAAAGAAACTTTCTGAGAAACTACTTTGTGATGAGTGCACTCATCTCACAGAGTTAAACCTTTCTTTTGATGGAGCAGTTTGGCAACACTGTTTTTTTGTAGAATCTGAGAAGGGATATTTGGAAGTGCTTTAAGGCCTATGGTGAAAAAGGAAAGATCTTCAGATAAAAACTAGAAAGAAGCTTTCTGGGAAACTGCTTCATGATGTGTGAATTTATCTCACACAGCTAAACCTTTCTTTTGATTGAGCTGTTTGGAAACACTGATTTTGTAGAATCTGCAAATTGACATTTGGAGTGCTTTGAGGCCTACAGTGAAAAAGGAAATCTCTTCAAAAAAAATTAAAAAGAAGCTTTCTGAGAAACTGCTTTGTGATGCTTGTGTTCATTTCACAGAGTTAAACTTTTATTTGATTGAGTGGCTTGGCAACAGTTTTTGTAGAATGTGAGAAGGGATATTTGACAGCACATTGAGGCCAATGGTGAAAAAGGAAATATATTCAGATAAATATGAGAAATGAGCTTTCTCAGAAACCACTTCGTGATGTATGCATTCATCTCACAGAGTTACACTTTTCTTTTGATTGAGCAGTTTGAAAACATTGTTTTTGGAGAATCTGTGAAGGGATATTTGGGAGCTCATTGAGGCCTATGGTGAAAAAGGAAATATCTGCAGTGAGAAACTAGAAAGAATTCTGAGAAACTCCTTTTATTGTGTGCATTCAAACCACAGAGTTAAAGCTTTCTTTTGGTTTAGCAGTTTGGAAACACTGTTTTGGTGGAATCTGCAAAGGGATATTTGGGATCACATTGAGGCCTATGGTGAAAAAGGAAATATCTTCAGAGAAAAACTAGAAAAAAGCTTTCTGAGAAACTTCTTTGTGATGTGTGCATTCATCTCACAGAGTTAAAGCTTTCTTTTGACTAAACACTTTGGAAACACTGATTTGGTAGCATCTATGAAGGAGTATTTGGGAGCGCACTGAGGCCAATGGTGAAAAAGGAAATATCTAAAGATAGAAACTAGAAATAAGCTTTCTCAGAAAAGGCTTTGTGATGTGTGCATTCTTCTTTTCCTATTTTATTATTATTATACTTTAAGTTTTAGGGTACATGTGCATAACGTGCAGGTATGTTACATATGTATACATGTGCCATGTTGGTGTGCTGCATACATTAACTCGTCATTTAGCATTAGGTATACCTCCTAACGTTATCCCTCCCCCCTTCCCCCACCCACAACAGTCCACAGTGTGTGATGTTCCCCTTACTCTATCCATGTGTTCTTATTGTTCAATTCCTACCTATGAGTGAGAAAATGCAGTGTTTGGTTTTTTGTCCTTGCAATAGTTTGCTGAGAATGATGGCTTTCAGTTTCATCCATGTCCTTACAAAGGACATGAACTCATCATTTTTTATGGCTGCATAGTATTCCATGGTGTATATGTGTCACATTTTCTTAATCTAGTCTACCATTGTTGGACATTTGGGTTGGTGCCAAGTCTTTGCTATTGTGAATAGTGCTGCAATAAACATATGTGTGCATGTGTCTTTATAGCAGCATGATTTATAATCCTTTGGGCATATACCCAGTAATCGGATGGCGGAGTCAAATGGTATTTCTAGTTCTAGATTCCTGAGGAATCGCCACACTAACTTCCACAATGGTTGAACTAGTTTACACTCCCACCAACAGTGTAAAAGTGTTCCTATTTCTCCACATCCTCTCCAGCACCTGTTGTTTCCTCACTTTTTAATGATAGCCATTCTAACCGGTGTGAGAGGGTATCTCATTGTGGTTTTGATTTGCATTTCTCTGATGGCCAGTGATTATGAGCATTTTCTCATGTGTTTTTTGGCTGCAAAAATGTCTTCTCTTGAGAAGTCTGTCTTCATATACTTCGTCCACTTTTTGATGGGGTTGTTTGTTTTTTTCTTGTAAATTTGTTTGGGTACATTGTAGATTCTGGATATTAGCCCTTTGTCGGATGAGTAGCTTGCAAAAATTTTCTCCCATTCTCTAGGTTGCCTGTTCACTCTGATGGTAGTTTCTTTAGCTGTGCAGAAGCTCTTTAGTTTAATTAGATCCCATTTGTCAACTTTTGTTTTTGTTGCCATTGCTTTTGGTGTTCTAGACATGAAGTCCTTGCACATGCCTATGTCTTGAATGGTAATGCCTAGGTTTTCTTCTAGGGTTTTTATGGTTTTAGGTCTAACGTTTAAGTCTCTAATCAATCTTGAATTAATTTTTGTATAACGTGTAAAGAACGGATCTAGCTTCAGCTCTTTACTTCTCGCGAGCCAGTTTTCCCAGCACCATTTATTAAATAGGGAATCCTTTCCCCATTGCTTGTTTTTCTCAGGTTTGTCAAAGATCAGATAGTTGTAGATATGCAACATTATTTCTGAGGGCTCTGTTCTGTTCCATTGGTCTATATCTCTGTTTTGGTACCAGTACCATGCTGTTTTGGTTACTGTAGCCTTGTAGTATAGTTTGAAGTCAGGTAGCGTGATGCCTCCAGCTTTGTTCCTTTGGCTTAAGATTCACTTGGCAATGTGGGCTCTTTTTTTGGTTCCATATGAACTTTAAAGTAGTTTTTTCCAATTCTGTGAAGAAAGTCATTGGTAGCTTGATGGGGATGGCATTGAATCTGTAAATTATCTTGGGCAGTATGGCCATTTTCATGATACTGATTCTTCCTACCCATGAGCATGGAATGTTCTTCCATTTGTTTGTATCCTCTTTTATTTCACTGAACAGTGGTTTGTAGTTTTCCTTGAAAAGGTCCTTCACATCCCTTGTAAGTTGGATTCCTAGGTATTTTATTCTCTTTGAAGCAATTATGAATGGGAGTTCACTCATGATTTGGCTCTCTGTTTGTCTGTTATTTGTGTATAAGAATGCTTGTGATTTTCGCACATTGATTTTGTAACCTGAGACTTTGCTGAAGTTGCTTATCAGCTTAAGGAGATTTTGGGCTGAGACAGTGGGGTTTTCTAGATATACAATCATGTCATCTGCAAACAGGGACAATTATTTGACTTCCTCTTTTCCTAATTGAATGCCGTGTATTTCCTTGTCCTTCCTGATTGCCCTGGCCAGAACTTCCAACACTATGTTGAATAGGAGTGGTGAGAGAGGGCATCCCTGTCTTTTGCCATATTTCAAAGGGAATGTTTCCAGTTTTTGTCCATTCAGTATGATATTGGCTGTGGGATTGTCATAGATAACTCTTATTATTTTGAGATACGTCCCATCAATACCTAATTTATTGAGAGTTTTTAGCATGAAGCGTTGTTGAATTTTGTCAAAGGCCTTTTCTGCATCTATTGAGATAATCATGTGGTTTTTGTCTTTCATTCTGTTTATATGCTGGATTATGTTTATTGATTTTCGTATGTTGAACCAGCCTTGCATCCCAGGGATGAAGCCCACTTGATCATGTTGGATAAGCTTTTTGATGTGTTGCTGAATTCGGTTTACCAGTATTTTGTTGAGGATTTTTGCATCAATGTTCATCAAGGATATTAGTCTAAAATTCTCTGTTCTTGTTTTGTCTCTGCCCGGCTTTGGTATCAGGATGATGCTGGCTTCATAAAATGAGTTAGGGAAGATTCCTTCTTTTTCTATTTATTGGAATATTTTCAGGAGGAATGGTACCACTTCCTCCTTGTACCTCTGGTAGAATTCGGCTGGGAATCCATCTGGTCCTGGACTTTTTTTGGTTGGAAAGCTATTAATAATTACCTCAATTTCAGATCCTGTTATCAGTCTATTCAGAGATTCAACTTCTTCCTGGTTTAGTTTTGGGAGGATGTATGTGTCAAGGAATTTATCCATTTCTTCTAGATTTTCTACTTTATTTGTGTAGAGATGTTTATAGTTTTCTCTGATGATAATTTGTATTTCTGTGGGATCAGTGGTGATATCCCCTTTATCATTTTTTATTGTGTCTATTTGATTCTTCTCTCTTTTCTTCTTTATTAGTCTTGCTAGTGGTATACCAATTTTCTTGATCTTTTCAAAAACCAACTCTGGGATACATTGATTTTTTGAAGGGCTTTTTGTGTCTCTATTTCCTTCAGTTCTGCTCTGATCTTAGTTATGTCTTGTCTTCTGCTAGCTTTTGAATGTGTTTGCTCTTGCTTTTCTAGTTCTTTTAATTGCGATGTTAGGGTGTCAATTTTGGATCTTTCCTGCTTTCTCTTGTGGGCACTTAGTGCTATAAATTTCCCTCTACACATTGCTTTGAATGCGTCCCAGAGATTCTGGTATGTTATGTCTTTGTTCTCGTTGGTTTCAAAGAACATCTTTATTTCTGCCTTCATTTCATTATGTACCCAGTAGGCATTCAGGGGCACGTTGTTCAGTTTCAATATAGTTGAGCAGTTTTGAGTGATTTTCTTAATCCTGAGTTCTAGTTTGATTGCACTGTGGTCTGAGAGACAGTTTGTTATAATTTCTGTTCTTTTAAATTTGCTGAGGAGTGCTTTACTTCCAACTATGTGGTCAATTTTGGAATAGGTGTGGTGTGCTGCTGAAAACAAAGTACATTCTGTTGATTTGTGGTTGAGAGTTCTGTAGGTGTCTATTAGGTCTGCTTGGTGCAGAGCTGAGTTCAATTCCTGGATATCCTTGTTAACTTTCTGTCTCGTTGATCTGTCTAATGTTGACAGTGGGGTGTTAAAGTCTCCCATTATTATTGTGTGGGAGTCTAAGTCTCTTCGTAGGTCACTCAGGGCTTGCTTTATGAATCTGGGTGCTTCTGTATTGGGTGCATATGTATTTAGGATAGTTAGCTCTTCTTGTTGAATTGATTCCTTTACCATTATGTAATGGTCTTTTTGGCTTTTTTGATCTTTGTTGGTTTAAAGTCTGTTTTATCAGAGACTAGGATTGCAACCCCTGCCTTTTTTTATTTTCCATTTGCTTGGTAGATCTTCCTCCATCCCTTTATTTTGAGCTTATGTGTGTCTCTGCACATGAGATGGGTTTCCTGAATACAGCACACTGATGGGTCTTGACTCTTTATCCAATTTGCCAGTCTGTGCCTTTTAATTGGAGCATTTAGCCCATTTATATTTAAAGTTAATATTGTTATGTGTGAATTTGATCCTGTCATTATGATGTTAGCTGGTTATTTTGCTCGTTAATTGATGCAGTTTCTTCCTAGCCTTGAAGATCTTTACAATTTGGCATGTTTTTGCAGTGGCTGGTACCGGTTGTTCCTTTCCATGTTTAGTGCTTCTATTTGGAGCTCTTTTAGGGCAGGCCTGGTGGTGACAAAGTCTCTCAGCATTTGCTTGTCTGTAAAGTATTTTATTTCTCCTTCACTTATGAAGGTTAGTTTGGTTGGATATAAAATTCTGGGTTGAAAATTCTTTTCTTTAAGAATGTTGAATATTGGCCCCCACTCTCTTCTGACTTGTAGAGTTTCTGGCGAGGGATCTGCTGTTAGTCTGATGGGCTTCCCTTTGTGGGTAACCCAACCTTTCTCTCTGGCTGCCCTTAACATTTTTTCCTTCATTTCAATTTTGGTGAATCTGACAATTATGTGTCTTTAAGTTGCTCTTCTCAACGAGTATCTTTGTGGCCTTCTCTGTATTTCCTGAATCTGAATGTTGGCCTGCCTTGCAAGATTGGGAAAGTTCTCCTGGATAATATCCTGCAGAGTGTTTTCCAACTTGGTTCCATTTTCCCTGTCACTTCCAGGTACACTAATCAGACGTGGGTTTGTTCTTTTCACATAGTCGCATATTTCTTGGAGGCTTTGTTTCTTTTTATTCTTTTTTCTCTAAGCTTCTCTTCACACTTCATTTCATTCATTTCATCTTCCATCACTGATACCCTTCCTTCCAGTTGATCGCATCAGCTACTGAGGCTTATGCATTCGTCACGTAGTTCTCATGCCGTGGTTTTCAGCTCCATCAGGTCCTTTAAGTACTTCTCTTCATTGGTTATTCTAGTTAGCTATTCGTCTAATTTTTTTTTCAAAGATTTTAACTTCTTTGTCATTGGTTCTTACTTCCTCCTTTAGCTCAGAGTAGTTTGATTGTCTGAAGCCTTCTTCTCTCAGCTCATCAAAGTCACTCTCTATCCTGCTTTGTTCCATTGCTGGTGAGGAGCTGCGTTCCTTTGGGGGAGGAGAGGCACTCTGATTTTTAACGTTTCTAGTTTTTCTGGTCTGTTTTTTCCCTATCTTTATGGTATTATCTACCTTTGGTCTTTGATGATAGTGATGTACAGATTTGTTTTTGGTTTGGATGTCCTTTCTGTTTGTTAATTTTCCTTCTAACAGTCAAAACCCTCACCTGCAGGTCCGTTGGAGTTTGCTGGATGTCCGTAAACTGTTTGCATGGGTATCAGCAGTGGTTGCTGCAGAACAGCAGATATTGGTGAAGTGCAAATGCTGCTGCCTGATCGTTCCTCTGGAAGTTTTGTCTCAGAGGAGTACCTGGTCCTGTGTGTTGTCAGTCTGCCCCTACTGGGGGGTGCCTCCTTGTTAGGCCACTCAGGGATCAGGGACCCACTTGAGGAGGCAGTCTGCCCGTTCTCAGATCTCAAGCTGTGTGCTTGGAGAACCACTACTCTCTTTAAAGCTGTCAGACAGGGACATTTAAGTCTGCAGAGGTTATTGCTGTCTTTTGTTAGTCTGTGCCCTGCCCCCAGAGGTGGAGCCTACAGAGGCAAGCGGGCCTCCTTGAGCTGTGGTGGGCTCCACCCAGTTTGACCTTAGAAATCACCCGTCTTCTGTGTCACTCATGCTGGGAGATGTAGACTGGAGCAGTTCCTTTTCAGCCAACTTGGCTCCACAAAGGTGTGCATTCTTCTAAGAGAGTTAAATCTTTCTTTTGATTGAGCAGTCTGGAAACACTGTTTTGGTAGAACCTGCAAAGGGATTTTTGGGAGCGCATTGAGGCCTATGGTGAAAAAACATATATCTTCAGATAAAAACTAGTAAGAAGCATTCTGAGAAACTACTTTGTGATGAGTGGATTCATCACAGAGAGTTAAACCTTTCCTTTGATGGAGCAGTTTTGCAACACTGTTTTTTTGTAGAATCTGAGAAAGGATATTTGGCAGTGCTTTAAGGCCTATGGTGAGAAAGGAAATCGCTTAAGATAAAAACTAGAAACAAGCATTCTGGGAAACTTCTAAATGATGTGTGCACTTATCTCACAGAGTTAAACCTTTCTTTTGATTGAGCTGTCTGGAAACACTGGTTTTGTAGAACCTTTAAATTGACATTTTGGAGCACGTTGAGGGCTATGGTGAAAAAGGAAATATCTTTGGAGAAAAACTTGAAAGAAGCTTTCTGAGAAACTGCTTTGTGATGAGTACACTCATCTCACAGACTTAAAACTTTCTTTTGATTAAGCAGTTTGAAAACATTGTTTTTATAATATTTGCGAAGGTATATTTGGGAGCGCATTGAGACCTATGTTAGAAAACAAAATATCTGCAGTGAGAAAGTATAAGGAAGCTTTCTGAGAGGTTGTTTTGTGATGCGTGTATTCAAATGACAGAGTTAAACCTTTCTTTTGATTGAGCATTTTGGAAACACTGTTTTGGTAGTATCTGTGAAGGAATATTTGGAATCACGTTGATGCTATGGTGAAAAAGGAAATAACTTCAGAGAAAAAGTAGAAAGTTTTCTGAGACACTGCTATGTGATGTGTGCATTCATCTCAAAGCATTAAACCTTTCTTTCGATTGATCAGTTTGGAAACAATGCTTTGGTAGGATCTGTGAAGGGATATTTGGGAGCTCTTTGAGGCCTGTGATGAAAAAGGAAATATATTCAGATAAAAACTAGAAAGAAGCTTTATCAGAAACTGCTTTATTATGTATGCATTCTTCTCATAGAATTAAAACTTTCTTTTGATTGAGAAGTCTGGAAACACTGTTTTGGTAGAATCTGTGAAGGGATATTTGGGAGTGCATTCAGGCCTATGGTGAAAAAGAAATATCTTCAGATAAAAACTAGAAAGAAGCTTTATGAGAAACTGCTTTGAGATGAGTGCATTCATCTCACAGAGTTAAACCTTTCTTTGATTAAGCAGTTTGGACACACTGTTTTTGTAGTATCTCGGAAGGGTTATAGGGGAGCTCATTGAGGCCTATAGTGAAAAAGGAAATATCTTCAGGGAAAAACTAGAAAAAATCTTTCTGAGAAACTGCTATGTGATGTGTGCATTCATCTCACAGAGTTAAACCTTTCTTTTGGTTGAGCAGTTTGGAAACACTGTTTTGGTAGAATCTGTGAAGGGATATTTGGGAGGGCATTGGGGACTATGGTGAAAAAGGAAATATCTTCAGGTAAAAACTAGAAAGATGCTTTCTGGGAAACTACTTAATGATTAGTGCATTCATCTCAGAGAGTTAAATATTTCTTTTCATTGAGCAATTTGGAAACACTGTTTTGGTAGAATATGCGAGGAGATATTTTGGAGTACTTTGAAGTCAATGGTGAAAAAGGAAATATCTTCAGATAAAAAGTAGAAAGACAGATGCTGAGACAGTGCTTTATGATGTGTCCATTCATCATATAGAGTTAAAACTTTCCTTTCATTGAGCAGTTTGGAAACACTGTTTTTGTAGTATCTAGGAAGAGGTATAGGGGAGCTCATTGAGGCATATAGTGAAAAAGGAAATATCTTCAGGGAAAAACTAGAAAAAAGCTTTCTGAGAAACTGCTATGTGATGTGTGCATTCATCTCACAGAGTTAAACCTTTCTTTTGATTGAGCAGTTTGGAAACACTGTTTTGGTAGAATCTATGAAGGTATATTTGGGAGTGCACTGAGGCCCATGGTGCAAAAGGAAGTATCTTCAGATAAAAGCTAGAAAGACGCTTTCTCAGAAACTGCTTTGTGATGTGCACATTCATCATATATAGTTAAAACTGTCTGTTGATTGAGCAGCTTGGAACCACTGTTTTTGTAGAATCTGCGAAGGGATATCTGGGAGTGTGCTGAGGCCTATGGTGAAAAGGAAATATCTTCAGATTAAAAGTGGAAAGAGTCATTTTGAGAAACTGCTTGGTGATGAGTGCATTCATCTCACAGAGTTAAATCTTTTTGATTGCGTGGTTTGGCAATACTGTTTTTGTAGAATCTGTGAAGGGATATTTGGTAATGCTTTGAGGCCTATGGTGAATAAGGAAATATCTTTAGAGAAAAACTAGAAAGAAGGTTTCTCAGAAACTGCTTCGTGATTTGTGCATTCATCTAACAGAATTAAACCTTTCTTTGGATTGAGTATTTTGGAAATACTGTATTGGTAGTATCTGTGAAGGTATACTTGGGAGCGCATTGAGGCCTATGGTGAAAAAGAAAATATCTTCAGATAAAAACTAGAAGTAAGCTCTCTGAGAAACCATATTTTTATGAGTGCATTCATCTCACAGAGTAAAACCTCTCTTTTGCTTGAGCAGTTTAGAAACACTGTTTTTGTAGAATCTGCGAAGGGATATTTTGGAGCGCTTCAAGGCCTGTGGTGAAAATGAAATATCTTCTGATAAAAACAGAAAAGAAGCTTTCTGGAAACTGCTTTGTGATGTGTACATTCCTTGCACAAAGGTAAATAATTATTTTGATTGAGCACTATGGAAACACTGTTTCTGTAAAATCTACCAAGGGAAATTTGGGACTGCATTGAAGCCATAGGTGAAACAGGAAATATCTTTAGATAAAAACTAGAAAGTAGCAGGGCCCGGTGCGGTGGCTCATGCCTGTAATCCCAGTACTTTTGGAGGCCGAGGAGGGTGGATCACGAGGTCAGGAGATCGAGACCATCCTGGCTAACACAGTGAAACCCAGTCTCTACTAAAAATACAAAAAAATTAGCTGGGCATGGTGGTGGGCGCCTGTAGTCCCAGCTACTCAGGAGGCTGAGGAAGAATGGTGTGAACCCGGAAGGCAGAGCTTACAGTGAGCCGAGATTGCACTACTGCACTCCAGCTTGGGAGACAAAGCAAGACTCTGTCTCAAAAAGAAAAAAAAAAAAAACTAGAAAGTAGCATTCTGAGAAACTGCTCCAGATGTGTGAATTCATCACATAGAGTTAAGATTTTATTTTGTTTGAGCAGTCTGGAAACACTGTTTTTGTAGAATCTGCAAAGGGATATTTGGGAGCGCTTTGAGGCCTGTGTTGAAAAAGGTAATAGCTTCAGATAAAAACCAGAAAGAAGCTTTCTGAGAAACTGCTTGGTGATGAGTGCATTCATCTCACAGAGTTAAAACTTTTTTTTTTTATTGAGCAGTTTGGCAACACTGTTTTTGTAGAATCTGTGTAGGGATATTTCAGAGCACTTTGGGGCCTATGGTGAAAAAGGAAATATCTTCAGATAAAAACCAGAAAGAAACCTTGTCAAAACTGCTTTGTGATGTGTGCACTCTTTTCACAGAGTTAAAAATTACTTTGTTGGAGCAGTGTGGAAACAATGTTTTCGTAGAATCTGTGAAGGGATATTTGGGAGTGCATTAGGGCCTATGGAGAAAAAGGAAATTCATTCAGATAAAAACTAGAAAGGAGCTTTCTGAGAAACTGCTTTGTGATCAGTGAATTCATCCCACAGAGTAAAACCTTTTTTTTGATTGAGCAGTTTGGAACCACTGTTTTTGTAGAATCTGGGAAGGGACATTTAGGTGTGCATTGAGGCATATGGTGAAAAAGGAAATATCTTCACATAAATACTAGAAAGAAACTTTCCCAGCAGCTGCTTTGTGATGTGTGCAATCTTCTCACAGAATTAAACTTTTCTTCTGATCAAGCACTTTGGAAACACTGTTTTTGTAGAATCTGTGAAGGGAAATATGGGAGCACATTGAGGCCTATTGTAAAAAATGAAATATATTCAGATAAAAACTAGAAAGAAGCTTTCTGAGAAACTGCTTGGTGATGAGTGCATTCATCTCACAGACTTAAACTTTTTTTTTGATTGAGCAGTTTGACAATGCTGTTTCTGTAGAATCTGTGAAGAGATACTTGGGAGTGCTTCAAGGCTTATGGTGAAAAAGGAAATAAATATCTACAGATAAAAACTAGAAAGAAGCTTCCTGGAAAACTACTTTCTGATGAATGCATTCATCTCACAGGGTTAAACTTTTATTTTGATTGAGCTATTTGGAAACACTATTTTTGTAGCATCCATGAAAGGACATTTTTGAGCACACTGAGGTCTATGGTGAAAAAGGAAATATTTTCAGACAAAAAGTAGAAAGAAGCTTTCTCAGAAACAGCTTTGTGATGTGTGTCTTACTTTCACAGTGTTAAAGCTTTCTTTTGATTGAGCAGTCTGGAAACACTGTTTATGTATAATCTATGAAGGGATATCTGGGAGCGTATTAAGGCCTAAAGTGAAAAAGGAAATATCTTTAGAGAAAAACTAGAAAGAATGTTTCTGAGAAACTGCGTTGTGATGTGTGCGTTCATCTCACAGAGTTAAACCTTTCTTTTGATTGAGAAGTTTGGAAACACTGTTTTCGTAGAATCTTCAAAGGGATATTTGGGAATGCTTTGGGACCTATGGTGAAAAAGGAAATACCTTCAGATAAAAACTAGAAAGAAGCTTTGTGAGAAACTGCTTGGTGATGACTGAATTCTTCTCCCAGACTAAAAACTGTCTTTTGATTGAGCAGTTTGGAAACACTGTTTCTGTAGAATCTACAAAGGGATATTTGGGAGCACTTTCAGGCCTATGCTGAAAATTGAAATACCTTCAGATAAAAACTAGAAAGAAGCTTTCAGAGAAACCGCTTTGTGATGCGCACATTCATCATAAAGAGTTAAAACTTTCTATTGGTTGAGGAGTTTGGAAACACTGCTTTGTAGAATCTGCAAAGGGATATTTGGGAGCACATTGAGGCCTTTGGTGAAAAAGGAAATACCGTCAGATAAAAACTATAAAGAATCATTCTGAGAAACTGCTTGTTGATAAGTGCATTCATCTCACAGAATTAAACGTCTCTTTTGATTGAGCAGTTTGGAAACAATGTTTTTATAAATCTGCAAAGGGATATTTGGGAGGACTCGAGGCCTATGGTGAAAAAAGTAATATTTTCAGATAGAAACTAGAAAGAAGCTTTCTGGAAATTGCTTTGTGATGTGTACATTCGTCTCACAGAGTTAAACCATTATCTTGATTGGGAAAGTTGGAAACACTGTTTCTGTAAAATCTGTCATAGGATACTTGGGAGTGCATTGAGGCTTAAGGTGATAAAGGAAACATCTTCAGATAAATACAAGAAAGAAGCATTCTGAGCTTTGTGATGTGCATACTCATCATATAGAGTTAAAATTTTTTTGATTGAGCAATTTGGAACCCCAGTTTTGTAGAATCTGTGAGGGGATATTTTGGAGCCATTGAGGCCTATGGTGAAAAACGAAATATCTTCATATAAATAATAGAAAAAACTGTTCTCAGAAACTGCTTTGTGATGTGTGCATTCTTCTCAGAGAGTGAAACCTTTCTTTTGATTGAGCAGGTTGGAAACACTGTTTTTGTAGAATCTGTGAAGGGATATTTGGGACAGCATTGAGGCCTACGGTGAAAAACGAAATATCTTCAGGAAAATACTAGAAAGAAGCTTTCTCAAAAACTGCTTGGTGATGTGTGCATTCATCACAGAGAGTTGAACCTTTATTTTATTGAGCAGGTTGGAAAACCTGTTTTGCTAGAAACTATGAAGGGATATTTGGGAGTGCATTGAGGCCTAGGGTGAAAATGGAAATGTCTTCACATAAAAACTAGAAAGAATCTTTCAGAGAAACTGCTTTGTGATGAGTGCATCCTTCTCACAGAGTTAAAACTTGCTTTTGATAGAGCAGTTTGGAAGTACTGTTTTTGTAGAATCTGTGAAGGAATAATTGGGAGCGCTTCAGAGCCTATGGTGAAAAAAGAAATATCTTCAGATAAAAACTAGAAAGAAGCCTTCAGAAACCTGTTTTGTGATGTGTACATTGATCTTACAATGTTAAACCATATTTTGATTGAAGAGTTTGGAAACACTGATTCTGTAAAATCTACCAAGGGATACTGGGAGTGCATTGAGGCCTATGGTGAAAAAGGAAATATCTTCAGATAAAAACTAGAAAGAAGCTTTCTGAGAAACTGCTTTGTGATGTGCAAATTCATAATATAGAGTTAAAACTTTATATTTATTGAGCAGTTTGGAAACACTGTTTTTGTGGAAACTGCGAAGGGATATTTGGGAGCACATTGAGTCCTATTGTAGAAAAGAAAATATCTTCAGATCAAAACTATAGAGAATCATTCTGAGAAACTGCCTGGTGATGAATGCATTCATCTCACAGAGGTAAACCAATTTTTGAAGGCACAGTTTGGCAACTCTGTTTTTGTAGAATCTGCAAAGTTATATTTGGGAGTGCTTCAAGGCCTATGGTGAAAAAGGAAATACCTTCAGACAAAAACTAGAAAGAAGTTTTCTGAGAAACTGCTTTTGATATGTACATTCATCTCACAGAGTTAATCCTTTCTTTTGCTTGAGCTGTTTGGAAACACTGTTTATGTACAATCTGCAAAGGGATATTTGGGAGTGCTTTGAGGCCTATGGTGAAAAATGAAATATCTTTAGATAAAAACTGGAAAGAAGGTTTCTGGAAACTGTTCTATTATGTGTGCACTCATCTCACAGGTTTAAACCTTTCTTTTGAGCAGTTTGGAAACACTGTTTCCATAGAATCTGCAAAGAGATTTGGGAGTGCATTGAGGCCTACCGTGATAAAGGAAATATCTGTAGATAAAAACTAGAAAGAAGCTTTCTCAGAAACTGCTTTGTGATGTGTGCATTCTTCTCACAGAGTTAAACCTTTCCTTTGGTTGAGCAGTCTGGAAACACTGTTTTTGTACAATCTACGAAGGAATATATGGGAGATATTTTAGTCTTATGGTGAAAAATGAAATATCTTCAGAGAAAAAGTAGAAACAAATTTTCTGAGACTCTACTTTCTGATGTGTGCATTCATCTCACAGAGTTAAACCTTCCTTTTGATTGAGCAGTTTGGCAACACTCTTTTTGTAGAATCTGTGGAGGGATATATGTGAGCATTTTGAGGCCTATGTTGAAAAAGGAAATATCTTCAGAAAAAAACTAGAAAGAAGCTTTCTGAGTAACTGCTTTGTGATGAGTTCATTCATCTCAGAGAGTCAAACCTTTCTTTTGATTTAGCAATTTGGAAACACTGTTTTTGTAGAATCTGTGAAAGGATATTTTGGAGCGCATTGAGGCCAATGGTGAAAAGGGAAATATCTTCAGATGAATCTTAGAAAGCATCTTTCTTAGAAACCACTTTGTGATGTGTGCATTCTTCTCACAGACTTATACCTTTCTTTTGATGGAGCATTTTGGAAACACTATTTTTGTAGAATCTGTGAAGGGATATTTGGGAGAGTATTGAGGCCTTAGATGAAAAATGAAATATCTTCAGATAAAAATTACAAAGTAACTTTCTCAGAAACCCTTTGTGATGTGTGCATTTTTCTCACAGAGTTAAATCTTTCTTTTAATTGAGCAGTTTGGAAACACTGTTTTTGTAGATCTCTGAAGGGACATATTGTTGTGCATTGTGGCGTGTGGTGAAAAAGGAAATATCCTCAGAGAAAAACAAGAAAGAAGCTTTCTTACAAACTCTTTTGTGATGTGTGCATTCTTCTCACAGAGTTAAACCCTTCTTTCAATTGAGAAGTCTGGAAACACTGTTTTTGTAGAATCTATGAAAGGATATATAGGAGCGCATTGAGGCCTATAGTGAAAAAGAAAATATCTTCAGAAAAACTAGAAAGAAACTTTTTCAGAAACTGCATTGTGTTGTCTGCATTCTTCTCACAGAGTTAAGCATTTATTTTGATTGAGCAGTCTGGAAACACTGTTTTTGTAGAATCTAGGAAGGGATATATGGGAGTGCATTGAGGCCTGTGGTGAAAAAGGAAATATCTTCAGAGACAAACAGAAACAGGATTTCTGAGAAACTGGTTTGTGATGTGAGCATTCGTCTCACAGAGTTAAAGCTTTCTTTTCATTGAGCTGTTTGGAATCACTCTTTTGGTAGAATCAGCAAAGGGATATTTCAGAGCACATTGAGGCCTATGTTGAAAAAGGAAATATCTTCAGATAAAAACTAGAAAGAAGCTTTCTTAGAAACTGCTTTGTGATGAGTGCATTAATCTCACAAAGTTAAACCTTTCTTTTGACGCAGCAGTTTGGCAACAGTGTTTTTGAAGGATCTGAGAAGGGATATTTAGGAGCAATTTCAGGCCTATAATGAGAAATGAAATAACTTCAGATAAAAACTAGAAAGAAGCTTTCTGAGAAACTGCTTTGTGCTGTGTGCATTCATGTCACAGAGTGAACCTTTCTTTTAATTGAGCAGTTTGGGTACACTGTTTTCGTAGAATCTGTGAAGGGATATTTGAGAGTGCATTGAGGCCTAAGGTAATAAAGGAAATATTTTCAGATAAATACTGGAAAGAAGGTTTCTCAGAAAACAATTTGTGATGTGTGCATTCTACTCACAGAGTTAAACCTTTCTTTTGATTAAGCCATCTGGAAACACATTTTTGTAGACTCTACAAAGGGATATATGGGAGTGCATTCAGGCCTATGGTGAAAAAGGAAATATCTTCAGATAAAAACTAGAAAGAAGCTTTCTGAGAAACTGCTTTGTGTTGAATGCATTCATCTCACAGAGTTAAAACTTTCTTTTGATTAAGCAGTTTGGCAACCCTGTTTTTGTGCCATCTGTGAAAGGACATTTGGGGGTGCTTTAAGGTCTATGGTGAAAAAGGAAATATCTTCAGATAAAAAATATAAAGAATCTTTCTGGTAAACTGCTTGGTAGTGTGTGCATTCAACTCATAGAGTTAAAACTTTCTTTTGATTGAGCAGTTTGGCAACACTGTTTTGTAGAGTCTGAGAAGGGATATTTGGGATGCTTTTAGGCCTATGGTGAAAAAGCAAATATCTTCAGATAAAAAATGGAAAGAACCTTTCTGGGAAACTGCTTTGTGATGTGTGCATTCATCTCACAAAGTTAAAACTGTCTTTTGATTGAGCAGTTTTTAAACACTGTTCATGTATAATCTGCAAAGGAATATTTGGGAGCGCTTTGAGGCCTGTGGTGAAAAAGGAAATACCTGCAGATAAAAACTAGAAAGAAGCTTTCTCAGAAACCGCGTTGTGATGTGTGCATTCTTCTCATAGGGTTAAACTTTTCTTTAGTGTGAGCTGTTTGGAAACCTGTTTTTTTCAAATCTACGAGAGATATATGGGAGCTCATTGAGGACTATGGTGAAACAAAATATATTCAGAGAAAAACTAGAAAGAAGCTTTCTGAAAAAAAATGCTTTGTGATGTGTGCACTCATCTCACATAGTTAAACCTTTCTTTTGATTGCTCTGTTTGGAGACACTGTTTTCGTAGTATCTGTGAAGGGATATTTGGGAGTGCATTGAGGCCTATGGTTAAAAAGGAAACATATTCAGATAAAGACTAGAAAGACCTTTTTGGGAAACTGATTAGTATGAGTGCACTCATCTCACAGAGTGAAGCCTTTATTTTGATTGAGAAGTTTGACAACACTGTTTTCATGGAATCTGAGAAAGGATATTTCGTAGTGCTTTAAGGCCTATGGTGAAAAAGGAAATAACTTCAGATAAAAACTAGAGAGAAGCTTTCTGGGAAACTGCTTTGGGATGTGTGCATACATCTCACAGAGTTAAATCTTTTTGTTTTTTTTTGATTCAATGGCTTGGAAGAACTGTTTTTGTGTAATCTGCAAGGGGATATTCGTGAGTGCATTGAGGCCTGTGGTTAAAAAGGAAATATCTTCAGATAAAAACTAGAAAGAAGCATTCTGAGAAACTGCTTCGAGAAATGTGCATTCATCATACTGAGTTAAAACTTTCTTTTCACTGAGTGGTTTGGAAACGCTGTTTTGTAGAATTTGCAAAGGTATATTTGGGAGCACATTGAGGCCTATGGTCAAAAAGGAAATATCTTTGGATAAAAACTAGAAAGAAGTTTTCTGCAATACTACTTTGTGATGAGTGCATTCATCTCACAGAGTTAAAACTTTCTCTTGATTGGGCAGTTTGGCAACACCGTTTTTGTGGAATCTGCCTAGGGATATTTGGGAGCACTTTGAAGCCTATGGAGAAAAAGGAAATATCTTCATATAAAAACTAGAAAGAAGCTTTTTGAGAAACTGCTTTGTGATGTGTGTATTCATCTCACAGAGTTAAACCTTTCTTTTGATTGAGCAGTTTGTAAACACTGCTGTTGTATAATCTGCAAAGAGACATTTGGGAATGCATTGAGGTCTACGGTGAAAAAGGATATATCTTCAGATACAAACTAGAAAGAAACTTTCTCAGAAACCCCTTTGTGATATGTGCATTCTTCTCACAGAGATAAAACTTTCTATTGATTGAGCAGTCTTGAAACACTTTTTATAGAGTCTACAAAGTGATGTATCATAGCCCACTGAGGCCAATGGTGAAAAAGGAAATATCTTCAGACAAAAACCAGAAAGAAGCTTTCTGAGAAACTGCTTTGTGAAGTGTGCATCCATCTAAGAGAGTTAAACCTTTAGATTGAGCCATTTGGAAATACTGTTTTAGTAGAATCTGTGAAGGGATATTTGGGAGTGCATTGAGGCCTATTGTTTAAAAGGAAATATCTTCAGATAAAAATTAGAAAGAAGCTTTCTGTGAAACTGCTTTGGATGAGTGCATTCATCTCATAGAGTTAAACCTTTCTTTTGATTGAACTGTTTGGAAACACTGTTTATGTGGAATCTGCGAAGGGATATTTGGTAGCACATTGGGGCTTATGGTGAAAAAGGAAATATCTTCAGATAAAAACTTAGAACGAAGCTTTCTGAGAAGCTGCTTTTTGATGAGTGCATTCATCTCACAGAATTAAAACTTTCTTTTGATTGAGCCTTTTGGTAATACTGTTTTGGTAAAATCTGCCAAGGGATATTTGGGAGCGCATGGAGGCCTAGGGTGAAAAAGGAAATATTGTCAGTTAAAAATTAGAAAGAAGCTTTCTGAGAAACTGCTTTGTGATGAGTGCATTCATCTCACAGAGTTAAACCTTTCTTTTGATTGACCAGTTTGACAACACAGCTTTTGTGGAATATGAGAAGGGATATTTGGAAGCACTTAAAGGCCAATGGTGAGCAAGGAAATATTTTCAGATTAATACTAGGAAGAAACTTTCTCAGAAACTGCTTTTTGATTTGTGCATTCATCTCACATAGTTAAACCATTATTTTGATTGAGCAGTTTGGAAACACTGCTTCTGTAAAATCTACCAAGGGATATTTGGGAATGCATTGAGGTCTATGGTAAAAAAAAGAAATATCTTCAGAAAAAAACTAGAAAGAAGCATTCTGGAAAACTGATTTTTGATGTGTGCATTCATCTCAGAGAGTTAAACTGTTCTTTCAATTGAGTACTTTGGAAACACAGCTTCGGTAGAATCTGTGAAGGGATATTTAGGAGCACATTGAGGCCTATGGTGCAAAAGGAAATATCTTCAGACAAAAACTGGCAAAAAGCTTTTTCAGAAACTGGTTTGTGATTTGTGCATTCCTCTCACAGAATTAAATCTTTCTTTTGATTGAGCAGTTTAGAAATGCTGTTTTTGTAGAATCTAGGAAGGGATTTTTATACCGCATTGAGGCCAATGGTGAAAATAGAAATATCTTCAGAGAAAACCTAGAAAGAAGCTTTTGGAGAAACTTCTTTGTGATGAGTGAATTCATCTCAAAGAGTTAAACCTTTCTTTTGACTGAGCAGTTTGGGAACAGTGATTTGGAGAATCTGAGAAGGCATATTTGGGAGTACCTTGATGCCTATGGTGAAAAAGGAAATATCTTCAGGTAAAAACTAGAAAGAAGCTTTCTGGAACCTGCTTTCTTATGTGTACATTCATCTCACAGTGTTAAAACATAATTTTGATTGAGCAGTTGGGAAACACTGTTTCTGCAAAATCTACTAAGAGATATTCGGGAACACATTGAGGCCTATGGTGAAAAAGGAATTATCTTCAGATTAAAACTAGAAAGAAGCATTCTGAGAAACTGCTTTGTGAAGAGTGGATTTATCATATAGAGTTAAAACTTTCTTTTGAATAAGCAGTTTGAAAACACTGTTTTGCAGAATCTGCTAAGGGATATGTGGGAGCATGTTGAGGCCTATGGTGAAAAGGTAAATATCTTCAGATAAAAACTAGAAAGAAGCTTTCTGAGAAAGTGCTTAGTCTTGAGTACATTCATATCAAGGAGTTCAACATTTCTTTCGATTGAACAGTTTGGCAACAATGTTTTCATAGAATCTGTGAAGGGATATTTGTGAGCGTGCTGAGGCCCATGGTGAAAAAGGAAATATCTTCAGATAAAAACTAGAAAGGAGCTTTCTCAAAAATGGCTTTGTTATGTGTGCATTCTTCCCAAAGAGTTAAATCTTTTTTTGATTGAGCCTTCTGGAAACACTGTTTTTGCAGAATCTACAAAGGGATATAAGGGAGCACATTGAGGCCTATGGTGAAAAAGGAAATATCTTCAGATAAAAACTAGAAAGAACCTTCCTGGGAAAATGATTTGTAATGATTGCATTCATCTCCCAGTGTTAAACCTTTCTTTTGATTGAGCAGTTTTGAAACACTGTTTATGTAGAATCTGCGACGGGACATTTTGGAGCAGTTGAGGTCTATGTTGAACAAAGAAATATATTCAGATAAAAACTGGAAAGAAGCTTTCTGAGAAACTGCTTTGTGATGAGTCCATTCATTTCACAGGCTTAAGCCTTTCTTTTGATTGAGCAATTTGGAAACACTGTTTTTATAGAATCTGTGAAGGGATATTTTGGAGCACTTACAATCATATCATGAAAAAGGAAATATCCCTTGATAAAAACTAGAAATATGCATTCTGACAAATTACTTTCTGATGTGTGCATTCATCTCACAGAGTTTTTACTTACCTTTTATTGAGAAGTTTGGCAACAGTGTTTTTGTGGACTGTTCCAAGGGATATATGGAGAGCATTGAGGCCTAGGCGGAAAAGGGAAATATCTTCTCATAAAAACTAGAAGGAGTCTTTCTGAGAAATTGCTTTGTGATGTTTGCATTGGTCTCACAGAGTTCAAGCTCTCTTTTGATTGAGCAGTTTGGAAACACTGTTTTTGGAGAATCTGCTAAGTGATATTTGGGATTAAATTGAAGGCTATGGTGGAAAAGGGAATATCCTCAGGTAAAAACTTGAAAGCACCTTTCTGAGAATCTGCTTTTTGATATGTTCATTCTTCTCACAGAGTTAAAACTTTCTTTTGATAGAGCAGTTTGGAAATAGTGTTTTTGTACAATCTGCTAAAGGATATTTAGGAGCATATTGAGGCCTACAGTGAAAAAGAAATATCCTCAGATAAAAACTACAAAGTAGCTTTCTGAGAAAGTGCTTTGTGATGTGTGGATTCATCTCAAAGAATTAAACTTTTCTTTTCATTGAACAGTTTGGAAGCACTGTTTTTGTAGAATCTGCAAAGGGATATTAGGGAGTATTTTGAGGCCTATGGTGAAATAGGAAATATCTTCAGATGAAAAGTAGAAAGAAACTTCCTGAGAAACTGCTTTGTGAAGAATTCATTCTTAAAAGAGAATTAAACATTTCCTTTGATTGAGCAGTTTGGCAAAACTGTTTTTGTAGAATCTGAGAAGGGATATTTGGGAGCGCTATGAGGCCTTTAGGGAAAAAGGAAATATCTTCAGAAAAAACTAGCCAGAATCTTTCTGAGAATCTCCTTTGTGATGAGTGCATTCATCTCACAGAGTTAAAATTTTCTTTTGCTTGAGCAGTTTGGAAACACTGTTTTTGTAGAATCTGCGAAGTGATATTTTGGAGTGCATTGAGGCCTATGGTGAAAAAGTAAATATCTTCCCATAAAAACTAGAAAGACACTTTCTGAGAAACTGCTTTGTGATGTGTACATTTGACTAACAGAGATATTGCTTTCTTTTGATTGAGCAGTTTGGAAACACTGTTTTTGTAGGATCTGTGAAAGTATACTGGGGAATGCAATGAGGCCTATGGTGATATAGGAAATATCCTCAGACAAAAACTAGAAAGAAGATTTCTGATTAACTGCTTTGTGATGTGTACATTCATCTCACAGAGGTAAAACTTTCTTTGAATTGAGCATCTTGGAAACACTGTTTTTGTACAATCTGTGAAGGGATATGTTGGAGCACACTGAGGCCTTTGGCGAAAAAGGAAATATCTTCACATAAAAACTAGAATGAAGCTTTCTGAGAAACCACTTCGTGATGTCAGCATTTGTCTCACAGTGTTTATGAATTCTTTTGATTAAGCAGATTGGAAAAACGGTTTTTGTAGAATCTGCAAAAGCATATTTGGGAGCACATTGGGGCCTAAGGTGAAAAAGAAATAACCTCAGATAAAAACCAGAAAGATGCTTTCTGAGAAACTGCTTTGTGATGAATGCATTCATCTCACAGAGTTAAACATTTCTTTTGATTGAGAAGTTTGGAAACACTGTTTTTACAGAATCTGTCAATGGATATATGGGAGTGCATTGAAGCCTGTGGTGAAAAAGGAAATATCGTCAGATCAACACCAGAAAGATGCTTTCTGAGAAACTGCTCTGTGATGTGTGCATTCACCTCACAGAGTTAAATCTTTCTTCTGATTGAGCAGTTTGGAAACACTGTTTTTGTAGTATCTATCAAGGGATCTAAGGGAGCGCATTGAAGCCTATGGTGAAAAAGGAAATATCCTCAGATAAAAAATAGAAAGATTTCTGAGAAACAGTTTTGTGATGTGTGCTTTCATCTCGCAGAGTTAATCCTTTCTTTTGATTAAGCAGTTTGGAAACTCTGTTTTTCTAGAATCCGTGAAGGGATATTAGGGAGCGCATTGAGGCCAATGGTGGAGAAGGAAATATTTTTAGATAAAAACTAGAAAGAAGCTTTCTGAGAAACTGCTTTGTGATCTGTGCATTCATCTCACAGGGTAAAACATTTCCTTTGAGCAGTTTGGAAACACTCTTTTTGTAGAATCTGTGAAGGGATATTTGGGTACACATTGAGGCCTATGGTGAAAAAGGAAATATCTTCAAATGAAAACTTGAAAGAAGCTTTCCAAGAATCTGTTTGTGAAGTGTGCATTGATCTCACAGAGTTAAACCTTTCTTTTCAATGAGCAGTGTGGAAACACTGTTTTTGTAGAATCTGTGAAGGGACATTTGGGAGCACATTGAGGAATCTGGTGAAATAGGAAATATCTTCAGATAAAAACTAGAAAGGAGCTTTCTGAGACACTGCTTTGTGATGTGTGCATTCATCTCACAGAGATAAAACTTCCTTTTTATTGAACAGTTTGGAAACGCTGTTTTGCTAGAATCTGCAAAAGTATACTTAGGAACGCAATCAGGCCTGTGGTGAAAAAGGAAATATCCTCAGACAAAACTTAGAAAGAAGCTTTCTGATTAACTGCTCTGTGAGGTGTACATTCATCTCACAGAGTTAAACCTTTTTTTGATTGAGCATCTTAGAAACACTATTTTGGTAGAACCTGTGAAGGGTATTTTGGAGCACATTGAGGACTTGGGTGAAAAAGGAAATATCTTCACATAAAAACTAGAAAGAAGCTTTCTGAGAAACTGCTATGGGTTGTCTGCATTTGTCTCACATAGTTTAAGTATCCTTTTGATTTAGCAGTTTGGAAACAGTTTTTGTAAAATCTGTGAAAGGATATTTGGGAGTGCACTGGTGCCTAAGGTGAAAAAGAAATATCCTCAGATAAAAACCAGAAAGGTGTTTTCTGAGAAACTGCTTTGTGATGTGTGCATTCATCTCACAGGGTTAAACCTGTCTTTTGATTGAGCAGTTTGGAAACACTGCTTTTGTAGAATGTTTCAAGGGATATAAGGGAACACATTGAAGCCTATGGTGAAAAGGGAAATATCTTCACATAAAAACTACAAAGAATATTTCTCAAAACCTGCTTGTAATGTCTGAATTTGTTTAACAAAGGTTAAGCATTCCTTTGATTGAGCAGTTTGCAAGCACACTTTTTGTCGAATCTGTGAGAGGATATTTGGGATCACATTGAGGCCTATGGCAAAAAAGGAAATATCCTCAGGTAAAAACCAGAAAGATGCTTTCTGAGAAACTGTTTTGTGATGTGTGCATTCATCTCACACATTTAAAGTTTTCTTTTGTTTGACCAGTTTGGAAACACTGATTTGGTAGAATCTGTGAAGGGATATTTGGGAGCACATTGAGGCCTATGGTGAAAAAGGAAATATGCTCAGATAAACACTAGAAAGACGCTTTCTGAGAAACAGCCTTGTGAGGTGTGCATTCGTCTCACAGAGATAAACTTTTCCTTTGATTGAGCAGTTTGAAAACACTGTTTTGTTAGAATCTCCACAGGGATATTTGGGAGTGCCTTGACGCCTATGGTGGAAAAAGAAATATCTTCAGATAAAAACCAGAAAAAAGCTTTTTGAGATACTGATGTGTGATGTGTGCATTCATCCCACTGAGTAAATACTTTCTTTTCACTGAGCAGTTTGGAAAGACTGTTTATGCAGGATCCATGAAGGGATATTTGGGAGCATAGAGGCCTACTGTGAAAAAGGAATATCTTCAGATAAATATAGAAAGAAGCTTCATGAGAAACTGCTTAGTGATGGGTACATTCATCTAACAGAATTGAACTTTTTCTTCTGATTGAGCAGTTTGTAAACACCATTTTTGTAGAATCTGTGAAGGGATATTTGGAATGGAATGAGGCCTATGGTGAAAAAGGAAATATCTTCACATAAAAACTAGAAAGATTGCTGAGAAACTGCTTTGTGATGTGTGCATTCATCTCACAGGGTTAATCTTTTCTTCTGATTGAGGAGTTTGGAAACTGTATTTTTCTAGAATCTGAAAAGGGATATTTGGGAGCACAATGAGGCTTATGGTGAAAAAGAAAATATCTTCTGATGAAAACTAGAAAGAACCTTTCTGAGAAACTGCTTTGTGATGTGTGCATTCATCTCACAGAGTTAAATTTTCTTTTTATTGAGTGCTTCGGAAACACTGTTTTTATAAAGTCTGTGAAGGGATTTAT
This sequence comes from Homo sapiens, assembly GCF_000001405.40. Taxonomy (NCBI): domain Eukaryota; kingdom Metazoa; phylum Chordata; class Mammalia; order Primates; family Hominidae; genus Homo; species Homo sapiens. The sequence goes on along the minus strand of NC_000019.10, from coordinate 24,214,296 downwards.
GATACCACATTGAGGCCTATGCTGAAAAAGAAATATCTTCACATAAAATCTAGAAAGAAGCTTTCTGAAACACTGCTTTCTGATGTGTGCATCCATCTCACAGAGCTAAACCTTTCTTTTGATTGAGCAGTTTGAAAATACTGTTTTGGTAGAATCTATGAAGGGATATTTGGAAGCATATTTAGACCTATGGTGAAAAAGGAAATATCTTCACATAAAAACCAGAAAGATACTTTCTGAGAAACTGCTTTGTGATGTATGCATTTGTCTCACAGACATAAAGCTTCCTTTTTACTGGGCACCTTGGAACACTGTTTTTGTAGAATCTGTGAAAGGATACTTCAGAATGCAATGAGGCCTAAGGTGAAAAAGGAAATATCCTCAGATAAAAATTAGAAGTAGCTTTCTGATCGACTGCTTTGTGATGTGTCCATTCATCTCATGGAGTTTAATCTTTCCATTGATTGAGCATCTTGGAAACACTGCTTTTGTACTATCTGCCAAGGATTTCTGGGAGCACATTGAGACCTATGGTGAAAAAAGAAGCATCTTCACATAAAAAGTAGAAAGAAGATTTCTGAGAAACTGCTTTGTGATGTGTACATTCATTTCACAGAGTTAAAGATTTCTTTGATTGAGAAGTTTGGAAACACTCTTTTAATATAATCTGTCCATGGATATATGGGAAGCATTGAGCCCTACATTGAAAAAGGAAATATCTTCACATAAAAACTAGAAAGAAGCTTTCTGAGAAACTGCTTTGTGATGTGTGCATTCATCTCTCAGAGTTAAACCTTTCTTCTGATTGAGCAGTTTGGAAGCACTGTTTTTGTAGAACCTGCAAAGGGATATTTGGGAACACATTGAGGCCTATGGTGAAAAAGGAAATATCGTCAATAAAAACTAGAAAGATTTCTAAGAAACAGCTTCATGGTGTGTGCTTTCACGTCACAGAGTTAATCTTTTCCTTTGATTAAGTAGTTTGGAAACTCTGTTTTTCTAGAATATGCAAAGGGATATTTGGGAGCACATTGAGGCCTATGGTGAAAAAGGAAATATCTTCAGATAAATACTACAAAGAAGTGTTCTGAGAAACAGATTTGTGACGTGTACTTTCATCTCACAGAGTTAAACCTTTCTTTTTATTTAGCATTTTGGAAACACTGTTTTTTGTGCAATCTGCAAAGGGATATTTGGGAGTTCCTCAAGGCCTATGTTGAAAAAGGAGGTATTTTCACATAAAAATTAGAAAGAAGCTTTCTGAGAAACTGCTTTCTGATGTGTGCATTCATCTTGCAGAGTTAATCCTTCCTTTTGATTGAGCAGTTTGGAAAGACTGTTTTTGTAGAATCTGTGAAGGATATTTGGGAGTGCTTTGAGGCCTACTTAGAAAAAGGAAACATCTTCAGATAAATCTAGAAAGAAGCTTTCTGAGAAACTGCTTTGTGACGGATGCATTGATCTCACATAGTAAAACCTATGTGCTGATTGAGCAGTATGGAAACACTGTGTAGAATCTGCGAAGGGATATTTGGGAATGGATTGAGGCCTATAGTGAAAAAGGAAATGTTCTTAGATATAACCAGAAAGATTTCTGAGAAACAGCTTTGTGATGTGTGCATTCATCTCACAAAGTTAAACCATTCCTTTGATTGAGCAGTTTTGAAACACTGTTTTTGTAGGATCTGGGAAAGGACATTTTTGAGCACATTGAGGCCTATGGTTGAAAAGGAAATACATTCAGATAAAAAACAGAAAGATTCTTTTGGAGAAACTGGTTTGTGATGTGTGGATTCATCTCACAGAGTTAAAATATTCTTTTGATTGAGCAGTTTGGAAACACTGTTTTTGTAGAATTTGATAAGGGATATTTGGGAGCCCTTTGAGGCCAATGGTGAAAAAGGAAATATTCTCAGATAAAAACTAGAAAGAATCTTTCTGATAAACTGGTTGTGATGTGTGCATTCATCTCACAGAGATACACATTTCTTGTGATTGAGCAGTTTGGAAACACTATTTTTGTAGAATCTGTGAAGGGATATTTGGGAATGCAATGAGGCCTATGGTGAAAAAGGAAATATCTTCACATAAAAACTAGAAAGATTTCTGAGAAACAGCTTTGTTTCTGTGTGCCTTCATCTCACACAGTTAATCCTTTCTTTTGATTGAGCAGTTTGGAAACTGTGTTTTTCTAGAATCTGCAAATGGATATTTGGAAACACAATGAGGACCAAGGTGAAAAAGACAATATCTTCCAATGAAAAGTAGAAAGAAGCTTTCTGAGAAAATTCTTTGTGATGTGTAAATTAATATCTCAGAGTTACATTTTCTGTTGATGGTGCTCTTTGGAAACACTGCTTTTGTAGAATCTGCCAAGGAATTTATGAGAGCACATTGAGGCCTATGGTGAAAAAGGAATTATCCTCAGATAAAATCTAGAAAGAAGCTTTCTGAGACACTGCTTTGTAATTTGTGCATTCAAATCACAGAGTTAAACTTTTCTTTTGATCGAGTAGTTTGGATAAACTGTTTCTGTAGAATCTGTGAAGGGATATTTGGGAGCGCTTTGAGGCTGAGAGTGAAAAAAGGAAATATCTTCACATAAAAACCAGAAAGACACTTTCTGAGAAACTGCTTTGTGATGTGTGCATTTGTCTCACAGAGATAAAGCTTCCTTTTTATTGGGAAGCTTGGAAACACTGTTTTTGTGGAATCTGTGAAAGGATACTTCGGAATGCAATGAGGCCTATGGTGAAAAAGAAAATATCCTCAGATAAAAAATTGAAAGAAGCTTTCTGACTAACTGCTTTTGATGAGTCCATTCATCTCACAGAGTTAAACCTTTCCTTTGATGGTGCATCTTGGAAACATTGTGTTTCTAGAATCTGTGAAGGATATTTTGGAGCACATTCAGGCCTATGGTGGAAGTGGAAACATCTTCACATAAAAACTAGAAAGAATATTTCAGAGAAACTGATTTGTGTTGTGTGCATTCATCTCAGAGAGTTAAATATTTCTTTTGATTGAGCAGTTTGGAAACACTGTTTTAATATAATCTGTCAATGGATATATGGGAGCTCTTTGAGCCCTATGGTGAAAAAGAAAATATCTTCACATAAAAACTAGAAAGAAGCTTTCCCAGAAACTGCTTTGTGATGTGTGCATTCGTCTCTCTGAGTTAAAACTTTCTTCTGATTGAGCAGTTTGGAAACACTGTTTTTGTTGGATCTGCAAAGGGACAATCAGGAAAGCATTGAGGTCTATGGTGAAAAAGGAAATATCATCAGATAAAAACCAGAAAGATTTCTGAGAAACAGTTTTGTGATGTGTGCTTTCATCTCACAGAGTTAATCTTTTGTTTTGATTAAGCAGTTTGGAAACTGTGTATTTCTAGAATCTGTGAAGGGATATTTTGGAGTGCATTGAGGCCTACGGTGAAAAAGGAAATATCTTTACATAAATACTGGAAAGAAGTTTTGTGAGAAAGTGCTCTGTGATGTATTTATTCATCTCACAGAGTTAAACCTTTCTTTTGATTAGGCAGTTTGGAAACACTGTTTTTATAGAATCTGTCAAGGGATATAAGGGAGCACATTGAGGCCAATGGTGAAAAAGGACATATCTTCACATAAATATTAGAAAGATGTGCTCTGAGAAACAGCTTTGTGATGTGTACATTCATCTCACAGAATTAAACCTTTCTTTTTATATAGCAGCTTGGAAAGACTGTTTTTGTACAATCTGCGAAGGGATATTTGGGAGTGCCTTGAGGCCAATGGTGGAAAAGGAAATATCTTCACATAAAAACTAGAAATAAGCTTTTTGTGACACTGCTTTGTGATGTGTGCATGCATCTCACGGAGTTAATCCTTTTTTTTCATGAAGCAGTTTGGAAAGACTGTTTTTGTAGATTCAGCAAAGTGATATTTGGGAGTGCTTTGACGCCTACAGAGAAAAAGGAAATATATTCAGATAAATCTAGAAAGAAGCTTTGTGAGAAACTGCTTTGAGATTAATGCATTCATCTCACAGAGTTAAACATTTCTTTTGATTGAGCAGTTTGGAAACACTGTTTTTGTAGAATCTGGGAAGAGATATTTGGGAACCTACTGAGGCCTATAGTGAAAAAGGAAATATCCTCAGATAAAAACCAGAAAGATATCTCAGAATGAGTTTGCGATGTGTGCTTTCATCTCACAGAGCTAAACCTTTCCTTTGATTGAGCAGTTTGGAAACACTGTTTTTGTAGGATCTGGGAAAGGATGTTTGGGAGCACATTGAGGCCTATGGTGAATAAGGAAATAACTTCAGATAAAAACCAGAAAGAATCTTTTGGAGAAACAGCTTTGAGATGTGTGCATTCATCTCACAGAGTGAAACTATTCTTTTGATTGAGAAGTTTGGAAACAGTGTGTTTGTAAAATCTAAGAAGGGATATTTTTAAGCCCTTTGAGACCTATGGTTAAAAAGGAAATATTCTCAGATAAAAACCAGAAAGAAGCTTTCTGATTAACAGCTTTGTTAATCAGATGTGAGATGTGAGATGTGAGATGTGAGATGATGAGTCCATTCATCTCACGGAATTAATCCTTTCTGTTGATTGAGCATCTTGGAAACACTTTTTTTGTACAATCTGTGAAGGGATATGTGGGAGCACTTTGATGTCTATGGTGAGAAAGGAAATATCTTCACATAAAAACTAGAAAGAAGCTTTCTGAGAAACTGCTTTGTGATGTCTGCATTCGTCTCACAGAGTGTAAACATTCTTTTGATGAAGCAGTTTGGAAACACTGTTTTTGTAGAAACTGTGAAAGGATAATTGGGAGCATACTGGGGCCTATGATGCTAAAAGAAATATCCTCAGATAAAAACCAGAAAGATGCCTTCTAAGGCACTGCTTTGTGACGTGTACATTCATCTCACAGAGCAGCACCCTTCTTTTGATTGAGCAGTTTGGAAACACTGTTTTTGTAGAATCTGTGTAGGGATTTTTCGGAATGCAATGAGGTCTACAGTCAAAAAGGAAATATATTCGCATAAAAACTAGAAAGAAGCTTTCTGATTATCTGCCTTGTGATGTGCGCATTCATCTCAAAGAGTTAAAACTTTACTTTGATTGAGCAGTTTGGAAAATCTCTTTTTGTAGAATATTCAAAGGGATATTTGGGAGTGCATTGAGGCCTATGGTGAAAAATGGAATATCTTCACATAAAAACTAGAAAGACGCTTTCTGAGAAACTACTTTGTTATGCCTGTATTTGTCTCACAGAGTGTAAGGATTCTTTTGATTAAGCAGTTTTGAAACACTGTTTTTGTAGAATCTGTGAAAGGATACTAGGGAATGTAATGAGGCTGATGGTGAAAAAGGAAATATCCTCAGATAAAAACCAGAAAGATGCTTTTTGAGGAACTGCTTTGTGATGTGTGCATTCATCTCATAGAGTGACACCTTTCTTTTGATTGAGCAGTTTGGTAACGCTGTATTTGTAGAATCTGTGACAGGATTTTTTGAAACACAATGAGGCCTATAGTGAAAAAGGAAATATCTTCGCATTAAAACTAGAAGGAAGCTTTCTGATTATCTGCTTTGTAATGAGTGCATTCATCTCACAGAGTTAAAACTTTCCTTTGATTGAGCAGTTTGGAAAATCTGTTTTTGTAGAATATGCCAAGGGATATTTGGGAGTGCATTGAGGCCTATGGTTAAAAAGGAAATATCTTCAAATAAAAACTAGAAAGACACTTTCTGAGAAACTGCTTTTTTATGTCTGCATTTGTCTCACAGTGTGTAAGCATTCTTTTGATTAAGCCGTTTGAAACACTGTTTTTGAAGAATCTGTGAAAGGATATTTGGGAGCTCATTGTGGCCTATGGTGAGAAAGGAAATATCCTCATATAAAAACCAGAAATATGCTTTCTGAGGAACTGCTTTGTGATGTAGGCATTCATCTCACAGAGTGACACCTTTCTTTTTATTGAACAGTTTGGAAACACTATTTTTGTGGAATCTGTGAAGGGATATTTGGGAATGCAATGAGGCCTCTGGTGAAAAAGGAAATAATCTTCACATAAAAACTAGAAAGAAGCCTTCTGATTAACTGCTGTGTGATATGCGCATTCATCTCACAGAGATAAATCTTTCTTTTATTGAGCATCTTGGAAACACTGTTTTTGTTGAATCCGCAAAGGATTATTTGGGAGCCCATTGAGGCTTATGGTGAAAAAGGGAGTATCTTCATTTAAAAACTAGAAAGAAGTTTTCTGAGAAACGGCTTTGTGATGTGTGCATTCATCTCACAGAGTTAAATATTCTTTTGATTGAGCAGTTTGGAAACACTGTTTTTATATAATCTGTCACGGAATATATGGGAGCATATTGAGGCCTATGTTGAAAAAAAAAATATCTTCAGATAAAAACGAGAAAGAAGTTTTGGATTAACAGCTTTGTGATGTGTCCATTCATCTCACCAAATTAAACCTTTCTATTAATTGAGCATCTTGGAAACACTGTTTTTGTAGAATCTGTAAAGGGACATATGGGAGTACTTTGAAGCATATGGTGAAATAGGAAATATCTTCAAATAAGAAATATAATGAAGCTGTCTGAGAAACTGCTTTGTGATGTCTGCATTCATCCCACAGAGTTTAAGCATTCGTTTGATTAAGCAGTTCGGAAACACTGAGTTTGTAGAATCTGTAAAGGGATATTTGGGAGCACTTTGAGGCCTATGGTGAAAAAGGAAATATCTCTAGATGAAAAATAGAAAGAAGCTTTCTGAGAAACTTCTTTGTTATGTGTGCATTCATCTCACAGATTTAAAACATTCTCTTTTTTTTAAATTTTGTTATTATATTTTAAGTTTTAGGGTACATGTGCACAACATGCAGGTTTGTTACATATGTATACATGTGCCATGTTGCTGTGCTGCACCCATTAACTCATCATATAGCATTAGGTATATCTCCTAATGCTATCCCTCCCCCCTCCCCCACCCCACAACAGGCCCCAGTATGTGATGTTCCCATTCCTTTGTCTATGTGTTCTCATTGTTGAATTCCCACCTATGAGTGAGAACATGCGGTGTTTGGTTTTTTGTCCTTGCGATAGTTTGCTGAGAATGATGGCTTTCAGCTTCATCCATGTCCCTACAAAGGACATGAACTCATCATTTTTGACGGCTGCATAGTATTCCATGGCGTACATATGCCACATTTTCTTAATCCAGTCTACCATAGTTGGACATTTGGGTTGGTTCCAAGTCTTTGCTATTGTGAATAGTGCCGCAATAAACATACGTGTGCATGTGTCTTTATAGCAGCATGATTTATAATGCTTTGGGTATATATCCAGTAATGGGGTGGCTGGGTCAAATCGTATTTCTCTTTCTAGATCCCTGAGGAATCGCCACACTGACTTCTACAATGGTTGAACTAGTTTACAGTCCCACCAACAGTGTAAAAGTGTTCCTATTTCTCCACATCCTCTCCAGCACCTGTTGTTTCCTGACTTTTTAATGATTGCCATTCTAACTGGTGTGAGATGGTATCTCATTGTGATTTTGATTTGCATTTCTCTTTTGAATTAGCATTTGGAAACACTGTTTTGTTAGAATCTGCTAAAGGATATTTGGGAACACTTTGAGGCTTATGGTGGAAAAGGATATATCTTCAGATAAAAACCACAGAAAGGCTTTTTGAGACACTGATTTGTGATGTGTGCATTCATCACACAGAGTTAACCATTTCTTTTGATTGATCAGTTTGGAAACACTGATTTTGTGGAATCTGTGAAGGGATATTTAGGAACACATTGAGGCCTATGTGAAAAAGGAAATATCTTCAGATGAAAACTAAAAAGAAGCATTCTGAGAAACTGCTTTGTGATGTGGGCATTCATCTCACAGAGTTAAACCTTTCTTTTGATTGAGCAGTTTGGAAACACTGTTTTTGTACAATCTGTGAAGTGATATTTGGGAGTTGAGGCCCATGGTGAAAAAGTAAATATCTTCAGATGAAACCTATTATGAAGCTTTCCCAGAAACTGCTTTGTGATGTGCGCATTCATCTCACAGAGTTAAACCTTTCTTTCAATAGAGCAGCTTGGAAAACTGTTTTTGTAGAATCTGTGAAGGGATATTTGGGAGCATATTGGTGCTGTGGTGAAAAAGGAAATATCCTCTGATAAAAACTTGAAAGCAACTTTCTGAGAAACTGCTTTATGATGTGTTCATTCCTCTCACAGAGTTAAAAATTTCTTTTGATTGAGCAGCTTGGAAACACTTTTTTTGTAGACTCTGTCAAGGGATATATGGGAGAGCATTGATGCCTAGAGTGAAAAAGGAAATAACTTCACATAAAAACTAGAAAGAAGCTTTCTGAGAACCTGGTTTGTGATGTCTGCATTCGTCTCAGAGTTTAAGCTTTCTTTTGATGGAGCAGTTTGGAAACACTGTTTTTGTACAACCTGCGAAAGGATATTTAGAAGCACTTTGGGCTATGGCGAAAAAGGAAATATCTTCAGATAAAAACCAGAAAGAAGCATTTGGAGACACTGCTTTGTGATGTGTGCATTCCTCTCATAGAGGTAAATCTTTCTTTTGATTGAGGAGTTTGGAAACACTTTTTTTGCAGAATCTGCTAAGGGATATTTGGGAGTGAATTGAAGCCTATGGTTAAAAAGGAAATATCCTCAGATAAAAACTTGAAGGCAGCTTTCTGAGAATCTGCTTTTTGATGTATTCATTTTTCTCACAGAGTTAAAACTTTCTTTTGATTTAGCAGTTTGGAAACACTGTTTCTGTAGAGTCTGTCAGGGTACAGTTTGGAGCTCAATGAGGCCTATGTTGTAAAAGAACAATCTTCAGATAAAAACTAGAAAGAAGCTTTCTGAGAAACTGCTTCTTATACGTGCATTCATATCACGGAGTTAATCCTTTCTTTAGATTGAGCAGCTGGGAAATACCGTTTTTGTAGAATCTGTGAATAGATATCTGGGAGCAAATTGAGGCCTATGGTGAAAAAGGAAATATCCTCTGGTAAAAACTAGAAAGAAGCTTTCTGAGAAACTTCTTTGTGATGTGTGCATTCCTCTCACAGAGCTAAAGCTTTCTTTTGCTTGAGCAGTTTGGAAACACTGTTTTTGTAGAAAATGGGAAGGAATATTTAGGACAGTTTTGAGGCCTATGGTGAAAGAGGAAATGCCTTCAGATAAAAACTAGAAAGAAGCTTTATGAGAAACTGTTTTGTGATGTCTGCATTTGTCTCATAGAGTTTAAGCTTTCTTTTGGTTGAACATTTTAGAGAAAAACATTTTTTGTGGAATCTGCAAAAAGATATTTAAGAGTGCTATGGGGACTATGGTGAAAAAGAAATATCTTCAGATAAAAAGTAGAAAGAAGCTTTCTGAGAAACTGATTTGCCATGTGTGTATTCATCTCACAGAGTTGAGTCTTTCTTTCAGTTGAGCAGTTCGGAAAAACTGTTTTTGCAAATCTGCTAAGGGATTCTTCAGAGCGAATTGAGGCCTATGGTGAAAAAGGATATCTTCACAAAAAAACTAGAAAGAAGCTTTCTGATTAACAGCTTTGTGATAAGTGCATTCATCTCACAGACTTAAAGCTTTCTTTTGATTGAGCAGTTTGGAAACACAATTTTTGTTGTATCTGCAAAGGGATATTTGGGAGCACATGGAGGCCTATGGTGAAAAAGGAGGTATATTAACATAAAAACTAGAAAGAAGCTTTCTGAGAAACTGCTTCATGATGCATGCATTCATCTCACAGAGTTAAACCTTTCTTTTGATTGAGAAGTTTGGAAACACTGTTTTTATAGAATCTGTCAAGGGTTATATGGGAACACATTGAGGCCTGTGGTGAAAAATGAAATATCTTCAAATAAAAACGAGAAAGAAGCTTTCTCAGAAGCTTCTTTGAGTTGTGTGCATTCATCTCACAGAGTTAAAGTTTCTTTTGATTGACCAGTTTGGAAACACCGATTTTATATAATCCCTAAAGGGATGTTTTGGAGTGCATTGAGGCCTATGGTGAAAAATGAAATATCTTCGAATGAAAACCAGAAAGAAGCTTTTGGAGAAACTGCTTTGTGATGTGTGCATTCATCCCACAAAGATAAATTATTTTTTTGATTGAGCATCTTGGAAACACTGTTTTTGTTGAATCTGCAAAGGGATATTTGGGAGCACATCGAGGCCTATGGTGAAAAAGGAAATATCTTCACAAAAAACTAAAAAGAAGTTTCTGAGAAGGTGCTTTGTGATGTGCACATTCATCTCACACAGTTAAAACTTTCTTTTGATTCAGAAGTTTGGAAACAGTGTTTTTGTAGAATCTGTGGAGAGATATTTAAGAATATATTCAGGCCTATGGTGAATAATTAAATGTCTTCAGATAGACCTAGAAAGATATCTGAGAAACAGCTTTGTGGTTTGTGCATTCATCTCACAGAGTTAAAGCTTTCTTTTGATTGAGCTGTTTGGAAACACTGTTTTTTCAGAATCTGGGATGGGATATTTGGGAGCGCATTGAGACCTACAGTGAAAAAGAAAATATATTCACATAAAAACTAGAAAGACATTTTCTGAGAAACTACTTTGTGATGTGTGCATTCATCTCACAGAAATAACGCTTTCTTTTGATTTAGCAGTTTGGAAACTGTTTTGGTAGAATCTGTGAAAGGATACTAGGGAATGTAATGAGGCTGATGGTGAAAAAGGAAATATCCTCAGATAAAAACCAGAAAGATGCTTTCTGAGGAACTGCTTTGTGATGAGTACATTCTTCTCACAGAGTTACACCTTTCTTTTGATTGAGCAGTTTCAAAATACTATTTTTGTTTAATTTGCAAAGGGATATTTGAGATCTCAATGAGGACTACGGTGAAAAAGGAAATATCTCCACATAAAAACTAGAAAGGTTCCTAAGAAAGAGCTTTGTGATGTTTCCTTTTATTTCACAGAGTTATTCATTTCTTTTGATTGAGGAGCTTGGAAATTGTGGTTTTCTAAAATCTGTGAAGGTATATTTGGGAGCATTTTGAGGCCTACGGTGAAAAAGAAAATATCTTCTAATGAAAACTAGTAAGAAGCTCTTGGGGAAACTGCTTTGTGATATGTGCATTCATCTCAAAGAGTTAAACCTTTCTTTTGACTGAGCAGTTTTACAACACTCTTTTTATAGAATCTGTGAAGGGATATTTCAGAATGCATTGTGGCCTATGGTGAAAAAGGACATATCTTCAGAAAAAAACTAAAAAGAAGCATTCTGAGACACCAATTTGTGATATGTGCATTCCAAAAGTTATGAACATCTGCTTCTCTGGGACAGGAATACTGATTTTTTGAAGTCTCCCTGACTGCATATCTGTTTATAGGCTCCCTGCAGGTGGAAGAACATCACAGGCTGTTGGCTCGTTTTGGCAGCCCAACATGGCATTGTCTTTACACAATCCTGCATGCAATTTTGTATTTACAATAATCAGGAGCATTTCTTCTTTTATTCCATAGCAACAGTTTCAGGGGGTCCACCTACATATTTGGAAGCCCATTAAGTCATATGGCAAGAAACAAAATATTCCCAGATGAAAACTAGAAAGAAGCTATCTGTGAAAGTGCTTTGGTTCAATGGATTCATCTCACAGAGTTAAACATGTAGCAGTTTGGAAGTTCTCTTTTGGTAGAAGCAGTGAAGAAACATTTGGGGCAATGGAAGCCTACAATGAAAAACTGAATATCCCCAGATAAAAACTAGAAAGAAGCTCTTTGTGAAACTTCCTAGTGATGTGTGAATTCATCTTACAGAGTTAAACCTTTCTTTTCTTTTTTTTATTTTTATTATTATAATACTTTAAGTTTTAGGGAACGTGTGCACAATGTGCAGGTTTGTGGCATAAGTATACATGTGCCATTTTGGTGTGCTGCACCCATTCACTCATCATTTAGCATTAGGTATATCTCCTAATTCTATCCCTCCACCCTCCCCTGACCCAAAACAGTCCCCAGGGTGTGACGTTCTGCTTCCTGTGTCCATGTGTTCTCATTGTTCAACTCCCAACTATGAGTGAAAAAATGTGGTGTTTGGTTTTTTGTCCTTGTGATAGTTTGCTGAGAATGATGATTTCCAGCTTCACCCATGTCTCTACAAAGGACATGAACTCATCATTTTTTATGGCTGCATAGTATTCCATGGTGTATATGGGCCACATTTTCTTAATCTAGTCTATCATTGTTGGATATTTGGGTTGGTTCCAAGTCTTTGCTATTGTGACTAGTGCTGCAATAAACATGCGTGTGCATGTGTCTTCATAGCAGCAAGATTTATAATCCTTTGGGTATATACCCAGTAATGGGATGGCTGGGTCAAATGGTATTTCTAGTTCTAGATCACTGAGGAATCGCCAAACTGACTTCCATGATGGTTGAACTAGTTTACAGTCCCACCAACAGTGTAAAAGTGTTCCTATTTCTCCACATCCTCTCCAGCACCTGTTGTTTCCTGGCTTTTTAATGGTCACTATTCTAACTGATGTGAGATGGTATCTCATTGTGGTTTGATTTGCATTTCTCTGATGGCCAGTGATGATGAGCATTTTATCATGTGTCTTTTGGCTGCATAAATATCTTCTTTTGAGAAGTGTCTGTTCATGTCCTTCACCCAATTTTTGATGGAGTTGTTTATTTTTTCTTGTAAACTGGTTTGAGTTCATTGTAGATTCTGGATGTTAGCCCTTTGTCAGTTGAGTAGATAGCAAAAATTTTCCCCCATTCTGTAGGTTGCCTGTTCACTCTGATGGTAGTTTCTTTAGCTGTGCAGAAGCTCTTTAGTTTAATTAGATCCCATTTGTCAATTTTGGCTTTTGTTGCCATTGCTTTTGGTGTTTTAGACCTGAAGTCCTTGCCCATGCCTATGTACTGAATGGTATTGTCTAGGTTTTCTTCTAGGGTTTTTATGGTTTTAGGTCTAACATTTAAGTCTTTAATCCATCTTGAATTAATTTTTGTATAAGGTGTTAGGAAGCGATCCAATTTCAGCTTTCTACATATGGCTAGCCTGTTTTCCCAGCACCATTTATTAAATAGGGAATCCTTTCCCCATTTCTTGTTTTTGTCAGGTTGGTCAAAAATCAGACACTTGTAGATATGCGGCATTATTTCTGAGGGCTCTGTTCTGTTCCATTGGTCTATATCTCTGTTTTGGTACCAGTACCATGCTGTTTTGGTTACTGTAGACATGTAATATAGTTTGAAGTCAGGTAGCGTGATCCCTCCAGCTTTGTTCTTTTGGCTTAGGATTGACTTGGCAACACGGGCTCTTTTATTGTTCCATATCAACTTTAAAGTAGTTTTTTCAAGGCAGTGTGCAGAGGAAAATTTATAGCACTAAATGCCCACAAGAGAAAGCAGGAAAGATCTAAAATTCACACCCTAACATCACAATTAAAACAACTAGAGAAGCAAGAGCAAACACATTCAAAAGCTAGCAGAAGGCAAGAAATAACTAAGATCAGAGCAGAACTGAAGGACCTAAAGACACAAAAATCCCTTCAAAAAATCAATGAATCCTGGAGCTGGTTTTTTGAAAAGATCAACAAAATTGATAGACCACTAGCAAGACTAATAAACAAGAAAAGAGGGAAGAATCAAATAGACGCAATAAAAAATGATAAAGGGGATATCACCACCAATCCCACAGAAATACTAACTACATCAGAAAATACTATAAACACCTCTATGCAAATAAACTAAAAAATCTAAAAGAAATGGATAAATTCCTCGACACATACACCCTCCCAAGACTAAACCAGGAAGAAGTTGAATCTCTTAAAAGACCAGTAACAGGCTCTGAAAATGAGGCAATAATTAATAGCTTACTAACCAAAAAAAGTCCAGGACCAGATGGATTCACAGCCGAATTCTACCAGAGGTACAAGGAGGAGCTGGTATCATTCCTCCTGAAACTATTCCAATCAATAGAAAAAGAGGGAATCCTCCCTAACTCATTTTATGAGGCCAGCTTCATCCTGATACCAAAGCCTGGCAGAGACATACATAAAAAAGAGAATTTTAGACAAATATCCCTGATGAACATCGATGCAAAAATCCTCATAAAATACTGGCAAACCAAATCCAGCAGCACATGGAAAAGCTTATCCAACATGATCAGTTGGGCTTCATCCCTGGAATGCAAGGCTGGTTCAACATATGCAAATCAATAAACATAATCCAGCATATAAACAGAACCAATGACAAAAACCATATGATTATCTCAGTAGATGCAGAAAAGGCCTTTGACAAAATTCAACAAAAAACTCTCCATAAATTAGGTATTGATGGGACGTATCTCAAAATAATGAGAGCTATCTATGGCAAACCCAAAGCCAATATCATACTGAATGGGCAAAAACTGGAAGCATTCCCTTTGAAAACTGGCACAAGACAGGGATGCCTTCTCTCACCACTCCTGTTCAACATAGTGTTGGAAGTTCTGGCCAGGGCAATCAGGCAGGAGAAGGAAATAAAGGGTATTCAATTAGGAAAAGAGGAAGTCAAATTGTCCCTGTTTGCAGATGACATGATTGTAAATCTAGAAAATCCAATTGTCTCAGCCCAAAACCTCCTTAAGCTGATAGGCAACTTCAGTGAAGTCTCAGGATACAAAATCAATGTACAAGAATCACAAGCATTCTTATACATCAATAACAGACAAACAGAGAGCCAAATCATGAGTGAACTCCCATTCACAATTGCTTCAAAAAGAATAAAATACCTAGGAATCCAACCTACTTGGGACATGAAAGACCTCTTCAAGGAGAACAACAAACCACTGCTCAATGAAATAAAAGAGGATACAAACAAATGGAAGAACATTCTGTGCTCATGGGTAGGAAGAATCAATATCGTGAAAATGGCCATACTGCCCAAGGTAATTTATAGATTCAATGCCATCCCCATCAAGCTACCACTGACTTTCTTCACAGAATTCGAAAAAACTACTTTAAAGTTCATATGGAACCAAAAAAGAGCCTGCATTGCCAAGTCAATCCTAAGCCAAAAGAACAAAGCTGGAGGCATCACGCTACCTGACTTCAAACTATACTACAAGGCTACAGTAACCAAACAGCATGGTACTGGTACCAAAACAGAGATATAGACAAATGGAACAGAACAGAGCCCTCAGAAATAACGCCACATATCTACGACTGTCTGATCTTTGACAAACCTGACAAAAACAAGAAATGGGGAAAGGATTCCCTATTTAATAAATGGTGCTGGGAAAACTGGCTAGCCATATGTAGAAAGCTGAAACTGGATCCCTTCCTTATACCTTATACAAAAATTAATTCAAGATGGATTACAGACTTAAACGTTAAACCTAAAACCATAAAAGCCCTAGAAGAAAACCTAAGCAATACCATTCAGGACATAGGCATGGGCAAGGACTTCATGTCTAAAACACCAAAAGCAATGGCAACAAAAGCCAAAATTGACAAATGGGATCTAATTAAACTAAAGAGCTTCTGCACAGCTAAAGAAACTACCATCAGAGTGAACAGGCAACCTACAGAATGGGAGAAAATTTTTGCAATCTACTCAACTGACAAAGGGCTAACATCCAGAATCTACAATGAACTCAAACCAGTTTACAAGAAAAAACAAACAACCCCATCAAAAATTGGATGAAGGATATGAACAGACACTTCTCAAAAGAAGATATTTATGCAGCCAAAAGACACATGATAAAATGCTCATCATCACTGGCCATCAGAGAAACGCAATCAAAACCACAATGAGATACCATTTCACACCAGTTAGAATAGCAATCATTAAAAAGTCAGGAAACAACAAGTACTGGAGAGGATGTGGAGAAATAGGAACACTTTTACACCATTGGTGGGAATGTAAACTAGTTGAACCATCATGGAAGTCAGTTTGGCGATTCCTCAGTGATCTAGAACTAGAAATACCATTTGACCCAGCCATCCCATTACTAGATATAAACCCAAAGGATTATAAATCATGCTGCTATAAAGACACATGCACACGCATATTTATTGCAGCACTAGTCACAATAGCAAAGACTTGGAACCAACTCAAATATCCAACAATGATAGACTAGATTAAGAAAATGTGGCCCATATACACCATGGAATACTAGGCAGCCATAAAAAATGATGAGTTCATGTCCTTTGTAGAGACATGGGTGAAGCTGGAAACCATCATTCTCAGCAAACTATCTCAAGGACAAAAAACCAAACACCGCATTTTTTCACTCATAGTTGGGAGTTGAACAATGAGAACACATGGACACAACAAGGGGAACATCACACTCCGGGGCCTGTTGTGGGGTGGGGGTAGGGGGGAGGGATAGCATTTGGATATATACCTAATGTTAAATGAGGAGTTACTGGGTGCAGCACACCAACATGGCTCATGCATACATATGTAACTAACCTGCACATTGTGCACATGTACCCTAAAACTTAAAGTATAAAGAAAAAATCCTAGGCCTCATTTTTGTATGAAGGTCATAGAGAATTACCTCTGTCTCACATTTAATAGAAAGCCATTGGATGTTACAGGGAGTGTCAACACAGAGCCCAAGGCACAGGTGAGGTTGTGTTTCTTGTTATTTTCTCAATTGAATGAAGCCCATTATTGAGGTCCTGAATCTTACTGGTTGATGTAGTCTACATTTGAGATTGTGGCTATCATATGTAAACATGTAAACACAGTTGGGATGGTGACTCATTTTAAGGTCAACTCATAGGAAGGTGAAGATTCTTCATTCTGGACTCAGCTAATTGGAGAGACATTGAACCTCATACTTGGGCTAAAGAGCACAGGAATGATCATGATTCACATCAGCACAAATGTCTCAGAGCAGATTGAGAATCTCATGCATAAGGTATAAAGCCCTAGGGTGATACATAAGTGAGATTTTGACACTCACTCAGTCAACAGAAAAAATTGTCATCTGTTGCAGGAAGTCAGGGACCCCAAACAGAGGGACTGGCTGGAGCCACGGCAGAAGAACATAAATTGTGAATATTTCATAGACTTTTATCAGTTCCTAAAATTCATAGTTTTATTATTTCTTATGTCTGTCTTTACTGCAATCTCTGAACATAAATTGTGAAGATTTCATGGACATTTATCACTTCTCTAATAATACTCTCATAATTTCTTATGTCTGTCTTTACTTTAATCTCTTTATCCTGTTATCTTTGTAAGCTGGGAATTTATGTCACCTCAGGATCACTATTGTCCAAATTGATTGTAAAACATATGTGTTTGAACAATATGAAATCAGAGCACCTTAAAAAAGAACAGAATAACAGTGATTTTCAGGGAACAAGAGAAGATAACCATAAGGTCTAAGTGCCTGCAGGGTTGGGCAGAATAGAGCCATATTTTTCTTCTTGCAAAGAGCCTATAAATGGACGTGAGAGTAGAAGAAATATCAGTAAATTCTTCTCCTAGCAAGGAATATTGAATATTAAGGCCCTAGGAAAAGAATTGCATTCCTGGGGGGAGGTCTATAAGTGGCCACTCTGGGGGTGTCTGTCTTATGCGGTTGAGATAAGGACTGAAATATGCCCCGGTCTCCTGCAGTACCCTCAGGCTTAGTAGGATTGAGAAATTCCAGCTGGTAAATTTTGGTCAGACAGGCTCTCTGCTCTCAAACCCTGTTTCCTGTTAAGATGTTTATCAAGACAATATGTACACAGCGGGACATAGACCCTCATCAGTAATTCTAATTTTGCCTTTGCCTTGTGATCTTTGTTGCCCTTTGAAGCATGTGATCTTTGTGACCTAATCCCTGTTCATGCACCCCCTCCCCTTTTAAAATCCCTAGTAAAAACTTGCTGGTTTTGCATCTCAGGGAACATCATGAACCTACCTATATGTGATGTTACCCCTGGAGGCCAAGCTGTAAAATTTATCTCTTTGTACTCTTTCTCTTTATTTCTCAGACAGGCTGACGCTTAGGGAAAATAGAAAAACCTACGTTAAAATAGTGGGGGCTGGTTCCTCCAATAGTCATCTTCCCACAGCAACACAGCCCATTGTTAAGGCTCTGGATTTCACCACCAAAAGCAGTCAAACGTTGGAAAATTGAGTCTCATATGTGAATCTGATCCACAGGTAGGTTAATGACTCTAAGACCAATATTCAGCACATCTGTGAGGTTGTAACTGACTCAGATAAAACAGCACACAGGAAGGATTGTGCCTCTTATGCACAGATCCAGTTTATAGTTGAGATGAACTCATGTACTAAGACCCAACTTACATAAGGCATTAACTCACGTACTCAGAAACAGGACATGCACTGGATTGTAAACATCATTATATGACCTTCCTACAAGTGTAAATGTGATATATGCCTCTGGCCAGCACCTGAGTGATTGAACTTTCTAGCCTGGGCCCAGCCCACATACAGGATTGTGACTTATTGTTGGACCCAGCACCTAGGTGACATGGCTTTATTATCCTGCCTTGGTGCTGCCCAGAAGGGACATTGTTGAGACTCACTTCTCCTGCCTGGTTCCTGCTCACAGTGGGAATTGTGACCTATGACCTACTCTGTCCCTCTTCTACCTGTGCTAGACCTATTAATCGATAGGAATCCAATCTGGTAAGTCAATAATCAAAAGCTGTAACTTAATTTTCCCACTTTGTTCGTTGTTAGTTTTTTACATAGAAACACACTCAGCATGATAGCAGTAAGAGCAGAAGTCATAAGGTCTAACAATTATTGAGCAATAGCTGCCAGCATCCTAATTTTTTTTAAGCATCACTTTTTTCATTCATTATAATTCTATGACAGAGGGGTGTAGAAGTAATTATTATCCTCAGGATTTACATGAGAAAATAGGGACCCAGATAGTGGGCCAGCTATTACAATGCAAACTGTTAAGTTTGTCTTCAGGGCTGTGCTTCTGACCCCTGACAGACTACCTACCATAGAGACATGATTCGTTCACCAAAAAAATACTAACTGAAAACCTCCTGTGTGCAGAGTTCTTCCTGTTAGGCATATCAAGGGAAAAGATGGGCACACCAAGGAAAAAGTATAAATGTGCCAGGACAGGGTTCTGGTTTCCAGAAATAAATCACAGCTTACCTATTCAACAGCTAATTTTAGCTAATATTTGACAATGTAAGTTAGAACTTCCCTCCTGTGATGGTCAGGAATGGAGATTCCTGTTCTGTGGACTGAGGGGCTTGCAGAGGTCATGTTAGTGCATGAACTGACTGATTTGGATTTGTGTGCCCTTAAAGAGGGGGGGTTCAACAAGACACTAAAGCAGAATGCTGGCAGACTGAGACCCAGTGAAAAAGTAGAGTGAAACCCTGAACAAAACCTGCCAAGTATCAAATTTTTACCATGTTCTCATTGGAAAGAATAGTATGTGAAAAAGTGGTGGTCTTTCACATGGTGGGAAATATTCCCACAGGTGAAAAAGAATGGGCATGGACTCTGTGATTCTGCTGGTCTTCTGTGTGGTGGGTAGTGGGAGACTTTCTTATCTCTTGAAACCTTTTGTGTGGACACCCACTTTTAACCTCACTGAAAGTGCTGAGCCCTGTTCAAAGACTCATATGAAACCTACTTTTGAAGAGATTTGAAACTGTAAACTCATAAGTGTTTGGGAAATTTAGTTTTGCTTTGGGTAGGCCCAACACTGTGAAAACAGGTCTATTGGTTTGTTATAATAGGTTATTGTCACTTACATAATATAGAAACTCAAGGTTTTGCCTCAGAATTTGCATTGGGTTGATCCTAAGAAGTTCATAACATATGATAGGAGCCAAGTAAGGGCAACAATTGAATTGACTTGACTACTAATTTAATCTAAAGATTTGTCCAAGATCAACTGTGATAGCCTCTGGGAGGTATTATTTCTTTGTTGTTTTGCTTTTTAAGCAGGAGGAGCTACATGTACTGGAGGACAGTGAGAGAAAAACCTTCTGTCTTTTTTGAATGTTTGAGATGGGGTCATCAGCATGCCTAGATTCTTTTATGAGGGTGCCTGAGCAAGTTATGAAATTGGCAAATCTTGCCTTGTGATAGGCACTTGAGGTTCTGTTTCCAGTTTTTTCCTATCTGTGGATAAGGACTATTTCAAAACTAGGAATAAACAGAGAATTGAAGTCATGCATGCTACCAGCTCAATTTTAACTGACTTATCTTCTGTATTTACTACTAGTATTATTATTATCATTGTTATTTTTCTCATGACATTGGGAGAGTTTCAACAAAACAATATTGGAAAGCAATCTGGATTAGTAGACCAGCATTCTGGCTCCTTTCTTTTCTCATCTCTTCAATATCACTTTCAGCAAGCTTGCATTGGGAACCATTTTTTGACACCTACACCTGGTACCAGGCTCTAGAACTACAAAGATAGATGTAATATGGTTCTGGTTCTAAAATTCACCAGTGCCTCACAACCAGCAAGAACACGTGGAGAACTGGCAAGTGAGAAGTTGCAGTGGAAAGAAAAGGTGATACCCTCAAATGTGCAGGTTTTCCATGTGTAGAAGAAGAACGTGGGAAAGAAGAAATGTAAATTTGGGCAAAAAAGCAGTTTAAGTACAGGACTTGAAGTATTAAAATATGAGGCTTATTTGAGCACAGGGTAGGACAAGAAGTAGAGTGTGACAAGAGAATATAGTTTAGCGGGGTGGTGTAGCGTTGATATGATAACAGGAGTTCGCCTTAGGAAAATGGATGTTGGCTCAGCTGTGTAGGCTGTTATGAGCCATCAAACGTTTTGGAGCTGGGCTGTAATGTGAGCAGCTCTGTGTTTTGGAGAGAACACTGCTAAGCTTTTAGAAAGTTTAAGCTGGAAAAAAGACAATGAGTTCAGCTAGGTGATGTGACTCTCCTCTTTTTCATTACCAAAATCCACAGGGGCATTGTGACATACAGGTAGGCCTTGCCCCCAGGTGATATGAGTCTCCTGTTCTGCCTTGGTGATGTTTGTAGGAAGCATTGTGACACATTGCTGGACTCAACACAAAGGTGATGTCACTTTTAGCCTTAGTCCTGCCTTCTAAAGGCACTATTAAAAATTGCTTGGACTATTACCAAGGTGATTTGAGTTTCTTGCTTGGACCCTCCCCACAGTAGGCATTGTGACATATCACCTAGAAAATGTGACTCCTCATCTCTGCCTGCACCCTGACAACAGAAAGAATTGTGACATATCATTTGATCCAGAAACCAGATAATGTGTTTCTTTTGCCTGGACCTTTGTCAGAAAAAGCATCGTTACATATCTCTGGGTCTCTTAGCTAGGTGATGTGACTCACTCTCCTGCCTGGGGCCTTCACTCAGAGGGTATTGTGATATATTGTTGGACCAAGCATTTAGGTGATGCAACTTTCTCAACATCTTGGACTCTGTCCAATAAGGAATTTTTATGTGTTGATGTGCCCTGCACCTTGGTGATGTGACTCTCCTCTCCTGCCTGGGCCCTGCATACATTGTGTGTTGTGACATATTGCATGTTGTCACGCCTAGGTGATAACTACTATCTCACATAAGCCCTGCTCACAAAGGCATTTTAATATATTTTTTATGTCTATTACCTATGTGATGTGTCTCTCCTCTTCTGCCTGGGTCTTACAAAAAATGAGGGGTTGTGACATACTACTGGACACAGATTCTAGGTAACATGACACTCCTCTTTTGCCTGGCCCCTGGATATTTAAGGCTTTATGACATATTTTTGCACTAAACATCTAGAAAATAAAAGGTTCCTGCCTGGGTCCTGCCCATAGGAGACCTGTGACATATCTCTACATCTATCACTTAGGAAATGTGACTCTCCTCTTCTGCTGGCACCTTGTGCACAGGGAAGATGGGGATATATTACTGAGCCCAGTGAGCATGTGATGAAACTCTCCTCTCCTGCCTGGCCCCCACGTATATTGTGCATTGTAAAATATGGCTGGGTCCAACACCTAGGTGATATGACTCTCCTGCATAGGTCCTACCCACAAGGTTATTAAGATGTGTCTTTTTCTTCATCACCTAGGTATTTCAAATTTCCTCTTCTGCCTGGGCCATGCCAAAAGCACTGTGACACATTACTGGAGCCAGCACTAGGTAATGTGCCTTTGCTGACTCAGCCTAGCCACAGAGACATTATGACATATCGTTAGGCCCGGCAACAAGGTGAAGGGACTCTGATGCCTTAGTCCTGCTTTCAGGATGGGATTATAACATATCATAACTAAAAACACAGGTGCTGTGACTCTGTTGCCTGTTGCCTACTCTCATGAAAAATTATGACATAACCCTAGCCCAGCAACAACATGGTGTGACTCTCTTTCCTGGTCACTGCCCTCAGAGAAGGTTGTAAATATCTCTGACACAGCACCCAGATGGTGTGATTCTCCTGCTCACTCCCTCCTTACCCAGTTGTGGGGTTGTCACATATATCTTAATTCAGTTTACAGGTGTCATAATTACTCTCATAACTTGAGTCAGCCAATATGAGAATACTGTCTGTCTTAGGAAAACGTGTCAAATCCTAGGTCTCATTTTTCTATGAAAGTCATAGAGAAATACCACTGTCTCACATTTCATAGAAAGTCCTTGGGTGGTACAGAGAGTGTCAACACAGGGCTCAAGACATAGGAGAGGTTGTATTTCTCATCATTTTCTCACTTAAACAAAGCCCATTATTGAGGTCCTGAATCTTACATGCAGACACAGTCCACAGTTGAGATTGTGACTATCATATGTAAACATGTAAGCACAGTTGGGATGATGACTCATTTTAATCTCAGCTCATAGGAAGGTGAAGATTCTTCATTCTGGACTCGGCTAATTGGAGAGATGTTGATTCTCATGCTTGGACTTAAGGCCACAGGTACAATCATGATCCATACCAGCATAAATGTCTCAGAGAAGATTGAGAATCTCATGCATCAGGTATAAAGCCCTAGGGCGATACATAGGTGAGATTGTGACACTCACCAAGTCGACAGAAAAGATTGTCATCTTCCCACATGAACACAGCCCATTGTTAAGGCTCTGGATTTCACAACCCAAAGCTGTCAAACATTGGAAAATTGACTTTTATATGTGAATCTGGTCCACAAGGTTGGTGACTCTAAGACCAATATTCAGCTCACCTGTGAGGCTGTAACTTCACTCAGATAAAACAGCACACAGGAAGGATTGTGCCTCTCATGCACAGATACAGTTTATTGTTGAGATTAACTCAGGTACTTACATCTAAGATACATGAGGTGTTAACTCACATACTTAGAAACAGGACATGTGCTGGATTGTAAATATCATTTTATGACCTTCCTGCAGGTGTAAATGTGATATATGCCTCTGGCCAGCACCTGAGTGATTTGACCTATAGTCTGGGCCCAGCCCACGTACAGGATTGTGACTTATTGTTGGATCCAGCACCTAGGTTATGTGACTCTATTATCCTGCCTTGGCACTGCCTAAAGGGGACATTTTTGGGACTCACTTCCCTGCCTGGTTCCTGCTCACAGGGGGTATTGTTACCTATGACTAACGCAACACCTGGCTGACGTGACTCTTCTTCTTTGTATGTTCTTCCCTCAGGGGAGATTGTGAGATATTACTGGGCCCAAAAGCCCAGGTGATGTGTCTCTCCTTCATGTTCCTTGCTAACAGAGAACATTGTAATTTACTGCTGGCTCAGCATCAAGGTGAGGTGACTTTGCTGTCCGTGACCTGCTTTCAGGAGGGGATTGTAATATATCTCTAGCCCAGGTGAGATTGTGACACTCTTATGCACACAAAGCTCTTAGTAAAGATTTTCATTCTTGCATTTGTGAATTCAGTTTACTGCTGAGGTTCTGAATCTCACATTAGGAGGAAGTTATAAGTTGGATAATTGACTCATACTACGATGTAATTCACAGGTGGGTTGGTGTATTTCAGACTAAGATTCAACTCACCTATGAGGCTATTACTCCATGAATAAGATACGGTCCACAGAAGGGATTGAAGTTCTCATGAACAAATTCAGTCCACTGTTGATATTGTGAATTTTGTACTCAGACCCAACATAGAAGAGGTGTTTGCTCTCATACCCAAATAGGGACATGTGTAGGATTTTTAGTCTTATCCTTGAACCTACCTGCAGCTCTGATTGTGACATACACTTCTTCCAAGCACCTGAGTAAGGATGTCACAATAAAGACATATACCCTATGTGTTAGGTCCAGGAAGGTCACATGGAATTGTTACATACTTCTGCACCTAGCACCTAGGGTATATGTTTTTTATTCTTCTGTCTTGGCATTGCCCAAATTGCATCTTGTGACATATTTCTAGGTCTAAAACCCAGGTGATGTGAGTCTCCTGCCTAGATTCTGCCTACAGGGGGAATTGTGACATATTTCTGGACCCATCATCTATTTGATGTTACTCTCCTCTCTTACTTCATATTTGCCAACAGGTGACATTGTGACATATCTCTGGCCCCACCAACTAGATAATGTGACTCTCCTTTTCTTCCTGGGCTCTGGTCACAGAAGGGAGAGTAAATTATCCCTGGACACAGCCCAGAGGAGATGTGATTCTTCTGCCTGGTTCCTGCCCATGAGGACAAGAGATAAATACATTGTGATGTATCTCTGTGACCATCAACCAGATTATGTGACTCACCTTTATTTCTAGAGACCTGTCCACAGTGTGAGTTATGACATATCACTTGGCACATCATCTACATTATGTGACCCTCCTCTCATGCCTGGGCCCTGCTCACTGAGGTTGTTGTAACATATGGCTGGCCCCAGCCCCTAGGTTACTTTTCTCTTCTCTTCTTCCTGAGCCTTACCCACAGTAGGCCTTTTGACATATTCTTGGAACCCTCCTGAGGCGATGTGATTCTTCTGCCTGGGCCCTTTTTCAGGGTGTGTTATGCCATATTTTTGGGTCCAGCAACAAGGATTACCTCTACTGTTTGGGCTTTGCCCTAAAAGAGATTGCAATGTATTGCTGGGCACAACACCTAGGTGATGTGACTGTCCTCTCCTTTCTGGGCTCTGCACACATTCTGTATTGCAAAATATTCGGCACCTATGTGTGTGACTCTCCTTCCATGTTTGAGCTCTTGCCACTAGAGTGATTGGGACACATAGATCAGCCCACCTATTAGGTTATATAACTTCCCTCTTCATTTTGTTCTTTACCCACACAGAGATTGGGACATATTTCTAGACCTCTCACATAGATGATGTTACCCTTTTACCTGGGTCATCCTCTTAGGGGTCATTGCAAGATATTGCTGGACCTAAAGCCTAGGAGGTGTGACTCTCCTCTGCTACTTAGCCTTTGCTCAATAAAAAATTTTAATGTTTCCATGGGTCCAAGACCTAACTGATGTGACTATCATTTCTTGCCTAAGCCTGGAATACATTCTGTGTTATGACATATGGCTGGGTCCAACATCTAGATGTTATGACTCTCTTGAATGGGCCCTGCCAACAGAAGGCATTATGACATATCTGTGGCTGCATCAATTATGTGATGTGACTCTGCTGTTTTATGTGGACTTTGAAGAGATAGTGACATAGAAGAGATAGTGACATATTTCTGGGCCAAACAGCTAGGTGTTGTAACTCTCCTCTTCCCTGTGCCAGACCCACAGAAGGAATAATGAATTATCACTGGGCCCAGCACACAAGCAATGTCATTCTTTTGCCTGGTTGTTGCTCACAAGGGCCACTGTGACATATTTCTGGGCCCATGACCTATGTGATTTGATTCTCGTTTTCTGTCTTGGACCTGTCCACGGTAGAAATTGTGACATACTGCTTGCTGCAGTACCTACATAATATTACTCTCCACTCTTGCCTGAGCCCTGCCCACTGGTGAGACTGTGACAGATAAATGAGCACTGACCCTACATTATGTGATGCATCTCTTTTTTTCTAGCCCTACCCACCAGGGTCATTGCCCCATATTTCTTGTCACCTCACCAAGATGATGTGACACTTCTGCCTAGGCCTTTCTGGAAGTATTGTGAAAAATTGTTGTACCTGGCACCTAAGTAATGTGACTCTTCTCTACTTCTTGGGCTCTGCTCAAGGAGCCATTGCGATGTATACCTGGACGCAGCACCTAGGGGATGTTACTCTCTTCTCCTGCATGGGCCCAGCATTCATTGTGTATAGTAATATATGGCTGCACCCAACAAGTAGGTGATGTGACCCTTCTTCATGAGCCCTGAAGACAGGGGTATTAGATGATACTCTTTGTTCAGTACCTAGGAGATGTGACACATTTTTGTTGCCTGGGACCTGCCAGAGAAGACTGTGACACATCACTTGACCCAGCATCAAGGTGAGGTGAGTCTCTCTCTCTCTTTTTTTTTTTTTTTTTGCCTGGTCCCCACATGTTTTGAGTATCATGACATATCGCTGGGCCCAATACCTAGAAAATGGAAGGCTCCTGCCTGGGGCCGTCCACAGTGGACCTGGTGACATATCTCTGATGTGGCTGTCTTCTTGTGCCTGCACACTGCCTACAGGAAAGACTGTGACATATTGCTGGCCTAAGCAAACAGATGATGAGTCTCTTGTAATTGGGCCTTGCCCACAGAAAGAATTTTGACACAAAGCTGGGCCCATTAAAGAGGTGATGTGACTCTGCAGCCTGCACCCTGCTTTCAGGAGGGGATTGTAACATATTCCTGGCTGAATACCCAGGTGATGTGACTCTTCTGCCTGGTCCCTTGTGTCAGGGAATATTGTGATATATTCCTGGCCCAGAACACAGGTGATGTGACCCTCATGTTTGCTTCCTACCTACAGGTAAGACTGTGACATATATCTTGGTCCAGCCAGCAGTTGGAATGGCGACTCTCATACCACACACCAGCCAATAGAAAAGTTACTGTCTGTTTTAGCTGGGATTAGAGAAATGGGCAAGATCCCATGTCTCTTCTTTGTATGAAGGTATAGAAAATTGCCACTTTCTCACACACTATATAAAGCCCTAGTGTGGAACAAAATGCCATCACAGACCCCAGCATCCAAATGAGTTTGTGTTTCTCAGCCTACTATCCATCAGGATTTTCACCCTTCCACGTGGACAGAGCCTGCAGGTGAGATCCTGAATCTCACAGGTTGACATAGTCCACAGCTGGAATTGTTTCTGTCATATGCTACAGTTGATGGTAACTCATTTCTAAACCTAGTTCATTGGTAGGTAAGGAAACTTTTATTTGGACCCACCCAATTGGAGAGAAGTTGACTCTCAAAGAGGTTTGGTAAAAATTATAACCATGGCTCCCACCAGCAGGGAGGCCTCTGATCATATTGAGACTCTCATGCATAAAGACCTCAGGTGCTACAAAGAGTTTCCTGACAAGGCACAGCCCAGGTGAGATTTTAACACTTGTATGCACATCCAGTTGACAATAAAGATTGTCATACTGCCACATGAACACGGCCAACTTTTGAGGTTCTGAATGTCACATTTGGAGATAATCGAAACTTGAAAAAGTTGTTCTTACAAGTAGATCCAGTCCACAAGTGGGTTGCTGACTCTCAGACCAAGATTCAGCACACCTGTGAGGCTGCGACTCTACTAAGGAGGCATAGTGCACAGAAGAAAGTGAGCTTCTCATGCAAAGACCTAGTCCATTAAGATTGTGACTTGGCCAGGTGTGGTGGCTCATGCCTGTAATCCTAACACTTTGGGAGGCTGAGGCGGGTAGATCACCTGAGGTCAGGAGTTTGAGACCAGCATGACCAATATGGCAAAACCCCCTCTCTACTAAAAATACAAAGATTAACCTGGTGTGGTGGCGTGCACCTGTAGTCCCAGCTACTCAGGAGGCTGATACAGGAGAATCGCATGAACCTGGGAGGTGGAGGTTGCCGAAAGCTGAGATCATGCCACTGCACTCCAGCCTGGGCAACAGAGAGACATCCCATCTCAAAAAAAAAAAAAAAAGAAAAGAAAAAAAAAAGAGATTGTGACTCATGTACTTAGACCCAACATAGAGATGTTGACTCCCATACTTAGAAATGGGTCATGCGCAAGAATTTTAATCTTATCCCTGTATCGTTCTGCATGTGAGATTGTGTGACGTACACCTCTGTCCAGCAACTAAGTGCTTTGACCCTTCTGCCTGTGCCCATCACACAGATGGAATTTTGACATATTGCTAAACCCAGTACCTTCATGATGAGACTCTAGTCCACTGCCTTGGCACTGCCCACAGACAGCATTTTGACATATCACTGTCACTAGGCCTTATATTCAGTTAATGTGAGTCTACCCTTCTCTTTTGTCACTGTGCACAGAAGGCATTGTGACATATCACTGGGCCCCACACCCAGGTTATGTGATTCTCCTGCCTGTACACTGCCCAAATGGCCCATTGTGATATATTACTGTGTCCAAAACCCAGGTGATGTAACTCTCCTGCCTGATCCCTGCCTACAGGAGGCACTGTGACATCTCTGCACCCATTACCCACATGATATGACTCACTTCTGCCTGATCTCTGCTCATGGGAAATATTGTGACTCAACATTGGGCCCAGCATTGAGTTGATGTGACTCTTCTATTCGTTTTAGGTTCTGTCTGCAGGAGAGGTTGTGACATGTCTCTGGACCCAACAGTAAGGTGATGTTACACTGTTGCCTTGGTCCTTACTTCAGAAAGCTTTGTGATATTTTGCTGGGCTCAGCACTAAGATGATGTGAGTCTCTTGTCTGGACCCTGCCCACAGGGAGCATTGTGACATATCTCTAAGTTAATGAACTACTTGATGTGACTCTTCTCACTTACTTGGGCTTTGCCATTAGAAGAGATTGTGACATGTCTCTGATACCAGCACCTAGGTGTTGTGACTCTCCTTGTTTGCCTGTGTTATGCCCACAGAAGTTAGAGTGAATTATCACTAGGCCCTACACACAGGTGATGTGATTCTACTGCCTGCTCATTGCCCACAGGGGTCACTGCAACATATCTCTGGCACCACTATCTAGATTGTGACATATTCTTTCACCCAACATTTATGTGATGTGATTCTCCTCTCATGCCCGGACTCTTACACCCGTTTTAATTTTGACATAGAGCTGGTCTCATCTGTCTAGGTTACGTGACAGGTTGTGTGACTCTCTTCTTTTTTCCTAAGCCCTACCTACAAGGAGCATTGGTACATAGCTCTGGGCCCTTCGCCAAAAATAATGAATTCTTATTCTTTGGCCCTTTCCTCAGTGAGTATTGTGACATATTGATGGACTCAGCACCTAGGTGAGGTAACTCTCTTCTATTTTGTGGGCTCTGACCAAGGAGGTATTGTGATGTATCACTTAGCCCAGCACATAGGTAAATGTTATTCTTTTCTCCTGCCTGAGCTCAGCATAAATTGTGTATTGTGACATGTGGCCTATCTTAACAACTATGAGATGCAACTTTTCTGCATGATCCCTGCCCACAGGGGTATTATACCATATTTTTTAACATATAACTTGGCCCAGCACCTATGTGATGTGACTCCTTTCTCCCAGGCCCCAAATATTTGGTGTATTGCAAAATAATGCAGGGTCCAACACCTAGAAAATAAGAGGCTCCTGCCTAGACCCTCCCCATAGGGGGCCTTGTGACATATATCTGCATACACTACCTAGGAAATGTGACTTCTTTTCTGCCTGGACCCTCCTAACAGAAAAGATTATGACATATCACTGGACCCCACAACAAGGTGATGAGGCCCTTTTGACTGGGTCTTGAATACATAGATCATTGTGACATATTACTGAGCCCTTAGAGAAGATTGCCACATACAACTGGCCCCAAATCCAGGTAATGTTACTCTCCTGCTTACTCCTAATCCATAGGAGGGATTGTGACATATATCTTGGCCCAGCTTACAGGTGTGATGATCATTCTCATACCTTGAACTAGCCAATAAGAAAGATAATGTCTGTAATAGCTAGGCTTAGGGAAAAAGGTAAGATCCTGGGTGTCTTCTTTGTATAAAGGTCACAGAGGTTTACCTCTCTCTTGCATATTGTATAAAGCCCTCAAGTGGTACAGAGAGTATCATCACAGGTCCAAGGACACAGGAACTATTGTATTTCTGGTATGCACACCCTGCCAATCCTTAAGATAGTCATCCTCACCCATGGACGCAACCCACTGGTGAGATCCTGAATCTCACATGAAGACACAGTCTATAGATGGAATTGTGTCAGTCATATGTGAACATCTGGCCACATATGGGATAGTGACCCCTTTCTAAACCCAGCTTATAGGCAGATGAGTCCTTTTCTATTTAGACCCAGCCAACTGGGGAGGTGTTAACTCTCACACCTGAGCTTAGAGTGACACGTACAATCATGTGTTCATATCGGCATAAAGGTCTTAATGCAGTTTGCAACTCTCTTGCATATCATATTGTATTAGTTCATTTTCACACTGCTATAAAGAACTCCTCAAGACCAGGTAATTTATGTAGAAAAGAGGTTTAATTAGCTCACAGTTCCACATGGCTGGGGAGGCCTCAGGAAACTTGCTATCATGGCAGAAGGGGAAGCAGAGACCTTCTTCACAAGGTGGCAGGAGAGAGAAAGTGAATGAAGGAGGAACTTCCAACACTTATAAAACCATCAGATCTCCTGAGAACTCACTCACTATCATGAAAACAGCATGGGGGAAACTGCCCCATGATATAATTACCTTCCTCCCCTGACACGTGGAGATTACAATTGTAGATGAGATTTGGGTGAGGACATAGAGCCAAACTATGTATCTCATAAATTCTTTGGGTGGTACAGATAGGTACTAACAGAGCCCAGCTCAAAGGTGAGATTGTAACACTAGTAAGCAGACAGTCAAGAGTAAAGATTGTTGTCCTCTCACATGAATGTGGCCCACTGTTGAGGATTTAAATCTTATATCTAGAGGCAGTCAAGAGTTGCAATGTTGACTCTCATACATGGATTTGTTATGCATGGATTTGGTGACCCTCAAACCAAAATTTAGCACACATGGCTGGTTATGACTTATCTAAGGGGCATAATGCCCAAAAAACATTGAGAAGCTGCTGCACAGATCCAGTTCACAGTTGAGATTTTGACTCATGTACTTCACCAAACATACAAGACATGTTGACTCTCAGACCTAGAAACAGGACATGTGAGGGATTGGTAATCTCATCCCTGAATTTTTTTGAAGGTGTGATTTTGACATATGCCCCTGTCAAATACCTGATTTGACTCTCCTGCCTGGGCTCACTTCACAAATAGAATCATGATATATTGCTGGACCCAGCACCTAGATGAGATGACTCTATTCTCAAGCCTTGGTGCTTCTTACAAAAGGCATAGTGACATATCGCTGGGACTTGCACTCAGGTGACGTAAGTTTTCTCTCCTACCTTGGTGCTGCCCACAAGGGGCATTGTGAAATATTGCTCATTTTAACACCCAGGTGATGTGACTTTTCTGCCTGGGCCCAGCCTAAAGTGGGGATTGTGGCATCTCTCTGCACTCCTCACCCAGGTAATGTACTCTCATCTCTTGCCTGGTTTCTGCTCACAGGAGGGATGGTGACATATCCCTGAGCTCAACACCTAGCTAATGTGACACTTCTCTTCTTCCTAGGTTCTGCCCACAGGGGAGACTGTTACATATATACTGGACCCAGCTCCAAGATGTTACTTATTTGCCTTGACCCTGCCTTCAGAAGGCATTGTGACCTATAGCGGGGCCCAGGACCAAGGTGATGTGACATTCTTGCCTTGACTCTGTCAAGAGAGAGCATTGTGACATATCTCTGGGTCCATAAAATATTTTATGTGTCTTTCTTTTCTTACCACGGTTTTGCTTATAGAAGAGATTGTTACATATCTCTGTGCCCAGCATCTAAATGATATGACTCTCCTCTCCTACCTGGGCCATGCCCACAGATGAAAAAGTGACTTATCCCTGGGCCCAGCACACAGGGAATCTTATTTATTTCTCCTAGTCTCTTTCTACAGGGGACATTGCGAAGTATCTCTTAGCCCATCAATTAATTGATGCAAATCTCTTCTCTTACCTGGGATTTGCCCAAAGGGGATGTTGTAACATATCTCATGGTCCAGCAAGTAGGAGATGACACTCTCCTCTGATTGTTACATATTGCTTTGCTCAGCACCTACTTTATGTGACCCTCCTCTCATGCATCGTCCCTGCCCCTTGGGGTGATTGTGACATATAGCTGGCTGTAGCTCCTAGGTTATGTAACTTTCCTCTTCTTCCTGAGCCTTACCCACAGAAGGCATTGTGCCATACCTCTAGGGCTCTTACCTAGGTGATGTGGCTCTCCTGCTTTGGTCTTCATCTCAGAAAGTATTGTGATGTATTGCTGGACCTAGAACTTAGGTGATGTTTGGGCTCTGACCAAGAAGAGATTGCAATGTATCACTGGGCCAAGCACTCTTCTCTCTCCTAGGCACTACATACATTGTGTATGGAGACATATGGCTTGATCCCAAACCAAAATAATGCAACTGTTTTGCATTGGCAACGTCCACAGGTGTATTACCACATATCTTTTCCTTTAGCTCTGAAATTGAGCTCTGAAATAATCTGGATCTGTGTGCTCATCTCTCCTATTGAATTTAAACTTTAATCCAAAAGCCATGAAAATAGTCATAATTACTAAACACCACAAAGTGATGGCTTTTTTCATCTTCTTCTCCTTTTCTCTTCCTCCTTTCCATCTCCTCCTTTCCTCTTCCTCTTCTGCTCCTCCTCTCATCCTTGTCCTCTCCTCCTCCTCTCTTACTCCTCTCCCCTCCCCCTTTTTCTCCTCTGTCTCCTCCTCTTCCTCCTCTCCTCATTTTCTCCTCTTTCTCTCTTCATCCTCCTCTCCTTTTCTTCCTCTCATCTTTCTCTCCTCCTCCTCCTCTCCTCTTCCTCCTCTACTCCTCCTCTCCTCCTCCTTCTCCTTTCCCCCTCTTCCTTTTCTTTTCCTCCTCCTCCTTCTCTCCTTCTCCTACTTGTCTTCTTCTCCTCCTTCTCCCCTCCTCCTTCTCCCATCCTCCTTCTCCTCTCCTCCTCCTCCTCCACAGTTCCTCCCCCTTCTCCTCTTCTCCTCCTCTCCTCTTCTCCATTGCCTCTTCCTCCTCCTGTCATCCTCCTCCTTCTCCACTGGTTCTCCTCTATTTCTCCTCCTCCTCTCATTTTATCCTTTATCTCCTGCTCCTCTGCTTCTCCTCTATTTCTCCTCCTCCTCTCATTTTATCCTTTATCTCCTGCTCCTCTGCTTCTCCTCCTACTCTTTTTCTCCTCTCCCTCCTTCTACTTTATTTCTCCTTCATCTCCTCTCCTTGTCCTTCTCCTCTCCTGCTCTCATCCTCCTCCTCCTTCTCCTCTTCCCCTCCTCCTTTTTCTCATCTCCTACTCTGTTCCTCCTTCTCATCTCCTGCTCTTGTCTTTCTCCTCCTTCTCTTCTCCTCCTCCTTTTTCTCATCTCCTACTCTGTTCCTCCCCATCTCCTCCTCTTTTCCTCCTGATTCTGCTCCTCTCCTTTTCCCCCTAAACCTTTCCTCCTACTACCAATCTTTTACTTTGCCTCCTCTCCTACTCCTTCTCTGACTCCTCTCCTCCTCAACTCCTCCTTCTTCTCCTCTCCTCCTCTTCTTTCTTTCCTTTTCTTCCTCCTCATCTCCTCCTCCTTCTCCTCTTCCTCCTCTCCTTTTCTCCTCCTACTCTTCCTTCTCCTCTCCTCTTCCTCCTTCCTCCTCCTTCTCTTCCTCTCTTCATCTCCTCTTCCTCCTCCACTCCTTTTCCTCTCTTCCTCCTGCTCTCCTCCTTCTCCTTGTCTCCTCTTCCTCTTCCTCCTCCACTCCTCCTCCTTCTCCTCTCCTACTCTTTTTCCTCCTCCTCCTTCTCCTGTTCTCCTCCTACTCCTTTTTCTACTCTCCTTCTCCTTTTTCTCCTCTCCTAATCCCCCCATTCTCCTCCCCTTTTCTCCTTCTCTCCTCCTCCTCACCTCCTTCTACTTCTCCTCATTTTCTCTTCCTCTTTCTCCTCTCCTCGTCTACCTTCTCCTCCTCCTTTCCTTCTTTTTCCTCCTGCATCTCCTCTTCCTTTCCTTCTTTTCCTCCTCTCTGTCTCCTCTTCTCCTGTTCCTCCTCCTTCTCCTCTCATCCTCCCCTCCTTCTTCTTTTCCCTCCTCCTACTTCTCTCCTATTCTTCCTCCATTCCTTCTCTCCTCCTCCTTCTCTGCTCCTCCTCTCCTCCTTCTCCTCCTCTTCCTCCTTCTCTCCTCCTCCACCTTCTCCTCTTCTACTCCTCTTTTTTCCTCTCACCTTTCTTCTCCTCTTCCTCTCCTCCTTTTCTTCTCCTTCTCATCTCCTGCTCTTCCTCCTCTTCTCTTCTCCTCATCTTCTCCTTCTTTTCCTTTCCTCTTCTCCTCCATCTCTTTTCCTGCTTCTCCTTTTCCTCTCCTCCTCCTTCTCGTCTTCTTCTCCCCCTCCCCTCCTCCTCCCCTTTTCCTGTCTCTTCTTCTCCTTCTCTCCTTCTTCCCTCTTTACTTCCTCCTCTGCTCCTCCTCGTCCTGTCTTCCTCCTTTTCTCACTCTTCTCCTCCTTCTCTTCTCCTACCCTTCTCCTTTTTATCCTCCTCCTCTTCTCTGCTCCTCCTCTCCTCTTTCTTCTTTCCTCCTCTCCTCTTTCTTCTTTCCTCTTCCTCCTCCTCTCGTCCTTCTCATCTCTTCCTCTCCTCCTTCGCTTCCTTATTCATTTTCTCTTCATACTTCTCCCATCCTCCTGCTCCTCTTCCTCTCCTACTCCTCTTCCTCCTTCCCTCCTTTTTCTCTCCACCTCTCCTCTTAGTCCTCCTCTTTTCCTCCTCCTCATTATCTTTTCCTTCTCCTCTCGTTGTCCCAGCTTCCTTTTCCTCGTCTCTTCTCCTGGTCCCATTGTCCCCTTCTGATGTTTTTTTTTCTCCACTTCCTCTATTCTTACTATCTTTTTCTCATTTTCTCCTCCTCTCCTCTTGTTCTTCTCATTTTCTCCTCCCATTTTCTCTCCTCCTTTTCCTCTTCTCCTTTTCTTCTCCCCTTCTTTTTTCCTCTTCCTCTATCTCCACTCCTCCACTGCTACTCCTCCTCTTACAGAGCCACTGGTCATGCCAATCAGCATCCAGCACACATAGTGGCAGCTTCTGCAGCGCTGCACTAGCAAAACCTAATGTGTATCTATATTAGCTTGTGGAGGATAGGAATCGGGCCCAACCCCCGTGGCTGAGTTTATTTATATAGTTGTTTATTTATTTATTTTTTGATAAAGGGTCTTGCTCCGTCACCTAGGCTGAAGTGCAGTGGCACAAGATTATGACTCACTGTAGTCTCAAGAGATCCTCTCACCTCAGCCTCCCGAGTAGCTGGGAATACAGGCGTGGCCCATCACACCTGACTAAATGTTTTTTGTAGTGACGGCGTCTGACCACGTTGCCCAGGCTGATTTGAAATTTCTGGGCTCGAATGCTCCACCTGCCTTGGCCTCCCGGAATAGCGGGGTGAATTCATTTGCTACAGCACCACCAGGACTCAGAAGGTGCAAGCCTTGAATGCCAGAAACATCTTCCCAACGCTGCCCACCACTTTCTGCCCTCTGTCTCCCGGCATCCTTCCCCTGTGGAATGAGGAACTTTCCTTCTGTGGTCCTTCCAGGCCCTTTCTGGCAGGGAATCCTGGAAACTAGGGCTCCTGCTTTCCCCTGCAGCCGCAAAGCATTGGGGGTGCCAGCCGTGAGGTGGCCTCCTGGGGTGCTCTCGCCAAGGTATTTGGTGGAAGCCCCTGTCGCACCCTGCTCTGCGGATTTGATCTTCCTGGGCAGAGGACACTGGCGTCGAGGGGGCAGCGGGCATCCCCGCACCCTGGCCTTTTCCTGGCTGGCGGTTGTGTTGTGGCCGACTACCACCTAAGGCACACAGGAAAGAAGGGTGTCAGGGACTTGCCATGGGGGCGCCGATCGTTCCTCGCCCTTCCATTGGACAGGTGCGTGTTTTACAGGGATCCATCAGTGTGGAGTTCACCTTCCTTGTGCGAGTCGGGGGCTCGGTGCCAGGTGCCTCGTGAGTCCTGGAAAAAGGCGGAGGACCTTCTCCCGCTGAAAAAATTTGTAGCAGTTCCGGGGCTTCCCTTCCTCCTCCCACACCGGCCCTCATCCTACTGTGGTTTCCTCTGCCCCCAGCACCAGCCTCTGCCTGGGACCCCTCTCCCCATCCCACTCATGTCTGTTAGGAAACTGCGACCCTAATGTTTACTAAGGAGTAGGGGATGTCATTCCAGTTGCCGACGCCCTCCTTGCGAAGCGGCGCGTTTTCTGGGCCGAGGGCACATCGAGGATGTGACCCATTCCCTGGCCCAGAGTGAGGATGGGGCACAGCGGCCGATTCCACTGCCTGGCGGGACCACTTCCTTTCCAGGCAGGGCGGAGATATGCAGGGCGTGGGGACCCTGCTCGGTGCAGAACGTGCTGGCCATTGGGCCACTTTGCACGGGCCCCATGCCCTGGCCACTCTCCTCAGTGCTGAATCCATGAAAGATTATAACGAGGAGGAAAGAATTTTTACCTGCTCAGCGGATTTGTCCTCCCTCTCTCCTTACTGGTTAGGAGATCCAGGCCAGCAGTTCACACTCCGTTACAAAACTCTACAGAGCTTCCGAGCTAGCAGCAGCACACATTCGGGGAACATTGAAGGGATTGTCTTCTTCTTTTGTGGGTGGTTATGTTAGTGGTTGTGGAGAGAGAGAGAAGGGTGAATAAAAAATATAAAGATTTGGTTCCAAGTCTTTGCTATTGTGAATAGAGCTGCAATAAACATACATGTGCATGTGTCTTTATAGCAGCATGATTTATAATCCTTTGGGTATATATCCCGTAATGGAATGGCTGGGTCAAATGGTATTTCTAGTTCTAGACCCCTGAGGAATTGCCACACTGACTTCCACAATGGTTGAACTAGTTTACAGTCCCACCAACAGTGTAAAAGTGTTCCTATTTCTCCACATCCTCTCCAGCACCTGTTGTTTCCTGACTTTTTAATGATCGCCATTCTAACTAGTGTGAGATGGTATCTCATTATGGTTTCGATTTGCATTTCTCTAATGACCAGTGATGAGGAGCAGTTTTTCATGTGTTTTTTGGCTGCATAAATGTCTTCTTTTGAGAAGTGTCTGTTCACATCCTTTGCCCACTTTTTGATGGGGTTGTTCTTTTTTACTTGTAAATTTGTTTGAGTTCATTGTAGATTCTGGATATTAGCTCTTTATCAGATGAGTAGATTGCAAAAATTTTCTCCCATTCTGTAGGTTGCCTGTTCACTCTGATGGTAGTTTCTTTAGCTGTGCAGAAGCTCTTTAATTTAATTAGATCCCATTTCTCAATTTTGGCTTTTGTTGCCATTGCTTTTGGTGTTTTAGACATGAAGTCCTTGCCCATGCCTATGTCCTGAATGGTATTGCCTAGGTTTTCTTCTAGGGCTTTTATGGTTTTAGGTCTAACGTTTAAGTCTTTAATCCACCTTGAATTAATTTTTGTATAAGGTGTAAGGAAGGGATCAAGTTTCAGCTTTCTACATATGGCTAGCTTGTTTTCCTAGCATCATTTATTAAATAGGGAATCCTTTCCCCATTTCTTGTTTTTGTCAGGTTTGTCAAAGATCAGATGGTTGTGGATATGTGGCATTATTTCTGAGGTCTCTGTTCTGTTCCATTGGTCTATATCTCTGTTTTGATACCAGTACCATGCTGTTTTGGTTACTGTAGCCTTGTAGTATAGTTTGAAGTCAGGTAGCGTGATGACTCCAGCTTTGTTCTTTTGGCTTAGGATTGACTTGGCAATGCAGGTTCTTCCCAAATGTCCAACAATGATAGACTGGATTAAGAAAATGTGGCACATATACACCATGGAATACTATGCAGCCATAAAAAATTATGAGTTCATGTCCTTTGTAGGGACATGGATGAAGCTGGAAACCATCATTCTCAGCAAACTATTGCAAGGACAAAAAACCAAACACCACATATTCTCACTCATAGATGGGAATTGAACAGTGAGAACACTTGGACACAGGAAGGGGAACATCACACACCAGGGACTGTGGTGGAGAGGGGGGAAGGGGGAGGGATAGCATTAGGAGATATACCTAATGCTAAATGACGAGTTAATGAGTGCAGCACACCAACATGGCACATATATACATATGTAACAAACCTGCACACTGTGCAGTGTACCCTGAAACTTAAAGTATAATAATAATAAAATTAAAAAAATAAGCCACCTTTTCAAAAAAATATATAAAGATTTGTTACGTTTATATATAAATATATAAAGATTTGGAAAAACCTGTCTG
Organism: Homo sapiens; assembly: GCF_000001405.40. Lineage (NCBI taxonomy): Eukaryota > Metazoa > Chordata > Mammalia > Primates > Hominidae > Homo > Homo sapiens. The sequence continues at coordinate 24,175,896 of NC_000019.10, read as the reverse complement.
GGATTTTCATTAATAAAAAATTTAAACTTCATTCTTGTTTAAGAGTTTAGATTTAAGCTTAGCCCTTTCAAAGTCAATGGAAACAAAATTTGCCTGTTAGGTAAGAATGCTGAAAATAGTGAGACATTTCTGTCTGAAGGAAACAAAATTATTTCTGCAAGGCAATATTGCCAGTCCATCCCCAAATATTTGAGGGTTTTCTCCTTTTTTAGATATGTAGTGGTCTCTGCACCTGTGCATAATGATTCTGAAGTATATTTAAGAGAAGTGGAAGGTGAGAAAAAGTGAATTGCAAAAAGTAGAATGTTATTTTGTTTTCATTTTTGTACATCCGTGAAAAGTATTCTGTAGATTTGATGCTTTTTCAAGTAGGCAGGTATAGTTTCTAAGCCATATTTTAATCAGGGAGTCTGTTAGAGACTAAAATCTTGGCTAAAACCTCTTTGGAAACACACACACAAAAAAACGCTTAGTTCTGTGCTACCTTCAAGAGACCACAGAACTTTTGCAGGAATGGGTATGAATTCCTTCAAAAAGAACTTGTGCTCCATTTCAGGTAAATGAAGCTGCACTGTCTTATCATTCTTAAAAATATTGCTGGCCGGGCACGGTGGCTCACGCCTGTAATCCCAGCACTTTGGGAGGCCGAGGCTGGCGGATCATGAGGTCAGGAGATCGAGACCATCCTGGCTAACACAGTGAAACCCCGTCTCTACTAAAAAACACACACGCAAAAAATTAGCCGGGCGTTGTGGCGGGCGCCTGTAGTCCCAGCTACTAGGGAGGCTGAGGCAGGAGAATGGCGTGAACCCAGGAGGCGGAGCTTGCAGTGAGCCCATCTAGCATCACTGTACTCCAGCCTGGGTGACAGAGAGAGACTCTGAAAAAAAAAAAAAATTGCTAAACTGGCTGCATATTAGGATATCTTGTTTTTAAAGGATTTGCTGGATGTGTGAGACTTTTAAGATATGCTACTGATGCTTATGGATATATGGAATATCATTCTCTGGGGTTTTGTACATGCCACTTTATTTCTCATCAGAAATTCAAACTCTAAGCCCTTAGCGTGGCAAACAAGTATTTGTTATGTGATGGTAAACATTCATCTCACTAAGCTGGTACAGGTGGTACATTCATACCTAACTTGTAACAAGTTAGGGGGTCCAGGTGATTGTTTGATGAATGGGTCTTTTGTTTTATGTTACTTCAGGCAGACTCCGGAGGTCTTATTAACATCTGACACAACTACAGCATGTTAAAGGAGAAAAAATAAACCTTACTTTATTATTCCTGCATTAGATCAATAGCTGTTTATTGGCTACCTGTTGTGTGCCAGGCACTGTACAACATAGGTGCCCTGGTAATAAATGGATGGTAATAAATGTAGTTGCCAGCCAGGCATGGTGGCTTGTGCCTGTAATCCCAGCATTTTGGGAGGCTGAGATGAGTGGATTACCTGAGGCCAGGAGTTTGAGACCAGCCTGGCCAACATGGTGAAACTCCATCTCTAGTAAAAATACAAAATTAACCGGGCATAGTGGTTCATGCCTGTAATCACAGCTACTGGGGAGGCTGAGGCAGGAGAATTGCTTGAACCTGGAAGTTGAAAATTGCAGTGAGCCAGGATCATGCCATTGCACTCAATAAATAAATGAATAAATGTAATTGCCCTACATCGGGGCCCCCAACACCCAGGGCACAGACAGATACCAGTCTGTGGCCTGTTATAAACCAGGCTGCACAACAGGAGATGAACAGTGAGTGAGCGAAGCTTCATCAGTATTCACAGCCACTCCCCATTGTTCATATTACAGATCAGTGGCAGCATTAGATTATCCTAGGAGTGCAGACCCTATTGTGAACTGCACATGTGAGGGATGTAGGTTGCACACTATTTATGAGAATCTAATGCCTAAGGATTTGTTACTGTCTCTCATCACCACCAGATGGGAACATCTAGTTGCAGGAGAACAATCCCAGGGCTCTCACTGATTCTACATTATGGTGAGTTGCATAATTATTTCATTATACATTACAATGTAATAATAGAAAGAAAGTGCACAACAAATGTAGTGTGCTTGAATTATTCCAAAAGAAAACCGTCCCACCACATATGTGAAAAACCTGTCTTCTGCAAAACCAGACCCTAGTGCCAAAAAGGTTGGGGACAACTGCCCTACATTATACAGTGCCTGCGTACTCCAGGTAGCCAAAAAAATTTCTTAGTGGGGTTAATTAGAGCTTTTAAAAGCTGTATTTGTCTTTCTCTAGCTGGCTTTGTACTTTCTCTTTTTTCCCTTTCCTCAGAGACAATGGGATAAGATTACATAAAATGTGTGATATTTCCGGTGGTTTAATTACTTAAAAATGTTCCTTATTTATTTTGATGTATCTTCTTGGACTAAGTTATTTTCACCCTGCTTTTTTGAAACCATTCAGCAAAGATTCCATGTTTATACTCAGAGTAACACTATTAGGGTTGGGTGGGTATGTTGACCTATTTGATAGCTGCTTTATGATATGCCCAGAGCTGGAAATAAATTAACCTCAGGATCCACAATGCATAACTACCCCTAGCTCCATGGAAAAACTGCTTTATAGAGTCAACTTGATCTAAAAAAAATGTAGCTTTAAATGTATACTGCTTATTTACCTCTGTGTGTGTGTTGTTATTTTTAATAAAGAAGATCTTTTTTTCAAAATTTTATTGAATTTGAAGGTATAAAGGAATTTAAAATGAAACTTTAGCCTTTGGTGGCATTGTCATTGCTGACTACGATGATAGGCATCTTTTCAGTAGATTTTCTACCTCATGGGATAGTTGTAAGGATAAAATACATGTTCCAGAAACTCAAAACCTACATATGTAATCAAGTGTTATATTTTGAGATTAGGAAGCTTCGTGGGCATCCACTGTGGATTTCCTTTCCGGAATTTTGAATGTCTTGTGTTGGGGAAGGATGCTACCGGCCTTTAGTGCACAGACATTAGAAATGCTGCTCCGCATATTACAATGCACAGAACAGCCACAGATGTCAGCAGAGCTGAAGTCAAGGAAGCCTGCTTGGAAGGTATAGTAGTGGCCTTTAAAACATCCACAAGCATACTGGGTGCATGACTTGTATTGCATGTGCTATTTTTAGAAATCTGAAATTCCATAAAGTAGGTAAGCTTTTATTTGCCTCTAAGATGCCATGGTTGGCAACGTGAAAGTTTTACAAGAAGCTTGGGATTGAGGAAAACATTAAGTGGTGTTCAATGTATTTGAAAACTCCATAGTAAATAAGAGCTCTAGAACTCATCAGCTTCTACAACAAATGAGATGCATTGGTTCTGTAAAGCTATTTTGGTAGATGGCTCAGTTTTCCCAATCACCTCCTCAGTTATTAAGGAAACTCGCTCTGATGCTGTCATCTGCCAGTCTCCCTCATGTTTTAAGTTATGTGGAGTATATCTTTTTAAAAAATTGTTTGACAGACAGGCATGGTGACTCATGCCTGTAATCCCTGCACTTTGGGAGACCAAGACAGGTAGAGCACCTGAGGTCAGGAGTTCAAGACCAGCCTGGCCAACATGATGAAACCTCGTCTTTACTAAAAATACAAAAAATTAGCTGGCCGTGGTGGCATGCGCCTGTAATCCCAGCTACTCAGGAGGCTGAGGGAGGAGAATTGCTTGAACCCAGGAGGAAGAGGTTGCAGTGAGCCAAGATCACACCACTGCACTCCAGCCTGGGCAACAAGAGAGCAAAACTCCGTCTCCCCCCTCCAAAAAAAAAAAAATTGTTTGAACAGCTCTTACTTGCTTGACAGTTCATGTTTTTGCATTCATTAAAAACTCATGTTTTTACAAAATTCTTACATAACTATCTGCCCTTTTCATAGAGCAGTGTTTCTGAGCCACGTCTTCTGTCCTTGCATGTCCTCTTGAGAAGGTGGATGTCAGTCAGCTGCCCTGGCTGAGAAGGATGGGGATAATACAGGGAAGCAATAAAGGAGACAGTGATCATTTTTATGTTCTGGGACCCCAGGCCTCAGACAAAAACTGTCTAGTATAATGAAAGGTGTGATCTTTTAGCCATACAGTGCCACTGGTCTGACCTTTGTCCTGCCCTCCTCCTTGTTTAGTTAAATGAATATGTATGTGGTTAAAATATTCTACTTAAAAGTTTTAAACCAAGAGTAACTTAAAGGATGCTTAACTTGTGTTTCTCTGAATTTGATGTGTATTTAAATTATGAAAATAAGTTTTCTAAGAACCATTTTGTGTTCAAAAGCTTCTTAAAGTTTCACAACTTAATTTTCCTAAGTACAATTCTGATTCAGATTTAGCCTTCTTTTAGAAAAGAGACAGTTTTTCACCACCAAATTTACCATTCCCATGATAAGTTGTTGTAAGAAGTAAAGTTGTTGGGAAAAAGCTGAGTGTTGGGAGGCAAACTGAGGCAGGACTTGCATAAAGTCCTCTGAAATGTGACTAGACTTGCTGGCTCCTTGCTTCTAGCCTTCCTAGGCTCCATTCCCATTATCTCAAGTAGTAGAACATGTTACATATAAATGCTAAACCGTCACAACTGTAGATAATGGGCCCACCCTTTTGACCTCCACGTTCTCACCACCTGTTTCTTTGTTGGATTACCAATAAAATCGGTGGGTTCCCAGAGCTCAGGGCCTTCGCAGCCTCCTCAATTAGCGATGGCCCCCTGGTGTCCCACCTTTTTCGCTCTCAAAGTCTTTTTCTCAGTCCTTTGACTCTGCTGGACTTTGTCACTCCCATGACCTGGTGTTGGGTCTGATCACCCCAACATTCCTGGTCGCCCAATGTGGGGTGACAAAGACCCCGGTGAAGGAACACTAGAGCATGTGAAAGCAGAGGACGCATCGCCAAAGGTAACCCGAGGACGTTTAAAAGAACGTCGGCGGGAAAGTTGAGGGCTTGGAAGAACCAGGGTAAAAAAATGGGACAACGTGAAAGCATTCTGCTTATTTAAATTTCTTAAAGCACTTATTACGAAGAGGGGGAGTGAAAGTTAGTACTCAGAATTTGTTATCACTCACTTTTTAGTGCAATAAAGCAGTTTTGTCCATAGTTCCCGGAACAAGGGACTATGGCTTTGGAGGAATGGGAGAGAATTAGCAGAGATTTTTAAAAAGTGTATAAAGATGGAGCAAAAATTCCAGTCTTGGTTTGTTCAATGTGGGTGCTAATAAAAGCAGCTCTTGAGGTATTTCAAACACATGATGAAGCAGATTCAGATAAAGAAGAGGAGGACGAGTGTAAAAACTAACTTCAGATTCTGAATGTGAGGAACAGGAAACAGAAATTAAAAGAAAGGGAAACTGAAAAAAGTATGTTTTACTAGCCCATTGGCTCCACCTGATCAATTAAGTGAAGGCCACCTCCTCTCTCTCCCCTTAATGGGTGAGAAGATGAATTAGCTATGAGACTTACTGCTCCTGTAGTTGCAACATTAAAACCTGGAGCAATTGGTGGTGCTATATAAAATTATATTCAAAAGGCTAGAGTAGATGAAGACCTTGAAGCATGGCAATTTCCTGTAACTTTAATCCAGCAGGGAGGACCGCAAATGTCCTTCCGCTGTGTTTCCAAAATCCATCTACAAAGGAGAAAGAGAGATGTAAGTAGTTAAAGAAAAAACAGTGTAACTTATTCCTTTAAAAGCCAGGATAAATTTAAAACCTATAATTGATAACTAATGGTCTTCTCCGTGACCCTATAACACTCCAATACTATATTGTTGTCAGTGTAAACAAGGGCATTGCCTAAAAGCACTAAGACCACTGACAACCAGTAGCCTTCTTATCAAAATCCTTAACCCCAGTAACCTGTAGATGGCCCAAATGTATTCCATCGGTAGCAGCCACTGCTTTGCTAACAGAAGAAAAGAGAAAAATAACTTTTAGAAGAAACTTCATTGTGAGCACATCTCACCAGTTCAGAGCTATCCAAAGTAAAAGGAGCAAAAAGGTAGCTTACTAACTCAATCTTAAAGTATGGGGCTATTCTGTTAGAAAAAGTTGATTTAACATTAACCACTGAAAATTCCCTTAACCCAGCAGATTTCCTAATGAGGTATTTAAATCTTAATTACCATACAAAGGTCTGACCAGACCTAGGAGGAACTCCCTCCAGGACAGGATGACAGATGGTTCCTCCTGGGTGATTGAGGTGGGGGTCGGGGGAACAATAGGGAAACTCTTGTAGAAGCAGTTAGGAAAATTATCTAATAATTAGTCCTCTCAAGCGTGCGAGCTCTTTGCACTCAGCCAATCCTTAAAGTACTTTCAGAATAAAACAACTCTTATCTCAATCCTGACTCAAAAGTTTACCTACACCCTCTCTGAAATTAATTTACATAAGAACTGTTTATGGGAGTGCATCTTGATGGGGCAGCTGGGTTGTTATCAAATAGGAACCCAGCCCAGCTCTAGAACTCACCTCTTGAGTGCAAAGGCAATGTTGGGCATGCTGGTAAAGGACCACTGGAATCCAGCAGCCCAGACCCCTTTCTCTGTGGTCAAGAAAGGTGAGAAAACAGATGCAGGACTGCTACATCGGTGAACATAACTAATCCAATAAGCAGAAGTCCATGGGTATTATGCACCCTGGAAAGGAATAAGCATTAGGACATAGAGGATGCTCTAGGACTAATGCTCAGTGGAAAGTGACTAGGGGTTCTGTCATCTCTATGTTCTTTTTTTCAGATGGGAAATGTTCTCCCCAAGGCAAAAACACCCCTAAGATATATTCTGGAGAATTCAGCCCAGTCAGAGTTTATGTAACTTTTTTCCTGTCAGACTTGAAACAAATTAAAATAGACCTAGGTAAATTCTCAGATAACCATGATGTTTTACAAGGGTTAGGACAATCCTTTGATCTGACATAGTGAGATATAAATGTTACAGCTAGATCAGACACTAATCCACCATAACTGCAGCCCGAGAGTTTGGTGATCTCTGGTATCTCAGTCAGGTCAATGATAGGATGACAACAGAGGAAAGAGAACAATTCCCCACAGGCCAGTAGGAAGTTCCCAGTGTAGACCTTCATTGGGATGCAGGATCAGAACATGGAGATTGGTGCCACAGACATTTGCTAACTTGCATGCTAGAAGGACTGAGGAAAACTAGGAAGAAGCCTATAAAGTATTCAATGATGTCCACTATAACACAGGGAAAGGAATAAAACCCCACTGCCTTTCTGGAGAGACAAAGGGTGGCATTGAGAAAGCATACCTCTCTGTCACCTGACTCTATTGAAGGCCAACTAATCTTAAAGGACAAGTTTATCACTCAGTCAGCTGCAGGCTTTAGAAAAAACTTCAAAAGTCCGCCTTAGGCCCGGAACAAAACTTAGAAACCCTATTGAACTTGGCAACCTCAGTGTTTTTGTTTTTGTTTTTTTTTATACTATAGATCAGGAGGAGCAGGCAGAATGGGACAAACTAACAACAACGAGAAAAGGCCATAGCTTTAGTCATGACCCTCAGGCAAGCAGACTTTGGAGGCTCTGGAAAAGGGAAAGGCTGGGAAAATCAAATGCTTAATAGGGCTTGCTTCCAGTGTGGTCTGCAAGGACCCTTTTAAAAAGATTGTCCGAATAGAAATAAGCCACCTCCTTGTCCATGCCCCTTATGTCAAGGGAATCACTGGAAGGCCCACTGCCCCAGGGGACAAAGGTCCTCTGCGTCAGAAGCCCTAACCAAATTATCCAGCAGCAGGAATGAGGGTGCCCAGGGCAAGCACCAGCCCACGCCATCACCCTCCCCAGGTATGCTTGGCCATTGAGGTCCAGGAGGCTAACTGTCTCTTGGACACTTGTGTGGACTTCTCAGTCTTATTCTCCTGTCCTGGACAACTGTCCTCCAGATGTGTCACTATCCAAGGGGTCCTAGAACAGGCAGTCACTAGATACTTCTCCCAGCCACTAAGTTGTGACTGGGGAACTTGACTCTTTTCACAAGCCTTTTTAATTATGCCTGAAAGCCCCACACCTTTGTTAGGGAGAGACATCCTAGCAAAAGCAGGAGCCATTATACACTAGAATTAGGAGAATGAAAAAGGGTAAATATATGTACAAACTTTATGCTTAGCTAGACCTCCATGCCCACACAGCAATATGGAAAGGGAATTCCTAACTTCCAAAGGAACACCTATCAAACATCAGGAAGCCATTAGGCCCCAAAATTCTCCTTACCTCTGAGTCTACTTCCTCCGATCCCTGCCTAAAGATAATTTTATGGGGAAGGGGATTTGCTTGTGTCTCTCCAGGTGACAATCAGGTGCCTATGTGGGTGCCCACCAAATATCTGAAGATCTATCATAAGCCACAGCATCTAGTGGACCCACCTGTACAGTGAGAATTGAAGGTTTGAAAAGTCTCGATTTGCTTTCTCTATACCTTCTGTTAATCAGAAAAAGCCTGTTTCTCATTATCAGTGGCCTCCTGGCTACAGCCACAAAATTTTTGCTTCTGTTTCAGTAGATTTACTAACGTGGGGGTGAGGGTATGCTTTTGTTTTTGCAGGAGATGAACAAACCATGTGGACACCCTCAAGATGTGTACGACCATGGAATGGGAGACTGGAGGGACACATGGATACCAACCATGGAACGGGTTTCCCCAGTATGAGCCATGAGACAATCGAATCTGAATGAGAAGATGGAACGAGGACCGACCAGAGTCATGACGCTTAATGGACCAATGCTTTCTGACTCAGCTCCTCTCTGTCGTGAATACAAGAAATGCTAATAGTTAGGCAGGAATATCATCACCTCTATTCAGCATGAAGTTACAGAAGATGGACCTTCATCCTTCTGCAACCCCTAGGGTTAAGGTCCTTATGTAAAAGGGAAAGGGGAGCTATATGGCAAGCATTCAAACCAGAGCGACTCCAGTTTGAATAAAGGCTAAGAAAAATAAAGCTGGATCACCCACCATCAATTAAGGGCTGCAAAGCCTGCAATCGCCTTGCTCAATTAAAAGAGGGCACTTTTTATGCTAGTAATAATGATAGCTAGTAATAATGATACCTTCTCTTTTACAAAAAAGATAAGGGGGCATGTTGGGAAAAAGCTGTGTTGGGAGGGAAACTGAGACAGGGCTTGCATAATGTCCTCTGGAATGTGTCTAGACTTGCTGGCTCCTTGTTTCTAGCCTTCCTAGGCCCCTATTCCCATTATCTCAAGTAGCAGAACATGTTCCATATAAATGCTAAACCGTCACAGCTGTAGATCATGTGCCTGCTCTTTTGACCCCCACATTCTCACCACCTGTTTCTTTGCTGGATTACCAAAAAATACCATGGGCTCCCAGAGCTCAGTGCCTTTGCAGCCTCCATGATAATGATGGCCCCCTGGTGTCCCACTTTTTTCTCTCTGTCTTTTTCTCAATCCTTTGACTCCCCCGGACTTTGTCACCCCAACGATGTGGTGTTGGGTCTGATCACCCCAACATAAAGTTTGGCCTTTTTGTATGGGAGAGGAATGGAGGATGCCGGGATGCAGGTTAAGGAAGGTGACCCATGGAAGTGATATTTGAGCTAATATCTGAAGGATGGGTGACAGGAGGAAAAAGAATGCTTCAGAGAACAGCGTGGATGCTGGTGCCTCAGTGAGATTGGAATGCTGGATTAAGCAATGCATATGAACAGGGAATGTTTCCTACTCTTTGAAGAGTTATGTGTATGCTTTCCATGATTTTAGCTATTTCTCTACTTGTAATGTGTTTTAGTTGGTTAAAAATTATGTATGTCATGGATGAAGCAAGAAAAGTACTTATGTAACTGAGAAACCAATGTTACATTTTTACCTATGAAAATTATTAAATGGCTTTCTCCTATTCTTTTCCTTCTTTCCTTTTATTGATACTAAAATGCAAAGGAAAGATTTCTTGTAGATGGCTTGAGCTTTTGAATGATTTTCAGATGAGATGTACACCTACATGTTAAGAGCGTTGAAGTTTGTGTTTGATTTACGGATGCTTTATCTGTTTGACCAGTAAGCCTAGGATTCATGAGAAGAGACTTTGGGTAGGAACAAAGCTAGGACTGTCACAATGGCTTAAGCACATCAGAGCAGTTCTGATGCTACTTAGGAGCATCAAAACTCATTTCATGGCCAGATTTTTCACCTCATTTCTTAATTGAAACCACATAAAGAACATGAGTGGTCTTGTGATACCCTTCATGTCTTAGAGTTATATCAATATTTTGCTTCACCAGTAATCTGTGAAAATAAAGTTTAGTAAACAGAAGTTGCTGTTTATCTGCTGTATACTAGGATCTTGGCTAGATCTGTCAGTGCCCAAGAAAAAGATTTATTTTACCCCTCTCACAAAGAGTGAAATTTATTTCCACAGAGTGTTTGTCTAGCCAGCATTTAAAAACTTCTGATGACAGACATGCTCCCTACCCCTAGGTAGTTCTTGGGTTTCTACTATATTAATTAACTTTTTTTAAATGGCAAAGCATTTTTGAAACAAAATAGACAGTGATGTGTTTTCTGCTGAGTTGGTACATGCTAGAAGCTGGAGTGCAGGCATGCTGTTCTGTGCTTTATGCAACTCAGGGAGACAGTGTGAAATCTGACCCCCAGAGAGTTCCATCAGGGCATTCCTCAACTACTCAGTGAGTGGCCATCTCCTACATTAAGATTTCTGCTCCTGAGAAAAAATATCAGTCTCTCTTGGATGCACAGCCGTCCTCTTCTGTGTGAGTTGGGCCACCATCTTCTAAGACAATCTCACATGAAAGTCTTATTGGGATGCTCATTTTGTGTAATGCTTGTCTCTGATGTCATCCACATGACTCACCAAAATCTCAGGTGAGCCCCACTGTTCTCCAAAGATGGTTGTCTTGCATGGTATCAATTCTGACAGATGTAACCTGAACATCTCTTTGGGCCCCAGGTAGCACTGGTTTCTCTATTTTGGGGAAACCATAATTTTTCATTTCTTGCTTGGAAGCATAGATATTTCTGTATTACCACAACCATAAATATCATTAGGACAGACATCACACTTTATTCCATTTCTGTATGGGATAAGATAAACTGAACAGAAAGAAATAAAACTTTTAAAAGCCCTCCCTAGTCCTCACTTTTTAAAATTGAAATAGCTTGCTGAAGAGATGCTGGGTGGAATACTTGTAAAACTAAGCTTAAGAATGTTTTTTGGAAATTTAAATCTTAAGGTACTCTACAAATAACTCAGAGTTTTTTTCACCTCACTGTGACACAAGTATATGTGTGCATTTAGGAATCTAATTACAAGTTATTATAAATATATCTTACCAGATAATTACCCTTGTTGTGAATATCCAAAATTGGAACAGTATGTTCAGAACCAATTTGTGGTGACAAGTATATATAAGCCAAATTTGAATAAGCTATTCATAGCTACTTATTTTGGAGAGTGCTGGGTAGTGGTGACCATACATGCTCTTTGTTGGGTGATGTAGGTTTTCTTAAATATTTGTATATTTGCACTGTTATAGTGTTGCTTCCTCAAGGCCCTGTTGTGTTAAGTTTTCTATGCTTTGGGGTATGAGCATGTCTTACATATGGCTGTCTTCTGGATATGTTACACCATCTATTGTGGTAAGATTAAGTGAATGAAAGTTGAATATACTTTCTGTGAAGTCCCTGTGGAAATTAATGAAATAAGTTAATAAAGAAATACATGTTTGAAATTTGAGTTTACTTCAGAGAAATTAAAAATTGTATCAGGTAAGCCAGGCCATGTGATGTGTCTTAAGAGTGTCTATAATATGCCTGTTCTTTGTGTGCTCAAAGCCAGTGTCATCTTGCTAATAATGTGAGATTGAGATATATGCTGTAAAGTTACTTTTTCCTCAGGAAAGTGGATGCTGTGCCTTAGAAGGAGACAGTGTGTGGGCATGTTTTCTTTTCTTGTGACAATAAGTGCTGAAAATAGGGTAGTCACTCATCTTCTCAGTTTCTCATTGACTTTGTTTTAAGCAGTGCTAGATATAGATGTGGTGAACATGGCTGACTGTGTTCTGAAGCTTGCTTATGCCTTTGTTCCTCTGTTCCGCACTGGAGAGCAGATGGTGTGTAGTCATGTATCTGTTTTGTGTTATGCTAAGAAAAAGGGAGAAGTATCAGTGTACTGGAGAAGTGGAGTGATTAACACTAGTCAAATTCTTATGTTCAGAGATTATTATTTGTTGGGAACAGGCCTCCCAAAATCTGGCCATAAACTGGCCCCAAAACTGGCCATAAACAAAATCTTTGCAGCACTGTGACATGTACATGATGGCCATAATGCCCATGCTGGGAGGTTGTGCATTTACCAGAATGAGGGCAAGGAACACCTGGCCCACCCAGGGTGGAAAACCATTTAAAGCCGTCCACAAACAGAGACTAGGAGGAGGGAGAAGAAGCTGGAAAACTGCCTTCTAACTAACTGGCTGATCCCATAATGTATCCTGAAGTGGCCATCTTAAGCCTCATCCTACATCTGGCAGATTCTGTAGCTGGTTCTGTAAAGGTTGGTGGAATGGCAGGTCCGTCTATCACGCTACCCTGCCACTACAATGGAGCTGTCACATCCATGTGCTGGAATAGAGGCGCACGTTCTTTATTCACATGCTGAAATAGCATTGTCTGGACCAATGGAACCCACGTCACCTATCGGAAGGACACACACTATAAGGTATTGGGGGACCTTTCAAGAAGGGATGTCCCTTTGACTATAGAAAATACAGCTGTGTCTGACAGTGGCTTATATTGTTGCCATGTTGAGCACAGTGGGTGGTTCAATGACATGAAAATCACTCTATCATTGGAGATTGTGCCACCCAGGGTCACGACTACACCAATTGTCACAACTGTTCCAACCGCCACTACTGTTTGAACGAGCATCACTGTTCCAATGACAACAAGCGTTCCAACGACAACAACTGTTCCAACGACAAAGACTGTTCCAACAACAACGAGCATTTCAATGAAAACAAGTGTTCCAATGACAACAATGGTCTCTACCTTTGTTCCTCCAACGCCATTGCCCACGCAGAACCATCAATCAGTAGCCACTTCACCATCTTCACCTCAGCCAGCAGAAACCCACCCTATGACACTTCAGGGAGAAATAAGGACACAACCCACCAGCTCACCATTGCACTCTTTCACAACAGATGGGAATGACACCATGACAGAGTCTTCAGATGGCCTTTGGAATAACAATCAAACTCAACTGTCCCCAGCATATAGTCCACAGATGGTCAACACCACTAAAGGAATCTGTGCTGGAGTCTGTATTTCTGTCTTGGTGCTTCTTGCTCTTTTGGGTGTCATCATTGCCAAAAAGTATTTCTTCAAAGAGGAGACTCAACAACTAAGTGTTTCATTTAGCAGTCTTCAAACTAAAGCTTTGCAAAATGCAGTTAAAAAGGAAGTCCAAGCAGAAGACAATATCTACATTGAGAATAATGTTTATGCCACGGACTAAGACCCAGTGGTGCTCTTTGAGAGTTTACGCCCATGACTGCAGAAGACTGAACAGGTATCAGCACATCAGATGTCTTTTAGACTCCAAGACAATTTTTCTGTTTCAGTTTCATCTGGCATTCCAACATGTCAGTGATACTGGGTAGAGTAACTCTCCCACTCCAAACTGTGTATAGTCAACCTCATCATTAATGTAGTCCTAATTTGTTTTGCTAAAACTGGCTCAATCCTTCTGATCATTGCAGAGTTTTCTCTCAAACATGAACACTTTAGAATTGTATGTTCTCTTTAGACCCCATAAATCCTGTATCCATCAAAGAGAATAGTCCCTGGAAACATAGCAAATGAACTTCTATCTTGGCCATCAAAGCTGTCCAGAAGAGGGGAATCTGTCTCCAAAATCAGCAAATCCAATGTGAGACTTCATTTGGAAGCATTGCATGATTATCTCTTGTTTCTATATACTTCCAAATGTTGCATTTCCTATGTTTTCCAAAGGTTTCTAATCGTGGGTTTTATTTCCTCTATGGGGAAACAAAGTGAGTATAATTCACTCTAACAGGTTTAGCTGTTTTCTCACGACTCTGGAAATGTGATGCATTAAGTACTGGATCTCTGAATTGGGGTAGTTATTTTACCAGTTAAAAGAGGCTACAATAGTATGGAACACATAGACACCAGGGGAAGAAAATCATTTGCCAGGTGATTCAACATATTTATACATTATTTTTTTTTTTGAGATGGAGCTTTGCTCTTGTTGCCCAGGCTGGATTGCAATGGTGAAATCTCATCTCACTGTAACCTCCACCTCCCGGGTTCAAGCGATTCTCCTGCCTCAGCCTCACGAGCTGGGATTACAGGTGTCTGCCACTATGCTCAGCTAATTTTTTGTATTTTTTTGGTAGATACAGGGTTTCACCATGTTGGACAGAATGATCTCGAACTCCTGACCTCAGGTGATCCAGTTGCCTTGGCCTTCCAGGGTACTGGGATCACAGGCATGAGCCACCACGCCCCGTCCATTTATGCAATTTGTATTACATGTGTGTCATGGTGCTAAGCATTTAAACAACCATCAGGATTTCTGAACAAATTTTTAGAACCAAGAAGGTCAGAAATAAAAGAGAGAAAAAAAAAGGCTGCGGTAGGGAAAAGGCTGCCTTTTCTGACTTATAAGTTACATTGCAGATATAAGTGTTTGAAACTCACTAGTTTTGACCCAAATTCTAAATCGTCTCCAAACCACTTTTATGTTTAAAATTGATTTGGAGGCTAGTGCCATGACTCATGCCTGTAATCCCAGCACTTTGGGAAGACAAGGTGTGCAGATAGCTTGAGCCCAGAAATTTCAGACCAGCCTGGGCAACTTGGCAAGACCCCATCTCTATTAAGAAAAAATTTTAAGAAAAAAAAAGAAAGATAAAATTGTTTTGGAAAGGCAAAGTGTCCTTCTCATATCTAGTCAATTCCTGTAATTTTTTTTTTATAATTCAATTAGACTTATTGTAAGGATATCTTTAATCAGTACAAAAATATATAAAAAACAATTATACTAAAGCAGCATAATTGTTTAGAAGTATATATTTGCCAGCCAGGCATGGTGGCTTATGCTCTAATCCCAGCACTTTGGAAGGCTGAGGCGGGTGGATCACTAGAGGTCAGGAGTTTGAGAACAGCCTGACCAACATGGAGAAACCCCGTCTCTACTAAGCATAGATTTGCAAGAGCTAGATTTGTCAGAAAAGAAATATTTCTACATGAACAGTTAAGGCTGGGCATTAATTTCAATTTCAGTTTGAAAAAACTCTGAAATAATTCATGGTTGAGGTTCAGAGCTACCCATACCATAGTTGTCTGGGGTAACAGGATGCTTGCTTTCAGAGGAAAACGTTTGTTTTCATTTCTGTTTTTTTGAGATGTAGTTTTGCTCTTGTCAGGCTGAAATGCAATGGCACAATCTTGGCTCACTGCAACCTCCGCCTCCCGGGTTCAAGTGATTCTCCTGCCTCAGCCTCCTGAGTAGCTGGGATTACAGATGCCCACCACCACACCCAGCTTATTTTTTATTTTTAGTGGAGATGGGGTTTCACCATGTTGGCCAGGCTGGTCTCCAACTCCTGACCTCAGGAAAGCCACCTGCCTTGACCTCCCAAAAGTGTTGGGATTACAGGCATGAGCCACTGCGCCCAGCCAGAGGCAACATTTTTTAACACCGTTATCATTCTAGGAAATGTATAAGTCCTTTGAAGGAAAATTCTGTGGGCAAATGAGATTATGATACATGGTATTTCAGTTTTCCCAAATGTGGCTGGCCCGATCTGGTCAAAAATTTTATTTGTTTTAAACTATAGTGCCTTTTTTTCTTAAATTTGAGGCAATACGCACAAAACTGGAGATTTGAAATTAAAGCCAAGATTTATAGCTTCTCTGGAAAGACCCAGCAAGATTGGGCTGGATTGCTATGTGACCAGGCTTCCACTAGATGGGGATGCATCCTCTAATCCCCAAGTCCTTACTTTCCCTTGCATGCTCACCTTTGTTACCTGCTTGAAACTTGTGGGACTTTTAACTTTATGGCACCTGCTCTATACTCTGGATCTTTCCTGGGGATTTATGATGCATAATAAAGACTCTGGGAATCTGGTTAGCTTTGCTTAACACAACATTTCCAAAACTTGTTTGAATGCATGAGCACAGTCACTAGTAGCATTCTGTGAAGTACAATGTATGGGGGCTTAGGAGTTTAGGGTAGTATACAGGATTAGGAATAGGACTTGAGTCTAATCCTAACTCTTAGCAGTTACACTGGATGACATTAGAGCGAATGGTTCTTTATGTCTACATTTTCTTCATCTGTTAGATGTAATAATTTCCATATCAACTATGATGTAAAGTGGTAATTCCAATGAAATGTTACATGTGGGAAGTCTTTGAAATGTAAAAAAAACACTGCAGATACTGAAGCAGTTCAGAGAATTAAAAAACACTATGAAAACACAGCTTGGTAAATAATTTTTTTTTCTTTTGAGACAGAGTCTGGTTCTGTCATCCAGGCTAGAATGTAGTGGCACAATCTTGGCTCACTGCAACCTCCGCCTCCCGGGCTCAAGCAGTTCTCCTGCCTCAGCCTCCTGAGTAGCTGGGATAGCCACCATGTCCACTTAATTTTTGTATTTTTAGTAGAGACAGGGTTCCACCATGTTGCCCAGGGTGGTCTTGAACTCCTGACCTCAAGTGATCTGCCTGCTCAACCTCCCAAAGTATTGGAATTGCAGGTGTAAGCCACCATGCCCGGCCAGGGCTTAGTAAATAATTTCAGTGGTGTTACACCTATAAGTCTCTTGCTGTATGGTATCTTCTAAAATAACATTTCTTTTTTGAAACAGTTGATATTGGGTAATTTGGCCATCATCATATACTGTAGAAAAAAATTGGCAAGTGAAAGGGAGAATAGGGAAGAAGGAAGAAAGGGGAGGAATTTAGTGAATGTGAATTATTTTCCTTTAAATATATTAGTCTTGTAGATCATATTGAGTTTTTTAAATTATTATTTAAGATATTGTTGAGATTCCATTACCTACAATCAGTCTTGGGACATTAGAACACTGGTATAATTAAGACTGTATGTTTAAATTGAGAATTTTTGCACAACTTTAACAAGTAGCAGAACTAGTCGTTCACTGATGGCTTTAGAGATGAAATAATATTGTGAATACATGAAACTGTGAGGGACTCTTCATGGTTGTCTAGGTTTATTTGTATGCATACTCATTAATAAAATTTTTCTGTCTCTTAAAAAAAAAACCCACAAACAACAGCATGAGCAATCTGTGCCTTAAGGACATGCTCCTGCTGCAGATACGTAGCCCAACCCATCTCTTTATTTTGACCCATCCCTTCATTTCTCATAAGGGATACTTTTAGTTAATCTAATATCTATAGAAACAATGCTAATGATTGGCTTGCTGTTAATAAATATGTGGGTAAATCTCTGTTCGAGGCTCTCAGCTCTGAAGGCTGTGAGACCCCGATTTCCCACTTCACACCTTCTGTGAGTGTGTCTTTAATTCCTCTAGCACTGCTGGGTTAGGGTCTCGCTGATGGAGCTGGTCTCAGTAATTATTTATTTCATTATTATCTTTACCATAAATGGAATTTTGTAAGGGCTCATTTGCCCAACTTGTCTCTAGGAATTCCGATAGCAGCTTGGGCTGTCTCTTGTGTCTCTTCAGAAAACTAAATAAACATAAATCCAGTCCTAAACACCAGAAACTATGACATGCTTATATTACAAATGAATCTGTCTAGAGTACTTTTAAATTAGTTTAACCTACAGCATTCAAGTTGCAGACAAACTTTGGTGAAAAGCATTTCTTATCCAGGTTTTCCTGTATTTGCATTAAATCAAATAAACCAGAAGTTAAGTATTTCTTTCTCTTCTACCTGTGCTAGACCTGTTAATCCATAGGACTCCAGTCTGACAAGTTAACAATCAAGTTTTACTTTAATTTTCACCCTTTGTTGGTTGTTAGTTTTTATACATAGAAACACACTCAGCTTGTTGGTTGTTAGCTTTTATACATAGAAACACACTCAGCTTGATAGCAGTAGGAGCAAATGTCATCAGATCTAACAATTACTGAGAGCTAGCTACCAGCATCCTAATTTTTCTTTATGCATCATCTTTTTCATTCATCACAATTCTTCGACAGAGAGGTGTAGATGTAATTATTATCCTCAGGATTCAGATGAGGATATAAAGACCCAGAGAGGCAGCCAGCTATTAGAACTCAAACTATTAAGTTTGTCTCCAGGGCTGTGCTCCTGACCCATGCCAGACTACCTACCATAGAGACATGATCCATTCACCAAACAAATACTAACTGAAAACCTCCTGTGTTCAGAGTCCTCCCTATTAGGCACATCAAGGGAAAAGATTGGCACACCAAGGAAAAAGTGTAAGTGTGCCAGGACAGGGGTCTGGTTTCCAGAATTAAATTACAGCTTACCTATTGAACAACACATTTTAGCTAATATTTGACCACATAAGTTAGACCTTCCCTTCTGTGATGGTCAGGAATGGTGTTTTGTAGAGTGAGGGGCTTGCAGAGGTCATATTAGTAGATGAACTGACTGATGAGGATTTCTGTGCCCTTAAAGAGGGGGAGTTCAAAAAGACACTAAAGCAGAAAGCTGGCAGACTGAGACCCAGTGGGAAAGTAGAGTGAAACCCTGAACAAATCCTGCTGAGGATGAAATGTTTACCATGTTCTCATTGAAAAGGATAGCATGTGGAAGAGAGGTGGTTTTTCACATGGTGGGAGATATTCTAGAAGTGAAAAAGGGTGGGCATGGACTCTATGATTCTGCTAGTCCTCTGTGTGGTGATTAATGGGGGGCTTTCTTATCTCTTGAAACCTTCCTTGTGGACACCCACTTTTAACCTCACTGAAAGTGCTGAGCCCTGTTCAAAGACTCATATGAAGCCTATTTTTGAAGAGATTTTGAAACTAAACTCATAACTGTTTGGGAAATTAAGTTGTGCTTTGGGCAGGGTCAATGCCTTAAGAACAGCTCTACTGTTGTTTCATAACAGGTTACTGTTATTTTACATAATATGGAAACTCAAGGTTTTGCCTCAGAATTTGCATAGAGTGATCCTAAGAGGTCCATAATATGTGATATGAGCCAAGTAAGGGCAAAAATTGAATTGACTTGATTACTAATCGAATCTAAAAACTTGAAGATCAGGCCGGGCACAGTGGCTCACGTCTGTAATCCCAGCACTTTGGGAGGCTGAGGCAGGTGGATCACGAGGTCAGGAGATCGAGACCATCCTGGCTAACACGGTGAAACCTGGTCTCTACTAAAAATACTAAAAAATTAGCCAGGCGTTATGGCAGGCGCCTGTAGTCCCAGCTACTCGGGAGGCTAAGGCAGGAGAATTGGCGTGGGCGAACCTTGCAGTGAGCCAAGATCCCACCACTGCACTCCAGCCTGGGCAACAGAGCGAGATTCCATCTTAAAAAAAAACAACAAAAAAAAAAACACTTGTCCAAGTTCAAGTGTCATACCCTCTGGGAGGTATTATTTCTTTGTTGTTTTGCTTTTTAAGAAGGAGGAGCCACATGTACTGGAGGACAGTGAGAGGAAGACCTTCTGTCTCCTTTGAGTGTGTGTGAGATGGGGTCACCAGTGTGCCTAGTTTCTTTTATGAGGGTGGCTGAGCAAGTTATGAAATTGGCAGGTCTTGCATTGTGAAAGACACTTGAGGGTCTGTTTCCTGTTTCTTCCAATTTGTGGATAAGGAATATTTTGAAACCAGTAATAAATACAGAATTGAAGTTATGCATGCTACCAGCTCAATTTTAACTGACTTATCTTCTGTATTTGCTACTAGTATTATTATTATCATTGTTATTTTTCTCATGACATTGGAGAGTTTCAGCAAAACAATAGTGGAAAGTAATCTGGATTAGTAAATCAGCATTCTGGCTCCTTTCTTGTCTCATCTGTTGAAGATCACTATCAGCAAGCTTCCATTGGGAACCATTTCTTGACACCTACACCTGATACCAGGCTCTAGAACTGCAAAGATGGATATAATATGGTTCCAGTTCTAAAATTCATCAGTGCCTTACAACCAGCAAGAACAAGTGGAGAACTGGCAAGTGAGAAGTTGCAGTAGAGAGTAAAGGTGATACTCACAAATGTGCACGTTTTCCATGTGGAGAAGAAGAATGTGGGAAAAGAAAAATGTACATCTAGGCAAAAAAGCAGTTTAAGTACAGGACATGAAGTATAAAAATATGAGGCTTATTTAAGGACAGGGTAGGACAAGAAGTGGAGTTTGACAAAAGAATATACTTTGGGAGTGTCGTATAGATTTGGGATGTTAAGAGATGTTGGCCTTAGAAACATGGATGGGGGCTCAGCTTTGCAGGCTGTTATGAACCACCAAATGTTTTGGAGCAGGGCTGCAATGTGAGCAGCTCTGTGTTTCACAGAGAATACTGCTAACCTTTTAGAAAGTTTAAGCTTGAAAAAATACAAGGTGTTCAGCAAAGTGCAGTGCAAACTTGGAATTTGGTACCCTCTTTGATAGAATACATTTTCTCTTTTTAAAAAGAGACTTTTTACCCCAGAATGTATAGGCTGCCTTCTTACACATGGTTAAATAAAAATGGAAAGGTGAGAACATTTATTTTCCCCAAATCAAATTTAATTAGACAGTGTTTAAACTTCCCTAATTGTGTATTACTAATTGGTACATATTTAAACTAAGAGTAGACATCTTTAGAAGGGAGGAACTCCTTTTCTATCAAAAGCATTGAAGATGGACTCTGGGAGCTGAATGAAGATACATGTAAAATAATTTTAGACAACTTATTACTATAATGTGGATAGCAAAAGCTTATATAAATCAGTAAAAAGTTAAATAATTTAATAGCAAAATAAGCAGAAGCCATGACTAGGCAATTCAAAAAGTAGTACACTAAACATATATAAAAACAAGTTACCTAATAGTTACTAAAATTCATATTAAAATAATGAGATGTCACCAAGCGCGGTGGCTCATACCTGTAATCCCAGTACTTTGGGAGGCCAAGGTCAGGAATTTGAGACTACCCTGGCCAAAATGATGTAAACCTGTCTCTACTAGAAATACAAAAATTGGCCAGGCGTGGTGGCACACACCTATAATCACAGCTACTAGGGATGCTGAGACAGGAGAATTGCTTGAGCCCGGGAGACAGAGGTTTCAGTGAGCCAAGATCATGCCACTGCACTCCAGCCTGGCCAACAGAGCGAGACTCTATCTCAAAAATAAATAAATAAATAAATAAATAAATAAATAAATAAATAAATAATGAGATGCCATTTTTTCACATACCAAAATGGAAAATATTTTTTAAAACAGCATATTCCATTAAACTATTCATAAATAGTTAGTGTAGGGTAACAAGACCTTTCCTAACACTGTTACTGGAAGTATAATTTGATGTCATATTCATATATGGCAGTTTTTGCACTGTGCATCAGTGGTCTTTAAAATGTGCTATATTTTGCCATGCGTGGTGTCTCCCGCCTGCAATCCCAGCACTTTGGGAGGTCAAGTCAGGTGGATTACAAGGTCAGGAGATCAAGACCATCCTGGCTAACACGATGAAACCCTGTCTCTACTAAAAATAGAAAACATTAGCCGGACGTGGCGGCACACGCCTGTACTCCCAGCTACTCAGGAGGCCGAGACAGTAGAATCGCTTGAACCAGGGAGGTGGAGGTTGCAGTAAGCTGAGATCACGTCACTGCACTCCAGCCTGGGTGACAGAGTGAGACTCCGTCTCAAAAAAAAAAAGTGCTATATTTATTAATAAAGCAATTTTAACTAATAAATTAATGAGTTTTAACATACTGAAGTGGCATCACCTGTGTGGGGTAAAGACCCGAGGTTCGTCATCTAATGCCAAGGAAATCAGTGCATGGACACACAAGAAGATGGTTTAGGAGCAGTGGTTTAATAGGCAAAAGAAAGAGAAAGGAGAATAGTCTTCTCTTCTGAGAAAGAGCAGTGCCTCTCAGTGGGACTTCCAGCCTGCAGTGAAGCGCAATGGATTTTACACACTGGCTTCAGGAGCAGGTGGCTGGTTTACATAGGGCCCAAACATTGGTTGGATCAGGTTTGAAAGTTTACACAGCTGAGGCGGGCAGCTGAGAAGGCCAAATAGGAAGAGCTCTGGACTACAGCTCCCAGCATGAGTGACGCAGAAGACAGGTGATTTCTGCATTTCCATCTGAGGTACTGAGTTCACCTCACTAGAGAGTGCCAGACAGTGGGCGCAGGACAGTGGGTTCAGCACACCATGTGCGAGCTGAAGCAGGGTGAGGCATTGCCTCACTCAGGAAGCACAAGGGGTCAGGGACTTCCCTTTCCAAGTCAAAGAAAGGGGTGACAGATGGCACCTGGAAAGTCGGGTCACTCCCACTCTAATACTGTGCTTTTCCAACAGGCTTAAAAATGTCACACCAGCAGATTATATCCTGCACCTGGCTCGGAGGGTCCTACGCCCATGGAGCCTCGCTGATTGCTAGCACAGCAGTCTGAGATCAAACTGCAAGGTGGCAGCGAGGCTGGGGGAGGGGCGCCTGCCATTGCCCAGGCTTGCTTAGGTAAACAAAGCAGATGGGAAGCTCCAACTGGGTGGAGCCCACCAAAGCTCAAGGAGGCCTGCCTGCCTCTGTAGACTCCACCTCTAGGGGCAGGGCACAGACAAACAAAAAGACAGCAGTAACTTCTGCAGACTTAAATATCCCTGTCTGACAGCTTTGAAGAGAGCAGTGGTTCTCCCAGCACACAGCTGGAGATCTGAGAACAGGCAGACTGCCTCCTCAAGTGGGTTCCTGACCCCTGAACCCCAAGCAGCCTAACTGGGAGGCACCCCCCAGTAGGGGCAGACTGACACCTCACACAGCCGGGTACTCCTCTGAGACAAAATTTCCAGAAGAACGATCAGACAGTAGCATTCGCGGTTCACAAAAATCAGCTGTTCTGCAGCCATCGCTGCTGATACCCAGGCAAAAAGGGTCTGGAGTGAACCTCTAGAAAACTCCAACAGATCTGCAGCTGAGGGTCCTGCCTGTTAGAAGGAAAACTAACAAGCAGAAAGGACATACACACCAAAAACCCATATGTACAACACCATCATCAAAGACCAAAAGAAGATAAAACCACAAAGATGCAGAAAAAACAGAGCAGAAAAACTGGAAACTCTAAAAAGCAGAGGGCCTCTCCTCCTCCAAAGGAACGCAGTTCCTCACCAGCAATGAAACAAAGCTGGACAGAGAATGACTTTCAGGAGTTGAGAGAAGAAGGCTTCAGATGATCAAACTACTCTCAGCTACAGGAGGAAATTCAAACCAAAGGCAAAGAAGTTAAAAACTTTGAAAAAAATTTAGACGAATGTACAACTAGAATAACCAATACAGAGAACTGCTTAAAGGAGCTGATGCAGCTGAAAGCCAAGGCTCCAGAACTACGTGAAGAATGCAGAAGCCTCAGGAACCAATGCAATCAACTGGAAGAAAGGGTATCAGTGATGGAAGATGAAATGAATGAAATGAAGCGAGAAGGGAAGTTTAGAGAAAAAAGAATAAAAAGAAATGAAAAAAGCCTCCAAGAAATATGGGACTATGTGAAAAGGCCAAATCTACGTCTGATTGGTGTACCTGAAAGTGACGGGGAGAATGGAACCAAGTTGGAAAACACTCTGCAGGATATTATCCAGGAGAACTTCCCCAATCAAGTAAGGCAGGCCAACATTCAGATTCAGGAAATACAGAGAACGCCACAAAGATACTCCTCAAAAAGAGCAACTCCAAGACACATAATTGTCAGATTCACCAAAATTGAAATGAAGGAAAAAATGTTAAGGACAGCCAGAGAGAAAGGTCAGATTAGCCACAAAGGGAAGCCCATCAGACTAACAGCGGACCTGTCAGCAGAAACTCTACAAGCCAGAAGAGAGTGGGAGCCAATATTCAACATTCTTAAAGAAAAGAATTTTCAACCCAGAATTTCATATCCACCCAAACTAAGCTTCATAAGTGAAGGAGAAATAAAACACTTTACAGACAAGCAAATGCTGAGAGATTTTGTCACCACCAGGCCTGCCCTAAAAGAGCTCCTGAAGGAAGCACTAAACATGGAAAGGAAAAACCGGTATCAGCCACTGCAAAATCACACCAAATTGTAAAGACTGTCGAAGCTACAAAGACACTGCATCAACTAACGAGCAAAATAACCAGCTAACATCATAATGACAGGATCAAATTCACACATAAAAATATTAATTTTAAATGTAAACGGACTAAATGCTCCAATTAAAAGACAGAGACTGGCAAATTGGATAAAGAGTCAAGACCCATCAGTGTGCTGTATTCAGGAAACCCATCTCATGTGCAGAGACACACATAGGCTCAAAATAAAAGGATGGAGGAAGATCTACCAAGCAAATGGAAAACAAAAAAAGGCAGGGGTTGCAATCCTAGTCTCTGATAAAACAGACTTTAAACCAACAAAGAACAAAAGAGACAAAGAAGGCCATTACATAATGTTAAAGGGATCAATTCAACAAGAAGAGCTAACTATCCTAAATATATATGCACCCAATACAGGAGCACCCAGACTCATAAAACAAGTCCAGAGAGACCTACAAAGAGACTTTGACTCCCACACTATAATAATGGGAGACGTTAACACCCCATTGTCAACATTAGACAGATCAACGAGACAGAAAGTTAACAAGGATACCCAGGAATTGAACTCAGCTCTGCACCAAGTGGATCTAATAGACATCTACGGAACTCTCCACCCCAAATCAACAGAATATACATTTTTTTCAGCACCACACCACACCTATCCCAAAATTGGCCACATAGTTGGAAGTAAAGCTCTCCTCAGCAAATGTAAAAGAACAGAAATTATAACAAACTGTCTCTCAGACCACAGTGCAATCAAACTAGAACTCAGGATCAAGAAACTCACTCAAAACCACTCAACTACATGGAAACCGAACAACCTGCTCCTGAATGACTACTGGGGACATAACGAAATGAAGGCAGAAATAAAGAAGTTCTTTGAAACCAACGAGAACAAAGACACAACATACCAGAATCTCTGGGACACATTCAAAGCAGTGTGTAGAGGGAAATTTATATCACTAAATGCCCACAAGAGAAAGCAAGAAATAACAAAAATTGACGGCCTAATATCACAATTGAAAGAACTAGAAAAGCAAGAGCAAACACATTCAAAAGCTAGCAGAAGGCAAGAAATAACTAAAATCAGAGCAGAACTGAAGGAAATAGAGACACAAGAAACCCTTCAGAAAAATTAAAGAATCCAGGAGCTGGTTTTTTGAAAGCATCAACAAAATTGATAGACCGCTAGCAAGACTAATAAAGAAAAGAGAGAAGAATCAAACAGATGCAATAAAAAATGATAAAGGGGATATCAACACCGATTCCACAGAAATACAAACTACCATCAGAGAATACTAAAAACACCTCTATGCAAATAAACTAGAAATCTAGAAGAAATGGATAAATGTAGAAGAAAATCTAGAAGAAATGGATAAATTCCTCGACACATACACCCTCCCAAGACTAAACCAGGAAGAAGTTGAATCTCTGGATAGACCAATAACAGGCTCCGAAATTGTGGCAATAATCAACAGCTTACCAACAAAAAGAGTCCAGGACCACATGGATTCACAGCCGAATTCTACCAGAGGTACAAGGAAGAACTGGTACCATTCCTTCTGAAACTATTCCAATCAATAGAAAAAGAGGGAATCCTCCCTAACTCATTTTATGAGGCCAGCATCATCCTGATACCAAAGCCGGGCAGAGACACAACCAAAAAAGAGAATTTTAGACAAATATTCTTGATGAACATCAATGCAAAAATCCTCAATAAAATACTGGCAAACCGAATCCAGCAGCGCATCAAAAAGCTTATCCACCATGATCAAGTGGGCTTCATCCCTGGGATGCAAGGCTGGCTCAATATACACAAATCAATAAATGTAATCCAGCATATAAACAGAACCAAAGACAAAAACCACATGATTATCTCAATAGCTGCAGAAAAGGCCTTTGACAAAATTCAACAAAACTTCATGCTAAAAACTCTCAATAAATTAGGTATTGATGTGACGTATCTCAAAATAATAAGAGCTATCTATGACAAACCCACAGCCAATATCATACTGAATGGGCAAAAACTGGAAGCATTCCCTTTGAAAACTGGCACAAGACAGGGATGCACTCTCTCAACACCCCTATTCAACATAGTGTTGGAAGTTCTGGCCAGGGCAATTAGGCAGGAGAAGGAAATAAAGGGTATTCAATTAGGAAAAGAGGAAGTCAAATTGTCCCTGTTTGCAGATGACATGATTGTATACCTAGAAAACCCCATTGTCTCAGCCCAAAATCTCCTTAAGCTGATAAGCAACTTCAGCAATGTCTCAGGATACAAAATCAATGTACAAAAATCACAAGCATTCTTATACACCAACAACAGACAGAGAGCCAAATCATGCATGAACTCCCATTCACAATTGCTTCAAAGAGAATAAAATACCTAGGAATCCAACTTACAAGGGACGTGAAGGACCTCTTCAAGGAGAACTACAAACCACTGCTCAATGAAATAAAGGAGGATACAAAAAAGGGAAGAACATTCCATGCTCATGGATACGAAGAATCAATATCATGAAAATGGCCATACTGCCCAAGGTAATTTATAGATTCAATGCCAACCCCATCAAGCTACCAATGACTTTCTTCAGAGAATTGGAAAAAACTACTTTAAAGTTCACATGGAACCAAAAAAGAGGCCACATCGCCAACTCAATCCTAAGCCAAAAGAACAAAGCTGGAGGCATCATGCTACCTGACTTCATACTATACTACAAGGCTACAGTAACCAAAACAGCATGGTACTGGTACCAAAACAGAGATATAGATCAATGGAACAGAACAGAGCCCTCAGAAATAATGCCGCATAGCTACAACTATCTGATCTTTGGCAAACCTGAGAAAAATAAGCAATGGGGAAAGGATTCCCTGTTTAATAAATGGTGCTGGGAAAACTGGCTAGCCATATGTAGAAAGCTGAAACTGGATCCCTTCCTTACACCTTATAGAAAATTAATTGAAAATGGATTAACAATTTAAACGTTAGACCTAAAACCATAAAAACCCTAGAAGAAAACCTAGGCATTACCATTCAGGACATAGGCATGGGCAAGGACTTCATGTCTAAAACACCAAAAGCAATGGCAATAAAAGCCAAAATTGAGAAATGGGATCTAATTAAACTAAAGAGCTTCTGCACAGCTAAAGAAATTACCATCAGAGTCAACAGGCAACCTACAAAATGGGAGAAAATTTTCGCAACCTACTCATCTGACAAAGGGCTAATATACAGAATCTACAATGAACTCAAACAAATTTACCAGAAAACAACAACCCCATCAAAAAGTGGGCAAAGGATGTGAACAGACACTTCTCAAAACAAGACATTTATGCAGCCAAAAGACACATGAAAAAATGCTCACCATCACTGGCCATCAAAGAAATGCAAATCAAAACCACAGTGAGATACCATCTCACACCAGTTAGAATGGCGATCATTAAAAAGTCAGGAAAGAACAGGTGCTGGAGAGGATGTGGAGAAATAGGAACACTTTTACACTGTTGGTGGGACTGTCAACTAGTTCAACCATTGTGGAAGTCAGTGTGGCGATTCCTCAGGGATCTAGAACTAGAAATACCATTTGACCCAGCCATCCCATTACTGGGTAGATACCCAAAGGACTATAAATCATGCTCCTATAAAGACACATGCACACGTATGTTTATTGCAGCACTATTCACAATAGCAACGACTTGGAACCAGCCCAAATGTCCAACAGTGATAGACTGGATTAAGAAAATGTGGCACATATACACCATGGAATACTATGCAGCCATCAAAAATGATGAGTTCATGTCCTTTGTAGGGACACGGATGAAATTGGAAATCATCATTCTCAGTAAACTATCGTAAGGACAAAAAACCAAACACCACATGTTCTCATTCATAGGTGGAAATCGAACAATGAGAACACATGGACACAAGAAGGGGAACATCAAACTCTGGGGACTGTTGTGGCTTGGGGGAGGGGGAAGGGATAGCATTAGGAGATATACCTAATGCTAAATAACGAGTTAATGGGTGCAGCACACCAGCATGGCACATGTATACATATGTAACTAACCTGCACATTGTGCACATGTACCCTAAACGTTAATGTATAATAATAAAATAAAATAAAATAAAGAAAGTTTACACAGCACACAAGGAATCTGGCTGCTCCACCCTAATCTTCTATTATGCAAATGGAGCATTTGCCAGCACCCTGTTGCCTGCTTCTTACTGTACATGTGGTTAACAAGGAAATGGGAAGAGGGTGTCACCATTTTAAACATGCGCCGTCCGCAGTTAGTCCCTTTTCCTATTGGCACAGCTGCCGACATTTATTCATGCAAGCTTTCAGCTTGCTTATCGATGTTTGGAGCTTGATTTTACAGGCTGTTCTTTGTTAAAAAAGAAATAATTTGTGGGCTGCTTTTTATTAAAAGGAAAGCTTTACGAAGGACTTTCTTGCCCTCACTCACTATCTGCCTAAATAATTTCTTTTTAACTCCTGTATCAATAATAATGTCATGGGAAACATTTATGATGTATTTGTATGTATGAATAAGCAAGATAGCAAACTCTAGTTGTTCTTTTTAATTTATTTTTACAAAAGTGTTGTGTACAAATGTAATTTAGTTACATGCATAGACTGCATAGTGGCGAAGTCAGGGCTTTTAGGGTATCCATCATTCAAATAATTTACATTATAACCCTTAAGTAATTTCTCATTATCCAGCACCCACCCTACCTTCTCACCCTTTTACTTCAGGTTTGCTGGGCCTCAATGACAAATAAAACAAAGATAAATTAATTGTTTTCTGGGAGTTAGAATTAAAAATCAACCTAAGAGAAAAGATGACTCCTAAGCCAAAATTTGTGATATATATATATATATATATGTGTGTGTATATATACACACACACACAGAAACATGTTTCTGTGTGTGTGTGTGTGTGTGTATATATTTGTTTATACTCAAGAAACTTATCCAGTCTTTCCCTCTGCACAAATCCAAAATTAAAGCCAAATGGTTCTATGTGATAAACATCATGGTAATAACTTCAAAAAACAAAAAAAAAAGCTTCCTCCAGTGAATGTAAATTTAAAAAAATGAAACAACTGTTTCTCCAGATGTGCAGAAATCAATATAAAGACACATAAAGACAGAGAAAACACAGAAAAGCAAGGTTTATGACACTTTCAAAGGAACACAATAATTCTCCAGTATTCCAAGAAAAAAAAAATAATTGAAAGGACTTTAAAAGACTTTTAGAAGGCTTCAAAATATAGATTTTAAAGAAGCTCAAAGAGATGCAAAAGAAATCTAAAAACCAATACAAAAATAAATAAATAAATTTAGAGTATGAATGGGAAATGTGCCAAGGAGATAAATATCTTTTAAAAGAAACCAAAACAAAATTATGGAACTGAAAGATTTACTGAAGGAAAAAGAAAATACATTCAATGATCCAATAGTAGACTGAAAAGGCATAAACAGAATTTTCAGACCTTTAAATGGGTCTTTTAAAATAATCTACTCAGACAAAACTAAGAAGAATTTTAAAAAACGAACGAAAACTTTGAGATGTTTCTGACTACATAAAGTGACTAAACATAAAAATTATCAGTGTTTCTTAGAAAGAAAAAAACATGAAAAAGTTTAGAAAACCTATTTAAGAAAATAAATGATGAAAAATTTCCAAGTCTAGCAATAGAATTAGACATACATATACAGGAAGCTCAGCAATCACCAGTAAAATAAATTGCAAAACAGACTTCATCATGGCACATGATAACCAGAATTTCTAAAGTCGAAATGAAATAACTAATTATAAAATCAGCAAAAGAAAAGCATCTAGTCATTTATAAAGAAAACCACATCAGACTAAAAGCACACTTCTCAACAGAAACTTTACTGGCCAGAAGATAATGGAATGGCACTTAGAGAGTGTTGAAATAAAAGTGCCAGCCAAAAATTTTACATCAAGGTAAATTAACCTTCACAAATGAAGAAGAAATAGTCTTACCCTGACAAATAAATGCTGGGGAAACTAATTACCACTAGACTGGGTCTATAAAAGATGTCAGGGATTTCTTTTTTTTTTTTTTTTTTTTTTTTCTGAGACAGTTTTGCTCTTGTTGCCCAGGCTGGAGTGCAATGGCACAATCTCGGCTCACTGCAACCTCTGCCTTCCAGGTTCAAGTGATTCTCCTGCCTCAGCCTCCCAAGTAGCTGAAAGTACAGGCACCCGCCACCTCACCCAGCTAATTTTTGAATTTTTAGTAGAGACGGAGTTTCACCATGTTGGCCAGGCTAGTCTCAAACTCCTGACCTCAGGTGATCAACCCACCTCAGTCTCCCAAAGTGCTGAGATTTCAGGCATGAGCCATTGTGCCAGGCCGGTACTTCTAATAGAAAAACAAAAGATTGATATTCACCATCATTAAAACATACAAAAGTATAAAACTAACAGGTCTTATAAAACAAAAGACAAAAAGAAATAAATCAAATCACAACATGACAGAATTTTATTAAACCAGAAAGATAGATGAAAAAAAAAACAAAATAATTAACATTATGATAGTAACAAAACCTACATGTTAATATTAATATTAACCATGGCCGGGTGAGGTGGCTCATACCTTTTGGAGGCCAAAGAGGGTGGATCACCTGAGATCAGGAGTTTGAGACCAGCCTGGCCAACACTGTGAAAACCCATCGCTACTAAAAATACAAAAAATTAGCTGGGCACGGTGGTGGGCACTTGTAATCACCGCTACTCAATAGGCTGAGGCAGGAGAATCACTTGAACTTGGGAGGCAGAGGTGGCAGTGAGCCGAGATCGCACCATTGCACTCCAACCTGAGCAACAAGAATGAGACTCCATCTCAAAAAATAAAAAGAAAAAGAAAGAAAAAATTAACCTTGAATATAAATTAATTAAATCCTTCATCAAAATGTATAGATTTATGATATGAATAAGAAAAAATCGTCCAACTCTATGGTGCCTACAAGAATCTCACCTTACTTGTAAGACACATATAGATTAAAAATAAGGGAGGAAAGATATCAACAGAAACAGAAACCAAAAGCAAACAGGAGTATCTGTATGTATATCAAATAAAACACTTTAAATAAAAAGTGCAACAAAAAGGGTAAAGAAGGTAATCATCCAATAATAAAGAAATCTTTTCAGCAAAAAGATATAACAATTCTAAATATCTATGCACCCAACATCAAAGCACCCAGATTTTAAATAGAAATATTATTAAACCTATAGAAAGAGATAGTAACACAATGATAGTGGAGAAATTCAACATTCTACTCACAGCATCAGAGAGACCATTGAGATAGGAAATTGGCAAATCAACAAAGTACCCCCATAAATCACAATTATATCAACTACCTACTTAGATCACAGGAGAATAAAACTACAAATCAATATCAAGAGAAATTTCAGAAACTATAAATTTACAAAGAATTTAAACAACATACTCCTGAACAGTCACGGTGTAAATGAAGTAATTAAGATGGCCGGCCAGGGGTGGTGGCTCACAGCTGCAATCCCAGCACTTTGGGAGGCTGAGGCAGGTGGATCCCCTGAGGTCAGGAGTTTGAGACTAGCCTGGGCAACATGGCAAACCCCATCTCTACAAAAAATACATATTAAAAAAGCTAAATGTGGTGGTGCACACCTATAGTCTTAGCCACTCGGGAGGCTGAAATAAAAAGATCGCTTTAGCCTGGAAGGCAGAGGTTGCAGTGAGCCAAGATTGTGCTACTACACTCCAGCCTGGGTGACAGAGTAAAACCCATCTCAAAAAGAAAATTAAAATGAAAATTTAAAAATTGTGGGAAAAAAGATGGAAATAGAAATGCAATATAATAAAACCTGTGAGATATGCAAATATAGTACAAAGAGAGCAGTTTATAGCCTAAATGCCTGCATCAAAAAAGTAGAAAGCTTACATATTAAGGACTTGACATCACACTTCAAGGAACTAGAAAATTAATAACAAACCAAATTCCAAGTTACAAGAAAAAAAAAAACAAAAATCAGAACAGAACCAAATGAATTTAAGACCAAAAACAATAAAAATGATCAACAGAATAGTTGATTTTTCAAAAAGACAAAATTGATAAACTGCTAGCTAGCTTAACCAAAAGCAGAAGACAGATCTAAATAAACAATCAGAAGTGAAAGAACAGACATTTCAATGGATACAACAGTAACACAAACCAATAATGAGTAGCATGATTGAGGCAGTAATAAAAAAAGTCTTGAAAAAGAAAAGCTCGGGAGTAGATAAATGGACAGCCAAATTCTACCAAATGCACTAAGAATAATAATCCTCCTGAAACTCTTCCCAAAAATTCAGGATAATGAAATTCTTCCTAAGTCACTCTGAGGTATCACCTTGACACCAAAACTAGTCAAGAACACAACAAAAAAAACTATTATTATGTTATTATTATAAAAAATAGATAAATGGGATTCAAACTAAAATGTTTAGGCACAGCAAGAAAAATAATCAACAGGGTAAATAGGCAACCTACAGAATAAAAGAACATATTTGCGAACTATGTGCCAACATGTAACTAATATTCAGAATTTACAAATAATTCAAACAACTCAAAAATGTCATAATAATAAAAAAAGGATTCCATTGAAAATAGGCAAATAACATTACTAAGCATTTTTCAATAAAGAATACAAATAGCCAACATGCATATGAAAAAAAAAAACTCAATCTCAACTAAAAATAGAGCTACCATTTGATTCAGAGATCTCATCATTGGGTATCTACCCAAAGAAAAATCATTTATTATATGAAAATGATATCTGGGCCAGGTGCGGTGGTTCACGCCTGTAATCCCAGCACTTTGGGAGGCCAACGTGGGCGGATCATGAGCTCAGGAGATCGAGACCACCCTGGCCAACACGGTGAAACCCCATCTCTACTAAAAATACAAAACATTAGCCGGGCATGGTGGCGGGCGTCTGTAGTCCCAGCTACTCGGGAGGCTGAGGCAAGAGAATGGTGTGAACCTGGGAGTTGGAGCCTGCAGCGAGCCAAGATCGAGCCACTGCACTCCAGCCTGGGCGACAGAACAAGACTCCGACTCAAAAAAAAAAAAAAAATGCTACCTATACTTGCATGTTTACTGCAGCATGCTCACAATAGCAAACAATATATACAAGAAAAGTTTAATATTAAAAATATATAGGAAATTCAAAGTAGAGGCAAGTATAATAAAAACAATTACAATCCACCTGAAAAATGGTCAAAAGACTGAAAAAATATTTTGCCAACATATACAAATAACCAATAGATATATAAAAACGTGTTCAATATCACCTACCAACAGGCAATTGCAAATGAAAACAATGAGGAACTACCATTTCAAATCTGTTAGGATTGCTAATATCAAAATGAAAAAATAGAAAAATAACAAGTAACATCTGTCATTAATGTTCCTAAGATTTCTGAAACAAATCTTAATATCACCACTGCTCTCACACATTTCAGACATGATGGGAAAAGAAAACTTAAGAAATAATCTTATATGCAGCTGCTCAAAAATAATCAAGAGGCGTTCTTATATCCCCCCAAAGCAATGGAACAACAGGAATAACATGTGATACCTCATAAGCCATAAAGAGGACCTTAGCTCTCACAAGACCCTCAAAGGAAAATCACTAAGTAGGAAGTGGAGCCCTTAGAGAATTTAAGGGTATGGAACAAAAGATGCTCCTATTTGAGAGCTAGAAAAAAAAATGACTTTCTAGGAAATATTTCCATTGAAGCAGAGCAACACATACCACATTTTAAGGTCTGGAATTCTTTGACCTTTGTACCTCTTGTCTTTGTTATCTGCCTCATTCATGCTTAGCTATCTGAGTATTTGACTACTGTCTCATATCTCTTCACATTCCAGGGCTCTTTTATTTGCTTAAAGCAGGAGATCAGATCAATGTTAGAGACATCAAGGCCTGTTTTGTTAGAAAAAAAAGTAATATGACTTGCTGGGATTCTCCAGTTACCAACCTAGTACTCTGTTCAGTAGAGAGGAGAGAATATTATGAAGGATTCTAGAATTTTAATTCCAAAATACTGTTTTCTGACAGAACCTTTAGAATATTTAGGTTAAAATATTTAATATGTATTTTAGTTTTCTGGATCCTTAGCTCTACTGTTCAATACTATTGAATTTAAAATTGGTGATGAATATTGGATTTTAATACTTGGGGAAAATACTTTATGCCACTGAATTTCTAGAATTATCATTAATCTAGAGTGAAAGATACAGTTTAGCTCAAGAAAGGGGAAGTTTCCTGTTAAGATATAACATCTTGAAAATTTTCTTTTCTATTCCAATAACTTCAAGTTTTCCTTAATTTTATTGATCTAAAAATAATTTATGCATAGCAAAAATTCCCAAAATCATTCTACAAAGGGATAAAATAGAAGCTTTAAGGTATATTAGGAAATCTGGGGAAAAATTACTCTCACCTAAAGAAAGCAGGTTTCTGTAGTTCTCTAACACCGCATCTCTATATAAATTTCACTGAGCAGGATTCAGACACACCCACTACTCCTGAGAGAATTCTATGGCCACAGCCTTGAATATTAACATCTTCTAAAAAACCCCAAACACCCACACATATTTAGAAAGTGGCCATAGGCAGAATGGTTAATTTTACTCTAGGTGTTTGAGAGTTAAGAGAACTGGCTCTGTTTTACATGAGACTGAAATTATCCAGTAAAATATTATTTAATAGAGAAAGCTTCTCTAATGTATTCCATCATTCTGAGGAAAGAGAATAAGATCCACAAAACCAGTGTAGGTACTATACTTTTCTGATGATACAGCATAAAATGTATGGCACAAACACAAGCATATACAGTTTTGAGTGCTATATTTACATTATACAGAGTAAACTGTGTATAGTTCCCATATGGAGAAGTCACAGGACATTAGAAATTACCTCTCAAATTTTAATGCATACATCAATAAACTGGAGATTTTGTTAAAATATGTATTCTAACTCAACAGATCTGGGATGAGACCTGAGTTACTGCATTGCTAACAAACTGACCAATGATGTCAATGATTCTAGCTTAAGGAAAATACTTTTTAAAACATATAGTAAGTGACTGAACCTGGGTTTTATCCCACTGTATATGACCAGTAAAAAAAAGATGACACACTTCATTTTCCAAAGCAACGTATAAACAAAGATAAACTATTAAGAAAAGGAATGTAAGAAAAATGGATGTGCTGTGGTCAAGAATAGGCCGAGGTAAACATCTGGTTCAGCATGACTCAGTGAGTTTGGAGCACACATGCACAATTCTACTCATTATGTAACCTGGTTGTGTAAGATCATACTTGGCTCTCAGCCACTATTATGTGTTAGGAGTACACAGAAAGGTGGACAGGAGAGGGAGAGAGAGTAAAGCTGCTGACCCTGTACACAGGGCTCATGACCAGGCTTGTGACCATAGAGAGAATAAAGCCATGCCAAAACTCCCCACCAATCCTCGATTGTTTTTCCAGCAACCCACCACTCACCCACCGACTCCCGTCAGACCTCAGCTTGGACTGGAACCTGATACTTGGTGTAACAGGGGAGATTTCAGATTAAATGTGTTTATTCACATTAATCAGAAAGTCTCTCCAAAGTAATTGTGAATAATACAGTTTTTATAAAGTAACTTTAGAGTGAAGAAATCCTGGCTGGGAGTGGTGGCTCACACCTGTAATGCCTGCACATTGGGAGGCCAAGGCAGAGGGATCATGATGTCAAAAGTTCAAGACCAGCCTGGCCAACATGGTGAACCCCATCTTTACTAAAAATACAATAATTAGCTGAGCGTGGTGTCTCATGCCTGTAATCCCAGCTACTCAGGAGGCTGAGGCAGGAGAACCACTTGAACCCAGGAGGCAGAGGTTGCAGTGAGCTGAGACCGTGCCATTGCACTCCAGCTCTGGATGACAGAGCAAGACTCCATCTCGGGGAAGGGGGAAGAAGTCTTTCAGAAAACACATTAACCAAGTGAATAAAATTAATGGGACAGATTGGTATTATGTGCTGATACATATAGGATGATGCAACATGACTTCGGTGAAATTACTGGCCAAAAAATGTAAATCAGAATCAGAATCTAATTATGAAAAACATGTTTTATGTAAAGTTCAAGCCACATGTTGCCCATGTTTTGTAATTTCTAATAGTGTATTTAAATACTCTCTGTAGCATTCTAGAAGTCACATTTCTTTGAATTACTTCCTTTGCATATCTTTCTAATTATTCCAGGCTACCCATTCTTTTTCTTTTTTGGGGGGGGGATGGAGTCTACTCTGTCACACAGGCTGGTGTGTAATGGCACAATCTTGGCTCAAGGCAACTTCTGCCTCCTGGGTTCAAGTAATTCTCCTGCCTGTCTCCCAAGTAGCTAGGACTACAGGTACACACCACCTTGCCCAGCTAATTTTGTGTGTGTGTGTGTGTGTGTGTGTGTGTGTGTTTTTAACTGGAAAATGTTTTCCAGATTTATTGCTTGTGTGTGTGTTTTTAGTAGATACAGGGTTTCACCATGCTGCTCAAGCTGGTCTTGAACTCCTGACATCATGATCCACCCACTTTGGCCACCCAAAGTGCTGGGATTACAAGTGTGAGCCACCGTGCCCAGCCTAATTCTATCCTTTTGTTTTGTTTTGAGATAGAGTCTTGCTCTGTCACCAGGCTGGATTGCAGTGGCGTGATCTCATCTTCTCATCTCACTGCAACCTCTTTCAGTTTCAAGTGATTCTCCTGCCTCAGTCTTTTGAGTAGCTGGAGTTACAGGTACATGCCAACAAGCCCAGCTAATTTTTTATTTTTAGCAGAAATGGGGTTTCACCATGTTGGCCAGGATGGTCTCGATCTCCTGACCTCGTGATCCACCCGCCTCGGCCTCCCAAACTGCTAGGATCACAGGCATGAGCCACCACACCTGGCCAATTCCATCCTTTTTAAGTGTGCATTTAAAAATTATATTCTTCATAGAGCTGATGGAGCATTCAGATGGAACCTAAACAGTGCACTTTTCTCCCTCACTGATATCTGAGGACCCAGCACCATCCCCAATAAGAATGTTTTATATTCCCACCTGCCCAGGCTGACCTGTCAACATAGGGAATACTTCCAATATTTCAGCATATAAACTCAAGATGAGTATTATTTGTGATATGTAAGAAGCCTGGATGGAGAGAATAAAGACAAGTCTCTGATATATAGGGGAGAATTATTTTAAAGAAGTCCTTTCACTGTCATGAGAAGAAAAGGGGAAAGGTAGTTGAAATAATCTTCTTAGGCAAAAGCATCAGAAGTAGAAATGTAAATGACTGCAATTCTAAACACATGACATTCTAAAAGAAAATGTGGACACTGTTTTTACCTGGGACACACTTATCTGAGAATCTTGAGAATGTGTCTTTAAAGGCATCAGGACAGACCCTCTGAAGGAAGCAGACTGCTACTGCAGGACCCTGGAGACACTCCAAATACTGTGAGTGCCCCAAATGCAGAAGTGAGAAAGGGAGACCCTCCTCTCCCAAACACGCACCCCCACTGGAGAAGCTGAAAGTCTGTTTGTGGGATAATTTCCTGACTACCTGGAGCTGCATCAAATTAGAGCCAAGCTGAGTGAAATACAGGGGTGGAGCAGGCAGCAGGGAGGCCCTGGGGGCTTGATAAATCCCCAAGCAGCCCATTCCTGCCTGGCACCACAGGGATCCTTCAGGAGGGAGGACAGAGGAGCAGAGGTAAAATTCCAAGTGGAAAAAGACTTCCTTAGCTGAACTTTGTAACAATTTGAACGGGCCAAGAAGCCTCCTGCCCAGAACTCAGGGAAAGGCGCGAATCTGGCTTGCAGACTTCACAGGCGGGGAAGAACTAAAGCCCTTTTTTTTCCTGCAACTGGAAGGCAGAAAGCCTTGAGCAATTTTCAAGCCCAACTAGCCTTCCATCTGGAAACAGACTTGGGGTTGTTGTGGAGTACACAGTGGGAGTGAGAATGGCCCTCTGGTTTGCATGGGAGCTGAGTGAGGCCTGTGACTACTCGCTTTCCCCCACTTCCTTGACACTCTGTGTGGCTCAGCAGAGACAGCTATAATTCTCCTAGGTACACAACTCCAGTGACCTGGGACTCTCACCTGCATCCCCTACACCAACCACAGCAAGACCTGCCCAAGGAGAGTCTGAACTCAGACACGACCAGTGCCCCCTGCACCCAATGGTCCTTCCCTATCTGCCCTGGTAGGGGAAGACAAAGGACATATAATGTTGGGAGTCCTAAGGCCCCACCCACCACCAGTCCCTCTGCACACTACTACAGCTGATGCTTTCTAGAAGTGCTACCTACTGGCAGGAGGCCCACTAGCAAAAATAAATACATACATAAAGCATTAAACCATCAAAACTAAGGACTCCCACAGAGGCCACTGCACCCTTCACCACCTCCACTGGAACAGGCACTGGTATCCATGGCTGAGAGATCCACAGTCGATTTACATCACAGGACTCTGTGCAGACAACCCCAAGTATCAGCCTGGAGCAGGGAAGACTCACTGGGTGGCTAGACCCAGAAGAGAGACACCAATCACTACAGTTCAGCTCATGGAAAGCCACATCCACAGAAAAAGGGAATACCCTGTGGGTCAAAAAATCTAAACAGTTTTCAGCCATAGACCTTCCCTCTGACAAAGCCTACCCAAATGAGAAGGAACAGAAAAGCAAACCTGGTAATATGACAAAACAACGTTCATCAACACCCCCCAAAAAAATTACACTAGTTCACCAGCAACAGAACCAAACCAAGAAGAAATCCCTGATTTATCTGAAAAAAAAGGAGTCAGGAGGTTAGTTATTAAGCTAATCAGGGAGAGATGGGAGAAAGGCAAAGCCCAACACAAGGAAATACAAAAAATCACACAAGAAGTGAAGGGCAAAATATTCAATGAAACAGATAGCTTAAAAAAAAAATTCAGGAAACATTGGACACACTTTTAGAAATGTGAAATGATCAGGAAATTCTCAGCAATAAAAATTAACAAGTAGAAGAAGAAATTCTGAGCTCAAAGACAAGGTATTTGAATTAACCCAATCCAACGAAGACAAAACAGAATAAGAAAATATAAACAAAGCCTCCAGGAAGTCTGGAATTATGTTAAATGACCAAACCTAAGAATAATTGGTGTTCCTGAGGAAGAAAACAATTCTAAAAGCTTGGAAAACATATTTGAGGGAATAATCAAGTAAAACTTCTCTGGCCTTACCTAGACATACAAATATAAGAAGCACGAAGAACACCTGGGAAATTCATAGCAAAAAGATCTTCACCTTAGCACATTGTGATCAGGTTATCCAAAGTTAAGACAAAAAAATCTTAAGAGCTGTGAGACAGAAGAACCAGGTAACCTATAAAGGAACACCTATCAGATTAACAGCAGATTTCTCAGCAGAAACCTTACAAGTTAGAAGGGATTGGGGCCCCACCTACAGCCTCCTCAAACAAAACAATTATCAGTCAAGAATTTTGCATCCAGTGAAACTAAGCATTATATATAAGGAAAGATACAGTCATTTTCAGACAAACAAATGCTGAGAGAATTCACCATTAACAAGCCCCTAATACAAAAATGCCAAAAGAAACCTTAAATCATAAAACAAATCCTGAAAACACAACCAAACAGAATCTCTTTACAGCATAAATCAAACAGGATTTATAAAACACAAATACAAGATAAAAAACAAAAATGAAAAACCAAAAAAAAAGGCCAGGTGTGGTGGCTCATGCCTGTAATCTCAGCACTTTGGGAGGCCAAGGCGGGCAGATCACAAGGTCAGGAGTTCAAGACCAGCCTGGCCAATATGGTGCATCCCCGTCTCTACTAAATACACAAAAATTAGCCACGCGTGGTGGTGGGCACCTCTACTCCCAGCTACCTGGGAGGCTGAGGCAGGGGAATCGCTTGAACCTGGGAGGGGGAGGTTGCAGTGAACCAAGATGGCGCCACTGCACTCCAGCCTGGGTGACAGAGTGAGATTCCATCTCAAAAACAAACAAACAAACAAAAAACAGAAAAAAAAAAACACAAAACAAAAAAAACACCAAAGTATGCAGGCAACAAAGAGCATAATGAATGCAATGGCACCTCACATTTCAATAGTAACATTGAATGTAAATGGCCTAAATGCTCCACTAAAAGATACAGAACTGCAGAATGGATAAGAACTAACCAATCAACTATCTGCTATCTTCAGGAGACTCACCTAACACATAAGGACTCACATAAACTTAAAGTAAAGGGGTGGAAAAAGGCGTTTCATGCAAATGGACACCAAAAACAAGCAGGGGCAGCTATTCTTATATCAGACAAAACAAACTTTAAAGCAACGGTGGTTAAAAGAGACAAAGAGGGACATTATATAACAGTAAATGGCTGGTCCAACAGGAAAACATCCCAACCCTAAAGATATATCCACCTAATACTGGAGGACCCAAATTTATAAAAACAATTGCTAATAGACCTAAGAAATGAGATAGACAGCAACACTATAATAGTGGGGAACTTCAACTCCACTGACAGCACTAGACAGGCCATCAAGACAGAAAGTCGACAAAGAAAGAGTGGATTTAAACCATACCTTGGAAAAAAATGGACTTAACAGATATATACAAAACATTTCATTCAACAACTGCAGAACACACATTCTCCTCAACAGCACATGGAACTTTCTCCAAGACAGATCATATGATAGGTCATAATACGAGCCTCAAAACATTTAAGAAAACTGAAACTATATCAAGCACTCTCTCAGACCACAGTGGAATAAAACTGGACATCAACTCCCAAAGAAAACTTCAAAGCCACGCAAATATATGGAAATTAAATAAGCTGCTCCTGAATAACCATTGGGGCAAAAACCAAATCAATATGAAAATTAAAAAATTCTTCAAACAGAATGACAATAATGACACAACCTATCAAAACCTCTGGCATACAGCTAAGGTGGTGCTAACAGGAAAGTTCATAGCCCTAAATGCCTACATCAAAAAGTCTGAAAGAGTACAAACAGAAAATCTAAGGACACACCACAAGAAACTAGAGAAACAAGAACAAACCAAACCCAAACCCAGCAAAAAAAGAAAATAACCAAGATCAGAGCAGAACTAACTGAAACAAAAAAAATACAAAAGGTAAATGAAACAAAAAGCTGCTTCTTTGAAAATATAAATAAAATTTATAGACCATTAGCAAGATTAACCAAGAAAAGAGAGAAAATCCAAATAACCTCACTGAGAAATGAAACAGGAAATATTATAACTGACACCACTGAAATACAAAAAAATCATTCAAGGCTACTATGAACACCTTTACACACATAAACTAGAAAACCTAGAAGAGAAGAATAAATTCCTGTAAAAATACAACCCTCCTAGCTTAAATCAGGAAGAATTAGATACCCTGAACAGACCAATAACAAGCAGTGAGATTAAAATGGTAATTCAAAAAATTACCAATAAAATGTCCAGGACCAGACGGATTCACAGAATTCTACCAGACATTCAAAGAACTGGTACCAATCTTTTTGACACTATTCCACCAGATAGAGAAAGAAGGAGCCCTCCCTAATTCATTCTATGAAGCCAGCATCACCCTAGTATCAAAATCAGGAAAAGACACAACTAAGAAAGAAAACTGCAGGCAAATATCCTTGACAAACATTGATGCTAAAATCCTTAAAAAAAATACTAGCTAACTGAATCCAACAACATGTCAAAAAGATAATCCACTATGATAAAGTGGGTTTCATACCAGGGATGCAGGGATGGTTTGACACACAAGTCAACAAATGTGATACACCACATAAATAGAATTGAAAACAAAAATCACATGATCATCTCAATAGACGCAGAAAAAGCATTTGACAAAATCCAGCATCCCTTTGAAAGTAAAACTCTCAGCTTGGCCGGGCACATGGTGGCTCATGCCTGTAATCCCAGCACTTTGGGAGGCTAAGTCAGGCAGATCACCTGAGGTCAGGAGTTCAAGACCAGTCTGACCAATATGATGAAACCTCATCTCTACTAAAAGTACAAAAATTAGCCAGGCATGGTGACATGTGCCTGTAATCTCAGCTACTTGGGAGGCTAACACAGGAGAATCGTTTGAACCCGGGAGGCGGAGGTTGTGGTGAGCCAAGATCCTGCCATTGCACTCCAGCCTGGGCAACAAGAGCAAAACTCTGTTAAAAAAAAAAAAAAAAAAAAAAAAAAAAAAAAAAAAAACAACTCTCAGCAAAGTTGGCATACAAGGAACAGCTTAATTTAATAAAAGCTGTCTACAACAAACCCATAGCCAACATAATACTGAATGAGGAAAAGTTGAAAGCATTCTCTCTGAGAATGGGAAAAAGACTAGGATGCCCACTCTCACCACTCCTCTCCAAAATATTCCTGGACGTCCTCCAGAGCTATCAGAACAGAGAAAGAAATAAAGGGCATCCAAGTCAGTAAACAAGAAGTCAAACTGTCCCTGTTTGCTGATGATATGATAATTTACCTTGAAAACCCTACGGACTCCTCCAGAAGGCTCCTACAACCAATCAAAGAATTCAGCAGTTTCTGGATACAAGATTAATGTACACAAATCAGTAGCTCTTTTATTCACCAACAGCAACCAAATGGAGAATTAAATCAAGAACTCCCCTTTTACAATAGCTGGAAAAAAACAAAAAAAAGTTAGGAATACACCTAATGAAGGAGTCAAAAGACCTCTAAAAGGAAAACTACCAAACACTACTGAAAGAAATCATAGATGACACAAACAAATGGAAACACATCCCATGCTCAAGGATGGGTAGAATCAATATTTTGAAAATGACCCTACTGCCAAAAGCAATCTACAAATTCAGCACAATTCCCATCAAAATACTACCATCATTCTTCACAGAGTTAGAAAAAAAAAATTCTAAAAACCATATGGAACCAAAAAAGAGCCCACAGAGCCAAAGAAAGACTAAGCAAAAAGAACAAGTCTGGAGGCACCACACTACCTGATTTCAAACTATACTATAAAACCATAGTCACCAAAACAGCGTGGTACTGGTATAAAAATAGACACATAGACCAATGGCAGAGAACCCAGAAATAAACTGAAATAATTACAGCCAAGTGATCTTCAAAAAAGTAAACAAAAACATAAAGTGGGGAAAAGACACCCTTTTCAACAATTGGTGCTGGGATGGTAGCCACATGTAGGAGAATAAAACCAGATCCTTATCTCTCACCTTATAAAAAAAATCAACTCAAGATGGATTAAGGACTTAAACCTAAGACCTGAAACTCTAAAAATTCTGGAAGATAACAATGGAAAAACCCTTCCAGGCACTGGCTAGGCAAAAATTTCATGACCAAAAACCCAAAAGCAAATGCAGTATAAACAAAGATAAATAGCTGGGACCTAATTAAAGAGCTTTTGCATGGCAAGAGGAACAGTAAGCAGAGTAAACAGACAACTCACAGAGTGGGAGGAAATCTTCACAATCTATACATCTGATAAAGGACTAATATCCAGAATCTACAAGGAACTCAAACAAATCAGTAAGAAAAAAAAAAACATCAAAAACTGTGCTAAGGACATGAATAGACAATTTTCTAAAGAAGATATACAAATGGACAACAAACATAAGAAAAAATGCTCAACATCCCTAATGATCGGGGAAATGAAAATCAAAACCACAATGCAATACCACCTTATTCTTGCAAGAATGGTCATAATCAAAAGATCAAAAAACTGTAGATGTTGGCATGGATGTGGTGATTAGGGAACACTTTGTAAAAAGTAAAGTAGAGGTTCCTCTTCAAAGATTCCCCCCCCCCATCTAATTAGGAATAAATTGTAACTTTTCTTAGAGACAAAATTTATTCAAAGACCTGTGCTCCTAAATATTTGCCCTGGCATGCTTATACTGGTCCAAGCAAGCATTAGGTCATAGCCTGCTCCTCTTCCTTATTTAAAAGTGGTTTTACCTTTCTCAGCATCCCACAAGTTACTTACTCCTTTCTTTGTTCTCCTTTACCTTTGCCTCTTTTAAAAAGTTCTAAGATGCTAGCCAATTGGGATAAATACAGAATGTGAGGTCCCATTCTAGCCAATGGAAACCGGACACAGCAGTAGGGTGGATGCGTCAGGTTATAAATGACCCTGTCTCCTTTATTCATTGTACTCTCGTGGCAAAACTGCTGACGAGTGTATACTTTCTGCAGGAAGTAAAAATGGCCTTACTAAATAAGTTAAATTTATGTTCAAGTGCTATTTCTTTATGGCAC
This sequence comes from Homo sapiens, assembly GCF_000001405.40. Classification (NCBI taxonomy): domain Eukaryota; kingdom Metazoa; phylum Chordata; class Mammalia; order Primates; family Hominidae; genus Homo; species Homo sapiens. The sequence continues at coordinate 24,131,274 of NC_000019.10, read as the reverse complement.
TGAGGAACAAACATTTCAAACAACTTCTACACTGCTGGTGGGAATGTAAACTAGTACAGCTGCTATGAAAAACAGTGTGGATATTCCTTAAAGAACTAAAAGTAGAACTACCATTTGATCCAGCAATCCCACTACTGGGTATCTATCCAAGAAAAACTAGTAATTATTTGAAAAAGATACTTGCACATACATGTTTCTAGCAGCACAATTCACAACTAAAAAATCATAGAACCAAGTGAAATGCCCATCAATCAACGAGTGGATACACACACACACACACACACACACACACACACACACACACACAGGAATACTACTCAGCCACAAAAAGGAATGAATTAACAGCATTTGCAATGACCTGGATGAGACTGGAGACTGTTATTCTAAGTGAAGTAACTCAGGAATGGAAAACCAAACATCATATGTTCTCACTGATATGTGGGAAATACGCTATGAGGACACAAAAGCACAAGAATTATACAATGAACTTTGGGGACTTGAGGGGAAGAGTGGGAGTGGGGAGGGATAAAAGACAACTTATATGGTGAAGTGTATCCTGCTTGGATGATGGGTGCACCAGGATCTCACGGATCACCACTTAAGAACTTACTCATCTAACCAAACACCATGTGTACCCCAATAGCTTATGGAACAATAAAATTAAAAAAAAATATTCTTATAATTACAGACCAGCTCACATAATGAATACTTCAAAGACTATTACACAGGCTGGGCGTGGTGGCTCACGCCTGTAATCCCAGCACTTTCAGAGGCCAAGGTGGGTGGATCACCTAAGGTCAGTTGAAGACCAGCCTGACCAACATGGTGAAACCTCATCTCTACTAAAAATACAAAAATTAGCTGGGTATGGTGGTGGGCACCTGTAGTCCCAGCAACTTGGGAGGCTGAGGCAGGAGAATTGCTTGAACCTAAAAGGCAGAGGTTACAGTGAGCCAAGATCACACTATTGAACTTCAGCCTGGGTGACAGAGCAGGACTCCGTCTCAAAAATAAATAAATAAACAAACAATTAACAAACAAAGAAAGTTATGAGTCTAGCATGAGTATCAGTCAAGTTAAAACACAGAATTTGCATGCGGAGATTCTGAATCATAAGCACAAAGACTGTACAGTAATAAATTCAATACAAAGCAAATAGCATAGATTTGGTTTCAGCATTTTTGAAAATTTTTGTTTTCTAGTAAATTAGACACCTTATTAAAATAATTTATTTTGTTCGAGTATTTCTTTTTGCTGCTAAAAATAGTTTCAAACTTATACTCACACAAACATACTTACTCCATAATTTATTTACACCTAAGGTTTATCTTTAATAGAAGTATATATTTAATTTTATGTAAATCAATTCTAAGAGTCCATATGTGCTTGCAGGCAAAGGTCACATATTCAAAGAAAAATATATTAAAATTTTTAAAAATATTTATTCAGAACTCAGAAATGTATAGATTTTACACGTTTGTATAAAATTTTTTATTATGACCATAAAAATGACCCTGTAATCAATAACATTGTAAATTTAAAAATAACTAAAAGTGTACAATTGAATTGCTTGTAATAAAAAGAATAAATGCTAGAGGTAATGGATATCTCATTTCCTCTAATGTGATTATTATATAGAGTATGCCTGCATCAAAATATACCATATATGGCATACATATATACACATATTATGTATCCACAAAAATTAAGAAAAATAAATTTAAATGTGAAAATAAGAATAAAAATTTAACCCATAGGAACAATATTCTTTAACTTATTGGCAATTTAAAGCCACTGGCAAAAAAGATTGCTAGAGATGTCAGTACATTATCTTACCAAATAGTGTATTGTTACCATCTTTTACCTACATCCTTGAGTAAGGGAATAGGTTAAAGTTAGTGGCATAAGAACACTTCATTGAATTCACAATAGTATTTAATATGTTAAAAATGTTGAATTGAAAAGCTAAGTTCACACATAATTTATAATTTAAAAATAGACTGCATATTATTTCATAGAAGTACAATTAATAAAATAACATATGACTAACTTAATTTTAACTAAAATTAAGAATGCTTTTCATTCATAATAATGCAGAGGAATATTATTCTGAACACCTACCTCATGCATCACTCAATATTATAAGTTAACCACAAAGAGCCTCTCTACCTAAATTTTCCTCACGCATCTTACATTTTAATGTCCTTATCTTTTCATAGAAAAGGTCATAAATAATGCCTAATAAAAAAGAATCTCATATCTTTTATGCAGCAACAATTAGTCACATGCTTTCACATATGAATACACCAGCAATGATGAAACAGCATGAATTTAAGAGTTGAACACATTATTCACTTTTAAAAAAAATCTGTATTTTCAAAAAAAAGTACTTTGAATGTAATTATAACCCTCCAAAAAATATTCTATTTTTAAAGTTATATACAAATGTTTAGACAAATCTGTTTGTATTATTTTCTATACTCAGCACTCTGATTTAGTGTAATGTCTAAAGCTTGAATGCCCTAGATATTTCTACTGTGAATTATTCCCTGATATTTACATAGACTTAATTTTGGATTGAATATCTTTCATATTTAATGTATCTGCAAAAATATATTTTAGTATGAACACTTTGGTGTTTTATAATTTGTAGTTTTTGAAAAAATGTTTTTCCAAATTCATTATACTTGCAGGGTTTTCTTAAACTCCCTGATGTTCAACAAAATTTTAACAACTGCCTGAGGGTTTTTCTCTAGTATAAAATGTGTACAATAAGATCTGTGGTACAAGTAAAGATATTACAATCCTCTTCATATGTGTAATGTTTTTTTCAAAATAAATGCTCTTCTATACTTTAAAGACATACTTTCTGACAGATCTTCTGAGAGTAATTAGAATTTTAATGCTTTTATTTACTATGAACTCTACAATTTTGAGTAAGATGTGAGCAGGTGTTAATGGATTTTTTACTTTGCCAATATTTGTACATTTCTTCTCAAGTATAAATGCTTTCCTGTGCAATAGGGTGTGAGCATTGTCGAAGCTTGGCCACGTTGTTCACACTGGTAGTTTTCTCCAGTATGAATTATCTTACCTACAATCAAGTGTGACAATCATTTAAAGGCTTTTTCACATTCTTCACATTTCTAGGATTTTTCAGCAGAATGATTTTCTTTAAAGTTTTAGGTACTGTCAAAAGCATTAGCGCCTCTCTCAGGTTTGTAGTTTCTCTCCAGTAGGAATAATCTTATATCTATTAAGAATTGAGGGTTTTCTTAGGCTTTGGCACATTATTCATACTTGTAAGATTTCTCTCCAATGAGTTATCTTATCTGTGGTGAGGTGCGAGGACCGATTAAAGGCTTTGCCAAATTTTTCCCATTTGTAGGGTTGCTCTCCAGTATGAATTCTCTTATGTTTAGTTAGGGTTGAGGACCAGAAAAATGCTTTGCCACATTCTTCACATTTGTAGGGTTTTACTCCAGTATGAATTACCTTATGTTTAGTAAAAGTTGAAGACCGGTTAAAAGATTTGCCACATTCTTCACATTTATAGGGTTTCTCTCCAGTATGAATTCTCTTATGGTTAGTAAGGATTGAAGACTGCTTAAAGGCTTTGCCACATTTTTCACATTTGTAGGGTTTCTCTTCAGTATGAATTATCTTATGTTTAGTAAGAGTTGAGGACCAGTTAAAGGCTTTGCCACATTCTTCACATTTGTAGGGTTTCTCTCCAGTATGAATTATCTTATGTGTAGTAAGGGTTGAGGATTGGCTAAAAGATTTGCCACATTCTTCACATTTGTAGGGTTTCTCTCCAGTGTGCATCCTCTTATGTCTAGTTAGGGTTGAGGACCATATAAATGCCTTGCCACATTCTTCACATTTGTAGGGTTTCTCTCTAGTATGAATTCTCTTATGTTTAGTAAGGGTTGAGGACCAGATAAATGCTTTGCCACATTCTTCACACTTGTAAGGTTTCTCTCCAGTATGAATTATCTTATGTGTAGTAAGATTTGAAGATCGATTAAAACCTTTGCCGCATTCTTCACATTTGTAGAGTTTCTCTCCAACATGAATTATTTTATGTGTAGTAAGAGTTGAGAGTTGCTTAAAAGCTTTGCCACATTCTAAGCATTTGTAGCGTTTCTCTCCAGTATGAATTATCTTATGTGTAGTAAGGGTTGAGGACTGGCTAAAAGCTTTGCCACATTCTTCACATTTGTAGGGTTTCTCTCCAGTGTGCATCCTCTTATGTCTAGTTAGTGTTGAGGACCATATAAATGCTTTGCCACATTCTTCACACTTGTAGGGTTTCTTTCTAGTATGAATTTTCTTATGCTCAGTAAGGGTTGAGGACCAGATAAATGCTTTGCCACATTCTTCACACTTGTAAGGTTTCTCTCCAGTATGAATTATCTTATGTGTAGTAAGATTTGAGGATCGATTAAAAGCTTCACCACATTCTTCACATTTGTAGAGTTTCTCTCCAGCATGAATTATTTCATGTGTAGTAAGGGTTGAGAGTTGCTTAGGAGATTTGTTATATTCTTCACATTTGTAAGGTTTCTCTTCAGTATAAATTTTCCTATGATTAGTAAGGGTTGAGGACCAATTAAAGGTTTTTCCACATTCTTTACATTTGTAGGACTTCTCTCTATGATAAATGCTTTTGTGTTGGGTTTTATGTGAAAGCATGCAAAATAATTTGACACGTTTTTTACATTTGAAAGATTTCTTTTCAGTATGTCTTATCTTAGGTCTGTTTGAATTTAAAAATTTATAGAAGACTTTCAAATATTTATCACATTGAAATACTTTGCTCTGGGCAGTTGTGAAACACTGGTTAAGTCCATTATAACCTTCTTTGTTCACCTTATACTCATCCACACTTTTACAGCCTTTTCTTAACTGTAAATTCTCATGTCCATATTTTCCATATCTTCTCAGTATTGCTTTTTGAAAAGAATCTTCCATGCCCTGCTCTGGCCAAAGGTCTTGAGCAAAATGAGGACACATACCTGAAAAAAAAATAAAAATAAATAAATTACTCCACTTACTAGACTCACATGAATATAGTTTAAAAATCTTACCTATAAAATTATACAAACTACATAGACAAGATAGCATTGCAAAATACCACAGGCTCTAATTCTTTCATAGACATAAATGTAACAAAAACATTCAGACCAAAATACATCTGTGGAAAATTCATAAATGATTTAAGTGTGTGCAGTGTCCCAGGTGAGCACAATGCAAAAAAACACAAAGAAGAAAAAGAAAAGTCTGTTAAATTTACTCAATACATCTTTTCCTGTTTCCCACTATACCATAGTGTCTTTACAAGTAAATTGCCAACTCTTGGTTTCTGTTTTAAAAGAAAGGTAAAATACCGGCACAATCATTGCCATTTCTGGCTTTTAGGGTTTTTTCCTGACACTGGTTTCTGTCTCTCATGACATAAAGTACTGAAAGAAATGGTGGTATATTTTGGAATGAGAGTTTGAGTCTGCTGAGACCAAAGAAAAATGTTACAGCAGCAGAGAGACTGCAGTACCACAGAAATGGAAAAGGTGTAGCAAGTGATGACGCTACAAATTAACGAGTAATCTCTCCTAATTAAATAATAAAAATAAAATTTCAGACAACACATATCCTAAGAATATGTTTAAGAAACTCTCATAATCACCAGCAAAGACAATTGTTTTCAGAATATGCCATGACAAAGCTACATTATAAGATTTTGACAAGTAGCTTTTTTTAATGTCTAAATCTTAATCAAGGATTATAATATATACAAAATAGGGCAATACAATCCCACCAAAAATATCACAAAATTTTCTGAAAGAAATCATAAAAAAGATGTATACATTAATTTTAATAATTGGTAATAAACTGAATAATACTGATTAAAATGGGAACAGAAACAACTATGGAAAATCAGAAAAATGAGGACAAGAATAAAAAATAGTTAAGATATCAAAAAACAAATTGTGGAGATAAAATATACACAAAAAAACTGACAGATCCTAAAAGTAAAAAAAAAAAAAAAGATGTAAAAATAAAAAAGCTCAACAAACAAACTAGAATAACAAAAAGATATTTATAACAAACACATACATAAGCACAATTTCAAAAGTCACAGACAAAAAGATTACCTTTGAAGCTGCCAGATAAAACTGATGTGCCAGGTCAGGCACAGTGGCTCACACCTGTAATCCAGGCACTTTGGGAGGCCAAGGTGGGCCGATCACCTGAGGTCAGGAGTTCAAGACCAACCTGACCAACATGGCAAAACCCCGTCTCTACTAAAACTATAAAAATTAGCCAGGCATGGTGGTGCATGCCTGTAATCCCAGCTACTCAGGAGGCTGAGGCTGAACCCAGGAAGGGGAACCACTTGAACCCAGGAAGTGGAGCTTGCAGTGAGCTCAGGTCACACCACTACACTCAAGCCTGGCTGGAGGATACAGTGAGACTCTTGTTTCCAAAAAAAAAAAAGAAAAAGAAAAAAAGTGATGTGCCATTTACAAACATAATCTTATGAGATAGTCAGTGAACTGTTAACAAAAATTTTGCAGGCCATAAGGGAACTGTGTGATGTAGTCATGACAAAAATTGTGGAAAAAAAAAAGGTTTAATTAATTGAGAATAATACCATCAGCAAATCTGTCCTGCCAAATAAAAAAAGTAAAAACCTTCCAAAGTAACCAAATTCTAAAAAAGTATATTGGAAATGCATATGCCCTACATATAAAAGGTGCTGAAAAGAGTTCCTTCTACTGAAAATAACATGATTCCAATAAAAACACAGAATCATATAAAAATACATGATTTTCTGGGAAAAATATGCAAATACACAAAAGTCAAATTTCTTAGCATTACCCTAGTGGTGCAGAAAACATTTTTAATTATTCTCTGAAATTTGAAGGATAAAAGCATAGAAAACATTTTAAATATTCATTAATGAATATACAATATAAAAAGATATAATTAACAACATCAATGACAAATTTGAGGGAAGGTATAATAAGAACAAATTTTTGTACGCAACTTAAGTTTATTTACCAGATTAAAATATGTTGTTGTATCTTTTAGAGGTTATATGTAATCCCCAATGTACCACAAAAATATTTGTATAAATACACAAAACAAAATAAGTCAAAGCCTATCAATACAAATATCAAAAAGACACAAAGAAAGATGGAAAGAGAATAAAAGACAAAGATGCAAGAATCAAATAAAATACTTAATAAAATAACAGTAAGTCTTTCTATTTCAGAAAATTATTTCAATATATATAAAATTAACTTTTAAATTGAGACATATTTTCAATAAATAGTTTTATTAAAATATTTTAAAAACTGAGATTCATCTTGCCTTTCTACAAGAGTCAGTTGAAATCTAATGATAAAAAAAGACTGGAAGAGGCAGGAAGAAAGTAGACATTCCATGCAAATATTAATCAAATGAGAGCAGAAACAGTCAAAATAATCTTACACAAGCTACATCTTAAGTCAAAAATTATAATATTTTATAAAATGTACTTTAAATTTAAACTCCAAAGAAACAAAGGACATCAAAAAATAATAGATTCATTCACTGGGAACCTATGAAAAATTTGTGTATATTTGTGTGTGTGTGTGTATGTGTTTGTGCACGCACGCAGGTGTGTGTGTGTGTGTCTCACATTAGGGTTCCAAATATATAAAGCAAATATTGACAGAATGGAAGAAACACATACAAAGCAATACAATTATAGCAAGATATTTTAATACCACACTTTCTGTAATAAAAATAAAACAAGAAAGAATGTTAATAAGGGAACAGACTACTTAAAGGCAGTATAAAACAATTATTCCAAACAGAGTTATGGAGAACACTCCTCGACAACATCAGAATACACCTCTTTCTCAATAGCTCATACATTTTACTTGATAAACCACATCTTAAGCCAAAAAGGAAGTCTTACCAAACTTTTTAAAAGTAAACTTCTATGAACTACTTTCTATGAGTAAAATGGAGTACGAGTATAAAACAATAAGACAGAAAAACTGAAAAATTTACAAATACATAGAAATTAAACAACACACCCTTGAGTGTGCTTTTAAACAAAGGTTGAAATAATTAATATTCTGAAAAGGTCCATCCAGCTCAATGCAACAGACAGACTTAATGAATGTTTTTCAAATTTCTCACTGCATTTTTGAAGAAACAGGAACAGCAACCCCAAAAGTATATAGAATCTCAAGAGACAATAAAGTACCCAACAATCTTCAAAAAATAAAAGGAACAATGCTGGAGGCATTAAAGTTCTTGATTAAATCACACTACAAAGCTACAGAATTAAAACAATTTGGTATGAGTATAAAGGTGAAAAAGTAGACTAATAAAATAGAATGCAGCACATATATAAACTTTCACATACATGGTCATATAAGGAGTCATTTACATAGTGATAATTATTGCAGCATTGTTACTGTAAGCCAATAGGTAAAAGCAAGGCAGATTTCTTTCACCAAATCATTCAGTAGATATAATTTGAAATATAAAAATTCTGAAATATCACTCAGTCTTCAAAAAGCAGGAAATATTGTACGAACTATAAAGATAAATGTTGATGGCATTATGTAAAATGAAATGAGCCAGCCACAAAACGACAGATTGTATGAAATATATGAAGGAGTTACACTCTTAGAAACAAAGAACAGACTGGCGTTTGCAAAGTGCCATAAAACAGAAAAAATTGGGGCCAGGCATGGTGGTTCACACCTGTAATCTGAGCACTTTGAGAGACCCAAGCGGGTGGATCACCTAAGGTCAGGAGTTTAAAACCAGCCTGGCCAAGATGGTGAAACCCCATCTCTAATAAAAATACAAAAATTAGCCAGGCATGATGGCGGTCACCTGTAATCTGAGCTACTAAGGAGGCTGAGGCATGAGAATCAATTGAACCTAGGAGGTGGAGGTTGCACTGAGCTGAGATGGTGCCACTGCACTTCAGCCTGGGTGACAGAGCAAGACTCCACCTCAAAAAAGAAAAAAAACAAGAAAAAAGTGGTAGTCAGTATGTATTAAGATTTAGCTTTGCAAGATAAAAACATTCTAGCAATATGTTGCATGACAATGTCAAGATAATTAGTGTGACTTAACTGAATATTTAAAAATATTTTGTGGTAAATTTGTTATTTTTTTGACAAGTAAAAATAATAATACCCAAAAGAGATACAGAGTTATGGGAGTTTTAAATTATATTCAAATCCAAAAGTGTTTCTCCCACACAAAAATCATATAGATTCATAAATAGGATGTTGAAATTACAAGAATTTTATAACTACTCATCTACAAAGGATTAGAAAACCATTCACAACAAACCTATACAACAAATATACAAAAAACAAACAAAAAAAAACCAAGGGTAGCCTGGTGTGGTGGCTCACACCTGTAATCCCAGCACTTTGGGAGGCTGAAGAGGGTGGATCATGAGGTCAGGAGTTCAAGACCAGCCCGGCCAACATGGTAAACTCTGTCTCTACTAAAAATACAATAATTATCCAGGCTTGGTAGTGGGCGCCTGTAATCCCAGCTAATTGGGAGGCTGAGGCAGGAAAATCACTTGAACCTGGAAGGCGGAGGTTGCAGTGAGCCAAGATCGTGCCACTGCACTCCAGCCTGGTCAAGAAGAGCAAAACTCTGTCTCAAAAAAAAAATTTAAAAAAGATAACATTTATACAGGCAAACAAACAGATATAATTCTACTGGAAAAAGACATATGGCTGATTCATATTTGATTTTGCTCCACAGGGTCTTAAATTGTACAAAGTTAAATATTGTCATGCACAATTATGATATATACTAAAAAATCAAAACACAAATATCAGATGTATGGTGGCATATGCTAGAATATATAACACAAAAATATAAAATTGCAAAACAAAATTAAAACATGGAATGTAAAACTTATTAGACACCATCAAGTAGATCAATATATTCATTAAGGTAATCTTAGAAGAAGAATATGGGGAAAAAAAAACAATACAGTGGTTACTTGAAGATAAAAGGTGAGAATTTCCCAAATTTTGATGTAGTAAAACAAACAAACAAAAATTGTAACCAAGAATATTTGATTTAAATTTATTTCCCTTTAAAAATAGGATGAAAACTAAAAATCTCCAAAATAAAAGTTGAGGGAGTTCATCACCACTAGCACAGTTCTACAAAAAAATGCTACATGATGGCCAGGCACTGTGGCTCATGCCTGTAATCCTGCAGTTTTAAGAGGCCAAAGCTGTCACAACACTAAAGACCAGGAGATTCAGATCAGCCTGAATAATACAGCGAGAGTTTGCATATAAAAAAAAGAAACGGGAGGTCAGGAGATTGAGACCATCCTGGTTAACATGGAGAAACCCCGTCTCTATTAAAAATACACAAAAAAAACAAAATTAGCCAGGCATGGTGGCAGCCGCGTATAGTTCCAGGTACTCAGGAGGCTGAGGCAGGAAAATGGCGTGAACCCGGGAGGCAGAGCTTGCAGGGAGCTGAGATTGTCCCGCTGCACTCCAGCCTGGGTGACAGAGCAAGACTCCATCTCAACAACAACAACAACAACAACAACAAAGAAATGCTAAAATGAGTCAATTTTATTTAAAAATAAAATAATACTGGACAGCATCATAAAACCATATATAAAAATAAAGCTCTCTATTGAATGTAAATATACAAATGTAGAAATCTTTACTATCATAATGATGATGCATAAAACCCTTAAAGCTCTTCTGTAGAATATTTAAAACAATAAAAATCTGCATAAATGTTAATACACAAAATAATTTTTATATTAATAAACTGAAAAATACAGAGGTATAATTTTTATATTCAACTGAAGTTGTCATGAGATTAAAATATATTTTTAAGTTTTAGATGTTTTATGTAAATTCCATTTTTAAGATGATGTGGTTTGGCCATGTCCCAACCCAAGTCTCATCTTTAATTCCCATATGTTGTGGGAGGGATGCAGTAGGAGGTAATTGAATCATGGGGGCAGATGTTTTCTGTGCTGTTCTCATGATAGAGAATAAGTCTCATGAAAGCAGAAGGCTTTATAAGGCAGTTTTCCTGCGCAAGCTCTTTCTTTTGTCTGCCACCATGTGAGACATGCCTTTCACTTTCCACCATGATTGTGATGACTCCTCAGTCACATGAAACTGTGACCAATAAACCTCTTTCTTTTGTAAATTGCCCAGTCTCAGGTATGTCTTTATCAGCAGCATGAAAACAGACTAATATACAAGAGGATTATGAAGATAATATTTATAGAAAGTATGCAAAACAAAATTTAAAAAATAATTGAAGCATGTCACTACACAATTAAAATAAGGCAATAAAACAGTAAATAAGAAAAAACATACCACTCAAACACATAAAACAATAGCAATAAAACTAGTAATTTCATTTTAAGAAATAATTTTAAATATAAATTAATTAAACTACTTAATAAAAAGAAATGTAATCTCAGGACTTTGGGAGGTTAAAGTGGGGTGTTCACTGGATCTCAGAAGTTTGAGACCAACCTCAGCAATGCGGCAAAACCTTGTCTCAACCAAAAATACAAAAAAACTGGGAGGACATGAAGCTACACACTTGTAACCCAGCTACCTGAGAGGCTGCAATCAGAGAATCTTCTAAGTTTGGGAGGTTGAGGCTGCAGTGAGCCATGATCACAACACTGCAAACCAGCCTGGTTGAGAGAGTGAGACCCTATCTCAAGAACAAACAAATAAGGCCAGGAATGGTGGCTCACACATGTAATCCCAGCACTCTGGGAGGCTTAGGCAGGTGGATCACCTGAGGTCAGGGTTTTGAGATCAGCCTAGCCAATATGGTGAAACCCCTTCTCTACTAAAAATGCAAAAATTCGCCAGGCATGGTCGCACACACCTGTAGTCCCAGCTGCTTGGGAGGCTGAGACAGGAGAATCGCTTGAACCTAGGAGGCAGAGGTTGCAGTGAGCCGAGATTGTGTCACTGCACTCTGGCCTGGGTGACAGAGTGAGACTTCATCTCAAAAAAAATAAAAAATACAATAATAAAGTTTATTTCCTTAAACCATATGTGGAAAAATCTTTTAATTAGACATAAGAAGATAACTTTTTTTGTTTTTGAAGTCAGAGTCTCATTCTGTTGCCCAGGATGGAATGTGGTGGCATGCTCTCCAATCACTCCAATCTCTGTCTCCTGGATTTAAGTTATTCTCCTTCCTCAGCCTCCCGAGTAGCCTGGGTTTACACGCACCCACCACCACGCCTGGCTAATTTTTTGTATTTTTAGTAGAAATGAGGTTTCACCATATTGGTCAGGCTGGTCTCAAACTTCTGACCTCATGATCCACCCCACTCAGCCCCCCAAAGTGCTAGGATTATAGGTGTGAGGTGCCATTCCAGGCCAGATAACTTCTTCATCATTTAAAAATATATAGGGGAAACACATGACAATAATCTTGGCGCCATTTTCTTAGCTACAACATTAAATGCATAAGCAACAAGGAAAAAAGCAAAAATTTAACTATACTACACTTCCAAATTTCTGCATATGTAAGTAAACATTTAATAGAGGGATAAGGCCTCCTAGAAAATGGGTGAAAATATTTACAAATCACATGTGATAGGAGTCAATATTCAAAAAATAGAAACGACTTTTAAAACTAAATAAATTTGAATGAATTTATTTACAAATAGGAAAATAATTGAAATACATTTTCATCGAAAAACACAAACAAAAAATTTGAAAGGACACAAAAAATTTCTAATTTATAGAGAAATGCATAAAAATCACAACGAAAAAGAAAATCCATCACATCCATTTAAATGACCACTATCAATTTTTTAAAAACACCTAATCTGTTGATGATGCAGTAAAACCCTTGGCCAAGTGAGGTGGCTCACGCCTGTAATCCCAGCACTTTGGGAGGCTGATGCGGGCGGATTTTGAGGTCAGGAGTTCAAGACCAGCCTGATCAACATGGTGAAACCCCATCTGTACTAAAAATACAAAAATTAGCCAGATGTGGTGGCACGTGCCTGTAATCCCAGTTACTAAGGAGGCTGAGACAGGAGAATCGCTTGAAACCCGGGAGGCGGAGGTTGCAGTGAGTCAAGATTGTGCCACTGAGCTCCAGCCTGGGTGACAAAGGGAGACTCCATTTCAAAAAAAAAAAAAGAAAAGAAAAAAAAGAAACCCATGTGCATCGTTGGTGGAAAACAAGGATGCACATACTATTTTATTATGTTATAAATGTACTTCAAATAACTAAAAATAAAATTATCAAATACAGCAATTACATTTATGAATCTATATATAAAATATGCAACAAAAGACCTTGAAGACATGTATGATAGAATGGAATATGATTCAGTTTTAAAAAAAAAATCTTGAGCAGCCAAGATGGCCAAATACGAACAGCTCCGGTCTACAGCTCCCAGCGTGAGTGATGCAGAAGACGGGTGATTTCTGCATTTCCATCCGAGGTACCGGGTTCATCTCACTAGGGAGTGACAGACAGTGGGCGCAGGACAGTGGGGGCAGCAAAGCGTGGAAGAGCCGAAGCAGGGCTAGGCATTACCTCACTCAGGAAGTGCAAGGGGTCAGGGAGTTCCCTTTCCTAGTCAAAGAAAGGGGTGACAGACGGCATCTGGAAAGTCGGGTCACTCCCACCCTAATACTGCGCTTTTCCGACGGGCTTAAATAACCGCACAACAGCAGATTATATCCTGCACCTGGCTCGGAGGGTCCTACGCCCACAGAGTCTCGCTGATTGCTAGCACAGCAGTCTGAGATCAAACTGCAAGGCAGCAGCGAGGCTGGGGGAGGGGCACCCGCCATTGCCCAGGCTTCCTTAGGTAAACAAAGCAGCCGGGAAGCTCAAACTGGGTGGAGCCCACCACAGCTCAAGGAGGCCTGCCTGCCTCTGTAGGCTCCACCTCTGGGGGCAGGGCACAGACAAACAAGACAGCAGTAACCTCTGCAGACTTAAATATCCCTGTCTGACAGCTTTGAAGAGAGCAGTGGTTCTCCCAACACACAGCTGGAGATCTGAGAACAGGCAGACAGACTCCTCAAGTGGGTCCCGGACCCCTGAACCATGAGCAGCCTAACTGGGAGGCACCCCCCACTAGGGGCAGACTGACACCTCACATGGCTGGGTACTCCTCTGAGACAAAACTTCCAGAAGAATGATCAGACAGCAGTATTCGCGGTTCACGAAAATCAGCTGTTCTGCAGCCACTGCTGCTGACACCCAAGCAAATAGGGTCTGGAGTGGACATCTAGCAAACTCCAACAGACCTGCAGCTGAGGGTCCTGTCTGTTAGAAGGAAAACTAACAAACAGAAAGGACATCCACACCAAAAACCCATCTGTACATCACCATCGTCAAAGACCAAAAGTAGATAAAACCACAAAGATGGGGAAAAAACAGCAGAAAAACTGGAAACTCTAAAAAGCAGAGCACCTCTCTTCCTCCAAAGGAACGCAGTTCCTCACCATCAATGGAACAAAGCTGGGTGGAGAATGACTTTGACGAGTTGAGAGAAGAAGCCTTCAGATGATCAAACTACTCCCAGCTACAGGAGGAAATTCAAACCAAAGGCAAAGAAGTTAAAAACTTTGAAAAAAATTTAGACAAATGTATACCTAGAATAACCAATATAGAGAAGTGCTTAAAGGAGCTGATGGAGCTGAAAGCCAAGGCTTGAGAACTACATGAAGAATGCAGAAGCCTCAGGAGCTGATGCAATCACCTGGAAGAAAGGGTATCAGTGACAGAAGATGAAATGAATGAAATGAAGCGAGAAGGGAAGTTTAGAGAAAAAAGAATAAAAAGAATTGAAAAAAGCCTCCAAGAAATATGGGACTATGTGAAAAGACCAAATCCACATCTGATTGGTGTACCTGAAAGTGACGGAGAGAATGGAACCAAGTTGGAAAACACTCTGCAGGATATTATCCAGGAGAACTTCCCTAATCTAGCAAGGCAGGCCAACATTCAGATTCAGGAAATACAGAGAACGCCACAAAGATACTTCTCGAGAAGAGCAACTCCAAGACACATAATTGTCATATTGACCAAAGTTGAAACGAAGGAAAAAATGTTAAGGGCAGCCAGAGAGAAAGGTCGGACTACCCACAAAGGGAAGCCCATCGGACTAAGAGTGGACCTCTCGGCAGAAACTCTACAAGCCAGAAGAGAGTGGGGGCCAATATTCAACATTCTTAAAGAAAAGAATTTTCAACACAGAATTTCATATCCAGCCAAACTAAGCTTCATAAGTGAAGGAGAAATAAAATACTTTACAGACAAGCAAATGCTGAGAGACTTTGTCACCACCAGGCCTGCCCTAAAAGAGCTCCTGAAGGAAGTACTAAACACAGAAAGGAACAACCGGTACCAGCCACTGCAAAATCATGCCAAATTGTAGAAACCGTCGAGGCTAGAAAGACACTGCATCAACTAACGAGCAAAATAACCAGCCAGCATCCTAACGACAGGATCAAATTCACACATAACAATATTAACTTTATTTATTTTTCTTTTTTTATTATTATTATACTTTAAGTTTTACGGTACATGTGCACAATGTGCAGGTTAGTTACATATGTATACATGTGCCATGCTGGTGTGCTGCACCCATTAACTCGTCATCTAGCACTAGGTATATCTCCCAATGCTATCCCTCCCCCATCCCCCCATCCCACATCAATCCCCAGAGTGTGATTTTCCCCTTCCTGTGTCCATGTGTTCTCATTGTTCAATTCCCCCCATGAGTGGGAATATGCGGTGTTTGGTTTTTTGTTCTTGCGATAGTTTACTGAGAATGATGATTTCCAATTTCATCCATGTCCCTACAAAGGACATGAACTCATCATTATTGATGGCTGCATAGTATTCCATGGTGTATATGTGCCACATTTTCTTAATCCAGTCTATCATTGTTGGACATTTGGGTTGGTTCCAAGTCTTTGCTATTGTGAAAACTGCCACAATAAACATACTTGTGCATGTGTCTTTATAGCAGCATGATTTATAGTCCTTTGGGTATCTACCCAGTAATGGGTTGGGTGGGTCAAATGGTATTTCTAGTTCTAGATCCCTGAGGAATCGCCACACTGACTTCCACAATGGTTGAACTAGTTGACAGTCCCACCAACAGTGTAAAAGTGTTCCTATTTCTCCACATCCTCTCCAGCACCTGTTGTTTCCTGACTTTTTAATGATTGCCATTCTAACTGGTGTGAAATGGTAACTCACTGTGGTTTTGATTTGCATTTCTCTGATGGCCAGTGATGGTGAGCATTTTTTCATGTGTTTTTTGGCTGCATAAATGTCTTCTTTTGAGAAGTGTCTGTTCATGTCCTTTGCCCACTTTTTGATGGGGTTGTTTTTTTCTTGTAAATTTGTTTGAGTTCATTGTAGATTCTGGATATTAGCCCTTTGTCAGATGAGTAGGTTGCGAAAATTTTCTCCCATTTTGTAGGTTGCCTGTTGACTCTGATGGTAGTTTCTTTCGCTGTGCAGAAGCTCTTTAGTTTAATTAGATCCCATTTCTCAATTTTGGCTTTTGTTCCCATTGCTTTTGGTGTTTTAGACATGAAGTCCTTGCCCATGCCTATGTCCGGAATGGTAATGCCTAGGTTTTCTTCTAGGGTTTTTATGGTTTTAGGTCTAACGTTTAAGTCTTTAATCCATCTTGAATTGATTTTTGTACAAGGTGTAAGGAAGGGATCCAGTTTCAGCTTTCTACATACGGCTAGCCAGTTTTCCCAGCACCATTTATTAAATAGGGAATCCTTGCCCCATTGCTTGTTTTTCTCAGGTTTGTCAAAGATCAGATAGTTGTAGATATGTGGTGTTCTTTCTGAGGGCTCTGTTCTGTTCCATTGATCTATATCTCTGTTTTCGTACCAGTACCATGCTGTTTTGGTTACTGTAGCCTTGTAGTATAGTTTGAAGTCAGGTAGCATGATGCCTCCAGCTTTGTTCTTTTGGCTTAGGAGTGACTTGGCGATGCGGGCTCTTTTTTGGTTCCATGTGAACTTTAAAGTAGTTTTTTCCAATTCTCTGAAGAAAATCATTGGTAGCTTGATGGGGATGGCATTGAATCTATAAATTACCTTGGGCAGTATGGCCATTTTCATGATATTGATTCTTCCTACCCATGAGCATGGAATGTTCTTCCATTTGTTTGTATCCTCTTTTATTTCATTGAGCAGTGGTTTGTAGTTCTCCTTGAAGAGGTCCTCCACATCCCTTGTAAGTTGGATTCCTAGGTATTTTATTCTCTTCGAAGCAATTATGAATGGGAGTTCACTCATGATTTGGCTCTCTGTTATTGGTGTATAAGAATGCTTGTGATTGTTGTACATTGATTTTGTATCCTGAGACATTGCTGAAGTTGCTTATCAGCTTAAGGAGATTTTGGGTTGAGACAATGGGGTTTTCTAGGTATACAATCATGTCATCTGCAAACAGGGACAATTTGACTTCCTCTTTTCCTAATTGAATACCCTTTATTTCCTTCTCCTGCCTAATTGCCCTGGCCAGAACATCCAACACTATGTTGAATAGGAGTGTTGAGAGAGGGCATCCCTGTCTTGTGCCAGTTTTCAAAGGGAATGCTTCCAGTTTTTGCCCATTCAGTATGATATTGGCTGTGGGTTTGGCATAGATAGCTCTTATTATTTTGAGATACGTCACATCAATACCTAATTTATTGAGAGTTTTTAGCATGAAGTGTCATTGAATTTTGTCAAAGGCCTTTTCTGCATCTATTATATAATCATGTGGTTTTTGTCTTTGGTTCTGTTTATATGCTGGATTACATTTATTGATTAATTGGCATATATTGAACCAGCCCTGCATCCCAGGGATGAAGCCCACTTGATCATGGTGGATAAGCTTTTTGATGTGCTGCTGGATTCAGTTTGCCAGTATTTTATTGAGGATTTTTGCATCGATGTTCATCAAGGATATTGGTCTAAAATTCTCTTTTTTGGTTGTGTCTCTGCCCGGCTTTGGTAACAGGATGATGCTGGCCTCATAAAATGAGTTAGGGAGGATTCCCTCTTTTTCTATTGATTGGAATAGTTTCAGAAGGAATGGTATCAGTTCCTCCTTGCACCTCTGGTAGAATTTGGCTGTGAATCCATCTGATCCAGGACTCTTTTTCATTGGTAAGCTCTTGATTATTGCCACAATTTCAGCTCCTTTTATTGGTCTCTTCAGAGATTCAGCTTCTTCCTGGTTTACTCTTGGGAGAGTGTATGTGTCAAGGAATTTGTCCATTTCATCTAGATTTTCTAGTTTATTTGCATAGAGGTGTTTGTAGTATTCTCTGATGGTACTTTGTAATTTCTGTGGGATCAGTGGTGATATTCCCTTTATCATTTTTTATTGCATCTATTTGATTCTTCTATGTTTTTTTCTTTATTAGTCTTGCTAGTGGTCTATCAATTTTGTTGATCCTTTCAAAAAACCAGCCAAATCATGAGTGAACTCCCATTCATAATTGCTTCAAAGAGAATAAAATACCTAGGAATCCAACTTACAAGGGATGTGGAGGACCTCTTCAAGGAGAACTACAAACCACTGCTCAATGAAATAAAAGAGGATACAAACAAATGGAAGAACATTCCATGCTCATGGGTAGGAAGAATCAATATCATGAAAATGGCCATACTGCCCAAGGTAATTTATAGATTCAATGCCATCCCCATCAAGCTACCAATGATTTTCTTCAGAGAATTGGAAAAAACTACTTTAAAGTTCATATGGAACCAAAAAAGAGCCCGCATCACCAAGTCACTCCTAAGCCAAAAGAACAAAGCTGGAGGCATCATGCTACCTGACTTCAAACTATACTACAAGGCTACAGTAACCAAAACAGCATGGTACTGGTACGAAAACAGAGATATAGATCAATGGAACAGAACAGAGCCCTCAGAAAGAACACCACATATCTACAACTATCTGATCTTTGACAAACCTGAGAAAAACAAGCAATGGGGCAAGGATTCCCTATTTAATAAATGGTGCTGGGAAAACTGGCTAGCCGTATGTAGAAAGCTGAAACTGGATCCCTTCCTTACACCTTGTACAAAAATCAATTCAAGATGGATTAAAGACTTAAACGTTAGACCTAAAACCATAAAAACCCTAGAAGAAAACCTAGGCATTACCATTCCGGACATAGGCATGGGCAAGGACTTCATGTCTAAAACACCAAAAGCAATGGGAACAAAAGCCAAAATTGAGAAATGGGATCTAATTAAACTAAAGAGCTTCTGCACAGCAAAAGAAACTACCATCAGAGTCAACAGGCAACCTACAAAATGGGAGAAAATTTTCGCAACCTACTCATCTGACAAAGGGCTAATATCCAGAATCTACAATGAACTCAAACAAATTTACAAGAAAAAAACAACCCCATCAAAAAGTGGGCAAAGGACATGAACAGACACTTCTCAAAAGAAGACATTTATGCAGCCAAAAAACACATGAAAAAATGCTCATCATCACTGGCCATCAGAGAAATGCAAATCAAAACCACAATGAGATACCATTTCACACCAGTTAGAATGGCGATCATTAAAAAGTCAGGAAACAACAGGTGCTGGAGAAGATGTGGAGAAATAGGAACACTTTTACACTGTTGGTGGGACTGTCAACTAGTTCAACCATTGTGGAAGTCAGTGTGGCGATTCCTCAGGGATCTAGAACTAGAAATACCATTTGACCCAGCCATCCCATTACTGGGTAGATACCCAAAGGACTATAAATCATGCTGCTATAAAGACACATGCACAAGTATGTTTATTGTGGCAGTATTCACAATAGCAAAGACTTGGAACCAACCCAAATGTCCAACAATGATACACTGGATTAAGAAAATGTGGCACATATACACCATGGAATACTATGCAGCCATCAATAATGATGAGTTCATGTCCTTTGTAGGGACATGGATGAAACTGGAAATCATCATTCTTAGTAAACTATCGCAAGAACAAAAAACCAAACACTGCATATTCTCACTCATAGGTGGGAATTGAACAATGAGAACACATGAACACAGGAAGGGGAACATCACACTCTGTGGACTGTTGTGGGGTGGGGGGAGGGGGAAGGGATAGCATTAGGAGATATACCTAATGGTAAATGACGAGCTAATGGGTGCAGCACACCAGCATGGCACATGTATACATATGTAACTAACCTGCACATTGTGCACATGTACCCTAAAACTTGTAGTATAATAATATTAAAATATAAAATTAAAAAAGGAAATATAGATTCACCCTGCATCTTAAGCTATTGTTTTACTGAAATGGAAAATAAAGAAGAATATTTAACAGTGAAAAAAAAAAATCTTGTCACTTTTAAAGATACACTTTGAGAATATTATGTCCACTGAAATAAACCAGTAATGAAATGATGGATGTTATGATTTTACTTATATAAATATTTAAAGTAATTACACTCATAAAAACAGAAGGTGGAAGGGTGTTTGCCAAGGGTTGTAGAGAGCATAAAATAGGTAAATGTTATTTAAGGGATATTGAGTTTTAGTTTTACAAGATGTAAAATTTCTAGAAGTCTTTTGCATAACGATGTGAATATAGTTAACATGCCTGAAATATACACTTTTTTTTTTTTGAAACAGGGTCTCAATCTGTCACCCAAGCTTGCACGCAATGGCACAATTATGGCTCACTGCAGCCTCACAATCCCAGGCTCAACTAATCCTGCCCCTCAGTCTCTCAAGTAGCTGGGACCACAGGTGTACACCACCATGCCTGGCTATTTCTTAGAAAAAAAATGTTTGTAGAGAGGGTGTCTCCATATTTTGCCCAGGCTTGTATCAAACTTTTGGGCTCAAGCAATCCTCCTGTCCTGGCCTCTCAAAATCCTGGTTTTAAAGATATGAGCCACCACCATGCCTGGCCCTGACATGTACATTTAAATAGATTTAAGAAGGTAAATTATATGCTAAGTGTTTTTACAACAATAATTTTTAAAAACTGGAAAAAATACAGAATTATACATCTTTTTAAAAATTACCTTCAAATCACAAAAGTGTTTTTCTCACACAAAGAAAATACATATTTATCATTAAACACATGGTGAAAATAAGACTATTTCCAAGGCTACTCACTTAGACAAGATAAAACCAACACTGAAAATGAGTTAAGAGGCCGGGTACGGTGGCTCATGCCTGTAATCCCAGCACTTTGGGAGACCAAGGCAAGCAGATCACCCAAGGTCAGGAGTTTGAGACCTGCCTGACCAACATGGCAAACCCCGTCTCTACTAAAAAAAAAAAAAATACAAAATTAGCCTGGGATGGTGGCACATGCCTGTAATCCCAGCTACTCAGGAGGCTAAGGCTAGAGAATCACTTAAACCCGAGAGGTGGAGGAAGTTGCAGTGAGCCGAGATCACATGCACTGTACTCCAGACTCAGCAACAAGAGCAAAACTCTGTCTCAAAAAAAAAAAAAAGAAAAGAAAAGAAAAAAGAAAAAAGAAAAAGAAAATTAGCTAAGAAAGAATATATACAAGTAAACTATAACCAAATTTGGGTCATATTTGTAGACATAAACACACACATATAGATAATCTGACTATGACAGACATATGGCTCATTTATCTTTTAATTAAACCAGACACTGACTTAAAGTATACAAACAGAATTGCCGATTGTCTAAAATTATAATGCACGAAATCAATAGACACAATAAACTGATATTAAGAAACCTGCACTTAAAAAACACACTAATATAGAACTGGAAGATAATAATGAAAGAAATGTTTACTCATAAAATCTAGTTGGCAACATTAATGTACATTAACAAACAATTTGTCTAGATAACTGCAATGTTTGACTGTAACTGTGCATTCAAGGAAGGCAGGTGTTTTAAATTAATGGCATCTATTATGTAGCAATAAAATTTCAGAGTAAATGCAGTAAAATCATAATTAGGAGATGCTAATGAGAAACTTTTAATAGATAAGCATTTAAAAGAAACTAGTCTCAATTTTTATGTTTTAAATACATGTTATTTTACACAAAATAAAACTACTGTAATCCAAGTTTAGAAGCAAAGTGGCATGATTTTGGCTCACTGCAACCCCCACCTCCCAGGTTCAAGCGATTCTCCTGCCTCAGTCTCCCTAGTAGCTCAGACTACAGGCGCGTGCCGCCATGCCCGGCTAATTTTTTGTACTTTTAGTAGGGACGGGGTTTCATCGTGTTAGCCAGGATGGTCTCAATCTCCTGATCTCGTGATCCACACACCTCAGCCTCCCAAAGTGCAGGGATTAGAGGCGTGAGCCACCGCGCCTGGCTCTATAATTCCTTTTTGCCTGCCTGCATACTAATTATCTAATTTAATTCAGGCACGACATGTATATTCTATTATATTGCCCTAAATGTCTGAATCTAAAATTACAGACAAATTTGAAGTAGAAAACAGTTAAAATTTATATGGAGAGTGGCATTAATAAGATAAAAAATTAAAGGTGCCTTATTTGCTTATCCTCTGTCAGCAAGAAAATTTGTCAGCCATTGCTGACAAAAATGCCTTTATGAGAGAACCAGGCATCATGGTTCACACCTGTAATGACAGCTACATGGTACATGAAAGTTGGAGAATTGCTTTTGATCAAAATATTAAGACCTGCCTGGGTTATGTTACAATACCCCAGATCAAAAATAAATGCCTTTAAAAGAACTCTGAGATCCAGGAAAGGAGTTGTGAAACTCTGCTAAAGCCCAAGACTGAAGGTAACCCTTTTCAGAAGGCAGGTCCTCATTCAGGTGGCAAACTACAGAACTACTGTTTTTGGCTAAAGACAAGAAATTGTTCCACCTAACTTGGTTCCCCTGAGAATTTTAAACTTACTCTGTAAACATCCCAAACTCTTCCCAGTCACAGTCTGGGGGGGTCCTGCCTTTCCAGAGGCCTGGAGAAATACACCCATTTAGAGCCATGCTGGCAGGCCTGCAGACCTTGACCTTTACTGTGGTCCCTGAAGCAGTTCCATGACTCAGTTCCAGCTCCCTGAGCCATAGTTCATGGCCGGTTTTGCCTATGTAGAAACCCAAAGTTACCTCGGAAAATCCTCTCCTGTACTCAGTGAAAGCCATGCTCATCCACATCCTGATATAAAACTCACCATATGCAGGCCTGAGTGCAGAAACCTGCCCTTGGGTCTGCCCTGCACAGCAAAGTCCTGAAGGATATTCAATCTGTCCAAAAATTAAATGAGAATTACAACTATCCAAGCTCCTTTTAAGAAGACAACTGAAGGTGGACCCTTGTGCAAACCCAGCAGCCTTAAGGCCAAGCTACAACCCCTCTTCACTACAAACCCAGAGGACATTCTATCACTCTGGGGGCCCAACAAAAACACATTTTTACTTTCTGAAACCAGTTTATAGAAACTTGAAGAGGTGTTTGCTCCTTCAAATTTACAGACACTAATGCAAAACTAGCTTCTATTTTAACATAGCACTGAAAGCATGTGGAAGACAAAATAGTCAAAAGAAAAATTTAAAGTCATTGAAATTGAAGACCAATAAGTAAAATGTTGCTGTTTGTAGATCATGTAATCATATATATATGTATATAGAGAGAGTACATTAAAACCTGTTTAAATTAATGAATACACTCAGTTAATTAGCAAAATATAAAATTAATATACAAGATATGGTTCCATACACTTAAACTATCTGATAAAATAGAGGAAAAAAAAACTTATGTACAATATCAATGAAATACTCAATTTTAGAACAAATTTAAACAAGGAGCTCATAAATCTTTCAAGTGAAAGATATATCAATGAAAAAAATTAGAGAGGACACTAATAAATTTTAAAATGTTTTATTTCTATTGAAAGAATAAGTATTATGAAACTGCCATATTATCCAAAGTGACCTGTAGATTTAAAGAACTCCTTATCAAAATTCCAGTGTTTTTCTTCACAGTAATGAAAAATCCAATCCTAAAATGGACATGAAACTACAATAAACTTTGAATAGTCAAAGCAATCTTGAGGAAAAAGAACAAAGCAGAAGGACATCCTACTTTGTACTTTCAAACTATATTTCAAGACTACAGTAATGAAAACAGGATGAAATGTGCAGAAAAATAAACCAAAAAGAAAAAACCCAATATAACAGAAACTACTACTCTCACACATTTCAGACATGATGCAAAAAGAGAACTTAAAAAACAGTTTAACATACAGTATCTCAAAATTATGGAGACAGATCTGTCTGTCCACAAAACAAGAAAAAAGAAGTCAGATTGTACACTCTTTTGTATGCCATGAACAGTACTTCGGCTGTCACTGTAAACTTGGAGGAAGATCATTGAAGGGAAAGTAGAATTCTTAGATTTTATAGGCATAAGCAGAAGATGCCCCTATGTGAGAGTATAATTTAAAAAAAAAATTTAGGCTTCCCAGAAACTATTTCCTTTGGATCACAGCTTCTTAAATCACTTTAAAGAGTGGCTTTCTTCTTGACTTTGGACCTCTCATCCATGTCATCTGTTGTATTCACTCTCACCTACCTGGGGGTTCATCCACCATCTCATGTCGCTTCATATTCCAGGGCTCTTTCCCTTGTTCCAGACAGGTGATCAGGTCTGGCTTAGAGACAGCAATACCTGTTTTATTAAAAATAACTAAATGAATCTTGCTTATATTCTCCAATTACCAACTTAGTAATGTGCTCAGTAAGGAGGATATAATAGAATATGCTAACAAAGTTATTCTAATACACTAATTTATAACAGAAATTTTTAAATATTTAGGAAATATTTTAATTTTTTAGGTTCTTAATTTCACTGCCTGGTACTACTGAATCAAAAATTGGTGATGCCAAATGGATTTTAAGATGTAACAATATTTTATGCCACTAAACTTCTGAAATTAGCCTTAATCTAAAGTGCAGGACACAGATTAGCTCAGGAATGTGGAAAGTTCAGGTCAAGATGAAACATCTTGAAGAAATTCCTTTCTCAACAGACAAATCCCCAGTATTTTCTTGAAAACAGAAATCTGAATGCGTAAATTACCAGAAAACATTCTAAAGAAAAATAAAAGCTTTAGTTTATGTGAGGAATTTTGTATTAAAGTTATCCTCACCCAGGAAGGCCAGGTTTCTGTAGTTCTCTAACATCACATTTCTATATAAATTCTGCTGTGCAATGTCCAGGTGTTGCCACTCCTCCAGAGAGAATTCTATGGCCACATCCCTAAATGTCAACAGTCCCTGGAAAACACACACAAACACACATATTTACAAAGTGGCTATCGGCAGAATTTTTCATTTGACTCAAGGTAAAATTAGAGTAAATAGAACTGGTTCTGACTTATAAGAGTGATTGAAATTATCCAATAAAATAATTGTCAACACATGAACATTTTCTAATGTATTCTCTAACTCTGAGAAAATAGAGTGGCAAAATATCCACATCAGTGTATATGTGATACTTGTCTGGAAGATAACATGTAAAATTGAAGGCATAAACACTAACATACATTTTTGAGTGCTACGTTTACATAATGCAGAATGAGTTATGTATATTTTTCAGATGAAAAAGACATAGTTGTTTATATTTTTCAGACAAAATAGACATCTTGAGTTAGAAGGTACCACTCAAATTTTAACGTGTACAATAAACTGGACATCTTGTTAATGCAGATTATTTTTTGGGGAGATCTGAAATAAAGTCTGAGTTAATGAATCTCTACCAAGCTCACCAGTAATGCCAATGTTTTGGCCCCAAAAGACTATTTTGTCAAACATCCAGTAAGTGGAAGAGCCTGTTGTTTTTGTTTTTTGTTTTTTTTTTTAGTTTTTCTAGCCTGTAAACAAAGATGAGAGCTTTCATTTACCAAAGAAAAATAAATGTAAAGAAAACCTAAAAAAAAGAAAAAGACAAAAAACAAAAGGCAGCCAGATTAAACGTGATGGTTTATGCACATCAGCTCCATAAAGATATCTAATGATGAAGAGAAAAATAATTCTATAGTGAAAAAATCTGTAAGAGAGCTTATTGAGTTATTAGCATCAACATCAACTGCACTAGGACAGGTTTTTATAGTGTGCTGATGCACCCAGAAGGACACGACATTACTACTGAGATATTGTACCCACTAAATTACAGTCTGAATTTAATCATAAGAAAACATCAGTTTTATGGGAAGTTCAAGATACAGATATCTTTCATGTTCTGTAATTTGTAATAGTGATTTTAAGTAGTCTTTCTATAGCACCCTAATAAGGAGGTATCTCTTGATAATTTTTTCAGAGCTTTCTGGGTAATAAATGCCATCCTGTTTAAATGAGTATTTTCTTAATTGTGTAATGCATACAGATAATAAAGAACACAGATAGAACCTCAACATTACATATTCTATGTCTTTACTAAGAACCCCAGGTTTTCCCCACAGAAATATTGAGTATCCACCCCTCTCCATGTTCATCAGCCACAAGGAGAACATTTTTAATATTGCAGATCACAAATTCATGGTGAGAATCTTACATGGCATATAAAAAGCCATGATGTAGAGAAGATTCTTGTATATAGAAAAATTTTTCAGACACCCTCGACTATCATAAGCATTTTTAAAAGTAGTTAAGAAAAACTTATTAGGGAGAAAAAACACAGGTATAGAAGTGAAGATTTGCAAGTACTAAATGCAAGGCATTCCAGAAAGCAGAGTAGACACAGCTCTTGATCTGGGACACGTTTAGCTGAAAAAAAAAGTCACTTTTTCTCTCTCCTCCTCCTCTAGAATTCTTTCTCAGATGAGATATTCTGGACTAATTACACCTGCATCTTGACAATATGCCTTTAAAAATTTGAGCACATGTTCACCTGTTACCACCACACTCAAAGTCAGAAGGCTCAAGACACAAAAACTCTACCCATTTCTGTCCTTTACAACAAAAAAGATTCAGGAACAATGAGCTGCTCCACAGAGAGAAAAATATAAGTTTCTCTTCTTTTTGTCCCCAGGCGCCCTCCCCTGTTACAAACACCAGGAATTTCTGCTACAGTAATAGAAATATCGAATCCCAGCACTTTGGGAGGCCAAGGCAGGTGGATCACGAAGTCTGGAGTTCAACAGCAGCCTGGCCAACATGGTGAAACCCCATCTCTACTAAAAATACAAAAGTTGGCTGGGTGTGGTGTCTCACGCCTGTGATCCCAACACTTTGGGAGGCCAAGGCAGGTGGATCACCTGAAGTCAGGAGTTCAAGATCAGCCTGGCCAACAGAGTGAAACCCCACCTCTACCTAACATACAAAACTTAGCTGGGAATGGTGGCAGGCACCTGTAATCGCAGCTACTCAGGAGGCTGAGGCAGGAGAATCACTTGAACCCGGGAGGCAGAGGTTGCAGTGAGCCGAGATTGTGCCATTGACTCCAGCCTGGATGACAGAGCGAGACTCCATCTCAAAAAAAAAAAGAAAGAAAAAGAAAAGGAAAGAAATATTGGCCACACTGTCCTATCCTTACCAAACTCAAACAGAACAGATTCCTAGAACATTCTTTAGTGCAAAAGTGGAACTTAACTCAATGAATGTATCTTGAACTCCTCATATTTGATGCTGGCACCTGAGAGTCACATGAGGCACTTAATTAAAACAAATAGACGCTTTCACCCAGAACAGAAACTGTGAAAAGGGCACAAGTAAAGAGAGTTCTGCATATTGGCCATGTGATTCTAATTAGAAGCCTGATCTTATAACCACTTACCTAAGCATTATCACTCAAGCTTTAATGAGCTTATGAATCGCTTTGTAAAATTGGCCCCACTCTATGTAATGCGATTCTGCAGGTTTGGAAATGGTCCATAAATGGGTGTTCTAAACAAGTCTTCTGTCAATGCTGGTGTCACTCTCTCTGGGCTCATTGTTAGCATTAGTTAGAAAAATGAGGTACAGCACAGAGCCCCTTACACTCAGCACTTTTGTAAAAACACAAATACTTCTGATGCAAATGAAGACAACCATTCTCTATCTTAAAGTATCATATTATTTTCTGGCTCTTTAAAGTTTACAGAGAAAACAGAAAGCAGCAATTTTCTGAGTAAGTCTGCATTTGGAAAACAACATGTGCACATGTATTAATGCAATGTTTATTAAGCAGGTACTATGTGATCAACAGGATGTTACAGAGCACTGTGATAGCACATTATTTGATTCTAATAATACCCTGTGAGTTGATACTAAGTGTCCAATAAATCCAAGGATTTAGAATAAAGACCCAGCATTTTTATTTCCTCTTCTGTTTATCATTGAGTTTTTTAAAATGCATGGAATAAAATCTAAATACAGACAGATGAGAAGGACACAGATAGAGTTTAATGAAATGTAGATGAATTTTTATTGTATTTATATTTGCTATTTTGTGACTTGTGAATCAACTACTATATCTGCAGGAACAGAAAACAAGTTGCTAAATGGAATGTCTCTGTAAACACTGGTTTTAATATAAAATTATTAAATTAAGACCCTATAATACATGTTATTTTTCCATTTATCTGCTATTGGGTTTCAGAAAAGTGTGAGCACCAACTCTAAAAAGGCAACAGGATTCATCACCCAAAACTCTGATCTCTTCTAGTTAGTTCTGTGAGGCAAAACTCCAGGGTAGGGCAAGACTTAAATAAGGCCTTCAAAAAGGGTGAATCTAAACAGGGCTGAAGCAGGGTGTAGAGTTGATGTAAAATTCTGTTCTTTACACCACTGGGGAGTATTTTTTTTTTATGTTTCTTTTTTTAAGCTTACCTAAAAGAAAAAAAAAAAACTTAAATCTCAGAGTTTGTGTAATTTTAATCTTTTTTAGCCCCATTGCCCTCTAATTTCATATCACATACTAATAAGCAATTTAAACAAATCCCTTAAGGTTTTCTAGAATAATTTAGAAGATAAATAAGTTTACTTAGCAAGGCAAAAAAAAAAAAAAACAAATTTTGTTTATTAATATATGTTCAGGTATAGACATCTGAAGTCACAATATAAAGAAAATGGCCCAAATAAAGCCCATATTTTTGCACACATCTATTTATTGTACCCACCATATGATGCATAATTAAATCATTTATCCAGTTGCTAGTCTAGACTAAAAGTTCCTGCATGGTAGGGACCATGACTGCGTCATCTATTTTTCTAATGACTATATGAAATAGAAGCAATTAGTTTATCTCTTTGAGTCTGCAGACCTCCTCCTTGTTTTTACCCAAGTACCAGGGAACTGGAGAAACTCTCATCTGGGTACCAACCGAAGACAGCTCTTGCATGAGGGGAGGAACAATCACAGGATGACTCATTTCATTTACACTAAGACAGAAGCAAAATTGCCCACTCTTGTCAGCCTGACACAATTCTGTTCTGGAGATTCTCAAATGTCTCAAAGACACCTAGGTGATTGTGAGAGCATTTCCAGTGACCCTGGACTGATGGTTCAATAGCAAGCCAGCAGGAGAGACTCAGGCTGATTCTAAATAGAAAATGGAAGTACCCTGGTGGAGCTGCAGAACCTGGATCACCTGTCCTGATTAGCTAGCTTTTTGGTATGTAGAAGTGCAAGAATACTCTAATATCATATTTTCCAGGTAAGTATACTTGTGCTCAGAGCTCTGGCTACTTTGTGGCCTTGATCTCTCACTCCTAAGATGCTTCTTTACACTTAAGAGATTCTGCCATCAGATTCTATTTACACCTGGAGCCTCTCACATAACTGTAGCAGGTGAAAACACAAGATGTGAAAAGGTCAAAGAGCCACACTCTCAAAGGAGGGATCTAAAATGTCTATGTTGACATCTCACAATGCAGAAAATGCCTCCTATTGGTTTTCTGTACATTCTCAATCTAAAGTAGGACCCTGTTTTATAAATTCCAGGCAGAGGCCAGACCTTATTTGCAGATTCTAGATAAACATCATTCTGCATTTCTGGCTGTTACAGCAAGTAGAGTACAATCAAAAGATCTACTCATAGAGGCTGCTCTAGAAAATTCTAAATAATATTTTACCTAAAAAAAGGCTGATACGGGCTGGGTGCCATGGCTCATGCCTGTAATTCCAGCACTTTGGGAGTCCAAGGCAGGCGGATCCCCTGAGGTCGAAGGATCACCTGAGGTTGGGAGTTCGAGACCAGCCTGACCAACATGAAGAAACCCTATCTCTACTAAAAATACAAAATTAGCCGGGCATGGTGGCCCATGCCTGTAATCCCAGCTACTCAGAAAGCTGAGGCAGGAGAATCACTTGAACTTGGGAGGCGGAGGTTGCAGTGAGCCAAGATCAAGCCATTGCACTCCAGCCTGAGCAACAAGAGCAAAACCACATCTAAAAAAAAAAAAAAAAAAGCTGACACAACATGAATATAAGTAGACAGTTTATTTGGGCCAAGCTTAAGTATTGTAACTTGAGAAGAAATATTCAAGATGCCTGGAATTTGCACTTTGATTAGCAGCAGTTACAAGTGGATTTGTGAAGGCAAAAAAAAAAAAAGAGAGAGAGACATACAAACTTCTTTGTCAGAAATTCTTGTTTAAATAAATAACTTTAATTATTGATTGACTGTACATTAAGGGTAAGGGTATAGAATATAGTGTCCAGTGTGACATTATTAGTTTAACTTACACCTACCTGTGGCAATAGTGAACAATGTCAAGAGATGAATACATAGTTGAAGGAAGGGAGAAAGATGTAATTGTGCTTTTATTTTAATGTCTCTCTGAGTTTTATAAGTAAAAAGACTTTCATTCCTCAAATAAAAGTTTTGGATTTTTTTTTTTTTTTTTTCAAATTTCAAGACCTAGATTTAGAATTCAGAGCTGCAGATTTAGGTCCCGGATGGGTGGAGTAGCAGCAGTTGTTACCTGCAATTGTGAGCATTTTAGCGAGAGAAGGGAAAAGAAGTGGAGATTCTCATGTCTCCATGTCTACTCAATGCACACTGTTACTCTGATTAGGTTTCTGGGCTCCATGGTCTCTGAATCAGTTTCAGTTCTGAAGATAAAAGAGTCATGGAATGAAGTAAAATGATTAATATCTGCCCTATAAAGTTTGTAGAAATCTGGTCTAGCCCCTCTAGAAGTGACTATAGAGGACTATAGACACCAAATAGACAGAGACACAATTCTGCCTGCATATTTAGGTGACAGCATGCACTTTAGAGCATAATTGTGAGTTGACTGGAAGACTAAGAGGGAAAGTCCCCTTTACAATAAAGCTTGGTTGGCACCTTATGTGTTTATATTATGTCTGGTAATTCTAGACACTGTTTGGAAAATATAATTTTTTAAAAATTCTCTTCAGCCCCAGAGAAACCACAATAATGTAACAGACAGAAAATTGTTTCATTACACACTTAAATCTGAATATCACATGTATTACAGTCAGTCTACTTAAGAGACTGAAAAGACAGAAAGACAGTTACCATAATTAGTTCACAAGTAGAAGAATTTACAGCACCATGCCATAGTTCATCCTAAATTCACCTGGTCATTGGGGAGGCCATCCATGTATGCTAACTGGTTATATTCAATGACAAAATAAGCTTTTCACATCTTCATGACAGAAGGTAGTTTGCAACTTGAAGCCAGGTAACTGCTTAAGGTAGACTTTCACTCTTCTACAAAAGTGACTGAAAAGGGTGCTGTCTTTTTGGCTACTTGCATTTTAAATCAGTGGCTCTCTACTCCCTGAAGACTGTGCTAGCGCACTCTTGCTTCCCCTCTTCTGGTGGCCAGTGTCCTCTTCTGTTTCGTACCACCTGCCACTGACATACAGCCCATAGCGCAGGGCTCACAGCTGGCAGCTCACATCTTAGGTGAATGCCAATTCCCACAGCAGCACTTTAGTGTCACATCAAAGAGTGAAGCCTGGCCAGGCAGGGTGGCTCATGCCTGTTATCCTAGCACTTTGGGAGGCTGAGGCTGGTGGATCATGAGGTCAGGAGTTCGAGACCAGCCTGGCCAACATGGTGAAACCCCATCTCTACTAAAAATACAAGAAAAAAAAAAAAAATAGCTGGGCATGGTGGAGGGCACCTGTAATTTCAGCTACTCGGAGGCTGAGGCAGAAGAATTGCTTCAACCCAGGAGGCAGAGGTTGCAGTGAGCTGAGATCGTGTCACTGCACTCCAGCCTGGGAGACAGGGCAAGACTGTCTCAAAAAAAAAAAAAAAAAAAAAAAAAAAAGAGCGAAGCCTGAGCTGCAGAAGAAGAGCCTGCAGGCCTCTTGGGTAGAATTGCACCTTCACAATAATGGTAAAGAGAGCATTGTTTAAGCCACAGTTTCTATTTATAATGGTTACATGAAAAAAATACTGCTGGATTTCCAGCATGCATCCAGATAAAGCTAGCTCCAAGAGTTCTCACTGTAATAGCCTGTCTTTCAGAGATATTATGGGATACCAATAGGGCTTCTAAAACAGATATACAAAGCATTCAAAAGAAAAACAGCTCTCACTCCAAGAAAGATTATATTGAGAAAAAAGGAAGTTAAAAGCCTCTTTAAAAAACCTGAGATTAGATATAAGATTGCTCAAGTCAGTCAGAAAATATTCCTCTAAAAAGAATTTCTCTCTAAATACCCAAAGTGCATAGCTACTCTCAGCATGAGTAACATGAGTACTATGAAGAAAGGGGGCATATTATCATTGG
The DNA here is from genome assembly GCF_000001405.40 of Homo sapiens. NCBI lineage: Eukaryota > Metazoa > Chordata > Mammalia > Primates > Hominidae > Homo > Homo sapiens. Next base: position 24,098,523 of record NC_000019.10, on the reverse strand, counting down.
AATTTTAAAAGTTTTTATTCATCTCTGCTGCGCTCATCTAGCCATTGAAGGCAAAATCTATATTGAAATATATTTGACAACTTACACCAGTACCTTTGATAAAAAATTAAAATATGACTGTGATAATATAATGGAATATATGCGAGCCTACAACATAGCTTACTAGAGAGGTATTACAGTTTTGGGATGGCCACATCACTTGCCTTTATTTGTCCTGTAATAGCAGCATTCCAATTTGTGAAATGAAAGACACTAACATTATGCTTACTTATAATTATCCCTATTGGTTAAATTAATAAGCCTATCAGACTAACATCTACTGTAACAATTTGGTAGTAAATTTTCTTTGGATATTAGACATAAATATGTAAGTATGAATAATTTTAATGTACTACTCATAATGTATGTGGAATTTTTAAACATTTTCTTTATAATTCAGCTCAAAAACTACATTTCAAAAGTATGAATCACAATATTAAAATAGCTATTTAAGGAATTCATTTAAAGTAAATATTATGGCTTTATTCATACTATTGTAGAAAATACTAGTGAATGTGTTTGAATGAGGTTGTCTACAAACACTGCATAACTATGCTAATTGTACTGAAGTAATAAATAGAAACCAAGGTATGACAACAGACTCCACTGGTTCAGTTTATAAACTGAATTGTTTTTTTTGTTGTTGTTTGCTTGTATATTTTATTTTATTTTATTTTATTTTATTTTATTTTATTTTATTTTTGAGATAGAGTTTTGCTTTTGTTGCCCAGGGTGGAGTGCAATGACATGATCTCAGCTTACCACAACCTCCGCCTCCCAGGTTCAAGCAACTATCCTGCCTCAGCCTCCCAAATACCTGGGATTACAGGCATGCACCACCACACCCTTCTAATTTTGTATTTTTAATAGAGATGGGGTTTCTCCATGTTGGTCAGGATGGTCTCGAACTCCCAACCTCAGGTGATCTGCCCACCTCAACCTCCCAAAATCCTGGGATTACAGGCATGAGCCACCACGTCCGGCCATAAACTGAACTCTTTTTGTTTTTGTAGTATAAATACTTCAGCCTGCAAACGATCACCATGGATAATCAGGTTTCTGTCAAACAACTTACTCAGTATCTTTTAATCTTTATAATTCAGCCTGCAAACGATCACCATGGATAATCAGGTTTCTGTCAAACAACTTACTCAGTATCTTTTAATCTTTATAATTCTGTACTGCTAAATTTTGTCTATTTTTATGCTCAACTTTTGTGTGCTCTTGGAATGAGCTTTACTCTGAACAAATCTGTGTCAACTTTAAAAGACTATCATAAGAATAATCTCTTGCCAAAGCAAAAAAAGAGCAATTAATCTCAGGTCCCAGATAAAGACAATCCTGAGTCAAAAAAAATGACAAAAGTTTTATTTTGCTGTTAATATGATTTACATATATCTCAAAAAAACAGGGATAAAAATCTACACACAATCTAAATGTTTTAAGAAAAGAGATTTTAGTAAGATATTTTCTCTTATCTTAATGTGGACCAAGCCTCTTATTTTTAATTTATATTTTGTTTTACAACAGACAGGTCCATCACATGTGCTTGAACTCTTGGACATCTGAATTTTGCACACTGTGTGCACACGTAAGAATGCTTATGGGAGAAAAAGCAGAAGAGAGAAAGGTGTTGTATAAAATTCATGGGTTCACATGAATAAAGCAAGTTCTTAGAGATCTATAAGAGTTTTAAATTATGACACAATAACAGTGGGAGACTACAACATCCCACAGGCACTAACAAACAGATAACTGAAGAAGCCAATTAACAAAACATTAGGACCTAAAGTCTACACTTGACCAAATAGTCCTAATAGACATCTACAGAAGTCTTCATCTAAAAATAACATAACATACATTGTTCTCATCACCATGTGGCACATACTCAAAAACTGACCACACAATCAGAAATAGAATAATCCTCAGCAAATTCAAAAAACTCAAAATTATACAGAACAAACACATAGACCACAGCTGAACAGAAATATAGTTCAATAAAAATAAAACAACTGATACAATTACATAAAAATTAAACAACCTGCACTTGAATAACTTTTTGGTAAATAATGAAATTAAGGCAGAAACCAAGAAGTTATTTTAAACAAATAAGAACAAAAAAAACAGGCCAGGCATGGTGGCTCATACCTGTAATCCCAGCACTTTGGGAGGCTGAGGCAGGCAGATCACATGAGGTCAGGAGTTTGAGACCAGCCTGGCCAACATGGTGAAATCCTGTCTCTACTAAAATTACAAAAATTAGGCAGGCATGGTGGCACATGCCTGTAATCCCAACTACTTGAAAGGCTGAGGAAGGAGAATGCTTGAACCCAAGAGGCGGAGGTTGCTGTGAGTTGAGACTGTGCCATTGCATTCAGCCTGGACAACAAGAGTAAAACTCCATCTTAAAAAAAAAAAAAAAAAAGAACTAAAAAACAACACATCAGAATCTCTGCAATATAGCTAAGATAATGTTAAAGGGAAATTTATAGCATTTAATGCTCAAATTAAAAAGTTAGAAAGATCTTCATTTTACAACCTGATATAATCAATAAAAGAATGAAAGAAGCAAGAGAAAATCAATCCCTAAGCTAGCAGCAGACAAGAAATAACCAAAATCAGAACTAAACTGAGATTTAGACATAAAAACTTTACAAAATATCAAAAAATCCAGGAATTAAATCTATGAAAAAATAAATAAACCACTAACTAGATAAGGAAGAAGGACCCAAATAAACACAATTAGAAATAACAAAAGAGACATTACCACTGACCCCACAAAAATATCTTGAAATGTACTATGAACACCTCTGTGCACACAAACAAGACAATCTAGAAAAAATGAAAAAGGTATTGAACAAATACATCCTTCCAAGAATTAACAAAAAAGAAATGAAACCCCTAAATAGATGAATAAGAAGCTCAAAAATTGAATTAGTAATAAATAGCCTACCAACCAAACAAAGCCAAGGACCAGACAGATTCACAGCTGAATTCTATCAGATGTACAAAAAAGTGCTGATTATTATTTCTACAGAAACTATTTTAAGCAATTAAGAAAAAGTAACTTGTTTTCAACTCATTATATAAGAACAGCACTATTCTGATACCAAAACCTGGCAAAGATAAAACAAACAAAAAAAAATTCAGGCCAATACCTTTGAACATTGATGCAAAAATCTTCAACAAAATACTGACAAACCAAATCCAGCAGCATATCAAAAAGCTAACCCAGTATGATCAAGTAGAATTTATTCTGGGAATGTAAGGTTGGTTCAACATACACAAATCAATAAATGTGATTCATCATATAAACAAAACTAGACAGAAACCACAAGATTACCACAATAGATGCAGAAAAAGCTTTTGATAAAATTTAACATCTTTCATGTTAAAAACCCTCAACAACCTAGCCATTGAAGGTACATACTTTAAAATAATAAGTTATCTATATGACAAACCATCAGCCAACATACTGAATGGACAAAACCTGGAAGTGGACGGGTGCAGTGGCTCATGCCTGTAATTCCAGCAACTTGGGAGGCCAAGGCAGGTGGATCCCCTGAGGTCAGGATTTTGAGATCAACCTGGCTAACATGGCAAAACCCTGTCTCCACTAAAAATATAAAAATTAGCCAGGTGTGATGGCAGGTGCCTGTAATCCCAGCTACTTGAGAGGCTGAGCAAAGAGAATCACTTGAACCCAGAAGGTGGAGGCTGCAGAGCGCCGAGATTGTGCCACTGCACTCCAGCCTGGGAGACAAAGTGAGACTCTATCTCAAAAAGAAAAGAAAAAAAAAACCCGAAGCATTCTTCTTTGGAAACTGGCACAAGGCAAAGATGCCTTCTCTCAACACTACTATTCAACATAAAATTGGAAGTACTTGTCAGAGTAATTAGGCAAAAGATAAAAATAAAAGGCATTTGGCCAGGTAAGGTGACTCACGCCTGTAATCCCAGCACTTTGGGAGGCCAAGGTGGGTGGCTCACGAGATCAGAAGTTCGAGACCAGCCTGGCCAACATGGTGAAACCCCACCTCTACTAAAAATACAAAAATTAACCAGGCGCAGTGGCGGATGCCTGTAATCCCAGCTACTCAGGAGGCTGAGGCAAGAGAATCACTTGAACCTGGGAGGTGGAGTTTGCGGTGAGCCAAGACTGCCACTTCACTCCAGCCTGGGCGAAGAGCAAGACTCCATCTCAAAAAAATAAAAATAAAAATAAATAAAAGGCATTTAAACAGGAAGAGAGGAAGTCAAACTATCCCTGTTTGCAGACAACATAATTCTCCATCTGGAAAACCATATAGTCTTCATAGAAAAGCTCTTTAACTTACAAACAACTGCAGTATCATTTCAGGATACAAAGTAAGTGTACAAAAATTAGTAGCGTCCCTGTAAATCAACAACATCCAAGCCAAATACGAATCATAAACACAATCCCTTCACAACTGCCACAAAAAGAATAAAATATCTACGAATACCAGGAAGGTGAAAGATCTCTATAAGAATTGCAAAACAATGCTTAAAGAAGTCAGAAATGGCACAAATGGAAAACAACTTTATGCTCATAAATAGAAAAGATCAATATCCTAAAAATGATCATACTGCCCCCCAAAATTTACAGATTTAATGCTATTCTAATCAAATGACCAAAATATTTTTAAAAGAACTAAAAAAAAAAATTATTGTAAAATTCATATAAAACCAAAGAGTCTGAATAGCCAAGGTAATCACAAGCAAAAACAGCAAAGCTGAAGGCATTACATTACCTGTCTTCAAATTATACTACAGAGCTGCAGTAAACAAAGCAACATGGAACTGGTACAAAAACAAACTCATAGACCAATGCAACAGAATAGACAGTCCAGAAATAATGTCACTCACCTACAACCATCTGATCTTTAACAAAGGTGACAATAGAAATGTGGAACCAATTCCCTATGTAATAAATGGTGGTGGAATAACTAGCAAGCACTATGTAGAAGATTGAAACTGGACCCCTTTATTACACCATATACAAAAATCAACTCAAGATTAAAGACTGAAATGTTTATTTTAACATTATAAAAAACCCTGGAAGATAACTTAGGAAATGTCATTCTAGACATAGAATCTAGCAGAGAATTCATAATTGAAGATACAAAAAGCAACTGCAAAAAAACCAAAAATTGACAAATTGGACCTAATTAAACTAAAGAGCTTCTTCACAGCAAAGGAAACTATCAACACAGAAAACAGAGAACCAACAGAATAATAGGAAATATTTGCAAACTATGCTTCTAACAAAGGTCTAATGTCCAGAATTCATAAAAATCTTAAGTTTACAAGAAAAAAAAGACCTCACTAAAAAGCAGACAAAAAACTTGAAAAAGATGCTTTTCAAAAGAAGACAAACATGTGGCTAACACACATATAATAAAATGCCTATCAATAATTATTGGAGAAATGCAAAGAAAAACCACGAGATACAATCTCATGCCAGTGAGAACGGCTATTAAAAAGCAAAAAAATAGATGATGTCAAGGTTGCAGAGAAAAGGGAACGCTTATACACTGCTGTTAAAGTGTACATTAATTCAACCATTGTAAAAAGCAGTGTGGCAATTTCTCACAGAACTAAAAACAGAATTACCATTTCATCAAGCAACCTAATAATTGGGTATATACCCAAAGAAATATAAATTATTCTGTCATAAACACACATGCACAAGGGTGTTCACTACAGCACTATTCACAATAGCAAAGACATGGAATCGACTTGAATGCCTATCAATGGTAGACTGAATAAAGAAAATATGGTATGATCAGGCACAATGGCTCATGCCTGTAATCCCAGCACTCTGAGAGGCCAAGGCAGGTGGATTGCCTGAGCTCAGGAGTTTGAGACCAGCCTGAGCAACATGGAAAAATCCCATCTCTAAAAAAATACAAAAACAAAAATTACCTAGGTATGGTGGTGCATGCCTGTAGTCCCAGGTACGTGGAAGGCTGAGGTACAAGAGGATTGCTTGGCCCAGCGTGATGGCTCACACCTGTAATCCCAGCACTTTGGGAGGCCGGGGGGGAGGGTGGATCACCTGAGGTCAGGAGTTCAAGACCAGCCTGGCCAACATGATAAAACCCCATCTCTACTAAAAATACAAAAATTAGCTGGGCATGGTGGTGGTGGGTGCCTGTAATCCCAGCTATTCGAGAGGCTGAAGCAGGAGAATTGCTTGAACCCAGGAGGTGTAGGTTGAGGTGAGCCGAGATCGCCCACTGCACTCCACTCAGGGCAACAACATCAAAATTCCATTTAAAAAAAAAAAAAAGGCCAGGCACAGTGGCTCATGCCTGTAATCCCAGCACTTTGGGAGGCCGAGGTGGGTGGATCACGAGGTCAAGAGATCGAGACCATCCTGGCCAACATGGTGAAATCCTGTTTCTACTAAAAATACAAAAAATTAGCTGGGCGTGGTAGCGGGCACCTGTAGTTCCAGCTGCTCGAGAGGCTGAGAACGGCGTGAACCCGGGAGACAGAGCTTGCAGTGAGCTGAGATTGCGCCTCTGCACTCCAGCTTGGCCAACAGAGCGAGACTCCATCTCAAAAAAAAAAAAAAAATTAATCACATAGGAACACTTCTAGGAGGTACCAAGTTTCATCACATAAAATTTAGCATTAAACTCAAAAATCAAAATAACAGGATATAGGGCTGGGCGCAGTGGCTCACACCTGTAATCCCAGCACTATGGGAGGCTGAGGTGGGCAGATCACTTGAGGTCAGGAGTTCGAGACCAGCCTGGCCAACATGGTGAAACCCCATCTCTACTAAAAATACAAAAACTAGCCAGGTGTGGTGGCACAGGCCTGCAGTCTCAGCTACTCCGGAGGCTGAGGAAGGAGAATCACTTGAACCTGGGAATTGGAGGTTGCAGTGAGCTAAGATTGCACCATTGCACTCCAGCCTGGGTGTCGCAGTGCAACTCTTTATCTCAAAAAACAATCAAACACACAAAAAAACACAGGATATAGAACAAAGATGTTCACTACCAAGGATTTACCCTGCTAAAAAAAGGAATTGAAGTTTTCAGGAATCTATTTAACTCATCAATTATCTATCACATTGTTTTGTGGAAATGTATTCATTGTCTACAGCTGAAATTGAAGAGAGATTTTTTTTTTTTTTTCTTTATTTTTTTCCTTGGTAGCTACCATTCTAAAAGCTAGATGGAATTCTGTTTGAAATCACTCAGCCATAGGCCAAGCACGGTGGTTGATGCCTGTAATCCCAGCACTTTGGGAGGCCCAGGCGGGCGGATCACCCGAGGTCAGGAGTTCAAGACCAGCCTAACATGGTGAAACCCTGTCTCTACTAAAAATACAAAAATTAGCTAGGTGTGGTGGTGTGTGCCTGAAATCCCAGCTACGCAGGAGGCTGAGGCAGGAGAATTGCTCGAACCCGGGAGGCAGAAGTTGCAGTGAGCCAAAGTGGCGCCACTGCACTCCAGCCTGGGCGACAGAGTGAGACTCTGTCTCAAAAAAAAAAAAAAAAAAAAAAATCACTCCTCCATAAAAAAAAACATGTCCGAGAAACTTCCTAAACTCACTCTGAGAAAGAAAAAGGTAAATGAAAATGTTCAACAAATAAAATATATTATTAGATATTAATGTTTTTGAAACTCACCTCTTTTATGCCCTTTGCAAATATTTTCTTACCTTTCAAGCTCTACTAATAAAATGCAATACACAGTTAAAAAACCGAGGTGAGCTGGGCACAATGGCTCACGCCTGTAATCTCAGCACTTTGGAAGGCTCAGGCAGGTGAGTCACTTGAGGCCAGAAGTTTGAGAACAGCCTAGCTAACATGGTGAAACTCTGTCTCTACTAAAACTACAGAAACTAGCTGAGTGTGGTGGTGCACACCTGTAGTCCCAGCTACTTGGGAGGCTGAGGCATGAGAATCACCTGAACTCAAGATCTGGAGGTTGCAGTGGACCGAGATGGTACCACTGCGCTCCAGCCTGGGTGACAGAGGGAAACTGTCTCAAGACAACGAAAACAAGCCTTAGGTCAAAATAAGTGAAAAAACCTTTTCAAGACACAGATATGTCTTAATCATGTGTCAAGTCAGGCCATCCAATTACTTGAGAGACTGTCCCACCCCATCCTACTCACTAAAGTGCTCAATAACCCCCTCTCAGGAGACTCTGAACTATGCCCCAGTGAGTGTCTCAGGCGCATTTTACTCTGCAAGTTCTTACACCATCTCACTGGGGTCAGTTTTTTGCGGTTTGTTTTTGTTTTTGAAATGGAGTCTCACTCTGTCGCCCAGGCTGGAGTGCAGTGGCGTGATATCCACTCACTGCAACCTCCGCCTCTGAGGTTCAACTGATTCTCCTGCCTTAGCCTCCTGAGTAGCTGCGATTACAGGCCTGTACCACTACACCCAGCTTTTTTTTTTTTTTTTTCGTATTTTTAGTAGAGATGGGGTTTCACCATGTTGGCCAGCTGGTCTCGAACTCCTGACTTCGTGATCCACCCTCCTTGGCCTCCCAAAGTGTAGGGATTACAGGCATGAGCCACCATGCCTGGCCCTCGTTTTTGTTTTGTTTTGTTTTGTTTTCTAGAAATTTTTTACTATTTTTCTGTTCTCTAAAGGAAACCAGGAGGCAGAAATTATTTGTTTTCTCCTCAATACTGGTATCTGATTGACTGACCAGCAATGTGTCTTTAAGAAATGAAAGCTGGGTTGGGTGAAGACAATATTAATGTCTCATAAAATTAGCTTTAAAAAAAAAAGTGCACTAGGAAATGCCTTTTAGACTCAGGGCATCCACCTGCGCACTTGGGACGCTACACTCAATACCTCAGATTTTCCTATGAGAGAATATGACCCAGAAGCTGATATTTACTAGACACTCTAAGCAGACATAGCCATGGTGGGTATCTTCGTTTATCCCAATACAGTACTGAAACCCAGGTCCAAGAAAACCGAATGGTGACTGAAGACACATCACACTATAGTTTCCAAAAGGAAAACTTGACCCAAAAACATTCTGATAAGATATCTGTGACTAGGGAAGATAGAAGAAAAAAAAACGCAGAGATATTTTACAATACAGTGTCAGGAGATTATTCTTTGCTTTCTTCTCATAGGAAATATTTACAAAAAGAAAACAAACCTTTTTAAATGTGCCATCAAATGCTTTGTCAAAAAATGATTAATTGGCCGGGTGCAGTGGCTCACGCCTGTAATCCCAGCACTTTCGGAGGCCAAGGCGGGCGTATCACCCGAGGTCGGGAGTTTGAGACCAGCCTGACCAACATGGAGAAACCCTGTCTTTACTAAAAACACAAAATTAGCCAGGCATGGTGGCACATGCCTATAATCCCAGTTACTAGGGAGGCTGAGGCAGGAGAATCGCTTAAACCTGGGAGGCGGAGGTTGCGGTGAGCCGAGATCGTGCCATTGCACTCCAGCCTGGGCAACAAGAGTGAAACTCTGTCTCAAAAAAAAAAAAAAAAAAAAAAAAAAAAAGATTAATTGGCCAGGCGAGATGGCTCACGTCTGTAATACCAGCTCTTGGGGAGGCTGATGCAGGCGGATCGCTTGAGGCTAGGAGTTTGAAACCAGCCTGGACAACATAGTGAAGCCCGGTCTCTACTAAAAATACAAAAATTAGCCAGGCGTGGGGGCGGGCGCCTATAATTCCAGCTACTTGGGCGACTGAGACAAGAGAATCATTTGATCCCATAAGGCAGAGGTTGCAGTGAGCCTAAATCACACCACTGCACCACTGCACTCCATCCGGGGTGACCGAGCAAGCCTCTGTCTCAAAAATTAAAATAAATAAATAAATAAAAATTAAAACAGGTATCAAAATCTACCCTAAAGGACAAATAGATGATAAAGTGAATTAGGGAGGGGACATTGGCATTTGGGAATGTCAGACAAAACGGGAAATTTAGTATTTTCCTGCAAGCCAGAGTTAGGCTGGAGGAATAGGGGATGAGGGGTGGACTTGAGGCCCTGCTTGGGATACATGTGAAAATTTCAGGAAAAAAGCAGTCCCCTGTGGAGTGTGAAAATAATTAAGTGGCAGGCAATTAGATTGAGGTGGCTCTAGTCCCCGGATTTCTACTTCTAAAAAAAAAATCTAAACTCAAGAGCATTTTTTGGTAAATTACTACATTAGCGGAAACAAAATTCTTGCTTAACCAAGAATAAGCTGACAATTAAGCTCTGATTACATAACCAGGATATTCCCACCTTAAATGTAAAAATTAAGAAACGAGGCTGGGCACGGTGGCTCACGCCTGTAATCCTAGCACTTTCGGAGGCCAAGGTGGGTGGATCACCTGAGGTCAGGAGTTGGAGACCAGCCTGGCCAACATGGTAAAACCCCGTCTCTACTAAAAATAAAAAAATTGTGGTGGCGGGCGCCTGTAGTCCCAGCTACTAGGGAGGCTGAGGCAGGAGAATCGCTTGAACCCAAGAGGCGGAGGTTGCAGTGAGTCGAGATCACACCACTGCACTCCAGCCTGAGCAAAAAAGTGAGACTCTGTCTCAAAAAAAAGAAAAAAAAAAAAAAAAAACGACAACCTAGATTGCTGTACCTAGCCAATTATTGAATTTGGTTTTCTTTATCATGAACCTTGTAACAATCTTTTCTTCAGGCCCCTTCCATGGACCACAAAAGTACAAACCACAGCTGGGTGTGGTACAATTTTTGAATCATTCTTTTATTAAAGTATTTAATATTTTTGCAGTGACGCCCATAAATTTTTAATGGGAAAAAAGAGGGCCTGGGAACCCCACAGACCAAAGCTCTTCCCGTTCATGAACCCGCAACCCGAGTCAGGATTCTCCCCTGACGACCCTCCCCGGGTCCCTGAACAATCTGGGAGAGACGCGGGGCTGCGGGTCCACAGCTGCCCAGAGAGGGCTCCAGGACAGGGCACAGTCACTGCGCAGGGAAGAAACAGGACTCCTGGGGGTCTGGCTGTCAGCGCAGCCGCCATCTTATTTCTGAAGGGGACTGAGGTCGAGCTGGGCGCAGATTGTGGAGCTGACTGGGGGGAGGCCTGAGTCCCGCCACAGCCGCTTCCCACCAGTTCCAACCAGCCCCCTCCCCTCTCTCGGGATGTCGGACTGGCATTCTCACCATTTCTAGGCTTCTAGGGGGTCCTGGCATCTTAGCTGTGGATCTCCAATACCTGCTGGTAACAGCGCCACAGAGGCTGGGCCTCTAGGAGCAGAGGACACAGAGCAGTGAAGACAGACCTGGGACTCCGGCGACAGCGAGAGACAAAGGCCCCGCCATATCCCGGAAGCCGCTTTGTCCAGTCCAGCTGTGTGCCTGATTGGACAGTTCCCAGCCCAACGTCCCTAGTTGGATAACGTTTAAGGCCCCGCCTACTCAGACCCTGAGTGATAGAAGATGTGATCACACCCTAGGCTGAAGAAAGAGTGACAGCCTAAGCTGCAGCCTTATCGGGCAGGGCTTCCTCCCTGAGCTGAGCCAGGCCCACCCCAGAGCATGGGAAAATTCTATATCTTTTTTGCTCTCTCTCTTTTTCAATGTATTCAAAATGTGAACAAACATATTTTATGTATATTAATAATACATATAATTTTTGTTCAAGAGAAAATCAACTTTTACTTTAGTAATAATGTATTATCAGCACTAAAGCTAATTTGATAAACCGTTATAAGTAAATCCATCAGCTGGGCGCGGTGGCTCACGCCTGTAATCCCAGCACTTTCGATGGCCAAGGCGGGCGGATCACATTAGGTCATGTGTTGGAGACCAGCCTGACTATCATGGTGAAACCTCATCTCTACTAAAAATACAAAATTAGCTGGGCGTAGTGGCACGTGCCTGTAATACCAGCTTCTCGGGAGGCTGAGGCAGGAGAACTGCTTGAACCTGGGAGGTGGAGGCTGCAGTGAGCGTGGATCGCGTCATTACACTCCAGCCTGGACAACAAGAGTAAAATTCCGTCTCAAAAAAATAAAAGAAAAAAAAATTAGCTGGGCATGGTGGCGCACGCCTATAACCCCAGCTTCTCGGGTGGCTGAGGCAGCAGAATTCCTTGAACCCGGGGGGCTGAGGTTGCAGTGAGTCAAGATCCTGCCACTGCACCCTAGCCTGGGCGACAGAGCGAGACTTTGTCTCAAAAAATAAAATAAAATAACAAAAATAAAGTCCATCAAATTTGTCTTTTTGACCATTCTAGATTTTTATACATATTTTATGATCTCTTATACTTTTTTTTATTTTTTATTTTTTGTCTAGACGAAGTCTAGCTCTGTCGCCCAAGCTGGAGTACAGTGGCGCCATCTTGGCTAACTGCAACCTCTGCCTCCTGGGTTCAAGCGATTCTCCTGCCTCAGCCTCCCGAGTAGCTGGGATTACAGGCGTGCATCACCAAACCTGGCTAATTTTTTGCATTTTTAGTAGAGACGGGGTTTCACTATGTTGCCAGGCTGGTCACGAACTCTTGGCCTCAGGTAATCCACCCGCCTCAGCCTCCCAAATTACTGGGATTACAGGCGTGAGCCATCGTGCCTGGCCATTTTTTAAATTTTTATGTTGTATTTTAATCTACATTATTTTTATATTTTCAATTTGAAACAACCTTTAAATAATTTCAAAGTAGACAAAATGTTTCTAACTTTCTTCATCAAAAGCATATTTTGCTTTTGTTTATACACTGTTTTTTTATTTCCAGGAGAGGCTTGCTCTTTCGCCCAGGCTGAAGTGCAGTGGCGCAATCTTGGCTCACTGCAACCTCCGCCTCCCAAGTTCAAGCGATTCTCCAGCCTCAGCCTCTGGAGTAGCTGGGACTACAGGTGTAAGCCATCATGCCCGGTTTATTTCTGTATTTTAAGTAGGGACTGGAATTTGCCTTGCTGTTCAGGCTGGTCTCAAACTCCTAAGCTCGAAATGATCCACCTGCCTTGGCCTCCCAAAGTGTTGGGTGTTGGGATTACAGACGTGACCCACTGCGCCTGGCCTTTGTTTATACACTCTCTATAAAAAAATTGTTTTACACCTAGAAATCTTAGTTTTTATATATATATATATATACCCTTAACAAACTAATTTTTAGTGAAACCCCTAGGAAGTAATTTTGAACTGTTTTGTATCAATATTTGTAGATAAAAAATTTTATGTTTTTTAATAAAAGACGTTTATTCAAATTTTCTGTTAAGTAACAGATCTAAATATAGTTAGCTTTTCTATATCATGTTAAAAAAAATTCTGGGCTGGGTGCAGTGGCTCACGCCTGTAGTCCCAGCACTTTGGGAGGCCGAGGTGGGTGGATCACGAGGTCAGGAGTTCAAGACCAGCCTGGCCAATATGGTGAAACCCCCATCTCCACTATTAAATACAAAAATTAGCTGGGCGTGGTGGCGCGTGCCTGTAGTCCCAGCTACTCAGAGGCTGAGGCAGGAGAATCGCTTGAACCTGACAGGAGGAGGTTGAAGTGAGCCAAGATCAGGTCACTGCACTCCAGCCTGGGTGACAGAGTGAGGCTCTGTCTCAAAAAAAAAAAAAAAAAAGATTGTGGTCACTCATGATGGCTCATGTTTATAATCCCAGCACTTTGGGAGGCCAAGAAATGAAGACTGCTTAAGCCCAGGAATTTGAGATCAGCCTGGGCAACATGGCAAAAACATGTATCTAAAAAAATACAAAAGTTAACTGAGCATGGTGGCCTGTACCTTTAGTACCAGCTGTTCAGGAGGCGGAGGGAGGAGGATTGCCTGAACCAAGGAGGTCGAGGCTGCAATGAGCCCTGATTAAGCCACTGCACTCTATTCTGGGTGACAGAGTGAGACCCTTTCTAAAAAATAAAAAATAAACCAAAAACAGCCAAAGCATAGAAAGTTAAACTTACGGGGTTTGGGATTATTTTTTGTTTATTATTATTATTATTATTTCCAAAGTTTTTAAGGTACAGAAGATGTTTGGATACATGGATAAGTTCTTTTGTAGTGATTTCTAATATTTAGGAGCACCCATCTCCCAAGCAGTGTGCACTGTACCCAATATGTAGTCTTTTATCCGTCACTCTTCTCCTACCCTTGCCACTGAGTACCCACAGTCCATTATATAATTCTTATGCCATTGCATTCTCATAGCTTAGTTCCCACTTATAAGTGAGAACATACAATATTTGTTTTTTTCATTTTTTAGTTACTTCACTTAGAATAATGTTCTTCAACTCCATTGAGGTTGCTGCAAGTGCTATTATTTTATTCCTTGTTATGATTGAGTAGCATTCATTGGTGTATATATATTATTATAAATATATTATATATTATTTATATATATTATATATATATAAAGAAAATGTGGTATATGCCACATTTTCCTTTTCCACTCATTAGTTGATGGGCATTAATTAGGCTGCTTCCATTCTTTTGCAATTGCAAATTGTGCTGCTATAAACATGCATGTGCAAGTATCTTACTCATATAATGACTTATTTTTCACCATGTAGATACCCAGTAGTGGAATTGCTGAATCAAACGGTAGTTCTACTTTTAATTTTTTAATGAATCTCCATACTGTTTTCCATAGTGTTGTACTAGTATACATTCCCACCAGCAATGTAAAAGTATTCCCTTTTCACCAAAACCATGCGAACATGCATTATTTTTGATGTTTTAATTATGGTCATTTTTGCAGGAATAAGGTGGTATCACATTGTGGTTTTGATTTGCATTTTCCTGATCATTAATCATTAGTAATGTTGAGCATTTTTATCTACGTTAGTTGGCCATTTGTATATCTTCTTTTGAGAATTAATTAAGTCTCATCTGTCTTTGTTTCATGTTGCATGTGCTTTTGGGTTCTTGGTCATCTACGCTTTGCCAAAGCCAATGTCTAGAAGAGTTTTTCCAGTATTACCTTCTACAATTTTTATAGTTTCAGGTCTTAACATTTTTGATCCATCTTGAGTTTATTTTTGTTTTGCTTAGTCTTGCTTTGTCTATGCAGGTTCTTTTTTGTTTCATATGAATTTTAGAGTTTTTTAGTTATGTGAGGAAATTATGATGTTATTTTCATAGGAATTGTATTGAATTTGTAGCTTGCTTTTGGTAATATGATTTTTACAATACTAACCCTACCCATCTATAAGCATGGGATGTGTTTTTATTTGTATGTGTCATCTATGATACCTTTCAGACATATTTTACAGTTTTTCTTGTAGAGATCTTTCATGGCCTTCATTAGGGATAATCCTAATTATTAGTATTATTTTTTTGCAGCTGCTTTAAAAGGGGTTGAGTTCTTGATTTAAATATCAGTTTGGTCACTGTTGGTGTATACCAATGCCACTAATATGTGCACATTAATTTTGTATCCTAAAACTTTACTGAATTGATCAGATCTAGATGCTTTTTTATGAGTATTTAGGGTTTCCTAATTATATGATTGTAACATCAGTGAACAGTGACAATTTGACTACCTCTTTACCAACTTGGAGGCTCGCTACTTATTTCTTTTCTCTAATTGCTCTGGCTGGGACTTCCAAGTACTATGTTGAATAGAAGTGATGAAAATGGGCACTATTGTCTTGTTCCATTTCTCAGAGAAAATGTTTCCAACTTTTTCCTGTTCAGTTTAATGTTTGCTGTGGGTTTGTCACAGATGGTTTAAAAAAAAATTGAAGAGATTGATTCTGAGCCATATATGAGTGACAATGGCCTGTGACACAGCTCTCAGGAGGTTCTGAGAACATGTGCCCAAGGTGGTCGGGGCAAAGCTTGCTTTTATACATTTTGTAATGAGACATCAATCAAATAGTTTTTTGGGTTTTTTTTTTTTGTTTTTTTGAGATGGAATCTCACTCTGTTGCCCAGACTGGAGTGCATTGGCGCGATCTGGGCTCACTGCAACCTCCGCCTCCCAGGTTCAAGAGATTCTTCTGCCTCAGCCTCCCAAGTAGCTGGGACTACAGGCACCCGCCACCACGCCTGGCTAATTTTTTTTTTTTTTTTTTAGTATAGATGGGGTTGCACCGTGTTAGCCAGGACGGTCTCGATCTCCTGACCTCGTGATCCGCCCGCCTCGGCCTCCCAAAGTGCTGGGATTACAGGCATGACCCACTGTGTCTGGCCCAGTTTTTGTTAAAGAATTACAGCAATTAGCTATACAAAACATAAGCATTGTTCTGAAAAATTAAATAAAATAATTTTGAATAAGTTTAATAATTAATTTACTATTGAGGAACACATTTACCATAGTTACAATGTTTTTACCTATGAGGAGATGTGCTCTGCCACAAGGGTTTGTGATAAAGAATCTTCTTAATTACTATATTTTGCGAGACTCGATATTATCTTTTTTTTTTTTTCTTTTGAGGCAGAGTTTCACTCTTGTTGCCCAGGCTGGAGTGCAATGGCACAATCTTGGTTCACTGCAACCTCTGCCTCCAAGGTTCAAGTGATTCTCATGCCTCATCCTCCAGAGTAGCTAGGACTACAGGTGCACACCACCACACCCAGCTAATTTTTGTATTTTTAGTAGAGACGGGGTTTCGCCATGTTAGCCAGGCTGGTCTCGAACTCCTGACCTCAGGTGATCCACCTGCCTTGGCCTCCCAATGTGCAGGGATTACAGGCGTGAGATACTGTACCCATCGGAATTATTTCTTTTAGTAGTTTAGAAACCTTGATTGCCTTTTCAGACTTGGTAGGAAAAGCCTCAATCCAAACGGTAAAGGTGTCAATGAATACTAATCAATATTTAAACCCTTTACACGGGGGCATCTGAGTATAGTCTATTTGCCAGTCTTCACCAGGGTATGCTCCTCTATGCTGAACAGGCCTTACTAAAGGAGGAGGTAAACATTGGTCATTTGGGTTGTTCCAGGCATATAGTTCACAGGCCTGGGTTACCTGGTTTACTCTTTTAAGTAATTATTTTTCTATAAAAAGCCGAGATATTAAACAGGGAATTTATTCCCAAATGAGTAGAGTCATGCAAATGTTTAACTATTTTTTATTGATTAGCACCTCATATCAGGTTAATTGGAGTGTCTAGCAAAATGTCTGCTATTTCAATAAGTGTCCCCTGTCATCCACTGGTGTCTTTTGGCTTATAGAACTCCTCATACTTGGTGTGGGCTTAAACCTCAGAATGTTGTTCTAAAGCCAGTTTATTGGCTTTATCTACTGAAAGAGAAATTGCTACGACTTCCCTGAGGCATCCGGGCATGATAAGGAAGTTATGTAAGAAAACCGAAGTCACTGAAAAACAGCTTAGAGATTATGTAAAATGGCATCTATGGGCTTGTCAATCTATCCCCGTGACCATACAGTTTGGGGGTGAAACAGACCCATTATAATGGGTCAAAACAGAGTAAGCAGTCCAGAAGAAAGTTAATATTCTTTTTTTTTTTTTTTTGAGAAGGAGTCTCACTCTGTCGCCCAGGCTGGAGTGCAGTGGCATGATCTCAGCTCACTGCAACTTCGGCCTCCCGGGTTTATGTGAATCTCTTGCCTAAGCCTCCTGAGTAGCTGGGATTACAAGCATGTGCCACCACGCCCAGCTAATTTTGTATTTTTACTAGAGATGGGGTTTCTCCTTGTTGCTCAGGCTGGTCTCGAACTCCCGACCACCCACCTCAGCCTCCCAAAGTGCTGGGATTACAGGCATGAGGCAACTCGCAACTCATCTAGCTTCCTTTTTTTTTTTTTTTTTTTGAGACGGAGTCTCTGTTTCCCAGGCTGGAGTGCAGTGGCACGATCTCAGCTCACTGCAACCTCCGCCTCTCAGGTTCAAGCAATTTCTGGCTAATTTTTTGTATTTTTAGTAGAGATGGGGTTTCACCATGTTGGCCAGACTAGTCTTGAACTCCTGACCTCAAGTCATCCACCCACCTCGGCCTTCCAAAGTGCTAGGATTACAGGTGTGAGCCACCGCACCTGGTGAAACTTCATATTCTTAACTGCCATGGCAAAAAATACTGAGGCTTTTCCAGATATATGGCTAGTTGTCTGATGGAAACCGTGGTGGAAGGTCTCAGTCCCCGTCACTCTTGGGTGCTTGCCTGGCTGTTTTACCCATCATTAGTTCACGTGCTGATGGCTCTCTTCAGAACACTGGACAAACCCTCTTCCAGTGGTCAGTTTTCTTACAGTGTGCAACCTGATTTATGCCCAAGGCACAGTGACTCGGACACCCAGGTTTAGGCTTCCCACCTTTCAGCTTCCCTTGTTCAACCCAAGACCCAGGAGGGCAACCCCATGTGGGAGGTTAGCTTAAGGTTGCAACCAAGACCTGCAACTTGTGGGAGGTCCTTCTTCCTCTTTCCGCTACCTCCGCTTTGTCCCTGTTATTAAAAACTAAAAATGCCATATCCAAAGCTGTTCCAGAGAAGTTTGGGGACCCATAGCTGCTTTTAGTAGTTTTCTATGGATATCAGGGGCAGACTGGGTTATAAAATGTACTCCCAGAAGGGTCTATCTTTTCATTGAGGCAAGATCAGTGTTAGTATATTTTCTGATTGCCTCAACTAAACACTATTAAAACAAAGCTGGATTGTCATCTTTGCCCTGAGAAAGTTGCTTAACCTTTTCATTGTTAACAGGTTTTTTCATACATTTCTTCATCTCTTTCAACAAACAAGTGACCATATGATCTCTTCTTCCAAGTCCTCACACCCCCTTTGATAGTTCCACTCTAGATCTTGATCTGGAACTGCTATACCTCCTGTCTGATATATATTATGGTTCGGGTTGCAAGCCAATACCTCATCTGCATGAGTCCTAGCTGTCCCCAAAATGCATTGTTTTTCTTCCACTGTATAACACAGAGACAACAAAATGTACAGATCCTGCCATGTTAAACTGTAGGTCAGAGTTAACTTCTCAAACTCACCTATGAATTTTCCTGCATCTTCAGAGAAATGACCAAACTTGTCTTATTATAGAGCCAAACCAGACAGAGAAAAGGGGACACCTCCTCTCACAGGCCTTCTTCCCCATTTGCAACCTCTGTAGGTGGACAAAGATTTCCCCTTGGAGGTTGATAGGCAGCTCCACTATGAGTAGTACTCACTGGGCTAAGTTCTTCAGGGAGTGGTGGGTACAGAGTGGGACTAGAAGGGTAGGGAGGAGGGACAAATGGTTCTCAATAGAACTTTCAGGTGTATTAGTGGGAAAAAAGACCAACACATCTGAACCTTCAGACCTGACAGAAAGGTTCTGCTTCACCCAAAAATGCCCGCTGAACCAAGTGGCAGGGGGGCTTGAAATAAGGATCATCTTGTATGTCCAACTCTTTTTCTTCTATTTCTCTCATGAAACATGGACATGCCTGCTGCAGGGTTTCATTCTGACTGAGAAGCAAAAATGCTTGAACATATGGTATTTTATCCCATTTTCCCTACCACTTACAGAATAAATTGAGTTGAAGTATAAATATCCGTTAGAGGCAATTTTTCCTGTATCTTTCTGAAACTGCTTGCTGCTTTTCCATGCGTACCATCCTTAAGAAAGGGCACACTCTTAACCCAATCCGTAATCTCTGTTCCTGAGGTTTTAGTAACCTGATACTTCTGTTTTGTTGTAGACAGCCCTGACGATGAGTTTTCACCCCAGAGAACAGAATGACAAAAGATCAAGATGTGCTTGAAAAAGCTGATGGGGGGCATTGGGTCAGGAAAGGCCAGGCTGTCTAAGCATTCAGAGACACCTGTGCAACTGTCCTTGCAATTAGGAGCCAGGCCCCAAAAAGCTTCCCACTGCTTGTGTCTTTGACCTATGCTAGGCCCTGCTGTTGATTAGTTTCCTCTACTGAGCAGGTAGCTTATAGTTGGAGTATTTATACCAAGGAGAATGTTCCAGGCCAGCCCTCAGTCAACTTAAAATAATAAAAAAGGTTAAAATGTAACCTGAAATACATTTACTCAATGTCAGATATTGAGGATAGCCAAGAGGAGGACAGATTTAAGTTGCCCTGAATATATATTTTAATTAGCAGCCATTGAAAGTGAGTCTTTTTGAAAAAGTGAGAAGGCAGTTCCTAAGTTATTTACCAAGAATTCATATTTAAATGCATAAGCTATTGATTGGCTGCATATATTCTTTTATTTTCCAAATTCCTAATAAAGAAATAATGGGTGAGACTGCTAGTCAGAAAGTAAATGTCTTTAAAGAATTGCCCCTAATCCCAGCACTTTGGGAGGCCGAAGTGGGCAAATCAGGTGAGATCAGCAGTTGGAGACCAGCCTGGCCAACATGGTGAAACCCGATCTCTACTAAAAATACAAAAATCAGCCGTGTGTGGTGGCATGTGCCTGTAATTCCAACTATGTGGGAGGCTGAAGCAGGAGAATCACTTGAACTCAAGAGGCAGGGTTGCAGCATGCCAAGATCATGCCACTGCACTCCAGCCTGGGTGACAGAGTGAGACTTCGTCTCAAAACAAACAACAACAACAACAAAAAATGCCCCTGGGTGAAGTTCCACAGTCTCATCTCTCTGGGCTTGATAAATTGTGCAGACCTCACAGAGCTGAGACTGTTCCAAGCTCTTTTTTTTTATTTTCACCTCCTTGCTGAGGACACATGTACTATTAACAAGAAACAAATTCAAACAAGAAACTTGGCAATCCACAAGAATAATGCCAGGAGGTGACCTCCAGGAACCTGCCTGTCACCTCCTTTCCCCACCCTGCCCTCCACTCCTTTAGACACACACACCCTGTATCACAAGACCAAAAAAACCACTCCATCAGCCACTGAGAAGCCACAGAAGAACCCAGAACCATGGCATGGCCACCTTGGGTCACCCTATAATGAACAGCCATTGTTAGCATTCAGGAGCTGTTTATTCCCATCTTCACACTACACTAAGTAACTTTCAACAGTTATAAGATAGACTGGCTGAAAGCTGATGCTTGGAACATCCCACATCACCCAGGAGCTCAGTGCTGCATTCTCAGGTACACACCTGTCCATCTTCCATTGAAGTGAAACAATTGCTATCAAGAAACCAGAGTCCCTGCAATGGTGGTGGATAAGTCTGGGGTGCAGTAGTGACCAGCTAGCAGTGCCTTGGCTGTGTAAAACAAAAGGTACCTGAGACAAGTGTCAATAAATTTGGAAAGTTTATTCTGCCAAGGTTAAGTAGGAGCCTGTGACACAGCCTCAGGAGGTCCTGATGACAGGTGCCCAAGGTGGTTGGGGTACAGTCTTCTAATACATTTTAGAAAGTCAAGAGACATCAATAACATGTTTAAGATGTACATTGGTGTGGTCAGGTAAGACAGGAAAACTTGAGGTTGGGGCTTCCAAGTCATAAGTAGATAAGAGAAAAAATAATAAATTTATTTGAGTCCTTGATAAGTCTCCCACTGAATACACAATTTAGCCTGGCTCAGTGAATCTGCATTTTAAAATTAACAATAGGGCAGAGGAAACAAACAGATCTGCATTTGTCTCAGGTGAGCCTCAGAGAGATAACTTTGAGTTCTGTCTGTCATCTATTCACTAGGAATTTCCTTCTGAGCAAATTGTGAGGTAGGTATGTAGCTTTTTATCTGTGTAGCTATCTTATTTAAGAATAAAATAGGAAACAGGTTTGCCTGATGTAGTCTCCAGCTTGACTTTTCTATTGGATTAGTAATTTTGGCATCAGGAGATTTATTTTTCTTTCACAGTGGGAACTCCTTGTATTATCAAGCGTATCTATTTAAACTTGACAGAATAAAACAATGTATCTATTCAGAAGTATTAACGGAAAACTTAAATTTTGACAAATACAAATATTGCTAAATCTTTCAGAATAGCCCATCCTAGGTCTTCCATTTCTTATTCACTGCAATTCAAATAAATTTTTTTCATAATTTTACAATGGATCTCTATGTCAGAGGCATTCAAACCAGAGCGACTCCATCTTGAATAGTGTTGAGGTGAAACGAGGCTGAGACCTACTGGGCTGCAACCCCAGGTTAGGCATTCTTAGTCACAGAATAACATAGGAGATCAGCACAAGATACACTTTACTTAGCAAAATGTCATAATCTTCCTGTAAGCTGGGTGCAGCCAGAATAGAGGAGTCACATATTTAGGTCATGGATGCAGAGATATGTTGCAGGAAGTCAGGGACCCCAAACGGAGGGACTGGCTGAAGCCGCAGCAGAATATAAATTGTGAAGATTTCATGGACATTTATTAGTTCCCCAAATTCATACTTTTATAATTTCTTGTGCCTGTCTTTACTGCAATCTCTGAACAGAAATTGTGAAGATTTCATGGACACTTATCACTTCCCCAATCAATATTCTTATAATTTCCTATGCCTGTCTTTAATCTCTTAATCCTGTCATCTTCATAAACTGAGGACGTATGTCACCTCAAGACCCTGTGATGATTGCATTATCTGTACAAATTGTTTGTAAAACATGTGTGTTTGAACAATATGAACTCTGGGCATCCTAAAAGAACACAATAACAGTGATTTTCAGGGAACAAGGGAGATAACCCTGACTGCCTGTAGGGCTGGGCAGAACAGAGTCATACTTCTCTTTTTGCAAAAGTGAATAGGAGAAATATCACTGAATTCTTTTTCTCAGCAAGGAACAGGCCTGGCAAAATAATGCACTCCCAGGGTGAGGCCTCTAAAATAACCACTCTGGGAGTGTCTGTCTTATGCAGTTGAAGATAAGGGATAAAATACACCCTGGTCTCCTGCAGCGCCCCCAGGCTTGCTAGGATTAGGAAATTACAGCCTGGTGAATTCTAGTCAGACCAGTTCTCTGCTTTTGAACTCTGTTTCCTGTTAAGATGTTTATCAATGACAATGCATGCACAGCGGGACATGGAACCTCATTAGTAATTCTAATTTCACCCTGGCCTTGTGATCTTGCTCTGCCCCCATTTGCCTTGTGATATTTTATCGCCTTTGAAGCATGTGATCTCTGTGACCCACACCCTATTCGTACACTCCCTCCCCTTCGAAAATCGCTAATAAAAACTTGCTGGTTTTGCGGCTCGGGGGCATCGTGGAACCTGCTGACATGTGATGTCACCCCGGAGACCCAGCTGTAAAATTTATTTCTTTTGTACTCTTTCTCTTTATTTCTCAGACTGGCCAACACTTAGGGAAAACAGAAAAGAACCTACATTGAAATATTGGGTGCTGGTTCCCCTGATAGAGATATGTCACAAAGCCCCCATGGGCAGGGTCAAGAAAGGAGCAGTCTGTTCCCTAGGTGTTGGGCCCAGCAATACTCAAAATATGTGAGACCCCCTCCCCCAAAAAAAGAGAATCACATCACTTAGGTGCTGGGTCAAGTGATATGTTGCAATTGCCCTTTGTGGCAGGTTCCAGTCATAAGAAGAGAGTCACAACACCTAAGTGATAAACAAAATGATATTTCATAATACCCTCCTGAAAAGAGTCCATGCAGAAGACTCATATTATGCAGGTGCTGGTTCCAGCCATACATCACAATACATGTATGCAGAGATCAGTCACAAAAATGAGTCATATTTTGGGCAGAGCCCAAGCCATAGAAGAGTCACATCATTTAGGTTCTGGGCCCAGAAATGTCACAATACCCTCTGGGAAAACAGCCCTAGCAGAAAATTCACATCATCTAAGTGAGAGGCTCAGAGATATGTCACAATGCCCCCTGTGGGTAGGGCTCACAGAGAAAAGATAGATTGCATAACCTAAGAGCTGGACCCAGCTACATATCACAATCACTCCAGTGGGCAGAGCCAAAGCATGAGAAGAGTCACATCACATAAGTGCTGGGCCAAGTGATACATCACAATCCTCACTGTGGACAGGCCCCAGAAAGAAGAGTAGAGTCACATCATCTAGGTAATGGGCCCAGAGATATGCCACAATAATCCCTGTGGACAGGGGCCAGATAGAAGAATGACGTAGCCTGTGTGCTTATCCCAGGGATAAGTCACGCTCTTTCATGGAAGCATGGCCATGGGAAGAAAGAATAGTCACATCATCTAAGTGCTGGTCCCAGAGATATGTCACAATCTCTCCTATAGGCCAAACCCAAGTAAGAGTCACAGCACAAAGATGATGGATTCACAGATATGTCACTGTGCTTGCTATGGGCAGGGTTTGGACAGAAGGCTCACATCACCTTGTTTAGCCCAGCAGTATGTCACAATCTACATTGAGAGCAGAACCTACTTAGAAGAGAAGAGTCACTTCAGCTCGATGCTGGGCCCAGTAATAGAAAAAATTATTTATGTGTGCAGGGACCTGGTAGAATAAGAGAGTCACATTACCTTGGTGATTGGTACAGAGATAGGTTGTAATGCTTCCTTTAGGCAGAACCCAGCAAAGAGAGTTACATCACCTGGATGCTGCACATAGCAATATGTCACAATGACCCATAATGGCAGGGCACAGGAATGAGAGTCACATAACCAAGGTGTGGGGCTCAGCCATATGTCTCAATGCCTCCCTGTGGGCAGTGCTGAGGCAAATGTAGTCACACCACCTAGGTGTTGGGTCTAGTGATGTGTCATGATCTAATCTGTGGGCTGGGCACCAGGGAGGAGAATCAAATTACTCAGGTGCTGGTCAGAGGTGTATGTTGCAATACAGTTGCAGGAAAATGTAGGGATAAAATTAACAATCCTGCACATGTCCCATTTCTAGGTATTAGAGTCAACACTTTTTGTATGTTGAGTCTGAGTACATCAGTTACAATCTCAAAGGTGGACTGAATACATGCATAAGAGCCTCAATCTATGCTGTGGACTGTGTCCCCTTAGTGGAGTCACAGCCTCAGCGGTATGTTGAATCTTGGTCTGAGAGTCATCAACCCACATATAGCCCAAATCCATGTATGAGAGTCAATTTTCCAGCTTTTGGCTACCTCCAAATATGAGAATCAGAACTTCAACAGTGAGCTGTATTCATGTGGAAAGATGACAATCTTTACTGTCGGCTGGGTGTGCATGTGTCACAATGTCACCTGTGTTCTGGGCCTCATTATAAAACTCTCTGTACCATCTGAGGTCTTTATACAGTATTCATGAAAGTCACAATTTTCTCTGAAACTTTCTTCCTGGTATGGATTCATAATCATACCTGTGAACCTAAGTCCATGTATTTGAGTCAACATCTCTCCAAATGGCTGGGTCCCAAGAAGAGACTCTTCACCTGCCTATGAGCTGGATTTTGAAATTAGTCACCATGTTAACTGTAGTGGCATGATCACATGTAACAGAATTTTTACTGTGGACTGCATGCACCTGTGAAATTCAGGATCTCTCCAGTGGGCACTGTCCATGGGTCAGGGTGACAATGCTAACATTTGGTAGGTTGTGCATATGAGAAACACAGTCTCACCTGTGTGCTTGGTCTTGTGATGACACTCTCTGTACCATCCAAAGACTTTATATAAAATGTGAAAGAAAAGTAATCCTTTATGACATTATCTAGAGAAGACCCAGGAATTTACCCATTTCTCCAAGTATAGTTACAAGTGCCAGTAACTCTCCTTTTGGCTGGTTTGTGGTATTAGTGTCATCACCACAACTGTGAGCTTGGCTAAGGTATATGTCACAACCCAAACTGTGAGTAGAAAGAAAACAGGAGAGTAACATCACCTGGGTGCTGGGTCAGAAATATGTCACAATTTTTCCAGGGTAGGGATCAGACAGAGAGTCATATCACCTGGTTGCCTGACCAGGGTTATGTTACAATTCTCTCCTGAAAGCAAGGCACAGACAACAAAGTCACATTACTTGGATACTGGGCCAAGTTATATGTCACAGTTTTCTCTGCAGGTAAGACCTGGGTACACACCTGGTTGCTGAACCCAGAGGTATGTCACAATTTTCTGTGTGGTCATGGTGCAGATGGAAGAGGAGAGTCACACCTCCAAAGCAGTGGATGCAGAGATGTGTCACAAGGCCTCTTGTGGGCAGGGCCCAGGCAAGAGCCTTTCACCCATTTGGTTTGACCCAGAAATATGTCTTAATACCCAAAATACACAGGGCTGATGAGGAGGGTAATAAGGCGTGGCACAGTGGCTCACACCTGTAATATCAGCACTTTGGGAGGCGGAGGCAGGTAGATCGCTTGAGGTCAGGAGTTCGAGACCAGCCTGGCCAACATGGCGAAACCCCATCTCTACGAAAAATACAAAAATTAGCCAGGTGTGGTGGTGCATGCCTCTAACCCCAGCTACTCGGGAGGCTGAGGCAGGAGAATTGCTTGAACCCAGGAGGTGGCTGTTGCAGTGAGCCGAGATCATGCCACTGCACTCCAGCCTGGGTGACAGAGCGAGACTACATCTCAGAAGAAAAAAAAAAAATGAAAAAGAAAAACAGAAAGAGACTGGTACCACCAGATGCTGGGTCCAGTGATATGTCACAATCCCCCCTTTATACAGAGCTCAAGTAGAAAAGGACAGTTACATCACTTAGGTTATAAACAAAATGATTATGTCATAATTTCCCTATTAGAAGGGCTCAAGCAGGAGAATCACACCATCTACCTGTTGGACCCAGCCATATTTCAATATATACAATTTTTAATAAACACAATATACAATTTGCATATTGAAATATGGCTGAGTCCAACACCTAGGTGATGTGACTCTCCTGCATGAGCCCTGCTAATAGGGGAATTATGACATATCATTTTGTTCATCACCTAAGTGATGTAACTCTCCTTTCCGTCCTGAACCCTGTAGAAGCAGAGGAGAGTCACATCACCAAGGTGCTGGGCCCAGCAATACATCACAATCCCTCCTTGGGCAGAGCCCAAGCATTAGAAGAGATGTAGTCTCACTCTGTCACCCAGGCTGGAGTGCAGTGGCATTAGAAGCATTATAGCTAGGTCAAAAAAATATGGCACAATACTTCCTGAAAAATGAAGGGTCCATGCAGCAGTCTACCTAAATTAGAGCTTCAGAGGTATGTCAAAATGCCCTATGTGGGTGAGGCTCACGTAGAAGAGAAAAGTCGCATAACCTAGGCCCTTCACCTAGTTATACGCCACAATCACCCCAGTGGGAAGCACCCAGGCATGGGGAAAAATTATGTAGGTGCTGAGACAAGTGATCTGTCACAATCCCCACTGTTGACAGGTCTCAGAGACAAAAAATAGTCATATCATCTTGTTTAGTAGGCCAGGGACATTCACTATGTCTCCTGTGGACAGGGAACAGGCAGAAATATTACATCACCTGTGTGCTGTGCCTAGGGATTAGTCACTCCCCCTTCTTGGTCAGGGCCCAGGAAGGAGCAAAGAGTAACATCACGTAGGTGCTTGGCCCAGATATGTTACAATGTCTCTTAGGGAAAAGCCTATGTAAAAGTCGAGAGTAGGGGGCCTTCTCTTTTGGCTTTGGAGCTCCCCTCCCTCTGTCTCTGCATAGGGGAGCTTCTTCTTTCTGTCTTCTCCCTTCCTTCTTGCCTATTAAACTCTCCACTCCTTAAAACCAAGAAAAAAAAAGTGGAGAGTAACATCAAATAGATGACGGGTTCAGAAATATGGCAAAATTGGCCCCTGTAGTCAGGATATAGGTAGGAGATTCATATTACCTGGGTGTTAGACCCAGCAATATGTTACAATAGCCCATGTGGGCAGGGCATAAAAAAGACAAACAAATTACCTGGGTGCAGGGACCAGTGATATGTCACAATGTACTCTGTGACAGGAACAAGGAAAGAGTATAGGGTCACATCATCTAAATACTGCTTCAAACAATATGTCCCAATCCCATCTGTGTGCCAGGCCCAGGCAGGAGAGTCAAATTCCTCAGGTTTTGAGCAGAGATGTGTGTCACAATCACACATGCAGAAAGGCTCAGGAATAACATGAATAATTCCTCACATATTCCCATTCTAGGTATGAGAGGCAAGACCATTTGGAGGTTGGGTCTAAGTGCAGAAATCACAATCTCAATATGGATGAATTCATGAAAAAGAGCCTCAATCTCTCCTTTAGACTCTGTCTTCTCAGTAAAATCATAGCCTCACAGGTGCACTGAATCTTGGTCTGAGTCACCAGCCCAGCTGTGGAGCAGATCCACACATGGGAGTCAACTTTGCAACTTCCCACTGCCTCCAGGGTTGAGATTCAGAACTTCAGAAGTAGGTTGTGTTTTTCTAAAAGGATGACATATTTACTGTTGACTGGTTGTGAAAACCAGCATCACAATGTCACCTGTGTGCTGGGCCATGTAAGGGCATTCAATGCATTACCTGAGGACTTTATGCAATATGCATGTGAGTCGCAATCCACTCTAAGACATTTGTGATGGTATGGACCCTTGATAGTACATGCTGCTCTAATCCCAGAAATGAGAGTCAACATCTCTCCAATTGGCTGATCAATATAGGAGAGTCCTCATCTGCCTATGAACTACATTTAGAAGTGAGTCATCATTTGTAGCTTTAGAAATGAGACATTCCTGGCTCGATGTTTGCATATCACAGTCACAATTCCAACTGTGGACTGCATCTGCATATGAGATTCAGGACCTCACCAGTGGGCTCTATTTTGAGGTTACAATTGTAATGAGCGGCAGGATGTTTTTATTTCTTTTTCCTTTTGAGACAAAGTCTCACTCTGCTGCCCAGGCTGGAGTGTAGTGGCCTCCTGGGTTCAAGTGATTCTCCTGCCTCAGCCTCCTGAGTAGCTGGGACTACAGGCATGTGCCACCACATCTGGCTAATTTTTTGTATTTTTAGTAGAGATGGGGTTTTACCATGTTAGTCAGGATGGTCTCAATCTCCTAACCTTGTGATCCGCCCACCTCGGCCTCCCAAAGTGCTGAGATTACAGGCGTGAGCCGGCCTCCCAAAGTGCTGAGATTACAGGTGTGAGCCACCACACCTGGCAGAATATTCTTTTTTTTTTTTTTTTTTTTTTTGAGATGGAGTCTCACTCTGTCACCAAGGCTGAACGGCAGTGGCGTGATCTTGGCTCACTGCAACCTCTGCCTCCTGGGTTCAAGCAATTCTCCTGCCTCAGCCTCCTGAGTAGCTGGGATTAGACACCCGCCACCACGCCTGGAGAGTTCTTATATTTTTAGTAGAGATGGGGTTTCACCATGTTGGCCAGGCTGGTCTTGAACTCCTGACCTCGTGATCCACCTGCCTCGGCCTCCCAAAGTGCTGGGATTACAGGCTTGAGCCTGGCCAGGATGTTCTTTTAAGAAACACAATCTTGGGCTGGGAGCAGTGGCTCACACCTATAATCCCAGCATTTTGGGAGGCCAAGGTGGGCAGATCACCTGAGGTCAGGAGTTCAAGACCAGCCTGGCCAACATGGTGAAAACTCATCTGTAATAAAAATACAAAATTAGCTGGGCTTGGTGGCACACATCTGTAGTCCCAGCTACTCGGGAGGCTGAGGCAGGAGAATCACTTGAACTCAGGAGGCAGAGGTTACAGTGAGCTGAGATCATGCCACTGCACTTTAGCCTGGGTGACAAAGTGAGACTCCATCTCCAAGAAAGAAAAGAAAAGAAACGCAATATCATCAGTGTTTTTGTCCCTTGATGACACTCTCTGTGCCACCCGAGGGCTTTATAGAATATTTGAGAGAGTGTTAATTCTCTATGACCTTGGCAAAAAGAGGAGACTAAGGATTATGTTTGTTTTCCTAAGCCTAGCTAGGAGAGACTATAACTCTTTTATTGCCTGGTTCAAGGTATAAGAATCATCATAGCAATTGCAAGCTGAAGCAAGATATATGTCCCAATGACACTGGTGGGTAGGAAGTGAGCAGAAGAGTGACATCACCTGGGTCTCATCTAAAGGTATGTCACAATCTTTTTTGAAGGCAAGGACCAGACAGGAGAGTCATATCACATCATCTAGGTTCTTGGCTGGGGATGGATTAAAATCTAATCCTATAAGATGGCTGCAGGTAGACTGGGTGCAGTGGCTCATGCTGGTAGTCCCAGCACTTTGGGAGGCCAAGGCAAGTGGATCACCTGAGGTCAGGAGTTAGAAACCAGCCTGGCCAACATGGTGAAACTCCACCTCTACTAAAAATACAAAAATTAGAACGGTGTGGTAATGCATGCCTGTAATCCCAGCTACTTGGGAGGCTAAGGCAGGAGAACTGCTTGAACCCAGGAGGCAGATTTTGCAGTGAGCCAAGATCACATCGCTGCACTCCAACCTGGGCAACAGAGTGAGACTCTGCCTCAAAAAAAAAAAAAGGCTAGATAGGCACAGGCCACAAGTCACATCACCTGTGTGCTGGGCCCAGTGATATGTTACAACGCTCTCTGTGAGCAACACCCTGAGAGGATAGACACATACCTGGTGGCTGATCCCAGTGATATGCCACAATATTTTCTTTGTGCATGGTGCATGTAGGTGAGGAGAGCCACGTTTCTTAGGTGATGGATGCCAAAATATGTCACGAGGCCATCTGTGGGCAGGGCCCAGGCAGAAGCCTCTCATCCCCTAATGTCAGATGCAGTGATATGTAACAACATGTAAAATATGAAAGGTCCAGCCAAAAGATGAGTTACATCATCTAGGTGCTGGACCCACTGACACAACACAATTCCCTTGTGGCAGGGTACAGGCTGATGAAGAGTCACATCACTACCTAGGTGATGAATAAAAAGTTATTTCATAATACTCTTGTGGCCAGGGCTTATGTGGAAGACTCACATTACCTGGGTGGCAGACCCAGCTACACGTCACAATGCAAAATATTTGTAGGGTCCAGGCAAGAGAAAAGAGTCCCATTACGTAGGTGCTGGGCCCAGTGATGCATCACAATCCCTTTTTGGTCAGAGTCCAAGCAGTAGAGGAAGGGTCGTATCACCTAAATGCTGCATTCAGCAACATGTCACAATACCCTCTGAGAGGACAAGCCAGAAAGAAAAGTCACATCACCTAGGTAAAAGACCCAGAAATATTTAATAATGCAATCTTTTCATAGGGCTCAGGAAGAAAACAGGAGTCAGATAACGTAGGAGCTGGGCCCAGCTATATGGCACAATCACTACAGTAGGCAAGGCCTTGGCATGAGAGGAGAGTCACATCAGATATGTGCTGGGCCCAGCGATATGTCAAATTTCCTACTGTGGACTGCTCCAGAAAGATAAAAAGAGTCCTGTCATTTAGCCAACTGACCCATAGATATGTCACAATGACCATTTCGGCAGGAACCAAGCAGAAGAATCACATCCCCTGTGTGCTGGGCCCAACAATAAGTCACTCTTGCTTCTATTAGCATGACCCAGGCCCAAAGGTATATTAAAAGCTAACCTATGGACAAAGTGAAGATAAGAGAGGAGAGTCACATAAAATAGTTGACGGGCAGAAAACTCACATCATCTAGGTGTAGGGCCCAGCAATATGTCACAAGGTCTTACATGGGCAGGTCCAAGAAAAAAAATATATCCCTTTGGTGCTTAGTTCAGTAATATTTCACAATCTTTCCTGCAGGAGAAAAACTAAGAAATAAAAGAAAAAAATTAGCTATACGCTGTGAAAGGTCACAATTCTTCCTGGGGGCAGAGACCAGGTAACACAAGAGAGTCACATCACCTGTAGGATTGGTGCAAAGACATTTGTATTTTTATTTTATTTTATTTTATTTTTTTTGGAGATGGAGTCTCACTCTGTTGCCCAGGATGGAGTGCAGTGGTGCAATCTCAGCTCACTGCAACCTCCACCTCCTGGACTTAAGCGATTATCCTGCCTCAGCCTCCTGAGTAGCTGCAACTACAGGCACCAATCACCACACCTGGCTGATTTTTGTGGTTTTATTTGTTTTGTTTTGTTTTGTTTTGTTTTGTTTTGTTTTGTTTTGTTTTGTTTTAGTAGAGACAGGTTTTCACCATGTTGACCAGGCTGGTCTCGAACTCCTGACTTTGTGATCTGCCCACCTTGGCCTCCCCAAGCGCTGGGATTACAGACATGAGCCACCATGCCCAGCCACAAAGACATTTCAAAATGCCTCCTGTAAGCAAGGCCTAGGCATAAAAGTTACATCACCTGAGTGTTAAACCCAGCAATATGTCACAATGCCCCAAGTGGGCAAATCACAGGCAGAAGAGTCACAAATTATCAGTGCAGGGCCCAGCAATATGTCACAATGTTCCCTGAAGGCAAACCTAAAAGAAGAATCACATAAGCTAGGTGTTGGGTGTAGCAATATGCTACAGTTTCCCTGTAAGCAAGGACCAACAGAAGAAGAGAGTCACATCATCTGGATGCTGGGCCCAGTAATATGTCAATCATCTTTCCTGTAATAAAGACCCAGGCAGGAGAAATATATCATCTGGTTGCTGACCACAGCAATATGCCACAACTTTCTGTGTAGGCAGGGTGTAGGCAGAAAAGGAGAGTCACATCTCCTGGATGAGGAATGCAGAGACATGTCACAATGTCCCCTGTAGGAAGGGCCTAGGTAGGAGACTCCCATCCCTTAGGTGTTGAGTTCAGCAATATGTCACAATACCCAAATATGCAGAGCCTGAAAAAAAGAGGAGAGTCACATCACCTAGATGCTAGGCCAGTGATGTGTCACAATTTCTCTGTGAGCAGAGATCAGGCAGGAGAAGAGAGTAACATTACCATGATGATGGGCATTGAGTTATGTCACAAGGTCCCCTGTAGGCAGGCCCAGAAAAAAAGTTACATCCATCACCCAGGTGTTGAACCCAACAATATTTAACAATGTCTAATGTGATATATTGTGCCACAACAGGTAAGGCACATTTGGGAGAGTCATAACATGGGTACAGGATTCAGCAATAATTGACAATACCCAAAATTTGCAGGATCCCTCCCACAAAAAAAGGGAGAGTCAAATCACCGAGGTGCTGGATTCAGCGATAAATCACAATCTTACATTTGGACTGAGACCAGGCAGCAAAATCAAATCACTCGGGTGCTGAACATAGGCATATGTAACAATCACACCCACAGGAATGTCCAGTAATGAATTAACAATCCTGCACAGGTCCCAGTTCTAGGTATGAGAGTCACCACACCATTACATCTGTGTGCTTGGCCAAGTTATATGTCACAATTCCACCTGTGGGTAGAGAACAAGCACAAGAGTCACATCAACTGTGTGCTGAGCCAGGGTTATGTCACAATCTTCCCTGACAGCATGCACCAGCAAGGAGAGTCACATCACAGAGTTCTCAACCAGAGATGTTATAATCCTCTCCTGAAAGCAGGGCATAGGAAGAAGAGTATGATCACCTGGGTGTCACAAGGCTCACTGTAGGCAAAGCCCAGAAAAGATAGACAAAACACCTGGTTCCTGGGCCCAGCAATATATCACAATCTTCTCTATGGGAAGAAGGCAGGTAGAAGTAGAGGGTTTCATCTCCCAGGTGATGGATAAAAAAATATATTCCAAGGCCCTCTGTGGGAGGGGCTCAGGCAGAAGCCTTCCAACCCCTAGGTGTTTGTTTCAGTGATATGTCACAATAACCAAAATATGCAGGTCTCAGGCAAGTGAGAAGAGCCACATCACCTAGGTGCTAGGTCCAGTGATCTGCCACAAATTTTTCTTTTGGCAGTGCTCAAGCGGAACAGAAAAGTCAAATCGCCAAGATAATGAATGAAAAGATGTGTTAGAATAGTTCTGTGTGAGAGCCCACACAGGAAAGTCTCATCATAATGTTGTTGGACCCAGAGACATGTTGAAATACATGATGCCAGCCAGGTGCGGTGGCTCACACCGGTAATCCCAGCACTTTAGGAGGCTGAGGTCGGTGGATCACCTGAGGTTGGGAGTTCGAGACCAGCCTGACCAACATGAAGAAACCCCATCTCTACTACAATTAGAAAAATTAACCGGGCTTGGTGGCACATGCCTGTAATCCCAGATACTCAGGGGGCTGAGGCTGAAGAATTGCTTGAACCTGGGAGATGAAGGTTGTGGTGAGCTGAGATTGCACCATTGCAATCCAGCCTGGGCAAAAGGAGCAAAACTCCATCTCAAAAACAAACAAAAAACACAAAAACACATATTGCATGCAGGTCTCAGGCACAAGAGGAGAGTTAACATCACTTAGGTGCTGGATGCACCCAAATGCACATCACAATTTCCTCTTAATCACACCCCAAGCAGTAGCAGAGACTCCTATCATCTAGCATGTTGGTCCAGCAGTATTTCACAATACCCCTGAGGGGTGGGCCTAGGTAAAAAAGTAATATTACCTAGGTGAGAAGCCTAGAGATACGTCACAATGTCCTTTGTGGGTAGGGCTTAGAAAGGAGAGACACAGCCTAGGAGCTGGGCTCAGCTTTATGTTCCAGTAACCCCAGTGGAAAGAGGCCAAGAATGAGAAAGAGTCACATCACATAGGAGCTATGTCACGTGGCATATCACAATTCCCACTGTGGACAAACTCCAGAAGAAAAAAGTCACATCATCTAGGTGGGAGGCCCAAACATGTATCACAGTGACTCCTGTGTACAGGGACCAGGCAGAATAATTACACCACTGTTTTGCTTGCCCCACCAATACGTCACTCTATTCTGTGGGCATGGCCCAGGCAGAAGAGGAATGTCACATCACATAGGTAAAACGGGCATTTACCTCAGCTTTGCCCGTAGAAGAGATTGTAATGGGTCAAGAAATGTGTCACAATGCTCCCTGTGGTCAGGCTTCAGGCAGAGGACT
The DNA here is from genome assembly GCF_000001405.40 of Homo sapiens. Lineage (NCBI taxonomy): Eukaryota > Metazoa > Chordata > Mammalia > Primates > Hominidae > Homo > Homo sapiens. The sequence goes on along the minus strand of NC_000019.10, from coordinate 24,063,857 downwards.
CACATCTTCTTAGTGCTGAGCCCAGCCATGTCTCAATGCCTTCTAAGGGCAGAGCCAAAGCAAAAAAAAAAAAAAAGTAACATCACCTTAGTGTTAGGCACAATCACATGTCATAATCTCTTTTGTGAGCAGAACCCAAAAAAAAATTGTCACATCAGCTACGTGCTGGGCCCAACAATATGTTCCAGTACCCCCTGTGATTAGGGACAGGCAGGAAAAGTAAGTCACATTTCCAGGGTGATTGGTGAAGACATATATTACAATCCCCTCTGTAGACCGGTCCAGGATGAAGTGTTACATCACCTGGTCGTTGGACTCAGGCTATGTGTTTAGGGCACAAGCAAAAGATAAACATAACATAGGCCCAGCAATATGTCACAATACATCTGTGGGCAGCACCAAGGCAGAAGAGCCGACTCACACCACCTGGGTGCAACACCAAGCAATGTCACAATGACCACTGTGCGCTTTATCAAAGCAGAATAGAATCACATTACCAAGGGTATGGGCCCGGTGATATGGCACTGTGGACTGGTCCCAGGAAAAGACAAATAACTCAGATGCTGGGCTAAGATGTATGTCACATGACACTTGTAGAAAGGTCTTGTGATGACATTAACAATTACACTCATGTCCTGAGTCAAGGAATGACAGTCAACACTTCCTGCATGTTGGGTCTAAGTACAGGGGTCAGTCTCAATGGTGGACTGGATTTGTGCATAAGAGCCTCAATTTCTTTTGCAAATTATGTGCCTTAGTCTAGGCAAGGAGGCTCACACCTGTAATCCCAGCACTTTGGGAGGCTGAGGTAAGTGGATCACTTGAGGTCAGGAGTTCAAGACCAGCCTGACCAACATGGTGAAACCCCAGTTCTACTAAAAATACAAAAAATTAGCTGGCATAGTGGTGGGCACCTGTAATCCCAGCTACTCAGGAGGCTGAGGCAGGAGAATCACTTGAACCCAGGAAGCAGAGTTTGCAGTGAGCCAAGATCGTGCCACTGCTCTCCAGCCTCGGTAACAAGAGCAAAACTCCATCTCAAAATAAATAAATTATGCTCCTTAGTGAAGTTGCAGTCACAAAGGTGTGCTGAATTTTGGTTAACGAGTCACTAACCCAACTGTGGACAAAAATCCACAAATGAGAGTCAATTTTCCAACACTCAGCTGCCTCCAAAAGTGAGATTCAGAACCTCAAAAGAAGAGTGTGTTTAAGTGGATGACAATCTTTGGTATTGACTGGGTGTGAATATAAATTTCAGTCTCACCTGTGTGCTTCTCTCTGTCAGGACACTCTCTTGTGGACTGTATATGGTGTGCCTGAGAGTTGCAACCTGCTCTGAACACATGATCTAATGTGGTCCCAAGTCTAGGTATGACATTTAACATCTCTCCAATTAGCTGGGTCCAGAGAGGAGAGTCCTCACCACTATGAGCTGGGTTTAGAAATGATTCACCATCTCAAGTGTGGCCACATGTTCACATAAGATAGTCACAATTTTAAGTATGGACTGCATCCATCCATGAGAATTATGACCTCATCAGTCAGTGGGCTCTTTCATGTGTGAGGATGACAATCCTAAAAACTGGCAGGATGTGCTTACATGAAACATGATCTAACCTGTTTGCTGGGTCCTATGGTACAGAAGACATGCTCTGTACCATCCAAGTGCTTTACACAATATACAAGAGAGTGGTAATTCTCTATAACCTTCATACAGAGAGACCACCAGGATTTTACTCCTTTTTCTTTTTCTTTTTTTTTTTTTTTGTGAGACAGAGTTTCACTCTTGTTGCCCAGACTGGAGTGCAACGGTGTGATCTCAGCTCACCACAACCTCCACCTCCTGGGTTCAAGCGATTCTCCTGCCTCAGCCTCCCGAGTAGCTGGGATTACAGGCACGTGCCACTATACCTGGCTAATTTTTTGTATTTTTAGTAGAGACAGGGTTTTTCCATGTTGGTCAGGCTGGTCTTGAACTCCCGACATCAGGTGATCCGTCCACCTCTACCTCTTGAAGTGCTGGGATTATAGGCGTGAGCCGCCACACCCAGCCAGGAATTTTACTCCTCTTTCTAAGCCTACCTGTGAGAGACAGTGTCTCTTCTATTGGCTGGTAGGAGGTATTAGAGTCACCATCAAACCTGTGAGCTGGGCCGAGATATATGTTACCAACCAACTTGTTGGCACAAACCACCCAGGAGAGTGACATTACCTGGATGCTGGGCAAATGATATGTAATTTTTTTCCCTGAGGGCTGTGAAAAGGCAGGAGAGTCACATCATCTGGGTTTTCAACCAGTGGCATGTTACAATTTTCTCCTGAAAGTTATGCACATGCAGGAGAGACATATCACCTGGTGGCTGGGCCCTGCAGTGTGTTACAACCTTTCCTGTGGGGAGGGTGCAGGTAGAAAAGGCATCACATCTTTTATGTAATGGATGCAGATATATGTCACAAGAACCCCTGTGGACAGGGCTGAGGTGTTTGGCCCAGTGAAATGTCACAATAACCAAAATATGTGGTTGTTAGACAGAAGAGTCACATCACCTAAGTTCTGGTTCCAGTGATATGTCACAATCTTTCCTTTTGACAGGGATCAGAGAGGAGTCACATCGGTTAGGTGATGAACAAAAATAAATGTCTCAATAACCCCATGCTCACGGTCCATGTGAGAGAGTTGAATCACCCATGTGTTGAACCTAGTGAAATGTCAAAATATACAATTTATGCAGGGCCCAGGCAGGAGAAGACAGTACCTTCACCTAGGTGTCAGCCCCAGTGATACATCACAATACCTTCTGTGACAGAGTCCAAGCAGTGGAGAAGAATCACATTACCTAGGTGCTGAGTCAAAAACTATGTCACAAAAATCAATGAGGGTAGGGCCCAGGCAGGAGTCAAATTACCTAAATTAGGGGCTCAGGGATATGTTGCAATGACCTCTGTGGGTAGGACTCAGGAGAAACAGGAGAGTCACATAATCAAGGTGCTGAGTAAAGCTATATGACACAATCACCCAAACTGATAGGCCCAGGCAAAAGAAAGGAGTCATATCACATAGGTGCTGGGCCAAGTGATGTGTCACAATCTTCATTATGGACAGTTCCCAGGAAGGAGAGTCATATCATCTAGATGATGAACCTAGAGATGTCACAATAAGCCATGTGGGCTGGGATAATGCAGAAGAATAGAATCATTTGTGTGTTGATCCTAGTATAAGTCACTCTCTTTTTTGTGTGCATGGACCAGGCGGGAGAGTCATAACATCTAGGTGCTGGGCCCAGAGATAGGTCACAAGCTCTACTATTGGCAAAGCCCAGGTAAGAAAGTAGAGTCACATCAAATAGTTGATGGGCCAAGAGATATGTCACAATGCCCCCAGTAGGCAGGGTTTAGGCAGGAGACAAATTACATTGATGCTGGGCACTGTAGTATGTCACAATGTCTTTTAAGGGCAGGGCCAGGCAAAATAATTTCGCTGATGGGCCTAGTGATGTGTTAGTTTTTCTGTGAGCAGAATCTGTGAAGAAGAGGCAAGTAACATCAGCTTGGTGCTGAAACCAGCAATAGATATCATTATCCCCTAGTGAACAAGGACTAGGCAGGTGAAAAGATTCACATCACCTTGGTGATTGGCACAAAGGTACGTAACAATATCCCTGGAAGGCAGTGGCCTGGCAGGAATGTTACATCACCTGGGTATTGAAACCAGCTTCACAATAGCCTAAGTAGACAGGGCACAGGTGGCAGAGTTCCATCACCTGGGTGCTGAGCCCAAGGATATGTCACAATATTCCTGTGGGCAAGGCTCAGGCAGGAGAGAAACATTTTCTAATTGCTGGATCCAGTGATGTCACAATCTTCTCTGTGGGAAGAATGCAGGTAGAAGAGAAGAGTCACATCTTTCTAGGTAATGAGGCCAGAGACATGCCACAAAGCCTCCTGTGGGCAGGGCCAAGGCAGGAACCTCTCATCCCCTAGGTGTCAGTCCCAGAGATACGTCCAATATTCATAATATGCCATGCCCTGGCAATAAAGGCAAGTTACATCACCTAAGTGCTAGGGCCAGGGATATGTCACAATTCCTCTTTCATCAAGACCCAGGCATAAGTGGAGAGTCACACCACTTGGGTGATGAAAGAAAAGAAACATCATCATACCCCTGTAGGCAAAGCCCATGCAGGAGAGTTACATCACCTAGGTTGTGGCCCCAGTGCCAAAATACATAATGTATGCAGGGTTTAGGCAGGAGAAAAGAGTAACATCACCTAGGATCCTGGCTAAGCAATATATCAAACTCTCTTTTTGGGAATATTCCAAGCAGTAGAGGAGAGTCACATCACCTAAGTTCTCAGTCTAGCAATATGTCACAATGCCCCCTGTGAAAATGACTGAAGAATAAGAGCAGAGTAACATAACTTAGGGGCTAGGCCAAGCTGTGTGTCACAATCACACCTGTAAGCAGGGCCTAGTCATGAGAGGAGAGTCGCATCAAGTAAGTTCTGGGCCACACAATATATCACAATCCCCATATGGACAGGTCTCAGGAAGACATCACCTAGGTGCTGGGCCCAGGAACATGTGACAATGTCTCTTACAGGCAAACACAGGGTAGGAAATGGGAGGAGATAATATTAAACATCTGATGGGCCAAGAGATATGTCATAATGCCCTCTGTGGGCAGGATCCAGGCTGGAGACACACATCACCTTGGCGCTGGGGCCATGAATATTTTATAGTGCCTTCTGAGGGCAGGCCCAAGGCAAAAGAATAACGTCATTATGCTGTTGGGCCCAGCGGTATGTTACAATCTTTGCTGCAGGTGGAACCTAGAAAGAAGAGAGGAGTCACACCAGCCAGGTACTGGGCCTAGCAGTATGCCACAAGATGTTTTGTGAGAAGGAACTAGGCAGTAAAAGGCAGTCACATCACCTGGGTGGTGAGCACAGAGATGTGTGACAATGGCTCCTGCAGGCAGAACCTAAATAAGGGAGTTACATTTTCTGGGTTTTAGACCCAGTAATATGTCACAGTGAACCACGTGGGCAAAGCAGAGGAGAGTTAACATAATCTAGGGGTGATGGCAGCAATATTTTACAATGCTCACTGTGGTCAGCACCAAAGCAGGAGAGAAAACTCCCATCACTGGCCGGGCACGGTGGCTCACAACTGTAATCCCAGCACTTTGGGAGGCCAAGGCAGGTGGATCACCTGAGGTCAGGAGTTCGAGACCAGCCTGACCAACATGGAGAAACCCTGTCTCTACTAAAAATACAAAAATTAGCCAGGCGTGGTGGCGCATGCCTGTAATCTAAGCTACTTGGGAGGCTGAGACAGAATTGTTTAAACCCAGGAGGCGGAGGTTGCCTTGAGCCAAGATTGCACCATTACACTCCAGCCTGGGTAACAAGAGCGAAATTCTGTCTCAAAAAAAAAAAAAAGAAAGAAAGAAAGAAAGAAAAAGAAAACTCCCATCACCTGGATGCAAGGCCCAGTGATATGTCCCAATGCCTAATGTGGAAAGCACAGAGGCAAGGAAATGGAGTCACATCACCTAGTTTCTGGTGCAGCGATATGTCACGATTCCATCTGTGGGTTAAATCCAAACAGGAGAGAAAACTCACTTGGGTTCTACACAGAGGCATGTGTCACAATCATAGGTGCAGGAAGGTCCAAATGAGATTAACAATCCTGTACATAACCCGCTTCTGTGTGCAGCAGCAAGGCAGGAGAGGAGACTCACATTACCTGGGTGCAAGGCTCTGAGATATGTTAATGTCTTTTTTGAGTAGCACCAAGGCAGGAGAATAGTTACATCATCTAGGTGCTGGGTCCAGCAGTGTGGCACAATCCTATTTGTAGGCTGGGCCAGTTCTGAAGATCACAATACTCAGCTGCTAGACAGAAGTGTGTCAAAACTGCACCTGAAGGAAAGACCAAGGATGAGACTAACAATCCTGTATATACCCCAATTCTTGGTATGAGAGTCAACACCTCCTGTATGTTAAATCCAAGTACACAAGTCACATTTTTAGAATGAATTGAATCATTGAATGAGAGACACAATCCCTCTTACTGGCTGTTTCACCTTAGTGGAATCACAGACTAACAGTGTGTTCAATCTTGGTCTGAAAGTCACCAACTTAACTTTGGACTGGATTCACTTATAAGAGTAAATTTTCCAACTTGCAACTGTCTCTGGATATGAGATTCAGAACATCCAGTGGATTGTATTCATGTGAAAAGAGGACAATCTTTACTGTCGGCTGGGTGTGCCTGAGTGTCAAAACCTCAACTGTACAATGAGCCTAGTTAGAACATTCCCTGTACCAACCGAGGAATTTATAAGGTTCCCATGAGAGTCGCAATCTTTTGTGACTGGGAGACAATTGTAATGGTATCGACCCATAATCGTACCTGTGGCTCTATGCCCAGATATGAGAGTTAACACCTCTATAATGACTGGGTCCAGATATGAGAGTTGTTACCTCCCTATAAGCTAGGCTTACTAATGAGTCACCACCTCAGCTGTTGCCTGATGTTCACATATGACAGTCACAATTTCAACTCTGCACTGCATCCACATGTAAGATTTAAGACCTCTCCAGTAGGCTTTGTCCATGGATGAGGGTGACAATCTTAACAATTGGCAAAGTGTGCATACATAAATCACAATCCCATCTGTTTTCTAGAGCCGTTATGACACTCTGTATACCACTTGAGGACTTTATACAATATGTGAGAGAGTGTAATTTTCTCTGACCTTCCTAAAAAGAGAAGAGTGACAATCTTACCCATGTACCTAAGCCCACATATGAGAGATAGTATGTCTCCTATTGACTGGTTTCAGATATGACAGCCAACATTGTGCCTATGATCTGAAAAAAGATGTCACAATCTCCACTGTGGATAGGGAGTGAGCAGGAGACTTATATCATCTGGGTAATAGGCCAGGGATATGTCACAAACTTCTCTGAGAGAAGGCACCAGGCAGAAGAATTAAAACCTGGGTGCTCAGTCAGGGATATGTTAAATTTCCTCCTGAAACCAGGGCACAGACAGTACAGTCACATCACCTGGGAGCTGAGACGAGTGATATGTCACAATGCTCCCTATGAGCAAAGCTCAGGCAGGAGAAACACATCACCTGATTTCTGGGTCAGAAGATACGTCACAATCTCTCATTGTGGGGAAACCTTGGTAGAAAAGGAGAGTCACATCAAATAGTTGATGCTCTTAAAGATATGTCACAATGCTCTGTTGTCATGGTCCATACAGGAGACTCATGTCACCATGTTGCTGGGCCCAGCAATATGTCACAATGCCTTTTGAGGTCCAGGCCAAAGCAAACAGTAATGTCACATTGGCATAGAGCTCCACAATATGTCTCCATCTCCCTTGCCAGCAGAACTTATGATGGAAGAAGAACCACACTTGTTGGTACTGAGCCAAGGGATATGTCAAAATTCCCTCTGTGAGCAGGGACCAGGCAGGAGAAGAGAGTCATAACACCTGGGTAATGAATGGAAATATATGTCATAATGCTCCTTTTTGGCAGTAGAGTTACATTACCAGGGTGTCAAACCCAGCAATATGTCACAATTGCTTATGTGGTCGGGGAACAGGCAGGAGAGTCACATAACCTGGGCATAGGGCTCAGAGACATGTCCCAACGCCTTCCGTAGGCAGTGCCAAGGCAGGGGAGGAGACTCAAATCATTTAAGTGTAAGGTCCAGCGATATGTCACAATGTCCCCTGTGAGCAGCACCAATGCAGAAAAATAGAATCACATCCCCTCAGTTCTGGGTTCAGCTATGTGTCACTATTCCATCTGTGGGCTGGTCTTAGGCAAGAGAGTCAGATCACTCAGGTGCTGGGCAGAGAAAAATGTTACAATTAAACCTGTGGGAAGGTGCAGAGATGAAATTAACAATCCCACACATGTTCCGGTTTTAGGTAAAGGAGGTTAACCCTTCCTATATGTTGTGTCTAAGAACAGGAGTTACAATGTCAACAGTGAACTAAATTTGTACCTGACAGCCTATACTCCTCCTGTGGACTTTGTCTAATTAGTGAAGTCACAGCCTCATACGCATGCTGAATCTTGCTCTGAGTGTCACCAACTCACCTATGGACTGGATCCATATATAAGAGTCAATTTTTCCACCTTTGACTTCCTCTAGGTGTGATCCAGAACTTCAAAAGTGGGCTGTGTTTATGTGAGAATATGATGATGTATACTTTTTGATGGGTGTTCATATAACAGTGAAAATCTCCAGGCCGGCTGCAGTGGCTCACACCTGTAATCCCAGCACTTTGGGAGGCTGATGCAGGTGGATCACGAGGTCAGGAGATTGAGACCATCCTGGCCAGCATGGTGAAACCCTGTTTCTACTAAAAGTACAAAAATTAGCCGGGCATGGTGGTATGTGCCTGTAATCCCAGATACTCAGGAGGCTGAGGCAGGAGAATCACTTGAACCCGGAGGTGGAGATTGCAGTAAGCTGAGATCGCGCCACTGCACTCCAGCTGGGGTGACAGAGCAAGACTTCATCTCAAAAGAAAAAAAGAAAAAGAAAAAGAGAAAATCTCCTCTGTGTGCTGGGTCTTGTTAGTACACTCTTTTTTTTTTTTTTTTTTTTTTTTTTTGGTGAGACAGAGTCTCGCACTATCACCCAGGCTGGAGTACAGTGGCATGATCTCAATTCAATGCAACCTCCACCTCCCGGGTTGAAGCAATTCTCCTGCCTCAGGCTCCCAAGTAGCTGGGATTACAGGTGCCCACCACCATGCCCAGCTAATTTTTTGTATTTTTTAGTAGAGATGGGGTTTCAACATGTTGGTCAGGCTGGTCTTGAACTCCTGACCTCGTTTCACCCACCTCGGCCTCCCAAAGTGCTGGGATTACAGGCGTGAGCCACTGCGCCTGGTTAGTACACTATACTACTCAAAGGCTTTATCCAGTATAAATGAGAGGCACAATTTACTCTAAAATCATGTTTGTAAGCACCCATGACCATACTTGTGGCCCTAAGCCCAGGTATTAGTCAACATCTCTCTTAATTTGTTGGGTTTAAGAGAGTAGAGTCCTCATCTGCTATGTTCTGAGTTTAGAAATGTGTCACCATCTCAACTGTGGTTGGAGGCTCATACATGAGTCACAATTCCAACTGTGGACAGTGTTTGCATTTGAGATTCTGTTTGCATTTGAGATTCAAGACTTCAGCCATAGGCTCTTTCCCTGTGTGAGGGTGATAATCCTAATAATTGGTGAGGTGTGCATATAAGAAACAATCTCACCTTTGTGCTGTGTGCCCTGGGATAACACGTTTGTAACACTCGAGGGCATTATACAATATGTTAGAGTGTGGCAATTCTTTATGACCTTCATAAAAAGAGAAGACCAAGGAAGTGACTCATTTATCTAAGTCGAGCTATGAGAGACAGTATTTCTTCCAATAGCTGACTAGAGGTATGAGAGTCATCATTCCACTTATAAGCTGACTATAGTATATGTCACCATTTAACCTGTAGGTAGGGAGTTAGCAAGAGAGTTACATCACCTGGGATTTCAGCCAAGGTATCTCACAATCTTCCCCGAGGGAAGGAAACAAGCAGGAGTGTCATATCACCTGGGTGCTCAGCCAGGGATATGTTACAATTCTCTCCTGAAAGCACAGCACAGGCAACAGAGTCACATCACCTGGGTGCTGAGCTAAGCACTATGTCACAATGCTCCCTGGGGGCAAGACAGGGGCAGAAGAGCCATATCACCTGGTGTCTGGTTCCAGGGATATGTCACAATATTTCCTGTTCAGGGCACAGTGCAGGCAAGAAGTGTCACCTTTTAGGTCATGGACGCAGATATATGTCACAAGGTCCCTGTGGGCAGAGCCCAGGCAGGAGCATGCAATCCCATAGGTAGTGGGCCTAGCAATATTTTACAATATCCAAAATATTTGAGGCCCAGGGAAAACAGGAGAATCACATCACCTAGATGCTGGGTCCAGTGATATGCCGCAATCCTCCCTTTTGGCAGGGCCCAGATAGAAAAGAGTTACATCATCTAGGTGATGAATAAAAAGATATGTTATAATACCTCTGTGGACAGGGCCCATGCAGGAGATTCACATCATCGAGGTGTTAGAACAAGCCACATGTCACAATACACAATGTACAAGAGGAACCAGGCAGCACAGGAGAGTCACACGACCTAGGTTCTGACCCAGCAATATATTACAATCCCTTCTTAGGAAAAGCCTAGGAAGTAGAGGAAAGTCATATCACCTGGGCACTAGGCCCTGTGATATGTCCAGTGTTCTCTGTGGAAAGCACTAAGACAAGAGAATAGACTCACATCACCTAAATGCTGGGTCCAGAAATATGGCACAATCCCATCTGTACGTTGGGCCCAGGCAGGAGAGTCAAATTACTTAGGTGCTTAAAAAAGGTGTATGTCACAAACACACCTGAATTAAGGTCGAGGTATGAGATTAACAATTTCACACATTTCTTAGTTCTAGGTATGAGACAAAATACCCTCTGTATGTTGGGTGTAAGTACCTGAGTGACAGTCTCAATGATGGTCTGGATTTGTGCATGAGAACTTCAATCCTTCCTGCAAATTCTGTCATTTTAATGAAGTCACTGACTCACAGGTGTGCTGAATCTTGGTCTCAGAGACACTAACCTCTCTATGGATCGAATTAACATGAGATTTAATTTTCTAACTTTCAACTTCATCTGGGTATGAGATTCAGAACCTCAACAGTGAGCTGTGTTTATGTGGAAGGATGACAGTCTTTACTGTTGGCAGGCTATGCATATGAGTGTCGCAACCTCCCCTGTGTGCTGAGTTCTGTTAGGACATTCCCTGTACCTCTTGACGACTTTACACAGTATGTGACAGAGTGTTAATTCTTTATGACCTTCATACAAAGAAGAAACCCAAGACATTACTCATTTTCCTGACCCTGGCTATGAGAACTAGTGTATCTGCTATTGGTTGTTTAGAGGTATGAGAGTCATATTGCCCCTATAAGTTTGGATAAGATATGTATCACAATCCCACCAGTGAATAGGGATTGACCAGAAGACTCACATCACCTGCCTTTTGGGGCAATATGTCACAATCATCTCTAAGGGCAGGGATAGGGCAGAAGTGTCACACCACCTGGGTGCTCGATTAGGGATACGTTACAATCTCCTCTTGAAAGCAGAATATAGTCAGCAGAGTCACATCACCTGGATGCTAGGCCCAGTGACATGTTACAATGATCTGTGGGCAAGGACCAGGCAGGAAAAACACATCACTTGATTGCTGAGACCGGTGATTTGCCACAATCTTCCCAGTGGTCAGGGTGCAGGCAAAAAGGGGAGTTAAATCTCCTAGATAATGAATGCAAAGATATGTCACAAGGTCACTTATGTGCTGGGCTCAGGCAGAAGCCTCCGATTTCATGGGTGTTGAACTCAATGGTATGTCACTATACCCAAAATATGCCAGAAACAGGAAAAATAAAAGAATCACATCACCTAAGTGATGGAAAGATGATACAATACTTCTGTGGGTGGTTCCCCTGCCATAAAGTTGTATCACCTAGGTGTTGAATCCAGGCATGTCACAACACACAATGCATGCAGGGCTTAGGCAGAAGAGGAGAGTCACAACACATAGGTGGTGAGTCCAGCAACACATCACAATCCCTGCTTGGGCAAAGCCCAAACCATAGAGAAGAGTCACATCACCTACTGGGCTCAGCAATATGTCACACTACCCCTTATGTGGAGGGCCCATGCAAGAGAGTCACATCACCTATATAATGGGCTCAGCAATATGTCACAATACCCATTCCGGGGAAGGCCCATCCAAGAGAGTCACATCATCTAAATTACGGGCCCAAAAACATGTCAAAATGCTCTCTGTGAGTACAGCTCAGGAAAATAAAAGAATCACACGACCTAGGGTTTAGGCCCAACTATATGTAAAAAACACCCCAGTTCGCAGAGCCCATGCATGAGAAAAGAGTCACATCACCTATGTGCTGGGCCCAGTGATATGTACCAATACTTGTTTTGGCAGTTCCCAGGTAGAAGAGGAGTGTCGCATCACCTAGGTGATTAACAGAAAGATATTTCATAATACCCCTATGGGCAGGGCCCATGCAGGAGAGTTGCATTACCTAGGTGTTAGACTCAGTGATATGTCTTAGTACACAATGTGTGCAGGTCCCAGGCTGGAGAGGAGAGTCACCTCATCTAGGTTCTTGACCCAGTGGTATGTCACAATCCCTTTTTGTGCAGAGATGAAACAGCAGAGTCACATCACCCGGATTCTGGGCCCAGCAATATATCACAATACCCCAAGAAGACAGTCCAAACAAAAGAGTTACATTGGCCAGGTGTGGTGGCCCATGCCTGTAATCCCAGCACTTTGGGAGGCCAAGGCAGGTGGCTCACTTGAGGTCAGGAATTCGAGACCAGCCTGGCCAACATGGTGAAACTTCATCTCTACTAAAAATACAAAAATTAGCTGGGCGTGGTGGCATGTGTACCTGTAATCCCAGCTACTCAGGAGGCTGAGGCAGGTGAATCACTTGAACCCAGGAGGCGGAAGTTGCAGTGAACCAAGATCACACCACTGCACTCCAGCCGGGGCAACAAAGCCAGACTCTGTCTCAAAAAAATAAAAGTTATATTACCTAATTAACGGTCTCAGAGATAAGACACAGTGCCCCTCACAGATAGGGCTCAGGAAGAAGTGTGGAGTCACATAACATTTGAGCTGGCCCCAGCTATGTGTCAAAATCACTCCAGTCGGCAGGGCCCTGGCATAAGAAGACAGTCATATCGAAGCTAGGTGCAGTGGCTCATGCCTGGAATCCCAGTACTTTGGGAGGCCAAGGCAGGCGGCTCACCTGAGGTTGGGAGTTTGAGACCAGCCTGACTAACATGGAGAAACCCCATCTCTACTGAAAACATAAAAAAAATTTGCCAGGTGTGGTGGCGCATGCCTGTAATCCCAGCTGAGCCAAGATCATGGTATTGCACTCCAGCCTGGGCAACAAGAGCAAAACTCTGTCTTAAAAAAATAAATAAATAAAAAGTCACACAATGTAGGTGCTTGGCCAAGCAATATGTCACAATCCCTACTGTGGACAGGTCCCAGGGAGAAGAGAGTCACACAACCTCAGCAATGGGCCCACATATATGTTACAGTGACTTCTGCGAGTCAGCAGAAGAATCATATCACCTGTATGCTAAATTCAGCAGTAAGTCACTCTCTCTTCTAAGGGCAAGGCCCAGGCAGGAGAGGAGAGTCATATCACCTTGGTGCTGGGCCCATTTGGTCAATGTCCAGGTAAGAGAGAAGAGTCACATAAAATAGTCAAAGGGTGCCAAGAGCAATGGTTCACACCTGTAATCTCAGCACATTGGGAGGTCAAGGCGGGTGGACTGGCTGAGGTCAGGAGTTTGATATCGGCCTGGCCAACAGGGTGATATCTTGTCTCTACTGAAAACACAAAAATCAGCCAGACGTGGCGGCACACACCTGTAGTCTCAGCTACTCAGGAGGCTGAGGCAGGAGAATCACTTGAACCCAGGAGGCAAAGGTTGAAGTGAGCAGAGATCACGCCACTGCACTCCATCCTAGGTGACAGAGTGAGATTCTGTCTCAAAAATAAAATTAAAATAAATAAAATATAATACAATAAATAAAATAAAATAGTCAAAGGGCCCCAGATATGTTACAATGCACCTTGTAGGCAGGGTCCAGGCAGGAGACTCATATCACATTTGTTCTGGGCCCAGTAATATATCACCACACCTGCTGAGGGCAGTGCCATGACACAAGAGTACTGTCACCCTAGTATTAGGCCCAGTGACATGTCACAATATCCCCTGTGGGCAAAAACCTAGAAGAGGAGAAAAGTCATGTTAGCTAGGTGCTGAGCCCTGTGATACATCACAATCCTTTCTGTGAGTAGGGGCCAAGCAGAAGAGAGCTGCATTACCTGTGTGATGGATGCAGGGATATGTCACAATGTCCTCTGTAGGCAGGGCCTAAGCAGTAGAGTTACATCACCTAGGTTTGGGACCCAACAGTATGTCACAATGGGCCACATGGGCAGGGCACAGGCAGAAGAGTCACATAACCTATGTGTGGGGCCCAGCGATATGACACAATGCCCCCTGTGGAAGAGCCAAGGCAGGAGAGAAGATTCACACCACCTGGGTACAAGACCCAGCAATATGTCACAATGTCTTCTGTGGGCAGTGCCAAGGCAGTGGAATAGTTACATTACCTCAATTCTGGGTCCAACGATATGTCACAATCCTTTCTGGGGGCTGGGCTCAGGCGGGAGCAACAACTCACTCTGTTGCCAGATAAAGTCACATGTCATAATCACACCATCAGAAATGTTCAGGGATGAGATTATACATCTGGACTGGAAAGAATCAACACATCAAAAATATGACCAGATTGTGCATGGTGGTGCATGCCTGTAATCCCAGCACTTTGGGAGGTCAAGGCGGGAGGATACTTTGAGCCCAGGAGTTTGAGACTATCCTGGGGGCCACATGGTGAGACAACCCCTATATTAAAAAATAATAAATAAATTAAAAAAAAAAAAAAAATATATATATATATATATATATATATATATAAAACCAGAGCCTGAAAAACATAGCAAGACCAAGTCTCTTCTTAAAAAAAAAGGAGAGATAGATGATAGATTGATTACAGGTAGGTAGGTAGGTAGGTAGGTAGTTAGGTAGGTAGACAGACAGACAGAGATAGAACCAGGCATGGTGGCTCACGCCTGTAAGCTCAGTACCTTGAGAGGCCGAGGCCAGCAGATCGCTTGACCGTGGGAGTTTGAGATCAGCCTGGAAAACATGATGGAACCCCATCTCTACAAAAATAAAAAGCAAGATATGCAAAATAATGTGCCAGTGTGGTGCCGTATACCTTTAGTCCCAGTTACTAAGGAAGCAGGGTGTCTGAAACAGAAGAATCACCTGAGCCCAGGGAGGTCGAGGCTGTAGTTAGCTGTGATCAAGTAACTGCACTTAAGCCTAGGTGAAAGAAATCTAAAACAACAGCAACTGCAGTGTACAGGAAGGAGCATGAGAGAGAGAGGGAAAAAAAACCCAAAAAACAAAAACCAACAAAACTCAATGTACTGTGGAAACAAACTCAAAGTGGGGATAGAAAAAAACAAACAAACAAAACACAGAACTATCCCCAGATCCCCAGCTATTTGGGAGGCCAAAATGGGAGGATCACCTGGATGAGCCCAGGAAGGTGGAGGGCACAGTGAGCCATCATTGAGCTTTTCTGGTGGACCTAAGCGGTACTGCACTGGCGAGAACCATCTGGTCCCCCTTAAACATTTTAAGCTGGCGACCAAGTCCTACGCTTGTGGCCGACATCCTGTAGACCTGGCAGCCAGAAGGAGAAGCCAGCTCATGGCGGAGGCAGAAGCCCACCAGTTCCACCCTGGGCCATGTGTGGCGCTTGCGGCCTGAAGCTGTCCCCGTTGGAAACTTATTCCCCCCAAGGTGGCCCACCTCAGTGGCCGGCCTCTAAGTCTGCTGACCTTCCTTCCTAAGCTTTGAATCTCTGATCAACCCAAACGTGTGGCCAGCGGCCACAAGTACTGGCCACAGCTCAGCCCACATCTGGTCACCTGATGGTGTGACCAGGAAGCCACTAGGTCCACCCTGCAGGCCACGTGTGGAGCTCGCGCCCAAAGCTGTCCCTCTGGCGACTAAGTCTGAGAGCTTCCCACCTACCTCTGGGTGACAGAGCGAGACTAACGCAAAAAAAAAAAAAAAAAAAAAAAGAAGAAAAGAAAAAAAGAGCCGGGTGCAGTGGCTCACACCTGTAATCCCAGCACTTTGGGAGGCTAAGGTGGGCAGATCACCTGACGTCAGGAGTTCAGGACCAGCCTGACCAACATGGAGAAACCCCATCTCTACTAAAAATACAAAATTACCTGGGCGTGGCGGCACATGTCTATAATCCCAGCTACTTGGGAGGCTGAGGCAGGAGAATTACTTAAACCAGGGAGGTAGAGGTTGTGGTGAGCCAAGATCACGCCATTGCACTCCAGGCTGGGCAACAAGAGTGAAACTCCATCTCCAAAAAAAAAGAAAAGAAAAAAGAAAAAAAGAAAAATGTAGAATAAAGAAAGAAATGAAGGAAAGAAGCAAGCAAGCAAGAGAGAGAGCAAAAAAAAAAAAAAAAAAAGGAAGAATGAAAAAGAAAATAAAAAGAGGGCAGAACATGGTGCCTCAAACCTATAATCCCAACACTTGGGGAAACTGAAATGGAAGAACTAGTTGAGCACAGGAGCTTGACGCCAGCCCTGGGAACATAGCGAGGCCTCGTCTCTACTACAAGAAATAAAAAATTTAGCCAGGCATGATGGCATGCTCATGTAGTAGGAAAGAAAACAGGCGGGAGGAAAGGAGGGAAGAAAAGAAGAAAGAAAGGTAGGAAGGAAGGAAAAAATAAACCAAGTTCTACAAGGAAAAAAAATTAAAAAGAAACAAAGGGAAAGAGAGAAGGAGGAAGAGAGAAATACAAAACAAAAAAAAGGAAGAGAGAAACAGAGGGAAAGACACATAGAAAGAGAGAGACAAAAAGGGAGAAAAAAATAGGAAAATAGGAAAGGAGGCCAGGCACAGTGGCTCACACCTGTAATTCCAGCACTTTGGGAAGCCGAGGCATGAGGATCACTTGAGGTCAGGAGTTCGAGACCAGACTGGCCAACATGGCAAAACCCTGTCTCTACTAAAAAAAAATACAAAGAATTAGCCAGGCATCGTGGCGCACAACTGTAATCCCAGCTATTCAGAGGCTGAAGGATGAGAATCACTTGAACTCAGGATTCAGAGGTTGCAGTGAGCCAAGATTGCACCATTGCACTCCAGCCTGGGCAACAGAGCAAGACTCTATCTCAAGGGAAAAAAAAAAAAAAAGGAAAGATGAAAGATGAAAAAAATAGAACCTAAAAAAGGAGAGGCAGAGAAGAAATCAGCACTGGGTGAAGCCTCCAGGAGGCCACACCAGCTGTTTGCCCACCTGCTGTGCAATGACCTTATGTTCAGAAGCCACTCCCTCTACACTGAAGAGCTATGAGATATGCGAAATAATTGTTGTTCACATTGTGACTCTCAGGCAAACAAAATACATGGTTTCATTGTTTGAATCCTGTGGTTTCTTTCAGCCCACTTTTATTGACTTAACCTAGTTAATGTATATTTTGAATTGTGTGTATGGCTTCAGAACTGAAGTTGATAATGAAATCTCAAGTTTTGATAGCCCAGGAAGTACATAAATATCTAATTTCACCTGAATTGATTTGAGGGAAAATTACCAGTGGAATGCCTTGGTCTGATTATCTGATAGAATCAATTGTTGCACATAAAACAGATCTGCACATATATATATATATATATATATATATAAAAAATAATAAAATAATGGAAGACAAAAGAAAATCTGGCTTATTGACCTTTGAACCTCTCACCCAGGCCACCTACCATCTTTACTCCCACTTACCTGGCTGTGCAGCTATGGTCTCCTCACTCTTCACAGTCCAGGGCTCTTTCTTTCCCTCCAAAAAGGTCACCAGGTCCAGCTTAGAGATGGCAAGACCTGTTTTTTAATAAAAAGTCAGATGATTAATGCTGGAGGATATGTAATTGCCAGCTCAGTACTGTGCTCAGTGGAGAAAAGGGGACATTATATAAGATTTTTAAAAATTATTCCCCAAAATACTGTTTCCTACCAGCTTCTTTAGAATATGTAGGAAGTATTTTACGTTTAGAAATTCTGTGCTTCATTTTCAAGTTTGAATGAATCAAAACTAAGGGGGAGGGCTGGAAACACTAGGAAGATTTTTTTCTACATCAACAAACTTAGAATTTTTTTTTTCCTGAAAGCAAAACTCTGAAATTCATTCAGACAAAGCACTACCTCCCAAGGAGACATTCTAAAAAGGAAAGAAATAAAGCCCTTGTTATGTTGCAACCCAGCGAGTTGTAGAGAAACACCACACTCTGAGACTAATTCAGGAGTCCTTTATTGCCAGCGACCGAGAGATGGCTAGCGCTCAAAATTCTCTCGGCCCCGAAGAAGGGGCTAGATTTCCTTTTTTTTTTTTTTTTTTTTGAGACAGAGTCTTGCTGTGTCACCCAGGCTGGAGTGCAGTGGCGCGATCTCAGCTCACTGCAACCTCCGCGTCCCGGGGTCACGCCATTCTCCTGCCTCAGCCTCCCAAGTAGCTGGGACTACAGACGCCGCCACCACGCCCAGCTAATTTTTTGTATTTTTAGTAGAGACGGGGTTTCACCATGTTAGCCAGGATGATCTCGATCTCCCGACCTCGTGATTCGCCCACCTCGGCCTCCCAAAGTGCTGGGATTACAGATGTGAGCCACCACGCCCGGCCAGATTTCCTTTTATACCTCAGTCTACAAGGGGAGGGGGGAGCCTAGCTGAAGCAATTTTACAGAAGCAGAACAGGCAAAAAGTTAAAAAGATAAATGGTTACAGAAACAGTTACAGAAAAAATGAACAGTTCCAGGTGCAGGGGCTTAAACTATCACAAAGTGATAAACGCAGGGGCTTTGAGCGCATTCCCAGGAGCTGCTGGTACAGCTTGCCTCAGTATCTTATCAGTAAGTGTATTCCTGGATGTGCTTGGAGTCAGCTTGCACTGGTTATGCCCTTAAGGGAGAGGGGTAAAGGGGCTGCAAGTAAAGAAACTAAAATGGAGTCTGTCCGGCTCTCTCAGCTAAGAGAGACAATCAGGTTAAAACAAGGTACGGTATCATAGTTATTAGACATTAGATATTCTGAAGGTAAGTTATTCCGACTCAGAGACAACGTATGTATAGTTCTCTAACATCAAATCTCTATACATATTCTGCTGAGAAGGGTTCAGGTATTTTTACTCCTCCAGAGAGAATTCTATGACCACATCCCTGAATGTCAACAGTTTCTCTAATAAAAATAAATAACACATTGATCATGCAGTCAAGGGCAGAGTTCCTAATTTGACCCAAGATGAAATAAGAAAGTTAAGACAACTGGTTCTGACTTATGAGTGACCTGAGTTACTAAATAAGATACTTTTAAACACAGTAATATTTCGAATATATTCTCTAATTCTGTGGAAATATAAGATCCACAAAACTAGCATAAATATGCACATATAAAACAAAATATAAACACGAATCAATATAAGAATATACATTTTTGAGTGCTATTTTTGTATTTATTTATTTATTTTTTTTTTTGAGACTGAGTCTCGCTCTGTCACCCAGGCTGGGGTGCAGTGGCGCGATCTCGGCTCCCTGCAAGCTCTGCCTCCCGGGTTCATGCCATTTTCTTGCCTCAGCCTCCCAAGTAGCTGGGACTACAGGTGCCTGCCACCATGCCCGGCTAATTTTTTGTATTTTTAGTAAAGACGGGGTTTCACCATGTTAGCCAGGATGGTCTCAATCTCCTGACCTCGTGATCCACCCGCCTCGGCCTCCCAAAGTGCTGGGATTATAGGCGTGAGCCACCGCGCCCAGCCTGTATTTTTTTTTTTTTTTAAACGGAGTCTTGCTCTGTCGCCAGGATGGAGTGCAGTAGTGTAATCTTGGCTCAGTGCAACCTCCGCCTCCCGGGTTCAAGCAATTCTCCTGCCTCTGCCTCCTGAGTAGCTAGGATTACAGGCGCCTGCCAGCACGCCCAGCTAAGTTTTTGTATTTTCAGTAGAGATGGGGTTTCACCATGTTGGCCAGGCTGGTCTCGGAATCCTGACCTCATGATTTGCGCGCCTCACCCTCCCAAAGGGCTGAGATTACAGGCGTGAGCCACCACGCCCAGCTGAGCTTTGCGTTTTACCCCTATTTATCTGACTTGAAATTTATCTCAAAAGGACTTATGAGCCAATATACAGAGATAACTGTAAAACAACATCCAGAGCAGTTTTCATAACTGAGAAGATTGATATAAACAAGGCAACAACAGAAAATTGATCAAATGATGCTTACATTTTATGCACACACCCACAGAAATGGTAAGTATGTACACATGAAAAGTTGGAGAGTAGAACATTTCTGTTTAAATGAAGAAATATTTTAAATTATATAAAAATTATAAGCCTCTTTGTGCATGCTTTTTTGTGTTTCCTAAAACAAGGATGAAGATCAAAACATTTAATGATATAAACTAAATTAAGAGCTATTGTTACTGAATCGGGTGTTTCTTAAAATTTTTTGCTTTGGCCGGGCACAGTGGCTCATGCCTGTAATCCCAGCACTTTAGGAGGCTGAGGTAGGTGGATCACCTGAGGTCAGGAGTTTGAGACCAGCCTGACCAATATAGTGAAATGCCGTCTCTAGTAAAAATACAAAAATTAGCCAGGCATGGTGGCATGCACCTGTCGTACCAGCTACTCGGGAGGCTGAGACAGGAGAATTGCTTGAACCCAGGAGGTTAAGGTTGCAGTGAGCTCAGATCGTGCCACTGCACTATAGCCTGGGCGACAAAGTAAGATTCTATCTCAAAAAAAAAAAATTTTTTTTTGGCTTTATGTGCCATGTTATATTTTAGATTTTTAAGATGACATATTAGCTATATATTAATTTTTGTTCTCTTTCTCTGAAAATACAGAAAATGAAATGTATGCTTGTAAAATAAAGATGAAATAAAATAAAAACCTACAAAACTGATACCTTTTTTAGAACTTCCAGTTTCAAAAGCTGATATCTACAGTCAACAAAAATGAGATTTGTTCTCCAAAGCAAGCTATAAGCAAAAAACAAACAAAAAAACCTAAAAAGAAAAAGAAACAGAGTTTTTCAATTAAATGTGACAATTTATAAACCTCACTTGGGAAATCCATCCCTCCAAGATACTCATTCATAATAAAGAGAAAAATAACTTTATAGTGAAGAAACTTGGCAGAAAACACCTTAGCCAGATGAATAAAGTTAGTGTCAGCTGTAATTAGACAAATTGGATCCAGAGGCCAATGCACAGATGGGCCCATAATTACTGCCGTGATATTAGTGGAGAGGAAAGTAAATACTAATCTGAATCTAATCATGAAAAAACATAACCTGTAGGGAAGACACAGGTACTGGTTTGTCCGGAATTGGTGGGTTCTTGGTCTCACTGACTTCAAGAATGAAGCCGCGGACCCTCGCAGTGAGTGTTACAGCTCTTAAGGTGGCGCGTCTGGAGTCTGTCCCTTCTGATGTTCAGATGTGTTCGGAGTTTCTTCCTTCTGGTGGGCTCGTGGTGTCGCTGGCTTCAGGAGTGAAGCTGCAGATCTTCACGGTGAGTGTTACAGCTCTTAAAAGCAGCGTGCACCCAAAGAGTGAGCAGTAGCAAGATTTACTGCAAAGAGTTAAAGAACAAAGTTTCCACAGTGTGGAAGGGGACCTGAGCGGGTTGCCAATGCTGGCTCGGGCAGCCTGCTTTTATTCTCTTATCTGGCCCCACCCACATCCTGCAGATTGGTAGAGCCGAGTGGCCTGTTTTGTCAGGGCGCTGATTGGTGCGTTTACAATCCCTGAGCAAGATACAAAGGTTCTCCACCTCCCCATCAGATTAGTTAGATATAGAGTTTCAACACACAGGTTCTCCAAGGCCCCACCAGAGCAGCTAGATACAGAGTGTCGACTGGTGCATTCACAAACCTTGAGCTAAACACAGGGTGCTGATTGGTGTGTTTACAAACCTTGAGCTAGATACAGAGTGCCGATTGGTGTATTTACAATCCTTGAGCTACACATAAATGTTCTCCACGTCCTCACCAGAGCAGCTAGATACAGAGTGTCGACTGGTGCACTCACAAACCTTGAGCTAAACACAGGGTGCTGATTGGTGTATTTACAATCCCTGAGCTAGATATAAAGACTCTCCACGTCCTCACCAGAGCAGCTAGATACAGAGTGTGGATTGGTGCACTCACAAACCTTGAACTAAACACAGGGTGCTGATTGGTGTATTTACAGTCCCTGAGCTAGATATAAAGACTCTCCACGTCCCCACCAGACTCAGGAGCCCAGCTGGCTTCACCTAGTGGATCCCGCACCGGGGCTGCAGGTGAAGCTGCCTGCCAGTCCTGCGCCGTGCGCTCGCATTCCTCAGCCCTTGGGTGGTCGATGGGACTGGGCGCCGTGGAGCAGGGGGTGGTGCTCGTCGGGGAGGCTCGGGCCGCACAGGAGCCCATGGAGTGGGTGGGAGGCTCAGGCATGGCGGGCTGCAGGTCCCGAGCCCTGCCCCGCAGGAAAGCAGCTAAGGCCCGGCGAGAAATCGAGCGTAGCGCCGGTGGGCCAGCACTGCTGGGGGACTCAGTACACCCTCCGCAGCCACTAGCCCGGGTGCTAAGTCCCCCATTGCCCGGGGCCAGCAGGGCTGGCTGGCTGCTCCGAGTGTGGGGCCCACCAAGCCCACGCCCACCCGGAACTCCAGCTGGCCCGCAAGCGCCGCACGCAGCCCCGGTTCCCGCTCATGCCTCTCCCTCCACACCTCCCTGCAAGCTGAGGGAGTGGGCTCCGGCCTTGGCCAGCCCAGAAAGGGGCTCCCAAGTGCAGTGGGGGGCCTGAAGGGCTCCTCAAATGCCACAAAGTGGGAGCCCAGGCAGGGGAGGTGCCGAGAGCAAGCGAGGGCTCTGAGGACTGCCAGCACGCTGTCACCTCTCACTGGTATTTCTTCAAACTTGTCATGTATCCTAACTGGAAGCCTGGGCTAAGAACCACTTAGCTGACCATTGCTTCTCAAGCTTCGATGTGCATATAGCTCATTTGGTATTCTGAGCCACTCTCTAACTAATGTGATTCTGCAGGTTTTGGAGGGGTCCAGAAATTGGCTTCTTTATCGAAAGTTCCCTGTTAATGCTGATGTTGCTCTCCAGCACTCAGAGAAAGTATAGCACACAGAGTCCCTTACATCTAATACCTTTATTGCAACACAAATACTTTTTGTTACAGTGAAGACCACAAGTCACTGTCTCAGAGGATCACATGCTTTGCCAGCTTTTTAAAGTTTACAGAGGCTGGAGAATGTAGTAATGTCTACATCTGCATTTGAACAACATGTACACATACATTAATACAGTGTTTATTGAGCTTGTACTATGTGCTCACCATGTATGCTGTAATGTGCTGTGCTGGGAAACTCGCATTGTGTCGGTTAAGCCTCAAAAAATTTTGAAAGGTGGGTACTAAGTGTCTCATAATTCCCAGTAGGATTTAGATGATGGCTTAGGCTATTTCTTCTGGTTTCCCTATCACTATAAAAGCTAAATACAGACAGATGGGAGGGATATAGAAAGGAAGGGATAAGTAGAGAGACTTTTAATTGTTGTGTTTCTATTTACTTTCTCATGACTGTGGAACAATTATTGGATCTGCAGAAGTGTAAAACAGGTTGCTGTGTAAAATGTAAGCACTGGTTTCATTGAGAAAGAAAGACATTAAGATTCCAAATGTATACTCCTTTGCTCTCATTTATTTGCTTTTAGGTTTGGAAAAATTCTGAGCTCCAGCTCTGAAGAAACACCAAGGGTAGACACCCGTTTTACACTTCTGCAGATCCAATAGTTGTTCCAAACAGGAGTCTGATCTCCTGTAATTAGTTCTAATTAGTTCTGTGAGGGGAGATTTCAGGGTGGGGCCAGACCTGGACAAGGCTCATAGAGCATAGGTCTGGATAGGGCTGGGGCAGGGAGTTGGCCCTCAGCTTCTCTTCTCTGTGCTGCTGGCTTATTTTGTGTTCTATCTTTTCTAAGCTGGACCAACAAGAACTTGACTCCCAGAATTTTTCTGATTTTAATGGTTTAAGCCTCTTCTCTATTTTGCATGACACACTAACAACCGACTTAACCAAAACATGTAGTACTTTCTAGAAAAACTATATTAGAAACGATTCTTAACAAGGGAAAAGCAACAGAAATAATTGTAACAACTCTTCTGTCTATGATGTCCCTTCAGGTGGTGACATCAGAACTCACAACAACATAAGAGCAGTGTCCCAAATAAAGCCCAAGTCTTCTGTGCAACTCCCTTCTTCATTCTGATCACATTACTCTTAATTCAACCATGTATTTACTGGCTCTAGAATAATAATTCCTGAATAGTAGAGTCCATGACTGTTTCACCTGTTTTTCTAATGGCAAATAATAATAATAAAAGCAATTTGTTTACATATCAGTTTGAGCCTCCAGACCTCCTACTTGTTCTTCACCCAAGTATCAAGAAATGAGAGCCTGTAATCCCAGCTACTTGGGAGGCTGAGGCAGGAGAATCACTTGAACCAGGGAGGCAGAGGTTGCAGTGAGCCAAGGTCACGCCACTGCACTCCAGCCTGGCAACAGACAGAGACTCTGTCTCATAAAAAAATAAACAAATAAAAAACAACAACAAAAAAACTTTCTCCAGTAATACAACTCACACATAGGAGATGGGGTTGCATTCATGCATTCATGGCTCTGGACAGTTGTGGCCCTAACTTCCCTTGGCTAACATGCTTCTTTACACTTAGAGATTCTGCCACCAGATTCAGTTTATACCAGGAGCTCCTCACACAATCTCAAAATTTCACTGGACAAGATCCAAAGCCTGGCCCTGTCTTGTTAATCCCAGGTGGATTTCAGCCCTTATGTGTGGATTCTAGGTACCATTAACTTGGCTCCATATTGTGTTACAGTGAGGAGAGGAAAAGTAGAGGAGAAATCCCCACATGAAGACTGCTCCAACACAGAATGGAGAACCCTATTAGCTGGACTCAAAATTTGGAACTGCAGATTTAGGTTTAGGAGGGCAGAAAAGCAAGCCAAAGGCACCCTTGCCACATGCATAGGCATTTGGACAAGAGAATAAGCAAAATGTTTAGATTCTCAGGCTTACTCAATGCAAATGTGTGAACCTGGTTGAGTTTTCAGGCCAAATGGTATTTGAAAGAATTTCGCATCTGAAGATGCCAGGGGGATAGAAAGACAGAGCTGGAATAGTTAATTGTTGCCCTGTAGTAATTTTCGTAGAAATCTGGTAAAAGTATGCTATTAATGATTGCAGATCCCAAATACGAAGAAAGGCCATTCTGCCTGCAGACTTTGAGGGCAGTGTGCACTTTACTGCACAATTGTGTGTTGTGAATGGAAGCCCAATTGCACAATTGTATGTTGTGACTGGTCCATACAGAATGAAGCATGGTGGGCACAGTATGTGTTCATATCCTGTTTAGTAATTCTGGACAAACTTAGAGAAACATAATTATAAACAGAATTATCTGAAGCCTCAGAAAAATTATACACAACTGGAGAAGAGAAAAAAAAATTATTACAGAATTACTCCAGAATGTGAAGGCCATTATAAGCAAACTGCTAAGAGATTGCAAAGACACTCAATTGCAAATAGCCACCATAATTAGTTCTCAAGTAGAAGAACTGACAGCACCATTGGTCACATACAGTTTATCTTAAATTCACCTAAAAATTGGAGGTCTTCTTTGGTTGCTAATTGGCTATAATTAAAGGAAAAATAAACTAATGTCTTCATGAGAGGTAGTTTTGAAACTTGGAACCAGGACTGTGCTGAAGGTAAACTCCTATCTTCCAACAGAAAATGGAATAAAGTTCTATTTTCTTTGCTATTTACATTTTAAATAAATGATTCCTAGGTTCTAAAAACAGTCCTGAGTCAAAAATACTGACAAAAAGCCTATTTAGCAGTTAGAATAATTTGTATCTATTTCAAGTAGGCAGAAAAGAATTATATAAAAGTTTTCTGGCCAGGTACAGTGGCTCACGCTTGTAATCCCAGGACTTTTGGAGTCCGAGGCGGGTGCATTACCTGAGGTCAGGAGTTCGAGACCAGCCCAGTCAACATGGTGAAATTCCATCTCTACTAAAAGTACAAAAAATTAGGGCCAGGTGTGATGTCTCACGCCTATAATCCCAGCACTCTGGGAGGCCGAGGCAGGTGGATCACCTGAGGTCGGGAGCTCGAGACCAGCCTGACCAACATGGAGAAACCCCATCTCTATGAAAAATACAAAATTAGCTGGGCGTGGTGGCACATGCCTGTAATCCCAGCTACTCAGGAGGTTAAGGCAGGAGAATCGCTTGAACCTGGGAGGTGGAGGTTGCGGTGAGCCGAGATCACACCACTGCACTTCAGCCTGGGGGACAAGAGCGAAACTACATCTCAAAAAAAATAAAAAATAAAAAAACAATTAGCCGGGCATTGTAGTGCACGCCTGTTATCTCAGCTACTTGGGAGGATAAGGCAGGAGAACTGCTTGAGCCCAGGAGGTGGAGGTTGCAGTAAGCCGAGATTGTGCCACTGCACTCCAGCCTGGGTGACAGAGCAAGACTCAGTCTCAAAAAAAACATAAAAATAAATAAATACAAAAGTTTTCTAAAGTAAATGCTTTAAGAAAAGGAAAGAGAAAAATCTTTTATTTTCAAGGATGAAGACTGTATTTCTAATTTTTGTCTGTTCTTATGACAGCCAGGTCTAGGGCTATAATCTTGAACTCATGGACATCTGACTCCCAGTAGGTGCTGGATTCAGGCACCTGAGGCACACTGTGCACATCAGAAAGGGTTTGTAGAAAAGCAAAAGACAGAAGAGGGAAAGGTGCTATCAAGGACCCGTGAGTGGGGGACAGTGCATGGTAGCTGGAAAGACTGGTTTATGCTACAGATACTGATTCAGGCAGGGTTATGTTCTGACATATTCCTGTGTCCATGCAGGTGGATGAGATTATGATTGGTAGTCCACAAGCCCAGGGTGATAGAGAGACCAGGTTGCTGCTTCAGGTTCAGGGTTTGTGGTAGGGATAATCCAGGAGTCCTCTAGGCACTTGTGTAATTCTTTGGTGAGAAATTTTAGAGGTAAAGCCACTATAGAGTAATTCCTCAGATCAAGTCTTCTTGTTTTGTGAAGATTCTGGCCACACCCATTCCTAGTGGGTATGTTCATTAGTAGGCGGAAATCATTGGTGGTAGCAGGTTGAGGGCAGGGAGTCTGTTTTCAGAACTTCTTTCTTCCAAGCCCTCAGTCCCCTTTCACCCTGGGAAGAGATCTGGAATCACAGGACAATGTGCATTGTGACAGCCTGTGTGCAGAACAGAGTTCCCCTTCCCAGAGAAACCAAGAGTCTCCCTCCAGCTCAAATATCTGTGATATTCTTTTTCTGACAACAAATGTGTGGAGTTTGCTGAACAGCAACCAATTCTCCAACACCAACTGGTTGTCCAATAACTCAATTCTGATACCTCCTTGAGTCAGCATAGACCCTACAAGTTCAGGGCTCAGTCCCACAACACTGCCACCACTGCAGATCCCAGTCACAATTCCTAGGGTCTCATCTATACTTCTGAGCCAGTTCCTATAAACTGGGGGCTCTCATAATCTTCTCAAGTTAAATAATGATACAGCTACTCACAGAACTTAGCAAAACATTATAGTTGCAGCCAGGCGCGGTGGCTCACACTTGTAATCCCAGCACTTTGGGAGGCCGAGGCGGGTGGATCACAAGATCAGGAGATCAAGACCACGGTGAAACCGCGTCTCTACTAAAAATACAAAAAAAAAAAATTTAGCCGAGCATGGTGGCAGGCGCCTATAGTCCCAGCTACTCGGAGAGGCTGAGGCAGGAGAAAGGTGTGAACCCAGGAGGCGGAGCTCGCAGTGAGCCAAGATCGCGCCACTGCACTCCAGCCTGGGCGACAGAGTGAGCCTCCATCTCAAAAAAACAAAACAAAACAAAACAAAACAAAAGCATTATACTTGCATTTACCAGTTTGTTATAAAACACACAAGTCAGGAAAAGCTAAATGTAAGAAACATACAGGGCAAGGAAAACTCATGGTGGAAGATGAAGTGGGCAGGTAAGAGCAGTGATTAAAGAAATTCCTGAACTTTTGTGTTTTCAAGAGCATCTTATTGCAAAGAAACACCCTTCCTATTTTTGATATTATGAAGCCACAGACTGTCTAAATTGCTATTTTTTTGCCTTATAAACAATTAATACATTCGTCTTCAGTAGTTAGAACAAAATACCTGTTAATCAAACTTTGCTTAGGTTTCTTTCTTTCCTCAGGCTCCCAAATTTTGACCCAACCACAACCCCTCTTTATGTTCCTCTTTTTTCTTTGAGACCGAGTCTCGCTCTGTCACCAGGCTAGAGTGCAGTGGTGCAATCTCGGCTCACTGCAACCTCCACCTCCCAGATTCAAGTTATTCTCCTGCCTCAGCTTCCCGAATAGCTGGGAATACAGCGTGCCACCAAGCCCGGCTAATTTTTTGTATTTTTATATTAAAAATACCGCACTCGGCCTATGTTCCTCAAAAACAGGCTGACTTGGCCGGGTGTGGTGGCTCATGCCTATAATCCCAGCACTTTGGGAGGCTGAGGAGGGTGGATCACCTGAGGTCAGGAGTTTTGGACCAGCCTGGCCAACATGGTGAAACCCCGCCTATACTAAAAATACAAAACATTAGCCAGGCATGGTGGTGCGCCTGTAATCCCAGCTACCTGAGAGGCTGAGGTGGGAGAATTGTTCCAACCTGGGAGGCGGAGGCTGCAGTGAGCGGAGATCACGCCAGTGCCCGCCTGCCTAGGCAACAGAGCGAGACTCCATCTCACAAAAAACAAACAACAACAAAAAAACCAGGCTGACTTCTGGGTAAAATATTCCCTAATCTAGCATCTGCTTTCACCATGTTCTATCCCTCCCTCCCCTTCCCACTTTTTTTCTGACCTTCTTTTCTTCTTATGAAAGAAAGTCCTTTTCTCTCTAACCTTTAAAATTCTCCAATATCTTATAGCTGGTGCTTTCCCCTTGCTGCAATACTCCTTTAAAATTAAGTAACTTCATGCTGCGCATGACGGCAGGTGCCTGTAATCCCAGCTACTCGGGAGGCTGAGGCAAGAGAATCGCTTGAACCCGGGAGGCGGAGGCTGCAGTGAGCCAAGATCGCACCACTGCACTCCAGCCTGGGCGACTGAGGGCAACTCCGTCTCAAAAAAAAAAAAAAAAGTAACTTCTTGCCAGGCACAGTGGCTCACACCTGTAATTCCAGCACTTTGGAAGGCCGAGGTGGGTGGATTACCTCTTGTCCAGAGTTGGAGAACAGCCTGGCCAAAATGGTGAAACCCCGCAAAAATTAGCTGGGCGTCGGGTCGCCTGCTTGTAGTCCCAGGTACTAGGGAGCCTGGAGGATCGCTTGAATCTGGGAGACAGAGGTTGCAGTGTGCCGAGATCGTGCCACTGTACTACAGCCTGGGTGACAGAATGAGACTCTGGCACAAAAGAAAAAAAAAAAAAAAAAAAAAACCCACTTACCTAAATCTAAATTTGTCATATATCACAAAATCTAGAAACAACCTCAGAACAATAACTCTATTCCCAGAAAAAGCCTCCCAACCCCATTTTTGTGCCAACCCCAACTGCATCTGCCTGTGGATGTATAGATTTTCAGGGCTCTGCAGCTTCTCTAAGCATAAAGGTTCTGTCCATGGCTATTGTGAGCAGGCTGGGACATCTGCAGGAGAGGCTCCGCCGGCAGAACTAAACTATCCTTAGCTTGAGTCACTGAGTTCAGGCTTCTATTTCCCGGTCAGGCCGAGGCGGGCGGATCACTTGAGTTCCAGACCAGCTTCCACCATGGCAAAACCACTTCTCTACTAGAAATACAAAACTAGCCAGGCGTGGTGGCGCAGGTATGTAATCCCAGCTTTTCGGAGGGCTGAGGCACGAGAATCGCTTGAGTCTAGGAGGCGAAGGTTGCAGTGATCGTGCCACTGCACTCCAGCCTGGGCGACAGGGCAAGACTCCGTCTCAAACAAACAAAATGTTTAAGAAAAGAGACTCGGGAGCCCCACCTGCCGCAGCTCCTGCCACGCACACACCAAGTCAGGATTCCGCCCTGATGATCCGCCTGGCATCCCTGAACAATCTGGGAAATACTCGGGGCTGCATGCAGAGCTGCCCAGGGAGCTCCAGACTGGGCGCCGCAGGGACGGGGCTGAACGCGGGGATCCCGGCTGCGGGCCCAGCCGCCATCTTGCGGCCAGAGGGGCCTGGGGCTGAACTGCGCCAGCAGGGACCTCAGGTCGGAAACCCGGGAGCGGTGACGAAGGCAGTCCCGCCGGTTTCACAGCCCGCTCTCTCCTTTCGGGATGCCCAACCCCGCACACTCACCCTTTCCCAGCTTCCAGGATGTCCTGACATCTTAGCTGTGCGTCTCTCCGGACCTGCAGATCACAGGGCAACAGAGGCCGTCACAGAGTCCCCAGGGGCTCCCGAGGTGGAGAATGCAGAAGAGCAGAGACGGATTCCAAGCTCTGGTGGGAGCGAGAGACAAAGGCCCAGCCAAATGCCGGAAACCATGCACTCCTCTTCAACTGCGCGCTTGATTGGGCGGTTGCCGCTCCAGCGCCAAGGATTGGATAAGGACCGGCACTCTCCCCATACCACTCCCACCCCCACCCCCTGCCCCCGCCCCGTTCAGCATTAGTGCGTTTTATGAACAGAAAAACAGGCTAAAGTAGGTAGGGTAAAATGCACAGGGAATTACAGCTAATTAAGAAGTGAGCTGAGACTTGAAATGCACTTGCTCTTTCCCTTACCTGGGTCTGCTTGTATAATGCATCTTATTTGCTACTTAAGGGTAAGAAAAGATCATTTGGATTTTTTTTTTTTTTGAGACCGAGTTTCACTCTTATTGCCCAGGCTGGAGTGCAATGGTGCGATCTTGGCTTACTGCAACCTCCGCCTCCCGGGTTCAAATGATTCTCCTGCCTCAACTTCCCAAGTAGCTGGGATTACAGGCGTATGCCACCACGCCCGACTACTTTTGTATTTTTAGTAGAGACAGGGTTTCACCATGTTGCCCAGGCTGGTCTCGAACTCCTGACGCCACACTGGTCTGAACTCCTGACCGCCCGCCAGAGCCTCCCAAAGTGCTGAGATTACAGGCGTGAGCCACCGCGACCCGCCCATTTGGACATTTTTTTTTAACAACTTTTCAATCATTTTGATAATGCAGGAAAGATCTTCATCCCATCCCTGAGCCCCTTTCTAACCATGCTGTACCACACTGCTGACCATATCGTGGGATGTCCATTTGGAATGGGGCTGGGGTCGGGGGCAGCAGAGGCTGAGAATGGTTAAGCAAGAATTATGTTACCCAAATTTGTTCATCTTAGACAGGCTCCTCTATCGTTCCGTGTGAAGTGGCTATTCCAGGGTAATCATGCCCTGACTGCACTGCATCTCAGTCTGACTTCTCTTTTTTAAAATTACTGGATTACTCTCACTAACAGGGTATTTCATCTTCCATTTGAAAATGGCCAACAGTCCTTTGTCGGTTGTCCTGATTTGATTTGCTAGTTTAGACCCTGGAGGTAGAGGTTAGGAAATATTGGGCCACATCAGAATACCTTATTCTCACTTAGAGGATATATAGGAATTTCTTAATATCTAACAGTTTTCTCAATAGCCATTATATTTAACAATGATAGCTTACAGGGCAGAAAGGGGACACAGATGACACAACCTCAGAAATTTAATTTGGTCATAAGTTTTTTTTGTTTTGCTTTGTTTTTGGAGACAAGGTCTCACTCTGGTGCCCAGGCTGGAGTGCAGTGGTACAACCATAGCTCATAATTCGGTTGTAATGGTTCTTTTAAAAATGTTTTTGGCTGGGTTTGATGGCAAACACCTGTAATCCAAACACTTTGGAAAGCCATGGTGGAATGATTGCTTAAGCCCAGGAGCTCAAGACCAGTCTGGGCAGCATAGTGAGGCTCAGTTTCTAGAATAATTTTAAAAATTGGCCTTGTGTGATGTTGCATGCCTACAGTCCCAGCTACTTGAGAGGCTGAGGTGGAAGGATCACTGGAGATTGAGGCTGAAGTGACCCATCATTCGGCCACTGCACTCCAGCCTGGGTGACAGAGTGAGACCTGTATGTGTACACACACACACAAACATATATATACATACACCCACAGACACACATATATATGTGTGTGTGTCTATATATATATATATATATATATATATATATATATATACTCAAAATAATATGTATGTTGAAAGAAATTCAAGCACAGAAGAAAAGTGAAAGACCATGGTGGGGAATGTGATAAAAGGTGAGTGTGGCTCCTACAGCTCAGTTTCCATCTTAAGGAACTGCCCTCCCACACTGAAACCACAACCCAGCACATGCCAATTCTCACACTATTTATACTTTGCCCAAAGGCAACAGAAGGAGGTCAACATCATCATTTGTGCCATGGAAGTCTATTCCCCACTGAGACCTTTTAAAAATGTTACTGTCTTAAGCCCTCTTCCTTCCAATAAAGCCTATACAAATACATACATACAAGCCTGAAAGTACTATAAATAAAATATCAGGGGTTTTTTTTTGGCCAGAAGCGGTGGCTCATGCCTGCAATCTCAGCACTTTGGGAGGCCGAGGCGGGCAGATCACCTGAGGTCGGGAGTTCGAGGCCAGCCTGGCCAACATGGAGAAACTCCTTCTCTACTAAAAATACAAAATTGGCTGGGCATGGTGGCACATGCCTATAATCCCAGCTATTCAGGAGGCTGAGGCAGGAGAATTGCTTGAGCTCAGGAGACAGAGGTTGCAGTGAACTGAGATGGTGCCACTGCACTCCAGCCTGGGTAACAAGAGCAAAACTCTGTCTCAAAAAAAAAAAAAAAATCAGGTTTTTAAAATCCCATAAATAAACGAGTAAACACAAAAACAGCCATTTTGATTGAGGAGAGAGTGGGATGGAGGGGGTCAGGAGGCTGCTCGCAACACCTCTGGGCCCCATGTGGAGGAAGGGATGGAGTCTAGGAAGACCCTGGCTAGTCACTTGTTCTGACTGGGCTTTCCCCTAGCTCCACACTTTGTTAACCATTTCCTGGGAAGAGCTTAGGAACCTCTTGTGCCCTAGTGAGGAAAGGCCTCCCCTCACAGGGTATTGGCGAGGAGGCATTCTGAGACTCTGTGAGAAGCTAGCCCAGTGCTTGACAAGTACCTGTGGAAACTGTCATCCTCTGTAACTATCATGTGGCCTTGGAGTGTTCAGATGGCCTGGCCTGGGGCTTGGCGGAGATGTTTGAGGGTCAGCTGCTTTAGGCTCCCACTTTCTCCTCAATCAAAGTGGCTGTTTTTGTGTTTGTTTGTTTATTTTTGGTTTTTAAAATCCTGATATATAAATAGAAATTGCAGCCGGAGGTGCCGAGGCTCAGGGTCGAGAGCTGTGCACTTGGACTTGCTTGCTGGCCTGTGGCCAGGTGAACTCTGGGTGTGAGATGGTTCCCACCATGGATCTACAATCCCCCCCACCTCTCCCCAGGCCCTGAGTAACCAACACAAGGCGGTGCTAAAGAGCAGGTGAGTGATGGGCATCAACCCCCATCCAGGAAGATGTGAATGCTATCTGGGCTGGGGCTGAGCCTGTCGTACCATGCCTGCTTCCTCATGCTGTTCATGTTTAAAAAAAAAAATTCCTGAGATGGCGCTGCTGGATATGAGTGCTGGAAAGGGGGAGGCACCTTTGTCCTAGGGAATTAGGAGCTGACCAGATCCCTCCTGACTGTCCCCCAGAACAAGTGGGGAGTGGTGTTGCACTAAATGGTGCCCCCCAAATATGTATTTGCACTGGCTCACTGAATACACAATACAGAGGCCTAAATGTAAACACGTGAATGGTGTATGTGGACATCAGCCTGCAGCTGGGAAACAGGTGCCTCTCATTCTCCCCAGCAAGTGTGGAATGTGTCCATGCCCATGAGTATATAGATCTGCCCTTCTTAACTTGTATACAACTCCAGGTCTGTTCTGAGTGAATGACGTGCAGATGAGATTTCTCAAGTCATTGGTATATTTGACACTGTGGCTGCTGCTTTTGCTGCCACTACCCCCAGGCCCAACCTGGCTTAAAGTCCAGGCTTTAGGTCAAAAAGATGGAGGGCTTCCTGTGTTCTGGGATAGGAAGTTGAAGATCTGTGGTAGGACTGGGGGTTGGGATACACTTTAGTTTTATGCAGGATGTGAGCTGCAGTGGTTTTATTAATTGTGATTGTCCTGGCCTCATTGTAGCTCCGGGTGGGGAGAAGGAATTAGCAGTGGTGTTTCCCCAGATATCCATGTGCCCAGCCCTGGCCTTCCTGCCCTCAGGCCCAGAAGTAAGCACCACCATAGACTTTGACTTGCCTCTCTACTCCCTGTACCCCAGATGGGAATACCTTGAAGGCTACAATCTGAATGTATTATTCTCCCCATTTTAACCAGACCTGCCTAACACACAATGAGGGAGTGAGGGTAGGATGGGTGGGAGACCTGGGGAGAACCACAGTGGAATCATAAAAGTTAAAGGTGCAGAAGTGGTGGTAACCTCTCCATGAAGCCCAGCTCCCTACCTGATTCTTGCCACACAGTCCCTCCTACAGACACCGGCTCTGGGGGTGGTTGGGGATCCCTATAGACCCGGGCTGTTCTCTGTCCCCACCTGCCTGTGCTCCTTCTCTGTTTTTGTTGTTGCTATTGTTGTTGTTGTTTGTTTTGTTTTGTTTTTCAGATGGCAGTTTCATTCTTGTTGCCCTGGCTGGAGTGCAATGGCACGATTTCAGCTCACTGCAACTTCTACTTCCTGGGTTCAAATGATTCTCCTGCCTCAGCCTCCCAAGTAGCTGGGATTACAGGTGCTCACCACCACACATGGCTAATTTTTGTGTTTTTAGTAGAGAAGGGGTTTCGCCTTGTTGACCAGGCTCGTCTCAAACTCCTGACCTCAGGTGATATGCCTGCTTCAGCCTCCCAAAGTGCTGAGATTACAGCCATGAGCCACCACACCCGGCCCCTGTGCTCCTTCTCTTTGCCTGCTGTCAGGGCCCTAACATGGAGGAGGAGGCAGGTCCTCAGCCTCAGGTATAGCTGAATGTCTTTTGGAGTGTTTGAAGCATGATTTATGTCTTAGAAATTCTAAAAAGTAAAATGAATTCCAATAGTAATGTCTGTTAGTTTTCCTGAGCCAACTGGAAGAAAAGGATTTTTCACCTGAAATTTTTAAATGACACCCAAGGATAGCCACCAGTGTCTTGGCCATGGAAACCTCCTACGTGCTTCCCGCCCCCAGTTTGATTTGCAGCCTCATGATTGTGTTGCCCTGAACATACTTTCCTCTGATGAGTATGGTTCACACAGTTAACACCACTTCATGAGTTGGGGGCATCATGTAGAGATGAGAATGGATTGCCTTTAGTTACCATTGTGCCTGTTTGTCACCTGAGAGGCCCATTTTTCCTGGCTGATTCCATAAGTGTGTTAGTGTTGTCAGACACCTCTGGACAACTCGAATGACAAGGGGCAGTTGTTTTATAAAGGAAACAAAGGCTTTAGATGTGAAATCATTTTCTTTTTCCCTTCTTTTAGGTGAAATACTTCAATTTTTTTTAAGGGTAAACGGTGGTATCTCAGCAGGTTTAGTGTGCTAATTGGCATGTGCTAGGTTGTGGTTTCAGTGTGGATGGGCAGTTCCCAAGATGGAGAACCAGGTCTCACTGAATTGCAGGAGCCACACTTTCTCTTTTTCACATCCCCCACCATGTGCACGTGTGTGTGTGTGTGTGTGTGTGTGTGTGTGTGTGTTTACACATACAGGTCTCACTCTGTCACCCAAGCTGGAGTCCAGTGGCTGAATGCTGGGTTACTGCAGCTTCAAACTTTTAGTCTTAAGTGATCCTCCCACCTCAGCCTCCCCAGTAGCTGGGACAACAGGCATGCAACCAGCCTGCCTGGATCTTTTTTTTTTTTTTTTTTGGTATTTTTTCAAAATAGAGACAGAGCCTTGCCATGTTGGGTAGGCTGGTCTTGAACTCCTGAGCTCAAGCAATCCTCCCGCATTGGCTTCCCAATGTACTGAATTACAGACATGAGCCACTGCGTCCAGCCTAGTTTTATTATCTGATTACACAAGTGTATTCTTCATAATTCACTGAGCTTTACTTGAATGAAGAATTTGTGCATGTATTTCTCTATGCATGTTACATATCAATAAAAAATTACATAGTACATATTTGGACAAAATGCTAACTCACTGTCTCAAAATAACAGCAGTATTTTTTTTGCTTGTTTCATGGTGAGACACACTCACTCAGAACAAGATCATACTTCTCTGCTATCATGACACACTTATTTCACAGTTTTTTATGGCTCTACAAACAATAGAAATAAAGAAAGGGGTCTCTTGTGTGCACTTATGGGGTATACTCAAATGTAGAGAATTTTGTAGCCAACATTATGTGTGAAAAAACTTACACCTTGATAGATAAAAGATGAAGGGCCAGTGTGGGTGAGAAATTTTTAAGGGATATTTGTTCCCTCACAATATCAGAAACAGAATATTGGTCCACTGCTCTTAACTTACTTCATAAGTTAAGGACAACTTTTTCACAATAAGTTAAGCAGCATTGCCAGGATGCCCTTACTTTTCTGAATGGCCATCATTTGTTAGGTCTTTCTTTCCATGGCGTAGAGTAAATGAGGCAATGGTTAGAAATGCATCCCCCCTAATAGGGCCCTATAGAAGATTATACTGTAAAGGCTATGATTACACAATAGATTTTAAATGTACTTGCTGAAGTTGTGCTAAATAATATTATTTCTTTTAATTACTTATTGGATGAACAGAGAAGTACCTGTGAACTTGCTAACACTGATAGTTGCACCTGGAGAAATACATCCATTAGGCTCCCTGAGCCTACTCTGCATCCACAGAGATGCAGTTGTAGAGGATTAATGAACAGTGTGCTTGGTTGAAATGAGTAGACCACTTATCTAGCTAACTATTTGACCTATTTAATTTTAGTTGGTTGTTCATGGGGACCCTGGCTAAAAAGCATGTTTCGAACTCTTGGTATCATCTTCCTGATAGTTAAAATAGTAATATCTCCCTACTTCACTGTATTCTCTCAAAAGTTATAAATGTTTGCATGCAGTCATTTCTAGAATGTCAAATGGTCTCTTGTAAAACAGAATGACAGAAACTCAAAGACGTATGTGACTATGAAGACACCATAACCTATGAATGACATGATAAGGACAAAAACCCAAAATAGGCCAGGCGCGGTGGCTAACGCCTGTAACCTCAGCACTTTGGGAAACTGAGGTGGGTGGATCATGAGGTCAGGAGTTTGAGACAAGCCTGGCCAACATAGTGAAACCCCATCTCTACTGAAAATACAAAAATTGGCCTGGCGCGGTGGCTCAGGCCTGTAATCCCAGCACTTTGGGAGGCCAAGGTGGGTGGATCATGAGGTCAGGAGATGGAGACCATCCTGGGTAACACGGCGAGAACCTGTCTGTACTAAAAATACAAAAAATTAGCCACGCATGGTGGCACGGGCCTGTAGTCCCAGCTACTCGGAAGGCTGAAGCAGGAGAATTGCTTGAACCCGGGAGGCGGAGGTAGCAGTGAGCTGAGATAGTGCCACTGCACTCCAGCCTGGACAACAAAGCAAGATTCCACCTATAAAAAAATAAAAAATAAAAAAAATAATGGAAACAGAGTGGCACTAAGGCCCTGAGTTTTGGTCACACCATGACCTATGTAAGAACTTAAACAAATGGGGTGATTTTTTTTTCTTTCTTTTTTTTTTTTGAGATGGAGTCTCGCTGCATTGCCCAGACTGGAGTGCAGTGGCATGATCTGGGCTCACTGCAACCTCCGCCTCCCAGGTTCAAGAGAGTCTTCTGCCTCAGCCTCCCGAGTAGCTGGGACTACAGGTGCGTGCCACCATGCCTGGCTAATTTTCATATTTTTACTAGAGACGGGGTTTCACCATATTGGCCAGGCTGGTCTTGATCTCCTGAGCTTTTGATCTGCCAGCCTCGGCCTCCCAAAGTGCTGTGATTACAGACCTGAGCCACTGCGCCCGGCCTGGGGTGAATTTTTTAAACAAAATTATTTATGGCCATCATGTGGACTGAGCATGTGCACTCATCTCAAACAGACCAAAACAAAACAAAATGAGTCACTCATGCTAAAAGTGAGCTTATCAAACCTAAAATTTAAGAAAATAGGTAGATCTTAAAACAGACCAGTTTTTCTTTGGGAGGCCGAGGCGAGCGGATCACCTGAGGTCAGGAGTCTGAGACCAGTCTGACCAACATGGAGAAATCCCTGTCTCTACTAAAAATACAGAATTAAGGCCGGGTGCAGTGGCTCACGCCTGTAATCCCAGCACTTTGGGAGGCTGAGGTGGGTGGATCACCTGAGGTTGGGAGTTTGAGACCAGCCTGACCAACTTGGAGAAACTCCATCTCTACTGAAAATACAAAAATTAGCTGGGCGTGGTGGCGAGCGCCTGTAATCCCAGCTACTCGGGAGGCTGAGGCAGGAGAATCACTTGAACCTGGGAGGTGGAGGTTGCAGTGGGCCGAGATCATGCCATTGCACTCCAACCTGGGCAACAAGAGTGAAACTTTGTCTCAAAAAAAAAAAAAAAAGAAAGAAAAAAAGAAAAAACAAAATACAGAATTAGTTGGGCATGGTGACACATGCCTCTAATCCCAGCTACTCCTGAGGCTGAGGCAGGAGAATTGCTTTAACCTGGGAGGCAGAGGTTGCAGTGAGAGGAGATCACGCCACTAAACTCCAGCCTGGGCAACAAGAGTGAGGAACTCCATCTCAAAAAAACACGAGAAAATACAAACAAGTTTTTGTTTTCTTCTATAAATAGCAGATTTCAACACAAAGAGATCCCCTGTAGTCTAATCCTTTAAAAATAATAATAATAAAATAATAACCTGAAGTTCTTGTTTCCACTTTATAAAACCCACAGTTCTGATATTTCACAGTGAGATCTGAGACTAAATAAGTTCATTTTTTATGATGACACAGTGATATCAATGTCTAAATTTTGGTCTATCTCAGCCGGGTGTGGTGGCTCATGCCTGTAATCCCACTACATTGGGAGGCCGAAGGAAGCAGATCACTTGAGGTCAGGAGTTTGAGACCAGCCTGGGCAGCACGGTGAAACCCCATCTCTACTAAAAATACAAAAATTAGCTGGGCACACCTGTATAGTCCCAGCTACTTGGGTGTCTGAGGCAGGAGAATTGCTTGAACCTGTGAGGTGGAGGTTGCAGTGAGCTGAGATAGCGCCGCTGCACTCCAGCCTGGTGACAGAGCAAAACTCTGTCTCAAAAAAAAAAAAAAAAAAGTTTTGGTCTATGACCCTAGGGAGAAATTGTTAAATTAATTATACCCTAAAGCTGCCCCTTTTCCCGTTTAATTTTAGTCAATAGTTTTTGTTTGTTTGTTCGTTTATTTTACACAATGAACTGAAACCTAACTGGATATGTAAATAGACTGTACCCATTCTTGTACCAACCACTGTGGTTTGGTCAATAAAAGGATGTCAACTGTTCAAACCATGTTCAAATAAGGCAAACCTCAAGTTGTAATGAATTTGGCTGTTTCTGTACCTCACTTCCATTTTCTGTATGTCACTTTGCTTTGTCTGTCCATAAGTCTTTGTCCACCACGTGGCTATGCTGAAATCTCTCTGAGCCTACTCTGGATTCACATGCTACTCTATTTGCAAATCACTCTTTGTTCAGTTAAACTCTGTTGAATTTAATTTCTCTAAAGTTTTTTTTTTATTTAAAAATTTTTCCAGGCCGGGCATGGTGGCTCATGCCTGTAATCCCAGCACTATGTGAGGACGAGGCGGGTGGATGATGAGGTCAGGAGTTCAAGACTGGCCTGGCCAATATGGTGAAACCCTGTCTCTACTAAAAATACAAAAATTAGCAGGACGTGGTGGCGTGCACCTGTAATCCCAGCTATTCTGGAGGCTGAGGCAGAAGAATCGCTTGAACCCGGGAGGTGGAGGTTGCAGTGGGCCAAGATTGCACCACTGCACTTCAGCCTGGGCTACAGAGTGAGACTTTATTTAAAAAAAAAAAAAATTTCCTCAAATTTTTTCTATCGTTAAAATGAATAATGTGTTTTTGGGTTTTAATTTTCTAAACTCATCCCTCACCTATTTTCCCAAATTATTTTGTCCTTTCAAAATGTTTCTGCATTTTTTTTTTTTTTTTTTTGAGGCAGAGTCTCACTCTGTCTCCCAGGCTGGAGTACAGTGGTGTGATCTCGGCTCACTGAACCTCTGCCTCCTGGGTTCAAGCCTCCGTCTCCTGGGATCAAGCAAGTCTCCTGCCTCAGCCTCCCTAGTAGCTGAGACTACAGGCATGCACCACCATGCCCAGCTAATTTTTTCTATTTTAGTAGGGACAGGGTTTCCCTGTGTTGCCCAAGGTTGTCTTGAACTCCTGAGCTCTGACATTCTGCCTGCCTTGGTCTCCCAAAGTGCTAGGATTACAGGCATGAGCCACTGTGCCCGGTCAATTTTTTTTTTTTTTTTTTTTTGGTGACAGAGTCTTGCTCTGTCACTCGGGCCAGAGTGCAGTGGTGTGATATCAGGTCACTGCAACATCTGTCTTCCAGGTTCAAGCAATTCTCCTGCCTCAGCCTCCTGAGTAGCTGGGACTACAGGCACATGCCACCATGCCCAGCTAATTTTTGTATTTTTAGTAGAGATGGCATTTCACCATGTTGGCCTGGATGGTCTCGATCTCTTGACCTCATGATTCACCCACCTCATGAGCCACCACACCCGGCTGTTTTTTGTTGTTGTTGTTTTGTTTTATTTTTAAATCCAGAGTCTCGCTCTGTCATCCAGGCTGGAGTGCAGTGGCGTGAACTCAGCTTACTGCAACCTCTGCCTCCTGGGTTCAGGCAATTCTCCTGCCTCAGCCTCTCGAGTAGCTGGGATTACAGGCATGGGCCACCATGCCTGGCTAATTTTGCTGTATTTTTAGTAGAGACGGGGTTTCACTATATTGGCCAGGCTGGTCTGGGTCTTCTGACCTTGTGATCTGCCCACCTCAGCCTCCCAAAGTGCTGGGATTACAGGCGTGAGCCCCTGCGCCTGGCTGAACAAGTTTCTTGAGGTGAAATAGTTGTATAAACCACATAGGCAAAAGGCAGAATGAAAGTGATTTCAAAAATTGCAGCAATTTTTTATTTTGAGACTTAGTTTCACTCTTGTTGCCCAGGCTGGAGTGCAGAGGCATGATCTTGGCTCACTGCAACCTCTACCTTCTGGGTTCAAGTGATTCTCCTGCCTCAGCCTCCTGAGTAGCTGGGATTACAGGCAGCTACCACCACACCCAGCCAATTTTTGCATTTTTAGCAGAGACGGGGTTTTACCATGTTGGTCAGGCTGATCTTGAACTCCTAACCTCTAGTAATCCACCCACCTCGGCCTCCCAAAGTGCTGGGATTGCAGGTGTGAGCCACCGTGTCTGGCTGCAATTTTTTATTTTATTTTATTTTATTTTTTTGAGATGGAGTCTTGCTCTTTTTGCCCAGGCTGGAGTGCAATGGTGCAATCTTGGCTCACTGCAACCTCTGCCTCCAAGGTTCAAGTGATTCTCCTGCCTGAGCTTCCTGAGTAGCTGGGATTACAGGCATGCACCACCATGCCCAGCTAAGTTTGTATTTTTAGTAGAGACGGGATTTCTCTATGTTGGTTAGGCTGCTCTCGAACTCCTGACCTCAGGTAATCTGTCCCCCTGCCCCAGTCTCCCAAAATACTGGGATTATAGGCCTGGCCACCGCACCTGGTGCTTTTTATCTCTTTTATATTCATTTGCCAATGCTTTTACAGCTCTTCCCATTGAAGTACAGAATCTGGTTTCCAAACCATATATCTGGCTGGCCTTATTTGCTCAGGGCAATGGAAATCTGTGACTATGACAGTGGGCTAGTTTGGGGCTTAGGCTCAAAAGATTTCAAATGCTCCTGTTTTTCTTTCAGAATGTGCCATCTCCATGAGTAACGCCCATGTTAGCCAGATGGAGGATAAGATAACATGAGGAAGAGAAGCAAGGTGCCCCTGTTGATAGCCCCAGAAGCAGATGCTCACCTTCAGAAGCACAGCTGCCTAGTCAATAAGCAGCTGATGATACATGTCTGAAGGAGCTCAGCTGAGACCAAAAGAATGGTCCCACTGAGCCCAGCCTAAATGGCTGACCGTCTCAATTATGAGCTAAAAAGTTTTGGATGGTTTGTTATGCTGCGGTAGCTAACTAATACATGCACTCAGTGCAGATAGGATGCCAGGATTCAATGACAGATTGGTTATTAGTTACCTTCTAACAGTGTGCACCCTAAAAGTATTGATTTTTTCCCCTAATTTAAAGTTGAATGTCTTGCAAAATGACGTTGAGTAATTAAAAAATACATGCAGACATGTATGCATGTAATTGGTCCTTATACTCACATAGTCACCCACACCATAGGAGAAAACAGATAACCGCAGCCTGACAATTAGGGCCAAGGCCAAATAGCAAAATAAGTTTGCCTTAACCTATTTTCTACATATCTAAACATTGGACATCAAGACTATGGACAGATCTGAAAACACAGAGTTTTCTTCTCCTTTGGCTGAGAATTTTTTGTTCACTGGAAGAAAGGTGGACAACAGGTGGCCAGCAGTGGTCCACCTGTGGTTATTTTACTCTTCCTACCTTCTGCCCTTTCTATGGCCATTATCTGTTTCACCTTTTTAACTGAAGAAGTTGTTGGTAGGTAGAGACCTCCCCTGTGGCAGAAAAGGGATGTTCAAGCCCTTCACCTCCACTGACATTGAAGCTGTACTTCAATGTGGCAGCTATTGGCCATGTGTGGCTACTAGGTGCCTGAAATGTTCCTGCTTTGAACTGCAATGTGCTAAAAAGGTAAAATACAGGGTTGGTTTCAAAAATTTAGTTCTAAGTATATATACTTTATTAATAAATATTGCTTACATATTAAAATAATAATATTTTGGGAGCCGGGCGTGGTGGCTCACACCTGTAATCCTAGCACTTCAGGAGGCCAAGGTGATCAGGGTGGATCACTTGAGGTCAGGGGTTCCAGACCAGCCTGGCTAACATGGTGAAACACCATCTCTAGTAAAAATACAAAAAAATTACCAGGGTGTGGAGGCAGGCACCTGTAATCCCAGCTACTCAGGAGACTGAGGCAGGAGAATCACTTTAACCCAGAAGGTGAAGGTTGCAGCAAACCAAGATCCTGCCACTGCACTCCAGCCTAGGTGACAGAACAAGGCTCCGACTCAGAAAAAAATAAAATAAAAATTACTGGCGTCTGCCAGGCGCAGTGGCTTATGCCTGTAATCCCAGCACTTTGGGAGGCCAAAGCAGGCAGATCATTTGAGACCAGGAGTTTGAGACCACCCTGGCCAACATGGTAAAAGCCCGTCTCTACCAAAAATAAAAAAATTAGCCAGATGTGGTTGTGGGCACCTGTAATCCCAGCTACTCTGGAGGCTGAGGCAGGAGAATGGCTTGAACCTGGGAGGCAAA
The DNA here is from genome assembly GCF_000001405.40 of Homo sapiens. Taxonomy (NCBI): domain Eukaryota; kingdom Metazoa; phylum Chordata; class Mammalia; order Primates; family Hominidae; genus Homo; species Homo sapiens. Next base: position 24,020,363 of record NC_000019.10, on the reverse strand, counting down.
GTTTTCAGTGAGCCAAGATCGTGCCACTGCACTCCAGCCTGAGTGACAGAGCAAGACTCCGTCTCAAAGAGTAAAAAGAAAAATTTATGGGAGTCACTGCAAAAATATTAAATAATTAAATGAAAGTGTTGTTCAAATATTGTAGTTTGTGGTCAATGGGAGGAGCGTGAAGGAAAGATTTTTTTTTTCCTGACCTCAAGAGATCCACCCACCTTGGCCTCCCAAGGTGCTGGGATTACAGGAGTAAGCCACCACACCCAGCCAGAAAGACTTTTTTTAAGGTGCATGATGCAAAAACTTAAACTCAATAATCTGTTAGTTACAGTTACATAGTTTCTTACTTTTTACCTTGAGTGTAAAAATTTCCTGGTTATGTAGTCAGAGCTTAATTGACAGTTTGCAGTTGGTTAAGCCTAAATTTTTTTTTCCCTTGAGGTAGTAATTTACCAAAAAAAGGATTTCAGTTAGACTTTTTAAAAGTAGGAATTCAAGGATTAGAGCTACCTCAGTGGAATTGCCTGCCACTTAAATATTTTCAGACTCCACAGGGGACTGATATTTTCCTGCATTTTCCACAGGTGTCCCAAGCAGCTTCTCAAGTCTACCCCTTTCTCCCCATTCCTCCAGCCTAACTCTGGCTTGCAATAATATACTCAATTAACAGCTTCTTCTGAAAATTCCAAATGTCAACTTCCTCTCCCTAATTCACATTATTAACTATTTGTCCTTTAGTGTACATTTTTGATACCATATTTTAATTAATCCTTTTTTGACAAAGCATTGTATAGCACATTTAAAGAGATTTGTTTCTGTTTGTAAATATCTCCTGTGAGAATAAACCAAAGCATAATACCCTGATACTGTATTGTAAAAAAAAAAAGGTCCCGGAGCCAAGATGGTCAAATAGGAACAGCTCCAGTCTACAGCTCCCAGTGTGAGTGACACAGAAGACGGGTGATTTCTGCATTTCTAACTGAGGTACCGGGTTCATCTCACTGGGGAGTGCCGGACAGTAGGTGCAGGACAGTGGGTGCGGTGCACCGTGCGTGAGCTGAAGCAGGGCAAGTCATCGCCTCACCTGGGAAGTGCAAGGGGTCAGGGAATTCCCTTTCCTAGTCAAAGAAAGGGATGACAGATGGCACCTGGAAAATCGGGTCACTCCCACCCTAATATTGTGCTTTTCCAATGGTCTTAACAAACGGCACACCAGGAGATTATATCCCACACATGGCTCAGAGGGTCCTACGCCCACGGAATCTCACTCATTGCTAGCACAGCAGTCTGAGATCAAACTGCAAGGTGGCTGCGAGGCTGGGGGAGAGGAGCCTGCCATTGCCGAGGCGTGAGTAGGTAAACAAAGCAGCCAGGAAGCTCAAACTGGGTGGAGCCCACCACAGCTCAAGGAGGCCTGCCTGCCTCTGTAGGCTCCACCTCTGGGGGCAGGGCACAGACAAACAAAAGACAGCAGTAACCTCTGCAGACTTAATTGTCCCTGTCTGACAGCTTTGAAGACAGTAGTGGTTCTCCCAGCAGGCAGCTTGAGATCTGAGAACGGGCAGACTGCCTCCTCAAGTGGGTCCCTGACCCCCGAGTAGCCTACTGGGAGGCACCCCCCAGTAGGGGCGGATTGACACCTCACACAGCCGATACTCCTCTGAGACAAAACTTCCAGAGGATTGATCAGGCAGCAGCATTTGCAGTTCACCAATATCCGCTGCTCTGCAGCCACCGCTGCTGATACCCAGGCAAACAGGGTCTGGAGTGGACCTCCAGCAAACTCCAATGGACCTGCAGCTGAGGGTCCTGACTGTTAGAAGGAAAACTAACAAACAGAAAGGACATCCACACCAAAAACCCATCTGTACCTCACCATCATCAAAGACCAAAGGTAGACAAAACCACAAAGATGGGGAAAAATCAGAGCAGAAAAACTGGAAACTCTAAAAATCAGAGCACCTCTCCTCCTCAAAAGGAACACAACTCCTCACCAGCAATGGAACGAAGCTGGACAGAGAATGACTTTGATGAGTTGAGAGAAGAAGGCTTCAGACGATCAAACTACTCTGAGCTAAAGGTGGAAGTCCGAACGAATGGCAAAGAAGTTAAAAACCTTGAAAAAATAATTAGGCAAATGGCTAACTAGAATAACCAATGCAGAGAAGTCCTTAAAGGATGTGATGGAGCTGAAAACCAAGGCATGAGAACTACATGATGAATGCAGAAGCCTCAGTAGCCAATGCAATCAACTGGAAGAAAGGATATCAGTGATGCAAGATGAAATGAATGAAATGAAGTGAGAAGAGAAGTTTAGAGACAAAAGAATAAAAAGAAAAAAACAAAGCCTCCAAGAAATATGGGACTATGTGAAAAGACCAAATCTACATCTGATTGGTGTACCTGAAAGTGACGGGGAGAATGGAACCAAGTTGGAAAACACTCTGCAGGATATTATCCAGGAGAACTTCCCCAATCAAGCAAGGCAGGCCAACATTCAAATTCAGGAAATACAGAGAACGCCACAAAGATACTCCTCCAGAAAGTTGAAATGAAGGAAAAAATTTTAAGGGCAGCCAGAGAGAAAGCTCAGGTTACCCACAAAGGGAAGCCCATCAGACTAACAGCTGATCTTTCGGCAGAAACTCTACAAGCCAGAAGAGAGTGGTGGCCAATATTCAACATTCTTAAAGAAAAGAATTTTCAACCCAAAATTTCATATCCAGCCAAACTAAGCTTCATAAGTGAAGGAGAAATAAAACACTTTACAGACAAGCAAATGCTGAGAGATTTTGTCGCCACCAGGCCTGCTCTAAAAGGGTTCCTGAAGGAAGCACTAAACATGGAAAGGGAAAACTGGTACCAGCCACTGCAAAAACATGCCAAATTGTAAAGACCATCAAGGCTAGGAAGAAACTACATCAACTAATGAGCAAAATAACCAGCTAACATCATAATGACAGGATCAAATTCACACACAACAATATTAACCCTAAATGTAAATGGACTAAATGCTCCAATTAAAAGACATAGACTGGCAAATTGGATAAAGAGTCAAGACCCATCAGTGTGCTGTATTCAGAAAACCTATCTCACGTGCAGAGACACACATAGGCTCAAAATAAAGGGATGGAGGAAGATCTACCAAGCAAATGGAAAACAAAAAAAGGCAGGGGTTGCAATCCTAGTCTCTGATAAAACAGACTTTAAACCAACAAAGATCAAAAGAGACAAAGAAGGCCATTACATAATGGCAAAGGGATCAATTCAACAAGAAGAGCTAACTGCCCTAAATATCTATGCACCCAATACAGGAGCACCCAGATTCATAAAGCAAGTCCTGAGTGATCTACAAAGAGACTTAGACTCCCACACAATAATAATGGGAGATTTTAACACCCCACTGTCAACATTAGACAGATCAATGAGACAGAAAGTTAACAAGGATATCCAGGAATTGAACTCAGCTCTGCACCAAGTGGACCTAATAGACATCTACAGAACTCTCCACCACAAATCAACAGAATATACATTCTTTTCAGCACCACATCACACCTATTCCAAAATTGACCACATAGTTGGAAGTAAAGCACGCTTCAGCAAATGTAAAAGAACAGAAATTATAACAAACTGTCTCTCAGACCAAGTGCAATCAAACTAGAACTCAGGAGTAAGAAACTTACTCAAAACCACTCAACTACATGGAAACTGAACAAACTGCTCCTGAATTACTACTCAGTAAATAACGAAATGAAGGCAGAAATAAAGATGTTCTTTGAAACCAATGAGAACAAAGACACAACATATCAGAATCTCCGGGACACCTTCAAAGCAGTGTGTAGAGGGAAATTTATAGCACTAAATGCTCACAAGAGAAAGCAAGAAAGATCTAAAATTGACACCCTCACAACATAATTAAAAGAACTAGAGAAGCAAGAGCAAACACATTCAAAAGCTAGCAGAAAGCAAGAAATAACTAAGATCAGAGCAGAACTGAAGGAAATAGAGACACAAAAAACCCTTCAAAAAATCAGTGAATCCAGGAGCTGGTTTTCTGAAAAGATCAACAAAACTGATAGACCACTAGCAAGACTAATAAAGAAGAAAAGAGAGAAGAATCAAATAGACGCAATAAAAAGTGGTAAAGGGGATATCCACTAATCCCATAGAAATACTAACTACCATCAGAGAATACTATAAACACCTCTACACAAATAAACTAGAAAATCTAGAAGAAATGGATAAATTCCTCGACACATACATCCTCCCAAGACTAAACCAGGAAGAAGTTGAATCTCTGAATAGACCAATAACAGGCTCTGAAATTGAGGTAATAATCAATAGCTTACCAGCCAAAAAAAGTCCAGGACCAGATGGATCCACAGCCGAATTCTACCAGAGGTTCGAGAAGGAGCTGGTACCATTCCTTCTGAAACTATTCCAATCAATAGAAAAAGAGGGAATCCTCCCTAACTCATTTTATGAGGCCAGCCCCATCCTGATACCAAAGCCTGGCAGAGACGCAACAAAAAAAGAGAATTTTAGACCCATATCCTTCATGAACATTGATGCAAAAATCCTCAATAAAATGCTGGCAAACCAAATTCAGCAGCACATCAAAAAGCTTATCCACCATGATCAAGTGGGCTTCATCTTTGGGATGCAAGGCTGGTTCAACATATGAAAATCAATAAACATAATCCAGCATATAAACAGAACCAAAGACAAAAACCACATGATTATCTCAATAGATGCAGAAAAGGCCTTTGACAAAATTCAACAACACTTCATGCTAAAAACTCTCAATAAATTAGGTATTGATGGGACATATCTCAAAATAATGAGAGCTATCTATGACAAACCCAAAGCCAATATCATACTGAACGGGCAAAAACTGGAAGCATTCCCTTTGAAAACTGGCACAAGACAGGGATGCACTCTCTCAACACCCCTATTCAACATAGTGTTGGAAGTTCTGGCCAGGGCAATCAGGCAGGAGAAGGAAATAAAGAGTATTCAATTAGGAAAAGAGGAAGTCAAATTGTCTCTGTTTGCAGATGACATGATTGTATATCTAGAAAACCCCATTGTCTCAGCCCAAAATCTCCTTAAGCTGATAAGCAACTTCAGCAAAGTCTCAGGATACAAAATCAATATGCAAAAATCACAAGCATTCTTATACACCAATAACAGACAGAGAGCCAAATCATGAGTGAACTCCCATTCATAATTGCTTCAAAGAGAATAAAATACCTAGGAATCCAACTTACAAGGGATGTGAAGCACCTCTTCAAGGAGAACTACAAACCACTGCTCAATGAAATAAAAGAGGATACAAAGAAATGGAAGAACATTCCATGCTCATGGGTAGGAAGAATCAATATTGTGAAAATGGCCATACTGCCAAAGGTAATTTATAGACTCAATGCCATCCTCATCAAGCTACCAATAACTTTCTTCACAGAATTGGAAAAAACTACTTTAAAGTTCATATGGAACCAAAAAAGAGCCCTCATTGCCAAGTCAATCCTAAGCCAAAAGAACACAGCTGGAGGAATCACGTTACCTGACTTCAAACTATACTACAAGGCTACAGTAACCAAAACAGCATGGTACTAGTACCAAAACAGGATACAGACCGATTGAACAGAACAGAGCCCTCAGAAATAATGCCGCATATCCATAACTATCTGATCTTTGACAAACCTGTCAAAAACAAGCAATGGGGAAAGGATTCCCTATTTAATAAATGGTGCTGGGAAAACTGGCTAGCCATATGTAGAAAGCTGAAACTGGATCCCTTCCTTACACCTTATACAAAAATCAATTCAACATGGATTAAAAACTTAAACGTTAGACCTAAAACCATAAAAACCCTAGAAGAAAATAAAGGCAATACCATTCAGGACATAGGCATGGGCAAGGACTTCATGTCTAAAACACCAAAAGCAATGGCAACAAAAGCCAAAATTGACAAATGGGATCTAATTAAACTAAAGAGCTTCTGCACAGCAAAAGAAACTACCATCAGAGTGAACAGGCAACCTACAGAATGGGAGAAAATTTTTGCGATCTACTCATCTGACAAAGGGCTAATATCCAGAATCTACAATGAACGCAAACAAATTTACAGGAAAGAAACAAACAACCCCATCACAAAGTGGGCAAAGCATATGAACAGACACTTCTCAAATGAAGACATTTATCCAGCCAAAAGACACATGAAAAAATGCTCATCATCACTGGCTATCAGAGAAATGCAAATCAAAACCACAGTGAGATACCATCTCACACCAGTTAGAATGGCAATCATTAAAAAGTCAGGAAACAACAGGTGCTGGAGAGGATGTGGAGAAATAGGAACACTTTTACACTGTTGGTGGGACTGTAAACTAGTTCAACCATTGTGGAAGTCAGTGTGGCAATTCCTCAGGGATCTAGAACTAGAAATACCATTTGACCCAGCCATCCCATTACTGGGTATACACCCAAAGGATTATAAATCATGCTACTATAAAGACACATGCACACGTATGTTTATTGTGGCATTATTCACAATAGCAAAGACTTGGAACCAACCCAAATGTCCAACAATGATAGACTGGAGTAAGAAAATGTGGCACATATACACCATGGAATACTATGCAGCCATAAAAAATGATGAGTTCATGTCCTTTGTAGGGACATGGATGAAGCTGAAAACCATCATTCTCAGCAAACTATCACAAGGACAAAAAACCAAACACCACATGTTCTCACTCATAGGTGGGAATTGAACAATGAGAACACATGGACACAGGAAGGGGAACATCACACACCAGGGACTGTTGTGGGGTGGGGGGAGGGGGAAGGGATAGCATTAGGAGATATACCTAATGCTAAATGATGAGTTAATGGGTGCAGCACACCAACATGGCAAAGGTATACATTTGTAACAAATCTGCACGTTGTGTACATGTACCCTAAAACTTAAAGTATAATAATAATAAAATTAAAAATAAAATAAAATAAAAGAAAAAAGAAAAGAAAAATCTCTGTGCCTCTTTTTCTTTCATCTTCCCTAGGCACAGGGACCTTATAAGAATGTTTTGGGGATCTTATAAGAATGTTTTGAGGTCAAAGTTTTTTGGGGGGGAGCTTTATTGGGTGATGTGTTCTCAGGCACCCCAGGTTTCACTACTGTCTGTGAATAAACCAATATACCTGCCATGACTATGTCTGCTAGAGTGTCTAGTGAATACCAGCTCCTGAGTCATTTTCTCCCATACGACAACCTGAGATACAGGGTGTAGCCTCTCAAGGGAGCAGTCAGCGGAATGCTTGGAGCTGAAAGGAATCTCCTGGTGTACTCTTCCTTTGAAAAGCTAACCCCCTGAGACACTTAAGATTGTCTTCACTCGGGCCGGGTGCAGTTGCTCATGCCTGTAATCCCAGCACTTTGGGAGGCTGAAGTGGGCGGATCACCTGAGGTCAGGAGTTTGAGACCAGCCTGGTCAATGTGGTGAAACCCCGTCTCTACTAAAAATACAAAAATTAGCTGGGTGTGGTGGTGCACATTTGTAATCCCAGCTACTTGGGAGGCTGATGCCAGAGAATTCCTTGAACCTGGGAGGCTGAGGTTGCAGCGAGCTGAGATTGTGCTACTGCACTCCAGCCTGGGTGACAAGAGGGAAAACTCCATCTCAAAAAAAAAAAAAAAAAAAAAAAAAAAAGATTGTCTTCACTCAACTCAGCTTGCATTTCTTGAAGATTCATTGCTGGTCAGCCAATCTGATGCTGGTATTGAGGGGAAAACAGACGTAATTTCTGCACCCTGGATTCTTTAAGTTTTGTGAAAAAAATAGTATCCCTAAAAACAAAAAATAAAAACATGACCCCAGTGAGATTGTGCAAGAATTTGCGAAGTAAAACGTACTTCGGGAACTCACTGGGGCATAGTGCAGTGTCTCCTGAGAGGGTGGTCATTGAGCACTTCAGTGAGCAAGTTGGGGTGGGAGAATCTCTCAAGTGATTGGATGGCCTGACTTGACTCATGAGTGAGACACATCTGTTTTCTAACCAGCACTGCCACTCCCTGGGTTTGTCACCTTGAAAAGATTTGTTCACTTATATTAACATCAGTTTTTTAACTATAAATTGCATATTATTAGTAGAGCTTGAAACGTAAAGTATTTACAAGGGCCTAAAGCAGGTGAGTTTCAAAAGAATCTAATAGTATATTTCTTTGGTTAAAAATTCTCATTTATGGCCGGGCGCGGTGGCTCACGCCTGTAATCCCAGCACTTTGGGAGGCCGAGGCGGGCAGATCACGAGGTCAGGAGATCGAGACCATCCCGGCTAAAATGGTGAAACCCCGTCTCTACTAAAAATACAAAAAATTAGCCAGGCGTAGTGGCGGGCGCCTGTAGTCCCAGCTACTTGGGAGGCTGAGGCAGGAGAATGGCGTGAACCCGGGAGGCGGAGCTTGCAGTGAGCCGAGATCCCGCCACTGCACTCCAGCCTGGGCGACAGAGCGAGACTCCGTCTCAAAAAAAAAAAAAAAAAATTCTCATTTACCTATTTCTTTCTCTTTCTCCCTTTTTTTTTCTTTTTTAGAGATGGAGTCTTACTCTGTTTCCCAGGCTGGAGTGCCGGGGCGTGATCTGGCTCACGGGAAACTCCGCCTCCCGAGTTCAAGCGATTCTCCTGCCTCGGCCTCTGGAGTAGCTGGGATTACAGGCATCTACCACCACGCCGGCTAATTTGTGTGTTTTTTTAGTGGAGACAGGGTTTAGACATGTGGGCCAGGCTGGTCTCCTGACCTCAGGTGATCCATCCGTCAACTTCCCGAAGTGCTGGAATTACAGGCGTGAGCCACCGCGCCCGGCCTAATTTTTTTTTTTTTTTTTTTTTTTTGAGATGAAGTCTCGCTGTGTCACCCAAGCTGGAGTGCAGTGGGGTGATCTCGGCTCACTGTAATCTCTACCTCCCAGGATCAAGCGATTCTCCTGTTTCAGCCCCCTGAGTAGCTGGGATTACAGGTACCCATCACCATGCCCAGCTAATTTTCGTATTTTTAGTAGAGATGGGGTTTCACCATGTTGGCCAGGCTGGTCTTGAACTCCTGACCTCAGGTGATCTGCCCACCCCCACCTCCTAAAGTGCTGGGATTACAGGTGTGAGCCACGGCACCTGGCCTCACCTGGCTAATTTTTTAATTTTTGGTAGAGATGGGGTTTTGCCATGTGGGCCAGGCTGGTCCCAAACTCCTGACCTCAGGTGATCCATTTGCCTCAACTTGCCAGATTGCTGGGATTGCAGGTATGAGCCATGGTGCCCGGCCTAAAAATTCTCATTTACCTTTTTCTTTCCCAGGGTGAGTTTAGAAATTTTGTCAGGTGTATTTTTTATGGCTAAGTGATTTCCAAAAGAATTCCAAGGAATAGCTATTAGAATACTAGCTACCAAGGGTAAAAATAAGGGAAATCTTCCTTCTATTTTGGCTGCAGGAAATAAATAGGTTTCCACAAGAAAATGTGGTAGATAACTAGTGAGTCACATCGATTCATTAAAACATCAGTTTCTCTTTTTACAGGGTAAATTCATGATGTGAATATTTTTGTTCTGTATCCTGTGATTTTTATTTCTGAGTTTTATTCTAAATTTTGTGAGATAAAACTTCAGGCCAGGCGCGGTGGCTCACAACTGTGATCCTAGCACCTGTGGAGGCTGACACGGGCAGATTGCCCGAGCTCAGGAGTTCAAGACCAGCCTGGGCAACATGGTGAAACCCCATCTCTACTAAAATACAAAAAAATTAGCCGGGCATTGCAGCATGTGTCTGTAGTGCCAGCTACTTGGGAGGCTGAGGCAGGAGAATTGCTTGAACTGAGGAGGTGGAGGTTGTAGTGAGCTGGGTTTGTGCCACTGCACTCCAACCTGGGTGACAGAGCAAGACTCCATCTCCAAAAACAAACAAACAAATACTTGGTAACTCCTAGAAGTGTTTTTATATTACTAATTGTTTGCTACATGATTTTTCATGAAAATAGTACAATAATACATTTATTGTCTGAAGGGAATGGATAATTTTGCTTTCCTTGTTGAGGTATGAAATACAAGCACCTTAAAATTTCCTTTTTTTTACGTGAACATTGTGTTTGAGTAATTTTGCTGGATTTTTGAAACACTTACTTTCAAAATCCAAGTGAGTGGCTGGGCACAGTGGCTCATGCCAATAATCCCAACACTTTGAGAGGCCGAGGCAGGCGGATTACCTGAGGTCAGGAGTTTGAGACCAGCCTGACCAACATGGTGAAATCCTGTCTCTACTAAAAATACAAAAATTAGCTGGGTGTGGTGGCAGGCACCTGAAATTCCAGCTAATTGGGAGGTGCTGCAGGAGGAGAATCGCTTGAACCCAGGAGGCGGAGGTTGCAGTGAGCTGAGACTGTGTCATTGCACTCCAGCCTGGGCAACAAGAGCCAAACTCTTTCTTAAAAAACAAACAAACAAACAACAACAACAACAAAAAAAAACAAAAACAAAAAAAGGAAAGTAACTGATGTGGAAATTAAGCCTGATCACAGTGACTCCAAGTTAAGGCTAATACTGAGCCTGCAAAATGAGTTTATTATAGGCCCAGTTAGTTTTTTCTGGGGAGCCTCCCCTGCAGGTGTCCCAGCCTGCTCACCCCAGCCATAGAAGAAAACTTTATAGTGAGAGAAGCTACAGAGCCCTGGAAAGCTGGGGAGCCATAGGCAGATGCTGTTAAGGTTACGATAGAAGGGGACTGGGAGGGTCTTACTGAAGATAAGTTTGTTCTTGTTTTGAGACAGTTGCCAGACTTTGTAAAATAAAACAAAGTTAGATTTATGTAAAAAAAAATTAAGTTCCAAAAGAGTATTGCAACAGGAGGAAGTACCAACTATAATCCTTAAAGCTTTAAAGATTGCAAAGTTTAGGCAGAAAAGTGCTTTCTTTTATAGGGAGAAGCAAACAAGATTAGAAAGAAGGTGGGAGGGGAATGGCAAATGGAGAGTGAAAAAGTCAGATTCTGGTTCAGAGAATGTTTTACCCTCAAGTCGTACGTTCTTAGGAGAGACCTAAAATGGAGTTGTATGTTGGTTTAGGCAGAGGATAGCTCAAAGTTCAGGAGCCTGTAGGAAGGTGATAGACTTAAGTGAAGTTTTTTTGTTTGTCTGTTTGTTTGTTTGTTTTGTGGGGAGGGAGTCTCACTCTGTGACCCAGGCAGGAGTGCGGTCATGTGATCTTGGCTCACTGCAACCTCCATCTCTCAGGCTCAAGCAATTCTCCTGCCTCAGCCTCTCAGGTAGCTGGGATTACAGGCATGTGCCACCACACCCAGCTAATTTTTGTATTTTCAGTAGAGATGGGGTTTGCCATGTTGGCCAGGCTGCTCTTGAACTCCTGACCTCAGGTGATCCACCTGCCTCAGCCTCCCAGAGTGCCTGGATTAGAGGCGTTAGCCACTGCACCCAGCCTGACTTAAGTGAAATTTTATTTAGAAGTATTTTATTTTTACCACTGAAGAAAAATTCAGCTGATTTTTAAATGAGAACAAGAAGGAAATGTGCAGAGTCTATGTCTGACTATGTGATAGGTGAAAAAAAGAGCATCTAAGTCATAATGGGAAGGATGTTTCTTTTCATAAATGGTTCCTGGAGCACATAATAGATGGAGAATTTTATTTTATTAATCACAGCTATTTACCAGGATTTTCTATGTGCTTCATCTTTTGCCACCTCTTTTCTTTGCCCTGCACATATTTTTCATTTGACTTTTCCTGGATTGTATCTTTTATAATAAACTGGTCAACATAACTACAGTGTTTTGCTGAGTTCTGTGGGTAGCTCTATCAAATTATTGAACTTTAGATCGTTTATAGGAGTCCTGATTTTTTTTTAGTTTTTGTTTGTTTGTTTGTTTGTTTGTTTGTTTTTTGGGACAGTCTTGCTCTGTCACCCAGGCTGCAATGCAGTGGCACAATCTTGGCTCACTGAAACTTCTACCTCCCGAGTTCAAGCGATTCTCCTGCCTCAGCCTCCCTAATAGCTGGGATTACAGGTGCACACCACCAAGCCTGGCTAGGAAGTCCTGAATTTTTAAACAGTAGCTCAGAGGCATAGCTGGGCCCATGGGGTTTGTGACTGGCAACTGCACTAAGGACAATGTTGTGGGACTGAGCCCTGAATCAGGGTGTGTGCTGACTCTGGGTGGTATCAGAATTCAAATGTTAGACAATGAGTTGGTGTAGAAGTGCTTGGCATTCAGCAAACTACAAATTTGATGCCAGAAAAAAAGATACCATGGAGGCCTGGCCGGGAATAAAACTGGGTGTCTGGGAATGAAAGTCTCCACTCTCTAGTACACAGGCAGTCACACTGCCCATTGTCCTGTGATTTCAAGTCTTCTCCCAGAGTAAGAGAGGACTAAAAACTTAAACGTGCTCTGATGACAGACCCCCTTTTCCCACAGCTGCCACCACAGGATTCTCACCCACTCACAAACATACCCACTACACATTGATGTGCCCACACCTCTCTCAGGACTAGGCACCACCCTCAGAAACTTCACCACAGCGTTTTTAATTCTAGCGTTTCTTAACAGAAAACACTATACACTACACAAAAGTGTCTACAATTGTCCCGGCATATCCCCACCTCCAAGCACTGGATCTGCAGCAGCAACCCATCTTCTCCACCAGATTAGGTTTCTAGGTAACTTGTTCATAATCTCATCTGCCTACATGGACACAGAAGTAAATCAGAGTACAGTCCCATTTGGGTCACTATCTGTAGCACAAACCGGTCTTTCCACCTACATTTCATTCTCCTCCAGCCATGGAGTTATTTCATATTAACTCTTATCTTTGGTTCAAGGGTACATGTGTAGGTTTATCATATAAAGATCACATCAGAAAGAATTTTTACTTATACTTGTTCCTAGGTTTTTTTTTTTTTTTTTTTTTTTTTTTGAGACAGAGTCTCGCTCTGTCACCCAGGCTGGAGTGCAGTGGCACAATCTCCACTCACTGCAAGCTCCGCCTCCTGGGTTCATGCCATTCTCCTGCCTCAGCCTCCCGAGTAGCTGGGACTATACGTGTGTGCCCAACTAATTTTTGTCTGTCCCCTGCCACAGCCAATAGTGCTGCAGTAGATTTATGCTGCACAAAAGCTGTGAGCCTTCTGCCTGGGGAACCCTTGCAAAAGTTCCCAACAGGAGTCTGTGGACCCTTGACAGTGGGGAGGATAGGATTGCTTCTAGGTAGGTCTAGTTTCAATTTAAAAGGAGTGCAAATACATACAGGAGTCATTGATTCAGATTACAATGGAGAAATTCAAATTGTTATATCTACTTCTGTTCCCTGGAAAGCAGAGCCAGGAGAGCACATAACACAGCTCCTGATTGTGCCATATGTGGAAATGGGGAAAAGTGAAATTAAATGAACAGGAGGATTTGGAAGCACAAATAAACAAGGCAAAGCAGCTTATTGGGTGAATCAAATTACTGATAAACATCCTACCTGTGAAATAACTATTCAGGGAAAGAAGTGTAAAGGTTTGGCAGATACAGGAGAAGACATTTCAATCATTTCTCTAAAGCACTGGCCGTCCACATGGCCAATTCAACCCACTCAATTTAACATAGTTGGACTTGGTAAAGCCCTTGAGGTATATCAAAGTAGCTATATTTTACATAGTGAAGGGCCCGATGGACAATCTGGGACTATTCAACCAATTATAACTTCTGTACCTATAAATTTGTGGGGGAGAGATTTATTACAACAATGGGGAGCACAAGTTCTAATTCCAGAACAATTATATAGCCCTCAAAGTCAGCATATGATGCATGAAATAGGGTATGTCCCTGGTGTGGGACTAGAAGAATTTTGCAAGGTTTGAAGGAACTGCTTCAAGCAGGAAGAAAAGTTCCCTCCAAGGTTTAGGATATCATTTTTGATGGTGGCCATTGTTAAGCCTCCAAAACCTATGCCTTTAAAATGGTTAACAGATAAGCCAATTTGGATAGAACAATGGCCGCTGAGTAAAGAGAAACTGGAGACTTTAGAAGACTTAATTACTGAACAATTAGAAAAAGGACACACAGCTCCAACATTTTCCCCTTGGAATTCTCCAGTTTTCGTAATTAAGAAAAAATCAGGTAAATGGAGAATGTTAATTGACTTAAGAGCCATTAATTCAGTTATACAACCTATGGGGGAATTGCAGCCAGGATTGCCTTCTCCTGCTATGATTTGGAAAAATTGGCCTTTAATAATCATAGATTTAAAAGACTTTCTTTTCTATCCCCTTAGCTGAGCAAGACTGTGAATGGTTTGCATTCATGATTCCTGTTGTAAACAACCTGCAGCCTGCTAGGCATTTTCACTGGAAAGTGTTGCCACAAGGCATGTTAAACAGTTCAACAATTTGCCAGACTTATGTAGGGCAAGCAATTGAACCTACTGGTAAAAAACTTTCAGTGTTACATTATTCATCAGATGGATGATATATTTTGTGGTGCCCCCACTCAAGAAATATTATTCCAATGTTATGATTACTTGCAAAATTCAATTTCTCATGCTGGTTTAATTATAGCTCCTGACAAAATTCAGACTACTAATCTTTACTCTTACTTGGGGACCTTAGTAAATGACACTACCATTGTGCCACAGAAAGTAACCATACATAGGGATCAACTGAAAACATTTAATGACTTTCAAAAATTACTAGGGACATTAATTGGATACGACTTGCTCTAGACATTCCTACCTATGCCATGAGTAATCTATTTTCCATCCTTAGAGGAGGTCCTAGTCTCACTTGCCCTCAGCAATTAACAAAGGAGGCTGAGGTCGAGTTACAGCTAATCAAAAAGCAAGTCCATAAGGCTCAAATAAATAGAATAGATCCAGAGAAGACTCTAGATTTGCTAATTTTTCCAACTCAGCATTCACCTACTGGTGTTATTGTTCAAGAGCAAGATCTTGTAGAGTGGCTTTTCATTCCACATACTCATTCATGGACTTTGACTCCTTATTTGGATCAAATCACTATTATGAGAGGAAATGGTGTATATATACAACATTTTCTTTATCCAGTCTGTCATTGATGGCATTTAGGTTGACCATATCTTGCTATTGTATAGTGCTGGAATGAACATTTGAATGCATGGGTCTCTATGGTAAAATAATTTACATTTCTCTGGATATATATGCAGTAATGGGATGGCTAGCAGAGCTATCAAATGGTAGTTCTGCTTTTAGCTCCTTGAAAAATCACCTAACTGCTTTTCACAATGGCTGAACTAATTTACACTCCCACCAACAGGGTATAAGTCTTCCCTTTTCTCCACAACCTCACCAGAATTTATTTTTTCACCCTTTAATTATATCCATTCTGACTGGTATGAGATGGTATCTCATTGTGTTTTTTTCATTTCTCTAATGATCAGTGATGTTGAGCTTTTATTCGTATGCTTGTTGAGCACATGCATGCCTTCTTTTAAGAAGTGTCTATGTTTTTTGCTCACTTTTTAATGGAGTTGTTTGTTTTTCTCCTGTCATTGCCATGGTTGCAGCTGCTGAGTGGGGGCTTACCTGGTGGCCATCGTGCCATTGTGTGTGCTGCCCATGTTGGGCTCTGCGTTGTCAGGGGTGGGAACCCCCTGGCAACTGTTGGGTGTCTGTGCTCACCCCTGTGGGGGTGGTGTGCATGCCCCTGTGGTGAAACCTTCCAACCCCTCTGAGAGTTCTGTCTCAGTGCTGTCTCATTGGCTGACCTGAGGCAATCCCTTCGGGGATGTGCTGTGCCAGGAGGGCCTCCCGGTGTTGGGAGTCCCTCACCAAAGAACTTTGTGAAACTCTTAGCGGTGGATCACTCCACTCCTGCATTGATGAAGAATGCAGCCAGCTGTGAGAATTAATGTGAGTTGCAGGACACACTGATCATCATTTCAAATGCACTTGTGACTCCGTGTTCCTCCCAGGGCTACACCTGTCTGAGTCATCACTTGCTGAGCAATCATCCCAAGGGGTGCTTCTGGCCTCCCAGGGGTGCATGGCTGGCGGTTCCCTTGCAGGGCTCGTTGGCCCCTCTGTCCTCCCAAGTACAGGCCTTGTGGTGCCCCCCTCCTTTTCCATTAGCACCTTCCTCCCACCTCCCATTCATCCATGCAAACCCTGTGAGGGACCACGTGGTGGGGGAAGGAGCCTTGGTTAGGAGGGATCCCACTGCCTGTGAGAGGAAGGAAAAGAGCCGGCTGGGGCCGAGTTCCTGTGGCTGCCACAGTCCGGGTTCCCCTAGAGAGCTCCCTCGTGCTGCAAGCGGTCCAGGGTTCGCCTGGGCCTGGGCAAAATGTCCTGTGCTGTCCTACATTGGCGGGTGGGGGGTGGGGAAGGTTGGGGGGGTGGAAAGCAAGATTTCATCCCGGTCGCCACAGTTCACCGCCCACCACAGTTTACCGCCCGCCCCGGTGGCAGCCTGGTGTCCGGCCAAATGCTGCTCCTCCCTGCACCCTCCTCCTCTCCCACCCAGCCTGCTGTGCACTTCTGGGGCCAGAAGTCTGCCCTGCGTGACCCCCCCGGTCGGGGTCAAGGCCAAGCTGCGTGCTGGCGGTGCCCTGGTGGTGACTCATGGGACACCATGGCAGCATCCGCCATTGTGTGCTTGCCTCTGGTTCATGGCTGTGCCGCCCGTGTGGCCCCCTTGAGCTTCCGCATTGGGGGGGGGTGGAAGCACATCCTCAGTCGCAGTCCTCTGGACGGTGAGGGTACTGTGTATTCCCTGCCCCTAGTTCTTGCTTCTCCCTCCCGTCATCCGGCTCTGGTGCGGCAGGGACGCCGTCAGCCGCAGCTCTTCTCTGTCACCCCCGCCCCCCTCCCTCACTGGGCCTGTCTCCCAACCGAGTGTCCAGGCTCGCATCCTCCATGCCCGCCCGTCTCTTCCTTTATTCCAAGACGCGACCTCAGGCTAGAGGTGGCAACCTGCTGAATTTAAGCATATTAGTCAGCGGAGAAAATGGAACTAACCAGGATGCCCTTAGTAAAGTTAGGTGAACAGTGATCCCAGTGCCAAATCCCTGCCCCTTGGTAGGGTGCGGGAAATGTGGCGTATGGAAGACTCACTCCCCAACGCCACTTGTGGGGGCCCAAGTCCTTCTGATTGAGGCCCAGCCAGCCTGTGGACGGTGTGAGGCCATTAGCAGCCCCTGGCTGCCACGCCTGGGTCTTTCCAGAGTCGGGTTGCTTGGGAATG
Source organism: Homo sapiens (assembly GCF_000001405.40). NCBI lineage: Eukaryota > Metazoa > Chordata > Mammalia > Primates > Hominidae > Homo > Homo sapiens. The sequence goes on along the minus strand of NC_000019.10, from coordinate 24,003,111 downwards.
CAACCTCAAGCTGGTGGCAAACTCTATCTAAGGTTAAATACTGGCTCAAGAGACAATAGTCAACAAGTACTGTAAGGGAAAGTTGAAAAGAACTTTGAAGACGCAGTTCAAGAGGGCGTGAAACCGTTAAGACTTAAATGTGTGGGATCCATGCAGTCTGATGGAAGATTCAAACAGGCGGCGGGTCGGGCTGTGCCAGTGGTCTGGCGGATCTTTCCTGCCTCCCGTTCCTCCCGACCCCTCCAACCGCCCTCCCTCCTCGGCCACCCCTCCTCCTCCTTGGAGGTGGCGGGCCCCAGCAGGTGCGGAGGTGGGTGGGTTGGGCAGGCGGGGGAGTCCTTGGGGACTGTCCTCCAGACGGCGACTGGCCACCGCCAGATGCATTTCCACTGTGGTGCTGCGCCGTGACTGGCTCTGGGACGGCTGGAAAGGCCCGGCAGGGAAGGTGGCTCGGGGGGTCATGTCCTCCCCATCCCTCTGGAGGGGGGTGAGCTGGGCCACACCCCGAGTGTTACAGTCCCTCAGCAGTAGCACTCGCAGAATCCCGGGACTGAGGTAGTGAGACCTGTTGCCCTGCTCTCCCCTTCCCTGCTCCCACCCCAGTGGGAGCCCCCCATGAGGGGATCCCCCGTGGGGGCATGACAGCGTCCCTCTAGGGGGCTGGGCCACCCCTCCCACGGTGTAACTACTCTACCACCCCTTCCCTGCCCCCAGCGAGTAGGCCGCATGTGAGGGGCAGGGGCTGACTGTGGTGTGCCCCAGGCTGGTTGTGCTGTCGGGTCTGGGGGGACTCTTCGGCCATGCACTCATTTCAAAAGAACAGTGGAAGAAGTGCACGAGGCCGGTGGCGCTGTTGGCTACCCACATGACCCATCTTGAAACATGGTCCAAAGGGTCTAACACGTGTGCGAGTCAGGGGCTCGCACGAAAGCCACTGTGGCGCAATGAAGGTGAAGGCTGATGCGCTGGCTGGCTGAGGCGGGATCCTGAGGCCTCTCCAGTTTGCCAAGGGAGCACCACCGTCCACTCTCGCCCACTGTGCTGGGCAGGTGGAGAATGAGCGCTTGTGTTAGGCACCAAAAGATGATAAACTATGCCTGGGCAGGGCGAAGCGAGAGGAAACTCTGGTGGGGGTCTGTAGTGGTCCTGACGTGCAAATCGGTCATCTGATCTGGGTATAGGGGCAAAAGACTAATCCAACCATCTAGTAGCTGGTTCCCTCTGAAGTTTTCCTAAGGATAACGGGCGCTCTCGCAAAAACCCCATGCCACGCAGTTATTTGGTAAAGCGAATGATTAGGGGTCTTGGAGTCAAAATGATCTCAACCAATTCTCAAACTTTAAATGGGTTAGAAGCCCAGCTCGATGGCATGGGGCCAGGTATGAAATGCGAGTGCCTAGCGGGCAACTTTTGGTAAGCAGAACTGCTGCTGTGGGATGAACCAAATGCCATGTTAGGGTGCCTGATGCTGATGCCCATTAGACCCCAGAAAATGTGTTGGTTGATATAGACAGCAGGACGGTGGGCATGGAAGTCAGAATCCACTAAGGAGTGTTTAACAACAAAGAATCAACTCGCCCTGAAAAATGGATGGTACTGAAACATTGGGCCCATACCCGGCCATTGCCAGCAGTTGAGAGTGGATGGGAGTGGTGAGGGTGGTCGCTCCCGCTGGAGCCCCGAGGATGCTATGCTGCTATGAGTGGGAGGACCGCTGCAATGAGCCTTGAAGCCTTGGGCATGAGCCTGGGTGGAGCTGTCCCAGGTGCAGATCTTGGTGGTAGTAGCAAATATTCAAATGAGAACTTTGAAGGCCGAAGTGGAGAAGGGTTCCAGTTGAAGATGGGTCACTCGGTCCCCAGAGATAGGAGAGTGCCATTCCGAAGGGATGGATGATGACTTCCATTGCCCTCAGCCAATGGAAACGGAGTCAAGTTCAGATTTCTGAATCCGGAGTGGCAGAGATGGGCACCATGAGGCATTCAGGGAGGTAATGGAAGTGATCCTGGAGAAGCTGGTGGGAGCCCAGGGGAGAGTTCTTTTTGTGAAGAGCAGGGCACCCTGTAGTGGATTCACCCTTAGAGAGAGGTCTGTGCCTTGGAAAGAATCATAGATCAGGAGGCACCTGGTGAGCTCTCACAGGCCCTTGAAAATCTGGGGGAGAGGGTGTAAATCTCACACCAGGCTGTAACCATATCCACAGCAGGTCTCCAAGGTAAACAGCCTCTGGCATGTTAGAACAATGTAGGTAAGGGAAATCAGCAAGCTGGATCAGTAAGTTCAGGGTAAGAATTTGCTCTAAGGGCTTTGCCAGTCTGGCTGGGGCTTGAAATGGGGCTGGGTGCAGGCAGTGGCTGGATGAGGTGCTGTACTCCACCCCTCAACGCTAGCGGCACCCCTCTGCAGACATCCTCCACCCACCTTGCCATACCTTCCTCTTCCCTATCCCTGCCCACCTTGCTATTGCCACTTCCTAGCAGCCTTCTTAGAACTGATGCAGACCAGGGGAATCTGACTTTTTAAAACAAAGCATGGTGAAGGCCTATGGTGGGTGTTGACACAACGTGAATTCTACCCAGTGCTCTGAATGTCAAAATGAAGAAATTCAATGAAGCACGAGTAAATGGCAGGAGTAAATATGTCTCTCTTAAGTGTAGCCAAATGCCTCATCATCTAATTAGTGACTCATATGAATGGATGGACAAGATTCCCACTGTTCCTACCTGCTATCCAGTGAAACCACAGCCAAAGGAATGGGCTTGACAGAATCAGCAGGGAACAAAGACTCTGTTGAGACTGACTCTAGTCTGGTATGGTGAAGAGACATGAGAGGTGTAGAATAAGTGAAAGGCCCCAGCACCCCTCTGTTTCTCTGAGGAGATGGGGTGAGGTCCACTGGCCTTGTGGGCTGCCGGTGAAATTCCACTACCCTGATCATTTTTTCACTGACCTGGTGAAGTTGGGGCTGGGGAGGAAAGCCAAAAGGGGCTCACTTTTGGCGCCAAGCACCTGGCCACATGCTGGCTGGATGTTAACTGGTCCTGGAATAGTGCCAAGTGCAGAGTCGGACTGGTGCGGTACACCTGTCAAACAGTAATGCAGGTGTCTGAAGGTGAGTGCAGGGAGTACCAAAACCTCCTGTGGAGCAGAAGGGCAGAAGTTGCTTGATCTTGATTTTCAGTATGAATACAGACCGGGAAAGCAGGGCCTCATGATCCTTTTGACGTTTTGGTTGGGTTTTAAGCAAGACGTGTCAGAGAAGATACCAGATGGTTGACCAGATGGCCCTCAGCTGCTATGATTGAAGTCGACCAGACGGCTCTTGCTTTGCCATGTCTGAGGTGGACAAGGGATAACTGCCTTGCAGTGGCCAAGAGTTCATAGCGACATCGCTTTTTGATCCTTTGGTGTTGGATCTTCCTATTGTGAAACAGAATTCACCAAGCGTTGGATGGTTCACCCAATAGCAGGGAACCTGAGCTTGGTTTAGAACGTCATGAGACAGGTTAGTTTTATACAACAGTCTTTTAAACAAGGGTCTTCCCATCTCGGCCTCACAAGTACCTGGGACTACTGGGAACTTATTCCTCTGTATTTTTTCTAACCACAATTTCAGTTTGTTTCCACGATACTTAGAGTAACTTGCTGTAATTTTTCATTGTTCTTTTCTCTCTCTATTCTTGTATGCTCCTTCCTACACACTGAAGTTGACCTTTGGTTTATTTTTTGTCACAGTTCACACTGGTTGTGACAAACAGACACACACACACACACAGTGAGAGAGAGAGAGATAGGAGTTCTCAATTGTGGTATTAAATACCTTTTATTATTGTTAACTTCAGCTTAATTATTTCATCTTTAAGATTGTTGTTATTTGTTTGATATTGTGATATACTTACTTTTGGTTTTTTTTTTTGATACAGTTGTCAGCCACAAGCCTTGGATTTAGCCACCAGCTTGCCATGACTAAGTTCGGCCAGATGGCTCTCACCTTGCCATATCTGAGGTCCACCACATGGCTCTCACTTTGCCATATGTAAGGTAGATTAGATGGTGCTCACCTTCCCATGTCATGTTTTATTTTTTGTCACACTTCACCCTTCCGTTTGGTGTCACAAACAAAAAGAGAGAGAGAGAAAGACACACACAGAGAGAGGAGTTCTTAATTGTGATATTAATTACCTTTTATTATTGTTCACTCCCACCTTATTTGGGTTTTAATATTGTTTGATATTATATATATAGTTGATTTTTAAATTTATTTTGATACAGATGTCAGCCTCAAGCACTGAAATAGCCACCAGCTTGCCATGTCTAAGTTCCACCAGATAACTCTCACCTTGCAATTTCTAAGATTGACTAGCTGGACTTGCCTTCCTATTTTTGGGGTTGACCAGATGGCCCTCAGCTTCCATGATTGAAGTCGACCAGATGGCTCTTGCCTTGCCATGTCTAGGTGGACAAGATGGTTCTCACCCTTCCCTGTCTAAGGTGGACCAGATGACTTTCGCCTTGCCATGTCTAAGGTCAACCAGATGGCTCTCACCTTGCCACGTGTGAGGTCAACAAGATGGCTCTCACCTTGCCATGTGTGAGTGGACAAGATAGCTCTCACCATGCCATCCCTAAGGACGATGAGATGGCTTTCACCTTGCCATGTTTGAGGGCTTCCTGATGGCTCTTGCCTTGCCATGTCTGAGGTCAACGAGATAGTTCTTGCCTTGCCATGTCACATGTCCAGATGGCTCTCACCTTGCCATTTCTGAGGTGGGCCAGATGGCCCTCGCCCTGCCCTGTCTTAGGTCGACCAGATGGCTCTTGCCTTGCCATGTCTAAGGTCAGCCAAATGGCTTTTGTGTTCCCATGTTTGAGGTTGACATGATGGCTCTCACCTTGCCGTGTCTAAGGTGGCCAAGATGGCTCTCACCATGCCATGTTTGAGGTCGACAAGATCACTCTTGCTTTGCTGTGTCTGAGGTCAACCAGATGCCACTCTGCCATGTCTGAGTTCGACCAGATGGCTTTCATCTTTTCATGTCTCAGGTCGACCAGACAGTTCTCCTCTTGCCATGTCTGTGGTCCACAAGAAGGCTCTAGCCTGGCCATGTCTGAAATTGCCCAGACAGTTCTCGCTTTGCCATGTCTACAGTCTACCACAGGGCATTTGCTTCGGTATGTCTAAGGTCGACCAGATGGCTCTCACTTTTCCATATCTGAGATCGACCAGATGGCTTTCACCTTGTCATGTCTCAGGTCGACCAGATGGCTCTTGCCTTTTCATGTCTGAGGTTGACCACATGGCTCTTGCCTTGCCATGTCTGAAGTCGACTAGATGGCTCTCCTCTTGCCATGGCTGAGGTCGACCAGAGGGCTTTCGCCTTGCCATGTCTAAGGTTGACAAGATGGCTCTCACCTTGTAATGTCTGAGGTGGAGACATGACAAATGGCTCTTGCTTTTTCATGTCTAAGGTCGACCAGATGGCTCGCACCGGCGGCAGTGCTGTTCAAGTCCAACAGAGAGATGGGATTGTGATTCACTGCAGCCTCGATCTTCCCAGTCTCATCCAGGTGATCTTCCCATCTCAGCCAGAAGCATTGGAATGAGTCCACAGCTTGCCATGCCTAAGGTCAACCAGATGGCTCTCACCTTCCAATATCTAAGGTCGACCAGATGGCTCTCACCTTCCCATGTCTAAGGTCGACCAGATGGCTATCGCCTTGCTATGTCTGAAGTCGAACGGATGGTTCTCGCCTTCCCACGTCTAAGGCCGTCCAGATGGCTCTGGCTGGCGGCAGTATCATTCAGGTCCAGCAGAAAGATGTGATTGTGATTCACTGCGGCCTCAATCTCCCTGGTCGCACCTGGGTGATCTTTCCAATTGGGCCACCCAAGTACCTGAGAATACATGAACTTTCTTCCTGTGTTGTTTTTCTAACCCCAATTTCAGTTTGTTTCCACAATATTTAGCGTGATTTGCTTTTGTTTTTCTTCGTTGTTCTTTTCTCTCTCTCTTCTCCTATGCTCCTTCTTGCATGCTGACGTTGACGTTTTCATTTATTTTTGGTCACACTCCAGCCTGAGTGTGACAAACGGAGGAGAGAGAGAGATCTTAATTGTGATATTATCTTTCATTATTGTTCACGCCCGCTTATTTATGTATTGGTCTTTAATATTGTTATTATTTGTTATTGTTCTATATTTACTGGTGGTTTTAAAAATTTATTTTGAGACACAAGTTGGCTGCAAGCATTGGAATTAGCCGCCAGCTTGCCAGGTCTAAGGTCGATCAGATGGCTCTCGCCTTCCCACGCCTAAGGTTGACCAGACGGATCTCACTAGTGGCAGTACCATTTATGTCCAGGAGAGGGATGCAATCGTGATTCACTGGATCCTCAATCTCCCCAGTCTCCCTCAGGTGGTCTTCCCATCTCCGGCTTCCCAAGTACCTGGGACTACTTGGACCTTCCTGTGTTGTTTTTCTAACCTCAATTTCAGTTTGTTTCCACAATATTTAGAGTGACTTGCTGTTGTTTTTCTTCTTTGTTATTTTCTTTCTCTGTTTCTTTATGTTCCTTCCTGCACAGTGACCTTTTGATTTATTTTTGTCACAATCCAGCCTTGGTGTGACAAACCAAGAGAGAGAGAAACAAGGAGGGAGAGAGAGAGAAAGAGAGACAGAGTGAGGAGATCTTAATTTTGACATTAATTACCTTTCACCATTGTTCACTTTCACTTTTTTATGTATTGGTCTTTAATATTGTTTTTATTCTTCGTTATTGTTATATATTTACTGTTGGTTTTTAAATTTATTTTAAGATGGATATCGGCCAGAAGCGTTGGGCTTATCTGCTAGTTTGCCATGTCTAAGGTCTACCAGATGGCTCTCACCTTCTCATGTCTAAAATCAACAAAATAGCTCTCACCTTCCTATGTCGAAGATCGACCAGATCGCTCTCGCCTTGCCATGTCTAAAGTCGTCCAGATGGCTCTCGTCTGCCCATATCTTAGGTCTACCAGATGGCTATCGCTGGCGGCAGTACTATTCAGATCCAGCAGAAGGACGCGATCATCATTCACTTCGGCCTCTATCTCCTTGGTCTCGCACAGGTTGTCTTCCCATCTCAGCCTCCCACGTAGCTGGGATGACAGGGTCCTTCTTCCTCTGCTTTTTTTTTTTTTTCCTAACCCTAATTTTAGGTTGTTTTCTCAAAACTTAGAGTTACTTGCCGTTGATTTTCTTCTTTGTTCTTTTCTTTCTCTATTCTCCTATGCTCCTTCCTGCACACTGAAGTTGACTTTTTGGTTTATTTTTTGTCACTCTCCAGCCTGGGTGTGACAAATGGAGAGAGGAAGGAGATCTTAATTGTGATATTAATTACCTTTTACCATTGTTCACTCCCACTTATTTATGTACTGGTCTTTAATATTGTTCGTTATTATTTATTTGTTACTGTTATATATTTACTCATTTTAAAAATTTATTTATTTTGGGACAGATGTCGGCTACAAGCGTTGGACTTAGCCGCCAGCTTGTCATGTCTACGTTCAACCAGATGGCTCTCGCCTTTCCATGTCTAAGGTCGACCAGATGGCTCTCACCAGCAGCAGTACAGTTCAGGCTCAGAAGAGAAATGCGATCGTGATTCATTGTGGCATCAATCTCCCCTGTCTTGCCTGGTGGTCTTCCCATCTCGGCCTCTCGAGTCCGTGCGACAGATAGAACCTTACTTTTCTCTCTTTCTTTTTTTTTCTCTAACTACAATTTCAGTTTGTTTCTACAATACTTAGGATGACTTGCTGTTATTTTTCTTCTTTGTTCTTTTTTCTCTCTATTCTCCTATGCTCCTTCCTGCATGCTGAAGTTGACATTTTGGTTTATATTTTTTCACACTCAAGCCTGGGTGTGACAAACAGAGAGAGAAAGAGAGAGAGACCTTAATTGTGATATTAATTACCTTTTACTATTGTTCACTCCCACTTATTTATGTATTGGTTTTTAATTATTATATCTTTGTTATTGTTATATATTTACTGTTGGCTTTTTAATTTGAGACAGATGTTGGCTGAAAGCATTGGACTTAGCTGCCAGCTTGCCATGTCTAAGGTCAACCAGATGGGTCTCGCCTTGCCATGTCTAAGGTCAACCAGATAAATCTCACTGGCAGCAGTACCGTTCAGGTCCAGGAGAAGGATGCAATCATGATTCACTGTGGCCTTGACCTCCCTGGTCTCTCCCAGGTGCTCTTCCCATCTCGGCCTCCTGAGTACCTGGCACTACTCAGACCTTCTTCCTGTTTTTTTTTTCTAACCTGAATTTCGTTTGTTCCCACAATACTTGGAGTGACTTGCTATTGTTTTATCTGTTGTTGTTCTTTTCTATTTCTACACTGTCTATAATACCAAAGGACTTTATACAATATGAATGGCAATCACAATTAACTCTGAGTCCTTCATGCTTGTATGGACCCATGACCATACCTGCTGCCCCAAGCCCAGGTATGAGAGTCAACATCTCTTAAATTGGCTGGGTCCAGATACTGGAGTCCTCACCTGCCTCTTATCTGGGCTTAGAAATATGTCACTAATCCAACTGTGGCTAGGTCTTTACATATTACAGTCAAAATTCCAACTGTGGACTGTATTTGCATGTGAAATTCTGGACCTCAACAGTGAGCTCTTTCCATGAGTGAGGGTGGCAATTCTAATGTTTGGTGGGGTGTGCATATGAGAAACACAATCTCACCTGCATATTGTTCCCTGTGATAACACTATCTGTAACACTCAGGGGCTTTATATGATATGGGAGTCATTTATTGCCAAGCCAAAGATGACCCTTTTAATTCTGGTGAGCACAAAGCCAGAGATTATCTAGCCTCAGCTTAAAGATCCTCACTCAAATTGAAAATGCTGAATAATTCTTTTTAAAGCTTCCAGTATTTCAGGGGCACTATTTGTTGTTGTTGTTGTTGTTGTTGTTTTAAGCGAAAAGGGAATACCATCTTGTCTTTTGGTTTTGTTGGCTAGAGACATGATTTTAGGTAGGAGTTGAAAAGCCAAAGATAGACTGTGATACTGGAATCATATTACAACTTTCTTTTAATGCTTTTTTCTGTAGATTTATATACAGATATAAGATATGTAGATAAATATATTCAAACACACTGGGTCATATAAATATGTCTATGTGATATCTATCTATGAGTTCATCTTATAAAAAAAGGTCCCAAAATATAATAAAGCTGAATCACATATGAGTAAACCAGTCCCAAAATATAAGTAAATCGGTCCTACACAGCCCCCTCAGGAAAGGTGAATGCAATCAGCAAATTGGCTCAGCCCATGTATTTCCAACCAGTAAACTAGCTCAGCCAAGGTGATTCCAGCCAGCCAATTAGCTCAGCTCACATGATTTCAATTAGCCTATTTGTTTAGTTCATGTGGATTCAATCAGCCAATTATGTAAGTGATGACTAAGTATTCATCCAGGCAAGCCCAGGAAGGTAGATGTGAATGATGCATGCATAAAACAAGAAGAAAATAAGTGTTCTTAAGTGCTAATGTGGACAGAAAGTATTACATGGGTTTCCTGTCAGCTTACTTCCCGGTTCTTTTCCCTAAAGGTGAAGCATTGCTTATGTTTATACAAAAACATTGTATAGCTATGTTCCATTCTGGCATGCTACTGAGCCAAAGAGAAGAGAAGTAATTCTACATATGCATTCTTATAATATGCTATGGGATTGAAAATGTCTTTTGGAGTACATTTTTTTTTCTTTCTGAGACGAAGTCTTACTCTGTCAACCAGGCTGGAGTGCAGTGGTGTGATCTCGGCTCACTGCAACCTCTGAATCCCAGGTTCAAGCAACTCTTCTGCCTCAGCCTCTCAAGTAGCTGGGATTACAGGTGCTCGTCACTGCGCCCAGCTAATTTTTTTGTATTTTTTTTCACTATGTTGGCCAGGCTGGTCTTGAATTCCTGACCTCGTGATCTGCCCGCATTTGCCTCCCAAAGTGCTGGGATTACAAGCGTTGGCCACCGTGCCCAGCAATTTTTTGTAAATATAAATAATTACATAGACATATAATTCTGTGAGTGTTTTTATATCTGCCTATGTATATCTGTATACAGATATATTAATCTTTGTATCTATATTGATATAGAATAAATTTATAGAAAGTGAAAGTATTGATAGGTATTGATACTAACAGTAGCAGAAGAAGAAACTTACATACAAGTATAAACTCTTTGCCCTATAAAGTATATCTACAAGAGTACACAAATAAAGATACAGCCTTGCAAACATTCTGCTATATTTATCATTTACAAAGAAAACATTGGTCTTTGTTGCTCACTTCTGAGAGATGAAAATGTCATTCATTCCCATTTTCAGTTTGACCTTTTCCTTTATCTTGTACATAGGGACAGAGATGAACCAGCCCCAGTCCAAAGGTCCTCACCTTAATTTGAGTATACTTATTATTTCTCATTATGGCCTCAGTCAAGACAGGGGCTGTTTATTATTTTCCCAATGCGTGCACGATGTAAAAGTACACTCTTATCTTATCATCTCTGAGGCTGAAATAGGGTTTTTGTGGTAAGAGAGAGAAAGTTTAGGTTACTTTTTAGAAGATAGATTGTGAAACTGAAAGCAAATATAATGGTACATAGTACCTGGCCACATTTTAACCAGGATAGAGTGAACATTCACTGAAATGACAAAGGTAATTCTTACTGGCTCGGCAAAAGCTTCTTTTTGAGGAAAGCTAGGTGACTGGTGTTGAGCATTTCTAGATGTTTCTACCTGAATGTACAGAGCCACTTTGGGCTAACTTAACGAGACCCAGAAAGAAAAACCTCCGTGTTCCAGATAACAAAACACATTTTCACATTTATTTTTAAAATATCAGCTGGTGTGTAGCTTGAATTGAATAAATCATCACTGAACTAATTGGCTGATTGCATTCAAATGGCCTGAAAAAAATTAATATAACCTCTGACCATGCTTACTTTGTGTTATTTTTCTGCACACATATACCTTCATATCAAGTAGGTGGGGGAAATGTACATATATATAAACACAGTGTGGACCCCATGGGTATGGCTATGTAATGTCCATTTGTGCATATGTCTAGTAAAACACTTCAGAAAAAATCTAGATCAGAAGTCATCTTCATTCACTAGCATATCTTCATTCACTAGTTCCCTTAGCACAGCTCAGGTGGATATAATCAGACAACTAGTTAAATTAGGAAGCAGAGGCATCAAGGGAGAACAAAGATGGCACATGTGAATAACACAGAAATACAAACAGAAAGAAAGTAGGGCCCTGAAATGTTAAGATGCACATAAAGCTTCATGTGGCAGTACTGGAAGCTTATATCCAGGCCATGCCCTGAAGTGTGAAGCTTTGTTGATGTATATATGTATGGCTGTCTCTCAGTCTGAGATGGTATGGAGCTATATAGGTGAGAAGTAAAGTCTTCATCTGTGTTTCTAAGATAGGCTGGGGAATTGACAATGTCTCCTGATGAACATTTTTTGCATATACAATTATTTACATAGATAAACTTATATAATCTTGTACGTATATGTTTATTTATCTACTCATGTATATGTAAAGAAAATGGCTTTGCTGCAACCAAGCAGGCATAGGGCAGCAGACATAGGCTGAGGTAAACAGTCTGGATGACTCAGCAGGTTTGTGGCACAGGTGCACAGCTTTGTATAACCACAGCCATGTAGACATAACATAGATAAGCTCACCACCTGGCACTCAGCCACTATTGTTTGTGTAGTGTATAAATGTAACACTGACCCTGTGAAAGGGCTGCTGAATAAAGCATATTCATGTAGACATAACATAGAGAAGCTCACCACCTGGCACTCAGCCACTATTGTTTGTGTAGTGTATAAATGTAACACTGACCCTGTGAAGGGGCTGCTGAATAAAGCCATGTCTCATTTACCTGCTGTCTCTCAAGTGTTCCTCCAGCTCCCTGCCCCACATCCACCCACTCCCCTTGGCTCTCAGCTGGGGATGTAACCTGACCCTGAGCATGACAGTGTATTTCTATCCAGGTCTATCTATCATTATTTCAATATTTATACAGAATAAAGATATAGAATTTCAAAGCATTGATAGGTATTTTTACTGATAGTTATATAAAAATAAATTTCCATACATGTAAAATCTTATTTGTTCGCTAAAGTATATCCACAAGAGTACACAAATGGAAGAATACTCTGATGTGAATTTAGCTGCATTTAACATGTTTAAAGAAAGTATTTTTTGGCTGGGTATGGTGGCTCACAACACACTTTGGGAGGCCAAGACAAGTGAATCATTTGAGGTCAGGAGTTTGAGACCAGCCTGGTCAACATGGTAAAACCCCATCTCTACTAAAAATACAAAAATTAGCTGGGCATGTTGGTGGGCACCTGTAATCCCAGCTACTCAGTAGACTGAGGCAAAAGAATCACTTGAACCCAGATGTCAGAGGTTGCAGTGAGCCGAGATCCTGCCACTGCACTCATGCCTGAGCAACAGAGTGAAACTCTGTAAAAAAAAAAAAAAAAAAAAAAAAAAGAAAAAAATTTTTGTTGCTCCAATCTGTAAGCAAGAAATTTAATAAAACCACAAGTGTTATTCAATGCCAAGTCAAAAATATTTCTTTTCATTCTGATTAACACAGGAACAGAGATAAACTAGCTTTAAATTAAAGGCCCAAACAAAAATTGAAAATGCTAATTCCATTTAAAGCTTACATCTTTTCAGGAGCTCTTTGTTTTTGAACTTGTGACATTGGAACACAATTCTGTAATTGGTTTGGTTGGCTGAAGAAGTGACTTATTGAATATGGGTAGAAAAGCCAAGGTCTGTAAATTCAAGATAGACTGCAATATTGAAAGCAAATTTCAGATTTCTTTGCACACTTTAACTTGAATATTTATTAACAGGTATATGTAGATAGATAAGCATATGCAAACACATACAGATATATAAATATGTCTATGTAATGTCCATTTATGAGTATGTCTTGTAAAAAAAACTTCAAAGTCAGAGGTCATTTCCCTACTTATTCTCAGGGCAGGTGAATACAATCAGCCCATTTACTCAGCCCTGATGATTTCTATCAGCCAATCAGCTTAGCCCAGTTTATCCCAATTAGCCAATTAGCTTGGTCTAGGTCATTCTAATCAGCCAATTTGCTCAGATCAGGTAAATTCAGTCAGTCAATTACCTCATTCCAGGTGATTTTAATCAGCCAATTAGGTCAGCACTTTTGATTTCAATCAGCCAATTAACTCAAACCAGGTAATTACAGTCAATTAGCTGATCCCAGGAGATTAAAATCAGGCAATTAGTTAAGTCCAGGTGATTTCAATTTAGCTCCAGTCAGCAACTATTTGAGCCCAGATGATTTTAATTGACCAATAATTTCAGGCCAGGTGATTTCAGTCAGTCACTCAGATGAGCCCAGGTGGATTCAGTCAGCCAGTTCTCTAAATAGCAACTATAGATTTAATCAAGACGGGCCACCAGTAGTGGATGAGAATAGCTCATGCATACTCTGAGAAGAAAAACAAGGTCCAGAAATGCTAACCTGGACAGAAAGTGTTACATGGTTTTACTATCAGCTTATTTTTCAGAACTTGCCCGAAAGTGAAGTTTTGTTTGTCTATACAAATAACATTGTATAGCTATGTCCCATTCTGACATGCTACTGAGCTAGAGAAGGGAAATAATTCTATATCTGCACCCTTAGAATATGCTAAAAGATTGAAAAATGTTTTTTGAGGTACAATTTTTGTGTACGTATTTACATAGAAATACTCATATAACCTTGTATATGTATCGATATTTGTATGCACATTCATACAGAACAAAGATGTAGAATGTGGAAGAATTAATAGGTACTGGTACTAATAGTAATGCAACTAGAAACTAGGATCTCACACATGGTTCAAGTCAATTGTTGAGATTGTGACTCATCTATTTGGATCCAACACACAGGTGTTGACTCTCATACCTAGAACCGGGACATGTGTGAGATTGTTAATTTCATTACTGGACCTTCCTGAAGGTGTGACTGTGACATATGCACCTTCACAGAACCTTTTTGACACATCTGCCTGACCCAGCCCAGATGGAATTGTGACACATCACTGGACTCAGCCCCTAGGTGATGCTTTATCACTGCTAACAGGGGAATTGTAACATCACTGGGCCTTACATCCAGGTGATGTGAATCTCCTCTCCTGCTTTGTCGCTGCCCAGTGGGCATTTTGACATATAACTGAGTCCCACACCCAGGTTATGTGACTCTCCTGACTGTGTCTGGCCCATATCAGCCATTGTGACATGTTGCTTGGTCTAACACCGCAGTTATGTAACTCTTGTGTTCTGGCCCTGCCTACAGAGAGCATGGTGAAGTATCTCTGTGTCCACCACAGAGGTGATGTGAGTCTCTTCTCTTGAGTGTTCCCTTCTCAAAGGGGTGACTATAACATATAACTGGGCCCAGCGCCTAGCTTATGTGATTTTTCTTTTTCTTTTTTTTTTTTCCTTTTGAGATGGAGTCTCACACTGTAACCCAGGCTAGAGTGCAGTGGTGCAATCTCAGGTCACTGCAGCCTCTGCCTCACAGGTTCAGGTGATTCTCCTTCCTCAGCCTCCCGAGTAGCTGGGATTACATGCACCCACCAGGACACCCAGCTAATTTTTGTATTTTTAGTAGAGACAGGTTTTCCCCATGTTGGCCAGGCTGGTCTTAAACTCTTGACCTCAGGTGATCTGTCCACCTCGGCCTCCCTAAGTGTTAGAATTATAGGCATGAGCCACGGTGCCTGGCCAACCTTTCCCTTCTTTATAGGTTCTGCCCACACACAAAAAAGTGTAAGATATTGCTGCAGTCAACACCAAGATGGTGTTCCTCTTTTGGCTCTGCTCTCAAAACGTGTTGTGATATATTGCTCGTCCTACCACCAAGGTGATGTGAGTCTCCTGCCTGGTCCCTGTCCATAGGGGGCAATGTCATATATCTCCAGGCCCATCAACCACTTGATGTGACTCTGCTCTCTTACCTGATCATTGCCCAAAAAAGAAATTGGGACCTATCCATGAATCCAGATCTTAGGTGATATGAATCTTCTCTCCTCCCTGGGCCATGCCTAAAAAAGAGAGAGTGACGTGTTGCTTAGTCCAGCACACAGGTTGTGTGATACTTCTTTCTGACCTCTGCCCAAACAAGTAACTGTGACATAACTCAGGTTTTGTTACCTAAATGATGTGACTCTTCTTTTTCCTGGGACCTGTCCACAGTGAAGGTTGTGGCAAATTGCTTGGCCCAGCACCTATGTGATGTGACTCTACTCTCATGCTTGGGACCTGTCCACTGGCTGATTGTAACATACAGCGAGGCCCAGCTTTTAGATTATGTGACTCTCTTCTTTTTCCTGAGTTCTACCTACAGGGGTATTGTGAGATATCTCTGGGCCCCTCACCTAAGTGACATGGCTCTCTTGCCTGTACCCTCCCCTCAGCAGGTATTGTGACAACTTGCTGGACCCAGCACCGAAGTGATGTGACTCTCCTCTACTACTTGGGCTTTGCCCAAAAAATGATTGTATAGCTGGGCTCAACAAATAAGTGAAGTTACTATCATCTCTTGCCTCAGCCCTGAGAGGCATACAGTATACATTGTATATTGTGACATATTTCTGGGTCCAACACCTAGGTGATGTGACTCTCTTGCATGGATCATGTCCACAAAACTATTATGACATGTATTTTTATTCATTACCTTGGTAATGTAACTTTTCTTTCTGCCTGGGCCCTGCCAAAATAGAAAATTGTGATATATCATTGGACCCAGTACCTAGGTGATGTGACTCTCTTTTTTTGCCTGGGCCCTGCATAATTTGGGTATTGTAACATATCACTGGACCCAAACCCTAGTGGATGGAAGGCTTCAGTCTCGACCCTGTCCACAGGAGACCTTGTGACATATCTCTGCATCAATCACATAGGAGATATGACTCTCATCTTCTGCCTGCATCATGCCCACAGGAAAGATTTTAACATGTCACTAGATTAAGCAATGTAGTGATGTGTTTTTACTGCTTGATTCTCTCATACAGGGGGCATTGTGACATGTCTCTGGTAACACCTACTATCTGATGTTACTCTTCCCTTTTACCTTGGTTTTGCTTATGTAAAAGATTGTGACATATCTCTTGGCCCAGCACCTAGGTAATGTGACTCTGCGCTTCTGCCTGGGCCATGTCCACAGAAATGAGAGTAATGGCTTATCACTAGGTGCAACACACAAATGATGTAATTCTTCTGCCTGATCTCTGCCTAAAGAGGTTATTGTGAGATGTCTCTGGGTCTATCAGCATGGGGATTATGACATATCACTGCCCAGTACTTATGTGATGTGGCAGTCTTCTCTTTAATGGACCTGCCTACTAGGGTGATTGTGTCATAGAGCTGAGCCCAGCTTCTAGGTTATGGGACGTTCTTTTTTTGTGAATACCCAAAAACGGAATTGTCCCATATCTCTGATATTCTCACCAAAGTGACTCTCTTTCCTGGGCCCTCTTCTCGGGGGTATTTTGACATATTGTTATACCCAGAACTTATGTGATGTGACTCTTTTTTACTGCTTGAGCTTTGCCAAAGAAGTGATTGAGATGTATTGCTGGGCCTAGCACCTAAGTGATGTGACTCTCCTCTCCTTCCAAAGCGCTGCAGACATTGTGATATATTGCTGAGTCCTATACCTACAAGGTGAAATTTTCTGCACAAGCACTGCCCACAGAGGAATAATGACTTACCTTTTTATTCATCACCTAGATGATATGACTCTTCTCTTCTGCCTGGGCCCTGCCAAAAAAAAAAAAAAAAAAAAAAGAAGAAGAAGAAAGAAAAGAAAAAAATAAGGTTATTGTAACATATCACTGGATTGAGCACCTAGGTAATGTAACTCTTCTGTTTTGCCTGGGCCCTGCATATGTTGAATATTGTGACTTAATACTGATCCCAACTTATACTGGATGAGAGACTCCTGCCTGAGCTATGCCCACCAGAGGCCTTATGACATACTGCACTCACCACCTAAGGGATTTGACTCTCCTCCTCTGCTTTCATGTTGTTTGTAGGAAAGATTGCTACATATCGTGGAACCCAGAAACCAGGTGTTGTGTCTTTCACGCCTGGGTATTACCCAAAGGTCACAGTGTGACATAACACTGAGCCCTGAATCCAAGTGATGTGTTGCTGTTGTCTGTGCCCTGCTTTCAGTGGGGAATTGTAACATATCCCTGGCTGAGAACCCAGGTGATACATCTCTCTTGCCTGGCCCCTTCTTTCAGAAAAGATTGGCACATATCCCTGGCTCAGCACTTAGGTGATGTGACTCTTCTGTTTGCTCCCTACACACAGGTAGTATTTTGACATATGTATTGGCCAGTGCACAGGTGTGATAATGACTAATATTTTGAACCAGCCAAGGGGACAAATACTGTCTGTCATAGCTAGGTGTAGAAAAATGGGTAAGATCCTGGGTTTCCTTTCTGTACAAAGGTTATAAAAGGTTACCACTCTCTCACATATTGTATAAAGTCCTTGGGTGGTAGAGAGAGTGTCATCACAAGGTCCAGCATGCAGATGAGATTGTGTTTCTTGTGTGCTCACCCTGACAACCATTATGATTGTCACCCTCACACATGGACAAAGCCCACTGGTGAGGCACTTAATCTCACACATGGATGCAGTCTGCAGTTAAAATTGTGACATTTATTTGTGAATTTCTGTTCGGAGTTGTGATGGTGACTCATTTCTAAACCCAGCTCTGGCAGGTGAAAACTCTCCTATCTGGACACAACCAATTAGAAAGATGTTGACTGTCACACCTGGGCTTAAAGCTACAGACACTATCATGGGTCCATAACAGCACAAAGGATTTAGAGGAAGTTGTGACTCCCATGCATACCATATAAAGCCCTTGGGTGATACAGAACATGTCTTAACATGGCCCTAAACAAATGTAAGATTGTGACACTCTTACACACACACAGCAAACAGTAAAGATGATCATCCTTTCACAGCCCACTGTTGAGCTTCTGAATCTCATACCTGGAGACAGTCAAAAGTTGGAAAATTGACTCTCATAAGTGGATCTTGTCCACAGATTGATTGGTTTCTCTCAGACAAAAATCTAGCATACCTGTGAGACTGTGATTCTAATAAGGGAACACAGTACACAGAAAAAATTGAGGCTCTCATAAGTGGATTCAGTCCATTGTAGAGATTGTGGCTCATGTATATAGAAGCAACATACAGGAAGCATTGACTCTCATACCTAGAATTTGGACATGTGTGGAATTTTTAATCTCATTCTTGGACCTTCTTGCAGGTGTGAAATGTGCCTCTTCCCAGCACCCAAGTGATTTGACTCTCTTTGTTTGGGCCCAGCCCACAGAAGGGATTGTGACATATCACTGAACCCAGAAGCTAGGTGATGTGACTCTCCTGCATGTGTCCTGCCCACAGAGTTATTGGGAAGTGACTTTTTGTTCATCCCCTAGGTGTTTCAGATTTCCTCTTCTGCTTGGGCCATCCCAATAAAAAGAATTGTGAAGCATCACTGGAGCCAGCAGTAGGAAATGTGCATTTGCTGATTGGACCTAGACACAGAAGACATTGTGACATATCATTAGGCCCAGCAACCAGGTGAAGGGACTCTGCTGCCTTAGTCCTGCTTTCAGGAGGGGATAACATATCGCTGGCTAAAAACACAGGTACTGTGCCTCTCTTGCCTGGTCCTTACTCTCAGAACAAATTATGACATAATTCCAGCCCAGCAACAACATGATGTGACTCTCTTGCCTGGCCACTGCTCTCAGAGAAGGTTGTAAATATCTCTGGCACAGCACCCAGGTGATGTGATTCTCCTGTTCATTCCCTCCTTACCCAATTGTGGGATTGTCACATATGTCTTCATTCAGTTTACAGGTGTCATAATGACTCTCATAACTTGAGCCAGCCAATATGAAAGATACTGTCTCTCTTAGCTAGGCTTAGGAAAATTGGTCAAACCCTAGGTCTCATTTTTGTATGAAGGTCATAGAGAATTACTACTGTCTCACATTTAATAGAAAGCCCCTGGGTGGTACAGAGAGTGTCAACACAGAGCCCAAGACAAAGGTGAGGTTGTATTTCTCATTATTTTCTCAATTGAACAAAGCTCATTATTGAGATCCTGAATCTTACAGGTGGACACAGTCTACATTTGAGATTGCAGCTATCATATATAAACATGTAAGCACAGTTGGGATGGTGTCTCATTTTAAGCTCAGCTCATAGGAAGGTGAAGATTCTTCATTCTGGACTCAGCTAACTGGAGAGATGTTGATTCTCATACTTGGGCTTAAGGCCATAGGAATGATCATGATTCATACCAGCACAAATGTCTCAGAGCAGATTGAGAATCTCATACATCAAGTATAAAGCCCTAGGGCAATACACAGGCAAGATTGTGACACTCACCAAGTCGACAGAAAAAGATTGTCATCTTCCCACATGAACACAGCCCATTGTTAAGGCTCTGGATTTCACAACCAAAAGCAGTCAAATGTTGGAAAATTGATTCTCATAGGTGAATCTTGTCCACAGGTAGGTTGATGACTCTAAGACCAATATTCGGCACACCTTTGAGGCTGTAACTCACTCAGATAAAACAGTGCACTGGAAGGATTGTGCCTCTTATGCACTGATCCAGTTTATTGTTGAGATGAACTCATGTACTAAGACCCAACATACATGAGGTGTTAACTCACATACTCAGAAACAGGATATGTGCTGGATTGTAGATATCATTCTCTGACATTCCAACAGGTGTAAATGTGATATATCCCTCTGGCCAGCAACTGAGTGATTTGACTTTGTAGCCGGGGCCCAGCCCAAATACAGGATTGTGAGTTATCGCTCGACCCAGCACCTAGGTGATGTGGCTTTATTATCCTGCCTTGGCGCTGCCCACAGGGGACATTTTTGGGACTCACTTCGGCCTGGTTCCTGCTTACAGGGGTGATTGTGACCTGTGACTAACCCAGCACCTAGCTGATGTGACTCCTTTTCTGTTCATCTTCTTCTCTGAGGGCAACAGATTGTGACACATCACTGCACCCAGAAACCAGGTGATGTGCCTCTCTTTCATGTTCCTGAACCAAAAGCTGAGTCCAGAGAATGCTGTGATTTACTGCTGGGCTCGGCATCCAGGTGAGGCGACTTTGCTGCCCATTTCCTGCTTTCAGGAGGAGATTGTAATGTATCTCTGGCCCAGGTGAGATTGTGACACTCTTATGCACACAAAGCTCATAGTAAAGATTTTCATTATTGCACATGAATTCAGCTTACTGCTTAGGTTCTGAATCTCACATTAGGAGGAAGTTAAAAGTCAGATAATTGAGTCTCATACTTCGAAGTAATTCACAGGTGGGTTGGTGAATATCAGACTAAGATTCAACTCACCTGTAAAGCTATTATTCCACAAATAAGACACAGTGCACAGAAGGGACGGAAGTTCTCATGCACAGATTCAGTCCATTGTTGATACTGTGAATTTTGTACTCAGACCCAACATACAGCAGGTGTTTGCTCTCATACCCAGAAGAAGGATATGTGTGGGAGTTTTAATCTTATCCTTGAACTTACCTGCAGCTCTGATTGTGACATACACTTCTTCCAAGCACCTGAGTGAGGATGTCACCATAAAGACATATACCCTAGGTGTTAGGTCCAGGAATGTCACATGAAATTGTGACATATTTCTGCACCTAACACCTAGGGTATGTGTTTTTTATTCTTCTGCCTTGGCATTGCCCACATTGCATCTAGTTATGTATTTCTAGGACTAAAACCCAGGTGATGTGTATCTCCTGCCCAGATTCTGCCTACAAGGGGAATTGTGACATATTTCTGGACCCATCATCTATTTGATGTTACTCCCCTCTCTTACTTCATATTTGCCAACAGGTGACATTGTGACATACCTCTGGCCCCAACACCTAGGTAATGTGAGTCTCCTTTTCTCCCTGGGCTCAGATCACAGAAGGGAGAGTAAATTATCCCAGGACACAGCCCAGAGGAGATGTGATTCTTCTGCCTGATTCCTGTCCGTAAGGACAAGAGATAAATACATTGTGATGTATCTCTGTGACCGTCAGCCAGATTATGTGACTCTCCTTTATTGCAGAGACCTGTCCACAGTATGAGTTGTGGCATATCACTTGGCACATCATCTATGTTATGTGACCCTCCTCTCATGCCTGGGCCCTGCTCACTGAGGTTGTTTTAACATATGGCTGGCCCCAGCCCCTAGGTTATTTTTCTCTTCTTTTCTTCCTGAGCCTTACCCACAGGAGGCATTTTGACATATTTCTGAAACCCTCCCCAGGTGATGTGACACTGCTACCTGGGCCCTTTTTTCAGGGTATATTGTGCCATATTTTTGGGTCCAGCAGCAAGGATTACCTCTACTGCTTGGGTTGTGTCCAAGAAGAGATTGTAATGTATTGCTGGGCACAGCACCTAGGTGATGTGACTGTCCTCTCCTTTCTGGGCTCTGCATACATTCTGTATTGCAAAATATGCAGCACCTTTGTGGTGTGACTCTCCTCTCATGTTTTAGCTCTTCCCATTAGAGTGATTGTGACATACATATCAGCACATCTATTACTTTATGTAACTTCCCTCTTCGTTCTGATCTTTACCCACACAGATAATTGTGACTTATTTCTAGGCCTCTCACCTAAATAAAGTTACCCTTTTACCTGGGCCCTCCTCTCAGGGGTTATTGCAAGGTATTGCTGGACTTAAAGCCTAGGCTATGTGACTCTTCTAGACTGCTTAGCTTTTGCTCAATATAAAATTGTAATGTTTCAATGGATTCAAGATCTAAATGGTGTGACTATCATCTCTTGCCTGAGCCCTGAATACGTCGTGTATTGTGACATATGGCTGGGTCCAACACCTAGGTGATGTGACTCTCTTGCATGGGCCCTGCCAACAGAAGGCATTATAACAAATCTCTGGTTGCATCAATTATTTGATGTGACTGTTATTTTACCTGGACTTTGCCCATAGAAGAAATAGTGACATATCTCTGGGCCAAATAGCTAGGTGTTGTGACTCTCTGCTTTTGCCTGTGCCAGGCCCCCAGAAGGAATAATGAATTATCACTAGGCCCAGCACACATGCAATGCCATTCTTCTGGCTGATTATTGCCTACAAGGGCCACTGCGACATATCTCTGGGCCCATGACCTAGGTGATGTGATACTCATTTTCTTTCTGGGACCTGCCCACACTGAAAATTGTGAAATATTGCTTGCTGTAGCACCTACATTATATTACTCTCTACTCTTGCCTGAGCCCTGCCCACTGGTGTGATTGTGACAGATAAGTGGGCACTGGCCCTATGTTCTGTGATGCTTATCTTTTTTTCTAGCTCTACTTACCAGGGACATTGTTACATATTTCTTGTTCCCTCACCAAAGTGTTGTGAGACCTCTGCCTAGGCCTTTCTCTCAGGAAGTATTGTGGCAAATTGTTGTACCTGGCACCTAAGTAATGTGACTCTTGTCTACTTCTTGGGCTCTGCTCAAGGAGGCATTGTGATGTATCCCTGGGCACAGGACTTAGGGGATGTTACTTTCCTCTCCTGCCTGGGCCCGGCATACATTGCATATTGTAATATATGGCTGCACCCAACAAGTAGGTGATGTGACTCTTCCCCATGAGCCGTGAAGACAGGGGTATTATAAGATACTGTTTTTTCATCACCTAGGAGATATGACACACATTTTTATTGCCTGAGACCTGCCAAATAAGAAGATTGTGACATATCACTTGATCCATCATCTAGGTGATGTCTCTTTTTTTTTTTTTTTTTTTCTTCTGGTCCCCACATGTTTTGGGTATTGTGACATATTGCTGGGCCCAATACCTAGAAAATGGAAGGCTCCTGGCTGGGGCCTGTCCACAGAAGACCTGGTGACATATTTCTGCATTCATCACCTAAGCGATGTGGCTCTCTTCTTCTGCCTGCACCCTGCCTACAGGGAAAATTGTGACATATTGCTGGCCTCAGCAAACAGATGATGAGTCTCTCCTAATTGGGCTTTGCCCACAGAAAGCATTTTGACACATCGCTGAGCCCAATTACCAAGGTGATGTGGTTCTGCAGCCTGCATCCTGCACCCAGCTTTCAGGAGGGGATTGTGATTGTAACATATTCCTGGCTAAGTACCCAGGTGATATTATTCTTCTGCCTGGTCACTTCTGTCAGGGAAGATTGTGACATATTCCTGGCCCAAAACATAGGTGATGTGACTCTCCTGTTTGCTCCCTACCCACAGGTAGGGACATATATCTTGGTCCAGCTAACAGTTGCAATGATGACTCTATTACCACACACCAGCCAACAGAAAAGATACTATCTGTTTTAGCTGGGATTAGAGAAATGGGTAAGATCCCATGTCTCCTCTTTGTATGAAGGTTATAGAAAATCACTACTTTCTTACACATTGTATAAAGCCCTAGCAAGGAACAAAATGCTACCACAGAGCCCAGCATTCAAATGAGATTGTGTTTCTTATATTCTCACCCTAACATCCATTAGGATTTTCACTCTTACACGTCGACAGAGCCCACAGGTGAGGTCCTGAATCACACAGGTTGATACAGTCCACAGCTGGAATTGTTTCTGTCATATGCTACAGTTGGGATGGTGACTCATTTCTAAACCTAGTTCATAGGTAGGTGAGGACACTTCTATTTGGACTGAGCCAACTGAAGAGAAGGTGAATCTGAGACAAGAGATTAGGGTAAAAATTATAACCATGGGTCCATACCAGAACTTTGAGACCAGCAGGGAGGTCTCAGAGCATATTGAGACTCTCATGCATAAAGCCCTCAGGGGCTACAAAGTGTTTCCTGACAAGGCACAGCACAGGTGATATTTTGACACTTGTATGCACATCCAGTTGACAATAAAGATTGTCATACTGCCACATGAACATGGCCAACTTTTGAGGTTCTGAGTGTCACATTTAGATGCAGTTGAAACTTGAAAAAGTGACTCTTATATGGGGATCCAGTCCACAGATGGGCTGGTGACTCTCAGACCAGGATTCAGCACACCTGTGAGGCTGTGACTCTACTAAGGAGGCATAGTGCACAGAAGAAAGCGAGGCTCCCACGCACAGACCTAGTCCACCATTAAGACTCATGACTTAGGCCCAAAATAAAGGAGATATTGATTCCCATACTTAGAATTAGGTCATATGCAAGAATTTTAACTTTGTACCTGTATCTTTCTGCGTGTGAGACTGTGTGACTTATGCCTCTGTCCAGCAACTAAGTGATTTGACACTTCTGCCTTGGCCCAACCCACAGATGGAATTTTGACATATTGCTAAACCCAGCACCTTCACGATGGGACTCTAGTCCACTGCCTTGGCACTTCCCACAGACAGCATTGTGACATATCACTATCACTAGGCTTTATATTCAGTTAATGTGAGTCTACCCTTCTGTTTTGTCACCCTGCACAGAAGGCATTGTGACATTGGGCTCCACACCCAAGTTATGTGATTCTCCTGCCTATACTCTTCCCACATGGCCCATTGTCATATATTGCTGGGTCCAGAACCCAGGTGATGTAACTCTCTTGACTTGGCCCTGCCTACAGGAAGCATTGTGACATCTCTGCACCAATTACCCAGGTGATGTTACTCTCTTGACTTGGCCCTGCCTACAGGAAGCATTGTGACATCTCTGCACCAATTAGCCAGGTGATGTGACTCACTTCTGCCTGATATCTGCTCACGGGGAATATTGTGACCTATCACTGGGCCCAGCATTGAGTTGATGTGACTTTTCTATTCTTTTTAGGTTCTGCCTGCAGGAAAGGTTGTGATGTGTCTCTGGACCCAATAGTAAGGTGATGTTACATTTTTGCCTTGCTCCTGACCTCAGAAAGCTTTGTGACATATTGCTGGGCTCAGCACCTAGATGATGTGAGTCTCTTGCCTGGACCCTGCCCACAGGGGGCATTGTGACATATCTCTAAGTTCATGAACTATTTGATGTGACTCTTCTCGCTTACTTGGACTTTGCCATTAGAAGAGATTGTGACGTGTCTCTGATTCCAGCACCTAGGTGTTGTGACTCTCCTCGTTTGCCAGTGCTATGCTCACAGAAGGTAGAGTGAATTATCCCCAGGCCCATCACACAGGTGATGTGATTCTACTGCCTGGTCATTGCCCACAGGGGTCACTGCAATGTATCTCTGGGCCCATTACCTAGATGGTGTAATTCTCCTTATTTTTCTGCTTCTGTCCCCAGTTGGGATTGTGACATGTTCCTTCACCCAACATTTAAGTGTTGTGATTCTCCTCTCATGTCTGGACTCTGACCACTGTTGTAATTTTGACATAGGGCTGGGCTCATCTGTCTAGGTTATGTGACAGGTTATGTGACTCTCTCCTTTTTTCTTAAGCCCTACCTACAGGGAGTATGGGTACATAGCTCTGGGCCCCTCACCGAAATGATGCAATCCTCATTCTTGGGCCCTTCACTCAATGAGTACTGTGACATATTGATGGACTCAGCACCTAGGTGAGGTAACTCTCTTCTACTTCTTGGGCTCTGACCAAGGAGGTATTGTGATGTATCGCTGAGCCTAGCACATAGGTAATGTTACTCTTTTCTCCTGCCTGAGCTCAGCATAAATTGTGTATTGTGACGTATGGCCTATCTTAACAACTATGTGGTGCAACTCTTCTGCATGAGCCCTGCCCATAGGGGTATTATGCCATACCTTTTTGTTTATCACCTGGGTGATGTGACACATTTATTTTTCTGCCTGGGCTCTGCTAAAGAGGGTTATTATAACATATCTTTTGGCCCAGCACCTATGTGATGTGACTCTCCTTTCTCCCAGGCCCCACATATTTGGTGTATTGTGAAATAACACTGGATCCAACACCTAGAAAATAAGAGGCTCCTGCCTGGGCCCTGCCCAGTGGGCCTTGTGACATATATCTGCATACACTACCTAGGAAATGTGACTCTTCTTTTCTGCCTGCACCCTCCTAACAGAAAAGATTATGACACATCACTGGACCCCGCGACAAGGTTGTGAGTCTTTTTGACTGAGTCTTGAATACGTAGATCATTGTGACATATTGCTGAGCCCTCACAGAAGATTGTGACATACATCTGGCCCCAAACCCAGGTAATGTTACTCTCCTGCTTACTCCCAATCCAGAAGAGTGACTGTGACATATATCTTGGCCCAGCTCACAGATGTGATGATGACTCTCATACCTTGAACTAGCCAATGAGAGAGATACTGTCTCTTATAGCTAGGCACAGGATAAAAGGTAAGATCCTGGGTGTCCTCTTTGTACAAGGGTCACAGAGGTTCACCACGCTCTTGCATATTGCATAAAGCCCTCAAGTGGTACAGAGAGTGTCATCACAGGTCCACGGACACAAGAGATACTATGTTTCTGGTATGCACACCCTGCCAATCCTTAAAATAGTCATCCTCACACATGGACACAACCCACTGGTGAGATCCTGAATCTCACACATAGACACAGTCTACAGATGGAATTGTGTCAGTCATATGTGAACATCTGGACACATATGTGATAGTGACCCATTTCTAAACCCAGCTCATAGGCAAATGAGTACTCTTCTATTTAGGCACAGCCAACTGGGGAGGTGTTGACTCTCATATCTGAGCTTAGAGTGACACGTACAATCATGGGCTCATATCAGCATGAAGGTCTTAATGCAGATTGCAATTCTCATGCATATCATATTGTATTAGTTCATTTTCACACTGCTATAAAGAACTGCCCAAGACCAGGTAATTTAGGTAGAAAAGGGATTTAATTGACTCACAGTTCCACATAGCTGGGGAGACCTCAGGAAATTTATAATCATGGCAGAAGGGGAAGCAGGGACCTTCTTCACGAGGTGGCAGGAGGGAGAAAGTGAATAAAGGAGGAACTTCCAACAGTTATAAAACCATCAGATCTCCTGAGAACTCACTCACTATCACGAAAACAGTATGGGAGAAACTGTCCCATGATCCAATTACCTTCCTGCCTTGACACGTGGAGATTACAATTGTAGGTGAGATTTGGGTGAGGACATAGAGCCAAACCATGTATCTCATAAATTCTTTGGGTGGTACAGAGAGTGTACTAACAGAGCCCAGCTCAAAGGTGAGATTGTAACACTAGTAAGCAGACACAGTCAAGCGTAAAGATTGTTGTCCTCTCACATGAGCATGGCCCACTGTTGAGGTTTTGAATCTTATATCTAGAGGCAGTCAAAAGTTGCAATGTTGACTCTCATACATGGATTTTTGTTATGCATGGATTTGTTGACCCTCAAACCATAATTTAGCACACGTGTCAGGCTGCGACTTATCTAAGGGGACACAATGCCCAGAAAACATTGAGAAGCTGCTGCACAGATCCAGTTCACAGTTGAGATTATGACTCATGTACTTCACACAACATACAAGACATGTTGACTCTCATACCTAGAACCAGAACATGTGAGGGATTGATAATCTCATCCGTGGATTTTTTGAAGGTGTGATTGTGACATACGCCTCTGCCAAACACCTGATTTGACTCTCCTGCCTTGGCTTGGTTCACAAATAGAATGGTGATATATTGCTGGACCCAGCACCTAGGTGAGATGAGTCTATTCTCAAGCCTTGGTGCCTCTTACAGGAAGCATTGTGACATAACGCTGGGACTTGCACTCAGGTGATGTAAGTTTTCTCTCCTACCTTGGTGCTGCACAGAAGGGGCATTGTGACACATCGCTCATTCTAACACTTAGGCAATGTGACTCTTCTGCCTGGGCCCAGCCTAAAAAGGGGATTGTGATATCTCCCTGCACTCCTCACCCAGGTAATGTATTCTCATCTCTTGCCTGGAGGGATGGTGACATATCCCTGGGCTCAGCACCTAGCTAATGTGACACTTCTCTTCTTCCTAAGTTCTGCCCACAGGGGAGATTGTTACATATATCCTGGGCCCAGCTCCAAGGTGTTACTCATTTGCCTTGGCCCTGTCTTCAGAAGGTATTTTGACATATTGCTGGGCCCAGGACAAAGTTGATGTGACTTTCTTGCCTTGACTCTGTCAAAAAGGGGGCATCTGTGGGTCCATAAATATTTGATGTATCTTTATTTTCTTACCAGGGTCTTGCTTATAGAAGAGATTGTTGCATATCTCTGTTCCCAGCATCTAAGTGATGTAACTCTCCTCGCCTGCCTGGGCCATGTCCGCAGATGAAATAGTGACTTATCCCTGGGCTCAGCACACAGGCAATCTGATTTATTTCTCCTCATCTCTTTCTACAGGGGGCATTGTGAAGTATCTCTTAGCCCATCAACTATTTGATGTGTATCTCTTCTCTTACCTGGGCTTTGCCCATAGGGGATGTTGTGACATATCTCATGGCCCAGCATGTAGAAGATGACACTCTCTTCTGATTGTTACATATTGCTTTGCTCACCACCTACTTGATGTGACTCTCCTCTCATGCATTGTCCCTGCCCCTTCGGGTGATTGTGACATATAGCTGGCTGTAGCCCCTAGGTTATGTAACTTTCCTCTTCTTCCTGAGCCCTACCCACAGAAGGCATTGTGCCGTATCTCTGGGGCTCTCACCTAGGTGATGTGGCACTCCTGCTTTGGTCTTCCTCTCAGAAGGTATCGTGATGTATTGCTGAACCTAGAAACTAGGTGATGTGGCTCTCCTCTATTGTTTGGGCTCTGACCAAAAAGAGATTGTGATGTTTCACTGGGCCCAGCACCTAAGTGTTGTGGCTCTCTGCTCTCTCCTAGGCACTGCATACATTGTGTATGGTGACACATGGCTAGATCCAAAACCAAAATACTGCAACTCTTTTGTATTGGCAACGTCCACAGGTGTATTACCACATATCGTTTTTTTTTTTTTTAGCTCTGAAATTGAGCTCTGAAATAATCTGGATCTTTGATCTTTGTTCCCATCTCTCCTATTAAGTTTAAACTTTATTCCAAAAGCGATTACAATAGTCATAATTACTGAATGCCTCAAAGTGATAATTTTTTTCTCCTCTTCCTCCTTTTCTCTTTCTTTTCCATCTCCTCCTTTTCTCTTTCTCCTCCCCCTCCTCTCCTCCTCATCATTGTCTCCTCTTTCTCCCCCACTTCCTCCTCTCTTCCTCCTCATTTTCTCCTCTCTCTTCTTCCTCCTCCTTTTCTCCTCTCTCTTCTTCCTCCTCTCCTTTTCTTCCCTTCATCTTCCTTCTCTCCTCCTCCTCTCCTCCTCCTCCTTCTCTCCTCCTCTCTTTTTCCTCCTCCTGCTTTCCTTCTACTCCTTCTCTCCATCTCCTCTTCCTCTCCTCCACCTCCTTGCCTTCTCTTTCTCCTCTCCTCCTCTCCTCTTCTTTTTACTCTTCCCCCTCTCCTCCCCCTCCTCCTCTCATCCTCGTCTCCTCCTCTCTTCTCCTCCTCCTCCTCTCCTCCTCTCCTCCTACTCTTATCCTCATCTGCTCTTCCTTGTCTTCTCCTCCTCCTCTCCTCTCATCCTTCTTCTCTACTCCTTCTCCTCCTCCTCCTTCTCCTGTCCTCGTCTATTCCTCTCCTTTTCTTCCTCCTCCTCTCCTCCTCCTCCCTTCTCATCTTCTCCTTCTCTTTTTCTCCTCCTCCTCTCCTGCTCCTCCTATTTCTCCTCCTCCCAACTTTCATTTTATCCTCATTGCTACTAGTCTCCTTGTCCTCCTCTCCTGTTTATTTTCTCCTCTTCCTCTATTCTTACTGTCTTCTCATTTTCTCCTCCTCTCCTCTTCTTCTTGTTTCCTCCTCCCTTTTTCTCTCTACTTTTTCCTCTCTTCCTTCTCTTTTCCTCCTCCTCTTTCTCCACTCCTTCACTCCTACTCCTCCTCTTACTGAGCCACTGGCCATGTCAAGCAGCACCCAGCACGCGTAGTGGCAGTCTCTGCAGCGCTGTGCTAGAAAGACCTGACATGCATCTATATTAGGTTTTGGAGGGTAGGAATACGGCCCAACCCAGGCGGCCGAGTTTATTTATATATTTATTTATTCTATGAGAAAGGGTCTTGCTCCATCACCCAGGCTGGAGTGCAGTGGCACAAGCTTATGACTCACTATAGTGTCAAGAGATCCTCTCACCTCAGCCTCCCGAGTAGCTGGAATTGCAGCCGTGGCCCACACCTGACTAAATGTCTTTTTTAGTGACGGAGGTCTCACCACGTTGCCCAGGCTGGTCTGAAACTTCTGGACACGAGTGCTTCTCCTGCCTTGGCCTCCCGGAATACTGGGGTGAATTTATTTATTATAGCACCGCCGGGACTTGGATGGTATAAGCCTCCTAAGCCAGAAACATCTTCCCGACGCTGCTCCCCACCTTCTGCCCTCTCTCTCCTGGCATCCTTCCCCTATGGAATGAGGAACTTTCCTTCTATGGCCTTTCCAGTCCCTCTCTGGCGGGGAAGCCTGGAAACTAGGGTTCCTGCTTTCCCCAGCAGCCGCAAAGCATCAGGGATGCTGGCCAGGAGGCGGCCTCCTGGGGTGCTCTAGCCGGGGTGTTTGGTGGAAGCGCCTGCCGCGCCCTGCTCTGCGGATTTGAAATTCCTGGGCAGAGGACACTGGAGTCAAGGGGCAGCAGGAAGCCCTGAGCCCTGGCCCTTTCCTGGCTGGCGGTTTTGGTGTGGCCGACTACCACCTAAGGCGCCCAGGAAAGAAGGGGGCCAGGGCCTTGCCATGGGGGCGCCTATCTTTCCTGGTCCTTCCGATGGCGGGGCGTGTGTTTTACAGGGATCCGTCAGTGTGGAGTGCACCTTCTTCGCGCGAGTGGGGGGCTCGGTGCCGGGTGCCATCGTTGAGTCCAGGAAAAATGCGGGGGGGGCCTACTCCCGCTGGAAAAATCTGTGGCTATTTCCAGGGCTTCCTTTTTTCCTTCCACACCAGCCTGCAGCCTAGTGTCGCTTCCTCTGCCCCCAGCACTAGTCTCTGCCTGGACCCCCTCCCCCAATCCCAGTCGCGTCTCTTAGGAAACTGCGACCCTAACGTTTGTTAAGGAGCAGGGGAGGTCCTTCCTGTCGCCGACGCCCTCCATGGGAAGCGGCGCGTTTTCTGGGCCGAGGGCACATCGAGGATGTCACCCCCTCGGGGCCAAGGGTGAGGACGGGACGCGGCGGCCGATCCCACTACCTGGCGGGGCCGCTTCCTTTCCAGGCAGGGCGGAGAACTGCAGAGCTCGGGGACCCGGCCCGGCGCAGAAACGCGCTGGCCAGTGGGCCGCTTGGCAGGCGCCCTGGGCACCTGGCGACCCTCGTCAGCGCTGCATCCATGAGAGGTTATAAATGAGGAGGAAAGATTTTCTTTCTTTTTTTTTCTTTTTTTTTTTTTTTTTTTTTTCCTGCTCAGTGGATTTGTCCTCCTTCTCTTCTTACTGGTTAGGAGATAGAACATGAGCCCAGATCCCGGGCAGCAGTTCACACTCCATTACAAAACTCTACACAGCTTCCCAGCTAGCAGCAGCGCACATTTGGGGAAAATTGGAGGGATTGCCTTTTTCTTTTGTGGGTGGTGATGTTAGTGTTTGTGGAGAGAGAAAGAAGGGTGAATTAAAAATATAACGATTTGGTAGGTTGAAAAACATGTCTGGGATTTTCATTACTAGAAAATTGAACCCTCGTTCTTGTTTAAGAGTTTAGATTCAAGCTTACCCCTTTCAAAGTCAGTGGAAACTGCCTGTTAGATGAGAATGCTGAAAATAGTGAGACACTTCTGTCTGGAGGAAACAAAATGATTTCCGCAAAGGCAAGATTGCCAGTGCATCCCCATATATTTGAGGGTTTTTTCCTTTTTTAGATATGTAGTGGTCTCTGTACCTGTGCACAATTATTCTGAAGTATATTTAATAGAAGTGGAAGGTGGGGGAAAGGGAATTGCAAAGAGAAGAATGTGATTTTGTTTTCATTTTTTCACACCTGTGAAAAGCATTCTCTAGTTTTGATGCTTTTTCAAGTAGGCAGGTAGAGTTTCTAAGCCATATTTTAATCAGAGAGTCTGTTAGAGGCCAAAGGCTCGGCTAAAACCTCTTTGGAAACACACACAAAAAACACTTAGTTCTGTGCTACCTTCAAGAGTCCACAGAACTTTTGCAGGAATGGATATGAATTCCTTCAGAAGGGTCTTGTGCTCCATTTCAGGTGAATGAAGTTGTACTGTTTATCATTTTTAGAAATACTGCTAAACTGCTTGCATGTTAGCATATCTTGTTTTTAAAAGACTTGTTGGATGTTTGATAATTTTTAGAAATGCTACTAATGCTTATGGATGTATGGAATATCACTCTCTGGGGTTGTCTAGATACCACTTTATTTCTCATCAGAAATTTAGACTCTAAGCCCTGAGCATGGCAGACACGTGTTTGTTATGTGATGTAAACATGCATCTCACTAAGCTGGCACAGGTAATACATTCATACCTAACTTGTTACACCATCCAAGTGACTGCTTGATTTTCCTACAACTAAATGTTCCCATCTGGGGGAACATTTTTTATTTTAAGTCTCTTCAGGCCGACTCCTGAGGTCTTATTTGCATCTGAAACAGGCACAGCATGTTGAAGGAAAAAAAATACACCTTACCTTATTAGTCCTGCATTAGATCAATAGCTGTTTATTAAGTAACTGGTGTATGCCAGGCACTGCACAACATAGGTGTCCTGGTAATAAATGGCTGGTAATAAATGTGGTTGTCAGAAGAACACAGTGGCTCAGGTCTGTAATCCTGGCACTTTGGGAGTCTGAGGCGGGAGAATAAACTGAGATCATGAGTTTGAGACCAGCCTGACCAACATGGTGAAACCCCATCTCTACTAAAAATACAAAATTAACCAAACATAGTGTCACATGCCTGTAATAGCACCTATTTTGGGAGACTGAGGCAGAAGAATTACTTGAACCCAGGAGGTGGAGGTTGCAGTGAGCTGAGATTGCGCCATTGCACTCACCCACTCACTCACTCAATCAATCAATGTAGTTGCCCCACATCAGTGTTCCTCAACACCAGGGCACAGACTGATACCAGTCTGTGGTCTGTTACAAACCAGGCTGCACAGCAGGAGGTGAATGGTGGGTGAGTGAAGCTTCATCAGTATTCACAGCCACTCCCCATCACTTGCATAACAGATCAGCAGCAGCATTAGATTATCATAGGAGTGCAAACACTATTGTGAACTGAGCATGTGAGAGATGTACGTTGCAAACTATTTATGAGACTCTGATGCCTTAGGGTCTGTCACTGCCCCTCATCACTTCCAGATGGGAACATTTAGTTGCAGCAAAATAATCCCAGGGCTCTCACTGATTCTACATTATGGTGAGTTGTTTAATTATTTCATTATATATTACAATGCAATCATAATAGCAACAAAGTGCACAGTAAGTGTAATGTGCTTGAATCATCCCAAAAGGAAACCATCCCGCCACATGTGCGGAAAAGTTGTCTTCTGCAAAACCAGACCCTGGTGCCAAAAAGATTGGAAACCACTGTCCTACATTATACAGTGCCTGGCATACACCAGGTAGCCAAAAAATTTCTTAGTGGGGTTAATTAGATAGAACTTTTAAAAGCTGTATCTGCTTTTGATAGCTTGCTTTGTGTTTTTCTCTTTTTCCCTTTTCTCAGAGACAATGGGGTAGGATTATATATCAGATATTTCTGGTGGTTTAATTACTTTAAAATATTCCTTATTTATTTTGCTGTACCTTCCTGGACTAAGTTATTTTCACTCCGCTTTTTCAAAAGCATTCAGCAAAGATTTCACATTTCCACTCAGAGCAAAACTATTAGGGTTGGGTGGGTATATTGACTCCTGTTATAGCTGCTTTATGATCTACCCAAGGGCTGACAATAAATTAAGCTCAGAATCCACAATTCCTAACTACCGCTTAGCTCCATGGGACAGCTGCTTTATAGAGTCAGCTTGATCTCAAAACAATGTAGCTTTAAATGTATACTGCTTATTTACCTCCGTGTATGTGTGTTGTTATTTTTAATAAAGAAGGCCATATTTTTTTCAAAATAAATTCGGTTGATTTTGAAAGTATAAGGGAATTTAAAATGAAACTTTAGCCTTTGGTGGCACTGCCATTGATGAATATGACAGGCATCTTGTCAGTAGCTTTTCTACCTCATGGGATTGTCATAAGGATAAAATAACTGTTCCAGAAACTCAAAATCTACATATGGAATAAAGTGGCATGTTTTGAGATCAGGAAGCTTTGTGGGTGTCCACTGTGGATTTCCTTTACAGAATGATAAAATTTTTAGTGTCTTGCTTTGGGAAAGGGTGCTACTGGCATTTAGTGTACAGACACTAGAAATGCTGCTCCACATATTACAATGCATAGGACAGCCCCAAATGTCAGGAGAGCTGAAGTCAACAAAGCCTGCTTGAGAGGTATAGTAGTGGACTTTATTGTATCCACAAGCATACTGAGTGCATTCCCTGTATTGCATGTGCTATATTTAGAAATCTGAAGTTCCAGAAAGTAGGTAAGCTTTTATCTGCCTCTAAGATGCCATGGTTGGCAGGGTCAAAGTTTTACAAGAAGCTTGGGATTGAGGAAAACATTAAGTGGTGTTCAATGTATTTGAAAACTTTAGAGTAAATAAGAGTTCTAGAACTCATCTTCTTCTACAACAATTGAGATGCATTGGCTCTGTAAAGCTGTTTTGGTAGGTGGCTCAGTTTTCCCAGTCACCTCCTCAGTTATTTAGGAAATCCACTCTGATGCTGTCATCTGCCAGTCTTCCTCATGATTTAAGTTATGTGGACTACATCTTTTTAAAAAATTCTTTGAATTATCTCTTACTTGCTTGACAGTTAATGTTTTTGCATTCATAGTCTCCCTTATTTTAATTTCTCAAGTTTTTGCAAAATTCTTACATAACTATCTGCCCTTTTCATAGAGCAGTGTTTCTGAGCCAGGTCTTCTGTCCATACATCTCCTCTTGAGAGGGTGGATGTCAGCCAGCTGCCCTGGCTAAGAGGGATAGGGATAATACAGGGATGCAATAAAGGAGACAGTGATAATTTTATGTTCTGAGAACCCAGGCCTCAGACCAGAACTGTCTAGTAGAATGAAACGAGTGATCTTTTAGCTAACCAGTGCCACTGGTCTGAACTTTGTCCTGCCCTCCACTTTCCACCCTATTACACAAGCAGGAGATATGCAAGGGAGAAGGCAGGAAGATGAGGAGACTGAATTCCAGATAAGAAAGGGCTGCCTGCAGAAAGGAGACAGTTGCCCCCAAAGTGGTGTGGGCCCCCACTTACCTCAGAGACATGGGCAACACTTGAGAATAGTTGTTTTAAAAATTTTTTTTTTTTTTTTTGAGACAGAGTCCAACTCTGTCACCCAGGCTGGAGTGCAGTGGTGTGATCTCGGCTCACTGCAAGCTCCGCCTCCTGGGTTCACGCCATTCTCCTGCCTCAGCCTACCAAGGAGCTGGGACTACTGGCACCTGCCACATGCCCGGCTAATTTTTTGTATTTTTAGTAGAGACGGGGTTTCACCACGTTAGCCAGGAGGGTCTCGATCTCCAGACCTTGTGATCCTCCCACCTCAGCCTCCCAAAGTGCTGGGATTACAGGCATGAGCCATCGTGCCCAGCCTAAAATTCTTAAATCAGTGGAGAGACTGTAAGCATCCCATTGGTATCAGTGGCCAGGTACCCAATGCCTGTTCTCTGCAGCAACCTTTGCAGTCCCATACATGGGAGTGAGTTCTGTTCCTGCTGAATGCCCTGTGCATCCTGGTGCTTTTCTGACCTCCCCTCTAACCTATAAACTGGCAACTCCAGCTCTATATTTTCACCTACAACTTATCTGAAGCTGTAATCTTTTGTCATCCTGATCACAGTACAATTCCCTCATCCTGCCAAGTACTTGTAAAAATGAAAGTAATCTCCATCCTTTCTGGAAGGTGATTACCATGCACACAACCTACTAGGCCAGGAACATTACTGCTGGCTGTCCTGATGCATGTCTCTCTCACCCTCATGTCCATCAGTCACCAGGCTCTCCTCAAAACCATGCTTCAATCACTGACATGGGCTGTTTAATCACTCCTGACCTGAGGACCTCACTGAGTCATAAACACCTCTTAATTTTCTGCCACCAGTTTCTCCCTACTGCTGTTAACCTTCCACCTTGCTGCCAGAGGCATTATCCTCAAAGCCTAAAGCTGCTCTCATTGCTTGCCTGCCTAATGACATCTCTTGGCACCATGTTGTCTACAAAAAGGAAAATCCAAACCCCTTAACTTGTTTTACAAAGACTCTCATCTGCTTCCAAACCAAACTGCTAGTCTTGGCTCTTGTCTCTATCTTCCACATCACTGCCACACTGAATAATTATTTACTGCCTCTGCTGTTGCATGGGTTCTTTTCGTTGTGTCTCCATCTTCTTCTCCCAGCAAAGAACATTTACTTTTCTCCTGAGACCCATCTCAAATACTACCTTTTCTAGAAATAATTAGGCCTTCTGTTTCTAATGACTTTTACTCCCATGTGTCAAGTCTGTCTTCTGTAATTTATCTGTTAACATGTTTCTCCCACCTCAGGAATATTTTTTCCATCTCTTGTACCTAGCACAATTGCATGGTTGGTGCTCACTGACTACTGCATGTTGATTTCTTTTTCTTTCTTTCTTTCTTTCTTTTTTTTAAGATGGAGTTTTGCTCTGTCACCCAGGCTGGAGTGCAGTGGTGCAATCTCGGCACACTGCAACCTCCACTTCCCGGATTCAGGCAATTCTCCTGCCTCAGCCTCCCGAGTAGCTGGGATTACAGACACCCACCACCACATCTGGCTACTTTTTGTATTTTTAGTAAAGACAGGGTTTCACTATGTTGGTCAGGCTGGTCTCGAACTTCTGACTTCAGGTGATTGGCCTGCCTTGGCCTCCCAAAGTCCTGGGATTACAGGTGTAAGCCACCATGCCTGAACTTGCCTGTTGATTTCTAATATAAACATGAGATTTTTTAAGATTTTGGAGAAGAGCCACATGTAAATTGAAAACTAAGGCCTTTCACTCCACATTCAGTAAAGGAAGTGGACATAAACTAACAACTTTGTCACATCTGTCATGTAGTCGTTTGCAGCTACATGAAAAAGATTTAGGTGTTTTGGTGGGAAAGAATGTTGAATTACAGAAATTCTAAAATAAAAGTTGGCTCAGCTTAAAGAGAAAAGCATGCTTCTTAATGCCTGGTTGCACTAAAATCTGTCACACTGTGGCCTTTAATAATTCTAAACATTATTAATGGATTTTGGCTTGAACTTTAAATTCAATGGGAAAAATAAATGCACAGATAAAAGACCCAGAACATTTCAGAGCTCCAATGTGTGAATTCATTTTCTCTACTTATTTAGAGTTTTGTTTCACTAGTGGTATGAGTTAATAGAAGTGTTGGTTTATATGTAATTTAACTTTCCTTTATTCCATTATTTCTTGGTTTTAAAATTGAATGTAAAACCAGAAACCTGCAGGGTATAAATCTTGCTTGATATGTGTATGTGCAATGTACCTACTTGATAATAATTGATTATGTATCATACTCATAAAAAGAACCATTTTTACTGTTTTAGGGGAAGTTATTTTACCCTGGTACTTTATTGTTAAAAACAACAACAAAGCACTTCTATAAATACACACAATCAAAATTTTAACTTTCCTTTAATAGAGGTACATATATTTTTAGAAATAAAAGAGATACCCAGAAGATAAGGTGGGTGTCCTGAAACACAAGGTGAACCCTTTGAATGGGTTTTCTTTTCAAGAGTAATTTTTTTTTTTTTAATTGATCATTCTTGGCTGTTTCTCGCAGAGGGGGATTTGGCAGGGTCGTAGGACAATAGAGGAGGGAAGGTCAGCAGATAAACAAGTGAACAAAGGTCTCTGGTTTTCCTAGGCAGAGAACCCTGCGGCCTTCCACAGTGTTTGTGTCCCTGGGTACTTGAGATTAGGGAGTGGTGATGACTCTTAATGAGCATGCTGCCTTCAAGCATCTGTTTAACAAAGCACATCTTGCACCGCCCTTAATCCATTTAACCCTGAGTGGACACAGCACATGTTTCAGAGAGCACAGGGTTGGGGGCAAGGTCATAGATCAACAGCATCCCAAGGCAGAAGAATCTTCCTTAGTGCAGAACAAAATGGAGTCTCCTACGTCTACTTCTTTCTACACAGACACAGCAACAATCTGATTTCTCTATCTTTTCCCCACATTTACCCCTTTTCTATTCCACAAAACCACCATCGTCATCACGGCCCCTTCTCAATGAGCTGTTGGGTACACCTCCCAGATGGTGTGGCGGCCAGGCAAAGGGGCTCACTTCCCAGAAGGGGCGGCCAGGCAGAGGCGCCCCCCACCTCCCGGATGGGGCGGCGGCCGGGCGGAGGAGCCCCCCACCTCCCTCCCGGATGGGGTTGCTGGCCGGGCGGGGGCTGGCCCCCACCTCCCTCCCGGACGGGGCGGCTGGCCGGGCGGGGGCTGCCCCCCACCTCCCTCCCGGATGGGGCGGCTGGCCGGGCGGGGGCTGCCCCCCACCTCCCTCCTGGACGGGGCGGCTGGCCGGGCGGGGGCTGCCCCCCACCTCCCTCCCGGACGGGGAGGCTGGCTGGGCGGGGGCTGCCCCCCACCTCCCTCCCGGACGGGGAGGCTGGCTAGGCGGGGGCTGCCCCCCACCTCCCTCCCGGATGGGATGGCTGCCGGGCGGAGACGCTCCTCACTTCCCAGATGGGGTGGCTGCCAGGCGGAGGGGCTCCTCACTTCTCAGACGGGGCGGCTGCCGGGCTGAGGGCCTCCTCACTTCTCAGACGGGGCGGCCGGGCAGAGAAGCTCCTCACCTTCCAGAAGGGGTCGCGGCTGGGCAGAGGCGCTCCTCACATCCCAGACGGGGCGGCGGGGCAGAGACGCTCCCCACATCTCAGACGATGGGCAGCCGGGAAGAGACGCTCCTCACTTCCTAGATGGGATGGCGGCAGGGAAGAGGGGCTCCTCACTTCCCAGACTGGGCAGCCAGGCAGAGGGGCTCCTCACATCCCAGATGATGGGCGGCCAGGCAGAGACGCTCCTCACTTCCCAGATGGGGTGGCGGCCGGGCAGAGGCTGCAATCTTGGCACTTTGGGAGGCCAAGGCAGGCAGCTGGGAGGTGGAGGTTGTAGCTAGCTGAGATCACGTCACTGCACTCCAGCCTGGGCAACATTGAGCACTGAGTGAACGAGACTCCGTCTGCAATCCCGACACCTCGGGAGGCCGAGGCTGGCAGATCACTCGCGGTTAGGAGCTGGAGGCCAGCCCGGCCAACACAGCGAAACCCCATCTCCACCAAAAAAATATGAACATCAGTCAGGCGTGGCGGTGCGCACCTGCAATCGCAGGCACTCGGCAGTCTGAGGCAGGAGAACGAGGCAGGGAGGTTGCAGTGAGCCGAGATGGCAGCAGTACTGTCCAGCTTCGGCTCAGCATCAGAAGGAGACCGTGGAAAGAGAGGGAGAGGGAGAGGGAGACCGAGAGGGAGAGGGAGAGGGAGAGGG
Source organism: Homo sapiens (assembly GCF_000001405.40). Taxonomy (NCBI): domain Eukaryota; kingdom Metazoa; phylum Chordata; class Mammalia; order Primates; family Hominidae; genus Homo; species Homo sapiens. The sequence goes on along the minus strand of NC_000019.10, from coordinate 23,963,378 downwards.
CTCAAAGAGTAAATTTTTAACAAAGAAAAAGTTAGCATTGTGTGTGACTTAGTGTCTTTTATACAACATGAAATCCTAATTGATTAAGGATACATTACTAACTGTAAATGTCAATTAATAAGTGCTGCATGCTAACTAGAATTTAGATTCATACCTGACAGATACATTTAGACATAATATTCTAACTTAGTTTTATTTCTGAGGAGGCTTCTATATTTTCCTTTATGATACAGAAAATAGATTTTTTAGGCCATTTTATCTTTTACTTTAGAGCTTTTAATTGTTGGTTCAGCGGATTGTTTTACAATGGTTTAACATCTCAAACAGGTTTTCTGTGATTTGGTCAGTTAAATCTGTATGTATTTGGTTAAAACACTCAAAAGTTTTAAACCAAAAGTAACTTAAAGGAGGCTTAACTTGTGTTTCTCTGAATTTGATTTGTATTTAAATTATAAAAATAAGTTTTATAAGAGCCATTTTGTGTTAAAAGCTTATTAAAGTTTTACAATTTAATTTTTCTAAGTACAGTTCTGTATTAGATTTAGCCTCTTTTTTTTTTTTTTTTTTTTTTGAGACAGAGTCTCCCTCTGTCACCCAGGGTGGAGTGCAGTGGCACGATCTCGGCTCACGGCAGGCTCCGCCTCCTGGGTTCACACCATTCTCCTACCTCAGCCTCCCGAGTATCTGGGACTACAGGTGCCCGTCACCATGCCCAGCTAATTTTTTGTATTTTCAGTAGAGACGGAGTTTCACCGTGTTAGCCAGGATGGTCTCGATCTCCTGACCTTGTGATCCCACCCGCCTCGGCCTCCCAAAGTGCTGGGATTACAGGCGTGAACCACCATGTCCGGCCTAGCCTCTTTTTAAGAGACAGTTTTTCACTATCAAATTTACCATTCCCATGATTCTTTTTTCACATTTACAGATTTTATTTATTCCATAAATATCTGATTATCTGCTTGTGAAGGTTCTGTCTTTACCACCAAACTTACTTGCATTGCAAAGATAGACAGTTGCTAATATCATAGAGGACATATCACAGTGAAAGAGACTCATCCAGCCAGGAAAAGCTCACTTATATCAGTGTTAACTGCTCAAAGTATGACAAGAACTTATGAAGTAAAGTTTGGCCTTTGTGTATGGAAGAGGAATGGAGGATGTCGGGATGCAGGTCAAGGAAGGCATCCTGTGGAAGTGACATTTGAGCTAATATCTGAAGAATGGGTGACAGGAAGAAAAAGAATGCTTCAGAGAACAGCAGGTACAGAAGCTGAGGTTGAAAAGGTGGATGTGTCCAGGGAAGTGGGAGAAGTACAGTGTGTTTGGAAGAAGAAAAGACACTGAATGAGGGGAATGACAGGAATGATGAAGTAGGCAGGGGTTAGAGTAGGCTTGTAGGAGCTCTGGAAAGCTGTAAAAAGTGTTGGCCCCAAAAGTAGTGTGGTGAGATTTGAATGTTACGGACTATTTTTACCCATAGTAGTAAATAGACCTGGTAGAAGGAAATAATTATTGGCCTTCTGTTTGGAATAAGATCAGTTAGAAGGCTAGTTTATGAAAAAATTGAAAAGCATTGGTGGCCTGAAGCATAGTGACAGTAGAGACGGGAGCTCAGATGGATTTGATAGAGGTTTAAGAGGTAGGAGAGGCTTGATGATGGGATGGTATGGGGAAGGGATAGATGACTTCCTGATCTTAGATTTTATAGCTGGGTGGATGGTGGTGTCTTACTAAGATTGGAATGCTAGATTAGGCAATGTATATGAACTGGGCATGTTCTCTACCCTTTAAAGAGTTAATATGTTTTCTATGTTTTTAGCTATTTCTCCACTTGTAATGTGTTATAGTTGGTTAAAAATTAAGTACCTGGCATGGATGAAGCATGAAAATACTATGTAACTGATAAACCAATGTTATGTTCTTACCTACAAAAATAATTAAATGGCTTTATCTTATTATTTTCCTGCTTTCCTTTTAATTTACTGATACTAAACTGCAAAGAACAGATTTCTTGTAGATGACCTGAGCTTTTGAATGATTTTCAGATGAGATTTACACCTAAATGTTAAGAGTGTTGAAGTTTGTGTTTGATGTAGTGATGCTTTATCTGTTTGACTTTTAAGCATAGGATTCATGAGAAGAGACTTTGAGTAGGAAGCAAGCTAGGACTTTCACAATGGTTTAAGCCCATCAGAGCAGTTCTGATGCTAATTAGAGCATCAGAACTCCTTTCATGGACTTATTTTTCATGTAATTTCTTAATTGAAACCCCATAAAGAACATAAGTTGTCTTGTGATACCTTAATGTCTTAGAGTTATATCAATATTTTGCTTCACCTGTAATCTGTGAAAATAAAGTTTATTTAGTAAACAGAAGTTGTTGTTTATCTATTGTATGCTAAGATCTTCACTAAATCTGAGAGTGCCCAAGACAAAGATTTATTTTACCCCTTTCACAAAGAGTGAAACTTATTTCCACAGAGTATTTGTCTGGCCAGCATTTAAATACTTCTGGTGATGACAGACCTGCTACCTACCCTAGGCAGTCCTTGGGCTTTTACTATATTAATTCACTTTTTTATGGCAAACAAAGTATTTTTGAAACAAAATAGACAGGGATGTGTTTTCTGCTGAGTTGGTACATGCTAGAAGCTGGAGTGCAGGCAAGTTGTTCTGTGCTTTATGCAACTCAGGGAGACAGTGGGAAATCTGACCACCAGAGAGTTCCATCAGGGCATGCTTCGACTACTTAGTGAGTGGCCATCTCCTACATTAAGATTTCGGCTCCTGAGAAAAAAATATCAGTCTCACTTGGATGCACAGCCATCCTCTTCTGTGTGAGTTGGGCCACCATATTCTAAGACCATCTTATGTGAAAGTCTTATAGGGACTCTAATTTTGGGTAATGCTTGTCTCTGATGTCATCCACATGACTCACCAAAATCTCAGGTGAGCCCCACTGTGCTCGAGAGATGATCCTCTCTTATGGTATCAATCCTGACAGATGTAGCCTGAACATCTCTTTGGGCCCCAGGTAACACTGGTTTCCCCATTTTGGGGAGAACATGATTTTTCATCTCTTGCTTGGGAGCGTAGATATTTCTGCATCACCACAAATAAATATCATTAGGACAGACACCACACTTTATTCCATTTCCGTATAGGATAAGATAAACTGAATAGAAAGGAATAAAACTTTAAAAAGCCCTCCCCACTCCTCAGTTATTAAAATTAAAATTGTTGCTGGGTGTGGTGGCTCACGCCTGTAATCCCAACACTTTGGGAGGCAGAAGCAGGTGGATCACCTGAAGTCAGGAGTTCGTGACCAGCCTGGCCAACTTGGTGAAACTCCATCTCTACTAAAAATACAAAAAAATTAGCTGGGCATGGTGGTGCATGCCGGTAATCCCAGCTACTCGGGAGGTTGAGGCAGGAGAATTGCTTGAACCCAGGAGGCAGAGGCTGTAGTGATTTGAGATTGTGCCATTGTACTTCAGCCTTGGCTACAAGAGCAAAACTCCATCTCAAAAATAAATAAATAAATAAATAAATAAAACTGATACAGTTTGGTGAAGAGATGCTGGGAAGAATACTTCTAAAACTAAGCTTAAGGACATGTTTTGAAAATGTAAATCTTAAGGTACTCTACAAATAACTCAAGAGTTTTTCTCTCACTGTGACCCAAGGCATATGCGTGCATTCATAAGTCTAATTACAAGTTAGCTATAAATATATCTTACCAGATAATTACTGTGTTGTTAATATCAAAAATTGGAATCTAAATTATGTTCAGAACCAATTTGTGGTGACAATTATATATAAGCCAACTTTTAGATAAGCCATTAACAGCTACTTATTTTGGAGAATGCTGGATAGTGGTGACCACAGATGCTGTCTGTTGGGTGACGTATTTTTCCTTAAATATTTGTGTATTTGCACTGTTATAGTGTTGATTCCTCAAGTCCCTGGTGTGTTAAGCTTTCCATGCTTCGGAGTATGGGCATGTCTTACATATGGCTGTCTTCTGGATATGTTACACCATCTATTGTGGTAAGATTAAGTGAATGAAAATTGAATATATTTTCTGTTAAGTCCCCGAGGAAATTAATGAAATAAGTTAATAAAGAAATACATGTTTAAAATTTGAGTTTACTTCAGAGAAATTAAAAATTGTATCAGGTAAGCCAGGCCAGGCGATGTGTCTTAAGGGTGTCTGTAATATGCCCAAAGCCAGTGTCATCTTGCAAAGAGTGAGAGATCAGGATATATGCTGTAAAGTTACTTTTTTTTTTTTTTCCAAAAAAGTGAATGCTCTGACTTAAAATGAGAGTGTTTGGTCTTCTTGTGACAATAGGTGCTGAAAACAGGGTAGTCACTAATGTCAGCTTCTCATTGATTTTGCTTCTCTTCTTAATCAGCTCTAAATGTAGATGTGGTGAACATGGTGGTCTGTGTGTTCTGAAGCTTGCTTTGTGCCTTTGTTACTCTGATCTGCACTGGAGAGTGGATAGTGTGTGGTCATGTGTTTGTTTTGTGTTATGCTAAGAAAAAAGGAGAAGTATCAGTGCATTGGGAAAGTAAAGTGGTTAACGCTGGTCAAATTCTTATGTTTAGAGATTATTATTTATTATATTTAAAGTAAATGGAATTTTGTAGGGCTCATTTGCCCAATTTGTCTCTAGGAAGTCTGATAGTAGCTAGGGCTGTCTCTTGTGTCTCTTCAGAAAACTAAATAAACAGAAATCAGTCCTAAACACCAGAAACTACAACATGCTTATATTACAAGTGAATCTGTCCAGAGTACTTTTAAATAAGTTTAACCTACAGCGTTCAAATTGCAGACAAACTTTGGTGAAAAGCATTTCTTAGCCAGGTTTGCCTGTATTTGCATTAAATCAGATAAACCAGAAGTATTTGTCTCTCTTCTACCTGTGCTAGACCTATTAATCCATACAAATCCAGTTTGACAAGTCAACAATCAAAAGTTTTACTTTAATTTCACCCTTTCTTGGTTGTTACTGTACATGTGGTTTACAAAGAAAAGGGAAGATGGAGCCACCATTTTGAACAGGCATAGTCCCCAGGCAACCCCTTTTCCTACTGGCATAGCGTGGGGGTTGTAAGACAATACATTCAAGCTTATGTACAAGGCATTTGAGGTTGAGGCATGGAAAAATACTGAGGCACTGTGTGTATGTTGTTTGTGCATGAGACTGTAATTCCTTGACCCTGAAAACAGGACAAGGAACAGAATGTGTGATAAAGAGTGCTGAACACAGCCTCCTAAGAATGTGGTTTGAGTGCTTTTAGATGTTATAAACAAGGCCATATGTGCCTCATGACCCGAATCCAAATAGCCACCTGGTGGATGTTTCTTGTTTGTCTAAATTGTAGTTCAACAAGCCTTCTCAATAAATACTTGGCGGATGAATCTTAAAGCAACACTCCATTGGAGGAGCTGCTCCCTTCCCCGTTCAGCTGTAATTGTCTGAATATTTATTTCTCGGCATTCACTGCAGAACAAGCTGCAAGTGGTGACTCGGACGTGATCAAGTGGTGACTCGGACATGATCAAGTGGTGACTCCGACGTGATTGCCTTGAAGTTATGCATGGAGTAGGATGACTCACCAATCTTCGGGGAATACCGGTAAGGGACAGTCCCTACCCATTTTCAGGAGGACAGCACCGACGTCTATAATACCAGGGGTCGGGTTACCATGGATCAGGAGTTGTCCAAAGAGCAGAAAGTATTTTTTAAAACGGTGCAACATTTACTTAAGGTTATTCAGTGCACCATAGAGTCTGAAGCTTTGCATAAGCTTATGTTTTTAATTCGGCAGGAATGCCCTTGGTTCCCTGACCAAGGAACATTAGACTTAGAGTTATGGGAGCAGGCAGATTGCTGCCTGAAAAGAGGATTTGAGCAGGTCCATTTTACTAATGTTACCGTTTTGATCACCTGGAGTCTGGCATGTTCTGTGTTGTACCCTCTTTATATGCCAGATCGTGGTGAGTCAGATTGCCCATTTTCTTCACCTGAAGGGAATTCGGAAAATTTAAAGGAAAAGGGGACACAGAAAGCAGAACAACAGGAAGGAGTTCCTCCCCCAACTTCACTCCCTTCAGTAGGGCATAAAGAAGACACTTTTTCTAGTGATGATGAGGACGGACTGGAGCCTTTTCCTCTCTCAATAGAAAAGCCATTGCCCTCTTTTCCTCCACCCTTCACACGACCTGCATCTGTTGGCCCCATTCAGGCAATAGCACCTCCCATCCCCCTTGAGTAGATTGGAGGCCGTCCAAGGGACTGTTCTTGGATAAGACCTCCAGGCAGTGAACATTTATATGACTGGATGGCCGTGTCCCCTCAAAAAACCTCCCTACTAGAAGGATGCCTCCAGGAGGGACTGAGGAAGGAAGATCCTGAGGCGCTTTTTAGTGCATTCCCTGTCATTGTTCAAAATAATAGGAGACGGCATGAGCGCTTGCCTTTTATTGTCTTTAAGGAATTAAAAAGAAGTATCTGCAAAAATGGTGTACATTCACCCTTTACGCAGGGGATGGTTGAGGCTCTGGGAAATGGTTATGAGATGGCTGTGCATGACTGGAAAACTCTGGGAAAAGTTTTGGCTTCAGCTGCTGAATATACTGTGTGGTGGAGAGAGTACAGTGATCTAGCCATGCAGCAATCCTTGCAAAATTTGGATAATATCCTGATACAGCTTGATATGTATGCTGTTGGAGACAGGGCCTTTTGCTTCAGCTCAGGCTTAGGCTCAGGTGGATGGCCGTCTATTTCCTCAATGCTCACAGCTAGCGATACAGGCATGGAAGAGGATACTCATGGGACAATTCCAGAGTTCCTTTGTGATGGTTAAACAGGGTGCCACAGAAACATATGTTGAATTTATCAACCGATTGCAGGCTGCAATTGAAAGACAGGTACCTCATCCTGAAGTCGCTAAACTTCTTATGTTGCAATTGGCTTTTGAAAATGCAATAAGGATTGTCAGGCAGCAATAACCCTAGTCTGAGCCACTGCCACTGAAATCGGTGTGTTTATTAAAACGTGCCAGAATGTAGGCACTTACAACTTATCTGGCTCAGACTTTTGCTGCAGTGATGACTGGGGCCACATGTTATAATTGTGGCCAAACTGGGCATATGGCCAAAGAATGCCAACAGAAGGGAGTCCCAAAGAAATCAAAGGCCCCTAAAATACCCTCTCAAGAATGCCTGCGATTCAGCAAAGGTAAGCACTGGGCTAATCAGTGAAATTCAAAATTTGATAAGGATGAAACCCATTATTGGGAAACGGGAAGAGGGGCAAGACCTCCAATGCCCAGAAAAATCCATGGAGGAACACCAATTCCCAGACTTGGGGAATGACTTTCCCCTCTGAGTCAGGACCAGAAATAGCATCCATAACCTCTCTTCAGCCACCTCTGGCAGCGCAGGGCTGGACCTCACAGTCATATCAGATATGGTGCTTAAAGAGCAAGATGGGGTCCAGCTGATTTCTACTGGAATCTATGGCCCATTACCCAGAGGAACGTTTGGATTGATTATCAGAAGTACACTTCAAGGAATTCAAATTTTCTCTGGAGTCATAGATTCAGACTATTTAGCAGAAATTAAAGTTATGGCACAGGTGTCAGGGGTCCATGCCATCTCTAAAGGGACTTGCCTTGCTCAGATTATTCTTACTCCTTACCTTCAAGTAATGTTCAACAGACCTGTGGGGCCTCAGGATTCGGCCACTCAGGCATGAAGGTTTTTTGGAGTACTCCAGTGTCATGTCATAGACCATACTTAGAAGTAACAATTAATGGAGTTATGTTTATGAGAATTGTTGACATGGGGGCTCATCAAACTATAATAGCTAAAAGACAGTGGCCTTCAGATTGGGCCTCTCCTGCCTGATGTTCTGTCATGGGTGTTGGAGGGTATCAACAGCCATTAAAAAGTAGGCATATTCTTCCACTTTTGGGCCCGGAAGGCAAGGTCACCCATGTTCAGCCCTTTATCTTAAGAGATTCTATTTTCTCTGTGGTAATGAGATGGCCTAGAACAGTGGGGCTTAAACCTCTCTGTCCTGCCCCCTTTTTGGTAGGGGCCACTGCTCCTTTGAAAAGTATCAAAACCAAGTGGAAAACTACTAGCCTGCTATGGGTGGAGAAGTGGCCCATTAAGAAGGAAAAATTGCAACACATCCAATGTCTCGTACAAGAACAACTAGACACGGGCCACATTGAGCCTACTACTAGTCCCTGGAACACTCCTATTTTACCATTCTAAAAAGGTCAGGAAAGTGGAGGTTATTGCATCACCTCTGTGCTATTAATGCTGTAATGTTTCCTATGGGGCCTTTGCAACCAGGATTACCTTCTCCAGTTATGATCCCCAAAGACTGGCCTCTTATTTTAATTGACCTAAAGGATTTTTTTTTTAACCATACCCTTGCATCCCGAAGATCGAGAAAATTTTGCTTTTATTGTTTCCACTTACAATACTCTGCAACCAGTTTAATGTCACCAATGGACAGTTCTACCCCAAGGGATCATGAATAGCCCTACTATATGTCAGCTTTACGTACATGAAGGCTTACTTCCTGTGCATCAATCCTTCCCCTAGGCAAAAATTTTCCACTATATGGATGATATTTTGGTAGCTGCTCAGCATCAGTCATTACTGCATCAACTTCATGCAATGGTAGTACAGCATATGTCACTATATGGTCTCATTATTGCACAAGAAAAAGTCCAGCTGATGGCTCTGTGGCTCTATATACTCTGTGGCTCTTATCTACTACCCTCAGGCCACAACTTACAGAATTAATTCTTCCACAGCACTTAACCCTTAATACATGATATTGAGTCCTAGGAAAGATTAGTTGGATATGATCCTATTTAGGCATTCCTACAAATTACTTTAATCTTTTTGACACCCTGAAAGGTGACTCTGCTTTAAATTCACTGCAAGACCTCTCTTGGCTGGAACAGGCTGAGCTTAATGCTGTGGAGCAAGCCTTGACCCAAAGGTGTATATTGGGTCTAGATCCTGACAGACCTATACATCTTTTGATCTTTAATACCCCTCAAAGTCCTACAGGAATGCTTGGGCAAGTTGGAACAAATGTTTCTCCTTTGGGGCAGCTTTACCTGTCTTGTAACCCCCTCCCTAAACACATACAAAAGACCACAGATTTAATAGCTTCTCACAACGGGATGCCGACATTGCATCCAATTGTCATGATATGACCCTACTACTCTTTTCTTACCTTTAAGCAAGGAACAATTTCATACTCTCTTAGCCTGTGATCTTGATTGGCAAGTTGCAATGATCAACTTTATTGGTAATATTAGTTTCCATTTACCAGCCTCTAAGCTCCTGAACTTTTTACAAACTGTGCCTGTTAAATTTGCATGTATTGTTGTCTCTGAGCCCTTGCTTCACACCACTACTGTCTTTACAGATGGTTCAAGGAAAATGGGAAAGTCAGCTATAGTGTGGCAAGATGCCATGCAAAATTGGCAGCACAAAATCCAGGAACATTTCAAAACTACTCAATAGGCTGAGTTAGGTGCCCTAATATTGGTGTTACAAACTTTTCCTCACCAAGACATGAATATAATTAGTGATTCCACTTATGCGGTGTATAGTATTACTCATTTAGATCTCACACATCTAAAAGGCATTACTAATGAACCCCTACTAACCCTGTTTCTCACAACACAGGAGCTCCTTTGTCCCCATCATCACCCTTTTTATATCACACATATTCGCTCTCATTCTGGGCTACCTGGTCCCTTGTCAGCAGGGAACACTCCAGCTGATGCTCTGGTACAAACACAGATGAGGTTTGCAGACTGTCCTGCATATTTGTGAGCTCAAGCTGATCATTCCTTTTTTCATCAGAATGCTCACAGTCTTTTGTTTTTGTTTTTGTTTTGAGATGGAGTTTCACTCTTGTTGCCCAGGCTGGAGTGCAATGATGTGATCTCGGCTCACTGCAACCTCCACCTCCCAGGTTCAAGCGATTCCCCTGTCTCAGCCTCCTGAGTAGCTGCGATTACAGGCTCATGCCATCATGCCCAGCTAATTTTTGTATTTTTAATAGAGACAGGGTTTCATTATATTGGTCAGGCTGGTCTCAAACTCCTGACCTCAGGTGATCCACCCACTTCGGCTTCCCAAAGTGTTGGGATTACAGGTGTGAGCCACTGTGCCCAGTCTGCCTACAGTCTTAAACAAGTTTCATTTAACACTTGATCAAGCTTGCATGATTATTAAAACTTGTCCTGATTGCCAACAGCATTCTCTCTCCCTTTTTTCATTGGGACTTGGTGCCAACCCATAAGGTCTGGTACCTAATGCTACCTGGCAAACTGGTATTACTCAGCATCCACCTTTTGGATGCTTTAAATTTCTCTATGTTACTGTGGACACTTATATGGGCCTCATATATGTGACTCCATGGACTGGAGAAGAAACTAAAGATGCAATTGCTTATCTTTTTGAATCTATTATGACCTTAGGCCCTCCACAGACTATTAAAACTGATAATGGTCCTTGCTATCTTAGCACTAGCTTTTTATATGCATTGCAACTTTGGCACATACAACACAAAACTGATAGTTCTTATAACTCAACCTGTCAGGCCATTGTTGAACAAGCTCATCAAACCCTTAAAGCATATCTTAATAAATGAAAAGGGGGGAATATGGGAGCTCTCTCCTCGAGAATGAGCAAAAATTTTATTTACTCTTCATTTTTTGAATATTGGATAAGATGGCCAGATGGCTATTGGTCATAGGATGAAGCTGTTTGAGGTCACAAAATGAAAGGTGTTAATTCGAGACATTTGTACAGGGAATTGGGAGGGACTTTATGAGGCATTGCAATGGGGTCAAGGTGCGGTTTGTATTTCATGAACTACAGGACTAGAGTGGATCCCCATAAAATGAGTGAAGCCATAATATGAGTTAGAGACTACTGAAAAAGCCCCTCCTGATGATGAAGGACCTGTCATTGGAGAATCGACCAAAACTGACAGTGATAACTTGGAAGGCACCTGACATTACCTGGGGACAGCTAAAGAAACTGGACCAACAGGGAACTATCTGGCTTGCATCTATGGGAGCCCCTGAAACTGCAGAGAACCAGTTTCTTATGTATCTGATGGTAATTGGGGGAGCTTCTGAGAAGGTAAGACAGACATGGATGTTGGGGTGGCTGGTAATTCTTGTTCTTTGCCAACTGGGCTTAGCTCAAGAACATGTTTATTGGAGTCATGTTCTGAATCCCTCAATTTTCAATGTTATTATGTGGTGGGATGCTGACCCGCCTTTGTCATCTTATAATACTTCTTGGATGGGAGGTCGATGGATGCCCCTGTCTTACTCCCTAACTGGAAATTTGGGATGGATTAAACTTAATGACTCCTTGACTTTATTGTCTAGCAATCCTCCTCTCTGTTTCTCTACATGGGCACCTAAGTGTATTACTCTCATTCCTCAGGAGTATCTTTACTATCAGCCCAAAAGGGATGCTAAGCCTGCAAACTTGACTTTTATTTCTGCTGTTACCAGTAATCTTACTGAGGTTTCTAATGAAATTATACAAATGCCTGATCTTCTGATATGCCATCTGAGAAAAGACTGGCGACATAAGTTTGAGGCTGTCCAGTGGTCCCCATGCAGACAACCTGTGCCGCATCAAGGACCTCTGTTTGATAATGGCACCTTACTTGACTGGGGACCCCATGGATATCTCATGTCTGCAAATCAGACTATTGGATTTGGGACTCCATCCAATAGTTCCATCACCTGGTCAGAGTATGGGATTTCAGGATGAATATTACAATCAAAAGGGGAATAAGTTTTAAGCCCTGCTCATACCCAAATTTGGAAACTAGGTCTTCCCTTTTTTGAATGGGTTCTTTCATAATAAAAGTGATTACATTTATAGCGGTCACAACTACACCCTCTCCTTGCACAATAATGTTACTGATACAGTCCTGATTTGTGCTATACACCCTTATATACTTTTGTTTGCGCAGGATATTCCTAACACAGAACAGAATCAATCCTTTTATAGTATTACTGTCTCTTCCAGTAGTTGATACGCTACATGCTTGTCTCATCAAAACATTACACAATTATAAACTATGTCATGATTTTTTTTTTTTTTTTTTGAGACAGAGTCTCACTCTGCCACATGGGCTGGAGTGCAGTGGTGTGATCTCAGTTTATTGCAACCTCTGCCTCCTGGGTTCAAGCGATTCTCCTGCCTCAGCTTCCCAAGTAGCTGGGATTACAGGCATGTGCCACCACGCCCAACTAGTTTTTGTATTTCTAGTAGAGACAGGGTTTCACCATGTTGGTCATTCTGGTCTCAAACTCCTTACCTTGTGATCTGCCCACCTCAGCCTCCCAAAGTGCTGGGATTACAGGTGTGAGCCACCACACCCGGCCCTATGTCATTATTTTAAAGTGGTGGTCAGGATTGTGGCTCCCTGTATATCCAACCCGGAACTGGAAAGGGGATTCTATCTTGCAGTTATTTAGAAAAGCATTGTCTCATACTCAAAAAAAAAAAAATTTCTGGCCACTCTAATTGCCTTTTTAGTTTCAGCTATTATTATACTAACAACTGCTACTACTGCAGCTGTCTCTTTGACGGAATCTATTCATACAGCCTCAGTGGTGAACCACATGGTATACAATGTAATCCATGAATTTCAAAAACATGTAAATACTGATAAAAATATTTTATCTCACCTAGAGGCCCTTGAAGCTGCCACTGAATGGCTAGGGGATCCACAGCAGGCATTCGTTACTTGTCAAAATTTACATTGTGATTAGCAATATAATTCCATCTGTGTCACATTTATGCCATATAATAGCTCCCAATATACCTGGGAGAGAGTGAAGGCACACCTACACAGGGCTTACGGCGACCACCTGTCTTCTCGAGTTTCTACTCGTTAGTGTGAATTAAATAAACAGTTTAAGCGATGGTTGCAGCAATTACAAACACCCTTCAGTTATTACAAGACTTTCAGTGGTTGAACCCAAATACTTGGTTGTCTGGGCTAAACATACAAATTTGGGTGATAGCCACTGTTTATCCTTTTTTGTATCTTTTAGGCATCTGCAAATGGCTCTGTGCTGCCACTCAACCAACTATGACCAGGGAAGAATGATAGAAGCTTACTTTGCATTGGATAATCCGCATGTTCTAAGAATTAAAGAAGGGGGAAATGTGAGGGGTGTATGACAATACATTCAAGCTTATGTACAAGGCATTTGAGGTTGAGGCATGGAAAAATACTGAGGCACTGTGTGTATGTTGTTTGTGCATGAAACTGTAATTCCTTGACCCTGAAAATAGGACAAGGAATAGAATTTGTAATAAGGAGTGCTGAACACAGCCTCCTAAGAATGTGGTTTGAGTGCTTTTAGATGTTATAAACAAGGCCATATGTGCCTCATGACCCGACCCCAAATAGCCACCTTGTAGATGTTTCTTGTTTGTCTAAATTGTAGTTCAACTAGCCTTCTCAATAAATACTTGGCAGATGAATCTTAAAGCAGCACTGTCTTGGAGGAGCTGCTCCCCTCCCTTTCAGCTGTAATTGTCTGAATACTTATTTCTTGGTGTTCACTGCAGAGCAAGCTGCAGCACAGCTGCCGGCATTTATTCATGCAAGATTCCAGCTTGCTTATCTATGTCTGCAGCTCAATTTTACAGGCTGCTCTTTGTTAAAACAAAAAAAACAAAACAAAACAAACAAACAAAAAAAAAAACCATAATTTGTGGACTTCTTTTTATTAAAAAGAAAACTTTACCAATGACTTTTTTGCTCTATCTGCCTAAATAATTTCAACTCCTGTAACAATAATAATGTCAAAGGAAACATTTATAATGTATTTTTATGTATGAATAAGCAAGATAGCAAACCCAAATAGTGGATGTTTTTAATTTATTTATACAAATGTGTTGGGTACAAGTGTAATTTAGTTCCATGCATAGATTGCATAGTGGTAAAGTCAGGGCTTTTAGGGTATCCATCACTCAATGTACATTATAACTATTAAGTAATCTGTCATCATACACCACCATCCTACCTTCTCACCCTTTTACGTCAGGAGTGCTGGCCCTCAATGACCAACACAAAATAGATAAATTATTTTCTGAGACTTAGAATTAAAAATCAACCTAAGAGAAAAGATGACTCCTAAGCCAGTAAAACATTGGTTTTATATATATATATATATATATATATATATATATATATATATATATGTATATATATATATTATATTTATACTCGAGAAACTTACACAGAGTCTTTCCTATGCACAAACCCAAAAGTAAAGCCAAATGGCTCTATGCAATAAACATCATGGTAATAACGTAAAAAAAAAAAAGCTTTCTCAAATGAACGTAAATTCAAAAATAAAATGAAGGAACTGTTTCTCTAGATGTACAGAAATCAACAAAAAGACACACAAAGACACAGGAAACACAGAAAAGCACGGTTTATGACACTTTCAAAGGAACACAATAATCCTCCAGTATTCTAAGAAAAAAAAATCATTGAAATTACTTTAAAAGACCTTAAAAAGGCTTCAAAATATATATTTAAAAGAAGCTCAAAGAGATGTGAGAGAAACCCAAAAACCAAATCAAAAATAAATAAATAAATTTAGAGTATAAGTGGGAAATGTGCCAAGGAGATGGATATCTTTTAAAAGAAACCAAAACAAAAATTGTGAAACTGAAAGATTGAAGGAAAAAGAAAATACATTCAAAGATTCAACAATACAATAGACTGAAACAGGCATAAAAGGAATTTCAGCCTTTTTTTTTTTTTTTTTTTGAGACAGAGTTTCACTCTGTTGCTGAGGCTGGAGTGTAACGGTGTAATCTCTGCTCACTGCTACCTCTGCCTCCTGGGTTCAAGCAATCCTCCTGCCTCAGCCTCCTGAGTAGCCAGGATTACAGGCACCTGCCACCATGCCCAGCTAATTTTTGTATTTTTAGTAGCGACGGGGTTTCAACATGCTGGCCAGAGTGGTCTTGAACTCCTGACCTCAGCTGATCCACCCACCTTGGCCTCCCAAAGTGCTGGGATTACAGGTGTGAGCCACCGTGCATGGCCCAAATTTTCAGACCTTTAAAGAGGATTTTTTTCTTTTGTTTTGTTTTTTGATTTTTTTTGCAGTTGCAAGATTTAAGAGTGAAAACAGAGCTCCCATAAAATGGGAGGGGACCCAAAGGGGGTTGCCATTGCCAGCTCGAATGCCTGGGTTTATATCCCGATCACTGTCCCTCCCACTGTGCTCTCAGGCAATAGATGATTGGCTATTTCTTTACCTCCAGTTTTTGCCTAATTAGCATTTTAGTGAGCTCTCTTTACTACCTGATTGGTCGGGTGTGAGCTAAGTTGCAAGCCCTGTGTTTAAAGGTGGATGCGGTCACCTTCCCAGCTAGGCTTAGGGATTCTTAGTTGGCCTGGGAAATCCAGCTAGTCCTGTCTTTCAGTCCCCCTTCTCAACAGGAAAACCCAAGTGCTGTTGGGGAGGTGGGCCAATGACCGCTCTAACTGCTTCCTGCTGAACTGGGGCATAGTAGGGGTTGTGCGGTTGAGATTTCTTCAGGAGGGGTGCCTTCGATGTCATTAACATCAGAGCATGGGCCAGCAGGCCAGTCCAGGAGTCCGTGGTAGATCTTAGTCATGGACTGCACCTGCAGCTCCATTTGAAGAATGTAGCTTTACAGCTTTGATTCTGGAAGAGACAAACTTAACAAGGAGGTTAAAGATACAGGGATTGAAATGTATGGCCTGCAGTGCAGGGGATTATTTCTTCGGCACACTTCACAGGCCCTGACTATCTGCTTGGTAGTTTTGGAAAGGCCTGGTCCAGTAAATAATAATTTGGCCATCTGATGGGTGCTATCAATGCCTAAGTGAAAGGTTTGGTGAAGGGTTTTAAGTAATTTCCATTGGTTAGCTGCAGGTGAAAGTATTTTTCCTTCTTTGGTGGCTAGCCATCCTGAGGGGAGGAAGCTATGTCCTCATGAGGTTCCCCATTCTATTTCTTCTGCTGAGTACTGGGGCTTGGTTTCCCAGAGGGGATTAGCCCATACTAGGTGGTCCTTCTATAAGCATTTCTAATGGAGGGTCCTGCCTTGTAGCTCTTTTTGCTTCAATACCCACTTGGCGGTTCCCTTCTATTTCCCTTTCCTTTCCTTTCTGATGACCCTAGCAGTGTAAGACTGCCATCAAAGAGGTTTTTATAAAAAATCTACTCAGACAAAAATAAGGAGAAAAGAATAAACAAAGACTGTGAGATGTTTGCGACTAAAGTGAATAAACTTAAAAATTATCAGTGTTTCTGAGAAATAAAACACATCAAAAAGTTTAGAACAACTATGTAAGAAAATAATTGATGAAAACTTCCCAACTTTACCAATAGAATTAGACATACATATACAGGAAGCTCAGCAATCACCAGCAAAATACATTGCAAAACAGACTTCATCATGGCACATGATGAATATCTAAAGTGAAAGTGAAAGAAGTAATTATAAAATAAAGAAAACCCCATCAGACTAAAAGCACACTTCTCAGCAGAAACTTTACTGGTTAGAAGAGAATGAGATGGCACATTTAGAGTGTTGAAAGAAAAGTGCCAGCCAAATATTTTACATCAAGCTAGATTAACCTTCACAGATGAAAAAGATATAAAATCTTACCCTGACTAATTACCACTAGACTGGGCCTACAAAAGATGTTCAAGGGATTTCTAATATAAAAAAAAAGTTTGATATTCACCATCATTAAAACATATAAAAGTATAAAACTAACAGGTCTTATAAAACAAAAGAGAAAAAGAAATAAATCAAATTACAACATGACAGAACTTTATTAAACCACAAAGATAGATAAAAAGAAAAAAATTAACATTATGAGAGTAACAAAACCTTACATATTAATATTAACCTTGAATATAAATCAATGAAATCCTTCATTGAAATGCATAGATTTATGAAATGAATAAGAAAAAATGATCCAACTGTATGTTGCCTACAAGAATCTCACCTTACTTGTAAGACACATGTAGATTAAAAGTAAAAGGTGGAAGACAGTAACACAAACAGAAACCAAAAGCAAACTGGAGTATCTATACTTACATCAAATAAAACAGACTTCAAATAAAAAGCAGTAACAAAAAGGATAAAGGTCATCACCCAATAATAAAGAAATCATTTCAGTGAAAGGATATAACAATTCTAAATATCCACGCACCCAACATCAAAACACCCAGATTTTAAAAAGAAATATTATTAAACCTATATAAAGAGACAGATAGTAATACAATAATAGTGGAAAAATGTAACATTCTACTCACAGCATTAGAGAGACCACTGAGATAGAAGAGTTGGCAAATCAAAAAAGTACCCCCAAAACAAAATTATATTAACTACCTTGACCACAGAATAAAACTACAAATCAATAGCAATAAAAATTTCAGAAACTATAAATTTACAAAGAATTTAAACAACATACTCATGAACAGTCACTGTGTAAACGAAATAATTAACATGGATGGCCAGGGGTGGTAACTCACACTTGTAATCCCAGCACTTTGGGAGGCTGAGGCAGGTGGATCACCTGAGGTCAGGAGTTTGAGACTAGCCTGGGCAAGATGGCAAAACACTATCTCTACCAAAAATACAAAAAAATAGCTAGATGTGGTGGTGCGCACCTATGTTCCTAGCTACTCAGGAGGCTGAGATAAAAAGATCGCTTGAGCCTGGAAGGTGGAGGTTGCAGTGAGCCAAGACTGTGCCACTACATTCCAGCCTGGGTGACAGAGTAAAGCCCATCTCAAAAATAATATTAAGATGAAACTTAAAACTTTGTGGGAAAAAAGATGGAAATAGAAACACAGTATAATAAAATCTGTGAGATACAGTAAATATAGTACTAAGAGGGCAGTTTATAGCCTAAATGCCTGCATCAAAAAAGTAGAAAGCTTACATATTAAGGACCTGGCATCACACTTCGAGGAACTAGAATATTAATAAAAAAACAAATTCCAAGTTAGAAGAAAATCATAACAAAAATCAGAACAGAACCAAATGAAATAAAAACCAAAACAATAAAAATTATCAACAGAATAAAGAGTTGGTTTTTCAAAAAGACAAAATTGATAAATTGCTAGCTAGATTCATCACAAACAGAAGAGAGATCTAAATAAACAAAATCAGAAATGAAAGAATAGACATTACAATGGATACAACAGTAATACAAAAGATCACTAGAAATGATTATAAACAACTAGACACTCACAAACCTGAAAACTTAGAGTAAATAAATTTATGGAAACATACAACCTCCCAAGATAGAGCCAGAAAGAAATAGAGTACCTGAACAAACCAATAATGAGTAGCATGATTGAGTCAGTAATTAAAAATGTCTTGACAAAGAAAAGCTTAGGACTAGAAAAATGCACAGCCAAATTCTACCAAATGTATTTGAATAACAATCCTCTTGAAACTCTTCCCAAAAATGAAATTCTTCCTAAGTCACTCTGAGGTCAGTTTCACCCTGATACCAACATTAGGCAAGGACACAACAAAGAAAACTATTATTGTATTATTATTTATTATATTATTATTAAAAATAGACAAACGGGACTAAAAAGCTTTGGCACAGCAAAAAAAATAATCAACAGGGTAAATAGGCAACCTACAGAATAAATGAACATATTTGCAAACTATGTGCCAAAATGAAACTAACATTCAGAATTTACAAGTAACTCAAACAACTCAAAAATATCATAATAATAAAGAATCCCATTGAAAAATGGGCAAATAACATTAGTAAACATTTTTCAATAAAGACATGCAAATAGCCAACACACATATGACAAAAATGCTCAGTCTCAACTATAAATAGAACTACCATTTGATTTAAAAGTCTCATCATTGGGTATCTACTCAAAGAAAAATAGTTTATTATAAGAAAATGATACCTATACTTGAATGTTTATTGCATGCTCACAATAGCAAACCATATATACAAGAAAAGCTTAATATTCAAAATATACAGGAAATTCAAAGCAAAGGCAAGTATAACAATAAAAACCCAACAGAAAAATGGTCAAAAGATTCAAAAAATATTTTGCCAGCAAATATATACACATGACCAATAGGTATATAAAAAAAGTGGTCAATATCACCTAACAACAGGCAACTGCAAATGAAAACAATAATGAGCTATCACTTGAGTTAGGATTGCTAATATTAAAAACAGAAAATAGAGAAATAAGTAACCTCTGTCATTGATGTTCCTGAGATTTCTGAAACAAATCTTAATATCACCACTGCTCTCATACATTTCAGACATGATGGGAAAATTTGAGAAATAATCTAACATGCAGTTCCTCAAAAATACTCGAGATATTTTTATATTCCCCCGAAGCAATGGAAGAGCAGGTATATCATGCAGTACCTTATAAGCCATAAAGAGGAGTTTAGTTCTCATGGTACCCTCAAAGGAAAATCACTAAATAGGAAGTAGAGTCCTTAGAAATAATTTAAGGGTATGGGACAAAAATGCTCCTACTTCAGAGCTAGAGGAAAAAAAAAGGCTTTTTAGGAAATCTTTCCACTGAAGCAGAGCATCCCATATCACATTTTAAAGTCTGGCATTCTTTTTGACCTTTGAACCTGTCATCTGTGTTATCGGCTTCATTCATGCTTACCTACCTGAGTATTTGACTACTGTCTCATGTCTCTTCACATTCCAGGGCTCTTTTATTTGCTCAAGGCAGGAGATCAGATCAGGGTTAGAGACAGCAAGGCCTGTTTTGTTAGAAAAAAGTAATATGACTTGCTGGGATTCTCCAGTTAGCAACCTAGTACCATGTTCAGTAGAGAAAATATTATGAAAGCTTCTACATATTTAATTTCAAAATACTGTTTTCTGATAGAACCTTTAGAATATTTAGAACATATTTTACATTTCTGGGTCTGTAGCTCTGCTATCCAATACCATTGAATTTAAAATTGGTCCTGGATATTGGATTTTAATATGTGGGCAACAATATTTATTGCCATTGAATTTCTAGACATGGGGGTGAAACCCCATCTCTACTAAATATACAAAAATTAGCTGGGCGTGGTGGTGCACATTTGTAGTCCTAGCTACTCAGAAGGCTGAGGCAGGAGAATCGCTTGAACCTGGGAGGTGGAGGTTGCAGTGAGCCAAGATCAAGCCACTGCACTCCACCCTGGAGACAGAGCACGACTCCATTCCCCTCACCTTCCCTCCCCAAAAAAAAACACCAAAGTATGCAGACAACAAAGAGCATGATGAATGTAATTGTACATCACATTTCAATACTAACACTGAATGGAAATGGCCTAAATGCTCCAATTAAAAGACACAGAACTGCAGAATGGACAAGAACTCACCAACTATCTGCTGTCTTCAGGAGACTCACTTAACATAAGGACTCAAAAGTGGAGAGATGGAAAAAGGCATTTCATGCAAATGGACACCAAAAGAAAACAGGGGTAGCTATTCTTATATCAGACAAAACAAATTTTAAAGAAACAGTGGTTAAAAGAGACAAAGATGGACACTATATAATCGTAAGTGGCCTGATCCAACAGGG
The DNA here is from genome assembly GCF_000001405.40 of Homo sapiens. Taxonomy (NCBI): domain Eukaryota; kingdom Metazoa; phylum Chordata; class Mammalia; order Primates; family Hominidae; genus Homo; species Homo sapiens. The sequence continues at coordinate 23,942,678 of NC_000019.10, read as the reverse complement.
AAACATCACAATCCTAAACATATATGCACCTAACACTGGAGCTCCAAAATTTATAAAACAATTATTAATAGACCTAAGAAATGAGATAGACATCAATACCATAAGAGGGAGGGACTTCAATACTCCACTGACAGCACTAGACAGATCATTAAGACAGAAAGTAAACAAAGAAACAATGGATTTAACTATACCCCGGAACACATGAACTTAACAGGTATATACAAAACATTTAATCCTACAACCGCAGAACACAAATTCTATTCAACAGCGAATGGAACTTTTTCCAAGATAGATCATATGATAGGCCATAAAACGAGCCTCAATAAATTTAAGAAAATTGAAATTACATCAAGCACTCTCTCAGAGCACAGTGGAATAAAACTGGAAATCAACTCTCAAAGGAACTTTCAAAACCATGCAAATACATGGAAATTAAATAACCTGCTCCTGAATGAGCACTGGGTCAAAAACAAAACCAATATGGAACATAAAAATTCTTCAAACTGAATGACAATAATGACACAACCAATCAAAACCTCTTGGATACAGCGAAGATGGTAAGAGGAAAGTTCATATCCCTAAATGCCTACATCAAAAAGTCTGAAAGAGCACAGACAATCTAAGGTCCACCTCAAGGAACCAGAGAAACAAGAACAAACCAAACCCAAACCCAGCAGAAAAAAGGAAATAACCATGATCAGAACATAACTAATTGAAATTAAAAGAAAAAATAAAAAAGGTAAATGAAACAAAGAGCTACTCCTTAGAAAAGATAAATAAAATTGATAGGCCATTAGCAAGATTAACCAAGAAAAGAAGAGAGAAAATCCAAATAACCTCACTGAGAAATGAAACAGGAGATATTATAACTGACACCACTGAAACGCAAAAAATTATTCAAGGCTACTATGAACACCTTTACACACATAAACTAGAAAATCTAGAAGAGATGGATAAATTCCTGGAAAAATACAACCCTCCTAGCTTAAATCAGGAAGAATTAGATACCCTGAACAGACCAATAAAAAAGAGTGAAATTAAAATGGTAATTTAAAAATCACCAAGAAAAAAAGTCCAGGACCAGACTGATTCACAGAATTCTACCAGATATTCAAAGAATTGGTACCAATACTTTTGACATTGTTCCACAAGATAGGGAAAGAAGGAACCCTCCCTAATTCATTCTGTGAAGCCAGCATCACCCTACAACCAAAACCAGAAAAGACAAAACCAGAAAAGAAAACTACAGATTAATATCCTTGACAAACATTGATGCTAAAATTCTTAACAAAATACTAGCTAACCAAATCCAACAACATGTCAAAAAGATAATCCACCATAATCAAGTGGGTTGCATACCAGGGATGCAGGGATGGTTTAACACACACACGTCAACAAATGTGATACACCACATAAATAGAATTCAAAACAAAAATCAAATGATTATTTCAATAGATGCAGAAAAACCATTTGACAAAATCCAGCATCACTTTATGATTAAAACTCTCAGCAAAGTTGGCATACAGGGGTCACAACTTCATGTAATAAAAGCTATCTATGACAAACCCGCAGCCAACATAATAGAGAATGGGGAAAAGTTGAAAGCATTCCCTCTGAGAACAGAAAAAAGAAAGGATGCCCATTCTCAACACTCCACTTCAACATAGTTCTGGAGTCCTACCTAGAGCAATAAGACAAGAAATAAAGGGCATCCAAATCAGTAAACAGGAAGTCAAACTGTACCTGTTTGCTGATGATATGATAATTTACCTTGAAAACCCTGAGGACTCCTCCAGAAAGCTCCTAGAACTGATAAAAGAATTCAGCAGTTTCTGGATACAAGATTAACGTATACAAATCAGTAGTTCTTTTATTTACCAACAGCAACCAAATGGAGAAATAATCAGGAACTCAACCCCTTTTACAATAGCTGAATAAAAATAAAATACTTAGGAACATATCTAATGAAGGAGTCAAAAGAACTCTACAAGGAAAACTACAAAACACTGCTGAAAGATATCATAGATGACACAAACAAATAGAAACACATCCCATGCTCATGGAAGGATAGAATTAAATTTGTGGAAATGACCATACTGCCTAAAGCAATCTACAAATTCCACAGAATCCCCTTCAAAATACCACCATCATTCTTCACACAGTTAAAAAAAACGATTCTAACATTCATATAGAGCCCACATAGCCAAAGCAAGACTAAGCAAAAAGAACAAATCTCGAGGCACCACACTACCTGATTTCAAACTATAAGGCTCTAGTCACCAAAACAGCATGGTACTGGTATAAAAATAGGCACATAGACCAAAAGAAGAGTGAACCCAGAAATAAACCCAAATACAGCCAACTGATCTTCAACAAAGCAAACAAAAACATAATGTGGGAAAGGACACCCTTTTCAACAAATGGTGCTGGGATAATTGGCTAGCCACATGTAGGAGAATGAAACTGGATCCTCATTTCTCACCTTATATGAAAATCAACTCAAGATGAAATAAGGACTTAAACCTAAGACCTGAAACTATAAAAATTTTGCATGATAACCTTGGAAAAACCCTTCTAGGCATTGGCTAGGCAAAAATTTCATGACCAAAAGCAAACGCAGTAAAAACAAAGATAAATAGCTGGGACCTAATTAAACTAAAGAGGTTTTGCATGGCAAATGAAACAGTCAGCGGAGTAAACAGAGAACTCACAGAGTGGGAGAAAATCTTCACAATCTATACATCTGCCAAAGGACTAATATCCAGAATCTACAGTGAACTCAAACGAATCAGTCAGAAAAAAAAAAAAAAAAAAAATCCCATCAAAAAGTGGGCCAAAGACATGAATAGACAATTCTCAAAAGATATACAAATGGCTAACAAACATTTAAAAAGTTCAACATCACTAATGATAAGGGAAATGCAAATCAAAACCACAATGCCATACCACCTTATTCCTGCAAGAATGGCCATAATCAAAATATCGAAAAACTGTAGATGTTGGCGTGGATGCAGTGATCAGGGAACACTTCTACACTTCTAGTGGAAATCTAAACTAGTACAGCCGCTATGGAAAAAAGTGGGGAGATTCCTTAATGAACTAAAAGTAGAACTACCATTTGATCCAGCAATCTCACCACTGGGTATCTACCCACAGGAAAAGAAGTCATTATTTGAAATATAGACCAATGGAACAGAGAACCCAGAAATAAACCCAAATACTGATTATTTGAAAAAGAAACTTGAACATCCATATTTCCAGCAGCACAATTCACAATTTTGAACTCGTGGAACCAACCAAAATGCCCATCAATCAACAAACAGATAAAGAAACTATGACATATACATATATGTTGGAATACTACTCACCACAAAAAGAAATTAACAGCATTTGCAATGACCTGGATGATATTGGAGACTATTATTCTAAGTGAAGTAACTGAGGAATGGAAAACCAAACATCATATGTTCTTGCTGATATGTGGGAGGTAAGATATGAGAATGCAAAGGTATAAGAATGATAAAATAGACTTTGGAGACTTGGGGGGGAAGAGTGGGAAGGGGGAGGGATAAAAGACAACATATATGGTGCAGTATATACTGCTCAGGTGATGGGTCCATCAGGGTCTCACAAATCACCACTAAAGAACTTAACTCATCTAACCAAACACCACCTGTACCCCAATAAATGGAACAATGAAATTAAAAAAAAAATCATTCTTATACTTACAGACCAGCTCACATAATGAATATTTCATAAACTATTACACACAGGCCAGGCACGGTGGCTCACACCTGTAATCCCAGTATTTTGGGAGGCTGATGTGGGTGGATCACCTTAGGTCAGAAGTTTAAGACCAGCCTGACCAACATAGCAAAATCCTGTCTCTACTAAAAATACAAAAATTAGCTGGGCTGGTGGCGGGAACCTGTAATCCCAGCTACTTGGGAGGCTGAGGCAGGGGAACTGCTTGAACCTGAAAGGCAGAGATTGCAATGAGCCAACATCACACCATTGCACTCCAGTCTGGGCAACAGAGCAAGACTCCAGCTCAAAAAAAAAAAAAAGGAAAAAAAAAAGAAAAAAAAACTATTAAACGAACAAACAAAATTATGGTTCTAACATGAGTAACAGTCAAGTTAAAACAGAGAATTTGCATGGGGAGATTCTGAAGCATAAGCCAAAAGGTTATACAGTAATAAATTTAATACAAAGTACAGAGGATAGATTTACTTTCAGTAATTTTGAGAATTTTGGTTTTTTTCTAGTAAATTAGACACCTTCTTAAAATGATTTATTTTGTTCCAATATTACTTTTTTTTGGCTAAAAATAGTTTCAAACTTACACTAACACAAACACACTCCATAATTTATTTACATCTAAGATTATATATCACATGCCTGTATCAAAATATGCCATATATGGCATAAGCATATACACATATTACATATCCACAAAAATTAAGAAAAATAAATTTAAATGTAAAAATAAGAATAAAATTTAACCTATAGGAACAACATTCTTTAACTTATTGGCAATTTAAAGCCACTGACAAAAAGATTACTAGAGATGTCAGTCCATTATCTTACCAAATAGTGTATTGTTACCATCTTTTACCTACACCATTGAGTAAGGTGGAATAGGTTAAAGTTAGTGGCATAATGCTTCAATGAATTCATGATAGTATTTAACATGTTAAAAATGCTGAATTGAAAAGTTAAGTTCACACATAATTTAAAAATATACTGTATATTATTCCATAAAAGTACAGTAACATACTACTAACTTAATGTTAACTAAAGAATGTTTTTCAAGTGCTCAATGGTGCCCAGGCTGGAGTGCAGTGGCGTGATCTCGGCTTGCTACAACCTCCACCTCCCAGCAGCCTGCCTTGGCCTCCCAAAGTGCCGAGATTGCAGCCTCTGCCCGGCCACCACCCCATCTGGGAAGTGAGGAGCGTCTCTACCTGGCCGCCCATCGTCTGGGATGTGAGGAGCCCCTCTGCCTGGCTGCCCAGTCTGGAAAGTGAGGAGCATCTCTGCCCGGCCGCCATCCCATCTAGGAAGTGAGGAGCGCCTCTTCCCGGCCGCCATCCCATCTGGGAAGTGAGGAGCGTCTCTGCCCGGCTGCCCATCGTCTGAGATGTGGGGAGCACCTCTGCCCTGCCACCCTGTCCGGGATGTGAGGAGCGTCTCTGCCCGGCCGCCCCGTCTGAGAAGTGAGGAGCCCCTCTGCCTGGCAACCGCCCCGTCTGAGAAGTGAGGAGCCCCTCTGCCCGGCAGCCACCCCGTCTGAGAAGTGAGGAGCCCCTCCGCCCAGCAGCCACCCCATCTGGGAAGTGAGGAGGGTCTCCGCCCGCTAGCCACCTCGTCCGGAAGGGAGGTGGGGGGGTCAGCCCCCCGCCCGGCCAGCCGCCCCGGCTGGGAGGGAGGTGGGGGTCAGCCCCCTGCCCGGCCAGCCGCCCCGTCCGGGAGGGAGGTGGAGGGGTCAGCCACCCACCCGGCCAGCCACCCTGTCTGGGAGGGAGGTGGGGGGGTCAGCCCCCCCGCCCGGCCAGCCGCCCCGGCCGGGAGGGAGGTGGGGGGGGTCAGCCCCCCGCCCGGCCAGCCGCCCCGTTCGGGAGGTGAGGGGCGCCTCTGCCCAGCCGCCCCTACTGGGAAGTGAGGAGCCCCTCTGCCCGGCCACCACCCCGTCTGGGAGGTGTACCCAACAGCTCATTGAGAACGGGCCATGATGACAATGGCGGTTTTGTGGAATAGAAAGGGGGGACAGGTGGGGAAAAGATTGAGAAATCGGATGGTTGCCGTGTCTGTGTAGAAAGAGGTAGACATGGGAGACTTTTCATTTTGTTCTGTACTAAGAAAAATTCTTCTGCCTTGGGATCCTGTTGATCTGTGACCTTAAAAAATAAATAAATAAAAAATAAATTAAAATAAAAATAAAAATCAAACTGCCATGAAAAAAAAAAAGTTTTTCTTTCATGATAATGCATAAAAATATTACTCTGAACACCTACCTCATGCATCACTCAACATTACAAGTTAACCCAAAGAGCCTCTCTACTTAAATTTTCATCATGTATCTTACATTTTAATGTCCTTACCTTTCCATAGAAAAAGTCATAAAGGCCTACCTAATAAAAAAGAATCTCTCATATCTTTAATGCAGCTACAATTAGTCACATGTTTTCACATGTGAATACACCAGGAATGATGGAACAGCATGAAGTAATTTAAGAGTTTAACTCCATTATTTGCTTTTTTAAAATTCTGTATTTTCAAAAAAAAGTTATACTTTGATTGTAATTATAACTCTCCAAAAAATATTCTTCTTTTAAAGTTATATACAAATAATGTTTACACGAACTTTAGTTTGTATTATTTCCTATACTCAGCACTGATTTAGTGTAATGTCTAAAGTTTGAGTGCCCTAAATATTTCTACTGTGAATTATTCCCTGATATTTACATAGACTTAATTTTGGATTGAACATCTTTCATATTTAATGCATCTGCAAAAATATATTTTAGTATGAACGCTTTGGTGTTTCATAATTTGTAGTTTTTGAAAAAATGTTTTTCCAAATTCATTACATTTGCAGGGTTTTCTTCAATATAAACTCCCTGATGTTGAACAAAATTTTAATAACTGCCTCAGGGTTTTCCTCTAGTACAAAATGTGTACAATAAGATCTGTGAGACAAGTAAATGTATTACAACCCTCTTCATATTTGTAATGCTTTTTCAAAATAAATATGCTTCTGCACTTTAAAGACATATTTTCTGATCTTTTGACGGTAATTAGATTTTTAATGCTTTTATTCAGTATGAACTCTGATTTTGAGTAAGATGTGAGCAGGTATTAATGGCTTTTTTGCTTTGTCTATATTTGTACATTTGTTCTCAAATATAAATGCTTACCGGTGCAATAAGCTATGAGCATTGGTTAGAAGCTTGGCCACATTGTTCACATTGGTAGTTTTTTCCAGTATAAATGATCTTACATACAATGAAGTGCAACAATCATTTAAAGGCTTTGTCACATTCTTCACATTTCTAGGATTTGTCAGCAGCATGATTTTGTTTAGAAAAGTTTGAGATGCTGTCAAAGGCACTGGGCACATCTTTCAGATTTGTAGAGTTTCTCTTCAGTATGAATAATCTTATATCTGTTAAGAATTGAGGACTTTTTTAGGCTTTCCATATTATTCACACTTGTAAGATTTCTCTCCAATATGAGTTATCTTATCTGTAGTAAGATGTGAGGACTGGTTAAAGGCTTTGCCAATTTTTTCCCATTTGTAGGGTTGCTGTCCAGCATGAATTTTCTTATGTCTAGTTAGGGCTGAGGACCAGAAAAACACTTTGCCACATTCTTCACATTTGTAGAGTTTTACTCCAGTATGAATTACCTTATGTTTAATAAAAGTTGAAGACAGGTTAAAAGATTTCCCACATTCCATGGGAAACCTGCCCCTGTGATTCAGTTACCTCCCACTGGGTCTCTCCCCACAACATGTGGGGATTCAAGACGAGATTTGCGTGGGGTTACAGCCAAACTGTATCACCAGCCTTGCCCCTGGGCAGAAGCAGCAGCAGTCTGCCTGGCTGGATTCAAATGATTCTGAGACTTCTATAGTCTATGCCTCCAGATCTCTCCCTCACCCATGCTATGGTGTCTGAAATTCCACCATTAGAGAGTCATTTCTTGGCCTCTGTTAAAGGGACCAGGCTCTTTATAAAGCAAATGCCCCTAAGCAGCTGGCTCTGGCTTTATCAGGTATCTTTTCCCTGCCAGAAGGAAGGAAGCTAAGGTGCATCTGGGCATACTGTGTGCCCAGGCACTGTGCCAGATGCTTTGGATACTTGGAGTCATTGAATTCTGGTAGTAACTCTGTGAGAGAGGGAGCCTTTTCCCCACATTGCAGAAAAAGGAAAAAGAGCTCAGAGAGATCAAGAAATATCCCTGAGATCACATGGCTCCTAGTGGAGTCAGGATCCAAACCCGGTGTGTCTGATTCCTTAGCCCTTGGGGGTCCGGAGGCTGCTGAACAAGAGAGGAGCTGGAGAGGAGAGAAAGCCACAGGAATACCACTGTACACCCTTCTTGATTCTAGAAAGACTGTATGAAAATTCTGAACAGTGAACAGAATAAACAATAAAGGTGCAATGGAAAAAAAAGAAAGATTTCCCACATTCTTCAGACTTGCAGGGTTTCTTTCCAGTTTGAATTATCTTATGGTTACTCAGGATTGAAGACTGCTTAAAGGCTTTGACACATTTTTCACATTTGTAGGGTTTCTCTTCAGTATGAATTACTTTATGTTCAGTAACAGTTGAGGAACATTTAAAGGCTTTGCCACATTCCTCACATTTGTAAGGTTTCTCTCCAGTGTGCATCCTCTTATGTCTACTTAGGGGTGTGGACCATATGCTTTGCCACATTTTTCACATTTGTAGGGTTTATTTCCAGTATGAATTATCTTATGTGTAGTAAGATTTGAGAATGATTAAAAGCTTTCCCACATTCTTCACACTTGTAAGGTTTCTCTCCAGTGTGAATTATCTAATGTTTAGTAAGATTTGAGGATTAAAAGCTTTTTCACATTCTTCACATTTGTAGGGTTTCTCTCCAGTGTGCATCCTCTTATGTTTAGCGTTGAGGACCATATAAATGCTTTGCCACATTCTTTACCCTTTTTAAGGTTTCTCTCAAGTATGAATCCTCTTATGCTTAAAAAGGGTTGAGGACCAGATAAATGATTTGCCACATTCGTCACACTTGTAAGGTTTCTCTCCAGTATGAATTATCTTATGCGTACTAAGATTTGAGGATCGATTAAACGCTTTTCCACATTCTTCACACTTGTAAGGTTTCTCTCCAGTATGAATTATCTTATGTGTACTAAGATTTGAGGATTGATTAAAAGTTTTGCCACATTCTTCACATTTGTAGGGTTTCTCTCCAGTGTGAATCCTCTTATGTTTAGATAGGGTCGAGGACAATATAAATGCTTTGCCACATTCTTCACATTTGTAGGGTTTCTCTCCAGTATGAATTATCTTATGTGCAGTAAGGGTTGAGGACTGGCTAAAAGCTTTGCCACATTCTTCACATTTGTAGGGTTTCTCTCCAGTGTGCATCCTCTTATGTGTAGTTAGGGCTGAGGATCGGCTAAATGCTTTACTACATTCTTCACATTTGTAGGGTTTCTCTCTAGTATGAATTTTCTTATGTTCAGTAAGGTTTGAGGACCATATAAACGCTTTGCCGCATTCTTCACACTTGTAAGGTTTCTCTCCAGTATGAATTATCTTATGTTTAGTAAGATTTGAGGATCGATGAAAAGCTTTGCCACATTCTTCACATTTGTAGGGTTTCTCTCCAGTGTGAATCCTCTTATGTTTAGTTAGGGTTGAGGGCCATATAAATGCTTTGCCACATTCTTCACATTTGTAGGGTTTCTCTCCAGTATGAATTATCCTATGTGTAGTAAGGTGTCCGAATTGGCTAAAAGCTTTGGCACATTCTTCACATTTGTAGGGTTTCTCTCCACTGTGCAGCCTCTTATGTCTAGTTAGGGTTGAGGACCAAACAAATGCTTTGCCACATTCTTCACATTTGTAGGGTTTCTCTCCAATGTGCATCCTCTTATGTATGGTTAGTGCTGAGGGTTGGCTAAATGCTTTGCCACATTCTTCACATTTGCAGGGTTTCTCTCCAGTATGTATCCTCTTATGTATGGTTAGTGTTGAGGATTGGCTAAATGCTTTGCCACATTCTTCACACTTGTAAGGCTTCTCTCCAGTATGAGTTACCTTATGTGTAGTATAATTTGAGGATTGATTAAAAGCTTTGCCATATTCTTCACATTTGTAGGGCTTTTCTTCAGTATGAGTTTTCTTATGATTAGTAAGGGTTGAGGACCAATTAAAGGTTTTTCCACATTCTTTACATTTGTAGGACTTCTCTGTAGTATATATGCTTTTATGCTGGGTTTTGTGTGAAAACATGCAAAATGATTTGACACAATTTTTACATTTGAAAGGTTTCTTTCTAGTATGTCTTATCTTATATCTGTTTAAATTTATAAATTTATAAAAGACTTTCAAATATTTACCACATTGAGAAGCTTTGCCCTGGGTAGTTGTGAAACACTGGTTAAGTCCATTATAACCTTCTTTGTGTACCTTACACTCATCCACACTTTTACAACCTTTTCTTAACTGTAAATTCTCATGTCCACATTTTTCAAATCTTCTTAGTATTACTTTTTGAAAAGAATCTTCCACGCCCTGCTCTGGCCAAATGTCTTGAGCAAAATGAGGACATATACCTAAAAAAAAATTAAAATAATTTACTCCACTTACTATACTGACATAAATATAGTTTAAAAATCTTACCTATAAAATTATACAACCTACAAAAACAAGATGGTTTTGCAAAATACCACAGACCCTAATTCTTTCATAGACATTTAAATGTAACAAAAACTTACAAACCAAAATACATCTGTGGGAAATGTTCACAGATGTGAACATTCACTGTGTGCAGTGTTCCAGAAGAGCACAATGCAAAAAACCACATAGAAGAAAAAGAAAAGTCTAAATTTACCCAACACAGCTTTTCCTGCTTCCCACTATAACATAGTGCCTTTAGAAGTAAATTGCAAACTCTTCATTTCTGTTTTAAAAGAAAGGTAAAATACTGGCACATTCATTATCATTTCTGGCTTTTAGGGGCTTTTTTTGGACACTGTTTTCTGTCTCTCATGACATAAAGTGCTGACAGAAATGGTGGTATACTTCGGAATGAGAGTTTGAGTCCACTGAGACCAAAGAGAAATGTTCCAGCAGCCGCCAGACTGCAGTACCACAGAAAAGGAACAGGTGTAGCAAGTGATTACTGACTCCTACAAAGTAATATGAATAAACTCTCTTAACTAAAAACTGAACACAAAATTTCAGACAATACAGGTCCTAAGAATATGTTTGAAAAACTGCCATAATGATGAGCCAAGACAATTGTTTTCAGACTATGCCAGGACAAAGCCACATTATAAAAATTTTGACAGGTAGATTTTTCTAATGTAAAAAACTGAAAGCTTATAATATATACAAAATATAGCAGTATCATCCCACCAAAAATATCATAAAATTTTCTGAAAGAAACCATAAAAAAATAAGATTTATACATTAATTTTAAGAATTGGTAATAAATTGAATAATACTGATTAAAACAGGAACAGAGACAAGTATGGAAAATCACAAAAATGAGGACGAGAACAAAAATATTTAACATTTCATAAAAACGGAAACTGTGGAGGTAAAAAATACAAAAGGAAACTGACAGATCCTAAAAGTTAGAAAAAATGATGTAAAAATAAAGAAGCTCAGTTGCGGTTTTGGCTGGGGAGCGGTGGCTCATGCCTGTAATCCCGGCACTTCGGGAGGCTGAGGCAGGTGGATCATGAGGTCAGGAGATCAAGACCATCCTGGCTAACAGGGTGAAACCCCATCTCTACTAAAACAATACAAAAAGTTAGCTGGGCATGGTGGCAGGTGCCTGCAGCCCCAGCTACTCAGAAGGCTGAAGCACTAAAATTGCTTGAACCTGGAAGGTGGAGGTTGCAGTGAGCTGAGATCACGCCACTGCACTCCAGTGAGGGTGACAGAATAAGACTCCATCTCAAAAAAGAAAAAAAGAAGGAAAAATTGGTAGCTGTTTAATACGTATTAAGATTTAGCTTTGCAAGATAGAAACATTTTAGCAATATGTTGCATTACAATGTCAAGACAATATGACTAAACTGAATATTTAAAAATATTTTGTGGTAAATTTTGTCGTGTTTTTTAGACAAGCAAAAATAAACAATAATACCTAAAAGAGATAAATAATTATGATTGTTTTAAATTATATTCAAATCCAAAAATGTTTCTACCACACAAAAATTACATAGACTCACAAATAAATAGGATGTTGAAATTACAATAATTTTATGACTTCACATCTACACAGGATTAGAAAACCATTCACAACAAACTTACACAACAAATATACACGTTATTAAAAAAATACAAGGATAACATTTATACAGGCAAACAAACATACAGATAATTCTATCAGAAAAAGACATATGGCTAATTCATATATGATTTTGCTCCACAATGTCTTAAATTATATAAAGTTAAAATATTGGCATGCACAATTATAATATATACTAAAAAATCAAAACACAATTAATGGATGTGTGGTAGCATACCCTAAAATATATAACATAAAAATATAAACTTCCAAAACAAAATTAAAACATGGAATGTAAAAGTGATTGGATACCATCAACTAGATCAATATATTCATTAAGAAAATCTCAGAGGAAGAATATGGGAAAAAAATAACATAGAGATTACTTGAAGATAAAAATTCCCAAATTTTGATGTAATAAAAGGAAAAAATATTTCTAACCAATAATATTTGATTTAAATGTATTTCTCTTTAAAAAGATGAAAATTAAAAAATCCAAAATAAAAGGTAAGGGTGTTCATCACCAGTAGCACAGTTCTACCAAAAAAAATGGTACATGGTGGCCAGGCACCGTGGCTCATGCCTCTAATTTTACAGTTTTAGGAGGCCAAGGCTATCAGAACACTAGAGGCCAGGAGTTTCAGGTCAGCCTGAGTAATACAGTGAGACTCTACATATAGTAAGAACTGCTATAATAAGTCCATTTTGTTTAAAAATACTACTGGACAGCATCATAAAACCATATATAAAATAAAGCTCTCTATTAAATGTAAATATACAAATATAGAAATTTTTACTATTATAATGATGATGCATATAACTCTTAAAGCTATTCTGTAGAATATTTAAAACAGAATAAAAACCTGCATAAATATGTTAATACACAATATAAAATAATTTTAACATTAATAAACTGAAAAATATAGAGGTATAATCTTTATATTCAATTGAAGTTGTCATGAGATATAAATATATTGTTTTAATTTTAAGATGTTTCATGTAAACTCCATTTTTTAAGATGATATGGTTTGCCCATGTCCCAACCCAAGACTCATCTTTAATTCCCACATGTTGTGGGAGGGACGTGGTGGAAGGTAATTGAATCATGGGGGCAGGTCTTTTCTGTGCTGGTCTCATGATAGTGAATAAGTCTCATGAAATCTGAAGGCTTTATAAGGCAGAGTTTTCCTGCACAAGCTCCCTCTCTTGTCTGCCACCATGTGAGACATGCCTTTCACCTTCCACCATGATTGTGAGGTCTCCCCAGTCACACACAACTGTAAGTCCAATAAACCTCTTTCTTTTCTAAATTGCCCAGTCTCAGGTATGTCTTCATTAGCAGCATAAAAACAGACGAATACACAAGATGATTATGAAGATAATATTTATAGAAACTATGCAAAACAAGATATAAAAAATAATTGAAGCACATCACTACACAATTAAAATGAAATTTAAGGCAATAAACCAACATATAAAAAATACCACTGAGGAACACATAAAACAATCACAATAAAAGTAGTAACTTCATTTTTAATAAATAATTTTAAATATAAATTAAACTACTTAATAGAAAAAAATATAATCTCAGGACTTTGAGAGGTTAAGATGGGCTGATCACTGGATCTCAGAAGTTTGAGACCAGCCTTGGCAACGCGGCAAAACTGTCTCAACCATAAATACAAAAAAAACTAGCTAGGTGTGATGCTACACACTTGTAACCCAGCTACCTGAGAGGCTGAAATGAGAGAATCTTCTGAGTTTGAGAAACTGAGGCTGCTGTGAGCCATGATCACAACACTGCAAACCAGCCTGGTTGACAGAGTGAGACCTATCTCAAAAATAAATGAATAAACAAGTAAATAAATGAAATTATAAAAAGAAAAAATAAAATGCTTTAGTGGCTTAAGAAAAAGCAAACCATATGCCACCTACAAGGGACTCATTTTAGCACTGAGTCAAATAGGCTGAAAATTACATAGTGCAAAAACCTGTATTTTATGAAAATAGTAACTACACTTGGGTTTTAGACATAATATATTTTAAGTCAAGTGCTAACGTGAGACAAACATTGGTAGTATATATTGGTAAAATGGGTTGATATTACCACAAATGTATAACTACTATATCTATCTATCTATCTATCTCTCTATCTATCTGTATGTGTATGTACAATATCAGGGCTCCAAAATATATAAAGTAAATATTGACAAAAGTAAAGCAAGAAATACATAGCAACATAATAATTGTAGACATCAAGACCCCATTTTCCGTAATAGAAAATTCACATTAAACAAAAAATAAGAAAACAGAAAACCTAGACAACATTATAGACTGTATCAATTATTTTGCATATAGGTGAATACTGGAGAGTGGATAACTTATAAAGAAATAATATTTATTTGGCTCACAATTTAGCAGACTGTAGAAAGTGTGCCAGCATCTGCTTCTGGTGAGAGTGTCACCAAGCTTACAGTCATGATTGAAGGCGAAGAGTAACTGCACATATTACATGATGAGAGACAGAGCAAGTATGAGGCGAAGGAGCCAGGTTCTTCTAATAAACCTGCTTTCATTTGAATTAATGGAGTATAAACATTTTCATTACTGAGAGGATGGTGCCAAGCTATCTATGAGGACTTTGCCCCCATGACCCAAACACCTCCCACCAGGTCTCACATCCAACATTAAAAATTGCATTTAATCATAAGGTTTGGAGGACATGAACATCAAAACCATATTATAGACCAACTAGGTTTAACAGATGAGTACAGAACTTTCCAGTCAAAAGCAAGAAAATACACAATATTCTTATTTGCAGCTGGTGTATTCTGTTAGGACACATACTAAGTTTTATCAAATTTAAGAATGCCAGCTGGGTGGTGTAGCTCATGCCTATAATCCCAACACTTAGAGAGACCAAGGTGGGAGGATCACTTGGAGTTAAAAGTTTGAGGCCAGCCTGGGCAACTCTATCCCTACAAATAATCAAAGAATTATTCAGACATGGTACGTTATGTTTGTAGTCCCAACTACTGGAGACACTGAGGTGGAAAGATCACTTGAGCCCAGTAGGTTGAGGCTGCAGTGAGCCAAAATCATGCCAGTACACTCCAGCCTGGGTGACAGAGTAAGATCCTGTATACAAACAAAAACCACAACAAACACAACAATAACAAATAAATTTAAGAAGACCAAAATTACACACTTTGTGTTGTCTGACCAAAACTGAATTAAACTAGAAATTAAAAGTAAAACTGAACAATATAAAAATATATAAAAATAAAACACACTTTTCAACATATTTTTGCTCAGGAATAAAAAAACATTAATTTTTCAAAATGTCAATACAACCTACAGTGGTAGACATATTTAATATAATTTTTATGGCCGGGTGAGGTGACTCACACCTGTAATCCTAGCACTTTGGGAGGCTGAGGCGGGTGGATTGCCTGAACTCAGGAATTCTAAACCAGCCTGGGCAACACAGTGAAACCCCGTCTCTACTAAAAATACAAAAAAATTTAGCTGGGCATGTAATCCCAGCTACTCTGGAAGTTGAGACAGGAGAATTGCTTGAACCTGGGAGGCAGAGGTTGCAGTGAGCCGAGATAGTGCCACTGCACTCCAGCCTGGGCGACAGAGCAAGACTCCATCTCAAAAAATAATAATTTTTATATAAATCCAAATAGGGGTTTTTTAAGGAAACATTGTTTAAAATGTTAAAATTTTATTATGAACTATAGACAAACACCCATGAAAAACAACAGAGACATTATATTTTCTGATTTTGAAACACATTAAAATCAACAATAACAAAAACAATTTGGTACTGACACAAAGACAGATAAAGAGATGAAAGAACAGAATAGAGAGCCCAGAAATGAACCCTTCTGTGTAAGGCCAAATAATCTCCCACAAAATTAACATGAGCACACAGTAGAAAAAAGATAATCTTTTCAAAAAATTATGTTGAAAGCTGAACATCCATAACGATAAAATGAAGTTCGATTATTTCTCTATACCATATGTGAAAAATCTTTTCATTAGACATAGGAAGATAACTTTTTTTTTTTTTTTTTTTTGGAACAGAGTCTTGCTCTGTTGCCCAGGCTGGAGTGCAGCCCAGGTGGAGTGCAGTGGCATGGTCTCGGCTCACTACAACCTCCGCCTCCTGGGTTCAAGTGATTCTCCCACCTCAACCTCCTGAGTTGCTGGGATTAACATGCACGCCATCACGCTCAGCTAATTTTTTTGTATTTTTAGTAGAGACGGGGTTTCACCACGTTGGCCAGGCTTGTCTTGAACTCCTGTCCTTATGATCCGCCCACCTCAGCCTCTCAAAGCGCTGGGATTACAGGCATGAGCCACCGCACCCGACCGGATAACTTCTTAATCTCTTTAAAATATATAGGGAAAACACGACATCAGTCTTGGGGCCATTTTCTTAGATATAAAATTAAATGCATGAGCACCAAAGAAAAAAACAAAAAATTTAACTACACTACACTTCAACATTTCTGCACATATAAATATTTAAAAGATGGATAATGCATTCTAGAAAATGGGTGAAAATATTTACAAATTACATGTGATGGGAGTCAATATTCAAAAACTATAAACTTTTAAAACCAAACAATAGCCGGGCGTGGTGGCTCACACCTGTAATTGCAGCACACTGAAAGGCAGAGGCAGGCGGATCACGAGGACAGGTGTTCCAGACCATCCTGACCAACATGGTGAAACTCTGTCTCTACTAAAAATACAAAAATGAGCCAGGCATGGTGGCACACGCCTGTTATTTCAGCTACTCACAAGGCTGAGGTGGGAGAATCGCTTGAACCCAGGAGGCGGAGGTTGCAGGGAGCCGAGATCTCACCATTGCACTTCAGCCTGGGTGACAGAGCAAGACTTCATCTCCCAAAAAAAAAAAAAAAAAAAGAAAAGAAAAACTGAACAATCAAATTGAATAACTTTATTTAGAAATAGACAAATTGAAATAAATTTTCTTCAAAAATTTGAAAGGACACTCAAAACTAATTTGTAGAGAAATGCATAAAAGTCATAATAAAAAACAAAATCCCCTCACACTCATTTAAATGGCCACTATCAATTTTTTGAAAACACCAAATCTGTTGATGATGCAATAAAAATAAAACCCTTGGCCGGGCGTGGTGGCTCAAGCCTGTAATCCCAGCACTTTGGGAGGCAGAGGTGGGTGAATCCTGACGTCAGGAGTTTGAGACCAGCCTGACCAACATGGTGAAATCCCGTCTCTACTAAAAATACAAAAGTTAGTTGGGTTGATTGTCGGTGGAAAATAAAGATGTACCAATTATTTTATAATGTTATAAATGTACTTCAAATAATATAAATTATTAAATAAAGTGATTCCATTTATGAATCTATATCTAAAATACATAACATAGGAACCTGAAGACATATTTGATACAATGGAATATTATTCAGCCTTGAAAAAAATCGTCACATTTGAAGATACACTTTGAGAATATTATGCCAACTGAAATAAACCAGTAAAGAAATGATGGATGTTACGATTTCACTTAGATATATAAGACAATTACACTTGTAAAAACAGAAAGTGGAAAAGTGCTTCTCAAGGGCTAAAGAGAGCATAAAATGGGTAAATGTTATTTAATGGATATTGAGTTTTAGTTTTACAAGATGTAAAATTTCTAGAAGTCTTTTGCATAACAATGTGAATATACATGATATGCCTGAAATATACACTTTTTTTTTTTTAAGACAAGGTCTCAATCTGTCACCCAAGTTTGAGTACAATGGGACAATTATGGCTCACTGCAGCCTCACACTCCCAGCGTCAAGTAATCCTGACCCTCAAACTCTCAAGTAGCTGGGACCACAGGTGCACACCACCATGCCTTGCTATTTCTTAGAAAAAAATATCTGTAGAGAGGGTGTCTCCATATTTTACCCAGGTTGGTCTCAATCTTTTGGGCTCAAGCAAACCTCCTGTCCCGGCCTCTCAAAATCCTGGTTTTACAGAAGGGATCCACCACATTGCCTCGCCCTGACATGTACATTTAAATGGATTTAAGAAGGTAAATTATATGTTATGTTTTTTTAAAACAATTATTTTTTAAAAAACTGGAGACAATACAGGATTATGAATCTTTTTTAAAAATTACCTTCAAATCACAAAAGAATTATCTCACACAAAGGAAATATATATTCATCATTAAACACATGGTGAAAATAAGACTATTTCCAAGGCTACTAACTTAGACAAGATAAAACCAACATTGAAAATGAGCTAAGAGGCCAGGCAAGGCGGCTCACGCCTGTAATCCCAGCACTTTCAGAGGCCAAGGTGGGCATTTCAACTGAGGTCAGGAGTTTGAGACCAGCCTGACCAACATGGAGAAATACCATTTCTACTAAAAAAAAAAAAAAAATACAAAATTAGCCAGGTGTGGTGGCATGTGCCTGTAATCCCAGCTACTCAGGAGGCTGAGGCAGGAGAATTACTTGAACCCGGGAGACAGAGGTTGCAGTGAGTCAAGATCGTGCATTACACTTCAGCCTCGGCAACAAGAGTAAAACTTCCTCTCAAAGAAAAAAAAAAAAGAGCTAAGAAAGAATATATACAAGGTATAACCAAAATTGGGGTCATATTTATAGATATAAACACACACACATATATATAATTTGACTGTGATAGACATGGCTCATTTATCTTTTAATTAAACTCCACATTAACTTAAAGTATACAAAACATAATATATAAGAAAAAACCAATAGGCACAATAAACTGATGTTAGGAAACTTACACTACAAAAAACACTAATATAAAACTGCAACACAATAACAGAAATGTTTACTCATTACAACTAGTTGGCAACATTTATGTACATTAACAAATAATTTGTCTAGATAACTGCAATGTTTGACTGTAACTGTGCATTCATGGAAGGCAGGCATTTTAAATTACTGGCATCTGTAATCCCAGCACTTTGGGAGGCCGAGGCGGGCAGATCACGAGATCAGGAGATCGAGAGCACGGTGAAACCCCGTTTCTACTAAAAATACAAAAAATTAGCCAAGCGCGGTGTCGGCACCTATAGTCCCAGCTACTCAGGAGGCTGAGGCAGGAGAATGGCTTGAACCTGGGAGGCGGAGGTTGCAGTGAGCCAAGATCACGCCACTGCACTCCAGCCTGGGTGACAGAGCGAGACTCCATCTCAAAAAAAAAAAAAAAAAAAATTACTGGCATCTATTGTATGGCAATAAAATTTCAGAGAAAATGCAGTACAATCATAAATAGGAGATGCTAATGAGAAACTTTTAATAGATAAGCATTTAAAAGAAATTCATGCCAATTTTTATGTTTTAAATATATGCTATTTTTACACAAAATAAAACTACTGTAATCCAAGTTTAGAAGCAAAGAATAGCCTTACATTGCTTAATTATATATATATTTAGCAGAATATGGTTAGAGCCTCATATGTGAAACAAATATTTGGGGAATAAATTATGTTATTTAGTTATAGGCTGACAAAAGTGGTTGAAAATTCTGTAATTCCTTTTTGCCTGCCTGCGTATTATCTAATTTAATTCAGGAACAACATGTAAATTCTAGTATATTGTCCTAAATGTCTGAATCTAAAATTACAGACAAATTTGAAGTAGAAAATAGAAAGTAAAAATTTATATGGAGAGTGGCATTAATAAGATAAAAAAAAAAAAAGGTGACCTATTTGCTTATCCCCTGACAGCAAGAAAATTTGTCATCCATTCCTGACAAAAATGCTTTTATGAGAGAACCAGGCATCATGGTTCACACCTGTAATGAAAACTACATGGTACATTACAGTTGAAGAACTGCTTGAGGTCAAAATATTAAGACTTGCCTGGATTATGTAGCAAGACCTCATCTCAAAAATAAATGCCTTTAAGAGAGCTCTGAGATCCAGGAAAGGAGTTGTGAAATTCTGCTAAAGCCCAAGATTCAAGGTAATTCTGTTTAGAAGGCAGGCCTCCGTTCAGGTTGCAAACTACATGACCACTGTTTTTGGCTACAGACAAGAAAGTGCTCCACCTAACTTGGTTCCACTGAGAATTTTAAACTTACTCTGTAACCATCCCAAACTCTTCACAGCCACAGTCTTGGGAGCCAATGGGCAGCGTGGGTCCTGCCCTTCCAGAGGCCTGGAGGAAGACCTCCATTTATAGCCATGATGGCAGGCCTCAGACCTTGGCCTTTCCTGTGGTCCCTGAAGCAGTTCCATGACTCAGTTCCAGCTCCCTGAGCCACAGTTCATGGCCAGTTCTGCCTATGTAGAAATCCAAAGTGACCTGGGAAAATCCTCTCTTGTACTGGGTGAAAGCCATGCTCATCCACATCCTGATATAAAGAACACCATATACAGACCTGACTGCAGAAACCTGCCCTTGGGTCTGCCCTTCAGAGCAAAGTCCTGAAGGATACTCACTCTGTCTAAAATTTAAATGAGAATTACAAATATCCAAGCCCTGTTTAACAAGACAACTAAAAGTGGACCCTTGTGCAAACCCAGCAGACTTAAGACCAAGCTACAACCCCTCTTCACTACAAACCCAGAGGATATTCTATCACCCTGGGGGTACAACGAAAATAGATTTTTAGTTTCTGAAACCAGTTTATAAAATTCTGAAGAGGTGTTTGCTCCTTCAAATTTACAGACACCAACGCAATACTATTGTCTCTTATTGTCAATGCTTCTATTTTAACATAGCACTGAAAGTATGTGAATTAAGAAGTAGTCAAAACAAAAATTTAAAGTCATTGAAATTGAAGACCAATAAGTAAAACGTCACTGTTTGTAGATTATGTCATCTTACATATAAAAAAGTACATTAAAACCTCTTTAAACTAATTAATACACTCAGTTGATTAGCAAAATATGAAATTAACATACAATTATAAGTTATCATTCCATACACTTAAAACCATCTCTCTGATAAAATAGAGGAAAAAACATTATTTACAATAGCAATAAAATAATCAATTTTAGAACAAATTTAACCAAGCAGCTCATAAATCTTTTAAGTGAAAGATATAGCAATAAAAAAATTAGAGAGGACACAAATAAATTTAAAAATATTTTATTTCTATTGAAAGAATAAGTATTGTGAAACTGCCATATTATCTAAGGTGATCTCTAGACTCAATAAACTCCCTGTCAAAATTCCAGTTTTTCACAGTAATGAAAATTACAATCCTAAAATGTACACGAAACCACAATAAATTTTGAATAGCCAAAGCAATCTTGAGGAAAAAGAACAAAGCAGAAGGACATTATACTTTATAATTTCAAACTATATATATATACATCGAGAGAGAGTCTTGCTCTGCCGCCCAGGCTAAAGTACAGTGGCATGATCTCAGCTCATTGCAACCTCTGGCTCCTGGGTTCAAGCAATTCTCCTGCCTCAGCCACCTGAGTAGCTGGGATTACAGGTGCCCACCACTGAGCCCAGCTAATTTTTTTATTTTTAGTATAGATGGGGTTTCACCATGTTGGCCAGGCTGGTCTCAAATTCGTGACCTCGTGATTCACCCACCTTGGCCTCCCAAAATGCTGGGATTACAGGCGTGAGCCACCACGCATGGCCCAAACTATATTTCAAGGCTATAGTAATGAAAACAGGATGCCCGTTCCAGCCAGTGGAAACTGGACACAGCAGTAGAGTGGACACATCAGGTTATAAATGACCCTGTCTCCTTTGCTCAGTGTACTCTCATGGCAAAACTGCTGGCGAGTATACCCTTTCTGCAGGAAGTAAAAACGGCCATATTAAATAAACAAAAAAAAAAAAGAAAGCAAGAAAAAAAACAGGATGAAATGAGCAGAAAAACAAACAAACAAAAAAAAACCCCTAATGAAACAGAAACCACTACTCTTGTGCAAAAAGAGAGGCCAGGCACGGTGGCTCACACCTGTAATCCCAGCACTTTGGGAGTCTGAGGTGGGTGGATCACCTGAGGTCAGGAGACCAGCCTGGCCAACATGATGAAACTCCGTCTCTACGAGAAATACAAAAAATTAGCCAGTTGTGGTGGTGTGCACCTGTAACCCCAGCTACTCAGGAGCCTGAGGCAGGACAATCACTTCAACCTGGGAGGCAGAGGTTGCAGTGAGCCGAGATCGCACCATTGCACTCCAGCATGGGCCACAAAAGCGAAACTCCTTCTAAAACAAAAAAAAATTTTAACATAGAGTGTCTCAAAACTATGCAGATATCTATCTGTCCACAAAAACAAGAAAAAAAAAGTCAGATTGTACACTCTTTTATATGCCATGAACAGTACTTTGGCTGTCACTGTAAACGTTAAGGAAGATCATTGAAGGGAGAGTAGAATTCTTAGAGATTTTATAAGCATAAGCAGAAGATGCCCCTATCTGAGAGTATATTTTTTTTTAAATTTCAGGCTTTCCAGAAACGGTTTCCTTTGGAATGCAGCTTTCCAAATCACTTTAAAGACTGGCTTTCTTCTTGACGTTGGACCTCTCATCCAGGTCATCTGTTGTATTCACTCTCACCTACCTGGGGGTTCATCCACCATCTCATCTCGCTTCATATTCCAGGGCTCTTTTTCTTTCTCCAGACAGATGATGAGGTCTGGCTTAGAGACAGCAATACCTGTTTTATTAAAAATAATTAACATGAATCTTGCTCATATTCTCCAATTACCAACTTAGTAATGTGCAAAGTAAAAGGGATATAATAGAATATTCTAATAAATTTATCCCATATACTAATTTATAACAGAAATTTTTAAATATTTACAGAATATTTTAATTTTGTAGGTTCTTAATTTCACTGCCTGGTACTACTGAAGCAAAAATTGGTAATGGCACTTGGATTTTAAGGTGTGAATAACAATATTTTATGCCACTAAGGTTCTGAAATTACCACTAATCTAAAGCGAAAGACACAGATCAGCTCAGGAATGTGGAAATTTCAGGTCAGGATGAAACATCTTGAAGAAATTTTTTCTAAACAGACAAATCCCCAGGATTTTCTTGAAAACAGAAATAGGAAAGCATAAATTACCAGAAAACATACTACAAAAGAAAAATAAAAGCTTTAGTTTATATTAAAAATTTTGTATTAAAGTTATCCTCACCCAGGAAGGCCAGGTTTCTGTAGTTCTCTAACATCACATTCCTATATAAATTCTTCTGTGCAGTGTCCAGGCACTGCCACTCCTCCAGAGAGAATTCTATGGCCACATCCCTAAATGTCAACAGTCCCTGGAAAATACACACAAACACACATATTTACAAAGTGGCTATGGGCAGAATTTTTCATTTGACTCAAGGTAAAATCAGAAAGTGAATAGAATTGATTCTAACTTATAAGAGGGACTGAAATTATCCAATAAAATAATTGTCAAAACACAAACATTTTCTAATGTATTCTCTAACTCTGAGAAAAGAGACTGGCATAATATCCAGAACATCAGTGTATATATGATACTTTTCTGAATGATAAAGTGTAAAAATGTACTAACATGTACATTTTTGAGTACAGTATTTACATAATACTGAATGAGTTGTGTATATTTTTCAGATGAAAAAGACAGCTGTTTATATTTTTCAGACAAAATAAACATGTTGAGTTAGAAGGTACCACTCAAATTTAAATGTGTACAATAAACTGGACATCTCGTTAATGCAGAGTATTTTTTCAGAAGATCTGAAATAAAGTCTGAGTTACTGAATCTCTATCAAGCTCATTAGTAATGCAAATGTTTTGGCCCCAAAAGACTATTTTGTCAAACATCCAGTAAGTGGAAGAGTCGTGTTTTTTTTTTCAGTTTTTCTGGCCTGTAAACAAAGATGAGAGCTTTCATTTACCAACAAAAGATAAATGCAAAGAATACCTAAAAAAAACAGGCAGCTGCCATTTAAGTGTGATGGTTTATGCACATCAGCTGCATGAAGATACTTAATGATGAAGAGAAAAATAACTCCATAAAGAAAAATTCTGTAAGAGAGCTTATGGAATTAACATCAACTGCACTAGGACAAGTCTTTATAGTGTGCTGATGCACGCAGGACACAGCATCACTACTGAGGTATTACCCCCACTAAAGCAAATTACAGTCTGAATTTAGCCCTAAGAAAACATCATTTTTATGGAAAGTCCAAGATACAGATATCTTCCATGTTCTACAATTTTTAATAGTGATTTTAAGTGGCCTTTTTTTAGCACCCTAATAAGCAGGTATCTCCCGACAGTTTTTTCAGAACTTTCTGGGTAATAAATGCCATCCTGTTTAAATGAGCCTTTTCTTAATCGTGTAATGCATAGATGTTGAATACTGTAAGAAATTATTCTTCAAAAGTTTAGCTTGCTTAAGTTTCTTTGCCCTTTTTTCCCTTGCTTTCAAGGCCAGACTTCCTTACTCTCTGTGTTCCCCCTTCCCTGGTAAACAACCTTCTCGCCAGTTCTTATGTATGGAGCCACATCCCACACCTGCTACCCACTCTGTGAATTACCCCTCCCGTCACAAGGGCTACTTCCACCGAAACTGATCTTCCTGCCTTGCCACAGGTATAACCGCATTCCTGCACTTTTCAAGTTAGCCAACCGGGTTTAGCCAACTGGATTGTGCCATCCAACTCCAGCCAATGGAGACAGGACACAGTAAGAAGGACAAGCTGCTTAGAGGTAATAAAACCCCTCTACTTTCCTTTGTTCCTGCTTACTCTCATGGCAACCTACAAGGGGCACCCTCCTGCAGCTTAAGCTTTAATTTCCATGTTAGTTATTAATTTCATTTTTGAAACTAAAACTGTTAGAAAAAATCAGCAAAATTCCTCGGTGTTCATATAACGAAAGAACATTTTAAGGTGCTTACATTTTATACCTCAGTAAGAAAAGCAAAACTATGTATTCCTTTCAGACAGTAAATGTATTATTTTATTATTTGTATTAAAAATCAGGTAGTAAACAAACAAAAAAGGATACAGAATAAAGATATTCACTGTCAAAATTTTACCCTGCTAAAAAAAAGGAACTGAAGTTTTCAGTAATATATGTAACTCACCAATTATCTACCACATTTTTTGGGGAAATGTATTCATTGTCTACAGCTGAAATTGAACAGAGATTTTTTTTTTTTTTCTTTTTTTCTTTGGTAGCTACCATTCTAAAAGCTAGATGGACTTCTGTATGAAATCACTCAGCCATAAAAGCACATGCCTGAGAAAATTTCTAAACTCACTCTGAGAAAGATAAAGTAAAAGTTTTCAACAAGTAAAATATATTATTAATTTTTGAAACTCACCTTTTATGGCCTTTGTAAATATTTCCTTACCTTTCAAGCTCTACTAATAAAATGCAATACACAGTTAAAAAACTGAGGTCAGCTGAGCACAGTGGCTCATGCCTGTAATCACAGCACTTTGGGAGGCCAAAGAAGGTGAGTCACTTGAGGCCAGAAGTTTGACACCAGCCTGGCTAGCATGGTGAAACTCCATTTCTACTAAGAATACAAAAACTAGGTGGGTGTGGTGGTGCACACCTGTAATCCCACCTACTTGGGAGACTGAAGCATGACAATCACCTGAAGTCAGGATTTGGAGGTTGCAGTGAGCAGAGATGGCACCACTTTACTCCAGCCTGGGTGACAGAGGGAAACTCTGTCTTAAAAAGATACATAAATAAACTTTAGGTCAAAGCAAATGAACAAATCCTTTCAAGGTACAGATATGTTTTACTCATGTGTCAAGTCAGGCCATTCAATTAGTTGATTGTCTAAAACTGAAGTGTGACTGAAGATACGTCACCCTATGAAGTTTCCAAAAAAAAAAAAATCTTGACCCAAAAACATTCTAAGATATCTGTGACTAGGTAAAATAAAAGAAAAAAACACAGATATTTTACAATAGTGTCAGATTATTCTTTGCTTTATTCTCGTAGGAAATATTTAGAAAAAAAATCATTGTAAATGTGCCATCAAATGCTTTGTCAAAAAATAATTAATTCACCAGGCACGGTAGCTCACATGTGTAATCCCAGCTCTTTGGGAGGCCGAGGCAGGAGGATGACTTGAAACCAGAAGTTCAAGACCAGCCTGGCCAACATAGTGAAACCCCGTCTCTACTAAAACTACAAAAATTAGCCAGGCGTGGTGCCAGGCATCTGTAATTCCAGCTACTTGGGAGACAGAAATGAGAACCGTTTGAGCCCAGGAGGCGGAGGCTGCAGTGAGCCTAAGTCATGCCACTGCACTCCAGCCACTGCACTGCAACAGAGCAAGGCTCTGTCTCAAATACTTTTAAAAAAAAAAAAAGATTCATTAAAATAGGTATCAATATGTACACTAAAGGACAAATAGTTGATAAAGTCAATTAGAGAGGAGAAACTGGCATTTGGCAACGTCAGACAAAACTGGAAATTTAGTATTTTACTGCAAGCCAGTCAGGCTGGAGGAATAAGGGATGAGGGGCAGACTTGAGGCCCTGCTTGGGACACTTGTGAAAAATTCAGGGAAAAAATCAGTCCCCTGTGGAGTGTGAAAACCATTAAGTGGCAGGAAATTAGATTGAGGTGGCTCTAGTCCCTGGATTTCTACTTCTAAAAAAAAAGTCTAAACTCAAGAGCATTTTTTTGTAAATTACTACATTGGCAGAAACAAAATTCAGGCTTAACGCTTAACCAACTATAAACTGCCAATTAAGCTCTGATTACATAACCATGATATTTCCACCTTGATTGTAAAAATTAAGAACTAGGACGGGGGCAGTGGCTCACGCCTGTAATCCCAGAACTTTGGAAGGCCGAGGTGGGTGGATCACCTGAGGTCAGGAGATCGAGACCTGCCTGACCAACACGGTGAAACCCCCGTCTCCGCTAAAAATAAAAAAAATTGCCAAATGTGGTGGCAGGCGCCTGTAGTCCCAACTACTAGGGAGGCTGAGGCAGAAAAATCGCTTGAACCCGGGAGGTGGAGGTTGCAGTGAGCCGAGATCACGAAACTGCACTTCAGCCTGGGCAACAGAGACTCTGCCTCAAAAAAAAAAGAAAATGAAAACAAAACAACAACAACAAAATAACAACAAAATCTACATAACCGTACCTAGCCAATTACGGAATTTGGTTTTATGATGAAACTTATAAAAACCTTTCCTTCCATGGAATACAAATTAGAAACCACAGCAAGGTGCTCTAAAATTTTTGAATCACACTTTAAATTATTTAATGTTTTTGCAGTGAGGCCCATAAATTTTTAATAGGAAAAAATGGCCTGAAAACCCCACGGACCAAAGCTCTTCCCATTCATGAGCCCGCACCCGGAGTCAGGATTCTGCCCTGACGTTCCTCCCATGGTCCCTGCACAATCTGGGAGAGACGCGGGGCTACTGGTGCAGAGCTGCCCAAAGAGGGCTCCAGGCCAGGGCACAGTCACTGCGCAGTGAAGAGACAGAACGCCCGGGAGCCCGGCTGTCAGCGCAGCCGCCATCTTAAGGCTGAAGGGACTGAGGCCGAGCTGGGCAACAACTCGGGCGCAGATTGTAAAACTGACAGCGAGGAGGCCTGAGTCCCGCCACTGCCGCTTCCCACCGGTTCCAGCCAGCCCCGTTCCCTCTCTTGGGATGTCGCACCCGGCACTCTCACCATTTCTAGGCTTCCAGGGGGCAGGTCACAGGGCCACAGAGGCTGCGCCCCTAAAAGCAGAAGACACAGAGTAGTGAGGACGAGACCTGGAGCTCCGGCCGCAGATAGAGACAAAGGCCCCGCCAAATCCCGGAAGCCGCCCTGTTCGCTCCAGCTGCGTGCCTGATTGGACAGTTCCCAGGACAGCGTCTCTGATTGGATAACGTTTAAGAACCCCGCTTTCTAAGGCCCTGAGTGACAGAAGATGTCATCAGACGTTGGGCTGAATGAAGAAAGATTGACAGCCTAAGCCTCAGCCTTTTCAGGCGGGGCTTCCTCCCGGAGCTGAACGAGGCCCATCTCAGAACACGGAAAAATTTTCTCTCTTCTTTGCTGTCTTTTTTTCAACGTATTAAATATGTGAATAATTTTTTTTTTAGACAAAGTTTCGCTCTTGTTGTCCAGGCTGGAGTGCAATGGCGCGATCTCGGCTCACTGCAACCTTCGCCTTCCGGGATCAAGCGATTCTCCTGCCTCAGCCTCCATAGTAGCTGGGACTACAGGTGCACACAGCCACACCGGGCTAATTTTTGTTTTTTGGTTTTTTTTAGTAGAGATGGGGTTTCGCCACGTTAGCCAGGCTGGTTTCGAACTTCTGACCTCAGGAGATCCACCCGCCTCGACCTCCCAAAATGCTAGGATTACAGTCGTGAGCCACCATGCCTGGCCGACTCGATATTATCTTTAAAGCAAAATTAGGAATACCTTTATTCCCCAGATGTTGGAATATCTGGACACTCCTCCGTCTGGTTCTGCTTAGTAAACATTATTAATTCATTTCCTTAACCATAAATATCTAGAGGCTAGGAATGCCTAACTTACTGAGAATGCAGCCCAGCGAGTCTCAGCGTCATTTTCCTAGCTCTCTCTCAAAACGGAGTCGCTCTGGTTCAAATGATTCTGACATATTTTTCGCCTTCCTTTACAAGAGGACCCTTAATCCTAAGAGTTGCAGAGAGACAAAGATTCGTCTTCTGTAACTTTTTCAGGCTGATTAGGGGCGATAATATTCCTGCCTAACCATTGGTCTCTTGCATTCAGGGTAGAGAGAAATTCAGTCAGACAGTGTTGGTATGGTGAAGGTCGTTCATAACTTCTAGTTCCAAAAGAAGGTGATGTCTAGAAGATTAATAAGCGTCCAATTTAAGAAAGCATTTAGTGAGCTTGTCTTGCATTCCTACACAAAGAGTACAACCACAATATATTCCACAACAGCAAAGCAAAATTAGTAAAATTATTCCACGTAAACTAAACAGGAAAGCCTTTCAAGAAGTGGGCAGTTGTTAGAACCAAACTGATATATGGTTCACTGATAGCACATAAATGGCAGAGATGTGAGTGCATAAAACTTTTATGCCCTGGGTTATGTTATGTAAATAGTCTGGAGCACACACAAAACATTTGGTTTTGATCAAAGCATAGGTTTCCTTTTGAGTCTCTGTTTAAATGTCTACATACACAACAGTTTGTTCGATTATGTAGACAGGATGAAGTCTGTGCCCACTCAGTAAATAAGTTACTCTCTGCATGATTTCAACTAATTCCCAAAAGTAGAAAGCCAATCTATATCTTTATGTTACCCATCCCTTTCATTTCTTCTGAACAGGAGTCAAAGGTCACTGGCTCATGGGAATAAACAGGATCAGTTTCTTCTGTTCTGCCGTCCTGTAGGACTTCATAAGAGACAGGTTTAATTCGAGTTAAGTGGACCCAGCTATTTATTCCCAGAATTTTAACTGCAGTTGGGGTACTAAAGAGAACTTGATAGGGTCCCTTCCACTTTGGGGAAAGTTGACCTGCTGGGGATCCTTTTTTCCAAGTTTTTAATAGGACCAAATTTCCTGGCTGGGTTATAACAAGATTAGCTTCCTTAGTTGGGGAAAGGAGTCTTTGATTTCCATATTCAGAGTGTGTTTTGCACTTGTCACATAATTCTGTAACTTGAAAGTATCCGTGTCTATTAGGCACAGTAAAGAAGGCGTGTAGCTAAAAAAGGCCTTGCATACATTATTTCAAAAGAGCTGAGCTGCAGATTTCCCTTAGAGGCCACTGGAATCTGTAATAAGGCTACAGATAGTAAAGACAGCCAGGTCTTTGATATTTCTTGGCATAGCATAGCAAGAGTCCTCTTTTCAGTTTGATTAGCTCTTTTTACGTTCACTGAAGACTGTGGCCTTCACGCTGAGTGAAGGCAGTACTAAATTTCTAGGTATCAAGATATGTTTTGTGTATTTGTCACTGTGAAAAATAAGCCATTATCTCTGTGTAATTTCTTAGCAGCCCAAATCTAGGAATTATTTCTTCTCTTTTCTTTTCTTTTTTTTTTTTTTTTTTTTTTGCAAAAGAGTTTCACTCTTGTCACCCAGGCTGGAGTGCAGTGATACACTCTAAGCTCACTGCAACCTCTGCCTCTCAGCTTCAAGTGATTCTCCTGCTTCAGCATCCAAGTAGCTGGGATTAGATGTGCCCTCCACCACGCCTGGCTAATTTTTTGTATTTTTAGTAGAGACGGGGGTTTCATCATGTTAGCCAGGCTGGTCTTGAACTCCTGACCTCAGATGATCCACCCGCCTCAGCCTCCCAAAGTGCAGGGATTACAGGCATGAGCCACCTCACCCAGGGGTGTAATTATTTCTTTTAGCAGGAGTTTGGGAATCTCAATTGCCTTTTCAGATCGGGTAGGAAAAGCCTCGATCCAAAGGTGTCAATGAATACTAATAAATATTTAAACCCTTTACATGGGGTCATCTGAGTATAGTCTATTTGCCAGTCTTCACCAGGGTATGTTCGTCTATGCTGAATAGGCCTTACTAAAGGAGGAGGTAAACATTGGTCATTTGGGTTATTCCAGACACATCCTTCACAGGCTCAAGTAACCTAGTTTACTGTTTTAAGTAATCCTTTTTCTATAAAAAGCCAAGACATTATTTGAAACAGGGAATCTCTTCCCAAATGGGTAGAGTCATGCAAATGTTTAACTATTTTTTATTGATTAGCACCTCATATCAGTAGTTTATCAGGAGTGTCTAGCAAAATGCCTGCTATTTCAATAAGCGTCCCCCTGTCATCCACTGGTGTCCTTTAGCTTCTAGGACTCCTTGTACTTGGTGTGGGTTTTAACTTCCAGGTGTTGTTCTAAAGCCAGTTTATTGGATTCATCTACCAAAAGAGAAGTTGCTGCAACTGCCCTGAGGTATCCAGGCATGATAAGAAAGTTGTGTAAGAAAACCAAGGTCTCTGAAAAACAGCATGGAGAATAGGTAAAATGGCATCTATAGGCTTCTCAGTCTACCCCTGTGACCATGAAGTTTTGGGGCAACAGAGACCCATTATATGGGTCAAAACAGAGTAAGCCATCCAGAAGAAAGTTAATATTCTTTTTTGTTTTCTTTTTTTTTTTTTTTTTTTTGAGATAGAGTCTCGCTCTCTTGCCCAGGCTGGAGTGCAGTGGCACAATCTCAGCTCACCACAACCTCCGCCTCTTGGATTCAAGCAATTCCCAGATTTTTTTTTTTTCGTATTTTTAGTAGAGATGGGGTTTCACCATGTTGGCCAGGCTACTCTCAAACTCCTGACCTCAAGTGATCCTCCCATCTTGGCCTCCCAAAGTGCTAGGATTGCAGGCGTGAGCTACCACACCTGGCAAAAATTAATATTCTTACCTGCCATGGCAAAGGTTACTGAGGCTTCTCCAGATATATGGCTAGTTGTCTGATGGAAGCTGTGATGGAAGGTCTCAGGCCCCGTCACTCTTGGGCACTTGCCTGGCTGTTTCACCCATCATTAGTTTGGGTGCTGACGGCTCTCTTCAGAACACTGGACTATCCCTCTTCCAATGGCCTGTTTTCTTACAGTGTGCACACTGATTTATGCCCAAAGCACAGTGACTCGGATTCCCAGCTTTGGGCTTTTCACCTTTCAGCTTCCCTTGTTCAAGCCAAGACCTAGGAAGGCAACCTCCCATATGGGAGGTAAGCTTAAGGTTGCAGCCAAAAGCTGCACCTTGTGGAGGTCCTTCTTCCTCTTTCTCCTTCCTCCACTTTGCCTCTGTTATTAAAAACTAAAAATGCCATATCCAAAGCTGTTCATAGAAGTTTGGGGACCCATAGCTGCTTTTACTAGTTTTCTATGGATATCAGAGGAAGACTGGGTTATAAAGTGGACTCCCAGAAGGGTTTATCTTTACCTTGAGGCAAGATCCATGTTAGTATATTTCCTGATTGCCTCAACTAAATGCTATTGAAACAAAGCTGGATTCTCGTCTTTGCCCTGAGAAACTTCCTTAACCTTTTCATTGTTAACAAGGTTTTTCTTACATTTCTTCATCTCTTCCAACAAACAAGTAACCATATGATCTCTTCTCCCAAGTCCTCACTGCCCCTTTGATATTCCATCGTAGATCTTAATCTGGAACTGCTATACCTCCTGTCTGATATATATTATGGTTCAGGCTGCAAGCCAATACCTCATCTGCATGAGTCCTAGCTGTCCCCAAAATGCATTGTTTCTCTTCCACGTACAACACAGAGACAACAAAACATACAGATCCTGCCAAGTTAAAGTATAGGTCAGAGTTAACTTTTCAAACTCATCTATGAATTTTTCTGGATCTTCAGAGAAATGACCAAACTTGTCTTATTATAGAGCCAAACCAGACATAGAAAAGGGGACATGTCCTCTCACAATGACTTCTTCCCCATTTGCAACCTCTCTAAGTGGACAAAGATTTCCTTTTGGAGGTTGATAGGCAGCCCCACTACTAGTAGTACCCACTGAGTTCCATTCTTCAGGGCGTGGTGGGTGTAGAGAGGAACTAGAAGGGTAAGGAGGAGGGACAAAGGGTTCTCAATAGAACTTTCAGGTGAACTAGGGGCAGATAGGACCGACACATCTGAACCTTCAGACCTGACAGAAAGAGGTTCCACTTCACCCAAAAATGCTCACTGAATCAAGTGGCAGGGGGCTTGCAATAAATGATCATATTGTCTAACTCTTTTTATTCTATTTCTCTCATGAAACATGCCCATGCCTGCTGCAGGGTTTCATTCTGACTGAGCAGCAAAAATGCTTGAACTTACGATATTTTATCCCATTTTCCCTACCATGTACAGAACAAATCGAGTTGAACTATAGTATGAATACCTATTAGAGGCATTTTTTCTTGTATCATTCTGAAATTATTTGCTGATTTTCCATACATATCATCCTTAAGAAAGCGCAGGCTCTTAATCCAATCTGTAATCCCTATTCCTGAGGTTTTGGTAATCTGATGTTTCTCTTTTGTTGTAGACAGCCCTGAAGATGAGTTTTCACCCCAGAGAACAGAATGACAGAAGGCCAAGATGTGGTTGAAATGGCTGGTGAGAGACATTGGGTGAGGAAAGGCCAGGCTCACCAAGCATTCAGACACACCTGTGCAACTGTCCTTGCAATTAGGAGCCAGGCCCCAGTGAGCTTCTCACCACATGTGTCTTTGAACTATGCTAGGCCATGCTGTTGATTAGTTTCCTCTACTGAGCAGGTAGCTTATAGTCAGAGTATTTACACCCAGGAGAATGTTCCAGGCCAGCCCTGAGTCAACTTAAAATAATCAAAAAGTTAAAATGTAATCTGAAATATATTTACTCAAGATCTGATATTGAGGATGGCCATCAGGAGGACAGATTTAAGTTGCCC
Source organism: Homo sapiens (assembly GCF_000001405.40). Lineage (NCBI taxonomy): Eukaryota > Metazoa > Chordata > Mammalia > Primates > Hominidae > Homo > Homo sapiens. The sequence goes on along the minus strand of NC_000019.10, from coordinate 23,909,282 downwards.
TGAATATATATTTCAATTAACAGCCATTGAAAGTGAGTCTTTTCAAAAAAGTGAGAAGCCAGTCCCTAAGTTATTTACCAAGAATTCATACTTAAATGCATAAGTTATTGATTGGCTACATATATTCTTTTGTTTTAGAAATTTCAGAATAAAGAAATAATGGGTGAGACTGCTAGTCAGAAACAAAATATCTTTAAACAATTGCCCCTAGTCCCAGCACTTTGGGAGGCCAAAGTGGGTGGATCACCTGAGGTCAACATTTTGAGACCAGTCTGACCAACATGGTGAAATCCCATCTCTACTAAAAATACAAAAAAAAAAAAAAAAAAAAAAAAATTAGCCAGGACTAGTGGCATGCACCTATAATCCCAGCTACTCTGGATAATCATTTGAACCAGGAAGTGTAGGTTGCAGTGGGCTGAGATTGTGCCATTGCACTCCAGCCTGGCAACAGTGCAAGACTCTGTCTCAAAAAAAAAAAAAAAAGAAAGAAAGAAATGAGTCACTATATTAACTCTGGGGGCATGATCACATATGACAGTCAGAATTTTTACTGTGGACTGCACTCACCTGTGAAATCAGTATCTCTCCAGTGGGCACTGTCCATGTGTCAGGGTGACATTGCTAACATTTGGTAGGTTGTGCATGTGGGAAACACAGTCTCACCTGTGTGCTTGGTTCTGTGATGACACTCTCTGTACCATCCAAAGACTTAATATAAATGTGAAAGAATGGTAATCCTCTATGATGTTATTATATAGAGAAGACACAGGAATATTCCCATTTCTCTAAGTTTAGTTACAAGTGCCAGTATCTCTCCTTTTGGCTGATTCATGGTATTTGTGTCATCATCACAACTGTGAGCTTGGGTAAGGTATATGTCACAACCCAAACTGTGAGTAGAAAAAAACAAAAGACTAACATCACCTGGGTGCTGGGTCAGAAATATGTCACAATTTTTCCAGGGCAGAGACCAGGCAGAGAGTAATATCACCTGGTTGCCTGGCCAGGGTTATGTTACAATTTTCTCCAGAAAGCAGGGCACAAACAGCAAAGACATATTACCTGGGTAATGGGCCCAGCTATATGTCACAATTTTTTCTGCAGGTAAGACCTGGGTACAAGAAAAACACCACCTGGTTGCTGAACCCAGAAGTATATCACAATCTTCTGTGTGGGCATGATGCAGATGCAAGAGGAAAGTCATACCTCAAAGTAAAGGATGCAGAGACATGTCACAAGGCCTCTAGTGGGCAGGGCCCAGGCTAGAGCCTCTCACCCACTTGATTTGACCCAGCAATATGTTTTAATACCTAAAATAGATGGGGCCAATTTGAAAGAGGAGAGTGATAAGGGCTGGTGCAGTGGCTCATGCCTATAATCCCAGCACTTTGGGAGGCTGAGGCTGGCAGATCGCTTGAGGTCAGGAGTTGGAGACCAGCCTGGCAAACATGGCAAAACCCCATCTCTACTAAAAATACAAAAATTAGCCAGCTGTGGTAGCACACACCTGTAATCCCAGCTACTCAGGAGGTTAAGGCAGGAGAATCACTTGAACCTGGGAGATGGATGTTGCAATGAGCCGTGATCACACCACTGCACTCCAGCTTGGGATACAAAGTGAGATGTCATCTCAAAAAAAAAAGACAAAAGAAAAGAAAAAAGAGGGTGATATCACCAGATGCTGGGTCCAGTGATATGTCACAATTCTCCCTTTATACAGGGCTCAGGTAGAAAAGGAGAGTTACATCACTTAGGTGATAAACAAAATATGTCATAATTCCCCTATTGGAAGGGCTCACGTGGGAGAGTTAGATCACATAGGTGTTGGACCCAGCCGTATTTCAATATACACAGTTTTTAACATACACAATATACAATTTGTATATTGAAATGTGGCTGGACCCAACACCTAGGTGATGGAACTTTTGAAATATGCCCTTTTTGGGCAGAGCCCAAGCACTAGAAGAGAGTAACATCACCTTATTACTAGGTGAAAAAAATATGGGACAATACTCCCTGAAAAATGAAGAGCCCATGCAGCAGTCTACCTAAATTAGAGCTTCAGAGATATGTCAAAACACCCTGTGTGGGCAAGGCTAATGTCGAAGAGAAAAGTCATAACCTAGGGCCTTCACCTAGTTATATGTCACAATCACCCCAGTGGGCAGTGCCCAAGGATGGGAAAAATATTATGTAAGTGCTGAGAAGAGTGATCTGTCACAATCCCCACTGTTGACAGTTCTGAGACAAAAATAAAAAGTCATATAATCCAGTTTAGTGGGCCAGGGACATTCACTATGTCCTCTGTGGACAGGTATAAGGCAGAAAAATTACATCACCTGTGAAATGTCACTAGGGATTAGTCACTCTCGCTTCTGTGGTCTGGGTCCAGATAGGAGAAAAGAGAAACATTACATATGTCTCCTAGGGAAAAGCCCATGTAAGAGTGGAAAGTAACCCATCAAATAGATGGGTCCAGGAATATGGCAAAATGCCTCCTGTAGCCAGGGTCTAGGGCAGAGATTCATATCTCCTGGGTGTTAGACCCAGGGATATGTTACAGTAGCCAATGTGGGCAGGGCACAGAAAGGACAAGCACATTACCTGGGTGCAGGGACCAGTGATATGTCACAATGCCCTCTTTGGCAGCACCAAGGCATGAGTTTAGGGTCACATCATCTACATACTGGTTCCAACAATATGTCCCAATCCCATCTGTGTGCAGGGCCCAGGCAGGAGTGTCAAATCACTCAGGTTATGAACAGAGATGTGTGTAACAATCACACATGCAGAAAGACTCAGGGATAGCATGAATAACTTTTCACATATTCCCATTCTAGGTATGAGAGTCAAGACCATTTGGAGGTTGGGTCTAAGTATGCAAATCACAATCTCAATGTGGACAGGTTTATGAATAAGAGTCTCATTCTCTCCTTCAGACTGTGTCTCCTCAGTAAACGCCATAGTCTCACAGGTGTGCTGAATCTTGATCTGAGTCAGCAGCCTAGCTGTGGACCAGATCCACATGTGAGAGTCAATTTTGCAGCTTTCCACTTCCTCCAGGGATGAGATTCAGAACTTCAGAAGTAGATTGTGTTTATCTAAAAGGATGACGTATTTACTGTTGACTGGTTGTGAATACCAGTATCACAATGTCACCTGTGTGCTGGACCATATAAGGGCATTCAATATATTACCTGAGGGCTTTATCGCTGGGTCTGTCCCACAGACCCTGGCTGATGGATGAAATGAGTACTCAGACACAGGTATGCAGTGTAAGAGCAGCTAGGCGACTGCCTGGCTATATTGGACAGAGTGCAGCCCTGAGAAGCTGGGCTGCTTTCTTTTATTCAGTGCAGGCACAATGCCGAAAACCTGGAGCCAATACAACCTGCAGGTAATTAACATTTATTGTTCCCCTTTCAAGAAACATCACATGTGCAAATGATCAAAGGTCAGTTTCTGGTCAACATAAGTAAACAAGCCTCTTTAAGATAAAGTTCCCCCACACTCCCTTGTATTTACTCCTCACCCCCTGACTCAAGGTTATAGAACAGGTGCCTTCAGCTATTATCCCCTGGGGCTCTGCAGGACCTTCCAAACTTTCAGGAGGTTTGCATTCTTTCCCTATAGATTTTTCACCACTCTGACCGACACCCCCCCAAGCCCAACATTTCCCCTCTTTTTTTTTTGCATCAAGTTTTGATGATTGAAGCATACAGATGTGAGCAGTGACTGGCATAGTGGTTACAGCTTGTGTTCCAGCTTTGCATCTTAGAACCAGTAAATAATATAAAACAAACATGAGTATAATCAATATTATTCTTTTACAATCAAGGAGTGATATGTAATGGTACTTGCCACCTCAGTCCAATGTATGCCATTACTGAGGGACCCCCACTAGAGGTATGTCAATCCCTTCCAGCCAATCAGTCGCATTTTTAGAGGCTAGGAAGAGGGTCTCTGCCGAAGTAGCAGTGCGGAAGAAAGGTGGATCTAGAAGATGGGCCCAATAGAGTATAGCAGGTATGGGTTGCAGGCAAAGTGAGAGAATAAGAAGAATCAATACCCTGCAAGAGTTACAATGTACAACAGAAAGCATAGAAAGGAACACATTATCTGAGGGAATGGTTTCTTTTTCTGCAGCAGAATTCACTCAGCCTCCTGAGTTGTCTTCTTCAGCATCCCCCAGGTAATGTCTGGGGCCTGTGATGTCTGAGAAAGTGGCATTGTCTGGGGTTGCAGGTTCTGCAGGATAATTTCCTTCATTTTTGGTACGGGGTTGGGTCCTAGCCATGCTGTGGTAAGGTTTGGTGTGTCACGCTGGAATCCAAAGAGGCTGAGGGGTTGTGAACCCAAGCATATCCTCTTCCCAACATTAACAAATAATTTGGACCACACTATACATTACTATTTGCCGAGACCAGCTCAGTCATGGAGACCCTAACCCAGTGGCACTAGAGGAATTAAAGACACACGCACAGAAATATAGCATGTGGACTGGGAAATCAGGGGTCTCACAGACTTCAGAACTGACAGCCCCAAACAGAGATTTACCCACATATTTATTGGCAGCAAGCCAGTGATAAGCATTGTTTCTATAGATTATAGATTAACTAAAAATATTCCTTGTGAGAAATAAAGAGATGTGCTCTGGCTAGTTATCTGCAGCAGGAATCAGTCCTTAAGGCACAGATTGCTCATGCTATTGTTTGTGGTTCAGGAATGCCTTTAAATGGTTTTCCCACCCTAGGTGGGCCAAGTGTTCCTTGCCCTCGTTCCAGTAAACCCACAACTTTCAGCATGGGCATCATGGCCATCACGAGCATGTCACAGTGCTTCAAAGATTTTGTTTATGGCCAGTTTTGGGGCCAGTTTATGGCCAGATTTGGGGGCTTGTTCCCAACAACTATTTACATCTTTCCATAAAACTTGAGGCTTTATATTTTGAGAGGTTTTTGCAAAGTGCTTTTCTATGGCTGACTGAAATTTATTATCTAAATTTAAGAAATTTAGGGTAAATAAGGCTCGTGCTAATAGTGTTGTAGGGTTCCTACTCATATTCCCGTTTTTGGTTTTTTAAGCATACTCTTAAGGGTGGAATGGGTACATTCCACTGTTATCTGGGTTAAATAATTGATAAATTCAACAAATGGCTCCTGGGGCCCTTGTCATACATTTACAAAAGATCTCTGTTGGACTCTGCCTTTGGGAATTCGTTCCCAGGCCCTGTGAGTGCACAAAGACACATGTGCATAGGCTTGGAGGAAAAATTTAATTGTTGTTATACATTAACATAGGGACCCCTCCCCTGGAGCATAGTAGCTGTTATGTTTTGCCTGGCCCAACTGATTCTGGTTAACTTGTTGTTCACATAACTCATCATATTCTGCCCTCCAGAGGAGGTATTGACTGGCCTCTAAAGTTGTTTTAGCTAATATTGACCAGTCCCATGGGGTCATATGGTAGTTTTCTGCTATGGCCTCAAGTAATCCTCTCCTAAATGGGCTAGTGGCTCCATTTTCTCTAATGCTTTTTCTTTATAAGTCTTCAAAGTAATGGGTTCATGTACCTGACTGCCTTGTTGATCTTCCATCATTGGGCAGGCCAAGAGCTCCCCTTCTAATGCTGCTTACCTAACACAGGGTCCCATAACTGTAATGTATCCCTTGTCTTTTCCCCAATTTATTGGGAGAGGGGGCTCAGGAAAAATCTCTGCCTCCTCTGTGGCACCTTTACTGGTAACAACCAGGCTGAGGGAGGAGGAGGAGGAGGAAGATGAGGAGGCAGTAAGGTAGATGATGATTCTTCCTCCCTTCCCTTTTTAGGCTGTTCTGTATAGAGCAGGGCCAAAGCAGCCCTAACTAAGGCCCATAATATTAAAGAACATTAAAGATGTTACTGGGACTCGTTGCCCATGTGCATAATGTTTAAGATTCCTTCTCACTTGTTCCCAGAGTTCTAGGTCTAGTATGCCTTCTTCTGGGAACCATGGGCTATGGAAAACAACAGTTTGCATTAGGTCCCTTAATTGAGCCTTTGAAACTGAGGCTCCACTAGCTTTTAGCAGTTGTTTCAATTTTTTATATACTGTTGCTGTTGAGCTGATAATTGTTGTCACATGATAAAGCCCTAGCTTGAGTCTGGGCACAATGGTTCATGTCTGTGATCCCAGCACTTTGGGAGAATGAGGTGAGTGAATCACCTGAGGTCAGGAGTTCAAGATCAGCCAGACCAACATGGAGAAACCCCATCTCTACAAAAAAAATACAAAATTAGCCAGGCATGGTGGTGCATGTCTGCAATCCCAGCTACTCAGGAGGCTGAGGCAGGAGAATCACTTAAACCTGGGAGGTGGAGGTTGCCATGAGCCAAGATTGAGCCATTGCACTCCAGCCTGGGAAACAAAAGCAAAACTCCATCTCAAAATAATAATAATAATAATAATAAATAAAACCCTGGCTTGAAAAAATTCCTTTGAACTTGGAAATCCCCAGTGGACACAAATTACTTACTGTGCAGTCACTTCCCTTTCATTTTTGAGGGTTCCGTCATGATCCATTTTGTTGCTTCCCACATGGGGCACCACCTGCTGGTTCTGTCCCACACATCCTGGCTGACAGATGAAATAAGTACTCAGACATAGGTATGCAGTCTTAAAGCAGCTAGGGAACTGCCCAGCTCTTGTGGCCAGATTTCAGCACCGAGAAGCTGGAGCTGCTTGCTTTTATTCAGTGCAGGCACAATGTCAAATACCTGGAGCCAACACAACCTGTAGGTAATTAACATTTATAGTTCCCTTTTCACCACTCTGACTGATCCCCCACACTTTATGCAATACGCATGTGAGTCGCAATCTACTCTAAGACATTTGTGATGATATGGACCCATGATACTACATGTGACTCTAAGCCCAGGAATGAGAGTCAATATCTTTCCAACTGGCTGATCCATTTAGGAAAGTCCTCACCTGCCTATGAGCTACATTTAGAAGAGAGTCATCATTTGTAGCTTTAGAAATGAGCCATTCCTGGCTGGATGTTTGTATATCACAGTCACAATTCCAACTGCAGTCTGCATCTGCATATGAGATTTAGGACCTCACCAGTGGGCTCTGTCCATGTTGAGGTTACAATTATAACAGGCGGCAGGAAGTTCTTTTAAGAAACACAAACTTTGGCTGGGTGCAGTGTCTCACACCTGTAATCCCATCACTTTGGGAGGCAGAGGCGGGCAGATCACCTAAGGTGAGGAGTTCAAGACCAGCCTGGCCAACATGGTAAAACCCCTACAAAAATTAGCTCGGCTTCGTGGCATGCGCCTGTAGTCCCAGATACTCAGGAGGATAGGCAGGAGAATCATTTGAACTCAGGAGGTGGAGGTTGCAGTGAGCCAAGATCGTGCCACTGCACTCCAGCCTGAATAACAGAGTGAGACTCCCATCTCCAAAGAAAAAAAAGAAAATAAAAGAAACACAATATCATCTGTGTTTTTGTCCCTTGATGACACTCTCTGTGCCACCCAAGGGCTTTATACAGTATTTGAGGGCGTGGTAATTCTCTATGACCTTGGCAAAACGAAAAGACTAAGGATCGTGTTTGTTTTCCTAAGCCTAACTAGGAGAGAGTGCAACTCTTTTATTGCCTGGTTCAAGGTGTGAGAATCAACATAGCAATTGCAAGCTGGGGCAAGATATATGTCACAATTATGCTGCTGAGTAGGAAGTGAGCAGAAGAGTCACGTCATCTGGGGCTGGTCTAAAGGCATGTCACAATCTTTTCTGAGGGCAAGAACCAGAGAGTAGAGTCATATCACATCACCTAGGTGCTTGGCCAGGGATGCATTAGAATTTATTCCTGTAAGATGGCCACAGGCAGACTGGGTGCATTGGCTTATACCCAGACAAGAGGGAAGGCTCTTGCATTGGGAGATCAAGACAAGTGGTTCACATGACATCAGGAGTTTGAGGCCAGCCTGGCCAATGTGGTGACACCCCACCTCTACTAAAAATACAAAAATTAGCCCAGTGTGGCAATGCATACCTGTAATCCCAGCTACATGGGAGGCTAAGGCAGGAGAACAGCTTGAACCCAGGAGGCAGAGGTTGCAGTGAGCCAAGATCATATCACTGCACTCCAACCTGGGTGACAAGAGTGAGACTCTGTCTCAAAAAAAAAAAAAAAGGAAAGAGAGAAAGAAAAGATGTGCACAGGCCACAAGTCACATTACCTAGGTGCTGGGCCCAGTGATACACTACAATGCTGTCTTTGAGAAACACCCTGAGTGGTTATACACACACCTGGTGGCTGATCCCAGTGATATGTTACCATCTTCTCTTTGTGCATGGTGCATGTAGGTGAGGAGAGCCCTATTTCATAGGTGATGGATGCCAAAATATGTCACAAGGCCACCTGTTGGCAGGGCCCAGGCAGGAGCCTCTCATCCCATAATGTCAGACCCAGTAAAAGTAACAATATGCAAAATATGCAAGGTCCAGTCAAAAGATGTCTTACATCATCTAGGTGCTGGGTCCAGTGATACATCACAATTCCCTTGTGGCAGTGTAGAGGCTGAAGAAGAGTCACATCACTACCTAGGTGATGAATGAAAAGATGTTTCATAATACTCTTGTGGTCAGGGCTTATGTAGAAGTCTCACATCACCTGGGTGGCAGACCCAGCTATATGTCACAATGCAAAATGTTTGTAGGGCCTAGACAAGAGAAAAGAGTCCCATCACATAAGTTCTGGGCCCAGTGATACATCACAATCCCCTTTTGGTCAGACCAAGCAGTAGAGGAAGTCACATCACCTAAATGCTGCACCCAGCAACATGTCACAATAACCCCTCAGAGGACATACCAGACAGAAAAGTCAAATCACCTAGATAAAAGGCCCAGAAATATCTTATAATGCTATTGTTTTGTAGGGCTCAGGAAAAAAATGAGGTCAGCTAATGTAGCAGCTGGGCCCAGCTATATGGCACAATTACATCAGGCAAGGGCTTGGTTTGAGAGGAGAGTCATATCACATAGGTGCTTGGCCCAGTGATATGTCACATTTCCTACTGTGGACAGGTCCAGAAAGATAAGAAGAGACCTATCATTTAGGTGATTGGCTCAGAGATATGTCACAATGACCAATTGGGCAGGAACCAAGTGGAAGAATCACATCCCCTGTGTGCTGGGCCCAGCAATAAGTCACTCTCACTTCTCTTAGCGTGACCCAGGCCCAAAGATATATTACAATCTAACCTATGGACAAGGTGAAGGTAAGAGAGGAGAGTCACATAAAATAGTTGATGGACAGAAAACTCACATCATCTTCGTGTAGGGCCCAGGAACATGACACAATGTCTTACATGGGCAGGACTAAGAAAAATAAAATAATATCTTTCTGGTGCCTAGTTGAGTAACAGTGCCCAATCTTTCCTGCAGGAACAACAACAACAACAAAAATCAGCTACATGCTGTAAAATGTCTCAGTTCTTCCTGTGAGCAGAGACATGGTAACACAAGAGAGTCACATCATCTGTGGGATTGGTGCAAAGACATTTCGTTCTTTCTTTTTTTTTTTTTTTTTTTTTTGAGATGGAGCCTCACTCTGTTACCCAGGCTGGGGTGCAGTTGTGTGATCTTTACAAACTCTGCCTCCTGAATTCAAGTGATTCTCCTGCCTCGGCCCCCCGAGTAGCTGGGACTACAGATGCCCATCACCACACCCAGCTGCTTTTTGTAATTATTATTAATTTTTTTAGTAAAGACAGTGTTTCACCATATTAACCAGGCTGGTCTTGAATCCTGACCTTTTGATCCACCTGCCTCATCCTCCCAAAGTGCTGGGATTACAAGTTTGAGCCACAACGCCCAGCCACAGAGACATTTCAAAATGACCCTGTAGGCAAGGCCCAGACATAAAAGTTACATCACCTGAGTGTTGAATCCAGCAACATGTCACAATGGCCCAAATGGGCAAATCACAGGCAGAAGAGTCACAAATTGTCAGGGCAGGGACCAGCATTATGACACAATGTCACCTGAAGGCAAAACCTAAATGAATAAAAGAGTCACATAAGCTAGGAGCTGAGTGTAGCAATATGCTGCAATTTCTCTGTAAGCAGGGACCAGAAGAAGAAGAGAGTCACATCACCTGGATGCTGGGCTCAGTAATATGTCAATCATCTTTCCTGTAATAAAGACCCAGGCAGGAGAATTACATCATCTGGTTGCTGACAACAGCAATGTGCCACAACTTTCCATGTAGGCAGGGTGCAGGCAGAAGAGGAGAGTCACATCTGCTAGGTGAGGAATGCAGAGACATGCCACAATGTCCCCTGTAGGAAGGTCCCAAGTAGGAGACTCCCATCCCTTAGGAGTTGAGTTCAGCAATATGTCACAATACCCAAATGTGTAGAGCCTGAGAAAAAGAGGAGAGTCACATCACCTAGATGCTAGGCCAGTAATCTGTCACAATTTCTCTGTGAGCAGAGACCAGGCAGGAGAAGAGAGTAACGTCAGTATGGTGATGGACATTGAGTTATGTCACAAGGTCCCCTGCAGGCAGTCCCAGAAAAAAAAGTTACATCACCTGGGTGTTGAACCCAGCAATATGTAACAATGTCTAATGTGATATATTGAGCCCCAATACGGCACAACATGTAAGGCACATTTGGGAGAGTCATATAACATGGGTGCAGGATTCAGCCAAAATTGACAATACTTAAAATTTGTGGGGTCCCCAAAAAAAGAAGAGTCAAATCACCGAGGTGCTGGATCCAGTGATGAATCACAATCTTACCTTCAGACTGGGACCATGCAGCAAAATCAAATCACTCAGGGCTGAACATAGGCATATGTAATAATCACTCGTGCAGGAAAGTCCAGTAGTGAATTAACAATCCTGCACAGGTCTCAGTTCTAGGTATGAGAGTCACCACATTTTCTATGTTGGGTCTAAGTAAGGTAGTGATAACCTCACCAATGAACTGGATTGGAGCTTGAGACCCTTCATTCCTCCTGTAAACTGTGTTCACTCTAGCCCTAAGCCCAGGTAGAATTTTCATGGGTTCAGATAGAATTCTCACCTTCCAATGTACTGGGTTCATAAATCAGTCATCATTTCAACCCTGACTGGATGTTCACATATGAGAGTTCACAGTTTCTACTGTGGACTGTGTCTGTGTGAAATTCAGGGCCTCACCAGTGTGCTCTATCCAAGTGTGAGGGTGACAATCCCAACAGCTGGTGGGCTGTGCACATTGCACATAAGAACTACAATCTCCCTGTGTGCTGAACCCTGGGAAGACACTCTCTGTACCACAAGAGATTTATATAGTATGCAAGAAATTGGTAATTTCCTATGACTTTGTACAAAAGGGAGACTCAGGATTATAATCATTACCATAGGCCTAGCTACAAAAGACAGCATCTCTCCTGTTAGGTGGGTAGAGGTATGAAAGTCACCATTGCACCTGTGAGCTAGGCCAAACTATATTTTACAATCCCACCTGTGAATAGGCAGAGAGAAGGAGAGTCACATCACCTGGGTTTTTGGCCAGGAATACATCACAATCTTTACTGAGGGCAGGGATCAGACAGGAGTGTCACATAACTTTAATACTCAGCCAGGAATATGTTACAACCTTCTCCTGAAAGCAAAACACAGGCAGCAGAGTCACATCACCTGGGTGCTGAGCCCAGCAATAGCTAATAACGCTTTCTATAGTCAAGACCCATGCAAGAGAGACACATCACCTGGTAGCTGGGCCTAGTGATAATTCGTAATTTTTCTTGTGAGCAGAGTAAAGGCAATAACAGAAAGTCACAGCTCCTAGGTGATTGATGCAGAGATATGTCACAAGGCCCTCTGTTGAAAGGCCCAGGCAGAAGCCTCCCATTTTATAGGTGTTGGGCCTGGTAATATGTTATACTATGCAAAATACTCAGGGCTTAGGCAAAAAAAAAAAAAAAAAATGGAGTCATGTAACCTAAGTGCAGAATTTAGGAATATATCACAATGCACCCTGTGGGCAGTGACAAAGCAAGAAAAGACTCACATTACCTGGGTGGAAGGCCCAGCCATATGTCACCATGACACCTGTGGGCAACACCAAGCCTGGAAAAGCGAGTCACTTCTTTGAGGTGCAGAGTCCAGAGATATGTCACAGTCTCATCTGAGGGCTGAGCCAAGGCAGGAGAGTCAAATCACTAAAATGCTTACCAGGCACAATCACACCTGCAGGAAAGTCCAGGAATGAGATTAGATATTCCATACAGGTCCATGTTCTAGATATGAGAGTCAACACCTCCTGTATGATGGGTCTAAGTTCATGAGTAACAATCTCAATAGCTGACAGAATTTTTGCAAAAGAGCTACCATTTCTTCTGCAGACTGTGTTCTGTTAGTGCAGTCACAGCCTCATATGTGTGCTGAATTCTTGGTCTGAAGTTCACCAGCCCACCTGTGGCCCAGGCCATATAGGAGAGTCAATTCTCCAACTTTCACAGCCTCCATGTCTGAGATTCAGAACCTCAACAGTGGGATATGTTTATGTGGGAGAATGACAATCTTTACTGTCACTTGGGCATGCATTCAAGACACATTATCTCACCTGTGTGCTGTGAACTCCTATGACACTCACCATGTCACCTGAGGGCTTTATACAATATGCAAGAGTGGTGATCCTCTGTGACCTTCGTACAAGAAGGGAATCCAGAATCTTTTCTATGGTTCTAAGCCCAGAGTCAACATCTCTCTAATTGGCTGAGTCTAGATGAGAGAGTCCTCACCTTCCTATGAGGAGGGTTTAGAAATGAGTCACCATCTGGAGGAGCCAAGATGGCCAAATAGGAACAGCTCCAGTCTACAGCTCCCAGCCTGAGTGACGCAGAAGATGGGTGATTTCTGCATTTCCATCTGAGGTACCGGGTTCATCTCACTAGGGAGTGACAGACAGCGGGCGCAGGTCAGTGGGTGCACGCACCGTGCGCGAGCTGAAGCAGGGTGAGGCATTGCCTCACTCGGGAAGTGCAAGGGGTCAGGGAGTTCCCTTTCCTAATCAAACAAAGGGGTGACGGATGGCACCTGGAAAATCGGGTCACTCCCACCCAAATACTGTGCTTTTCCGACGGGCTTAAAAAACAGCACACCATGAGATTATATCCCGTGCCTGGCTCGGAGGGTCCTACCCCACGGAGTCTCGCTGATTGCTAGCACAGCAGTCTGAGATCAAACTGCAAGGCAGCAGCGAGGCTGGGGGAGGGGCACCCACCTTTGCCCAGGCTTGCTTAGGTAAACAAAGCAGCCGGGAAGCTCGAACTGGGTGAAGCCCACCACAGCTCAAGGAGGCCTGTGTGCCTCTGTAGGCTCCACCTCTGGGGGCAGGGCACAGACAAACAAAAAGACAGCAGTAACCTCTGCAGACTTAAATGTCCCTGTCTGACAGCTTTGAAGAGAGCAGGGGTTCTCCCAGTACGCAGCTGGAGATCTGAGAACGGGCAGACTGCCTCCTCAAGTGGGTCCCTGACCCCTGACGCCCGAGCAGCCTAACTGGGGGGCACCCTCCAGCAGGAGCACACTGACACCTCACACTGCAGGGTACTCCAACAGACCTGCAGCTGAGGGTCCTGTCTGTTAGAAGGAAAACTAACAAACAGAAAGGACATCCACACCAAAAACCCATCTGTACATCACCATCATCAAAGACCAAAAGTAGATAAAACCACAAAGATGGGGAAAAAACAGAACAGAAAAAATTGGAAACTCTAAAAATCAGAGTGCCTCTCCTCCTCCAAAGGAACGCAGCTCCTCACCAGCAACAGAACAAAGCTGGACGGAGAATGACTTTGACAAGCTGAGAGAAGAAGCCTTCAGACGATCAAATTACTCTGAGCTACGGGAGGATATTCAAACCAAAGGCAAAGAAGTTGAAAACTTTGAAAAAAATTCAGAAGAATGTATAACTCCAATAACCAACACAGAGAAGTGCTTAAAGGAGCTGATGGAGCTGAAAACCAAGGCTCGAGAACTACATGAAGAATGCAGAAGCCTCAGGAGCCGATGCGATCAACTGGAAGAAAGGGTATCAGCAATGGAAGATGAAATGAATGAAATGAAGCGAGAAGGAAAGTTTAGAGAAAAAAGAATAAAAAGAAATGAGCAAAGCCTCCAAGAAATATGGGACTATGTGAAAAGACCAAATCTACATCTGATTGGTGTACCTGAAAGTGATGGGGAGAATGGAACCAAGTTGGAAAACACTCTGCAGGATATTATCCAGGAGTATTTCCCCAATCTAGCAAGGCAGGCCAATGTTCAGATTCAGGAAATACAGAGAACACCACAAAGATATTCCTCGAGAAGAGCAACTCCAAGACACATAATTGTCAGATTCACCAAAGTTGAAATGAAGGAAAAAATGTTAAGGGCAGCCAGAGAGAAAGGTCAGGTTACCCTCAAAGGGAAGCCCATCAGACTAACAGCGGATCTCTCGGCAGAAACCCTACAAGCCAGAAGAGAGTGGGGACCAATATTCAACATTCTTAAAGAAAAGAATTTTCAACCCAGAATTTCATATCCAGCCAAACTAAGCTTCATAAGTGAAGGAGAAATAAAACACTTTACAGACAAGCAAATGCTGAGAGATTTTGTCACCACCAGGCCTGCCCTAAAAGAGCTCCTGAAGGAAGCGCTAAACATGGAAAGGAAAAACCGGTACCAGCCACTGCAAAATCATGCCAAAATATAAAGACCATCGAGACTAGGAAGAAACTGCAACAACTAACAAGCAAAATAACCAGCTAACATCATAATGACAGGATCAAATTCACACATAACACTATTAACTTTAAATGTAAATGGACTAAATGCTCCAATTAAAAGACACAGACTGGCAAATTGGATAAAGAGTCAAGACCCATCAGTGTGCTGTATTCAGGAAACCCATTTCACATGGAGAGACACACATAGGCTCAAAATAAAGGGATGGAGGAAGATCTACCAAGCAAATGGAAAACTAAAAAAGGCAGGGGTTGCAATCCTAGTCTCTGATAAAACAGACTTTAAACCAACAAAGATCAAAAGAGACAAAGAAGGCAATTACATAATGGTAAAGGGATCAGTTCAACAAGAAGAGCTAACTATCCTAAATATATATGCACCCAATACAGGAGCACCCAGATTCATAAAGCAAGTCCTGAGTGACCTACAAAGAGACTTAGACTCCCACACATTAAAAATGGGAGACTTTAACAGCCCACTGTCAACATCAGACAGATCAATGAGATAGAAAGTCAACAAGGATACCCAGGAATTGAACTCAGCTCTGCTCCAAACGGACCTAATAGACATCTACAGAACTCTCCACCCCAAATCAACAGAATATACATTTTTTTCAGCACCACACCACACCTATTCCAAAATTGACCACATACTTGGAAGTAAAGCTCTCCTCAGCAAATGTAAAAGAACAGAAATTATAACAAACTGTCTCTCAGACTACAGTGCAATCAAACTAGAACTCAGGATTAAGAATCTCACTCAAAACCGCTCAACTACATGGAAACTGAACAACCTGCTCCTGAATGACTACTGGGTACATAACGAAATAAAGGCAGAAATAAAGATGTTCTTTGAAACCAACGAGAACAAAGACACAACATACCAGAATCTCTGGGACACATTCAAAGCAGTGTGTAGAGGGAAATTTATAGCACTAAATGCCCACAAGAGAAAGCAGGAAAGATCAAAAATTGACACCCTAACATCACAATTAAAACAACTAGAAAAGCAAGAGCAAACACATTCAAAAGCTAGCAGAAGGCAAGAAATAACTAAAATCAGAGCAGAACTGAAGGAAATAGAGACACAAAAAACCCTTCATAAAATTAATGAATCCAGAAGTTGGTTTTTTGAAAGGATCAACAAAATTGATAGACCGCTAGCAAGACTAATAAAGAAAAAAAGAGAGAAGAATCAAATAGACACAATAAAAAATGATAAAGGGGATATCACCACTGATCCCACAGAAATACAAACTACCATCAGAGAATACTACAAACACCTCTACACAAATAAACTAGAAAATCTAGAAGAAATGGATAAATTCCTGGACACATACACTCTCCCAAGACTAAACCAGGAAGAAGTTGAATCTCTGAATAGACCAATAAGATGATCTGAAATTGTGGCAATAATCAATAGCTTACCAACCAAAAAGAGTCCAGGACCAGATGGATTCACAGCCGAATTCTACCAGAGGTACAAGGAGGAGCTGGTACCATTCCTTCTGAAACTATTCCAATCAATAGAAAAAGAGGGAATCCTCCCTAACTCATTTTATGAGGCCAGCATCATTCTGATACCAAAGCCAGGCAGAGACACAACCAAAAAAGAGAATTTTAGACCCATATCCTTCATGAACATTGATGCAAAAATCCTCAATAAAATACTGGCAAACTGAATCCAGCAGCATATCAAAAAGCTTATCCACCATGATCAAGTGGGCTTCATCCCTGGGATGCAAGGCTGGTTCACTATACGCAAATCAATAAATGTAATCCAGCATATAAACAGAACCAAAGACAAAAACCACATGATTATCTCAATAGATGCAGAAAAGACCTTTGACAAAATTCAACAACCCTTCATGCTAAAAACTCTCAATAAATTAGGTATTGATGGGACATATTTCAAAATAATAAGAGCTATCTAGAACAAACCCACAGCCAATATCATACTGAATGGGCAAAAACTGGAAGCATTCCCTTTGAAAATGGGCACAAGACAGGGATGCCCTCTCTCACCACTCCTATTCAACATAGTGTTGGAAGTTCTGGCCAGGGCAATTAGGCAGGAGAAGGAAATAAAGGGTATTCAATTAGGAAAAGAGGAAGTCAAATTGTCCCTCTTTGCAGATGACATGATTGTATATCTAGAAAACCCCATTGTCTCAGCCCAAAATCTCCTTAAGCTGATAAGCAACTTCAGCAAAGTCTCAGGATACAAAATCAATGTGCAAAAATCACAAGCATTCCTATACACCAACAACAGACAAACAGAGAGCCAAATCATAAGTGAACTCCCATTCACAATTGCTTCAAAGAGAATAAAATACCTAGGAATCCAACTTACAAGGGACGTGAAGGACCTCTTCAAGGAAAACTACAAACTGCTGCTCAAGGAAATAAAAGAGGATACAAAGAAATGGAAGAACATACCATGCTCATGGGTAGGAAGAATCAATATCGTGAAAATGGCCATACTGCCCAAGGTAATTTACAGATTCAATGCCATCCTCATCAAGCTATCAATGCCTTTCTTCACAGAATTGGAAAAAACTACTTTAAAGTTCATATGGAACCAAAAAAGAGCCCGCATCGCCAAGTCAATCCTGAGCCAAAAGAACAAAGCTGGAGGCATCACACTATACTACAAGGCTACAGTAACCAAAACAGCATGGTACTGGTACAAAAACAGAGATATAAATCAATGGAACAGAACAGAGCCCTCAGAAATAATGCCGCATATCTACAACTATCTGATCTTTGACAAACCTGAGAAAAACAAGCAATGGGGAAAGGATTCCCTATTTAATAAATGGTGCTGGGAAAACTGGCTAGCCATAGTAGAAAGCTGAAACTGGATCCCTTCCTTACACCTTATACAAAAATCAATTCAACATGGATTAAAAACTTAAACGTTAGACCTAAAACCATAAAAACCCTAGAAGAAAACCTAGGCGATACCATTCAGGACATAGGCATGGGCAAGGACTTCATGTCTAAAACACCAAAAGCAATGGCAACAAAAGCCAAAATTGACAAATGAGATCTAATTAAACTAAAGAGCTTCTGCACAGCAAAAGAAACTACCATCAGAGTGAACAGGCAACCTACAAAATGGGAGAAAATTTTCGCAACCTACTCATCTGACAAAGGGCTAATATCCAGAATCTACAATGAACTCAAACAAATTTACAAGAAAAAAACAACCCCATCAAAAAAAGTGGGCGAAGGACATGAACAGACACTTCTCAAAAGAAGACATTTATGCAGCCAAAAAACACATGAAAAAATGCTCACCATCACTGGCCATCAGAGAAATGCAAATCAAAACAACAGTGAGATACCATCTCACACCAGTTAGAATGGCAATCATTAAAAAGTCAGGAAACAACAGGTGCTGGAGAGGATGTGGAGAAATAGGAACACTTTTACACTGTTGGTGGGACTGTAAACTAGTTCAACCATTGTGGAAGTCAGTGTGGCGATTCCTCAGGGATCTAGAACTAGAAATACCATTTGACCCAGCCATCCCATTACTGGGTATATACCCAAAAGACTATAAATCTTGCTGCTATAAAGACACATGCACACGTATGTTTATTGCGGCATTATTCACAATAGCAAAGACTTGGAACCAACCCAAATGTCCAACAATGATAGACTGGATTAAGAAAATGTGGCACATATACACCATGGAATACTATGCAGCCATCAAAAATGATGAGTTCATGTCCTTTGTAGGGACATGGATGAAATTGGAAATCATCATTCTCAGTAAACTATCACAAGAACAAAAAACCAAACACCGCATATTATCACTCATAGGTGGGAATTGAAAAATGAGATCATATGGACACAGGAAGGGGAACATCACACTCTGGGGACTGTTGTGGGGTGGGGGGAGGGGGGGAGGGATAGCACTGGGAGATATACCTAATGCTAGATGATGAGTTAGTGGGTGCAGCACACCAGCATGGCACATGTATACGTATGTAACTAACCTGCACAATGTGCACATGTACCCTAAAACTTAAAGTATAATAAAAAAAAAATTTAAAAAAAAAGAATAACTTGGCACTTAAAAAAAAAAAAGAAAAGAAATGAGTCACCATCTCAACTGTGGCCAGATGTTCACATATGACAAAGTTCCAACTGTGGAGTGCATTCATGTGAGATTCAGGGCCCCACCAGTGGGCTCTGTCCATGTGTGATGGTGACAATTCTAAAGGTTGCTGGGCTGTGCATAGGACAAACACAATCTCATCTGTATGGTGAACTCTGTTATGACATTGTCTGTGACACACTGGGGCCTTATATATGTGAGAGAGTGGTAATTCTCTATGACATTTTTACAGAAGGAAAACCCAGGATTTTTTGTTTTCCTAAAAGTAGCTATGAGCAACGTTATCTCTCCTACTGGCTCTTCGAGGTTGAAAGTCATCATTACATCTGTGTGCTTGACCAAGTTATATGTCACAATTCCACCTGTGAGTAGAGAACAAGCACGAGGGTCACACCAACTGTGTGTTGGGCCAGGGTTATGTCACAATCTTTCCTGAGAGTATGCACCAGGCAGGAGAGTCACATCACAGGGTCTTCAACCAGAGATGTTACAATCCTCTCCTGAAAGCAGGGCACAGGAAGAAGAGTACGATCACCTGGGTGCTGGGCTCAGCTAAATATATCACAAGGCTCACTGTAGGCAAAGCCCAGAAAAGATAGACAAAACACCTGGTTGCTGGGCCCAGCAATATATCACCATCTTCTCTATGGGAAGAATGCAGGTAGAAGTAGAGGGTTTCATCTCCCAGCGATGGATAAAAAAAATATATTCCAAGGCCCTCTGTGGAAGGGGCTCAGGCAGAAGCCTTCCAACCCCTACGTGTTTGTTTCAGTGATATGTCACAATAACCAAAATATGCACCTCTCAGGCAAGTGAAGAGATTCACATCACCTAGGTGCTGGGTCCAGCGATTTGTCACAATCTTTTCTTTTGGCAGTGCTCAAGCAGAAAAGAAAAGTCACATCACCAAGATAATAAATAAAAACTTGTGTTAGAATATTTCTGTGTGAGAGCCCATGCAGGAAAGTCACATCACCATGTTGTTAGACCCACAGATATGTTGAAATACATGATGCATGCAGGTCTCATGAAGGACAGGAGAGTAACATCACTCAGGTGCTGGATGCACATAAATGTGCATCACAATTTCTTCTTTTTTTTTTATTTGTTCTGTTTTGTTTTTTTTGAGATGGAGTCTCGCTCTGTCGCCCAGGCTGGAGTGCAGTGGTGCAATATTGGCTCACTGCAAGCTCTGCCTCCCGAGTTCATGCCATTCTCCTGCCTCAGCCTCCTGAGTAGCTGGGATTACAGGTGCACGCCACCACACCTGGCTAATTTTTTGTATATTTAGTAGAGACAGGGTTTCACCGTGTTAGCCAGGATGGTCTCAATCTCCTGACCTCATGATCCGCCTGCCTTGGCCTCCGAAAGTGATGGGATTACAGGTGTGAGCCACTGCACCCAGCCCACAATTTCTTCTTAAGCACACTCCAAGCAGTAACAGAGAGTCACATCACCTAGGTTCTTGGTCCAGCAGTATTTCACAGTACCCCTGAGGGGAGGGCCTAGGCACAAAGTCACATTACCAAGGTGAGAAGCCTAGAGCTATGTCACAATGTCCCTTGTGGGTAGGGCTCCTAAATAAGAGGAGAGACATAGCCTAGGTGCTTGGCTTAGCTTTATGTTCCTATCACCCCAGTGAGAAGAAGCTAAAAATGAGGAAGAGTCACATCTCATAGGAGCTATGTCGTGTCATATCAGAATTCCCACTGAGGACAAACCCCAGAAGAAAAGAGTCACATCATCTAGGTGGGAGGCCTAAACATATACCACAGTGACTCCTGTGTGCAGGGACCAGGCAGAATAATTACATCACTGTTTTTCTTGCTTCAGCAGTAAGTCACTCTCTAATCTGTGGGCATGGCCCAGGCAGAAGAGAAATGTCACGTCACATAGGTAAAAAGGGCATTTACCTGAGCTTTGCTCATAGGAGAGATTGTAATGGGTCAAGAAATATGTCACAATGCTTCCTGTGGTCAGGGGTAGGCAGAGAACTCACATCATGTTAGTGGTGGGCTCAGCAGTATGTCTCAATGCCTTCTAAGGGCACAGCCCAAGCAAAAAAGGCAATATTACCCACTGAGCATGGTGGCTCATGCCTGTAATCCCAGGAATTTGGGAGGCTGAGGTGGGTGAATCACAATGTCCGGATTTCGAGACCAGCCTGGTCAACATGGTGAAACCCTGTATCCACTAAAAATACCAACAATTAGCTGGGTGTGGTGGTGCATGCCTGCAATCCCAGCTACTCCAGAGGCTAAGGCAGGAGAATCACTTGAACCCAGGAGGTGGAGGTTGCAGTGTGCCGAGATCATGTTATTGCACTTGAGCCTGGGTGACAGGGCGAGTGCGGGTCTGCCCCACAGACCCTTGCCGATGGATAAAATGAGTACTCAGACACAGATATGCATTGTAAGAGCAGCTAGGGGACTATCTGGCTCAAGTGGCCAGAGTTCAGTCATGAGAAGTTCAAGCTGCTTGCTTTTAGTCAGTGCAGGCACAATGCCAAAAGCCTGGAGCAAACACAATCCGGTAATTAACGTTTATTGTTCCCCTTTCAGGAAACATCACCAGTGTGGATGATCAAAGGTCAGTTCCTGGACAACTTCAAACAAGCCTGATCAAGATAACTTCCCCTTCACTCCCTTGCATATACTCCTCACCCTCTGCCTCAGGGTTAGAGAACAACTGCCTTTAGATATTGTACCCCAAAGCTATGCAGAGCCTTCCAACTTTTCAGAAGGCCTGTTCTTTTCCCTATAGTTTCTTGCATCACTGTGATCGATCTCCCACATTTCCCCCTTTTTTGCCTCAGGTTTTCTGATTGAAGAGTACAGAGATGTGCAGGCACAGGTTTGACAGGTGCAGCAGTTATAGCTTGTGTTCAGGCTTTGCATCCTAGAATTACTAAATAACATAAGACAAATATGAATATAATCAGTATTATTCTTTTCCAATCAAGGAGTGGAGGGTCCCCCAGGAGAGGGGGTCTATTAGGAGAGATGTTCTTGCACATCCTTCCATATGGCTGCTTGTTGGGTGTGTAGATTTATAGTGTTTAGGGATTCTAGAACTGTTGTTTTAAGTTGCTTTACGTCTGCTGTTACATTATCATGTAAGGTTCCACAGAGTTGTTGTTTCACCTCATCCCAACTTTGTATTGATCGATTCCATGGTAGAGAGGTGACACAAATATGCTTATGTTCCCAATATTATTGCTGTCAGAATGCCAGTACATCTTGTTATTTTCCTACATACTCCAAGGCAGCCTTGGGGGCTTGCCAATGTGCAACAATTTTTTGATCTATTCCCTGCTGTAGGAGAAATTCGTTAGACACATATCTGGCCAGGCTATCCACAAAGGTAGCTGTTTGTACTGATTCAGTAATAGATGCAACAGCAACACTAGCAGTGGCTAGGATGACTATGGCTGAGACTATAAAGGCTATTGGTGGTGCCCTGTGTGAGGAACAGAGCAATGGATCATGACAAAACCCTCAAAAATGAACAACAGTTATTCACTCAACAGCAACAGTATATAAAGATATTGAAACAGCTTCTTAAAGCTAGCAGAGCCTTGGTCTTGGAGCCCCAATTAAGGGACCTAATGCAAACTATTGTTTTCCATAACCCATGGTTCCCAGAAGATGGTACACTAGACCTAGAGCTCTGGGAACAAGTGAGAAGAAATCTTAAATGACATTCTTGTCATTTAATCTTAAATTGCACAAGGACAACAGGTCCCAGTAGCATCTTTAATGTTATGGGCCTTAGATAGGGCTGCTCTGGCCCCACTCTACACAGAAGAGCCTTAAAAGGGAAGGGAGGAAGAACCATCATCTACCTTAATATCTCCTCTTGCTCCCTCAGCCCCACTGTTACCAGGTAAAGGTGCCACAGATGAGACACAGATTTTCTCTGAGCCCCCTTCTCCAATAAATTGGGTAGAATGAAAGGGAAACACTAAAGTTATGGGGCCACGCCTTAGGCAAACAGCATTAGAAGGGGAGCTCTGGGCCTGCTTGGTGATGGGAGATCAATAAGGCAATTGGGTACATGAACTCATTGCTTTCAACACTTATGAAGAAATAAGAAAAAGTATTAGAGAAAATGGAGCCACTAGCCCATTTATGAGAGGATTAATTGAGGTAATATCAGACCCCTTTCTGGTAATGGCCACTGTTTTGATTTTTCCCCTACCCTGACATGGCTCTCTCAAAATCCTATGTGGCTAGAACAGTGGCCTTTAAAGGGAGAGAAATTACAAGGAGCCCATGAATTAGTTGAGGAACAATTTAAAAGCTGGCCATATAGAACCATCAAACAGCTATTGGAATTCACCTGTTTCCATCATTGACAAGAAGTCTAATAATTGGAGACTTTTTCATGACTTACTTGCTATCAATGTTAATTTGCAACCTATGGGGCCCATTCAACAGGGGCTCCCTTCCCCCATAGCAGTTCCTTGAGATTGGCCTATAGTTATTATTGACTTAAAAGACTCCTTTTCTACTATTCCCCTTGCAGAATAAGACAAAGAAAAATTTGCATTTACAATACCAGTTATAAATAATGAAAGGCCAGCTTGCTGAATCATTGGAAAGTACTTCCTCAAAGAATGCTGAACAGTCCTACCATGTGTCAGTATCATGTAAATCAGGATTTTCTCCCCAGTAGAAAAGAATTTCCTAATTGCAAGATCATGGATGACATCTTACTGGCAGCCCCAACGGAGCCAATACTTTTGAGTTTATATGCCTCTGTCAAAAGGAATACACAGTTTAGATGTTTAATCATAGTACCTGAGAAGGTACTGATGTCCTTCCCTTGGAAACATCTTGAATACATACTAACTTTCCGGTCAGTAAGACCTCAAAAGGTTGAATGAATACTAACAACTTACACACCTTAAATGATTATCAAACATTACTGGGTGATATTAACTGGCTTTGCCCCACCTCGGGCATAACTACTGATAAGTTACAGAACCTACTTTCTATCCTAAAGGGCAATGCAGACTTGGACTCACCCAGGTATTTGACCCCCCACTGCAAAAAGGAAAATTGAGGAAATAGAGCAAGCTATTACTCAGAGGCTACTAGATTGCATAGACCCATGATATTAAGTCCAATTATTTGTATTTCCTACTAAATATTCCCCAACAGGATTAATAAGACAGATGGCCCCAAGGCTGCACCTCCTAGAATGGGTTCTTTGCTCACATACCAGGACTAAAATACCATCTCCCTGTGTCTATCTAGTAGTAAAGTCAATCAATTGCAATCAATTGCAAGGTTATGACCTGGATTTCGTAAGAATACCCTTAAGTAAAAAGCAATTCAAAGCAGTCATCCCCCTACCTCTATACCTTCAGATAGAACTCTCTGATTATGTGGGCCATATAGAACATGTCCTTCTCAGCTGGGTGCGGTGGCTAACACCTGTAATCCCAGCACTTTGGGAGTCCGAGGCCGGTGGATCATGAGGTCAGAAGATCGAGACTATCCTGGCTAACACAGTGAAACCCCATTTCTGTTAAAAATACAAAAAACAGCCAGGTGTGGTAGCACACACCTATATTCCCAGCTACGCGGACAGCTGAGGCAGGAGAATTTGTTGAACCCTGGAGGCGGAGGTTGCAGTCAGCCAAGATGTGCCACTGCACTCCAGCCTGGGCTACAGAGCAAGACTCTGTCTCAAAAAGAAAAAGAAAAAGAAAGAGAACATGCACCTTTCCCACTGATAAACTACTTTGTTTATTTATTGCAAAACCTTGAAACAGCCTTCATTAAGTCCACTGTTGAGCTCACCCTGTGTGTCCTTTTTTTCCAACTTCAGCAATTGCTGGTTCAACAAACACATCCTATTTTTATTACAAAGATTCGGGCCCACAGCTCACTGTCCAGTCCACTAGTTCACACCTAAGATCAAGCAGACCTGTAGGTTATGATGTCACTGCTTGACCAAGCCACCCAATCACATCAATTTTTTCAGCAAAATTGGAGAAACTTAACAATTTTAACTTACCCAAAAACTAGCTATACAAATTATTTTACAAAGCCCAGATTGCCCTCTCACAGGCACATCCCCTCCTTCAACAGATGTTAACCCTAGAAGACTAGAACCTAATCAGATATGGAAAACAGATGTTATGCACGTCCCTGAATTTGAAAAACTAACATATGTACATGTATCCGTTGATACCAATTCCCATCTAATTGGCACTCCTGCTCTTCCCGGAGAGTCTGCCCGATATGTCGTTAAACCTCTTCTTTTAACTTTTGCATTCATGGGGTGGCCCAAAAAATTAAAACTGATAATGGTCCAGCTTACACCAGCTCACAATTTCAACAATTTTGTCACAAATGGAACATCCAACATTCCATGGGTGTCTTGTATATCTCCCAAGGAGAAGCCATAGTAGAACGTGCCCACTCCACCCTTAAAAATATGCTCAGAAAACAAAAAAGGTGGGATATGAGTAACAACCCTGCAATACTATTGGCACAAGCCTTATTTACCCTTAATTTCTTAAATTTAGATGATAAATTTCAATCAGCTATAATAAAGCACTTTGCAAAAATCATTCAAGATATAAAACCTTCAATTTTATGGAAAGATGTAAATAGTAATGTATGGTGTGGTCCAAATGATTTGTTAACAGGGGAAGATGATATGCTTGTGTTCACTTTCCCTCAGGTCCTCTTTGGATTCTAGTGTGATGCATCAAGTCATACTACGATGTGGCTGAAACCAAACCTGGTACCAAAAATAAAATAACCCTGCTGGACCCACAGCCCCAGATGATGTGGCTTCCTCAGACAATACAGGCCCTGGACATTATGCTGAAAAAGACAACTCAGGAGACTGAGCAAATTCTGCTCCAGACAAAAACACCATTCACTCCAGATAATCTTCCTTGCTATGCTGTCTGTTGTACATTGCAACTCTTGTAGGGTATTAGTTTTTCTTATTCTCTCACTCTGCCTGCAACCCATACCTGCTACACTCTATTAGGCCCACCTTCTAGATCCACCTTTCTTCCACCCTATTACCTGGGCAGACACCCCTTTCCCAGCTTTTAACAATGTGACTACCTGGCTAGAAGAGATTAACATACCCATGGTGGGGTTTCTCATTAACAGCCCTATATAACAATGTGCAAAAACATCTCTCCTGGATAGATCCCCATTCCTGCGGGTCACTCTTTGATTGGGAAAGAATATTACTGATTATACTCATGTTTATCTTATGTTATTTACTAATTCTAGCATGCAAAGCCAAAACACAAGCTGTAACAGCTGCGCCTGTCAAACCTGTTGCTGCACACATCTGTACTCTTCAATCAACAAAACCTGATGAAAAAAAAAAACAGAAAATGGGGAGATGTGAGAGGTCAGTCAGAGTGGTGGGAAAAACTGTAGAAGAAGGGAGCAGGCCTTCTGAAAGGTCAAAAGACTTTGAGTAGCTTTGGGAGAGAATAGCTGAAGACTGCTGTTCTCTAACCCTGAAGAATAGGGTGAGAAGTATGTTCAAAAGAGTGAGGAATAAGTTGTCTTGATCAGGCTTGTTTGTCTGAAGTTGTCCCTGAACTGACCTCTGAACATCCTCGCGTGTGACGTTCCCTGAAATGGAAACAATAATTGTTAATTATCTACAGACTGTGTTTGCTCAAGGCTTTTGGCATTGTGCCTGCACTGAACAAAAGCAAGCAGCTCAAGCTTCTTGGGGCTGCACTTTGGCCACTAGAGCCAGGCAGACCCCTAGTTGCTCTAACACTGTGTACCTGTGTCTGAGTACTCCTTTCATCCGTTGCTCAGCCAGGGTCCGTGGGACAGACCAGGCACTCCCTCTCTTTTCCTCCTCCTCTCCTCCTCTTCCTCCTCTTCTCCTCCTCCTACTCTCCTCCTCCTTCTCCTCTCCTCTCCTCTTCCTCCTTTTCCTTCCTTTTTTCTCCTCTTTTCCTCCTTCTACTTCTCCTTCTTTCCTCCTCCATATTCTCCTCTGCTCCTCCTCCTTCTCTTCTCCTCCTCCTTCTCTTCTCCTCTTTCTCTTCTCCTCCTTCTCTTCTCCTCCTCTTCCTCCTGTTCTATTACTCCTTTTCCTTCCCTCCTTTTCCTACTCCGCCTGTCCTCTTCCTCCTATTTCTCTTCTCTTCCTCTCTTACTCATCCTTCTCCTCTCCGCCTCCTCCTATCCTCTTCCTCCTCTTTTTCTCTTCCTCTCCTCCTTTTCTCATCCATCTTCTCTTATCCTCCTTCTCTCCTCCTCTTCCTCCTCCTACTTCTCTCTTCCTCCTCCTCTTCTCCTCCTACCCCTCCACTCCTCCTCCTCTCTTCCTCCTTCTGCTCTCCTCTTCCTCCTTTTCCTCCTTTTCTCCTTCTCCTTTCTTCCTCCTCTTCCTCCTTTTCTCCTTCTCCTTTCTTCCTCCTCTTCCTCCGCTCCTCCTCTCCACCTCCTTTCCCTTTTTCTCCTCTCCTCCACCTCCTTCTTTCTCTCTCCTCCTGTTCCCCCTCTTCCTCCTCCTT
This sequence comes from Homo sapiens, assembly GCF_000001405.40. Classification (NCBI taxonomy): domain Eukaryota; kingdom Metazoa; phylum Chordata; class Mammalia; order Primates; family Hominidae; genus Homo; species Homo sapiens. The sequence continues at coordinate 23,881,847 of NC_000019.10, read as the reverse complement.
CTCCTCCCCTCCTCTTCCTCCTTCTCTTATCCTTTTTCTCCTCCTCTCCTTCACCTTTTCTTTCTCTCCTCCTAACCTTCTCTTCTCTTCCTCCTTTCCTTTTTCTCCTCCTCTCCTTCTCCTTTTCTCCTCCTCCTCACCTCTCCCCCTTTTCTTCTCTCTTCCTCTTTCTTTTTTCTTCCTTCTCCTCTTCACCTCCTCCTTCTCTTCATCCTACTTTTTCTTCTCTCCTCTTCCTCCCTTTCTTTCTTCCTTCATCCTCCTCCCCTTCTTCTCCTCTTCTCCTTCTTCTCGCTGCCTTTTTCTTTTTTCTCCTCTCCTCCATCTCCTTTTTCTTCTCTTCTTCTCTTCCCCTTCCCTCCTCCCCCTTCTCCTCCCCTCCTCTTCTTCCTCCTCCTATTCTTTTTTCCTCTCCTACTCCTCCTTCTCTCTTCCTCCTTTTCTCTTTTTTCTTCTCCTCTCTTCCTTCTTCTCTCCTTTTACTTCTCTTCTCCTACTCCTCCCTCACTCCTTCTCTTCTTATCTCCTCCTCTTTCTCCTCATTCTCCTCTCCTCTTTTTCTCCTCCTTCTATCCTCCTACTCCTTCTCCTCCTTTACTTTTCCTCTCCTCCTCTCCTTCCTTTCTTCTTTCTTCTCTCATCCACCTCCTCCTCCCCTCTTTCTCCTCCTCTCCCCCTACTCCTCCTTTCCTCCTCTCTTCCTCCTTTTTCTTCTTCTCCTTTCCTTCTCCTCTCCTCCTTCTCTTTTTTCTCTTCCTTCTTCTCCTCTCCTTTTCCAACTCTTTCTCCTTTTCTCCTACTCCTCCTTTTATTCCTCCTCCACCTCCTCTTCCTGCTCCTCATCTTCTCCATCTCTTACTTTTCTCTCTCCTCTGCTTCTGCTCCTCCTCCTTATTCTCTGCTTTTCTCCTTTTTCTCCTCTTCTCCTCCTCTACTCCTCCTGCTCCATTCCTCCTCTCATCCTCCTCCTCTCCTCTTACTTCTCCTCTCCTTCTTTTCCTCTTTCTTCTCCTATGTATTTTCTTCTCCCCCTTCTCCTTGTTTTCTCCTCTTCCTCCTTTTCCTTCTCCTTTCATCCTCTTTCTCCTCTCCTTCTCCTTCTTCTCTAATTCTCTTCCTTCTCTCCTTCTCCTCTTCCTTTCTCTTTTCTGCTCCTCCTTGTCCTCCTTCTCTACTCCTCCTCTTCCTTCTCTCCTTTTCCTTCTCCTCACCTCCTTTTCCTCCTCCTCTTTTCCTCCACCTTCTTTTTATCCTCTCCTCCACTCCTCTTCCTCCTCCTTTCCTGTCCTCCTTCTCCTCCTGTCCTCCTCCTCTCCTTTTTCTCCTCCTCTCCCCCTGTCCTTCTTCTCCTGTCTCCTTCCCTTTTCCTTCTCCTCCTCTCCCCCTTCTCTCCTCCTTTCCTCCTCCTCTCCTCCTCCTCTACTTCTTTTTTCCTCCTCCACCTCTCCTCCTCCTCTCCTTCTCTCCTCTGCTTCTTCTTCTTTCTCTTCTCCTGCTTGTCTACTCCTCCTTCTCCTCTTTTCCTCCTCCTCTGCTCCTCCTCCTCTTCTCCTTCTTCCCCCTCCTCTGCCTCCTCTTCTCCTCCTCCTTCTCCTCTATTCTTTCTTCTCTCCACCCCCTCCTCCTTTCTTTCTCCTTTTTCTCTTCCTTCTGCTATCCTCCTCCACCTTTTCCTCCTCTCTAAGTACTCCTTCTATCCTCCGCTTCTTCTTTCCCTCCTCCTTCTTCTCTTTCCCTCCTGTCCTCCTTATTCTCCTTTCTCCATTTTCTTTTCTCCTACTTTTCTTCTTCTCTCCTTCTCTTTGTTACCTACTCCTTTCCTTCTCCTCGCCCTCCTCCTTTCCCTTCTTCTCTTCCTCCTCTCCTTCTTCTCTTTTTCCTTTCCTCCTCTTCTCCAAGTCCTTCTCTCCTACGTCTTCTCTAGTCCTCCTCCTTCTTCTCCTCTCCTCCCCCTTCTCTTCCTCTTCTCCTGCTCTCCTTCTTCTCTTCCTCCTCCTTCTCCACCTATTTTCCTTCCCCTCCTTCTTCTTCCTCCTCGTTTTTTCTCCTCCCCCACCTCCTCTCCTCCTTTTTTCTTTCCACTCCCCTTCTCTTATCCACTTTCTCCTCCTTTTCCTCTCCTCCTTCTTGTTCTTTCCTCCTTCTTCTTCTAATTTTTTCTTTTTTCTTTTTCTCCTTTCTCTCTTCCTTCTCCTTTCCTTTTCTTCTTCTCCTCCTTCTATCCTTCTCCTTCTCCTTTTCTCCTCCTTTTCCCCACCTCCCTCTCCTTTTTCTCCTGGCCTCCTTCTCTTTCTCCTTCCTCTCCTCCTTTTTCTCTCCCCCTCCTTCTCCTCACCTTTTGCTTTTTTGTCCTCCTCCACCTCCTCTCCTCCTCCTCCTCCTATGCTCCTTCTTCTCTTCTCCTTCTTTTCCTCTCCTTCTCTTTTTACTCCTCTCCTCCTCCTCCATCTCCTCTCCTTCTCTCCTCCTTTTTCTCTCCTCCTACTATTCCTTCTTTATCTCTCCTCTTTTCCTCCTTTTTCTCTCCTCCTACTATTCCTTCTTTATCTCTCCTCCTCCTCTCCTCCTTCTCCTCTCCTCCACGTCCTAGTCCACCGCATCCTCCTCCCTGCTTTCTCTTTCTCTCCACCTCTTCCTCCTTTCCTCCTCTTTTTCCTTCTCCTCCTTCTCCTCTTCTAATCCTTCTTTTCCACCTCCTTTTTTTGTCTTCCTTCTTCTCCACTCCTACTCCTCCTTTTTATCCTCTACCTTCTCCTCCTTCATTTTTCCTCCTCTTCCTCCTTTTTCTTCTTCTCTCATCCCCTTCACCTTCTTCTTCTCTCCTCCTCCTTTCTCCATTCCTCCTCTCTTCTTCCTTCTCCTCCTCTCCTCTTCCTTCTCCTCCTCTCCTCTTTTTTCTCTTCTCTTCCTCCTCCTCCTTCTCCTCTGTCCCCTCTTCTCCTCCTTTTTTCTTTTTCCTCCTTTTCCTTCTATCCTCCTTTTTCTCCTCTCCTCCTCCTTTTGCTTTTCCTTTTCTGCCTCTACTCTTCCTCATTTTCTTTTCCTCCTTTTCCTCCTCTCTTCCTTCTTTTTCTCTTTGCTTTCTCTTACTCCTTTTCCTCTCCTCCTCTTCTCCTTTTTTCTTCTACTTTTCCTTACTCCTCCTCCTCCTTCTCTCCTCATTCATCTCTTCTCCTCCCCCTTTTCTCCTCTTATACTCTACTTTGCTTCCTCCTCCTTCTCCTCTCCTCCTCCTCTCCTGCTCTTTCTCGCCTCTCCTCCTCCTATTTTCTTCTCCTCTTCTCCTCGTCCTCCTTCTTCTCCTCACCTTTCTCCTTTTCCTCTCCTCCTCCTCCTTCTCTTTTTCTCCTGCTCTACTCCTTCTTCCAGGTTTTTTCTCCTCTTCTCTTCTAGTCCCATTGTTCCCTTCCGGTTTTTTCACCACTTTCTCTCTTCTATCTTCTTCGCATTTTTTCTTCTCTTCTTCTCTCACTTCCTCCTCCCTTTATCTCTCCTCCTTTCCCACCTCTCCTTCTCTTCTACTCTTCTCTTTTTCTCCTCCTTTTTCTCCACTCCTACATTCTTACTCCGCCTCTTACCTAGCCACTGGCAACAACAAGCAGCACCCAGCACACTTTGTGGCAGTCTCTGCAGCGCTGTGCTAGCAAGACCTGAAGTGCGTCAATATTAGCTTTTGGAAGCTAAGAATCCGGCCCAACCCAGGCGGCCGAGTTTATTTATATGTTTATTTATTTATTTATTTATTTATTTATTTATTTATTCTATGAGAAAGGGTCTTACTCTGTCACCCAGCCTGGAGTGCAGTGGCACAAGCTTATGACTAACTGTAGCCTCAAGAGATTCTCTCACCTCAGCCTCCCGAGTAGCTGGGAATACAGGCGTGGCCCACCACACCTGATTAACTATTTTTGTAGTGATTGGATCTCACCATGCTGCCCAGGCTGGTCTGAAACTTCCGCGCACATGTGTTCTGCCCTCCTTGGCCTCCCGGAATACTGGGATGAATTTATCTGTTATAACACTGCCGGGAATCGGATGGTGCAAGCCACATAGGCCAGAAACATTTCGATGCTGCTCTCCAACTTCTGCGCTGTCTCCCTGTATCCTTCCCCCTGTGAAAGGAGAAACTTTCCTTCTATGGTCTTTCCAGTCTCTCTCTGGCAGGGAAGCCTGGAAACTAGGGATCCTGCTTTCCTCTGCAGCCAGAAAGCATCGTGGGTGCCGGCCAGGAGTTGGCCTCCTGGGGTGTTCTCACCAGGGTGTTCTCACCAGGGTGCTTTCCGCACCCTGCTCTGCCGATTTGACCTTTCTGGGCAGAGGACACTGGCACTGAGGGGGCAGCAGGCAGCCCTACGCCCTTACCCTTTCCTGGCTGGCAGTTGTGGTGTGGCTGACTACCACCTAAGGCGCCCAGGAAAGAAGGGGGCCACGGCCTGGCCATGGGGCGCCTATCATTCCTCACCCTTCCATCAGTGGGGTGCGTGTTTCACAAGGACCGTCGGTGTGGAGAGCACTTCCTTGCAGAAGTGAGGGGCTCAGTGCCGGGTGCCGTCGTTAGTCCAGGAAAAAGGCAGGGGGCCTACTCCTGCTGGAACAATTTGTGGCTTGTTCTGGGGCTTCCCTTCCTGCTCCCACACCAGCCAGACACCTAGTGTAGCTTTCTCTAACCCCAGCACCAGCCTCTGCCTGGGCCCCCTCCCCTGCTGGGAAAAAGGCTTATGGAGTGCCTGTATAAACTGGCCATAAAAATATGGGACTATAAGTTGTGGAAAGCCACAGGAGGCCTCTGAGGAGGAAAGCCTCTTTATTACCATCATGTTCCCATGACAAGAGCGTGACCTGCTCTCTTATCTATAAACACTGTGCTCAAGGAGAAAGACACTCCTTTGAAGCATTGGAATGTGGCCATACTTGCTAGTTCCTAGTTAGGCCCACCCCCCACAGCTGCTCTCCGATAAGTTAAAGAATAAATCAGTAGTTAAGTTTATGCTGCTTCAGCACAAAGAAAATTTACCTAAACCGCCACTGCTATAGATTAGGTGTGTGACACACCACCTCCCTTTCACCATTTCACCCCTGAACATCTGCTTCTTAGATCTAAGTGATTGTACTCAATAAATAGTGTGGAGGCCAGAGATCAGCGCCTTTGCAGCCTCTGAATTGCACTGGCCCCCTGGCCCCCATCCTTTTGCACTCTTGTCTCTTCTCATTACTTCGTCACCACCGGACTTCAGGTACCCCACAGGTGGTGTTGAGGCTGGTCTCCAATACTCCCCCATTTCCCACTCGTGTCTCTTAGGAAACTGCGACCCTAATGTTTGCTAAGGAGCAGGGGAGGTCCTTCCCATAGCCGACGCTTTCCCTGGGAAGCAGCGCATTTTCTGGGCAGAGGCGCATCGAGCATGTGATTCACGAGCCCAGATCCAGGCCAGCGGTTCACACTCAATTACAAAACTCTACACAACTTCTGAGCTAGCAGCAGCACACGTTTGGGGAACATTGGAGGGATTGTCTTCTTCTTTTGTGGGTGGTGATGTTAGTGGTTGTGAAGAGAGAGAGAAGGGTGAATAAAAACTATAATGATTTGGTAGGTTGAAAAACCTGTCTGGGAATTTCATTAACAGAAAATTGAACCCTGGTTCTTGTTTAAGAGTTTAGATTTAAGCTTACCCCTTTCAAAGTCAATAAAAACAAAATTTGCCTGTTAGATGAGAATGCTGAAAATAGTGAGACGCTTCTGTCTGGTGGAAACAAAATGATTTCTGCAAAGGCAAAGTTGCCAGTGCATCCCCATATATTTGAGGGTTTTTTCCTTTTTTAGATATGTAATGGTCCCTGCACCTATGCACAATGATGCTGAAGTATATTTAATAGAAGTGGAAGGTGGGGGAAAGGGAATTGCAAAGAGAAGAATGTGATTTTGTTTTCATTTTTTCACACCCGTGAAAAGCATTCTCCAGATTTGATGCTTTTTCAAGTAGGCAGGTAGAGTTTCTAAGCCATATTTTAATCAGAGAGTCTGTTAGAGGCCAAAGGCTAGGCTAAAACCTTTTGGAAACACACAAAAAATGCTTAGTTCTGTGCTACCTTCAAGAGTCCACAGAACTTTTGCAGGAATGGATATGAATTCCTTCAAAAGGGTCTTGTGCTCCATTTCAGGTGTTTGAAGTTGCACTGTTTATCATTTTTAGAAATTCCGCTAAACTGGATGCATGTTAGCATATCTTGTTTTTAAAGGATTTGTTGGATGTGGGACAATTTTTGGAAATGCTACTGATGCTTATGGATATATGGAGTATCATTTCTGGGGTTTTCTAGGTACCACTTTATTTCTCATTAGAAATTCAGACTCTAAGCCCTGAGCATGGCAGACATGTGTTTGTTATGTGATGGTAAACATGCATGTCACTAAGCTGTTACAGGTGACACATTCATATGTAACTTGTTACACCATCCAAGTGACTGCTTGATGAAAGAGTTTTATTTTAAGTCTCTTCAGGCAGACTCCTGAGGTCTTATTTGCATCTGACACAGGCACAGCATGTAGAAGGAGAAAAAATACACCTTACCTTATTAGTCCTGCATTAGATCAATAGCTGTTTATTAAGTACCTGGTGTATGCCAGGCACTGCACAACATAGGTGTCCTGGTAATAAATGGCTGGTAATAAATGTAGTTGTCAGAAGAACACAGTGGCTCATGCCTGTAATCCCAGCACTTTAGGAGGCTGAGGTGGGTGAATAACCTGAGATCCTGAGTTTGAGACCAGCCTGACCAACATGGTGAAACTCCACCTCTGCTAAAAATACAAAATTAACAGGACGTGGTGTCATGTGTCTGTAATTCCAGCTATTTTGGAAGGTTGAGGCTGGACAATTGCTTGAAACCAGGAGGTGAAGTTTGCAGTGAGCTGAGATTGCACCATTGCACTAAATAAATAAATAAATAAATAAATGTAGTTGCCCTGCGTCAGGGGTCCTCAACACCAGAGCACAGACTGATACCAGTCTGTCCTGTTACAAACCAGGCTGTACAGCAGGAGGTGAATGGTGGGTTAGCAAAGCTTCATCAGTATTCATGGCCACTCCCCATCACTTGCATTACCGATCAGCAGCAGCATTAGATTATCATAGGAGTGCAACTGCTATTGTGAACTGTGCATGTGAGGGATGTAGGCTGTACACTATTTATGAGAATCTAATGCCTTAGGATCTGTCACTGCCTCTCATCACCCCCAGATGGGAACATTTAGTTGCAGGAAATCAATCCCAGTGCTCTCACTGATTCTACAATATGGTGAGTTATATAATTATTTCATTATCTATTACAATGTAATCATAAGAGAAACAAAGTGCACAGTAAGTGTAATGTGCTTGAATCATCCCAAATGAAAACTATCCCACCACATCTGTGGGAAGATTGTCTTCCACAAAACCAGACACTGGTGCCAAAAAGGTTGGGGACCACTGTCCCACATTGTGCAGAGCCTGCATATACTAGGTAGCCAAAAAAATTTTTGGTGGGGTTAATTAGATAGAGCTTTTAAAAGCTGTATTTGTCTTTGGATAGCTTGCTTTGTATTTTCTTTTTCCCTTTTCTCAGAGACAATGGGGTAGGATTATAGAAAATGTCTGATATTTCTGGTGGTTTAATTACTTTAAAATATTCCTTGTTTATTTTGGTGTACCTTTTTGGACTAAGTTATTTTCACCCTGTTTTTTGAAAGCACTCAGCAAAGATTTCACATTTCTACTCAGAGCAAAACTATTAGGGTTGGGTGGGCATATTGACTACTGTTATAGATGCTTTATGATCTACCCAGGGGCTGGCAATACATTAAGCTCAGGATCCACAGTTCCTATTGCTTAGCCCCATGGAACAGCTGCTTTATACAGTCAGCTTGATCTCAAAACAATGTAGTTTTAAATGTATACTGCTTATTTACCTCTGTATATGTGTGCTGTTATTTTTAATAAAGAAGACCATTATTTTTTTTCAAAATAAATTCAGTTGATTTGAAGGTATAAGGGAATTTAAAATGAAACTTTAGCTTTTGGTGGCATTGCCATTGATGAATATGATGACAGGCATCTTGTCAGTAGCTTTTCTACCTCATGGGATTGTTGTAAGCATAAAGCAAATGTTTCAGAAACTCAAAACCTACATATGGAATAAAGTGGTATATTTTGAGATCAGGAAGCTTTGTGGGTGTCTACTGTGGATTTCCTTTCCAGAATTTTGAAATTTTTAGTGTCTTGCTTTGGGAAAGGGTGCTACTGGCCTTTAGTGTACAGACACTAGAAATGCTGCTCCACATATTACAATGCATAGGACAGCCCCAAATGTCAGGAGAGCTGAAGTCAACAAAGCCTGCTTGAGAGGTGTAGTAGTGGTCATTATTGCATCCACAAGCACACTGGGTGCATTCCCTGTATTGCATGTGCTATATTTAGAAATCTGAAATTCCATAAAATAGGTAAGCTTTCATCTGCCTCTAAGGTGCCATGGTTGGCAAGGTCAAAGTTTTACAAGAAGCTTGGGATTGAGGAAAACATTAAGTGATGTTCAATGTATTTGAAAACTCCATAGTAAATAAGAGTTCTAGAACTCATCTTCTTTTACAACAATTGAGATGCATTGGCTCTGTAAAGCTGTTTTGGTAGGTGGCTCAGTTTTCCCAGTCACCTCCTCAGTTATTTAGGAAATTCGCTCTGATGCAGTCATCTGCCAGTCTTCCGCATGTTTCAAGTTATGTGGACTATATCTTTTAAAAAAGTTCTTTAAATTAGCTCTTACTTGCTTGACAGTTAGTGTTTTTGCATTCATAGTCTCCGTAATTTTAATTTCTCAAGTTCTTCCAAAATTCTTACTTAACTACCTGCCCTTTTCAAACAGCAGTTTTTCTGAGCCTGGTCTTCTGTCCTACATGTCCTCTTGAGAGGGTGGATGTCAGCCAGATGCTCTGGCTGAGGGAAATGGGGATAATACAGGGATGCAATAAAGGACAGAGTAATAATTTTATGTTCTGGGATCCCAGGCCTCAGACCAGAACTGTCTAGTAGAATGAAAGGAGTGATCTTTTAGCTAACCAGTGCTATTGGTCTGACCTTTGTCCTGCCCTCCCACTTTCCACCCTATTACACAAGCAGGAGATATGCAAGGGAGAAGGCAGGAAGATGAGGAGACTGAATTCCAGATAAGAAAGGGCTGCCTGCAGTAAGCAGACAGTTGCCCCCAAAGTGCTCTGGGCCCCCACTTACCTTAGAGACATTTGCAACACTTGAGAATAGTTGTTTTAAAAATCTTAAATCTGTGGACAGACTGTAAGCATTCCATTGGTGTCAGTTGCCAGTTACCCAATGCCTGTTCTCTGCAGCGACCTTTGCAGTCCCATACCTGGGAGTGAGTTTTGTTCTTGCAGAATGACCTGTGCATTCTTGTGCTTTTCTTACCTCTCCTCTAACCTATAAACTGGCAACTCTAACACTATATTTTCACTTACAACTTATCTGAAGCTGTACTCTTTGTCATCCTGATCATACTACAAATCCCTCATCCTGTAGGTACTTGTAATAATGAAAGTAATCTCCATCCCTTCTGGAAGATGATTGCAATGTACACAACCTACTAGGCCAGGAACATTACTGATGGCTGTCCTGATGCATGTCTCTCTCACCCCCATGTCCAATCAGTCACCAGGCTCTCCCCCAAAACCATGCTCCAGTCACTGACTTTGGCTGTTTAATCACTTCTGACCTAAGGCCATCATTGAGTCATAAACACCTCTTAAGTTAATTTTCTGCCACTAATTTCTCCCTGCTGCTGTTAATTTTCCACCCTGCTGTCAGAGTCATCATCCTCAAAAACTAAAGCTTCTCTAGTTGTTTGCCTGCCTAATAATATTTCTTGGCTCCCTGTTGTCTACAAAAAGAAAAATCCAAACTCCTTAACTTGTTTTACAAAGACCGTCATCTGCTTCCAAACCAAATTTCTTTTCTCTTTTTTTTTTTTTTTTTTTTGAGACGGAGTCTTTCTCTGTCACCCAGGCTGAAGTGCAATGGCACAATCTCGTCTCACTGCAACCTCCACCTTTTGGGTTTAAGCAATTCTCCTGCCTCAGCCTCTGGAGTAGCTGGGATTACAGACACATGCAACCACGCCCAGCTAATTTTTGTATTTTTAGTAGAGATGTGGTTTTGCCATGTTGGCCAGGAGGGTCTCGGACTCCTGACCTCATGATCTGCCCACATCAGCCTCCCGAAGTGCTGAGACAAGCCAAATTTCTAGTGTTGGCTCTTGTCTCTACCTTCCACATCAGTGCCACACTGAATAATTATTTACTCCCTGTGCTGTTGCATGGGTTGTTCTTTTTGTTGTGTGTCCATCCCCTTACCCCAGCAAAGAACATTTACTCCTCTGGTAAGACCCATCTCAGATACTACCTTTTCTAGGGAGAATTCAGTCTTTTGTTCCTAATAACTGTTACCCCCATCTGTCAAGTCTGTCTGCTGTAATTTATCTGTTAGGATGTTTCTCCCACCTCAAAAATATTTTTTCCATCTCCTTACCTAGCACAATTGCATGGTTGGTGCTCACTGACTACTGTATTTTGATTACTTTGCCATGTACACTGGTGGCCTGAATAAAGGAAGATGAATGTGGGAATAAAGACAAAGACAAAAAAGTTTATTTGGAAGAAGGGGTCAGGGGGCTCCTTGCTTCTAGTGAACAAGGGCCCTGAGTTCTAGAGCCCTTTATATTTATTGAGTAAAGGAGATAGGGAGAAGGGGCTGATTGTCAGTCAGCTGCTTGACTTAGTGTAGGCCTGCATGACAGCATTCTTTAAACAGTAGGCTCCAGATGTCCCAGTAGATAATCTCAAGGAGCACAGCACCAGGGAGTGGCTCCCCTTAGCATACCTTCCAGTGTCAGGTGCAGATGTGAGTTTGCCCACATTCTGCATTCATGATAAACAGTTTGCTCTTTGATCATATAGCTTCCAGTGGAATGCTGTGTTGGTCACAATCCTCAGGCTTCTGGATCCCAACATCTCTCCCTTTCTGTTTTTGCATTAATTGAATGAATGTAAGGCCAGGTTGGGCAGCTTTATTTTCTGATTGGCAATCCATCTGATTTTACAGGCTATGAGCAGGAAACAGAGACAGAACAACATTATTCCCAGAACTATATATGAGATGTTAATGTGGTACTTTAGATAGTTCCAAGGATTGAGGCTCTCCAGGCCTTGCTGGAATTCAGTCCAGGCTTCTAAAGAAGGCTGAAACTCTTGAGTTTGCTTATTTAAATCAAGAACTTTTTTTTGTAATTCACCAATGTCAAAGGTGATGTTGGATGTGAAAGCTCCCTGCAAATGGGCTTTTACAAGGTCCCATGGATACTCTTTGGTTATATTCTAAGTTGGTTACACAAATATGAGTGTGAATGACAGTGCAATTTCTGTTGCAACTGTAAGCTTTGTACTTGTTCCCCTAACCACAGAACCATGGATTTTAATATTACCACTTCAGTTTGTAACTCAGTGTTAATTTTACTCTGAAGTAGCCATGCTTAGTTGGCTGCATGCCTCCAGTCCTCTACATACTGAGCCATTTGAACAGAACTATGCAAAGCTACAGAGGACATTACAGCAGAAGTGATTAGTGTGACCAAAGAAACAATAGCAAAAATTATGATGCCTGAGGCTCTACAGGCATGATGAGTAAGTTTAGTTAGAAGAAGTTTCACAAAGTGCCAAACAGGGGTGGCATCACAAGGCTCAGACAGATTAATGAGAATCCATAGCCCAGGAATGTGACCCAAATATCAAAGTAGAGATATTACATGTTTGCAATGTGCTATGATTAATGCAGTGATATAACCAGCAAGATTTAAGGTCAATTGAGTATTGCTTACCTGGAGCTGGTCCGCCTTAGCTGCCAAAAAGACATAAGGATTAAAACCACAAACCATAAGTTGAGTGGTGATATTCTTTACAAATGTGACATTAAGACTGTGTTGAGTAGCAGTACTGGTATTAGAGAGTGTTCCTACCCGGATACTACCGTTTGTGAACAGCAGTGCTGCTTTCCATATTGTTTCTTGAATTGGACCTTTCCTCCCTAGATAATGCCACTGAGGAAGAGGTGTGCTAAAGCCTGCTCCATGCCAAGCAATCCAGGTGGCAGACTGGGATTGGATCCCGGTGTGGTATAAAGAAGGAGTATTCAAAGCTTGCCACCAATGGCAGTGAAGTTTGTGTCATGATTTCTGATTTTCCTCTTTTCCATCTAGTTGACCTTTAGTTCCCCAATCCACAATGTCTCCAGTTAACACAGATTCTTTTCTACCCAGTGGGCCAAGACACTGGGTCAATGGAGAGAGGTCAGAACTATTGAAGGGAATCCATTCCATATAGTCAGCACAGTTGGGGCAATTGGGCCGGGCATGGTTGGTTAGCACACCAGTTACATAAATAGAACCAAGAACTATTAAGTACATAACTTTTCCAAGGTGACTCAACCATGCTTGAGCTTCAGTTGTAAGACAGCTATGGTTGAGCGACATCTTTGTAGTGATACACAAGGGGAGTCCTTCCAGTGGGGTAGTATAATTGACGACATTGTTCTGAGAGTCTAACTGTTCTATGTCCGGGGGAGCCAGACATAGGGGTCCTGGAGCCCATGCTCCCTGATCACGATAGATCTCAGGAGGAGTGTCACTCCAAAGTACAGGTTGTACTGCTGGAGGATTGGGAACCTATGCCCAATATGTTTTTGACTCTGCAAGGGAAAACCTACCACACAGGGCATTATAGCTAACATGGCCAAGAACATGGAATCAGGGGTTTTTTCTGGCCTTGACGCTCCAGTAGTTTCTCAGCTTCCTGCATGGTTTTCTTGAGTGTCCCCCAGGTTATAGGGGTTGATGTCACCATGACTCCAGTTGGCCTTCTGTCCATTTTTGCACTCAGGCTCAGCTGGCTCATGGCCCATACCAGAGGGACCGGGCCCATGGTTGGCCACCATGGGTTCCTCCAGTCTTCCATTCCATGGTTGCACGCACCTTGAGGGCACCCACATGGTTTATCCATCTGCTGTAAAAACATAAGCATACCCTTGTCCCCACAGCAGTAAATCCACCATACCTTTCCATTGTCCTTCTTCCAGGGATTTCCATAATAATTTCAGATAAACTTTCCTAATTTCCTCTAACACTTGCCAATGTCTTTCTGCTGCAGTCTTACCATTCATACAAGGAGTCAAAAAATTTAAAGTAAATAAAGATAAACTTAGTTTTGTTTGAGGTGGTGGCTGGTGTCCAATCACCCTTTTTTTTTGTTTTCTCAACATGCGTTGTAACGTTTGATGTGCCTGGTCTATAATGTAAGGAATTCCTGTTTTATGGGTCATAGCCCAAAGCTGTAGGAAAGTTTGAAAAGCATGACTAGTATAAGCAGGTCTATTGTCAGTTTTTAATTGTTTAGAAATCTCCATATGAGCAAACGGCGACAGACAGTGTCACCATACATGACCGGATGTCTCACCCATTTGGCTTGTAGCATGTCTCTGATTAATAGAAGGCACAGAGAAGGCAAATCGAGGCTTATCCTTCTCATGTAATGGTATAGTAAAGAAAAAATCTTTAAGATCTATTACTACAAGAGGCCAGTTTTTAGGAATGGCTGCTGGGGATGGCAAGCCCTGCTGTAATGCACCCATTGGTTTAATTTGTGCACTAATAGCTCTCAAGTCATGCAGCAGTCGCCATCTTCTGGACTATTTTTAGGATAACAAACATCGGTGAATTCCGGGAACTGACTCCTCTAAATGTCCTGCATCCAATTATTCTTTCACCAACAGATGAAGTTGAGCTAGCTTCTCCTGTGTTAGGGGCCATTGATCCACCCACACAGGTTTGTCACTAAGCCATTCTAAAGGTAAGGCAGTGGGTGGTGGAAAAGTATCAATGACCCCAATAATAAATCCTGATGTCCCAATCCTTTTTTTTTTTTTTTTTTTGAGACGGAGTCTCGCTCTGTCGCCCAGGCTGGAGTGCAGTGGCGCAATCTCTGCTCACTGCAAGCTCTGCCTCCCGGGTTCACGCCATTCTCCTGCCTCAGCCTTCCGAGTAGCTGGGACTACAGGCGCCCGCCACCACGCCCGGCTAATTTTTTGTATTTTTAGTAGAGGTGGGGTTTCACTGTGTTAGCCAGGATGGTCTCGATCTCCTGACCTCATGATCCACCCGCCTCTGCCTCCCAAAGTGCTGGGATTACAGGCGTGAGCCACCGCACCCGGCCCCAGTCTTTTTTGTCTGTCTTTCCAGTTATTGATATTGGGTTAGGGTTTCCTTGTAGGAATTTTCCTAAACCTTTCCCACTCTGATATTCCATGTCCTTTGACATTTTAAATCCTAGGTTATTAAAGTTTTCATTTGTAAGTCTCATATCCAATGCTATAAGTAAGTCTCGACCCCATAAATTGATAGCTATATTTGCAACATAAGGCTGGAAAGTACATGATTGTCCATCCGGACCAAGACAAGGTAAAATCTCAGCACTCCGTTGAACACTTTGAGCTGCTCCTACTCCCACTAGGGATGTGGAGATTAGTCTGAGGGGCCAGGATGGGGGTCAATCCTTACTGGATATTACTGACACATCAGCTCCTGTGTCCATAAGCCCATACATTTTTTTTTAATTTGTACCAAACAGGTGGGTCTATTAGAGGCTAAGGGTTGGAATAGATAGATTTTGCATGTAGTTGTGCTCCCAAACCCTTTATTTCCTCATTTCTCCTTTCATGCAGAAGGGTGTAATTTGCAGGGGATAAGCAATAATTGTGCTATATATTCCCCTGGTTCAAAAACACAAAGATCTTTTGACATTAAAACTATTTGAATTTCTCCTTAACCAGAGTCAACTACTCTGGGGACTACAGTGATGCCTTGCAAGTTAAGGCAGCTTTTGCCTAAAATTAGTCCCATGTATTCTGCTGGCAAATGTCCCCAAATGCCAGTGGGAACTTTGGAAGGTTTGTCTTCTCCAACTAATGTAATTCTATCTCTGGTGGGGATATCTAATCCTGCACTTCCTGGTGTTCCTGGGGAGAGGGAATCAATCAATATTCCTCCTGGGACCCACCCCTGAAGTGGGGTTGTGGTCTGAACTGGGAATGCCCTCATGGCTTGAGGGGCCTGGGTCCAGGCCTCCTTCTCATTTCCTGACAGGGGGTGCTATTGTGATGAAATTTTGAGTGGCATCGGTGAGCCCAATGATTTCCTTTGTTACAGAGAGGACAGAGTCCTGGCATTATTTCCACTGGGCGGGGGGGGGCACCACATTGTAAGATCCTTTTTGTCCTGAGGTCTGGGGTGGCATTCCTTTTTAAAATGTCCAGTTTTTCCATAATTATAACATTCTCCCACTTTAGGGTTTGATCCTTGGCTCCTTTTAGATTTGTCAACTATTAAACTAGCCATTGCTTGAGCATGCTTGCAATCTGCATTTGCATTTCATAGGCTAGAGCTATGGTAAGCATTTCTGCAGCAGAGGCATGAGTGATCTGATGCTGCACTGCATCTTGCAGCCATGCGATAAATTGTGCATAAGGCTCCTGTGATCCCTGTGTGACATGTAGAAAAGACTGCACTGTAACTCCCTCTTCAGGAATTGTGCTCCAAACATGCTTGGTGGCTAAGGAAGACTGGTGGTAAGTGGCCTCTCTGATGGGAGTGTTAATTGTTGTACCAGATCTGAAAAGGGGCCACAGCTCATCAACATTTCCTCTGTAGTGTTTCCTTGAAGAGCGGTGCGATTCTGCCTAGCCTGGTCTGCACACATTTCTTGCCAATTTAAACTCCATGTCAGATATGCACTGGTGGATAAGCAAGTGCAAGCCAAAGGTTTTTCATCAAAAGGTGGAAGGCACATGGCTCTGAACACCGATTCTAACAGCCCTATAGTGAATGGGCTTTGCACTCCATTATTAACCACACCAGTTTTTAATTCTTTTAGTAATTTAAACTCTACAAGAGTGTGTTCATGTCAAAAATGTGGTGGATCATTCAGATCAAGCCTTATGGTAATAGGAAAAGCATAAGGTCCCAAAAGTTCCCTTGCCATAGCAGCAGCATGCAAAATTTGTTGTGTGGGGGTTTCTACTTCTGTTATTGGAGGGGGTGGCAGAGGCCAATTCTCCTCTCTTTTTTTCTGCTTAGCAAATGGCCAATTCTCCCCCTTTCTCCTGCTCATTATTTTCAATATGCACTGTTGGAGGAACAAATGAGTTTTTTAATTCTTGAGACTCAGAAACTGACTTCTGTTGCCTGGCAGAATAAAGAGACAGCAGCAGTAGGACCATGCGAACCAAACCCCAAGCAGAAAAAACAGAAGGGTCTACTTTGAGACTTTTTGATGAGCCCATTTCAATCCCTCTCCTACTGTGTCCCAATTTTCCACATCAAGAGGGCCTGCCTGTGGAAACAATGGGTTATGTGTAATAACCTCCTGCAGAAGTTTAGCTAATGTCTGTGAATTAACTTGAGATCCAGACTGTTTCAACACAACTTTAGGCAACTGCACATAATGTTTTTCTTCAACAGACAAATGCTGCCCCATGGTACCGTCATTCAGAAACTTCCCATTCCCAGTACTTTTTTAGAGCACTGACCTTATATCCACTGCCAGCATATTTGTCCTGGGGTCCCCATTCATCTTGTCTATTTCACTTCCTGTGCTCCAGCAGATCTTCCTCGTTCACTTCCTCGAAGTCCCTATTCATGACACCACTTTGCCACTGACCCTGGTGGACTGAACAAAGGAGGATAAATGCAGGAATAAAGACAAAGACAAAAGAGTATGTTTGGAAGAATAGGTCAGAGGGCTCCTTGCTTCTGGTGAAGAAGGGCCTGAGCTTCTAGAGCCCTTCACATTTATTGTGTAAAGGAGACAGGGAGAAGAGGGTGGTTGTCAGTCATCTGCTTGACTTAGTGCAGGCCTGCATGACAGCATTCTTTGAAAATTTAAAAATTAATTAATATTTAAAAATTTAAATCTTAATTTACTCTACAAATAACTCAGATTTTTGCCTCACTGTGACCTAAGCATATGCGTGCATTTAGTAGTCTAATTACAAATTAGTTATAAATATATTTTACCAGATAATTACCTTGTGAATATCCAAAATTAAAATCAGTATGTTCAGAACTAATTTGTGGTGATGAATATATATAAGCCAACTTTAGAATAAGCAATTCATAGCTACTTATTATGGAGAGTCCTGGATAGTGGTGACCATGTATGCTGTCTGTTGGGTGATGTATTCTTCCTTAAATATTTGTGTATTTGCACTGTTATAGTGTTGCTTCCTCAAGGCCTTTGTGTGTTACATTTTCTATGCTTTGGGGTATGGGTATGTGTTACATATGGCTGTCTTCTGGATATTTTAGACCATCTATTATGGTGAGATTAAGTGAATGAAAGTAGAATATATTTCCTGTGAAGCCCATGAGGAAATTAATGGAATGTTAATAAAGAAATACATGTTTGAAATTTGAGTTTACTTAAGAAGTAATTTGAGTTTACTTCAGAGAAATTAAAAATTGTATCAGGTAAGGCAGGCCATGCGTTGTGTCTTAAGGGTGTCTGTAATATGCCCATTCTTTGCATGCCCAAAGCCAGTGTCATCTTGCTCAGAATGTGAGATAGGGATCTATGCTGTCAAATTACTTTTTCGACAGGAAAATGGATGCTCTGCCTTGGAATGAGAGAGTGTGTGTGCATGTTCGGTCTTCTTGTGACAATAAGTGCTGAAAACAGGGTAGTCACACATCTTCTCAGTTTCTCATTGATTTTGCTCCTTTTCTTAAGCAGCCCCAGATGTAGATGTGGTGAACATGGTGGTCTGTGTGTTCTGAAGCTTGCTTTGTGCCTCTGTTATTCTGTTCTGCACTGGAGAGCAGATGGTGTGTGGTCATGTGTTTGTTTTGTATTATGATAAGAAAGAGATATAAACATCAGTGTATTGGGGAAGTGGAGTGGTTAACACTAGTCAAATTCTTATGTTTAGAGATTATTTCATTATTATCTTTACAGTAAATGGAATTTTGTAAGGGCTCATATGTCCAGCTTGTCTCTAGGAAGTTTTGTAGTAGCTAGGGGCTGTCTCTTGTGTTTCTTCAGAAAACTAAATAAACAGAAATCAAGTCCTATACACCAGAAACTATGACATGCTTATATTACAAATGAATCTGTCTAGAGTGCCTTTTTTTTTTTTTTTTTTTTGAGTTGGAATCTCACTCTTGTCTCCCAGACTGGAGTACAGTGGTGTGATCTTAGCTCACTGCAACACCCACCTCCTGAGTTCAAGCGATTCTCTTGCCTCAGCCTCCCCACTAGCTGGGATTATAGGTGCCTATCACGATGCCTGGCTAATTGTTGTATTTGTAGCAGAGATAGGGTTTCACCATGTTGGCCAGGCTGGTCTTGAACTCTTGACCTTAGGTGATCCACCCTCCTTAGCCTCCCAATGTGCTGAGATTACAGGTGGGTGCCACTGCTGTTGGCCTGTCTAGAATACTTTTAAATACTCTTCTAAGTTTAATCTAAAGCATTCAAATTGCAGACAAACTTTGGTGAAAAGCATTTCTTAGCCAAGTTTGCTTGTATTTGCATTAAATCAGATAAACCAGGGGTTAAGTGTTTCTATTTCTCTTCTACCTGCGCTAGACCTGTTAAGCCAAACACACTCATCATGATAGCAGTAGAAGCAGAAGTCTTAAGATCTAACAGTTATTGAGCACTAGCTACCAGGATCCTAATTATTTTTTACACATTATCTTTTTTATTCATTGGGAGGTGGAGGCTGCAGTGAACCAAGTTTGTGCCATTGCACTCCAGCCTGACAACAGAGCAAAACTCCATCTCAAAAAAACAAACAAAAAAAAAAAAAAGAAAGAAAGAAAGAAAAAGAGATGTAGATGTAATTATTATCCTGAAGATTAAGATGAGGGAATAGAGACCCAGAGAGGCAGCCAGCTATTAGAACTCAAACTGTTAAGTTTGTCCCCAGGACTGTTTTTTTTTTTATTCTTATACTTTAAGTTTTAGGGTACATGTGCACCTGGGATTCAAGGCTGGTTCAATATATGCAAATCAATAAATGCAATAAATGTAACCCAGCATATAAACAGAACCAAAGACAAAAACCACATGATTATCTCAATAGATGCAGAAAAGGCCTTTGAAAAATTCAACAACCCTTCATGCTAAAAACACTCAATAAATTAGGTATTGATGGGATGTATCTCAAAATAATAAGAGCTATCTATGACAAACCCACAGCCAATATCATACTGAATGGGCAAAAACTGGAAGCATTCCCTTTGAAAACTGGCACAAGACAGGGATGCCCTCTCTCACCACTCCTATTCAACATAGTGTTGGAAGTTCTGGCCAGGGCAATTAGGCAAGAGAAGGAAATAAAGGGTATTCAATTAGGAAAAGAGGAAGTCAAATTGTCCCTGTTTGTAGATGACATGATTGTATATCTAGAAAACCCCATTGTCTCAGCCCAAAATCTCCTTAAGCTGATAAGCAACTTCAGCAATGTCTCAGGATACAAAATCAATGTACAAAAATCACAAGCATTCCTATACACCAATAACAGACAAACAGAGAGCCAAATCACGAGTGAACTCCCATTCACAATTGCTTCAAAGAGAATAAAATACCTAGGAATCCAACTTACAAGGGACGTGAAGGACCTCTTCAAGGAGAACTACAAACCACTGCTCAATGAAATAAAAGAGGATACAAAGAAATGGAAGAACATTCCATGCTCATGGGTAGGAAGAATCAATATCATGAAAAAGGACTGTGCTTCTTACCCCTGCCAGACTACCTACCATAGAGACATGATCCGCTCACCAAACAAACACTAACTGAAAACCTCCTGTGTGCAGAGTTCTCCCTATTAGGCACATCAAGGGAAAAGATGGTCAAACCAAGGGAAGAATATAAGTGTGTCAACTCAGGGTTCTGGTTTCCAGAAATAAATTACAGCCTAGCTATTCAACAGCTCATTTTAGCTAATATTTGACCACAAAAGTTAGACCTTCCCTTCTGTGATGGTCAGGAATGGAGATTGGTGTTTTGTGGAGTGAGGGGCTTGCAGAGGTCATGTTAGTACGTGAACTGACTGACGGGGATTTGTTTGCCCTTAAAAAGGGGGAGTTCAACAAGACACTAAAGCAGAACGCTGGTAGACTGAGGCCCGGTGGAAAAGTACAGTAGAACCCTGAAAAAATACTGCCAAGGATGAAATTTTTAACATGTTCTCATTGGAAAGGATAGTATGTGGAAGGGAGGTGGTCTTTCACATGGGGGGAGATATGCTAGAAGTGAAAAATGGTGGGCATGGATTCTACAATTCTGTTGGTCCTCTGTGTGGTGGGTAGTGGGGGGGCTCTCTTATCTCTTGTGGACACCCACTTTAATCTCACTGAAAGTGCTGAACCCTGTTCAAGGACTCATATGAAACCTACTTTTGAAGAGATTTGAAACTGTAAACTCATAAGTGTTTGGGAAATTTAATTTTGCTTTGGGTAGGGCCAATGCCTTGAGGACAGGTCTATTGTTATTTTACATAACATAGAAAATCAAGGTTTTGCCTCAGAATTTGCACTGGGGTGATCCGAAGTGGTTCATAACATGTGATATGAGTGAAGTAAGGGCAACAGTTGAATTGACTTGATTACTAATCTAAAAATTTGTCCAAGATCAAATGTGATAGCCTCTGGAAGGTATTATTTCTTTGTTGTATTGCTTTTTTAAGCAGGAGGAGCAACATGTACTGGAGGACAGTGAGAGGAAGATCTTCTGTCTCCTTTGAGTGTGTTTGAGATGGGGTCACCAGTGTGTCTAGTTTCTTTTATAAGTGTGCCTGAGCAAGTTATGAAATTGGCAGGTCTTGCATTGTGGTAGACACTTAAGGGTCTGTTTTCTTCTATTTGTGGATAAGGACTATTTTGAAACTAGTAATAAATAGAGAATTGAAGTCATGCATGCTACCAGCTCAATTTTCACTGACTTATCTTCTGTATTTACTACTATTATTATTATTTTCATTGTTATTTTTCTTATGACATTGGGAGAGTTTCAGCAAAATAATAGTGGAAAGCAATATGGATTAGTAGACTAGCATTCTGGCTCCTTTCTTGTCTCATCTGTTGAAGATCACTATCAGCAAGCTTGCATTGGGAACCATTTCTTGACATCTACACCTGGTACCAGGCTCTAGAACTGCAAAGATGGATATAATATGATTCCAGTTCTAAAATTCACCAGTGCCTTACAATCAGCAAGAAGAAGTGGAGAACTGGGAAGTGAGAAGCTGCAGTGGAAAGAAAAGGTGATACTCTCACATGTGCAGCTTTTCCATGTGGAGTAGAAGAATGTGGGAAAGGAGAAATATACATTTAAACCAAAAAAAGCAGTTTAAGTACAGGATTTGAAGTAGAAAAATATGAGGCTTATTTGATGACAGGGTAGGACAAGTGGAGTGTGAGAAAAGAATATAGTTTGGGAGGGTCGTGTGGAGATGAGACAATAAGAGATGTTGGAAACATGAATGATTGCTTAGAATTATGATGGGGGCTCAGCTCTGTAGGGTGTTATGAGCCATCAAATGTTTTGCAGCAGGGCTGTAATATGAGCAGCTCTGTGTTTTCAGAGAGAACACTGGTAACCTTTCAAAAAGTTTAAGCTTGAAAAAAGACAATGTGTTCAGCAAAGTGCAATGCAAACTTGGAATCTGGTACCCTCTTTGATAGAATACATTTTCCCTTTTTTAAGAGACTTTTGAGCCCAGAATGTATGGGCTGCCTTCGTAAACATGGTTAAATCATAATGGAAAAGTTAGATATTTATTTTCCACAAATCAAATTCAATTAGACAATGTTTAATCTTCCCTAACAGGGTTTTACTAATTAGTATTTAAACTCTTTAAAGAGTAGGCATATTTACAAAGCAGGGACTCCTTTTCTTTCAAAAATATTGAACCTGGACACTGGGAGCTGAATGGAGATATGTGTAAAATAATTTTGGACAAACGATTACTGTAATGGGCATGCCAAAAGCTTATATGAATCAGTAAAAAGTTAAATAATTCAATAGCAAAATAAGCAGAAGACATGACTAAGCAATTCAATTTTTTTTTTTTGAGACGGAACTTTGTTATTGTTGCCCAGGCTGGAGTGCAATGGTGTGAGCTCAGCTGACCGCAACCTCCACCTTCCAGTTTCAAGTGATTCTCCTAACTAAGCATCCTGGGTTGCTGGGATTACAGGCATGTGCCACCACGCTGGCTAATTTTGTATTTTTAGTAGAGACGGGCTTTCTCCATGTTGCTCAGGCTGGTCTCGAACTCCTGACATCAGGTGATTCGCCCACCACAGCCTCCCAAACTGCTGGGATTACAGGTGTGAGGCATCGCACCCAGCCTGGGAAATATTTTTTTAAATAACATGTTCCATTAAACTATTCATAAATGGTAAGTGTAGGGAAACAAGAATTTTCTAACACTGTTACTGGAAGTATAATTTGATGTCATGTTTGTACGTAGCAGTTTTTGCACTTTGCATCAGTGGCCTTTAAAATGTGCTATATTTCTTAATATAGCAATTTTAACTAATAAATTAATTAGTTTTAACATAATGAAGCAGGGTCACTTGTCTGGGGTAAATACCTGAGATACATCATCTCATGTCAAGGAAATCGAGTAGATGGACACACAAGAAGTTGGTTTAGGATTGGAGGTTTAATAGGCAAAAGAAAGGAGAATAGCTCTCTCTCCTGAATCTCCTGAAAAAGAGTGGGGCACCCAAGTGGGACTTCCAGCCCTCAGTGAAGCACAGCGGATTTTACAGACTGGCTTCAGGAGGCAGTGTCTAATTTACATAGGGCTCAAAGATTGGTTGGATCAGGTGTGGACATTTACAGAGTGCATGAGAAACCTGGCTGCCCCACCCTAATCTTCTATTATGCAAACGGAGCATTTGCCAGCACTGTGTTGCCTGCTTCTTACTCTACATCTGGTTTACAAAGACAAGGGAAGATGGAGCTACCATTTTGAACATGCGCAGTCCACATGTAGCTCCTTTCCTATTGGCACAGCTGCTGGCATTTATTCATGCAAGCTTCCACCTTGGTTATCTATGTTTGCAGCTCGATTTTACAGGCTGCTCTTTGTCAAAAAAGAAATAATTTGTGTGTTGCTTTTTATTAGAAGGGAAACTTTACCAAGGACTTCCTTGCACTCACTATCTGCCTAAATAATTTCTAACTCCTGTATCTACAACAGTTAATGTCATGGGAAACATTTATAACATATTTGTATGTATGAATAAGCAAGACAGCAAACTCTAGTTGTTCTTTTCAATTTATCTATACAAATGTGTTGGGTACAAGTGTAATCTAGTTACATGCATAGATTGCATAGTGGTGAAGTCAGGGCTTTTAGGGTATCCATCACTCTAACAATGTACATTAAAACTATTAAGTAATTTCTCATCACCCACCCCCCACCCTACCTACCTTCTCACCCTTTCAGGTCAGGTGTGCTGGCTTTCAATGACCAACACAACAAAGAAAAAATAATTGTTTTCTGAGACTTAGAATTAAAAATCAACCTAAGAGAAAACATGATTCCTAAACCAGTAAAACATGTTTATATATATATATATTTGCTTATACTCAAGAAACTTATACAGAGTCTTTCCCATGCACAAACCCCAAAGTAAAGCCAAATGATTCTATGCAATAAACATCATGATAGTAACTTCAATTTAAAAAAAAGCTTTCTCCAGTGAATGTAAATTCTAAAATAAAATGAAGCAATTGTCTCTCCAGATGTGCAGAAATCAGTATAAAGACGCAGAAATACACAGGAAACACAGATAAGCAAGGTTTATTCCACTTTTAAAGAAATTCCATAATTCTTCAGTACTCTAAGAAAAAAAAATTATTGAAATGACTTTATAAGACTTTAAAAAAGGGCCAGGTGCAGTGGCTCACTCCTGCAATCCCAGCACTTTGGGAGGCCAAGGTGGGTGGATCATGAGGTCAGCAGTTCGAGACCAGCCTGACCAATATGGTGAAACCCTGTCTCTACTAAAAAATACAAAAAAAAAATTAGCTAGGTGTGGTGGTGGGCACCTGTAATCCCAACTACTTGGGAGGCTGAGGCAGGAGAATCTCTTCAAATTGGAAGGTGGAGGTTGCAGTGAGCCAAGATTGAACCACTGCACTCTAGCCTGGGCAATGAGAGCAAAACTCCATCTCAAAAAAAAAAAAAAAAAAAAAAGACTTTAAAAAGACTTCAAAATATAGATTTTAAAGAAGCTCAAAGATGTTGCGGGAAGTCAGGGACCCCAAATGGAGGGACCGGCTGGAGCCACGGTAGAGGAACATAAATTGTGAAGATTTCATGGATATTTACCACTTCCCAAATAATACTCTTATAATTTCTTATGCCTGTCTTACTTTAATCTCTTAATCATGTTATCTTCATAAGCTGAAGGTGTACGTCACCTCAGGACCCTGTGATAACTGTGTTAACTGTACAAATTGATTGTAAAACGTGTGTTTGAACAATATGAAATCAGTGCAGATATCGCTAAATTCTTTTCCTAGCAAGGAATATTGATATTAATACTCTAGGAAAAGAATTTCATTCCTGGGGGGAGGTCTATAAACGGCCATTCTGGGAATGTCTGTTCTATGCGATTGAGATAAGGACTGAGATAAGCCCTGGTCTCCTGCAGTACCCTCAGGCTTACTAGGATTGGGAAACTCCAGCCTGGTAAATTTTTGGTCAGACCAGTTCTCTGCTCTCAAACCTTGTTTTCTGTTAAGATGTTTAACAAGACAATACGTGCACCGCTGAACATAGACCCTTATCAGGAGTTTCTGATATTGCCCTTTGAAGCACGTGATCTTTGTGACCTACTCCCTGTTCTTACACCCCCTCCCCTTTTGAAATCCTTAATAAAAACCTGCTGGTTTTGTGGCTCAGGTGGGCATCATGGTCCTACCGATATGTGATGTCACCCCCAGCGGCCCAGCTGTAAAATTCCTACCTTTGTACTCTTTATTTCTCAGACCGGCCGACAATTATGGAAAATAGAAAGAACCTATGTTGAAATACTGGGGGCAAGTTCCCCCAATATCTGGCATGCCAACATGGTTTTATCCTAAGTGCATGTGGGAACCCGATTCCCTTTGGTAGGTGTGGAGAAATGTTTATTGGTCCAGACCACAGAAACACTTGTTCGGCTCCCTGATGATTGGTGAGTTGTCTGTGTATTGTCTGGGGTAAGTATGGGTCACACAGAGTCTAAACATTATGCTTATCTCTACTATATTAAACTCCTGTTAAAACAGGGAGGAGTTTGAGTGACCATGGAAAATATGGTCACCCTATTCAGGGTGGTGGAAGAACACTGTCCTTGCTTTCCTGAAAAGGGAACGTTAGATGTGGAACTATGGGATCGTGTTGGTGTAAGATTCCAGGAACTGGTCCCGACAGGAAATTATGTTCCTGTCACCGTTTGGGGTGATTTGGCCTTGTAAGTGCCATCCTAATGACATACCAATCCCATAACCCCCTGCAGTTACCACAATTTTCTGAATCTGGCAACCCTCTCTCTACCTCTTCCTCAGCTTTCCTCTTCTGTTCGGCCTTTGTTATCTGCTCAGCGTCTCCCTTCACCTACTCCTCCCCCACCTGATGATGTTGAGGATTCAATATCTAACTCTGGTGACTTTGGCTTAATGTCACCCCCAGATGATCTTATTTCTTTTCATGAAGAACCAATACTTGTGGCTCTCACGGCCCTGACACAGACAGCCCAGGACCATATCTATGCTAACTCTTCCCTCTCCAAACCTTTGCGGTCTTTGCCTCCGGAGCCACCTAATGGCTCTGGGACCAAACTACAATTCACCTGTACTTCTGCAGACCATCCCCCATCTACTGCAGCTCCTCACCCTCCTGTCATTTTGGTCCCTCATCCAGTCACTTTGCCATCCATTCAACCTGCTTCTCTGTACCCTTCTTCATGCATGGACGCCAATAATCACCAGTATGCTTCTGCCTCTTCTGCTCCCCCATGCCCCTTTCTCACACTCTCATACCAGTCTGACTTCCTCAACCTCAGTTTCCCTTATCTACACATGCTTTTCCTGTCATTTCTATGCTGACTCTGTCTCATGTTCCTGCTCTTGAAACTTCCACCCAACGCTTATTATGCCAAAACAAACAAACAAGTGGATTAGAGGTGTGGGCTTATCTGGTCGTGCTGGAACCTCCTGATGCTCGGATACAAGTGCATCAGTATGTGCCACTCAATCTTACGTTTTTAAAAGAATTCAAGGATGCTTGTACTCAGTATGGTCCTACTTCTCCATATGCTAAAATGGTATTACAGACTCTTTGTACTGAGGTCATTCTGCTTCCTTTAGACTGGGACATTTTGGCAAAAACTGTTCTAACTCCATCTCAGCATTTACAATTGCATACCTTGTGGTCAGAGAAGGCCCGTCTGCAGGCTCAGCTAAATCATGCTGATGGCATTCTAATTACTCAAGCTCAGTTCACAGGCTCTGATAATTAATCTGATACTACTGTTCAATCAAGTTTTGATGCTTTCACCATGGAACAAGTAACAAAGTTGTGTATGAGAGCTTGGGATAAATTACGTGCCCCAGGCCAAGCTCCTGTTTCTTTTACTACTGTTAAATAGAGTCACAATGAATTATATCCTGATTTTTTGGTTAAATTACAAGATGCTGTTCAAAAATCTGTCTCTGATGAGCACGCTCAAGGTATTCTCCTTCATATGTTGGCTTTTGAGAATGCGAACCATGAGTGTAAAATGGCCATTCGTTCCATCCAACGACAAAATTTACCTGATCACAAGGTGTTGCCTGCATATATTAAAGCTTGTGAAGGCATTAGATCAGAGACCCACAAAGCTATTCTGTGGGCATGGGCCACGAAGGATGGCAATCAAACTGGCTCAACTGATTCTTTTCTTGGAGCCTGCTATAATTGCAGTCAACTTGGTCATACTCAAAAAAATTGCATTGTTAAAAACTTAAAAGCAGCCAAGCTGGCTCAATAAACACAGCCAAATGCTGCTGCTACTGTTTGCCCACATTGCCATAAAGGTAAACACTGGGCAAGTACTTGCCATTCTAAGTCTGATATAGATGGAAATCCCTTGCCACAGAACCAGGGAAACAGAAAGCAGGGCCAGTCCCAGGCCCCAATATCAAATGGAACACCTCAGACTCAGACCAATGTGTTCCCACTTCAAGCAGTCCCAATGCAGCCCCCAGCACAAACAAATTTACCTACAGCCAACCCAGGTGGGTCCCAGCCTCTTCTGTCTCAGTACAATGCTTGTCCACCTTCACAGTAGGGGGGTGGAGCAGTAGATCTCTGTAGTACCATTCCTCTAAATTTACTACCTAATTCTTTGCCTGTAATTGTCCCCACGGGGGTCACTGGCCCTTTACCTCAAGGTTCAGTGGGCCTGGTGTTAGGTAGGGCATCCACCTCTGCTAAAGGAATCACTGTTCATACTAGTCTCATTAATTCTGATTCCTGTAATGAGATTAAACTTATGGTGTCTGCCAAGGTTCCTGTTTCCATTCCAGTCAGTGAGTCAGTTGCTCAATTACTTTTACTACCTAATATTGTTTTAAACAAAGGAGATAAGACACGGGGCCCTGGGATGGGCTCCAGCAGTGAAAAAGCCGCTTATTGGATTAATGTAATTTCTAAACAATGGTCCACCTGCACCAAACACATTCAAGGAAAAAAGTTTGATGGCCTAGTAGATACTGGGATTGATGTTTCTATTATTTCCTCTAATTTAAGGCCTTCCTCCTGGCTTAAACATCCCACTAACATGGGACTAGTAGGTGTTGGAAAAGCTGATGAAATTCCCCAGAGAACATTTATCTTGCCTTGCACTGGCCCTGATGGTCAAAAGGGTACAATTCAGCCTTATATCATGCCAATCCCCATTAATCTTTGGGGTAGAGATTTGCTGGCACAATGGGGGACTGAAATTAATATTCCACATAACTCTTATAGTGCTCCCACCCAACATATAATGAAAAACATGGGGTTTGTTCCCAGACTCGGTACCAGCCCAAAACATGAAGGAATTACTAAACCTCTTCAAGTTACTGTAAAAGAAGACAGGGATGGTTTACGTTATCCCTTTTAATGGCAGCCAATGCCATGCCTCCTAATCCTATGCCTTTATAATGGAAATTGGAAACACCTGTTTGATCAGTGGCTGCTCTCTAAAGAAAAACTGGAGGCTTTAACTCAATTGGTTTCTGAATAGTTACAACTTGGACATGTGGAATCTTCTTTCCCCCCTGGAATTCTCATGTGTTTCTAGTAAAAAAGAAATCAGGCAAGTGGCGGATGGTAACTGATTTAAGGGCCATTAATGTTGTAATTAAACCTATGGGAGCCATCCAACCTGTCATGCCTGCCCCTGCTTTAATACCTAAGAATTGGCCTCTCATAGTTATTGATCTTAAAGACTGTTTCTTTCATACTGCTTTACATAAATCGTATTGTGAAAAATTTGCCTTAACCATCTATCAATAATCAGGAGCCTGCAGTTCATTATCAATGGAAAGTACTTCCTCAGGGAATGCTGAATAGCCCTACCATCTGCCAGCTTTATATTGGACAGATGCTTTCACCAGTTGGAGCTCAATTTCCCCAGGCCTATATTCTTCATTATATTGATATTAATTGCTGACCCCACTGACAAAGAATTGACTGTTATCAATTTTTGAGCCGCTGAGTTACAGAAGCTGGATTACACATTGCTCAGGATAAAATTCAACAGACACCTCCTGTTCCATATTTAGGAATGGCAGTTGATAAAGAATGTATTCAACCTCAAAATGTTCAGATTAGGAGAGATTCTTTGAAAACCTTAAGTGATTTCCAAAAACTTTTGGGTAACTATTGGGAGCAAGCCCCCCAAAATCTGGCCATAAACTGGCCCCAAGACTGGCCATAAACAAAATCTCTGCAGCAATATAACATGTCCATAATGGCCCTAACGCCCAAGCTGAAAGGATGTGGGTTTATGGGAATGAGGGCAAGGAACACCTGGCCCACCCAGGCGGAAAATCGCTCAAAGGCATTCTTAAGCCGCAAACAAAAACATGAGTGATCTGTGTCTTAAGGGCATCTTCCTGCTGCAATTAATTTGGCCCATCCTTTCGTTTTCCTTAAGGGATACTTTTAGTTAGTTTAACATCTATAGAAACAATGTTAATGACTGGTTTGCTGTTAGTAAATACGTAGGTAAATCTCTGTCCAGGGCTGTCAGCTCTGAAGGCTGTGAGACCCCTGATTTCCCACTTCACAGCTCTATATTTGTGTGTGTGTGTGTGTGTGTCTTTAATTCCTCTAGCGCCGCTGGGTTAGGGTCTCCCCAACCGAGCTGGTCTCAGCAGGTAACATTAATTATTTAAGACCTACTTTAGGCATTCCAACATATGTGCTAACTTGTTTTCTATGCTGCATGAAGATTCCCATCTCCACAGTCCCAGAACTTTGACCCCTGAGGCTTCATTGGAACTGCAATTCATAGAAGAATCCAAACTGCCCAGTTGTCTAGGGTACAGCTGTCTCAGCCTTTTCAGCTTCTAGTTTTCGCTTCATTCCACTCCCCTACTGGGCTAATAGTTCAACATAATGATTTAGTAGAGTGGTGTTTTCTTCCTCATTCTAAAATAGCCACCCTAATTGGACAAGCTCGGTGTAGAATAGTTCAAATTTCCGGATTTGATCCAAATTTAATTGTGGTTCATTTAAATCGGCTCAAAGTTCAGGCCGCTTCTCAACATTCCATACTGTGGAAAATTCACTTGGCTGATTTTATCAGCGTTATTGACAATCATTTTCCAAAAAACAAATTGTTTGATTTTATAAAAATGACTTATTGGGTGGTCCTTCGACTGACCAAAGATCAGCCCATTCCTGAGGCCGTTACAGCGTTCACTGATGGCTCCAGTAACGGAAATGCTGGTTATGTGGGTCCTACAGACAAGCTTATTTCTACCCCTTATACAACTGCTCAAAAGGCAGAGTTAATTGCTGTAATTACTGCCTTACAGGGTTTCCCCAAACCTTTAAATATTGTCTCTGATTCTGCTTATGTTATGCATGCCACTAAAAATATAGAAACTGCTACTATTAAACATATTGATAATTCTGAATTGGCTTATCTTCAAGGTTACAACAGGTGGTTCACCAATGTAGACACCCTTTCTATATTTCACATATTAGATCTCATACCACTTTACCAGGACCCATGGCTGCTGGTAACCAAAAGGTAGACTTTTGGTCTCTTTTGCAACCCAAGAAGCTCAGAAGTTCCAATCTCACTCATGTCAATGCTGCTGGATTAAAAGATAAATTTGCTCTCACCTGGAAAGAGGCTAAGCTTACTGTCCACTGCTGCTCTCAGTGCCAAGTTTTTATACTTCCAAATCAGGAACCTGGTATTAATCCCAGAGGGCCTAACTCCTAAAGATTTATGGCAAATGGATGTGACTCACATTAGCTCCTTTGCAAGATTTTCATATGTACATGTTTCTGTAGACACCTTTTCAGGCTTTATTTGGGCTACTTGCCAAACAGGAGAAGGCAAGGCCCATGTTAAAAGAAGTATTCTTGCTTTGCAGTTATGGGGCTTCCATATCAGATAAAAACAGACAATGCCCCTGGATATGTAAGGCTTTTGATTTATTTATGCAACAATGGGGAATTTCCCATATTACCAGAATCCCTTACAATCCTCAGGGACAGGCTGTTGTGGAACGGGCCAATCACACCTTAAAAACTCAATTGTCCAAACAGTCTAAACAACAAAAGAATAATTTAACCACTCCCCATTCCCAATTACATTTAGCATTGTTTACTTCAAACTTTCTGAATGTTCCTAAAGACAATACTCTGACTGCAGCTGAAAGCCATTATACAGGCAAAAAAAATTCTCCCTAAATGAAGGCAAGCCAGTGTTATGGAAAAATTCCCAGACCAATACCTGGGAACCTGGAGCGATTATAACGTGGGGAAGAGGGTATGCTTGTGTTTCACCAGGAGATCATCAATCCCCTGTCTGGGTGCCCACTAGGAGACTTAAACTTCGTGTGAATACTGACAATGAACACCACAGAGAAAAGACGTCTGTGTCAGAGACCACCCTCATACCTGGTGAGATCTGTGCCACCTCCTTAGAAACTGGCACACAAATCAAAATGGGTCTGGTTCAATCCTCCCTAATGGCAATGGAGACCCCTCTAACTAATCCCACTTCTCCTAAACCAAAAAATCTCACCATTTCTATTAGCCTTAAAAATAACATCCCTCTGTTCTTCTCTTCCTCCTTCAGCACTGGATCTTGCTTACAATAGGTTTTATTTAATATTTCTCCTCCTTATACTTTCTGTCTCACCAATTTCCCCTCATACTGACTTACCTGCTACACATACTTATTCTTATTAGGCTTATGTGCCTTTTCCTCCACTTATTTGACCTCTCATCTGGATGGATGCTCCTGCAGAAATCTATACTAACAATAGTGTGTGGATGCCTGGAGCTAGAGATGACCATTGCCCCACTCAACCAGGAGAAGGCGGCACTGCATTTAATGTTACTAGGGGTTATAAATACCCTCCTCTGTGCCTCAGACATGCACCTGGTTGTATCCATCTACAAACTCAAGTCTGGGCTGCTTATCTTCCGGAGAGATTAACTACAAGAGAACCGGGACATTTGGTCTCTGGCCTCTCCCTTTCTCCTTTAAGACAAATGAAAAGGGGAGCAATAGGAGATACCCCATACTTTCAATATAAACCTGTAGGAAAACTATGTCCTAAAAATGTTGAGGGCCCATCTGAAACTTTAATTTGGGAAGATTGTGTTAACTGACATGCAGTAGTATTAAAAAAAATGACTCATATGGTTTAGTAATAGACTGGGCACCAAAGGGCTATTTAAAAAACAATTGCTCCGCTGGCAGGAGGGAATGCCTGGAGGCTACTTATTTTATTTCTTATTGGAAGGATGAGGATCATCATTCTACTTTGGATAGGAGGTTCAGCTCATTCTTTCCCTTGAAATGGGAAGATAAGGGCATTACCCACCTGAGGCCTCGTATGATATTCCCCATTCTGTGCCCAGAACACCCAGAACTTTGGAAATTGGCTATTGCCATGTCCGGGCTGTGAGTATGGAAAGCGGAAACTTTTCTGTCTGTTGTCACCACTGCTGCCCCTCGCATCCATGATTCTGAACCCCATGATAAATCCCCTTTAAACCCTTTTCCTCTTTTTGATGCCAATCTTCCTTTATGGGACCCTAATTGGCATTATAATTCTTCTCAATCCAGGTATGCCCCTCTACCTCTTTGGCATCCCTGGGCACCTCAGATTGCTTCATTATGGTGGAGAACATCGGGCATTGCCACTGCTGCTCCCCTCCCTCAGTATCAAGGTAGATTCAAGCATTCTGCTTTGTTTACCTCCAATCTGACTATTCCTATACAGAGTTGTGTTAAGCCTCCTTACATGCTGTTAGTGGGAAATATCAAAATTTGGACAAACTGCCCAATGTATTAATTGTCATTTATACACTTGTATTAACTCCCATTTTGACTCCAGGAAAAGTGAAATGTTGGTTCGAGCTCAAGAAGGAATCTGGATACTGGTAACTTTACCCAGACCTTGGGAATCTTCCCCCTCAGTATATTTAATTAATGAATGTTACAATGAATTCTCAAAAGAGCTAAGAGATTTGTTTTCACTTTAGTTGCTGTGATCATGGGTGTAATTACAGTCACTGCACTGGTCACCACTGCTGGAGTGGCATTACACCAATCTATTCAAATGGCTCATTTTGTCAATGATTGGCAAGCCAATTCCACCCAAATGTGGAATTCTCAACAAGGCATCAATCAAAAATTAGTTCACCAAATGAATGATTTAAGACAGTCTGTTATTTGGCTTGGGGATCAGCTAATGAGTCTCGATCATCACATGCAAATGCAGTACAATTGGAATACTTCTGATTTCTGTATCACACCATATTCCTACAACAAGACTGATCATTCATGGGAAATGGTCAAAGGACACCTTCTCAGTAGGGAAGATAATTTATCCTTGGACATAACTAAATTAAAGAAACAAATTTTTGAAGTCTCTCAAGCTGGTTTATACATTGTGCCTGGAGTTATACATTAGATCAGGTGGCAGAAAGTCTTTCTGGACTAAACCCCATGACTTGGATTAAGTCTACCAGGGGCTCCATTGTAGTAATGTTTGGTATTATGATTATCTGTTTAATCGGCTTGTTTTTAGTGTGCTGGACCAGTCAAAGAATCATGTGTAAAAATTGAGAGAATGAACAAGCCTTCATCGCCATGGCACGTTTATATAAAAAGAAAGGGAGAGATGTTGTGGGAAGTCAGGGACCCCAAACGGAGGGACCGGCTGGAGCCACGGCAGAGGAACATAAATTGTGAAGATTTCATGGATATTTATCACTTCCCAAATAATACTCTTATAATTTCTTATGCCTATCTTACTTTAATCTCTTAATCCTGTTATCTTCATAAGCTGAGGATGTACGTCACCTCAGAACCTTGTGATAATTGTGTTAACTGTACAAATTGATTGTAAAACATGCGTGTTTGAACAATACGAAATCAGTGCACCTTGAAAAAGAACAGAATAGCAGCGATTTTAGGGAACAAGGGAAGACAACCATAAGGTCTGACTGCCTGCGGGGTCAGGCAAAAAGAGCCACATTTTTCTTCTTGCAGAGAGCCTATAAATGGATGTGCAAGTAGGGAAGATGTCCCTAAATTCTTCTCTTAGCAAGGAATATTGACATTAATACTCTGGGAAAAGAATTGCATTCCTGGGGGGAGGTCTATAAATGGCCGCTCTGGGAATTTCTGTCCTATGTGTTTGAGATAAGTACTGAGATACGCCCTGGTCTCCTGCAGTACCCTCAGGCTTACTAGGATTGGGAAACTCCAGCCTGGTAAATTTTTGGTCAGACCAGTTATCTGCTCTCAAACCCTGTTTTCTGTTAAGATGTTTATCAAGACAATACGTGCACCACTGAACATAGGCTCTTATCAGGAGTTTCTGATATTGCCCTTTGAAGCACGTGATCTTTGTGACCTACTCCCTGTTCTTACACCCCCTCCCCTTTTGAAATCCTTAATAAAAACCTGCTGGTTTTGTGGCTCAGGTGGGCATCATGGTCCTACCGATATGTGATGTCACCCCCGGCAGCCCAGCTGTAAAATTCCTCTCTTTGTACTCTTTCTCTTTATTTCTCAGACTGGCTGACATTTATGGAAAACAGAAAGAACCTATGTTGAAATATTGGGGGTGGGTTTCCCCAATACAAAGAGATGCAAGAGAAATCTGAAAACCAATATAAAAATAAATAAATAAATTTAGAGTATGAGTAAGAAATGTGCCAAGGAGATAGACATCCTTAAAGAAAAAAAAAAAGAAACAAAAATTGTAGAACTTAAAGATTTAATGAAGGAAAAAGAAAATACATTCAAAAATTCAATAATAGACTGAAACAGGCATAAAAAGAATTTTCAGACCTTTAAACAGGTCTTTTAAAATAATTTACTGAGACAAAAATAAGGAGAGAAATGAAAAAGAATGAACAAAGATTTGGAGATATTTGCAACTACATAAAGTGACTAAACAAAAATTATCAGTTTCTGAGGAATAAAAAACATCAAAAAGTTTAGAAAACCTATTTAAGAAAATAATTGATGAAAACTTCCCAACTCTAGCAATAGAATTAGACATACATATACAGGAAGCTCAGCAATCACCACCAGAATACAATGCAAAACAGACCTCAATATGGCACATAATAATCATAGTATCTAAACTCAAAGTGAAAGAAGTAATTCTAAAATCAGCCAAAGAAAAGCATCTAGTCATTTATAAATAGAACCACATCAGACTAAAAGCAGACTTCTCAGCAGAAACTTTACTGGCCAGAAGAGAACAGGATGGTACTTTTAGAGTGTTGAAAGAAAAATGCCAGCCAAAAATTTTACATCAAGCTAGATTAACCTTCACAAGTGAAGAAGAAATAAAGTCTTATCCTGACAAATAAAGGCTGGGGAAACTAACTACCAATAGACTGGGCCTACAAAAGATGTTCCAGGGATTTCCAATATAAAAACAAAAGATTGATATTCACCATCATTAAAACATATAAAAGTATAAAACAGGCCTTATAAAACAAAGAGAGAAATAAATAAATCACAATAGGACATAATTTTATTAAACCACAAATATAAATAGATAAAAAGAAAAAATAAAACAAGGCAATAATTAACATTATGACAGTAACAAAGCCTTAATATTAATATAATCTTGAATATAAATCAATTAAAACCTTCATTGAAATGTATAGATTTATGAAATGAATAAGAAAAAATGATCCAACTGTGTGTTGCCTACAAGAATCTCACCTTACTTGTAAGATACATATAAACTAAAAGTAAAGGGGGTAGATATTAACACAAACAGAAACCAAAAACAGACAGCAGTATCTGTCTTATATCAAATAAAACAGACTTTAAAAAGAAATATTATTAAACCTATAGAAAGAGATGGACACATCTCTTTAGGTAACACAATATCTCTATAGGTAACACAATAATAGTGGAGAAATTCAGCATTCTACTCACAGCATTAGAGAGACCATTGAGATAGGAAAGCTGGCAAATCAACAAAGTACTCCCAAAAATCAAAATTATATCAACTACCTACTTAGACCATAGTAGAATAAAATTATGAATTGATATCAAGAGAAATTTCAGAAACTATAAATTTACAAACAATTAAAACAACATGATCCCAAACAGTCACTGTAAATGAAGTAATTAGGATGGCCAGCCAGAGGTGGTGGCTCACACCTGTAATCCCAGCACTTTGTGAGGCTGAGGCAGGTGGATCGCCTGAGGTCAGCAGTTTGAGACGGCCTGAGCAACATGCAAAAACCGCATTGCTACAAAAAAAATTTAAAAATAGCTAGGTGTGGTGCTGCGCACCTATGATACTAGCTACTCAGGAGGCTGAGATAAAAAGATCACTTGAGCATGGAAGGCAGAGGTTGCAGTGAGCCAAGATTGTTCCACTGCACTCCAGCCCAGGTGACAGAGTAAAACTCATCTCAAAAAGAAAATTAAGATGAAAATTAAAAATGTGTGGGGAAAAAAGATGGAAATAGAAACACAATATAATAAAACCTGTGAGATACATCAAATATAGTACTAAGAGGGCAGTTTATAGCCTAAATGTCTGCATCAAAAAAGTAGAAAGCTTACATGTTAAGGACCTGACATCATATTTCAAGGAACTAGAAAATTAGTAACAAACAAAATTCCAAGTTAGAAGAAGAAAAAAAAAACATAAATCAGAACAGAACCAAATGAAATAAAAACCAAAAACTATAAGAATGACCAATAGAATAAAAAGTTGCTTTTTCAAAAAGACAAAATTTATAAATTGCCAGCTAGATTAACCACAAACAGAATAGAAATCTAAATAAACAAAATCAGAAATGAAAGAATAGACATTACAATGGATACAACAGCAATACAAAAAATCACTAGCAATGATTATAAACAACTAGACACTCATAAACCTGAAAACCTACAAAGAATGAATAAATTCATGGAAACATACAACCTCCCAAGATAGAGCCAGGAAGAAACTGAGTACCTGAACAAACCAATAATGAGTAGCATGATTGAGTCAGTAATAAAAAAAAGTCTTGAAAAAGAAAAGCTCAGAACTAGATAAATGCACAGCCAAATTCTACCAAATGTATAAAAATTCTACCAAATCCTCCTGAAACTCTTCCAAAAAATTGAGGATAATAAAATTCTTCCTAAGTCACTCTCAGGTCAGTACCACCCTGCTACCAAAACTAGCCATGAACACAACAAAGAAAATTGTTATTATATTATTATTATATTATAAAAAAATGGACAAATTAGATTCAAACTAAAAAGTTTTTGCACAGCAAATAAAATAACAGGGTAAATAGGCAACCTAAAGAATAAAAGAACATATTTGCAAACTATGTGACAACATGAAACTTATATTTGGAATTTACAAATAACTCAAACTAAAAGCATAGTAAGAAATCCCATTGAAAAATGGACCAATAACATTACTAAGCACTTTTCAATAAAGACATACAAATAGCCAACATGAGTATGCTTAATCTCAGATAACTAAAAATAGAACTACAATTTGATTCAGAAATTTCACCATTGGGTATCTACCCAAAAAAATAGTTTATTATGTGAAAATGATACCTATACTTGCATGTTTATCACAGCATGCTCACAATAGCAAACCATACATACAAGAAAAGTTTAAAAT
Organism: Homo sapiens; assembly: GCF_000001405.40. NCBI lineage: Eukaryota > Metazoa > Chordata > Mammalia > Primates > Hominidae > Homo > Homo sapiens. The sequence goes on along the minus strand of NC_000019.10, from coordinate 23,844,292 downwards.
TCAAAATATATAGAAAATTCAAAGCAAAGACAAGTATAATAACAATGATAAACCAACTGAAAAATAGTCAAAACACTGAAGAAATATTTTGCCAATGAATTATATACAAATGACCAATAGATATATTTAAAAAGTGCTAAATAGCCCCCACAAACAGGCAATTACAAACAAAAACAACGATGAGCTATCACTTCAAATCTGTTAAGATTCCTAATATCAAAAAGAAAAAATAGAGGCCAGGTGCGGTGGTTCACACCTGTAATTCCAGCACTTTGGGAGGCCAAGGCAGGCAGATCACCTGAGGTCAGGAGTTGGAGACCAGGCTGGACAACATGAAGAAACCCCATCTCTACTAAAAATACAAAATTAGCCAGGTGTGGTGGTGCATGCCTGTAATCCCAGCTACTCAGAAGGCTGCGGCGGGAGAATCGCTTGAACCCAGGAGGCAAAGATTGCGGTAAGCTGAGACCATGCCATTGCACTCCAGCCTCGGCAACAAGAGTGAAACTTCATCTCAAAAAAAAGAAAACAGAAGAAAAAAGAAAAGACAAGACAATATAGATAAATAACAAGTAACATGTCATTGATGTTCCTGAGATTTCTGAAACAAATCTTAATATCACCACTGCTCTCACACATTTCAGATATGATGGGAAAAGAAAACCTAACAAATGATCTAACATGCAGTTTCTCAAAAATAGTTAGAGATATTCTCATATTGCCCCAAAGCAATGGAAGAGCAGGTATATCATGCAGTACCTTATAAGCCATAAAGAGGACTTTAGCTCTCATGGTACCCTCAAAGGAAAATCACTAAATAGGAAGTAGAGTCCATAAAGAATTTAATGGTATGGGACAAAAGATGCTCCTATATAAGAACTAGGGAAAAAAACAAAATGGCTTTTTAGGAACCTTTCCATTGAAGCAGAGCATCCCATACCACATTTTAAGGTCTGGAATTCTTTTTGACCTTTGTACCTCTTGTCTGTGTTATCTGCTTCATTCATGCTTACGTGCCAGAGTATTTGACCACTGTCTCATGTCTCTTTACATACCAGGGTTCTTTTATTTGCTCAAGGCAGGAGATCAGATCAGGTACAGAGACACCACAGCCTGATTTGTTAGAAAAAAGTTAACATGATTTGTTGGGATTCTCCAGTTACCATCCTAGTACCATGTTTAGTACAGAGGAGAGAATATTATGAAAGATTTTAGAAATTTAATTCCAAAATACTGTTTTCTGACAGAACCTTTAGAATACTTAGAACATATTTTACATTTCTGGGTCCTTAGCTCTACTATCCAATACTATTGAATTTAAAATTGGTGCTGGATATTGGATTTTATTATTTGGGCAATAATATTTAATGCCACTGAATTTCTAGAATTATCATTAATCTAGAGTGAAGGATACAGATTACCTCAAAAAAAAGGGGATGGTTCCTGTTAAGATAAAACATCTTGAAGATTTTCTTTTCTATTTCAATAAACCGTCAAGTTTTCCTTAAAAGGGTTGATCTAAAAATAATTTATGTGGAGCAAAAACTCCCAAAATCATTCTACAAAGGGAGAAAATAGAAGCCTTAGGGTATATTAGGAAATCTGGTGAAAATTTATTCTGAGAGACCAGGTTTCTGTTGTTCTCTAACATTACATCTCTATACAAATTTCACTGAGCAGGATTCAGACATTCCCACTCCTCCTGAGAAAATTCTATGGCCACAGCCTTGAAAGTTAACATTTCCTAAAAAAAAAAAAAACACACATATTTAGCAAGTGGTCATGGGCAGAATTGTTAATTTTACTCTAGGTGTTTCAGAGTTAAGAGAGTTGGCTCTGTTTTACATAAGAGACTGGAATTATCCAATAAAATATTGCTTAACAGAGAAAGATTCTCTAATGCATTCCTTCATTCTGAACAAAGAGGATAAAATAAGATCCAAAAAACCAGTGTAATTACTATAGTTTTCTGAATAACACGGCATAGAACTTATGGCATAAACACAAGTATATACAGTTCTGAATGCCATATTTAGATTATACAGAGTAAGCTGTGTACAGTTCTCACATGGAGAAGTCACAGTAACTTAGGAGATACCTCTCAAATTTTAATGCATACATCAATAACCTGGAGATTTTGTTAAAATACGTATTCTAATTCAAGGGATGTGGGATGAGACCTGAGTTACTATATTGCAAACAAACTCACCAGTGATGTCAATCATTCTAGCTTAAGGAAAATACTTTGTAAAACATCTAGTAACTGATAGAACCTGGGTTTTATCCCAGTGTATATGACCAGTAAACAAAAATGACAGCCTTCATTTTCCAAAGCAAAGTATAAACAAAGAGAAACTATTCAGAAAAAGGGTGTAAGATAAATGGATGTGCAGTGGTCAAGAATAGGCCGTGGTAAACATCTGGTTCAGCCTGACTCAGTAAGTTTGGAGTACAAGTGCTCATCTCTGCTAATATGTAACCTGGTTGTATAAGCTCATACTTAGCTCTCAGCCGCTACTGAGTGTAAGGAGTACACAGACAGGTGAACAGGAGGAGGAGAGAGAGTAAGCTGCTCACCCTGTACACAGGGCTCATGCCCAGGCTTATGCCTAGAGAATAAAGCCATCTCAAAACTGCCCACAATTCCATGAGTGTTTTTCCAGTAACCCACAAATCACCCACCCACTCCTGTCAGACCTCCGATTGGGTTGGAACCTGACACTTGGCGTGACAGGGGAGCTTTCAGATTAAATGTGATTGTTTATGCACATTAGTCAGAAAGTTTCTCCAAAGTACCTGTTAATAATACAGGTTTTTGTTTTGTTTTTTGAGACGGAGTCTGGCTCTGTCGCCCAGGCTGGAGTGCAGTGGCGTGATCTTGGCTCACTGCAAGCTCCGCCCCTCAGGTTCACGCCATTCTCCTGCCTTAGCCTCCCGAGTAGCTGGGACTACAGGTGCCCACCACCACGCCCAGCTGATTTTTTGTAATTTTAGTAGAGACGGGGTTTCACCATGTTAGCCAGGATGGTCTCGATCTCCTGACCTCGTGATCTGCCTGCCTCGGCCTCCCAAATAATACAGTTTTTTAAAAGAAACATTATAGGGAAGAAATCCTTGAGAAAACACGTTAACCAAGTAAATAAAATTAATGAGACAGATTGGTATCAGGTGCTGATACATATTGGAGGATGCAACATGACTTCTGTGAGATTACTGGCCAAAAAAACATAAATCATAATCTGAATCTAATCATAAAAAACATGTTTTATGTAAAGTTCAAGGCACATACGATGTCCATGTTTTGTCTTTTTTTTTTTTTTTTTTTTTTTTGAGACGGAGTTTTGTTGTTTTCACCCAGGCTGGAGTGCAATGGTGCAATCTTGGCTCACCGCAACCTCTGCCTCCTGTGTTCAAGAGATTCTCCTGCCTCAGCCTCCCAAGTAGCTGGGATTACAGGCACGTGCCACAGTGTCCGGCTAATTTTTTTTTTGTATTTTAGTAGAGATGGGGTTTCACCGTGTTGGTCAGGCTGGTCTCAAACTCCTGACCTCAGGTGATCTGCCCACCTCAGCTTCCCAGAGTGCTGGGATTACAGGTGTCAGCCACCGTGCCCAGCGCATGTTTTGTAATTTCTAATAGTGTATCTAAATACTCTCTCTTTAAGCATTCTAGAAGGCACATTTCTTTGAATTCATTCCTTTACATATCTTTCTAAATTATTCCAGGCCATTAATTCCATCTTTTTTAAGTGTGCATTTAAAAATTGTGTTATTCATAGAGCTGATGGAGCATTCAGATAGAACCTAAATGGTGCAGTTTTCTCCCTCACTGATATCTGAGGACCCAGCACCATCCCCAATAAGAATGTTTTATATCTTCACCTGCTCAGGCTGATCTGTCAACAAAGGGAATACTTTCAATATTTCACGGTATAAATTCAAGGTACTATTTGTGATATGTAAGAAGCCTGGATGGAGAGAATAAAGATAAGGCTCTGAAACATAGGGGAGAATTATTTTAATGAGGTCATTTCACTGTCATGAGAAGAAAAAAGGTACTTCAAATAATCTTGTTAGGCAAAAGCATCAGAAGTAGAAATGAAAATGATTGCAACTGTAAATACATGACCTTCTAGAAGAAAATGTGGACACAGTTTTGACCTGGGACACATTCATTTGAGAATCAACCATTTTTTCTCTCTTCTCTGATTCCTTCTCAGGAGAGAGTATCTGAAAAAATCACCACCTTTATCTTCAGAATATGTCCTTAAAGGCATCAGGACAACCCTCTGAAGGAAGCAGACTGCTCCTGCAGGACCTGACAGACACCCCAAATACAGTGAGTGCCACCACTGCAGAAGTGGGAAAGGGAGACTCTCTTCTCCTGAACACAACGACCCCACTGGAGAAACTGAAAGTCTGTTTGTGGGAGAAGCTCCTTACTACCTGGAGGTGAGTCAAGTTAGAGAGCCAAGCTGAGTGAAATACAGGGGTTCAGGAGGCAACAGGGAGGCCCTGGGAGCTCGCTGAATCCCCAAGGAGCCCATTCCTGCCTGGCACCACAGGAATCCATGGGAGAGGGAGGAGGACAGAGAAGCAAGGGGTAAAACTCCAAGGGGAGAAGGATTTCCCTAGCTGAACTTCATAACAATTTGAATGGGGCAAGAAGCCTCCTGGCAAGAACTCAGGGAAGGCGTGACTCTGGCTTGAACACTTCACAGGTGGGGAAGAACTAAAGCCTTTTTATTTTACCACACTGAGAAACAGAAAGCCTGGGGTAATTTTCAAACCCAACTTGCCCTCCACATGGAAACAGATTTGGGGCTGTTGTGAGGGGTGCAGTGGGTGTGAGACCAGCCTTTTGGTTTCCACTGGAGCTGAGTGAGGCCTGTGACTGCCAGCTTTCCCCCACGTCCCTGACACCCTGAATGAATCAGCAGAGACAATCATAACGCGCCTCAATAAATTTAAGAAAATTGACATTATACCAAGAACTCTCTCAGATCACAGTGGAATAAAACTGGAAATCAACTCCCAAAGGAACCTTCAAAACCATGCAAATACATGGAAATTAAATAATCTGCTCCTTAATGAGCATTGCGTTAAAAACAAAATCAATATGGAAATTAAAAAATTCTTCAACTTAATGACAATAATGATACAACCTATCAAAACCTCTGGGATACAGCTAAGGTGGTACTAACAGGAAAGTTCATAGCCCTAAATGCCTACATCAAAAAGTTTGAAAGAGCACAGACAGACAAGGAACTAGAGAAACAAGAACAAATGAAACCCAAACCCAGCAGAAAAAAAAGGAAATAATCAAGATCAGAGCAGAACTAAATGAAATTGAAACAAACAAATAAACAAAAAATACAGAAGGTAAATGAAACAAAGAGCTGCTTCTCAGAAAAGATAAATAAAATTGATACATCATTAGCAAAATTGATCAAGAAGAGAGAAAATCCAAATAACCTCACTGAGAAATGAAACTAAAGAATATTATAACTGACACCACTGAAATACAAAAAATCATTCAAGGCTCCTAAGAACACCTTTACACACATACACATAAGCTAGAAAACATAGAAGAGATGGATAAATTCCTGGAAAATGTAGAAGAGATGGATAAATTCCTGGAAAAATACAACCCTACTAGCTTAAAACAGGAAGAATTAGATACCCTGAACAGATCAATAACAAGCAGTGAGATTAAAATGGTAATTTAAAACTTACCACCAACAAAAAAAAATCCAACAGATTCACAGCAAAATTCTACCAGAAATTCAAAGAAGTGGTACCAAACCTTTTGACACTAGATAAAGAACTCTCCCTAATTCATTCTATGAAGCCAGCATCACTCTAATACCAAAACCAGGAAAAGACACAACCAAAAAGAAAACTACAGACCCATATCCTTGATAAACATTAATGCTAAAATCCTTAACAAAATATTAGCTTACCAAATCCAACATGTCAAAAAGATAATCCATGATCAAGTGGGTTTCACACCACAGATGCAGGGATGGTTTAACACACACAGGTCAACAAATGATACACCACATAAACAGAATTGAAAACAAAAATCACATGATCATCTCAATAGATGCAGAAAAAACATTCAACAAAATCCAACATCGCTTTATAATTAAAACTCTCAGCAAAGTTGGCATAAAAAGGACACAGCTTAATGTAATAAAAGCTATCTATGGCAAACCCACAACCAACATAATAGTGAATGGGGAAAAGTTAAAAGCGTTCCCTCTGAAAATGGGAACAAGACAAGGGTGCCCACTCTCACCACTCCTCTTCAACATAGTCCTGGAAATCATAGCCAGAGCAATAAGACAAGAAATAAAGGCATCCAAATCAGTAAACAGGAAGTCAAACTGTCCCTGTTTGCTGATGACATGATTATTTACCTTGAAAACCCTAAGGACTCCTCCAGAAAGCTCCTAGAACTGACAAAATTCAGAAAAGTTTCTGGATACAAGATTAATGTACACAAATCAGTAGCTCTTCTATTCACCAACAGCAACCAAATGGAGAATTAAATCAAGAACTCATCCCCTTTTACAATAGCTGAAAAAAATAAAATACTTAGGAAATATACCTAATGAAGGAGCCAAAAGAAGGAAAACTACAAAACACCGCTGAAAGAAATCATAGACGACACAAACAAATGGAAACACATCCCATGCTCATGGATGGGTAGAATCAATATTGTGATAATGACCATACTGCCAAAAGCAATCAATAAATTCAACACAATCCCCATCAAAATACCACCAACATTCTTCACAGAGTTAGAAAAAACAATTCAAAAAATCATACGAAGCCCATATAGCCAAAGTAAGACTAAGAAAAAAGAACAAATCTGGAGGAAACACACTACCTGATTTCAAAGTATACTATAAGTCACCAAAACAGCATGGTCCTGGTATAAAAATAGGCACATACACCAATGGAACAGAGAACCCAGAAATAAACCCAAATACTTACAGCCAACTGATTTTCAACAAAGCAAACAAAAACATAAAGTGGGGAAAGGACACCCTTTTCAACAAACGGTACTGGGATAATAGGCTAGCCACATGTGGGAGAATAAAACTGGATCCTCATGTCCCATCTTATTAAAAAAAAATCAACACAAGATGGATTAAGGACTTAAACCTAAGACCTGAAACTATAAAAACTCTGGAAGCTAACATTGAAAAAACTCTTCTAGGCATTGGTTGGCCAAAATTTCATGACCAAAAACCTAAAAGCAAATGCAGTAAAAACAAAGATAAACAGCTGGGACCTAATTAAACTAAAAAGCTTTGGCATGGCAAAAGGAACAGTCAGCAGAATAGACAGATAACTCAGAGAGTGGGAGAAAATCTTTACAATCTATACATCTGACAAAGGACTAATATACAGAATCTGTAATGAACTCAAATCAGTAAGAAAAAAATCAAAAAATAGAAAAATCTCAAAAGATACACAAATGGCCAACAAACATATTAAAAAAAATGCTCAACATCACTAATGATCAGGGAAATGCAAATCAAACCACAATGCGATACCACTCTATTCCTGCAGGAATGGCCGTAATCAAAAGATCAAAAAACTGTAGATGTTGGCATGGATGCAGCAATCAAAGAACACTTCCACACTGCCGGTGGGAATGTCAACCAGTACAGTCACTATAGGAAACTGTGGAAATTCCTTAAAGAACTAAAAGCAGAATTATCATTTGATCCAGCAATCCCACTACTGGGTATCTACCCAGAGAAAAATAAGTCATTATTTGAAAGAGATACTTGCACATGCATATTTCTAGCAGCACAATTCACAATTGCAAAATTCTGGAACCAACCAAAATGCCCATCAATCAACGAGTGGATAAAGAAACTGTGGGGTGTGTGTGTGTGTGTGTCTGTGTGTGTGTGTGTTGGAATACTACTCAGCCATAACAAGTAATTAATTAAAAGCATTTGCAATAACCTGGATGAGACTGGAGACTATTATTCTACGTGAAGTAACTCAGGAATGGAAAACCAACCATCATATGTTCTCACTGATATGTGGGAGGTAAGCTATGAGAATGGAAAGGTATAAGAATAATACAATGGACTTTGGGGACATGGGGAGAAGAGTGGGAAGGGAGAGGAATAAAAGACAACATATATGATGCAGTGTATACTGCTTGGGTGATGGGTGCACCAAGATCTCACAAATCACCACTAAAGAACTTACTTATCTAACCAAATACCACCTATACCCCAATAACTTATGGAACAATAAAATTAAAAAAATATATATTCTTATAATTACAGACCAGTTCACATAATGAATACTTCATAAACTATTACACAGGCTGGGTGCAGTGGCTCACACCTGTAATCCCAGCACTCTGGGAGGCTGAGGTGGATGGATCACCTGAGGTCAGGAGTTTGAGACCAGCGTGACCAACCTGGTGAAACACTGTCTGTAGTGAAAATACAAAAATTAGCTGGGCATGGTGGCGGGCACATGTAATCCCAGCTACTTGGGAGGCTGAGGCAGAACTGCTTGAACCTGAGAGGCAGAGGCTACAGTGAGCCAAGATCTCACCATTGCACTCCAGCCTGGGAGACAGAGCAAGACTCTATCTCAAAAGAAAAAAACAAGAACAACAACAACAAAAAAAAAAACTATTAAACAAACAAAAAAAGAATATTACGGGACTAGCATGAGTACCAGTCAAATTAAAACAGAGAATTTGCATGGGGAGATTCTGAACCCTGAGCCAAAAGATTGCACGGTAATAAATTCAATACAAAGCAGAGAGCATAGATTTGCTTTCACCATTTTTGAGAATTTTTGTTTTCTAGTGAATTAGGCCCCTGATTAAAATGATTTATTTTGTTCTAATATTTTTTTCTGCTAAAAATAGTTTCAAATTTATACTCACACAAACAGACTTACTCCATAATTTATTTAGACCTAAAGTTTATCTTTAGACTAATAGATGTGAATATTTAACTCTATGTAAATCAATACTAACAGTCCATATGTGCTTGCAGGCAAAGGCCACATGTTCAAAGAAAAATATATTAAAATTTATAAAAATATTTATTAAGGACTCAGAAATGTATGGATTTTACATGTTTGTATATAATTTGTATTATGATGATAAAAATGACCCTGTAGTCAATAACAATTTAATTGTACATTAAAAATAACTTAAACTGTAGAATTGAATTGCTTGTAATACAAAGAATAAATGCTAGAGGTAATGGACATCTCATTTCCTCTAATGTGATTATCATATTTTGTATTCCTGTATTAAAATATGCCATATATGGCATAAACATATAAACATATATCCACAGAAATTAAGAAAAATACATTTAAATGTGAAAATAAGAATAAAAATATAACCTATAGGAACAATATTTTTTAACTTATTGGCCATTTAAAGTTACTGGCAATAAAGATTACTAGTGATGTCAGTCCATTATCTTACCAAATAATGTATTGTTACCTACACCCTTGTGTAAGATGGAATAGGTTAAAGTTAGTGGCACAATAACATTTCAATGGATTCATGATAGTATTTAACATGTTAAAAATGTGGAATTGAAAAGTTAATTTCACAAATAATTTATAATTTAAAAATATGCTGTATAGTATTCCATAAAAGTGCAATTAATAAAATAACATTACTAACCTAATTTTAACTAAAATTAAGAATATTTTTCTTTCATAATAATGTAGAAGAGTATTACTCTGAACACCTACCTCATGTATCACAAAATATTATAAGTTAACCACAAAGAGCCTCTCTACTTAAATTTTCATTATGCATCTTACATTTTAATGTCCTTACCTTTCCATAGAAAAGGTCATAAGTAATGCTTACCTAATAAACAAGAATCTCTCATATATTTTGTCCAGCAACAATTAGTCACATGCTTTCACATTTGAATAAACCAGGAATATGGAAGAGCATGAAGTAATTTAAGAGTTTAACTTCATTATTATTCACTTCGAAAAAAACCTGTATGTTCATAAAAAGTATAATTTGAATGTAATTATAACTCTCCAAAAAATATTCTACTTCTTTTAAAGTTATATACAAATAATGTTTATGCTATCTATAGTTTTGTATTATTTTTTATACGCAGCACTCTGATTTACAGTAGTGTCTAAACATTGAGTGGCCCTAGATATTTCTACTGTGGATTATTCTGATATTTACATAGACAATTTTGGATTAAATATCTTTCATCTTTACTGCACCTGCAAAAATATATTTTAGTATAAACTCTTTGGTGTTTTATAATTTGTAGTTTTTGAAAAAATGTTTTTCCAAATTTATTATATTTGCAGGGTTTTCTTCAATATAAACTCACTGATGTTGGACAAAATTTTAACAACTGCCTCAGGGTTTTCCTCTAGCACAAAATGTGTACAATAAGATTTCTGATACAAGTAAAGGTATTACAACCCTATTTATATTTGTAGTGCTTTTTTAAAGTAAATACTCTTCTGCACTTTAAAGACATATTTTCTAATAGATCTTTGGACAGTAATTACACTTTTATGCTTTTATTTCATATGAACTATCTGATTTTGAGTAAGATGTGAGCAGGTATTAATGGCTTTTTTACTTTATATTTGCACATTTGTTCTCAAGTATAAATGCTTATAAATGCTTTCCTGTGCAATAACGTGTGAGCATTAGTTAGAAGCTTGGCCACATTGTACACACTGATAGTTATCTCCAGTATGAATTACCTTACCTACAATCAAGTGTGACAATCATTTAAAGGCTTTGTCACATTCTTCACACTTCTAGGATTCTCAGCAGCATGATTTTCTTTATGTTTAGAAAAGCTTAAGTTGTTGTCAAAAGCATTGGCACATCTTTCAGGTTTGCAAAGTTTCTCTCCAGTATAAATAACCTTATGTCTGTAAAGAATTGAGGACTTTTTATAGGCTTTGACACATTATTCACACTTGTAATATTTCTCTTCAATATAAGTTATCTTATGTGCATTAAGTTGTAAGGATTAAAGGTTTGCCAAATTTTTCCCATTTGTAGGGTTGCTTTCAAGTATAAATTTTCTTATGTTTAGTTAGGGCTGAGGACCAGGAAAAGGCATTGGCACATTCTTCCCATTTGTAGGGTTTTAAACCAGTAAGAATTACCTTATGTTTAGTAAAGCTTGAAGACAGGTTAAAAGATTTGCCACATTCTTCACACTTGTAGGGTTTCTTTCCAGTATGAATTCTCTTATGGTTAGCAAAAATTGAAGACTGCCTAAAGGCTTTGCCACATTCTTCACACTTGTAGGGTTTTACTCCACTGTGAATTACCTTATGTTTAGTAAAGCTTGAAGACAGGTTAAAAGATTTGCCACGTTCCTCACATTTGTAGGGTTTCTCTCCAGTATGAATTCTCTTATGTGTAGTAAGGGTTGAGGACTGGCTGAAAGCTTTGCCACATTCTTCACATTTGTAGGGTTTCTCTCCAGTATGAATTATCTTATGTCGAGTAAGGATTGATGACTGGCTAAAAGCTTTTTCATATTCTTCACATTTGTAGGGTTTCTCTCCAGTGTGCATCCTCTTATGACCAGTTAGGGTAATGAACCATAGAAATGCTTTGCCACCTTCTTCACATTTGTAGGGTCTCTCCCAGTATGAATTACCTTATGTGTAGTAAGGTATGGGGACTGGCTAAAAGCATTGCCACATTCTTGACATTTGTAGGGTTTCTTTTCAGTATGAATTATCTTATATATAGTAAGGTTTGAGTTTTGGCTAAAAGGTTTGCCACATAGATTTGTTGGGTTTCTCTCCAGTGTGTATCCTCTTATGTCTAGTTAGGGTTGAGAATTGAATTAATGCTTTGCCACATTCTTCACATTTGTAGGGTTTCTGTCTAGTATGGACTCTCCTATGTTCAGTAAGGCCTGAGGACCAGATAAATGCTTTGCCACTTTCTTCACACTTGTAATGTTTCCCTCTAGTATGAATTCTCTTATGTTTCGTAAGGGTTGAGAACTGGGTAAACGCTTTGCCACATTCTTCACATTTGTAGAGTTTCTTTCTTCTGTGCATCCTCTTATATCTAGTTAGGGTTGAGGGCTGGCAAAATGCTTTGCCACATTCTTCACATCTGTAAAGTTTTTCTTCAGCACAAATTATTTTATGTGTAGTAAGGGTTGAGTGTTGCTTAAAAGCTTTGCCACATTCTTCACATTTGTAAGGTTTCTGTTCAGTATGAATTTTCTTATTATTAGTAAGGATTGAGGACCAATTAAAGGTTTTTCCACATTTTTTACATTTGTAGGACTTCTCTCTAGTATAAATGCTTTTATGTTGGGTTTTGTGTGAAAGCATGCAAAATGATTTGACACATTTTTGACATTTGAAAGGTTTTCTTCCAGTATATCTTATTTTTTGTTTGAATTTAAAAATTTATAAAGGACTTTCAAACATTTACCACATTGAAATACTTTGCTCTGAGTAGTTGTGAAACACTTGTTAAGTCCATTATAACCTTCTTTGTGCACCTGACACTCATCCACACTTTTACAGCCATTTCTCAACAGTAAATTATCATGTCCACATTTTTCATGTCTTCTCAGTATTACTTTTTAAAAGGAATCTTCCATGCCCTGCTCTGGCCAGAGGTCTTAAGCAAAATGAGGGCATATACCTAAAAAAATAAAAATAAAAATAATAAATTACTCCACCTACTAGACTCACATGGATATAGTTTTAAAATCTTACCTTTAAAATTATACCAAATACATAAACAAGAGGGCATTGCAAAATACCACAGGCTCTAATTCATTTATAGATATATAAATGTAACTAAAATATACAGACCCAAATACATCTGTAAAAAATTTATAAATAAGTGTGTGCAGTGTTCCAGGTGAGCACAAAGAAAAAAAGGAAGTGTTAAATTCACCCAACACAGCTTTTCCTGCTTTCCACTATAACGTAGTACCTTCAGAAGTAAATTCCTAACTCTTGGTTTCTGTTTTAAAAGAAAGCTAAAATACTGGCACATTCGTTGTTATTTCTGACTTTTAGGGACCTTTTCTGACACTTGTTTCAGTCTCTCATGACATAAAGTGCTGAAAGAAATGGTGGCATATTTTGAAATGAGAGTTTGAGTCAGCTGAGACCAAAAAAAAAAGTGGTAGAGCAGCAGACTGACAGCAGTACCACAGAAAAGGAACAGGTGTAGCAAGTGATTTCTGACTCCTACAAAATAACAAGAGTAAACTCTGTTAATTAAAAATTAAACACAAAATTTCAGACAGCACATATCCTAAGAATATGTGTGAGAAACTCCCATAATCACCAGCCAAAACAATTGTTTTCAGACTATGCCAGGACAGAACAACATTATAAAGATTTTGACAGGTAGCTTTTTTTAATGTCCAAATCACAATCAAAGATAAAATATACAAAATAGGGCAATATGATCCCAGCAAAAATATTATAAATTTTTCTGAAAGAAAGCATAAAAAAAATCAGAGGTATAAATTACTTTTAATAATTGGTAATAAATTGAATAGTTCTCATTGATTAAAATAGGAACAGAGACAACTATGGAAATTCAGAAAAATGAGGACAAGAACAAAAATATTTAAGATTTCAAAAAAACAAAAATTGTGGAGGTAAAAAAATTTAAAAAAAACTAATAGATCCTAAAAGAAAATATGATGTAAAAATAAAGAAGTACAACAAACTAGTATCACAGAAAGATATTTATAACAAACATGTATATAACCACAATTTCTAGTCAAAGACAAAAAGATTATCTTTGAAGCTGCAAGATAAAAGTGATGTGCCAGGCCAGGCATGGTGGCTCCTGCCTGTAATCCAGGCACTTTGGGAGGCAGAGGTGGACGGATCACCTGAGGTCAGGAGTTCAAGGCCAGCCTGGACAAGATGGTGAAACCCTGTCTCTACCAAAACGACAAAAATTAGCTGGGTGTGGTGGCACATGCCTGTAATACCAGCTACTCAGGAGGCTGAGGCTGGAGAACCACTTGAACCTGGGAAGTGGAGGTTGCAGTGAGTTGAAGTCATACCACTATGCTCCAGCCTGGCTGGGGGATAGAGAGACGTTTAGTCTCAAAAAAAGAACTATGTTATGGAGTCATGAAAAAGTTGTTAAAAAAAATACCTATTAAGTGAGAATTATACCATCAGTGAATCTATCCTGCCAAATAAAAAAAAAAAACCTTCCAAAGTAATGAAATTCTAAAAAAGTATATTGGAACTGCATATGCCCTACATATAAAAGGTGCTAACAACAGTTCCTTTTACTGAAAATAACATGATTCAAAAAGCTACACATAATTATATAAAAATACATTATTTTCTAGAAAAAATATGCAAATTCACTTTGTAGAATTTATTAGCATTATCCTAGTGACGCAGAAAACATTTTTAATTATTCTCTGAAATTTGAACAATAAAAGAATAGAAATCATTATAAACATCAGTTAATGAACATACAACATAAGATATAATTAGCAACATCAATGACAAATTTGAGGGAAGATGTAATAAAGAAGAATTTTTGTATGCAACCTGTTTTTCTACCAGATTAAAATGTATTGTTGTATCTTTTAGACATTATATGTAGTCCCCAAGGTACCACAAAAATATTTGTATAAATACACAAAAGAGGTTGGGCATGGTGGCTTATGCCTGTAATTCCAGCACTTTGGGAGGCCGAGGCGGGTGGATCACCTGAAGTCAGGAGTTCAAGACTAGCCTGACCAACATGGAGAAACCTCATATCTACTAAAAATACAAAATTAGCCAGGCATGGTGGCACCTGCCTGTAATCTCAGCTACTCAGGAGGTTGAGGCAGGTAAATTGCTTGAACCCAGGAGGCGGAGATTGCGGTGAGCCAAGATCAATGCCATTGCACTCCAGCATGGACAACAAGAGTAAAACTCAGTCTCAAACAAATAAATAAATAAATAAGCGAAAGCATATCAATGCAAACATCAAAAAGACACAAAGATGGAAAGAGAATAAGACACAAAGATGCAATAATCAAATAAAATGCATAATAAAATAACAGTAAGTCTAATAATTAAAAAAGACTGTAAGTGGCAGGATGGAAGTAGACATTCCATGCAAACATTAATCAAATAAGAGCAGAAAGAGTCAAAATAATATCACACAAGCTACATCTTAAGTCAGAAAGTATAATATTTTATAAAATGTGCTTGAAATTGAAACTCCAAAGAAACAAAGAAGGACATCAAAAAATAATAGATTCATTCACAGGGAATCTATGACAAATTTGTGTGTGTGTGTGTGTGTGTGTGTGTGTGTGTCTCACATTAGGGTTCCAAGTATATAAAGCAAATATTGACAGAATGGAAGAAACACACAGAAAGCAATATAATTAGAACAATATATTTTAATACCACACTTTTTGTAATAAAACTAAAACAAGAAAGAATGTTAATAAAAGAACAGACTACTTAAAGGCAGTATAAAACAATTATTCCAAACAGAGTTATGGAGAACACTCCTCAACAACATCAGAATACACACCCTTCTCAATAGCTCATACAACATTTCCCTTGAAAGACCACATCTTAGGACAAAAAGGAAGTCTTATCAAATTTTTTAAAAGTAAATTTCTATGAACTACATTCTATGACCAAAATGGAATGAGAATATACAACGATAAAAGCAAAAAAAAAAAACTGAAAAATTTACAAATATATAGAAACTAAACAACACACTCTTGAGTGTGCTCTTACACAAAGGTTGAAATACTTAATATTGCAGAGTCCATCCTGCTCAATGCAATCTACAGATTTAATGCAATATTTTTCAAATTTCTCATTGCATTTTTGAAGAAATAGAAACACCAACCTCAAAAGTATACAGAGACTCAAAAGAAAAACAAACTACCCAACAATATTAAAAAAAAAAAAAGAAAGAAAGAATGCTGCAGGCATTAAAGTGCCTGATTCAAAACACATTACAAAGCTACCAAATTAAACAATTTGATATGAGTATAAAGGTGAAAAAGTAGACTAATAAAATAGAATGCAGCACATATATAAACTTTCACATATATGGTCATATAAGTAGTCATTTATAGACTCATAATTATTGCAGCATTTTTTTTTTTTTTTTTTTTAGAAACTGATGTTTATTTTCCATCAACCATTTTTCCATGCTGCTTAAGAGCCTATGCAAGAACAGCTTAAGACCAGTCAGTGGTTGCTCCTACCCATTCAGTGGCCTGAGCAGTGGGAGCTGCAGACCAGTCTTCCGTGGCAGGCTGAGCGCTCCAGTCTTCAGTAGGGAATTGCTGAATAGGCACAGAGGGCACCTGTACACCTTCAGACCAGTCTGCAACCTCAGGCTGAGTAGCAGTGAACTCAGGAGAGGGAGCAGTCCATTCACCCTGAAATTCCTCCTTGGTCACTGCCTTCTCAGCAGCAGCCTGCTCTTCTTTTTCAATCTCTTCAGGATCTCTGTAGAAGTACAGATCAGGCATGACCTCCCATGGGTGTTCACGGGAAATGGTGCCACGCATGCGCAGAACTTCCCGAGCCAGCATCCACCACATCAAACCCACTGAGTGAGCTCCCTTGTTGTTGCATGGGATGGCAATGTCCACATAGCGCAGAGGAGAATCTGTGTTACACAGCGCAATGGTAGGTAGGTTAACATAAGATGCCTCCGTGAGAGGCTGGTGGTCAGCCCTGGGGTCAGTAACCACAAGAAGCCGTGGCTCCCAGAAGGCTGCCTGGATCTGGTTAGTGAAGGTTCCAGGAGTGAAGCGGCCAGCAATTGGAGTGGCTCCAGTGGCAGCAGCAAACTTCAGCACAGCCCTCTGGCCAGTATTCCTGGAGGATATAACACTGACATCAGCAGGGTTTTCAATGGCAACAATAGCACGAGCTGCCAGCAGAAGCTTCTCCCAGGTCCTCTTGAGATTTATGATATAGATGCCATCACTTTTCCTTTTATAGATGTAGTGTTCCATCTGGAAGTCAAGATTGGTGCCACCTAAGTGGGTTCCTGCTGCAAGGAACTTAAGGACATCCTCCTCCTTCATTTGCAGGACATCAAGGGCTCCGGACATTGTGAAAGTTTCCCTTTAAGTTACGACGGGAATCCAGAACAACGCCGTATGGACCCCTCTGCAGGTAGCGCGGAAAAGCTGCAGCATTGTTACTGTAAGCAAATAGGTAAAAGCAATGCAAATATCTTTCAATAAATCATTCAGTAGATATAATTTGAAATATAAAAATTCTTCCCAGGCACGGTGGTTCACACCTGTAATCCCAGCACTTTGGGAGGCCAAGGCAGGCAGATCACAAGGTAAGGAGTTCGAGATCAACCAGACCAACAATGGTGAACCCTGTCCTTACTGAAAAAAAAAATACAAAAATTAGCCAAACGTGTTGGCACGTGCCTGTAATCCCAGCTACTCGGGAGGCTGAGGCAAAAGAATTGCTTGAACCCAGGAGGCAGAGGTTGCAGTGAGCCAAGATCGCCCCACTGCACTCCAGCCTAGGTGACAGGGCAAGACTGTCTCAAAAAATATATATATATATTCTGGAATATACTCAGTATTCAAAAGCAGGAAATATTCTACCAACTATAAATATAAATCTTGATGGCATTATGCAAAATGAAATGAGCCAATCACAAAAAGACACAGATTTTATGACATACATGAAGTAGTTATACTGTTAAAAACAAAAAACAGAGTGGTGTTTGCAAAACGCTATAAAACAGAAAAAATTGTGGCCAGGCATGGTGGCCCATACCTGTAATCCCAGCACTTTGAAAGGCTGAGGCAGATAGATTACCTAAGGTCAGGAGTTTGAAACCACGCTGGCCAACATGGTGAAACTGCATCTTTACTAAAAATGCAAAAATTAGCCAGGCATGGTGATGGGCACCTGTAATTCCAGCTATTCAGGAGGCTGAGGCGTGAGAATTGCTTGAACCCGGGAGGTGGAAGTTGCAGTGAGGTGAATCATGCCACAGCACTCCAGCCTGAGTAGCAGAGTAAGACTCCAGCTCAAAAAAAAAAAGAAAAAAGAAAAAAAGAAAAAATTAAAAATTAGTACTTGTTGTTTAATATGTGTTAAGATTTAGCTTTGCAAGATAAAAACATTCTAGCAATATGTTGCATGACAATGTCAAGATAATTGATATGACTAAATATTTAAAAATATTTTGTGGTAAATTTTGTTTTTTTTTGACAAGAAATAAACAATAATAACTAAAAGAGATACAGAGTTATGATAGTTTTAAATTATATTCAAATCCAAAAGTGTTTCTCCCACACAGAAATCATATAGATTTACAAATAAATAGGTTGTTGAAATTATAAAAATTTTATGGGCTGAGCATGGTGGCTCACACCTGTAATCTCAGTACATTGGGAAGCTGAGGCGGGCAGATCACCTGAGGTTGGGAGTTCAAGACCAGCCTGACCAACATGGAGAAACCCTGTCTCTACTAAAAATACAAAAATATTAGCCAGGCATGTTGGCACATGCCTGTAATCTCAGCTACATAGGAGGCTGAGGCACTAGAATCATTTCAACCCAGGAGGCAGAAGTTGCAGTGAGCTGAGATCGCGCCATTACACTCCAGCCTGGGCAAGAAGAGCAAGAGTCCATCTCAAAAAAAAAGAGTATTTTATGATGACTCATCTACGCAGAATTAGAAAACCATTCACAACAAACCTACACAACAAATATACAAGTTAGAAAAAAAATACAAGGATAACATTTATTTTTGTATACAGGAAAACAAACACAGAGATAATTCTATTGGAAAAAGACGTATAGCTCATTCATATTTGACTTTCTTCCACACTGCCTTAAATTATAAGATGTTAAAAATTAGCATGCATAATTATAATAAATACTAAAAAATCAAAACACAATTAATGAATGTGTGGTGGCATACCCTAAAATATATAACACAAAAATCTATAATTGCAAAACAAAGTTAAAACATGGAATGTAAAACTTATTAGATACCTTGGGAGGCCAAGGCAGGCAGATCATGAGGTCAGGAGATCAAGCCCATCCTGGCTAACATGGTGAAACCCAGTCTCTACAAAAATATAAAAAAATAGCTGGGCGTGGTGGCGGGCACCTGTACTCCCAGCTACTCAGGATGCTGAGGCAAGAGAATGGCATGAACCCAGGAGACAGAGTTTGCCATGAGCTGAGATTGTGCCACTGCACTCCAGCCTGGGAAACAGAGCGAGACTCCATCTCAAAAAAAACAAAAACAAAAACAAAAACAAAACAAAACAAACAACTTATTAGATAACCATCAACTAGATTTAGGAAATCTTAGAAGAAGAAAATGAAGAAAAAAAATACAGAGGTTATTTGAAGATAAAAAAGGGTGAAAACTTCCCAAATTTTGATGTAATAAAAAAAAATTTCTAACCAATAATACTTGATTTAAATTTACTTCCCTTTAAAAAGAAGATGAAAATAAAGAATTTCCAAAATAAAAGGTGAAGATGTTCATCACCACTAGCACAGTTCTACAAAAAAAGGTACATGGTGACCAGGCACCATGGCTCATGCCTGTAATCTTAGTTTTAGGAGGTCAAGGCTGTCAGAACACTAGAGACTAAGAGTTTAAGAGCATTCTGAGACTCTGCAAAAAAAAAAAAAAAAAAAGAAATGCTATAATGAGTCAATTTTGCTTAAAAATAAAATAATAATGAACACCATCATAAAACTGAAGTAGAGGATGTAGAGAAAACTAGTCCTTAGCCCCTCTTCTCCCAAAGAGCAAGGATGTGAAAAACAAGTTTTCCTCCTCTCCCAGCTTCCCTGTCTCTTTAGTAATTTTTCCTTAGTGAAACTCAAGGTTACTTCACAACAACTCCAGTTTCTCTGTTCTGGGCAACATGACAAGGTCACAAGACGAGCTTGAGTAAGACGTATACCAGCTGCAAGGCCTGCTTTAGTTTGTTAACTTCCTGTTTTCCTCCCAATGCAGCTGCAAGGTCAGCTTTAGTTTGTTAACTTCCTGTTTTCCTCCCAATGCAGCTGCAAGGTCAGCATAACCTGTCACTGTTTAATTAACTGCCTTTGTTCTGCTTCTGTGAGCCTGCTTGCTTGCACCAGGAGCCTTGTGCCACTAGATGGCCACCATGCACATATAAAAGACAAGCCCTGTACTTGTCCAGGGCTCAGCTTTTTGTGTGTGAATCCACTGAGCCAGTGTGCACCTTAATAAAATCCTCTAGTTTCACCCACTGGCCTCTCCTGCCTCCTGTTTTCTGCAACACTTTGGTGAGCCAGCCAGGAGATGGAGATGACAGGTTTGCTGTCTACTTTGCCTTTAGGTGTGAGACCCCAAGCCAGGAGAGACCCATGACCTCAGGTGCCATCAGGAGAACTTAAACCTGAAGAAGGGATCAGCTATCCCACAACCCAGTGCCCCTCCCAGACAGCACAACAGAATCTAAGGGGCTACAGGATGATTCCAGGAACAGTGCACTACAGGACCACGGTAAGGTTTTGGGGCCCAAGGCAGGAACCGTCCCATAAGGATGGAAGGGGAGCCTGATCACCTTCCAAGGTGTAACTAGTAGACTGACACAGGATGCAAGAATGGTTTGCAAACTCAGGGAAACTTACACCCCAAGTGACTAGGGCATAAGAGTGGCTCGCGAAGTCAGTTAGGAGAGAAAACTGGGAGTAGGACGGTGTGTGACTGTGTGTGAAAGAGATGGTTTTGGGAGGAACCAATGCAGACAGTGACATGTGGGGGCTACAGCTCTCTTAGTATAGACTGTGCGCTCTGAGAGAATTGTGGGACCAACCGGGACTAGTGGCAATCCACATACGGCTTATGGAGGTGCCCCACAATTTAGTAATTGTGAGGGGATTAACAAACTCCAAAGCTAAGCAGTGTCTGAAAACTCCTGCAAGGGGGATGGTTTAATTGGTCTGAATCAAAAGGAAGAATGAATGTGTTGTGCTGTATTGGGGAGGAAATGGGAGGGAAGTCACCAAAACCCACCCGATTAGCATGTATGTTAAGGAACTTTAAGAAAGGTTATTCGGGGACTATGGAATTAAGTTGACCCCCAGAGGCTGAGAACTCTCTGTGAAATACAATGGCCCTCTTTTGATGTTAGATGGCCAGCTGAAGGAAATGTAGATAAGGAAACAATTGGCTATGTATTTAAGGTGGTAACTGGGGTCAGAGGACAGTCAGGGCACCTAGACCAGTTCCCTTGTATTGACTCATGGTTAAATATAGTACAGACTCCACCTGCATGGTTGCAGACTTGCCTGGCAGCTTTTTGCTCAAGCTGAGCCTAAGCCACCAAAAAAAAATCAGCTTTGCTGGAAGCTACAGAGACAAAGGGAAAGCCACAGGAAAGACAGGAGAAACCAGTTTTGGAGGAACCACCGGAGGAGATAGAAACCCCTCCTCCCTATGCACCAATCTACCCACCTTTACCAAGGCTGGCCACTGAGCAGCCCAACTCAGATGGTATCATGCCCCAGGCTACACCCTAAAGGGGCAAATCTGAGCCCCTGTCCCAGGAGGTGAAGAAGGAAGTCAAGATGATCAAGCAGGCCACCTTCAATTTACCCACACCAGAGCTTTGCAGATGCCCCTCCAGAAAACACAGGGACCTATTTATTATGATGAACAGGGCCAGGTCCAAGGGGGGCAACAGACTTTTATTTACCAGCCTTTTTCTACCACTAATCTCCTAAACTGGAAACATCATACCCCCTCCTACACGGAGAACCCCCAGGACCTCATAGATCTAATGCAGTCTATCTTCCTAATGCACAATCCAACCTGGCCAGATTGCAGGAATCTCCTCCTAACGCTG
Source organism: Homo sapiens (assembly GCF_000001405.40). Taxonomy (NCBI): domain Eukaryota; kingdom Metazoa; phylum Chordata; class Mammalia; order Primates; family Hominidae; genus Homo; species Homo sapiens. Next base: position 23,822,394 of record NC_000019.10, on the reverse strand, counting down.
TTTAACACGAAGGAGTGTCAAAGGATAGCCCAGGCAGCTCTCTGCTGGCTAGAAGCCAGTGTGCCTGAAGGCACCCTTAATGTCCAGGCATATGCTCAGGGCCAATTCCCAGAAACAGATCCCAACTGGGACCCAAATGACGCAACCCAGCTTCAGCGCCTGCAAAGGTACTAAGAAGCACAGCTGCAATGATTGAGGGAAGGTGGAAAAAAGGCAATCAATATAAGGAAGGTCTCTGAAGTACTCCAGCGAATTGATGGGAGCCCTAGCCAGTTTTATGAGAGACTCTGTGAGGCATTTTAGTTTTACACTCCATTTGACCCTGAGGCTGCTGAAAATCAGTGCATGGTGAATGCAGCATTTGTAAGGCAAGCCCAGGGTGACATCAGAGAGAAGCTGCAAAAGCTAGAGGGTTTTGCAGGCATGAATGCCACCCAGCTTATAGAAGTGGCCACCGAGGTGTACATTAACTGTGACCAAGAGGCAAAAAAGGAAACAGAGCAGAGGCTTAGGAAAAAGGCCAACCTGTTAGCGGCAGCCCTCACAAAAAGGAAAATTAACATTGTAAAGGGACGCGAATGTTCACATGGGTGTGGGCATGGAAGAGGCCAAGTTGAACAGCGAGCCAAGAGATGGCTGAGGCTAAGGGGAGGTCAATGTGTGCAGTGCAAAAAGAAGGGACACTAGAAAAATGAATGTCCAGAGGACAATGAAGAGAATGGCAAAGGCTATGAAACAAAGAGGCCCCCAGCCAAGGGCTGCCACACCCTGAGGGAGCCAGATGCCGACCTGATCGGGCTGGCAGAGAATTAAGAATATGAGGACTAGGACCAACCGGGTTCCTTCTCCCTAGGCCCCCAGGAGCCCATGGTCACATTAGAAGTGGGGGAGGCAGGGAAGAAGTCCCTCCTCTGGGAGGCAGACCAGGAAAAGGCATTTAAACAAATCAAAGAAGCCTTAACTAGGGCTCCAGCCTTAGGACTGCCAGGTCTAACTAAGCCTTTCTTTCTATAGGCCCATGAGTGAAAGGGAATGGCTATAGGAGTCCTAACTCAGGTCACGGGATCATGGCATCGCCTGGTGGCATACTTATCCAGGCAGTTGGACTCCATGGCGCTGGGATGGCCCCCATGCTTCAAAGCATTAGCTGCCACAGCCCTACTGGCATGGGAAGCTGACAAACTAACTCTAGGACAGCAACTAACCACCTGAGTATCGCACTGAGTTATAACATTAATCGATCAGAGAGGGCACCATTGGTTATCAAATCCAATAATGAGTTGGTATCAAGGGCTTCTATGTAAAAATCCTCACGTAACTCTAGAGACTGTGAACACTCTAAACCCAGCTATTTTGCTCCCAATTCAATCAGAACCAGGAGGCCCTCTTCATTGCTGTATAGACACAGTTGATGAGGTATTCTCAAGCTGGAGAGATCTTACAGACCAACCCCTCAGGGACCCAGATATCGAGTACTTTACAGATAGAAGCAGTTTTGTACTGGAAGGAGTCCAATGGGCCGGGTATGCAGTAGTAACATTGCACTTGGTGGTGGAAGCTCAGTCTCTGCCCACAGAAACTTCAGCCCAAAAAGCAGAGCTGATAGCTCTAACAAGAGCCCTTTTGCTAGCAAAGGACAAAAAGATCAATATTTATACTGATTCCAAATATGCTTTTGCCACATTGCTATATATAAGGAGGAGTTTTAACTGCCAGGGGCAAAGAAATAAATACAAAGAAGAAATTATACAGCTCTTAGATGCTGTATGAGCCCCAGAGAAGGTAGCTGTTATGCACTATAAAGGACACCAGAAGTCAGGGACACAGGAGGCCAAGGGAAATGGAAAAGCAGACAGAGAAGCAAGACAGACAGCATTGACTGCTCCACACTCTAGAAAAGAAGCCCTGACCATGCCTCTCCTCCCGCAATCTCCCCTCCAGGAGACCCGGAGTTACTCTCTAAGTGACAGGGCCTGGTTTGCCCAAGAATCTGGAGAACATATTGAAGGAGGATGGTGGAAATTATCTAATGTGAGACTAGCCATCCCTGAAATGGTGGCCTCCAAATTTGTGAGGCAATTCCACCAAGGAACTCACATGGGAAAAACGGCACTAGAGACGCTATTAGGACACCACTTCTATGTGCCACGGCTCACTGCCATCACATGAGCCATTTGTGAACAATGCCTAACTTGTGCCCAGAACAACCTAATACAGGGGCCCACCAGGACCCTGGGAATGCAGGAAATAGGGGCCACACCTTGTGAAAATCTGCTTATGGGTTGCCCCAAGCAGGGGGATATTGAAACATGTTAGTACTTGTCTGCACCTTTTCAGGATGGGTCAAGGCTTTCCCCATCAGGACTGAGAAAGCACGAGAAGTAACTAAAGTACTGTTAAGAGACATTATCCCTGGATTTCGACTGCCCCTGACTCTAGCGTCAGACAATGGACCAGCATTCATAGCCAAGATAGTTCAAGAACTAACACAGTTATTGAAAATAAAGTGGAAGTTACACATAGCCTACTGGCCACAGAGCTCAGAAAAAGTGGAACACATGAACCAGACACTCAAACAGCTACTAAAAAAATTTTGCCAAGAAACTCATCTAAGGTGGGATCAGGTCCTGCCCATGGTCCTCCTCCAAGTGAGGTACACCCCCACCAAACAAACTGGGTATTCACCTATGAGATCTTGTTCGGCCAATTTAAAGGTGATCTCTGTGAACTAGAGGAATTAGCCTTAAGGAGAGAGATGCAGGCTTTAAGAATAGCCATGCAAAAAATTCATGGCTGGGTATGGGAAAGAATGCCCATAAGCCTCACAGACCCAATTTATCCCTTTAGACCCGGGGACTCTGTTTAGTTTAAAAAATGGAATCCAACAACACTGGGACCCATATGGGATGGGCCCCATATTGTAATCTTGTCTACTCACTGCTGCTAAAGTTGCAGGAATCGTGCCTTGGATTCACCACAGTTGGCTGAAACTGGTAGCCCAAGACAAGTGGACCAGCCAGAAGGACCCAGGCCATCCAACCCAGCTGATCCTATGATGGGACCGAGGTGCCAATGAAGACTACAACAGCCCTGCTCTGGTCACTTCAGAAGCTGACCAGTCTACACACGGTGGAAGCTTGAGGAAACAACAGCCCTGTTCTAGTCACCCCAGAAGCTGACTCGTCTATGTACGGCCAAAGCTCGAGGCATCATCAGGAAAGTAAAAGTGGTTAGAAATCTTACGTCTGGAAACTTTCCTTGTAATATTAATTGTTTTACTATTGTCCTGTTGCTTTGCTCAACCTCCTCCTCTAGGAAAGGACCTCTTCTCTCCATGCTAGGTATAAACATGTTATTCATTACTTTTGCTATTCCCTTTAACCACGTTAAAGGGAGAATCCTTAGAAGGATGCCCCCACTGCACTGACAATACGTAGACAGGAAGCACCATGACTAGAACCCTGTTCTACCACTTATTATAGGTATGCAGGGACCCATTGAGGAACTTGTACACACAACCAGATAACCTACTCAATCTGCAACCCAGGAAGTGGCCAGCCTTATATATGTTATGACCCAAAGTCCTTACCTAGAACCTAGTTGGAGGTTCATGTCAGGTCAAAAGAAATAAAAGGGGAATAACCATAAAGAATTAAAGATAATGAATGGCCACCTGAAAGAATAATGCAATACTATGGCCCAGCCACATGGGCAGATGGATCATGGAGATACCGCACCCCTATTTACATGCTAAATCACATCATATGGTTGCAGGCAGTACTGGAGATCATTACGAATGATACTGCAAGAGCCTTAAATTTGCTGGCTCGGAAATCTACAGAAATGAGAAATGCCGTTTATCAAAATAGACTGGCTTTAGACTACCTCCTAGCCCAAGAGGGAGGAGTATGTAGAAAGTTCAGCCTAACTAATTGCTGTCTAAAAATCGATGACAACGGAAAGGTCGTCAAACAAAAAGCTGCAAGAATCCAAAAATTAGCCCATATTCCAGTCAAGACTTAGAAAGGATGGTCTCCAGATTCCCTCTTCAGGGGTTAGTTCTCATCCCTTGCAGAATTTAAAACCTTAGTAAGAATAGTTCTAGCCATATTAGGAGTCTGCCTCATACTCCCTTGTCTCTTACCCCTCCTTGTCAAAAACATCTAAATGGCCACAGAGGCTCTTGTAACCAGGCAAACTACTACACAACTAATGACCCTAACTAAATATCAGCCTTTGCCAAATGAAGAAAACTTGCCTTTTCATGAAAAATTAAGTCATAGTGATGCTATTAAACGTCATTTATAAAAAGCGTCAAAGGGGGAAATGAAGTAGAGGATGTAAAGAAAACTAGTCCTTATCCCCTCTCCTCCCATAGAGCAATGATGGGAAAAACAATTTTTCCTCCTCTCCTAGCTTCCTCCTCCCCTTAGTAATCCTTCCTTAGTGAAACTCAAGGTTACTTCACAACAACTCCAGTTTCTCTGTTCTGGATAACATGACAAGGTTACAAGACGAGCTTGAGTAAGACATGTACCAGCTGCAAGGCCTGCTTTAGTTTGATAAATTCATGTTTCCCTTCCAGTGAAGCTGCAAGGTCAGCATAACCTGTCACTGTTTGATTAACTGCCTCTGTTCTGCTTCTGTGAGCCTGCTTACTTGCACCACGAGCTTTGCGCCACTAGATGGCCCATGCATGTATAAAAGACAAGCCCTGTCTTAGTCCAAGGCTCAGCTTTTTGGATGCGAATCCATTGTGCCAGGGTGCACCTTAATAAAATCCTCCAGTTTCACCTACTGGGTGTCTCCTGCCTCCTATTTTCTCTAACAAAACCACATATAAAATAAAAGTCTATATTAAATGTAAATATACAAATATAGAAGTCTTTACTATCATAATAATGATGCATAAAACCCTTAAAGCTCCTCTGTAAAATATTTAAAACAGAATACAATCTGCATAAATATGTTAATAAATACACAAAATAATTTATATTTATTTATTTTATTTTGAGATGGAGTATCGCACTTGTTGCCCAGGCTGGAGTGCAATGGCACAATCTTGGCTCACTGCAACCTCTCCCTCCCGGGTTCAGGCAATTCTCCTGCCTCAGCCTCCCGAGTAGCTGGGATTACAGGCATGCACCACCATGCCTGGCTAATTTTGTATTATTTAGTAGAGACAGGGTTTCTCCATGTTGGTCAGGCTGGTTTCAAACTCCTGACCTCAGGTTATCCGCCCACCTCGGCCTCCCAAAGTGTTGGGATTACAGGCGTGAGCCACTGCACCCAGTCTAAAAATTTTTAATGTTAATAACAAACTGAAAAACATAGAGGTATAATTTTATATTCAATTGAAGTTGTCATTAAAGTATATTGTTTGAATTTTAAGATATTTAATGTAAACTCCATTTTTTAAAATAATATGGTTTGGCTGTGTCCCAACCCAAGTCTCATCTTTAATTCCCACATGTTGTGGGAGGGATGTGGTGGAAGGTAATTGAATCATGGGGGCAGGTCTCTTCTGTACTAGTCTCATGATAGTGAATAAGTCTCATGAAATCTGATGGCTTTATAAGGCAGAGTTTTTCTGCACAAGCTCTCTGTCTGCCACCATGTGAGACATGCCTTTCACCTTCCACCATGATTGTGAGGTCTCTTCAATCACATGAAACTGTAAGTCCAATAAACTTCTTTCTTCTGTAATTTGCCCAGGGTAAGGTACGTTTTTATCAGCAGCATGAAAACACATGAATAGACAACATGATTATAAAGATAATAATTAAAGAAACTGTGCAAAACAAAATTAGAAAAATAATTGAAGCACATCACTACACAATTAAAATAAAATTTAAGGCAATAAAACAGTGAATAAGAAAAAACGTACCACTCAGGAACACATAAAACAGTTACAATAAAACCAGTAACTTCATTTTTAAGAAGCAGTTTTAAATATAAATTAAATTACTTAATAAAAAGAAATGTAATCTCAGGACTTTGGGAGGTTAAGGCGGGCTGATCACTGGATCTCAGAAGATTGAGAACAGCCTTGACAGTGTGGCAAAACTCTGTCTCAACCAAAAATACACAAAAAACTGGCTAGGCGTGATGCTACACACTTGTAACCCAGCTACCTAAGAGGCTGAAATGAGAGAATCTTCTGAGTTTGTAAGTTGAGGCTGCAGTGAGCCATGATCACAACACTGCAAACTAGCCTGGTTGACAGAGTGAGACCCTATCTCAAAAATAAATGAATAAACAAGTAAATAAATGAAATTATAAAAAGAAAAAATAAAATGCTTTACTAGCTTAAGAAAAAAGCAAACAGTATGTTGCCTACAAGGGAATCATTTCAGCACTAAGTCAAATAGGCTGAAAACCACAGAGCGAAAAAAAAAACAACTACATTTTATGAAAATAGTAACTACAATTGTGTATTAGATATGTTTTAAGTCAAGTGCTAACATGAGACAAACACTGATATTACATACTCATAAAATAGGTTGATTTACCACAAATCTATAATGATTATATCCATCTACCTATCTGTATGTATATGTATATATAACATAAGGTCTCCAAAATATATAAAGCAAATATTGACAAAAGTAAAGCAAGAAATACATAGAATATAATTGTAGACATCAATACCCCATTTTTAATAATAAATAGAAAATTCAGATTAAAAAATCAACAAGAAAACAAAGCCTAGACGACATTGCAGACCGTATTAATCATTTTGCATATAGAGGAATACCTGAGTGGATAATTTATAAAGAAATAAAGATTATATGGCTCACAATCCAGCAGACTGTACAAAAAGTGTGTGCCAGCATCTGCTTCTGGTGAGTGTCTCAGCAAGCTTACAATCATGGTTGAAGGCGAAGAGTAACTGTACATGTCACATAATAACAGACAGAGCAAGTATGAGGTGAAGGAGCCAGGTTCTTCTAATAAACCTGCTTACATTTGAATTAATGGAGTGTAAACATTTTGATTACCAGCTATTTATGAAGACTTTGCTCCCATGACCCAAACACCTCCCACCAGGTCTCACATCCAACATTAAGGATTACACTGCAGAATAAGGTTTGGAGAACATGAACATCAAAACCATGTTACAGACCAACTAGGTTTAACACATGAGTACAAAACTTTCCAGTCAAAAGCAAGAGAATATACAATATTCTTATTTGCATCTGGTGTATTCTGTTAGGACACATACTAAGTTTTATTAAATTTAAGAATGCCAGCTGGGTGGTGTAGCTCACGCCTATAATCCCAACACTTAGAGATCAAGGTAGGAGGATCACTTGGAGTTAAAAGTTTGAGGCCAGCCTGGGCAACATAGTGAGACTCTATCCCTACAAATAATCAAAGAATTATTCAGACATGGTACTTTATGTTTGTAGTCCCAACTACATGAGACACTGAGGAGGAAAGATCACTTGAACCTGGTAGGTTGAGGCTGCAGTGAGGCAAAATCATGGCAGTACACTCCAGCCTGGTTGACAGAGTAAGATCCTGTCTCCAAACAAAAACAACAAACACAACAACAACAACAAATATATTTAAGAAGACCAAAATTATACACTGTGTTTTCTGACCAAAACTGAATTAAGCTATAAATTAAAACTAAAAAAAATCCAAAAATATAAGAAAATAAAACACACTCTTCAACATATGTTTGCTCAGGAATCAAAAAATAATAGTTTTTCAAAGATGTCAATACAACTTACAGTGGTAGACAAATTCAATATAATCTTCATAAAAATCCCAACAGCAGTTTTTTAAAGAAATATTGTTTAAAATGTTAAAATTTTATTATGACCTCTAGCCAAACACCCATGAAAAAGAACAAAGGTGCATTATAATTTCTGATTTTGAAACATATTAAAAGCAGCAATAACAAACACAATGTGGTACTGACAAAAAGACAGATAAACAGATGAAAGAACAGAGAGCCCAGAAATAACCCTTCTGAATATGGCCAAATAATCTCCCACAAAATTGACATGAGCACACAATAGAAAAAAGATAATTTTAAAACTGAATATCCATACTGAATTATCCATACTGAATATCAATACTGATAAAATTAAGTTCGATTATTTCCTGAAACTATAAGTGAAAAATCTTTTAATTAGACATAGAAGATAACTTCTTTTTTTTTTTTTTATTTTGAAATGGAGTCTTGCTCTGTTGCCCAGGCTGGAATGCAGTGGCATGGTCTCAGCTTGCTGCAACCTCCGCCTTCCAGGTTCAACCAATTCTCCTGCCTCATCTTCCCAAGAAGCTGGGATTACAGGCGCCTGCCACAATGCCTGGCCAATTTTTATATTTTTAGTAGAGATGGGGTTTCATCATGTTGGACTGGCTGGCACGGTGGCTCACGCCTGTAATCCCAGCATGTTGGGAGGCCGAGGTGAGCAGATCACAAGGTCAGGAGTTCCAGACCAGATTGACTAACATGGTGAAACCCCATCTCTACTAAAAATACAAAAATTAGCCGGGTGTGGTGGCACGTGCCTGTAATCCCAGCTACTCAGGAGGCTGAGGCAGGAGAATCGCTTGAACCTGGGAGGCAGAGGTTGCAGTGAGCTGAGATCATGCCACTGCACTCCAGCCTGGGCAACAGAGTGAGACTCTGTCTCAAAAAAAAAAGAAACCCGTGTTGATTGTCAGTAGAAAACAAGCAGGCATCCATTATTTTATGTTATAAATGTACTTCTTATAATTAAAAATAAAATTATTATCAAATACAGCAATTCCATTTATTAATCTATATCTAAAATATGCAATATAGGACCTTCAAGACATATTTGATACAATGGAATATTATTCAGCCTTAAAAAAAATCTTAAAAATCTTGACACATTTAAAGATACACTTTGAAAATATTATGTCAACTGAAATCAGCCAGTAGTAAAATCATAGATATTATGATTTCACTTACGTAAGATATATAAAATAGTCACACTCATAAAAACAGAAAGTGGAAGGGTGTTTGTTAAGGGATGGAGAGAGCATAAAATGAGTAAATGTTATTTAATGGATATTGAGTCTTAGTTTTACAAGATATAAAATTTCTAGAAGTCTTTTGCATAACAATGTGAATATAGTTAACATACCTGAAATACACAACTTTTTTTTTTTTTTTTTGAGACAGGGTCTCAATCTGTCACCCAAGCTTGAGTGCGTGGCACAATTATGGCTCACTGCAGCCTCACAGTCCCAGGCTCAAGTAACCCTGCCCCTCATTCTCTCAAGTAGCTGAGACCACAGGTACACACAACCCTGCCTGGCTATTTCTTAGAAAAAAAATGTTTGTAGAGAGGGTGTCTCCACATTTTGCCCAGGCTGGTCTCAATCTTTTGGGCTCAAGCAATCCTTCTGTCCTGGCCTCTCAAAATCCTGGTTTTACAGATGTGAGCCACCACTATGCCTGGCTGTGACATGTATATTTAAATAGATTTAAGAAACTAAATTACATGTTACATGTTTTTACAGTTACTTTTTAAAAAACTGAAAAAAATACCAAATTATAAATCTTTTTAAAAATTACCTCCAAATCACAAAGTGTTTGTCTCACACAAAGGAAATACATATTCATCATTAAACACATGACGAAAATGAGACTATTTCCAAGGCTACTCACTTAGACAAGATAAAACCAACATTGAAAATGAGCTAAGAGGTCGGGCCCAGTGGCTAATGCCTGCAATCCCAGCACTTTGAGATGCTGAGGTGGGCAGATCACCTGAGGTCAGGAATCCGAGACCAGCCTAACCAACATGGAGAAACCCCGTCTCTAATAAAGAAAAATACAAAATTTGCCAGGCCTGGTGGCACATGCCTGTAATCCCAGCTACTTGGGAGGCTGAGGCAGGAGAATTGCTTGAACCCTGGAGGCAGAGGTTGCAGTGAGCCGAGATACTGCATTACACTCCAGCCTCAGCAACAAGAGCAAAACCCCGTCTCAAAAACATAAACAAAAAAAAAAAAAGAGAAAAAGAGAATGAGCTAAGAAAGAATATATACAAGATAAGCTACAACAAAAATTGGGGTCACATTTGCAGATATAAACACACACATATCTGATTGTGATAGACATATGGCCCATTTATCTTTTAATTAAACCCCACATTAACTTAAAGTATACAAACAGAATTGCCAATTATCTAAAATTATAATACATAAGTAAAACCAAAAACACAATAAACTGATATTAAGAAATTTATAGTAAAAAACCACAATATAGAACTACAAGACAATAATAAATGTTTACTCATAAAATCTAGTTGGCAACATCAATGTACATTAACAAATAATTTGTCTAGATAACTGCAATGTTTGACTGTAACTGTGCATTCCCGGAAGGCAGGCATTTTAAATTACTGATATCTATTGTATGGCAATAAAATTTCAGAGAAAAGGAAATACAATCATAAACAGGAGATGCTAATGAGAAACCTTTAATGGATAAGCTTTTAAAAGAAACTACTGACAATTTTTTGTTTTAAATGTTTGCTATTTTTGAACAAAATAAAACTAATCCAAATATAGAAGCAAATAATACCTTACATTGCTAAATTATACATATATTTAGCAGAATATGGTTAGAGCCTCATATATAAAACAAATATTTGGGAAATAAACTATGTTATTATTTAGATATAGGCTGACAAAAGTGGTTGAAAATTTTATAATTCCTTTTTGCCTGCCTGCATACTAATTACCTAATTTAATTCAGGCACAACACGTAAATTCTAGTATATTGCCCTAAATGTCTGAATCTAAAATTGCAGACAAATTTAAAGTAGAAAATAAAGTAAAAATTTATATGGAGAGTGACATTAACAAGATAAAAAAAAAAAAGGCATCCTATTTGCTTATCCCCTGACAGCAAGAAAATTTGTCAGTCATTCCTGATGAAAATGCCTTTTTAAGAGAATCACGCATCATGGTTTACACCAGTAATGACAGCTACATGATACATTAAAGAATTGCTTACAGTCAAAATACTAAAACTTGCCTGGGTTATGTAACAAGACCCCATCTCAAAAATAAGTGCCTTTGGCCAGGCACATTGGCTTACACCTGTAATCCCAACAATTTGGGAGTCTGAGGTGGGTGGATCACCTGAGGTCAAAAGTTCAAGACCAGCCTAGCCAACCTGGTGAAACCCAATCTCTACTAAAAACACAAAATTTAGCTGGGTGGTGGCGGGCACCTGTAATCCCAGCTACTCGGGAGGCTGAGGCAGGAGAATCACTTGAACCTGGGAGCCGGAGGTTGCAGTGAGTCAAGATCGTGCCACTGCATTCGCCACTGCACTCCAGTCTGTGTGACAGAGCAAGACTCCGTCTCAAAAAAAAAAAAAAAAAAGTGCCTTTAAGAGAGTTCTGAGATCCAGGAAGGGAGTTGTGAAACTCTGCTAAAGCCCAATATTGAAGATAATTCTGTTTAGAAGGCAGGCCCTCATTCAGGTGGCAAACTACAGGACTACTGTTGTTGGCTACAGACAAGAAAACGTTCCACCTAACTTGGTTCCAGTGAGAATTCTGAACTTACTCTGTAACCATCCCAAACTCTTCCCAGTCACAGTCTGGGGGAGGTCCTGCTCTTCCAGAGGCCTAGAGGAAGACACCCATTTATAGCTATGCTGAGAGGCCTGCAGACCTTGGCCTTTACTGTGGTCCCTGAGGCAGTTCCATGACTCATTTCCAGCTCCCTGAGCCACAGTTCATGGCCGGTTCTGCCTATGTAGAAACCCAAAGTGACCTGGGAAAATTCTCTCTTGTACTCAGTGAAAGCCACTCTCATCACATCCTGATATAAAGAACACCATATGCAGACCCGACTGCAGAAACCTGCCCCTGGGTCTGCAATACACAGCAAAGTCCTGAAAGATATTCACTCTGTCCAAAAATTAAATGAAAATGAAAACTACAACTATCCAAGCCCTTTTCCCTTTTTTTTTTTTTTTTTTTTTTTTTTGGAGAGGGAGTCTCGCTCTGTCACCCAGGCTGGAGTGCAGTGGCACGATCTCGGTTCACTGCAAGCTCTGCCTCCCAGGTTCACGCCATTCTCCTGCCTCAGCCTCCCGAGTAGCTGGGACTACAGGCGCCTGCCACCACGCCCGGCTAATTTTTTTGTATTTTTAGTAGAGACGGGGTTTCACCGAGTTAGCCAGGATGGTCTTGATCTCCTGACCTCGTGATCCACCCGCCTCGGCCTCCCACAGTGCTGGGATTACAGGCATGAGCCACCGCACCCAGCCTATCCAAGCCCCTTTTAACAAGACAACTAAAGGTGAACCCTTGTGCAAACCCAGCAGCCTTAAGACCAAGCTACAACCCTTCTTCACCACAAACCCAGAGGGCATTCTATCACATTGGGGGGGCCAAACAAAAATTTATTTTTGCTCTCTGAAACCAGTTTATAAAATCTTGAAGAGGTGTTTGCTCCTTTAAATTTACAGACCCCATTGCAAAACAATTGTTTCTTATTGTCAATGCTTCTATTTTAACATAGCACTGAAAGTATGTGGATGAAGAAATAGTCAAAAGAAAAATTTAAAGTCATTGAAATTGAAGACCAAAAGTAAAACATTGCTGTTGGTAGACCATGTAATCTTATATATAAAAAAAAAACATAAACAGTACATTAAAACTTGTTTAAACTAAAAATATAAAATTAACATACAAGTATAAGTTATGGTTCCATACACTTAAAACAAACGGTCTGATAAAAGAGAGAAAAAAAATCTTATTTACAATAGCAATGAAATAATTAATTTTAGAACAAATTTAAACAAGGAGCTTGTAAATCTTTTAAGTGAAAGATATATCAATGAAAAAAATTAGAGGACACAAATAAATTTAAAAATATTTTATTTCTACTGAAAGAATAAGTATTGTGAAACTGCCATATTATCCAAAGTGATCTCTAGATTCAATAAACTCCCTGTCAAAATTCCAGTGTTTTTTTTTCACAGTAATGAAAAACACAACCCTAAAACATAGATGAAACTACAATAAACTTTGAATAGCCAAAGCAATCTTAAGAAAAAAGAACAAAGCAGAAGGACATCATACTTTATAATTTCAAACTATATTTCAAAACTATGGTAATGAAAACAGGATGAAATGTGCAGAAAAAATGAACAAGAAAACCAGTGAAACAGAAACCGTCACTCTCGTGCATTTCAGACGTGATGTAAAAAGAGAACTTAAAAAATAGTTTAACATAGAGTATCTCAAAATTATGGAGATATCTCTCTGTCCACAAAAACAAGAAAAAAGTCAGATTGTGCACTCTTTTTGTATGTCATGAATAGTACTTTAGCTGTCACTGTAAATTTGAAGGAAGAACACTGAAGGGAAATTAGAATTCTTAGAAATTTTATAAACATAAGACATAAGATGCCCCTACGTGAGAGTATAATTTTTAAAAATTTCAGGCTTTCCAGAAACTATTTCCTTTTGAACACAGCTTCCCAAATCACTTTAAAGACTTGCTTTCTTCTTGATTTGGGCCTCTCATCCATGTTGTCTGTTGTATTCACTCTAACCTACCTGGGGGTTCATCCACCATCTCATGTCACTTCATATTCCAGGGCTCTTTTTCTCGCTCCAGATAGGTGATCAGGTCTGGCTTAGAGACAGTAATACCTGTTTTATTAAAAATAACTAACATGAATCTTGCTCATATTCTCCAATTACCAACTTAGTAATGTGTTCAGTAAAGAGGATATAATAGAATATTCTAATAAATTTATCCCAATATACTAATTTATAACAGAAATGTTTAACTATTTAGAAAATACTTTTATTGGTCAGGCGCAGTGGCTCACGCCTGTAATCTCAGCAATTTGGGAGGCTGGGATCACGAGGTCGGGAGTTTGAGACCAGCCTGCCCAAGATGGTGAAACCCTGTCTCTACTAAAAATACAAAAATTAGCTGGGCATGGTGGCGGGTGCCTGTAATCCCAGCTACTTAGTAGGCTGAGGCAGAATCGCTTGAACCTGGGAGGCGGAAGTTGCAGTGAGCCGAGATCATGCCACTGTACTCTAGCCTGGGTGACAGAGCAAGACTCCATCTCCAAAAAAAAAAAAAATTAATTTTGTAGGTTCTTAATTTCACTGCCTGGTACTACTGAATCAAAAACTGGTGATGATAATTAGATTTTAAGGTGTGAGTAACAATATTTTATGCAACTAAACTTCTGAAATTACCAATAATCTAAAGTGAAGGACACAGATCCGCTCAGGAATGTGGAAAGTTCAGGTCAAGATGAAATATCTTGAAGAAATTCTTTTCTAAACAGACAAATCCCCAGGATTTTCTTGAAAACAGAAATTTGAAAGCATAAATTACCAGAAAACATTCTACAAAAGAGAAATGAAACCTTTAGTTTATATAAGGAATTTTGTATTAAAGTTATCCTCACCCAGGAAGGCCAGGTTTTCATAACATTCCTCTATAAATTCTGCTGTGCAGTGTCCAGGCACTGCTACTCCTCCAGAGAGAATTCTATGGCCACATACCTAAACGTCAAGAGTCCCTGGAAAAGACACACAAACACACATATGTACAAAGTGGCCATTGGCAGAATTTTCCATTTGACTCAAGGCAAAATGAGAGAGTAAAAAAAACTGGTTCTGACTTATAAGAGTGACTGAAATTATCCAATAAAATAATTGTCAACACACAAACCTTTTCTAATGTATTCTCTAACTCTGAGAAAAGAGAGTGGCATAATATCCACAACATCAGTGTATATATGATACTTGTCTGGATGATAAAGTATAAAATTGAGGGCATAGACACTAACATGCACATTTTTGAGTACTATATTTACATAATACAGAATGAGTTATATATGTTTTTCAGATGAAAAAGACATAGTTCTTTACATTTTTCAGACAAAATAGACATGTTGACTTAGAAGGTACCACTCAAATTTTAATGTGTACAATAAACTGGACATCATGTTAATGCAGATTATTTTTTCAGGAGATCTGAAATAAAGTCTGAGTTACTGAATCTCTACCAAGTTTACCAGTAATGCCAATGTTTTGGCCCCAAAATATCATTTTGTCAAACATCCAGTAAGTGGAAGAGCCTGTGTCTTTTTCAGTTTTTCTGGCCTGTAAACAAAGATGAGAGCTTTCATTTACCAAAGAAAGATAAATACAAAGAAAACCTCAAAAACAGGGCAGCTGCCAGATTAAATGTGATGGTGTATGGACATCAGCTGCATAAAGATACTTAATGATGAAGAGGAAAAAAAACCTCTATAGTGCAAAAATCTGTAAGAGAGTTTATTAAGCAAGTGAGTTATTAACATCAAATGCACTCGAACAAGTTTTCATAGTGTGCTGATGCACCCAGAAGGACACAGCATCACTACTGAGATATGGCCCCCCACTAAAGTAAATTACAGTCTCAATTTAACCATAAGAAAACATCGGTTATATGGAAAGTCCAAGATAGAGATATTTTCCATGTTCTACAATTTTTAATAGTGACTTTAAGTAGTCTCTCTTTAGCACCCAAATAAGCAGGTATCTCCTGGTAATTTTTTTTTTTTTTTTTTTTTTTTGAGACTCAGTCTCGCTCTGTCACCCAGGTTGGAGTGCAATGGTGCGATCTTGGCTCACTGCAACCTCTGCCTTCAAGGTTCAAGTGATTTTCCTGCCTCAGCTTCCCTAGTAGCTGGGACTACTAGCACGTGCCACCATGCCTGGCTAATTTTTTGTATTTTTTGTAGGGATGGGGTTTCACCGTGGTAGCCAGGATGGTCTCAATCTCCTGTCTTCATGATCCATCCACCTCAGTCTCCCAAAGTTTTGGGATTACAGGCATAAGCCACATCACCCAGCCACTTTTCTCAGAACTTTTTGGGTAATAAATGCCATTCTGTTTAAATGAGCATTTTCTTAATGGTGTAATGCCATTAAGAACACAGAAGGAACCTCAACATTACATGTTCTCCATCTTTACTAAGAATCCCAGGTTTTCCCCATAGAAATCTAGAGTATCATTGCTGGATGCTGTGGCTCATGCCTATAATCCCAGCACTTTGGGAGGCTGAGGCGGGTGGATCATGTGGTCAGGAGTTTGAGACCAGCCTGACCAACATGGTAAAACCCCGTCTCTACTAAAAATACAAAAATTAGCTGAGTGTGATGATGCATGCTTGTAATCCCAGCTACTCAGGAAGCTGAGGCAGGAGAATTGCTTGAACCCGGGATGTGGAGGCTGCAGTGAGCCGAGATCATGCCACTTCACTCCAGCGGGGACGACAGAGTGAGGTTCCGTCTCAAAAAAAAAAAAAAAGAAAGAAAGAAGGATAGATAGATAGATAGATAGATAGATAGATAGACAGACAGATAGATAATCCACACCTATCCATGTTCAACAGCCAAAGACAACATTTTTAATATTGCAGATCACGAATTCATGGTGAGAATTCTGCACGGCATATAAGAAGTCGTGATGTAGAGAAGTCTGTGATATATAGAAACGAAATATTTTTCAGAGACCCTTGACTATCACAAGCATTTATAAAAGTAGTTAAGAAAAACTCATTAGGGAGAAAAAACACAAGTTTAGAAGTAAAGATTTGCACATACTAAGCACATGGCAATCCAGGAGGCACAGCGGACACAGCTCTTGATGTCAGAAATGTTTAGCTGAAAAAAAGTCATTTTTTCTCTTTCTCCTCCTCCTCTAGAATTATTTCTCAGATGACATTTTCTGGACTAATTATACCTGCATCTTGAGAATATGCCTTAAAAACTTTGAGCACCACATGTTCATCTCTTACCACCACACCTAAAGGCAGAAAGCCCAAGACAGAAAAACTCTACCCATTTCTGTCCTTTATAACAGAAATGATTTAGGAACTATAAGTTTCTCTGCAGCTGGGCAAGGTGGCTCATGCCTGTAATCCTGCACTTTGGGAGGCTGAGGTGGGTGGATCACTTGAGGTAGGGAGTTCGAGACCAGCCTGACCAACATGAAGAAACCCCATCTCTACTAAAAATAGAAAATTAGCAGGGCGTGGTGGCACATGCCTGTAATCCCAGCTACTCAGGAGGCTGGGGGAGGAGAATCGCTTGAACGCGGGAGGTGGAGGTTGCAGTGAGCCGAGATTGCACCATTGCACTCCAGCCTGGGCAACAAGAGTGAAACTCCATCTTAAAAAAAAAGAAAAAAAGTGTGTGTGTGTGTGTGTGTGTGTGTGTGTGTGTGTGTGTGTGCTTTTTATTTTTTTGGTCCTCAGGTTCTCTCCTCTGCTACAGACACTAGCAATTTCTGCTACAGTAATAGAAATATTGGCCACACTGTCCTGTCCTTAACAAACCCAAACAGAACAGGTTCCTGGACCCCTCTTTAGTGCAAAGGCGGCACTTAACTCTCATAAATGTATCTTGAACTCGTCATACTTGATTCTGGCAAATTAGAGTCACATGAGACACTTAATTAAAACAAATAGATGCTTTCACCCAGAACATTAAGCAAACTGTGAAAAGGGCACAAGAGAGTTCTGCAAATTGGCCATGTGATTCTAATTAGAAGTCTGGGCTTATAACCACTTACCTAAGCATTGCTACTCAAGCTTTAATGAGCTTATAAATCACTTCGTAAATTTGGCCCCACTCTATGTAATACGATTCTGTGGGTTTGGAAAGGGTCCATAAATGGGTGTTTTAAAGAAGTCCCCTGTCAGTGCTGATGTCGCTCTCTCTGGGCTCATTATTAGCACTGTTTAGAAAAATGAGGCACAGGCCGGACGCGGTGGCTCACGCCTGTAATCACAGCACTTTGGGAGGCCGAGACAGGTGGATCACGAGGTCAGGAGATCGAGACCATCCTGGCTAACACGGTGAAACCCCATCTCTACTAAAAATACAAAAATTAGCCGGGTGTGGTGGCGGTTGCCTGTAGTCCCAGCTACTCAGGAGGCTGAGGCAGGAGAATGCCGTGAACCCAGGAGGCGGAGCTTGCAGTGAGCCGAAATGGCGCCACCGCACTCCAGCCTGGGCGACAGAGCAAGACTCGTCTCCAAAAAGAAAAAAAAGAAAAAGAAAAATGAGGCACAGGACAGAGTCCCTTATATTCAGCAGTCTTGTCACAACACAAATACTTTTGATACAAATGAAGACAACCATTCTTTATCTTAAAGTATCATATTATTTCCTGGCTCTTTAAAGTTTACAGAGAAAACAGAAAGCAGCAATTTCTGAGTAAGTCTGCATTTAGAAAACAACATGTACACATGTACTAATGCAATGTTTATTAAGCAGGTACTGTGTTCTCAATAAGACGTTACAGAGCACTGTGATGACCCATTATTTAATTCTGATAAAACCCTGTGAGTTTATACTGTGTTCAATAATTCCAAGGATTTAGAATAAGAACCCAGCATTTTTATTTCTTCTTCTGTTTATCTGTCACTGATTTTTTTTTTTTTTTTTTTTTTTTTTTTTTTGAGACGGAGTCTCGCTCTGTTGCCCAGGCTGGAGTGCAGTGGCGCGATCTCGGCTCACTGCAAGCTCCGCCTCCCGGGTTCACGCCATTCTCCTGCCTCAGCCTCCCGAGTAGCTGGGACTACAGGCGCCCGCCACCACGCCCGGCTAATTTTTTTGTATTTTTAGTAGAGACGGGGTTTCACCGTGTTAGCCAGGATGGTCTCGATCTCCTGACCTCGTGATCCGCCCGCCTCGGCCTCCCAAAGTGCTGGGATTACAGGCGTGAGCCACCGCGCCCGGCTGTCACTGATTTTTTTTAAAAAATGTATAGAATATAAATATAGACAGATGAGAGGGATACAGATAGAGTTTCATATAATTTAGATGAATTTTTGTTGTGTTTATATTTACTATTTTGTGATTTGTGAATCAACAACTATATCTGCAGGGAGAGAAAACAAGTTGCTAAATGTAATGTCTCTGCAAACAATGGTTTTAAAAAAAATTTTTTTAATTAAGACCCTATAAATCATATTTTATATTTTCCATTTATCTGCTTTTGGGTTTCAGAAAATCATGAGCACCAACCCTAAAAAAGCAACAGGATGCATCACCCAAAACTCTGATCTCTTCTAGTTAGTTCTGTGAGACAAGACTCCAGAGTATGGCCACACCTAAATAAGGTCTTCAAAAAGGGTGAATCTGATCAGGGTTGGGACAGGGTGTAGAGCTAATGTAAAATTCTGTTTTTTGTGCCACTGGGGAGTATTTTCAGTTCTGTTTCATTTTTTAAGTGTACCAAAAAAAAAAAAAATTAAATCTCAGAGTTTGTATAATTTTTAATCTTTTTAAACCCCACTCCCCTCTCAAGGTTATATCACATACTAATAAGCAATTTAACAAATCTCTTAAGGTTTTCTAAAATAGTTTTTTAGAAGATAAATAAGTGTTCTTAGCAAGCTAAAAAATGCAAATAATAACTCTTGTTTATAAATATATGTTCAGGTGTAGACATCAGAAGTCTTAACAATATAAAGAAAATGGTGCAAATATATCCCATATTTTTGCACATGTCTATTTATTGTACCCACCATATGATGCATAATTAAATCATTTATCCAGTTGATAGTCAAGACTAAAAGTTCTTGCATGGTAGGGACCATGACTGCTTCATCTATTTTTCTAATGACTATATGAAATGGAATCAATTTATCTGTTTGAGTCTCCAGACCTCCTCCTTGTTTTTCACTCAAGTACCAGGGAACCAGAGAAACTCTCATCTGGGTACCAACCAAAGACATCTCTTGTATGATGGGAGGAACACACACCAGATGATTCATTTCTTTTACAGTAAGACAGAAGCAAAATTAACCACTCTTGTCAGCCTGACACAATTGTTCTGGAGATTCTCAAATGTCTCAGATGCCTGGGTGATTGTGAGAGCATTTCCAGTGACCCTGGGCTGATGGACCAATAATAAGCCAGCAGGAGAGACTCAGGCTGATTCTAAAAAGAAAATGAAACTATCCTGGTGGAGCTCCAGAACCTGGATCTCCTGTCCTGATTAGCTAGCTTTTGGACAATAACACTCTAGTATCACATTTTCCAGGTAGCTATAGTTGTGCTCAGGGCTCTGGCTACTTTGTGGCCTTGATCTCTCACTCCTAAGATGCTTGTTTACACTTAGAGATTCTGCCATCAGATTCTATTTAAACCTGTAGCCTCTCACAGAAAGGTAGCAATGTGAAAAGGTCAAAGAGTCACACTCTCAAAGGAGGGATCTGAAGTGTCTATGTGGACATCTCACAATGCAGAAAATGCCTCCTGTTGGTTTTCTGTACATTCTCAATCTAAAGTCTGGCCCTGTCTTGTAAATTCCAGGCAGAGACCAGACCTTATGTGCAGATTCTAGATAAAATCAACATCACTTTGCATTTTTGGCTGTTACAGCGAGTACAATCAAAGGAGAAATCTACTCACAGAGACTGCTCTAGAAAATTCTAAATAATATTTTACCTAAAAAAAAGCTGACACAACATGAATATAAGTACACAGTTTATTGGGGCCAAGCTTAAGCATTGTAACTTGAGAAGAAATATTCAAGATGCCTGGAATCTATACTGATTAGCAGCAATTACAAGTGGATTTGTGAAGGGAAAAAAAGAAGAGAGATAGAGAGTGGGGTGATACAAACTAGTTTGTGAGAAATTCTTATTTGTTTAAATAAATAACTTATTATTGGTTTAACTTATACCTACTTTTGGCAATAGTGAACAGCTTCAAGAGATCAATATATAGTTGAAAGTAGGGAGAAAGACATAATTGTGCTCTTATTTTAATGTCTGAGTTTTATAAGTAAAAAGACTGGCAGACAGCCACAGTGGCTCACGCCTGTAATCCCAACATTTTGGGAGGCCGACGCAAGTGGATCACGAAGTCAAGAGATCGAGACCATACTGGCCAACATGGTGAAGCCCATGTCTGCTGAAAAAAGTAATACAAAATTAGCCAGGTGTGATGGCACATGCCTGTAATCCAAGCTACTCGGGAGGCTGAGGCAGGAGAATAGCTTGACCTGGGAGGAAGAGGTTGCAGTGAGCCGAGATCACGCCACTGCACTCCAGCCTGGTGACAGAGCAAGACTCCATCCCCCCCAACCCTCCCCTAAAAAAAAAAAGACTTGCATTTCTCAAATGAAACTTTTGTTTTGTTTTGTTTTTTAATTTCTAGACCTAGATTTAGAATTTGGAGCTGCAGATTTAGGTCCTGGATGGGTGGAGTAGCAGCAGGTGTTACCTGCAATTGTGAGCATTTTAGCAAGAGGAGAAAAAGAGAAGTGGAGATTCTCATGTCTCCATGTCTACTCAATGCACACTTGTTACACTGATTGGGTTTCTGGGCTCCATGGTCTCTGAATCAGTTTCAGGTCTGAAGATACAAGAGTCATTGAAAGAAGTAAAATGGTTAATATCTGCCCTATTAAGTTTGTAGAAATCTAGGCCAGGTGAGGTGCCTCACACCTGTAATCCCAGCACTTTGGGGGCTAAGGTGGGTGGATCACCTGAGGTCAGGAGTTCAAGACCAGCCTGACCAATATGGAAAAACCCTGTCTCTACTGAAAATACAAAATTAGCCAGGCTTGGTGGTGCATGCCTGTAATCCCAGCTACTCGGGACACTGAGGCAGGAGAATCACTTAAACCCAGGAGGTGGAGGCTGCAGTGAGCTGAGATTGTGCCACTGTACTCCAGCCTGGGCAACAAGAGTGAAATTCCATCTAAGAAAAAAAAAAAAAGTTTGTAGAAATCTGCTCTAGCCCCTCTAGAAGTGACTGTGGAGGACTATAGATACCAAATAGGCAGAGACACAATTCTGCCTGCATATTTAGGTGACAGTATGCACTTTACAGCATAACTGTGAGTTGGCTAGAAGCCTGAGAGGGAAAGTCCCCTCTAGAGTAAAGCTTGGTTGGCACCTTATTTGTTTATATTATGTCCGGTAATTCTAGGAAATATAATTTTAAAAAAATTCTCTTCAGCCCCAGAGAAACCACAATAATAGAAAAGAAAGAGGTTGGGCATGCTGGCTTACACCAGTAATCCCAGCTTTGGGAGGCCAAGGCGGGTCGATCATGAAATCAGGAGATAGAGACCATCCTGGCTAACACGGTGAAACCCCATCTCTACTAAAATAAAAAAAAATAAAATAAAATAAAAAAGACGGGCATAGTGGCATGTGCCTGTAATCCCAGCTACTTGGGAGGCTGAGGCAGGAGAATCACTTGAACCTGACAGGCAGAGGTTGCAAAGAGCTGAGATCACACCACTGCACTCCAGCCTGGGAAATACAGCGAGACTCTGTCTCAAAAAAAAAAAAAAAAAAAGAAAAAGAAAACTCTTTCATTACACAATTAAATCTGAATGTCAAATGTATTACAGTCAGTCTGCTTAAGAGATCGAAAAGACATAAAGATGGTTACCATAAATAGTTCACAAGTAGAAGAATTCACAGCACCATGTCATACATAGTTCATCCTAAATTCACCTGGACATTGGGGAGGTCATCCATATATGCTAATTGGTTATATTCAATGACAAAATAACCTTTTCACATCTTCCTGACAAGATAGTTCTGCAACTTGAAGCCAGCTGCCTGCTGAAGGCAGACTTTCACTCTTCTACAAAAGTGGTTGAATAGGGTGCTATCTTTTTGGCTACTTGCATTTTAAAGCAGTACCTCTCTCCTCCCTGAGGACGGGGTTACAGTACTCCGGCTTCCCCTCTTCTGGTGGCCAGTGTCCTCTTTTGTTTCCTACCATCTGCCACTGCGGTATGGACCACAGCACAGGGCTCACAGCTGGCAGCTCACATCATAGGTGAACGCCAATTGCCATAGCAGCACTTTAGTGTCACATCAAAGAGTGAAGCCTGAGCTGCAGGAAGAGAGCCTCCCTGGGTAGAACTGCACCTTCACAATAACGGAAATGAGAGCATTATTTAAGCCACAGTTTCTATTTATAATGGTGACATGGAAAATATACTGCTAGATTTCCAGCATGCATCCAGATAGAGATAGCTCCAAGAGTTCTCACTGTGACAGCCACGTCTTTCACAGACATTATGGGATACTAATAGGGCTTCTAAAACAGATACACAAAGCATTCTACAGAAAAACAGCTCTCACTCTGAGAAAGATTATATTGAGAGAAAAAAAAGAAGTTAAAAGCATCTTAAGAAAAAACTGAAATTAGATATAAGATTGATCAAGTCAGCCAGAAAATATTCCTGCAAAAACAATTTCTCTCTAAATACCCAAAGTGCATAGCTACTCTCAGCATGAGAAACATGAGTATTATGAAGAAAAGAGGTATATTATCAGCAGAATCATAAAATATTTTTTCTATCTCTGCTGCTCTCTAATTTTCTAGCCTTTGAATGCAGAATCTATATTCAAATATATCTGACAACTTCCACCAGCACTTTGATAAAAAATTAAAATCTGACTGTGTTAATATAGTGGAATATACATGAACCTGCAAGGTAGCTAACTGGAGAGCTACTACAGTTTTTGGGTGGCCACATCATCTGTCTTTATTTGTCCTACAATAGCAGCATTCCAATTTGTGAAATGAAAGACATTGAAATTATGCTTACTTATAATTATCTCTATTGGTTAAATTAATAAGCATAGCAGACTAATATCTACTGTAACAATGTGGTAGTAAAATTTCTTTGGATATTAGATATAAATATGTAAGTAGGAATAATTTTAACATACTAGTCATAATGTATGTAGGATTTTTTAAAAAATTTCTGTAACTGTATTTCAATTGAAAAACTTTACATTTCAAAAGTATGAATCACAATAATAAAAGAATTAAGGAATTCATTCAAAGTAGACATTGTGGCTTTATATTCATACTATTGTAGAAAATACTATTAAATGTATATGAATGCAGGTTGTCTAACAACACCACACATAACTATGCTAATTGTACTGAAGTAATAAATAGAAACCAAGGTATGACAATATACTCCACTGTTCAGTTTATAAACTGTACTATTTTTGCTTTTGTAGTGTAAGTACTTCAGCCTGTAAATAATCATGTTGGATAAACAGGTTTCTGTCAATCAAATTACCAATATCTTTTAGTCCTTATAATTCTGTTTTGCTAAATTTAATCCTATTTTTATGCTAAACTTTTGTGTGCTCTTGGAATGAGTTTTACTGTGAACAAATCTGTGTCAACTTTAAAAGACTAAAAATAATAAGAATAACCTTTTGCCAAAGCAGAAACAAAGCAATTAATCTCAGGTCCCAGATAAAGACAATCGTGAGTAAAAAAAAAATAAATACATAACAAAGATTTATTTAGCTGTTAATGATTTACATATATTTCAAAAAAAGGAGATAAAAATCTACACATAATCTAAGTGTTTTAAGAAAAGAGATTTTAGTAAGATATTTTCTCTTATTTTTATGTGGACTAATTAAGCCTCTTATTTCTAATTTATATTTTCTTTTACAACAGCTAGGTCTCTAAACATGTTCTTGAACTCATGGACATCTACATTTTGCACATTGTGCACACAGGAAAGAATGTTTACGGAAGAAAAAGCAGAAAAGAGAAAGGTGTTATATAAAATTCATGGGTTCATATGAATAAAGCAAGTTCTTAGAGACCTATGAAGAGATTTAGATTCTGACACAACAATAGTGGGAGACTACAACATCCCACAGGCACTAATAGACAGATAACTGAAGAAGAAAATTAACAAAACATTAGAACCTAAACTCAACACTTGACCAAATAGTCCTAATAGACATCTACAGAACTCTTCAGCTTGACAAAAATATAATTCAACAAAAAGAAAACAACTTGAAACCATACAATTACATAAAAATTAAACAACCGGCACTTGAATAACTTCTTGATAAATAATGAAATTAAGGCAAAAACCAAGAAGTTCTTTTAAACAAATAAGAACAAAAAAACAGGCCAGGGCTGGGCATGGTGGCTCATGCCTGTAATCCCAGCACTTTGGGAGGCCGAGGCAGGCAGATCATGAGGTCAGGAGTTTGAGACCAGCCTGGCCAAGATGGTGAAACCCCATCTCTACTAAAAATACAAAAATTAGCCCATCATGGTGGCACATGCCTATAATCCTAGCTACTTGGGAGGCTGAGGCCAGAGAGTCGCTTGAACCTGGAAGGCAGTGGTTGCAGTGAGTTGAGATCGTGCCATTGCACTTGGCCTGGGCAGCAAGAGCGAAAATCCATCTCAAAATAAATAAATAAATAAATATAAATAAAAATAAAAAACCAACACATCAGAATATCTGCAATACTGCTAAAGTAGTGTTAAAAGGGAAATTTATAGCATTTAATGCTAAAAAAGTTTGAAAGATCTTCATTTGACAACCTGACATCATAAATAAAAGAATGAAAGAAGCAAGAGCAAATCAATCCCTAAGCTAGCAGCAGACAAGAAATAACCAAAATCAGTATCAAGAAATCCAGGAATTAAGTCTATGAAAAAAAAAATAAGATAAATAAACCACTAGCTAGATTAATGAAGGAAGAAGGGATGATCCAAATAAACACAATTAGAAATAACAGGAGACATTACTATTGACCCCACAAAAATATATTTAAGTCTACTATTAATACCTCTGTGCACACAAACAAGAAAATCTAAAAAAAATGAAAATATTATTGAACAAATACATCCTTCCAAGAATGAACAAAAAAGAAATCAAAGCCCTAAATAGATGAGTAAGAAGCTCAAAAATTGAATTAGTAATAAAGAGCCAACCAACCAAATAAAGCCAAGGACCAGACAGATTCACAGCTGTGTACAAAAAAGTGCTGGTATTATTTCTACTGAAACTATTTTAAGAAATTAAGAAAAAGTAACTTTTCTCCAACTTATTATATAAGAACAGCATTATTCTGATACTGAAACCTGGCTGAGATTAAAAAAAAAAAAATCAGGCCAATATCTTTCAACATTCATGCAAAAATCCTCAACAAAATACTGACAAACCAAATTTAGCAGCATATCAAAAAAGCTAACCCACGATGATCAAGTAGAATTTATTTTGGGAATGCAAGGTTGGTTCAACATACACAAATCAAATCAATAAATGTGATTCATCACATAAACAGAACTAAAGACAGAAACCACAAGATTACCTCAATAGATGCTGAAAAGGCTTTTGATAAAATATAACATCTTTTATGTTAAAAACTCAAAAACCTAGGCATTAAAAGTACATACTTTACAATAATAAGTTATTTATGACAAACTCTCAGCCAACATACTGAATGGACAAAACCTGGAAGCAGATGGGTGCAGTGGCTCATGCCTGTAATTCCAGCACTTTGGGAGGCCAAGGCAGGCGGATCACCCGAGGTCAGGAGTTTGAGATCAACCTGGCTGACATGGCAAAATCCCATCTCTACTAAAAATGCAAAAATTAGCCAGGGGTGCCTGTAATCCCAATTACTTTACAGGCTGTGGAAAGAGAATTGCATAAACCAGAAGGCAGAGTCTGCAGTGAGCCAAGATTGTGCCACTGCAATCCAGCCTGGGAGACAAAGGGAGACTCTATCTCAAAAATAAAGGAAAAAAACAAGCTTGAAGCATTCATCCTCAAAAATTGGCACAAGGCAAAGATGCCTTCTCTCAACACTTCTATTCAACATAAAATAGGAAGTCCTGGTCAGAGCAATCAGGCAAAAGACAACAAAAAAAGGAACTTAAACAGAGAGGAAGTCAAGCTATCCCTTTTTGCAGACAACATAACTCTATGTCTGGAAAACTGTATAGTCTTGGTGGAAAAACTCTTTAAACTTACAGACAACTTCAGTATCATTAAGGATACAAAATAAATGTACAAAAATTAGTATCATCCCTGTAAATCAGCAACATCCATGCCAAATACAAATTATAAACACAATACCATTAACAATTGCTGCAAAAAGAACAAAATATCTAGGAATACAGCTAATCAGGAAGGTGAAAGATCTCTATGATAAGAATTACAAAACAACGCTTAAAGAAGTAAGAAATGGCACAAACAAATGGAAAACAACTTTACACTCATAAGTAGAAAATATCAATATCCTAAAAATGGTCATACTAACCCCAATATTTACAGATTTAATGCTATTCTAATCAGATGACCAAAATATCTTTAACTAAAAAAAAAAAAAAAACTATTGTAAAATTCATATAAAACCAAAAGAGTCCGAATAGCCAAGGTAATCATAAGCAAAAACAACAAAGCTGAAGGCATTAGATTACCTAACTTCAAATTATACTACAGAGCTACAGTAAACAAAGCAACATGGAACTGGTACAGAAACAAACTCATAGACCAATGCAACAGAATAGGGAGCCCAGAAATAATGCCACATACCTACTACCATCTGATCTTCAACAAAGATGACAATAGAAATGTGGAAAGAATTCCCTATTTAATAAATGGTGGTGGAATAACTAGCTAGCAGTATGTAGAAGACTGAAACTTTATTACACCATATACAAAAATCAACTCAACATTAATTAAAGGCTGAAATATTTATTTGAAAATTATAAAAGACCCTGGAAGATAATTTAGGAAATACCATTCTAGACATAGAAACTGGCAGAGATTTCATGATGAAGATACCAAAAGCCATTGCAACAAAAGCAAAAATTGACAAATTGGACCTAATTAAACTAAAGAGCTTCTTCACAGCAAAGGAAACTATCAACACAGTAAACAGACAACCACAGAATAATAGGAAATATTTGCAAACTATGCTTCTGACAAAGGTGTAATATCCAGAATCTATAACAAACTTAAACAAGTTTACAAGAAAAAAAAGACCTCACTAACAAGTAGACAAAAAACATGAAAAAGATGCTTTTCAAAAGAAGACAAACGTGGCTAACAAGCATGTAATAAAATGCTCATCAATAATCATTAGAGAAATGCAAAGAAAAACCACAAGATGCCATCTCACATCAGTGAGAAGGGCTATTAAAAAGTTAAAAAATAGATGCTGTCAGGGTTGCAGAGAAAAGGGAATACTTATACACTGCTGTTAAAGAGTGTACATTAATTCAACCATTGTAAAAAGCAGTGTGGTAATTCCTCACAGAACTAAAAACAGAATTACCATTTCACCAAGCAACCTCATAATTGGGTATATACCCAAAGAAATACAAATTATTCTATCATAAAGATGCATGCACAAGCGTGTTCACTGCAGCACTAGTCACAATAACAAAGACATGGAATCAACTTGAATGCCTATCAATGGTAGACTGAATAAAGAAAATACGGTATGATCAGGCACAATGGCTCATGCCTGTAATCCCAGCACTTTGAGAGGCCAAGGCAGGTGGATTGCCTGAGCTCAGGAGTTTAAGACCACCCTGAGCAATATGGAAAAATCCCATCTCTAAAAAAATACGAAAAGAAAAATTAGCTAGGTTTAGTGGTGCATGCCTGTAGTCCCAGCTACTTGGAAGTCTGAGGTACAAGAGGATTGCTTGGCCTGGCGGGATGGCTCACACCTGTAACCCCAGCACTTTGGGAGGCCGAGGCAGGCAGATCACCACGTCAGGAATTCAAGACCATCCTGGCCAACATGGTGAAATCCTGTCCCTACTAAAAATACAAAAATTAGCTGGGCATGATGGTGGTGGGCACCTGTAATAGCAGCTATTCAGGAAGCTGAGACAGAAGAATCACCTGAGCTCCGGAGGAGGAAGTTGCACTGAACCAAAATCACGCCATTGCACTCCAGTCTGGGCAACAAAAGTGAGACTGTCTCAAAAGAAAAAAAAAAAGAAGATTGCTTGAGCCTGGAAGGTTGAGGCTGCAGTGAGCCAAGATCATGCCACTGCACTTCAGCCTAGGCAACAGACTGAGACCCTGTCTCCAAACAAAATACATAACATAATATAAAATACAAAGAAAATAAAATACAAATACAATACAATAAAATACAAATAAAACAAGAGCAAAACTCAGTCTCAAAAAAAAAAAAAGATATAACCCCAAAAAAGTGAAATAAATGTATTGAACCAAGAAAAAAGGTGGGAAAAGATGAAGCACAAAGGTGAGAAACAGCTGTGATCAATAAAATTCTCATCCTTTGTGTTCTCCAGGAAGACTTTAAGGGAAAAAAAAAAAAAAAAAAAAGAAAGCCACCTCTTTCCATTATGACTGAAATGGTGCTGTTTTCTTACCTATCACACAGCCAGAAAAACGCTTTGTACTTTTTCTTTTTACTCACTGAAAAACAAGCTGACTTTGTCTTCAGTAGTCAACATAAAATACTTCTTAATCAAGCTTAGGTTTATTCTCTTCCCACAGGATATGAACTTTGAGCTTACCCTCAGTCTGAGCCACCATACAACCCCATTTTATGTCCCTCCTAAGAACATACTGACGTCCGGGTAAAACATTCTCTAATCTAAAATCTGATTTTATTACACTCAATTTAAACATTCCCCTCCAACCTCCTTTCTAATCTTGTTTGCTTTTCTCTGGAAGGCAAAGCCCTTTTCTGCCTAATCTTTGCAATCTTTAAAACTCTTGGCCTGGCGCGGTGGCTCACACCTGTAATTCCAGCACTTTGGGAGGCCGAGGCGGGCAGATCACGAGGTCAGGAGTCTGAGACTAGCCTGATCAACATGGTGAAAGCCCGTCTCTACTAAAAATACAAAAATTAGCCGGGCTTGGTGGTGCGCGCCTGTAATTCCAGCTACTCAGGAGGCTGCCTGGGTGACAGAGCTAGACTCTGTCACAAAAAAAAAAACAAAAACAAAAACAAAAAAACTTAGTTGCTACTTTCTCCTGTTGCAATACTCCTTCGAAATTCAATTTTTTATATACATCTGTTTTATTTTTAAAAGTCTAGAAACTGCCTCAAAACAATAACAACTCCATCTTCAGTAAGACCCTCCCAATCTCCTTTATATTAACCTTATCTGCATCTGCCTGTGGATCCCCAGCATTCCAAGGCTCTGTAGTTTCTCTCAGTATAGAGGCTTCTTCCATGTCTTGGATAATCAGGTTGGGAAATTTGCAGGGGAGGTTCCCCAAAAGGAACTGGGCCTTAATAACCTCCTTTTGCAGGCTCAATATTAGCCTCAGCTTGGAGTCACTGGGCTTAAGCTTTAATTTCCATGTCAGAGTTATTAACTTGGTTTGTGAAACTAAGTGTTAGAAAAATTCAGCAATATTACTCAAACACAGTGTTCACATAAGGGAAGAAACTTTTAAGGTGCTTACATTTTATATCTCAGTAAGAAAAGCAAAATCATTTATTCCTTTCAGACAATTATTTTATTATTTGTATGAAAAATCATGTAGTAAACAATCAGTCGGCAGGGCGCAGTGGCTCATGCCTGTAATCCCAGCATTTTGGAAGGCCAAGGTGGGTGGATCACCTGAGGCCAGGAGCTCGAGACCAGCCTGACAAACATGGTGAAACCCAAAAATTAGCCAGGTGTGGTGGCAGGCACCTATAATCTCAGCTACTCAGGAGACTGAGGCAGGATAATTGCTTGAACCCAGAAGGTGGAGGTTGCAGTGAGCCAAGATCATGCCACTGCACTCCAGTCTCAGAGATAGAGCAAGTCTCCCTTCATCTCAATAAGAAAAAAAAAAAAGAAAAGATTAAAATAATATAAAAATGTACACTCAAGGACAAATAGTTGATAAAGTGAATTAGGGAGGGGAAATTGGCATTTGGGAATATCAGACGAAACTGGAAATTTAGTATTTTGCTGTAAGCCAGAGTTAGGCTGGAGGAATATGGGATGAGGGGTGGACTTGAGGTCCTGCTTGGCACACATGTGAAAAATTCAGGGAAAAATCCGTCACCATTGGAGTGTGAAAATAATTAAGTGGCAGGCAATTAGACTGAGGTGGCTCTAGTCCCCGGATTTGTACTTCTAAAAAATAATCTAAACTCAAGAGCATTTTTTGGTAAATTACTACATTGCCGGAAACAAGCTTCAGGCTTAACCAACTATAAACTGCCAATTAAACTCTGATTACATAACCAAGATATTTCCACCCTGATGTGTAAAAATTAAGAAACTAGGGCTGGCGCAGTGACTCATGCCTGTAATCCCAGCACTTACGGGGCCGAGATGGGTGGATCACCTGAGGTCAGGAGTTCGAGAAGCCCCTTCCACAGACCATAAATTAAAACCATAGCTGGGTGCTCTACAATTTTTGAATCACCCTTTGATTAAATTATTTAATACTTTCATTGTGACACCCATACATTTTTAATAACCCTGAGTCAGGATTCTGCCCTGATGATTCTCCCGTGGTCCCTGCACAATCTGGGAGAGATGTGGCGCTACTGGTGCAGAGCTGCCCAGAGAGGGCTCCAGGACATGGCACAGCCAATGCACTGGGAAGACAGGACGCCCGGGGGCCCGGCTGTCAGCCTAGCTGCCATCTTATGGCTGCAGGGGACGGATGCCAACCTGGGCAAGGAGAACTCAGGGTGCAGATTGTGGAGCTGACTGCGGGGAGGCCTGAGTCCCACCACAGCTGCTTCCCACCAGTTCCAACCAGCCCTTGCCCCTCTCCAGATGTCGGAACTGGCAATCTCACCATTTCTAGGCTTTCAGCGGGTCCTGGCGTCTTTGCTGTGGATCTCCAGTACCTGCAGGTCACAGGGCCACACAGGCTGGGACTCTAAGTCAGAGGACACAGAGCAGTGAAGACGACACCTGGAGCTCCATCTGCAGCTAGAGACACAGTCCCCCCAACTACAACCTGGAAGTCGCTCTGTCTGCTCCAGTTGTGTGTGTGATTGGACAGTTTCCAGTCCAATGTCGCTGACTGGATATCGTTCAAGACCCCACCTTCTCAAGGCCCTGAGTGACAGAAGATGTGATCAGCCTAACACAAGAGAGACAGCCTAAGTTGCAGCCTTTTCAGGGAGGACTTCCTCCCTGAACTGAGCCAGGCCCACCCCAGAACATGGGAAAATTCTCTTTTTTCTTTCTTTTTCAATGTATTCAAAATGTGAACCAAAATATTTTATGTATATTAACAATACATAAAATTATTGTTCAAGAGAAAATCAGGCCGGGTCCAGCGGCTCACGTCTGTAATCCCACCACTTTGGGAAGCCTAGGCGGGTGGATCACGAGGTCAGAAGTGCCAAGCCAGCCTGACAAAGGTGGTGAAACACCGTCTGTACTAAAAATACAAAAAGTAGCCGGGCACAGTGGCGGGCGCCTGTAATCCCAGCTACTCAGGAGACTGAGACAGAGAATTGCTTCAACCCGGGAGGTAGAGGTTGCAGTGGGCCCAGATCATGCCACTGCACTCCAGCCTGGGCAACAGAGCAATACTTCATCTCAAAAAATAAATAAATATATACATACAAAAAAGAAGCTGGGGGGCAGGCGCAGTGGCTCATGCCTGTAATACCAGCACTTTCCAAGCCTGAGGCCAGCAGATCACCTGAGGTCAGGAGTTCTAGACCAGCCTGGACAACATAGTGAAACCCTATCTGTACTAAAAATACAAAAAATAGTTTGGCTTCCTGGTACATGCCTGTAGTCCCAGCTACTCAGGAGACTGAGACTGCAGTTAGCCGAGAGTGTGCCACTGCAGTCCAGCCTGGGTGACAGAGCGAGACTCTGTCTCCAAAAAAAAAAAAAAGTAACACAATATCATCTGTGATTTTGTTCCTTGATGACACTGTCTGTGCCACCCGAGAGCTTTATACAATATGTGAGAGAGTGGTAATTCTCTAGGACCTTGGCAAAAAGAGGAGACTAAGGATTGTGCTTGTTTTCCTAAGCCTAGCTAGGAGAGAGAGTAACTCTTTTATTGCCTGGTTCAAGGTGTGAGAATCATCATAGCAACTACAAGCTGGGGCAAGATATATGTCACAATTACATCAGTGAGTAGAGAGTAAGCAGAAGAGTCACATCACCTGGGGCTTGTCTAAAGATGTTACAATCTTTTTTGAAGGAAAGAACCAGACAGGAGAGTCATATCACATCACCTAGGTACCTGGTCAGGGATGCATTAAAATCTATTTCTATAAGATGGCTGCTGGTGGCAGGCAGACTGGATGCAGTGGCTCATGCCAGTTATCTCAGCCCTTTGGGAGACCAAGGCAAGTGGATCAACTGAGGTCAGGAGTTCGAGACCACACTGGCCAGCATGGTGAAGCCCCACCTCTACTAAAAATACAAAAATAAGCCCAGTGTGGTGATGCATGCCTGTAATCCCAGCTACTTGGGAGGCTAAGGCAGGAGAACCACTAGAACCCAAGAGGCGGAGGTTGCAGTAAGCCAAGATCACATCACTGCACTCCAACCTGGCTGTCAAAAAAAAAAAAAGAAAGAAAGAAAAAAAAGAAAAGATGAGCACAGGCCACAAGTCACATCTTCTGGGTGCTGGGCCCAGTGATATGTTACAAAGCTCTCAGTGAGCAACACCCTGAGAGGTGAGACACACACCTGGTGGCTGATCCCAGTGATATGTTACAATCTTTTCTTTGTGCATGAAGCATGTAGGCGAGGACAGTCATATTTCATAGGATATGGATCCAAAACATGTCACAAGGCCACCTGTGGGCAGGGCCCAGGGAGGAGCTTCCCATCCCGTAATGTCAGACCCAATAATATGTAACAATATGCAAAATATGCAAGGTCCAGTCAAAATACGAGTTACATCATCTAGGTGCTGGGTCCAGTGATACATCACAATTCCCTTATGGCAGGGTAGAGGCTGACGAAGAGTCACATCACTACCTAGGTGATGAATGAAAAGGTATTTCATAATACTCTTGTGGTCAGGGCTTACGTAGAAGACACATCATCTGGGTGGCAGACCCAGCTATATGTCACAATGCAAAATGTTTGTAGGGCCCAGACAAGAGAAAAGAGTCCCATCACATAGGTGCTGGGCCAAGTGATACATCACAATCCCTTTTTGGTCAGAGTCCAAGCAGTAGAGGAAGTCACATCACCTAAATGCTGCATCCAGCAACATGTCACAATGCCCTGAGAGGACAACCCAGGAAGAAAAGTCACATCACCTTGGTAAAATGCTCAGAAAGATGTTATAATGCTATCTTTTCATAGGGCTCAGGAAGAAAATGAGAGTCAGATACATAGGAGCTGGGCCCAGCTATATGGCACAATCACTACAGTAGGCAAGGCCTTGGCATGACAGGAAGGTCACATCACATAGGTGCTGGGCCCAGAGATATGTCACATTTCCTACTGTGGACAGGTACAGAAAGATAAGGAGAGACCTATCATTTAGGCGACTGGCCAAGAGATATGTCAAAATGACCACTTGGGCAGGAGTCAAGCAGGAATATCACAACCCTGTGGGCTGTGCCCAGTAATAAATCACTGTCGCTTCTGTTAGCATGACCCAGGCCCAAAGATATATTGCAATCTAACCTACGGACAAAACGAAGATAAAAGAGGAGAGTCACATAAAATAGTTGATGGGCAGAAAACTCATATCATCTATGGGCAGGGCGCAGCAATATGTCACAACGTATTATGTAGGCAGGTCCAAGAAAAAAAAGTAATATCGCTTTGGTACTTAGTTCATTAATATTTCACCATCTTTCCTGCAGGAAAAAGTAAGAAATAAAAGAAAAAAATCAACCATATGCTGTGAAAGGTCACGATTCTTCCTGTGAGCAGAGACCAGGTAACACAAGAGAGTCACATCACCTTTGGGATTGGTGCAAAGACATTCATTCATTCTTTTTTTTGTTTTGTTTTTGTTTTTTGAGATGGAATCTCACTCTATCACCCAGGCTGGAGTGCAGTGGCACGATTTTGGCTCACTGCAACCTCCACCTCCCGAATTCAACCAATTCTCCTGCCTCAGCCTCTTGAGTAGCTGGGACTACAGGCACCAGTCACCATGGCTGGCTGCTTTTCGTATTTTTCTTTTTTTAGTAGAGACAGGGTTTCACAATATTAAGCAGGCTGGTCTTGTACTCCTGACCTTGTGATCCACTTCCCTCAGCCTCCCAAAGTACTGGGATTACAGGCATGAGTCACCACACCCAGCCACAAAGACATTTCAAAATGCCGCCTATAGGCAAGGCCCAGGCATAAAAATTACATCCCCTGAGTGTCACACCCAGTAATATGTCACAATGGCCCAAGTGTGCAAATCACAGGCAGAAGAGTCACAAATTGTCAATGCAGGGCCCAGCGATGTCACAATGTCATCTGAAGGCAAAACCTAAAAGAAGAGAAGAGTCACATAAGCTAGGTGCTGGGTGTAGCAATATGCTACAATTTCTCTGTAAGCAGGGACCAGGCAGAAGATGAGACCCACATCACCTGGATGCTGGGCCCAGTAATATGTCAACCATCTTTCCTGTCTTTATTAAGACCCAGGCAGGAGAAACACATCATCTGGTTGCTGACCACAGCAATATGCCACAGCTTTCCATGTAGGCAGGGTGCAAGCAGAAGATGAGAGTCACATCTCCTAGGTGAGGAATGCAGAGACATGTCACAATGTCCCCTATAGGAAGGGCACAGGTAGGAGACTCTCATCCCTTAGGTGTTGAGTTCAGCAATATGTCACAATACCCAAATATGCGGAGCCTGAAAAAAAGAGGAGAGTCACATCACCTAGATGCTAGGCCAGTAATCTGTCACAATTTCTCTGTGAGCAGAGACCAGGCAGGAGAAGAGAGTAACATCAGTATGGTGATGGACATTGAGTTATGTCACAAGGTCCCCTGCACGCAGTCCCAGAAAAAAAAAGTTACATCACCTGGGTGTTTAACCCAGCAATATGTAACAATGTCTAATGTGATATATTGAGCCCCAATATGGCACAACATGTAAGGCACATTTGGGAGAGTCACATAACATGGGTGCAGGATTCACCCAAAATTGACAATACTTAAAATTTGTTGGGTCCCCAAAAAAAGAAGAGTCAAATCACCGAGGTGCTGGATCCAGTGATAAATCACAATCTTATCTTCAGACTGGGACCAGGCAGCAAAATCATATCACTCAGGTGCTGAACATAGGCATATGTGATAATCACTCCCGCAGGAAGGTCCAGTAATAAATTAACAATCCCGCACAGGTCCCAGTTCTAGGTAAGAGAATCACCACATTTTCTATGTTGGGTCTAAGTACAGTACTGACAATTTCACCAATGAACTGGATTGGCACATGAGAGCCTTCATTCCTCCTGTAAACTGTGTTTACTCTGGCCCTAAGCCCAGGTAAATTTTTCATGGGTCCAGATAGAATTTTCACCCGCTAAAGTACTGGATTTAGAAATAAATCATCATTCCAACTCTGGCTGGATGTTCACATATGACAGTCACAATTTTAACTGTGGATTGTATTATGGTGACAATTCTAACAATTGGTGGGGTGTGCACATGAGAACCACAATCTCACCTGTGTGCTGAACCCTGGAATGACACTCACTGTACCACAAGAGATGTGTATAGTATACAAGAAAGTGGTAATTTCCTATGACTTTGTACAAAAAAGGAGACCGAGGATCTTAATCATTACCCTAGGCCTAGCTATAAAAGACAGCACCTCTCCTATTAGATGGTTTGAGGTATGAGAGTCACCATTGCACCTGTGAGCTAGACCAAAATATATTTTACAATCCTACCTGTGAACAGGCAGAAAGGAGGAGAGTAACATCACCTGGGTTTTTGGCCAAGAATACATCACAATCTTTCCTGAGGGCAGGGACCAGACAGGAGTGTCACATCACTTTAATACTCAGCCAGGAATATGTTACAACCTTCTCCTGAAAGCAAGACAGGCAGCAATGACATCACCTAGGTGCTGAGCCCAGCAATAGGTAACAATGCTTTCTATGGTAAAAGGCCATGCAAGAAAGACACATTGTCTGGTACCTGGGCCTAGTGATAATTTTTCTGTGGGCAGAGTGTAGGCAAAAATGGAGAGTCACATCTCCTAGGTGACTGATGCAGAGATATGTCACAAGGCCCTGTAGAAAGGGCCCAAGCAGAAGCCTCCCTTTTTATAGGTGTTGGGGCTAGTAATATGTCCTAACTTGCAAAATATTCAGGGCTTAGGGAAAAAAAGCAAATTCACATAACCTGAGTGCAGATCTTAGCAATATGTCACAATGCAACTTGTGCACAGCACCAAGGCAAGAAAAAAAGATTCCCATCACCTAAGTGGAAAGCCCAGCCATATGTCACAATGCCACCTGAGGGCAACACCAAGGCTGGAAAAAGAGTCACTTCTTTTGAGGTGCAGAGTCAAGAGATATGTCACAATCTCATCTGTGGGCTGGGCTAAGGCAGAAAAGTCAAATCACTAAAACGCTTAGCAGACACATTCAATCACATCTGAAAGAAAGTCCAGGAATGAGATTAGAAATTCCATACGTGTCCACGTTCTAGATATGGGAGTCAATACCTCCTGTATATTGGGTCTAAGTACATGAGTAACAATCTCAATAGCTGACAGAATTTTTGCAAGAGAGCCAAAATTTCTTCTGCAGACCGTCAGTGCAGTCACAGCCTCATATGTGTGCTGAAATTTGGTCTCAGAGTCACCAGTCCACCTGTTGACCAGGCCCATATATGAGACTCAATTCTGCAACTATCAACAGACTCCATATTTGAGATTCAGAACCTCAACAGTGGGATATGTTTGTGTGGGAGAATGACAGTCTTTACTGTTGTCTGAGTGTGCATGCAAGAGACAGTATCCACCTGTGTGCTGTGTACTCCTACGACATTATCTGTGTCACCTGAGGGCTTCATACAATAGGCAACAGTGGTGATCCTCTGTGACCTTCATACAAGAAGGAAATCCAGAACCTTTTCTGTGGTTCTAAGCCCAGAGTCAACATCTCTCTAATTGGCTGAGTCCAGATAATAGAGTCCTCACCTTCCTATGAGCTAGGTTTAGAAATGAGTCACCATCTCAACTGCGGCCAGATGTTCACATATGACAGTCAAAGTTCCAACTGTGGAGTGCATTCATGTGAGATTCAGGACCTCACCCAGTGGGCTCTGCCCATGTGTGAGGGTGACAATTCTAAAGGTTGGTGGGCTGTGCATAGGACAAATGCAATCTCATCTGCATGGTGGACCCTGTTATGACATTCTCTATAACACACTAGGGCTTTACAGATGTGAGAGAGTGGTAATTCTCTATGACATTTGTACAGAAAGAAGAGCCAGGATATTCTTTGTTTTCCTAAGCGTAGCTGTGAGCAACATTATCTCTCCTACTGGCTTCTTTGAGGTATGAGAGTCATCATTACATCTGTGTGCTTTGTCAAGTTATATGTCACAATTCCACCTGTGGGTAGAGAACAAACACAAGAGTCACATCAACTGTGTGCTGGGCCAGGGTTATGTCACAATCTTCCCCGAGAGCATGCACCAGGCAGAAGAGTCACATCACAGGGTTCTCAACCAGAGATGTTACAATCCTCTCCTGAAAGCAGGACACAGGAAAAAGAGTAAGATCACCTGCATGCTGGGCTCAGATATATGTCACAAGACTCACTGTGGGCAAAGTCCAGAAGGACAGACAGAACAGCTGGTTGCTTGACCCAGCAATATGTCACAATCTTCTCTATGGGCAGAATGCAGGCAGAAGTATAGGGTTTCATCTCCCAGGTGATGGATTAAAAAAATACATCCCAAGGCTCTCTGTGGGAAGGGCTCAGGCAGAAACTTTCCAACCCCTAGGTGTTTGCTTCAGTGATATGTCACAATAACCAAAATATGCAGGTTTCAGGCAAGTGAGTAAAGTCATATCACCTAGGTGCTTGGTCCAGAAATCTGTCACAATCTTTTTTTTTTTTTTTTTGGCAGTGCTCAAGCAGAATAGAAAAGTCACATCACCAAGATAATGAATGAAAAGATGTATTAGAGTATTTCTGTGGGAGGGCCCATGCAGGAAAGTTGCATCACCATGTTGTTGGACCCAGAGATATGTTGAAATAAATGATTCCAGCCAGGTGTGGTGGCACCTGCCTATAAGCTCAGCACTGTGGGAGGCTAAGACAGTCAAATCACCTGAGGTCAGGAGTTTGAGAACAGCCTGACCAACATGGAGAAGCCCCGTCTCTATCAAAAATACAAAATTAGGTGGGAGTGGTGGTGCATGCCTGTAATTCCAGCTACTCAGAAGGCTGAGCCAAGAGAATTGCTTGAACCTGAGAGGTGGAGGTTGTGGTGAGCTGACATGGTGCCATTGCACTCCAACCTAGGCAACAAGAGCAAAACTCCATCTCAAAACAATTAATTAATTAATTAAAAGAAATACATGATGCATGCAGATCTCAGGCAGGAGAGGAGAGTAACACCATGTAGGTGATGGACGCACCTAAATGCACATCACAATTTCCCCTTAAGCACACCCCAAGCAGTAGCAGAGAGTCACATCACCTAGGTTCTTGGTCCAGCAGTATTTCACAATACCCCTGAGGGGATGGCCTAGGCAAACAAGTCACATTACCTAGGTGAGAAGCCTAGAGACATGTCACAATGTCTCTTGTGGGTAGGGCTCATAGACAAGAGGAGAGACATAGCCTAGGTGCTGGGCTCAGCTTTATATTCCAATCAACCCAGTTGGAAGAAGTCAAGAATGAAGAGGAGTCACATCACACAGGAGCTATGTCACGTGGCATATCACAATTCCCACTGTGGACAAACCCCAGAAGAAAAGAGTCACATTATCTAGGTGGGAGGCCCAAACATATATCACAGTGACTCCTGTGTGCAGGGACCAGGCAAAATAATTACATCACTGTTTTGCTTGCCCCAGCAATAAGTCACTCTCTATTCTGTGGGCATGGCCCCGGCAGAAGAGGAATGTCACATCACGTAGGTATAAAGGGCATTTACCTGAGCTTGGTCTATAGGAGAGATTGTAATGGGTGAAGAAATATGTCACAATGCTCCCTGTAGTCAGGATTCAGGCAGAGGACTCACATCATCTTAGTGCTAGGCCCAGCAGTATGTCTCAATGCCTTCTAAGGGCAGAGCCAAAACAAAAGAAGTTACATCACCTTAGTGTTAGGGACAGTCATATGTCATAATCTCTTTTCTAAGCAGAACCTTAAAAAAACAAAAATGTCACATCAGCTAGGTGCTGGACCCAATAGTATGTCCCAATACCCCCTGTGATTAGGGAACAGGCAGGAAAAGTAAATCACATTTCCAGGGTGATTGGTGAAGACATACAGTACAATCCCCTCTGTAGACAGGTCCAGGATGAAGCGTTACATCACCTGGGTGTTGGACTCAGCAATGTTACAATGGCCTATATGTTTAGGGCAAAAGCAAAAGATTCTCATAACACAGACCCAGCAATATGTCACAATACACCTGTGGGTAGCACCAAGGCAGAAGAGGAGACTCAAACCACCTGGGTGCAACACCCTGTGATATGTCACAATGACCCTTGTGGGCTGTATCAAGGCAGAATAGAATCACATTACCAAGGGTCTGGGTCCAGTGATACAGCACTGTGAACTGGGCCCAGGAAAAAGAGACAAATAACTCAGATGCTGGGCCAAGGTGTATGTCACAAGACATTTGTAGAAAGGTCTTGTGATGACATTAACAATTACACACATGTCCTGAGTCAAGGGATGAGAATCAACACCTCCTGTATGTTGGGTCTAAGTACAGGGGTTACAGTCTCAATGGTGGACTGGATTTGTGCATGAGAGCCTCAATTTCCTTTGCAAATTATGTGCCTTAGGCTGGGCATGGTGGCTTACACCTGTAATCCCACCACCTTGGGAGGCCGAGGTGGGCAGATCACTTGAGGTCAGGAGTTCGAGACCAGCCTGACCAACATGGTGAAACCCCATCTCTACTAAAAATACAAAAAATTAGCCTGTGTGGTGGTGGGCATCTGTAATCCCAGCTACTCGGAAGGCTGAGGCAGGAGAATCACTTGAACCCAGGAGGCAGAAGTTGCAGTGAGCCAAGATCACACCACTGCACTCTAGTCTGGGTAAGAAGAGCGAAACTCCATCTCAAAATAAATAAATAAATTATTCTCCTTAGTGAGGTTACAGTCACAAAGGTGTGTTGAATTTTGGTTACAGAGTCACTAACCCGAGGCCACGCATGGCGGTCACACCTGTAATCCCAACACTTTGGGAGGCCGAGGTGGGCAGATCATGAGGTCAGGAGTTCGAGACCAGTCTGGCCAACATGGTGAAACCCTGTCTCTAGTAAAAATGCAAAAATTAGCCAGGCATTGTGGCATGCACCGGTAGTCCCAGCTACTCTGAAGGCTGAGGTGAAAGAATCGCTTGAACCTGGTAGGTGGAGGTTGCAGTGAGCCGAGATCATGCCACTGCACTCCAGCCTGGGTGACAGAGCGAGACTGTCTCAAAGAAAAAAGTCACTAACCCAACTGTGGACAAAATCCACAAATGAGAGTCAATTTTCCAATTCAACTATCTCCAAAAGTGAGGTTCAGAACCTCAAAAGTAGGCTGTATTTAAGTGGATGACAATCTTTGCTATTGACTGGGTGTGAATATAAGTTTCACAATCTCACCTGTGTGCTTGGCCCTGTAAGGGCACTCTCTTGAGGACTGTATATGGTGTGCATGAGAGTTGCAACCTGCTCTGAGAACGTTGTGCTGCTCTGGACCCATGATCTTATAGAGTTACCATCTCAAATGTGGCCACATGTTCACAAATGATAGTCAGTTTTGTTTTTTGTTTTGTTTTGTTTTGTTTGAGACGGAGTCTCACTGTTGCCCAGGCTGGAGTGCAGTGGCACGATCTCAGCTCACTGCAGACTCCATCCCCCAGGTTCATGCCATTCTCCTGCCTCAGCCTCCCAAGTGGCTGGGACTACAGGCGCCCACCACCTCGCCTGGCTAATTTTTTGTATTTTTAGTACAGATGGGGTTTCACCACGTTAGCCAGGATGGTCTCGATCTCCTGACCTTGTGATCCGCCCACCTCAGCCTCCCAAAGTGCTGGGATTACAGGTGTGAGCCACCGCGCCCGGCCGATAGTCACAGTTTTAACTGTGGCCTGCATCTGTGCATGAGAATTATGGCCTCATCGGTGGGCTTTTCCATGTGTGAGGATGACAATTCTAAAAATTGGCAGGGTGTGTTTACATGAAACATGATCTGTCTGCTGGGTCCTATGATGACATGCTCTGTACCATCCGAGTGCTTTATACAATATACGAGAGAGTGGTAATTCTCTATAACCTTCATACAGAGAGGAGACCTGGGATTTTACTCCTTTTTGTAAGCCTAGCTGTGAGAGACAGTATCTCTTCTATTGACCGGTAAGAGGTATTAGTTATCATCAGACCTGTGAGCTGGGCTGAGATGTAGGTTACCAACGAACTTCTTGGCAGAAATCACGCAGGAGAGCGACGTCACCTGGATGCTGGGCCACTGATATGTAATTTCTTTTCCCTGAGGACTGTGACAAGGCAGGAGAGTCACATCATCTGGGTTCTCAACCAGTGACGTGTTACAATTTTCTCCTGAAAGTTATGCACATTCAGAAGAGACACATCACTTGGTGGCTGGGGCCTGAAGTATGTCACAATCTTTCCTGTGGGCAGGGTGCAGATAGAAAAGGCATCACATCTTTTATGTAATGGATACAGATATGTGTCACAAGAAACCCTGTGGACAGGACGAGGCCAAAGTCTCCCATTCTTCTAGGTGTTTGGACATGTGAAATGTCCCAATACCCAAAATACGTGGTTGCTAGACAGAAGAGTCGCATCACCTAAGTTCTGGTTTCAGTAATAAGTCACAATCTTTCCTTCTGACAGGGTTCAGGGAGGAGTCATATCACTTAGGTGATTAGCAAAAATAAATGTCCTAATAACCCCATGCTTATGATCCATGTGAGAGAGCTGAATCACCCATGTGTTAACCCCAGCAACATATCAAAATATACAATTTATGGAGTGTCCAGGCAGGAGAAGACAGTATCTTCACCTAGGTGTTAGGCCCAGTGATACATCACAATACCTTCTCTGACAGAGTCCAAGCAATGGAGAAGAGTCTTATTACCTAGGAGCTCAGTCAAAAAATGTGTCATGGCCGGGCGCAGTGGCTCACGCCTGTAATCCCAGCACTTTGGGAGGCTGAGGCGGGTGGATCATGAGGTCAGGAGATCGAGACCATCCTGGCTAACACAGTGAAACCCCGCCTCTACTAAAAATACAAAAAATTAGCCGGGTGTGGTGGCGGGCGCCTGTAGTCCCAGCTACTTGGGAGGCTGAGGCAGGAGAATGGCATGAGCCCAGGAGGCGGAGCTTGCAGTGAGCAGAGATTGCGCCACTGCACTCCAGCCTGGGCGACAGAGCGAGACTCCGTCTCAAAAAAAAAAAAAAAAAAAAAAAGTGTCACAAAAATCACTGAGCAGAAGGCCCAGGCAGGAGAGTCAGTCAAATTACCTAAATGAGGGGCTCAGAAATATGTTGCAATGACCTCTGTGGGTAGGACTCAGGAAAAACAGGAGAGTAACCTAGGGGCTGAGTAAAGCTATATGACACAGTCGCCCAAATTGATCGGCCCAGGCAAATGAAGAGTCTTATCACATAAGTGCTAGGCCAAGTGATGTGTCACAATCCTCATTATGGACAGTTCCCAAGAAGAAGAGTCACATCATCCAGGTGATGGGTCTAGAGATGTCACAGTAAGCGGTGTGGGCTGGGATCATGCAGAAGAATCGCATCACTTGTGTGTTGAGCCTAGCGGTAAGTCACTCTCTTTTCTGTGGGCATGGACCAGGCAGGAGAGGAAAGTCATAACATCTAGGTGTTAGGCCCAGAGATAGGTCACGATCTCTACTATTGGCAAAGCCCTGGTTAAAAAACAGAGTCACCAGGCACAGTGGCTCACACCTGTAATCCCAGTACTCTGGGGGGCCGAAGTGGGCAGATAACCTGAGGTCAGGAATTCGAGACCAGTCTGACCAACATGAAGAAACCCTGTCTCTACTAAAAATACAAAAAATTAGCTGGGCGTGGTGGTGCAGGCCTGTAATCCCAGCTACTTGGGAGGCTGAGGCAGTAGAATCGCTTGAACCTGGGAGGCAGAGGTTGCGGTTAGCCGAGATTGCGCCATTGCATTCCAGCCTGGGAAACAAGAGTGAAACTCCATCAAAAACAAAACAAAAAACCCACAAAGGAAAGTCACATCAAACAGTTGATTGGCCAAGAGATCTATCACAATTCCCCCAGTAGGCAGGGTTTAGGCAAGAGACAAATTACATTGGTTCTGGTCACTGCAATATGTCACAATGTCTTTTAAGGGCAGGACCAGGCAAAATAACTTTGCTGATGG
Organism: Homo sapiens; assembly: GCF_000001405.40. Lineage (NCBI taxonomy): Eukaryota > Metazoa > Chordata > Mammalia > Primates > Hominidae > Homo > Homo sapiens. The sequence continues at coordinate 23,778,049 of NC_000019.10, read as the reverse complement.
GCCTAGTGATATGTCAGTTTTTTGGGGGATAGAATCTACGAAGAAGAGACAAGTCACATCAGCTTGGTGCTGAAACCAGCAATATGTATTATTATCCCCTAGTGAACAAGGACCAGGCAGGTGAAAAGATTCACATCACCTGGGTGATTGGCACAAAGACATGTCACAATATCACTGGAAGGCAGTGGCCTGGCAGGAGAGTTACATCACCTGGGTATTGAAACCAGCTATACTTCACAATAGCCTAAGTAGACAGGGCACAGGTGGTAGAGTTCCATCACCTGGGTGCTGAGCCCAAGGATATGTCACAATGTTCTTGTGGGCAAGGCTCAGGCAGGAGAGAAACATTTTCTAATTGCTGGGTCCAGTGATGTCACAATCTTCTCTGTGGGAAGAATGCAGGCAGAAGAGGAAAGTCACATCTACATCTTTCTAGGTAATAAAACCAGAAGACAGGCCACAAAGCATCCTGTGGGCAGGGCCCAGGCAGGAGTCTCTCATCCCCTAGGTGTCAGGCCAAGAGATTTGTCACAATACTCATAATATTCCATGCCCTGGCAATAAAGGTGAGTTACATCACCTAAGTGCCAAGTCCAGGGATATGTCGCAATTTCTGTTTCATCAAGGCCCAGGCATAAGTGGAGAGTCATACCACCTGGGTGATGAATGAAAAGATACATCATCATACCCCTGTAGGCAAAGCCCATGCAGGAGAGTTACATCACCTAGGTGTTGGCCTCAACGATGTGTCAAAATACATAATGTATGCAGGGTTTAGGCAGGAGAAAAGAATAACGTCACCTAGGATCCTGGCCAAGCAATATATCAAACTTTCTTTTTGGTTGTATTTCAGGCAGTAGAGGAGAGTCACATCACCTGGGTTCCCAGTCCAGCAATATGTCACAATGCCCCTTGTGAAAATAACTGAAGGATAAGAGGAGAGTAACATAACCTAGGGGCTAGGCCAAGCTATGTGTCACAATCACACCTGTAAGCAGGGCCCAGGCATGAGAGGAGAGTCACATCAAGTAAGTACTGGGCCATGCGATATATCACAATCCCCATATGGCAGGTCCCAGGAAGATATCACCTAGGTGCTGGGCCCAGAAACTTGTGACAATGTCTCTTATAGGCAAACACAGGGTAGGAGAGGGGAGGGGATAACATCAAACATCTGATGAGCCAAGTGATATGTTACAATGCCCCCTGTGGGCAGGGTCCAGGCTGAAGACACACATCACCTCGGCATTGGGCCCATGAATGTTACAGTGCTTTCTGAGGGCAGGCCCAAGGCAAAAGAGTAATATCATTATGCTGCTGGGCCCAGCAGTTTGTTACAATCTCTGCAGCAGGTGGAGCCTAAAAGAGTCATACCAGCTAGGTATGGGGCCTAGCAATATGTCACAAGATGTTTTGTGAGAAGAAACCAGGCAGTAAAAGGGAGTCACATCACCTGGGTGATGAGCACAGAGATATGTCACAATGGCTCCTGCAGGCAGAACCCAAACAAGAGAGTTACACTACCTGAGTTTTAGACCCAGCAGTATGTCACACTGTCACAATGACCCATGTGAGCAAAGCAGAGGCAGGAGAGTAACATAAACTAGGGGGGAGGGCAGCAATATTTCACAATGTTCACTGTGGATGGCACCAAAGCAGGAGAGAAAACTCCCATCCCCTGGGTGCAAGGCACAGTGATATGTCCAAATGCCCCATGTGGAAAGCACAGAGGCAAGACAATGGGGTCACATCACCTAGTTTCTGGTCCAGCGATATGTCACGATTCATCTGTGGGTTAAATCCAGACAGGAGAGTAAAATCACTCAGGTTCTACACAGAAGCATCTGTCACAGTCACACGTGCAGGAAGGTCCAAGATGAGATTAACAATCCTGTGCATATCCTGCTTCTGTGTGCAGCAGCAAGGCATGAGAGGAGACTCACATTACCTGGGTGTAAGGCTCTGAGATATACTACAATGTCTTTTTCAAGTAGCACCAAGGCAGAACAGAGTTACATCACTTAGGCGCTGGGTCCAGCAGTGTGGCACAATCCTATTTGTAGGCTGGGCCAATTCTGAAGAATTACATTACTAAGGTGCTGGGCAGAAGTGTGTGCCAAAATCACACCTGCAGGAAAGACCAGGGATGACATTAACAATCCTGTATATACCCCAGTTCTTGGTATGAAAGTCAACACCTCCTGTATGTTGGATCTAAGCACACAAGTCACAATTTTTAGAATGAATTGAATCACTGAATGACAGACTCAATCCCTCTTACTGGCTGTGTCACCTTAGTGGAATCACAGACTAATAGGTGTGTTCAATCTTGGTCTGAAAGTCACCAACTTACCTTTGGACTGAATTCACTTATGAGAGTAAATTTTCCAACTTGTGACTGTCTCTGCATATGAGATTCAGAACCTCCAGTGGACTGTGTTCATGTGAAAAGATGAAAATCTTTACTGTTGGCTGGGTGTGCATGAGTGTGAAAACCTAAACTCTACACTGAGCCTAGTTAGAACACTCTCTGTACCACCTGAGGAATTTATAAGGTACACGTGAGAGTCGCAATCTTTTGTGGCTGGGAGACTTTTCTGCTGCTATGGACCCGTGATCGTACCTGTGGCTCTATGCCCAGATATGAGAGTTAACACCTCTGTAATGGCTGGGTCCAGATATGAGAGTTGCCATCTACCTATAAGCTAGGCTTATTAATAAGTCACCACCTCAGCTGTTGCCTGATGTTCACTTACAACAGTCACAATTTCAACTCTGCACTGCATCCACCTGTAAGATTTAAGACCACACCAGTAGGCTCTGTCCATGGATGAAGGTGATAATCTTAACAACTGGCAAAGTGTGCATACACAAAAACAATCTCATGTTTTCTGCAACCTGTTAGGACACTCTCTGTACCACCCGGGGCTTCATACAATATGTGAGAGTGTAATTCTCTCTGACCTTCCTACAAAGGGGAGAGCCAGAATCTTACTCATTTTCCCAAGCCCACATATGAAAGATAGTTTGTCTCTTATTGGCTGATTTTTGATATGAGAGTAAACATCACACCTATGATCTGAACAAAGGTATATGTCACAATCTCCCCTGTGGATAGGGAGTGAGCAGGAGAGTTACATCATCTGGGTAACAGGCCAGGGATATGTCACAATCTTCTCTGAGAGCAGACACCAGGCAGAAGAGTTAAAACCTGGGTGCTCAGTCAGGGATAAGTTCAATTTCCTCCTGAAATCAGGGCACAGACAGTAGAGTCATATCACATGGGTGCTGAGACCAGTGATATGTCACAATGCTCCCTGTAAGCAAAGCTCAGGCAGAAGAAACATGTCATCTGATTTCTGGGCCAGAAGGTATGTCACAATCTCTCATATGAGGGAAGCCTTGTGTAAAAGGAGAGTCACATCAAATAGTTGATGCTCTTAAAGATGTCACAATGCTCTGTTGTCAGGGTCCATACAGGAGACTCATGTTACCTTGTTGAGCCCAGTAATATGTCACAATGGCTTCTGAGGTCCAGGCCCAGGCAAAACAGTAATGTCACATTGGTGTAGAGCTCCATAATATGTCTCAATCTCCCTTGCCAGCAGAACTCATGATGGAAGAAGAATCACATTTGTTTGGTACGGAGCCAAGTGATATGTCACAACTCCCACTGTGAGCAGGGAACAGGCAGGAGAAGAGAGTCACATCACTTTGATGATGAGTGGAAATATATGTCACAATGCTCCTTGTTGGCAGTAGAGTTATACCAGAGAGTCGGACCCAGCAATATGTCATAATTGCTTATGTGGTCAGGGGACAGTCAGGAGAGTCACATAACCTGGGTGTGGGGCCCAGAGATACGTGACAATGCATTCTGTGGGCAGTGCCAAGGCAAAGGAGGAGACTCACATCACCTAAGTGCAAGGCCCAGCGATATGTCACAATGTCCCCTGTGAGCAGCACCAACACAGAAAAATAGAGTCACATCCTTTCAGTTCAGGGTTCAGCAATATGTCACTATTCCATCTGTGGGCTGGTCTTAGGCAAGAGTCAGATCACTCAGGTGCTGAAAATGTTACAATTAAACCTGCAGGAAGGTGCAGGGATGAAATTAACAATCCCACACATGTTCTGGTTTTAGGAATAGGAAGTTAACCCTTCCTATATATTGTGTCTAAGAACAGGAGTTACAATTTCAACGATGAACTAAATTTGTACCTGACAGCCTATACTCCTCCTGTGGACTTTGTCTAATTAGTGAAGTCACAGACTCACAGGTGTGCTGAATCTTGCTCTAAGTGTCATCAACTCACCTGCAAACTGAATCCACATATGAGAGTCAATTTTTCCACCTCTGACTACCTCTATGTGTGAGAGTCAGAACTTCAAGAGTAGGCTATGTTTATGTGAGAAAATGATGATGTATGCTATTTGATGTGTGTTCATACAACAGTAAAAATCTCCAGGCCGGCTGTGGTGGCTCACGCCTGTAATCTCAGCACTTTGGGAGACTGAGGCGGGCAGATCATGAGGTCAGGAGATCGAGACCATCCTGGTGAACATGGTGAAACTCCATCTCTACTAAAAATACAAAAGTTATCTGGGCATGGTGGTGCGTGCCTGTAATCCCAGCTACTCAGGACGCTGAGGCAGGAGAATCACTTGAACCCAGGAGGTGGAGGTTGCAGTGAGCTGAGATCACGCCACTGCACTCCAGCCTGGGTGACAGTGAGACTCTGTCTTAAAAAAAAAAAATTTGATATATATATATATATATATCAAATTAGCCAGGCGTGGTGGCAGGCACCTGTAGTACCAGCTACTGGAGTGGCTGAGGCAGAACAATGGCGTGCACCTGGGAGGTGGAGCTTGCAGTGAGCTGAGATCGTGCCACTGCACTCCAGCCTGGGCAACAGAGAGATACTCCATCCAAAATAAAAATATATATATATATATACACACACATACACACAGGAGGAGACGGAGTCTCAGACTGCCACCTGGGCTGGGGTGCAGTGGCACGATCTCAACTCAATGCAACCCGGCTAGTACACTCTCTGTACTACTCAATGGCTTTATCCAGTATAAATGAGAGTCACAATTTACTCTAAAATCATGTTTGTAAGCACCCATGACCATACTTCTGGCCCTAAGCCCAGGTATTGGGGTAAACATCTCTCCAGTTGGTTGGGTTTGGATAGTAGTCCTCATCTGCTATGTTCTGAGTTTAGAAATGTGTCACCATCTCAACTGTGGCTGGAGGCTCATATATGACAGTCACAATTCCAACTGTGGACAGTGTTTGCATTTGAGATTCAAGACCTCAGCAATGGGCTCTTTCCATGTGTGAAGGTGATAATCCTAATGGTTGGCGAGGTGTGCATATTAGAAACAAGCTCACTTTTGTGCTGTGCCCTGGGATAACACTCTTTGTAACACTCAAGGGCATTATATGATATGTGGGAGGGTGGCAATTCTTTATGACCTTCATAAAAAGAGAGACCAAGGATGTGACTCATCTAAGGCAAGCTATGAGAGACACTATTTCTTCTAATAGCTGACTTGAGTTATGAGAGTAATCATCGCACTTATAAGCTGACTATAGTATATGTCACCATTTAACCTGTAGGTAGGGAGTTAGGAGGAGAGTCACATCACCTGGGATTTCAGCCAAGGATATCTTCCCTGAGGGAAGGAACCAAGCAGCAGTGTCACATCACCTAGGTGCTCAGCCAGGGATATGTTACAATTCTCTCCTGAAAGCACAGCACAGGCAACAGAGTCACAGCACTGTCACAATGCTCCCTGGGGGCAAGACAGAGGCAGAAGAGCCAAATCACCTTGTGTCTGGTTCCAGGGATATGTCACAATCTTTCCTGTGCAGGGCAGGGTGCAGGCAAGAAATGTCACATCTTTTACTTCATGGATGCAGATATATGTCACAATGTCCCTGTGGGCAGAGCCCAGGCAGGAGCACGCAATCCCATAGGTGGTAGGTCTAGTAATATTTTACAGTACTCAAAATATGTGAGGCACAGGAAAAACAGGTGAATCATATCACCTAGGTGCTGGGCCTAGTGATATGCCACAATCCTCCCTTCCGGCAGGGCCCAGGCAGAAAAACAGAATTACATCACCTAGGTGATGAATGAAAAGATATAACACCTCTGTGGGCAGGGCCCATACAGGAGATTTACATCACCAAGGTATTAGAACCAGCCACATGTCAATAACACAATGTACAACAGAAACCAGGCAGGAGAGGAGAGTCACATCACCTAGGTTCTGGACCCAGAAATATATTACAGTCCCTTCTTGGGAAAAGCCCAGGAAGTAGAGAAAAGTCACATCACCTGGACATTACTCACAGTGATATGTCCAATGCCCTCTGTGAAAAGCACTAGGACAAAAGAATAGATTCACATCACCTAAATGCTGGGTTGAGCAATATGGCACAACCCCGTCTGTACACTGGGCCCAGGCAGGAGAGTCAAATCACTCAGTTGCTGGGCAGAATTGTATGTCACAATCACATCTGGATGAAGGTGGAGGTATGAGATTAACAATTTCACACATTTTTTTAGTTCTAGGTATGAGACATAATACCCTCTGTATGTTGGGTATAAGTACATGAATGAGTCTCAATGACGGTCTGGATTTGTGTATGAAAACCTCAATCCCTCCTGCAAATTGTGTCATTTATTGAAGTCAACAACTCACACATGTGCTGAATCTTGGTCTCAGAGACACTGACCTCTCTATGGACTGAATTAACATGACATTCAATTTTCCAACTTTTGACTGCAGCTGGGTATGAGATTCAGAACCTCAACATTGAGCTGTGTTTATGTGGAAGGATGACAGTCTTTACTGTTGGCAGGCTATGCATATGAGTGTCACAACCTCCCCTGTGTGCTGAGTTCTGTTAGGACATTCTCTGTACCTCTTGACAACTTTACACAGTATGTGAGAGAGTGTTAATTCTTTATGACCTTCATACAAAGAGGAGGCCCAGGATATTACTCATTTTCCTGACCCTGGCTATGAGAGAAACTACATCTGCTACTGGTTGTTTAGAGGTATGAGAGTCATTATTGCACCTGTAAGTTTGGATAAGATATGCATCACAATCCCACCAGTGAATAGGTATTGACCAGTAGACTCACATCACCGCATTTTGGGGCAGTGATATGTCACAATCTTCTCTGAGGGCAGGGATAAGGCAGAAGTGCCACACCCACACATGGGTGCTTGATTAGGGTTATGTTAAAATCTCCCCCTGAAAGCAGAATACAGTCAGCAGAGTCACATCACCTAGATGCTAGGCCCAGTGATATGTTACAATGATCTGTGGGCAAGGACCAGGCAGGAAAAACAGATCACCTGATTGCTGAGACCGGTGATTCGTCACAATCTTCCCAGTGGTCAGGGTGCAGGCAGAAAAGGGGGGTTAAATCTCCTAGATAATGAATGCAAAGATATTTCACAAGGCCACTTATGTGCTGGGCTCAGGCAGAAGCCTCCATTTCATGGGTGTTGAACTCAATGATACGTCACTATACCCAAAATATGCCAGAAACAAGAAAAATAAAAGGGTCACATCACCTAGGTGATGGAAAGGAGACATGTCATAATACTTCCATGGGCAGTTCCCATGTCATAAAGTTATATCACCTAAGTGCTGAATCCAGGCATATGTCACAACACACAATGCATGCAGGGCTTAGGCAGAAGAGGAGAGTCATAACACGTAGGTGGTGAGTCCAGCAACACATCACAATCCCTGCTTGGGCAAAGCCCAATCCATAGAGAACTATGAGTCACATCACCTATGTACTGGGCTCAACAATATGTCACACTACCTTTATGGGGAGGGCCCATGCAAGAGAGTCACATCATCTAAATTATGGGCCCAAAAATATGTCAAAATGCTATGAGTATGGCTCAGGAAAATGAAAGAATCACATGACCTAGGGTTTAGGCCCAACTATATGTAACAAACACCCCAGTTCGCAGAGCACATGCATGAGCAAAGAGTCACATCACCTAGGTGCTGGGCCCAGTGATATGTAATAATACTTTTTTTGCAGTTCCCAGGCAGAAGAGGAGTGTCACATCACCTAGGTGATTAATATAAAGATATTTCATAATACTTCTGTGGGCGGGGCCCTTGCAGGAGAGTTGCATTACCTAGGTGTTAGACCCAGTGATATGTCTCAACACACAATGTGTGCAGGTCCCAGACTGGAGAGGAGAGTCACCTCATCTAGGTTCTTGACCCAGTGATATGCCACAATCCCTTTTTGGGCAGAGACCAAAGAGTAGAGTCACATCACCTAGATTTTGGGCCCAGCAATATGTCACAATATCCCAAGAAGAGGGTCCAAACAAAAGAGACACATCGGCCGGGCATCGTGGCTCACGCCTGTAATCCCAGCACTTTGGGAGGTCAAGGCAGGTGGATCACTTGAGGTCAGGAATTTGAGACCAGCCTGGCCAACATGGTGAAACCTCATCTCTACTAAAAATACAAAAAGTAGCTGACTGTGGCGGTGCATGCCTATAATCCCAGCTACTCATGAGGCTGAGGCAGTTGAATCACTTGAACCCAGGAGGTGGAGGTTGCAGTGAGCCAAGATTTTGCCACTGCACTCCAGCCTGGGTGACAGAGCCAGACTCCATCTCGAAAAAAGAGAGTCACATCACCTAATTAAGTGTCTCAGAGTTAAGACACAGTGCCCCTCATGGGTAGGGCCCAGGAAGAAGTGTGAAGTCACATATAACCTTTGAGCTAGGCCCAGCAATGTGTCAAAATCACTCCAGTGGGTAGGGCCCAGGCCTAAGAAAAGAGTCATATCACGTAGGTGCTTGGCCAAGCAATACGTCACAATCCCCACTGTGGACAGGTCCCAGGGAGAAGAGAGTCACACAGTCTCAGCGATGGACCCAGATATATGTTACAGTGACTTCTGGGAGTCAGCAGAAGAATCAAATCACCTGTATGCTAAACTCAGGAATAAGTCATTCTCTCTTCTGTGGGCAAGGCCCGGCTGAAGAGGAGAGTTACATCACCTTGGTGCTGGGCCCAAATATATGTCACAATCTCTTTTTGGGCAACGTTCAGGTAAGAGAGAAGAGTCACATAAAATAGTTAAAGGGGGCCAAGCACAATGGCTCACACCTGTAATCCCATCACTTTAAGAGGTTGAGGCGGGCGGATTGGCTGAGGTCAGGAGTTTGAGAACAGCCTGGCCAACATGGTGAAACCCTGTCTCTACTAAATATAGAAAAATTAGATGGGCCTGGTGGTGTGTACCTGTAATCCCAGCTACTAGGGAGGCTGAGGCAGGAGAATCGCTTGAACCTGCGAGGTGAAGGTTGTAGTGAGCCAAGATTGTACCACTGCACTCCAGCCTGGGCAAAAGAACGAGACTCTTTCTCAAAAAAAAAGAAAAAAAAAAAAAAAAAGCTTAAATATCTGTCCTTTTCAGACAATAAACATGTCATTTAAATATTTCCATGAGAGATAATTTAATAAACAACCATATGTGAACATTTCTAGAAAGTGTCAAGTTCCATGTCATAAAATTTTGCATTAAACTTGGATATCTAGACAACAGAATACAGAACAGAGATATCCACCATTACAAATTCTAGACTTTGAAAAAAAGAGGAGCTGATGGTTTGAGAAATATATACAATGCACCAATTAATCTATCATATTTGCTTGTGGAAATGTATTCACTTTGTATAGCCATAATGGAAAAAAGATTTTTCCTATTTCTCTTCTCTGGTAGCATTCTCAAAGCAAACCCCTGGGGTTCTATTTAAAATTACACAACCAGAAAAAAACATAAATTTAACAAATAAAACATATCACTAGATTTTTCTGAAATATACCTTTCATAGTCGTTGACTTTTTAAACATCTTTTAAGCTCTTCTGATGAAATGTAATTTACAGTTATTAAAAAACTGAAATTGGGCCGGGCGTGGTGGCTCACGCTTGTAATCCCAGCACTTTGGGAAGCTGAGGTGGGCAGATCATAAGGTCAGGAGTTCCAGACCAGCCTGGCCAACACAGTGAAACCCCGTCTCTACTAAAAATAGAAAAATTAGCTGGGCATGCTGGTGGGCGCCTGTAATCCCAGCTACTCAGGAGGCTGAGGCAGGAGAACAGCTTGAACCCGGGAGGCGGAGGTTGTGGTGAGCCAAGATTGTACCACTGCACTCCAGCCTGGGCGACAGAGCTAGACTCTGTCTCAAAAAAAAAAAAAAAAAAAAAAACTGAAATTGAAATAAGTGAAAAAATCTTTCCAAGGTGACAAACTCAGGAAGTGGCAGTGCTGATTGGGACACAAACATGTCTGACTCCACTGTCAAGTCAGACCATAATATCACTCAAAATATTCTGTCATCCCCATCCTGCCTATTAAATTACTCAGTGACCACCTTCCCAGGAGACACTTTGTACCCCACTGTGAGTCTCAGGTACATTTTGCTTGCAGGTTCTTGCATTGCCTTACTGGGATGGGATCTTCTTGTCCTTTGGAAAAAATTTTATTTCAAGAATCCAGAGAACAAAAATCATTTCTGCCTTTTCTCATCAATGCGAACATTTGATTGTCTCATCACCAATGTGTCTACTAAAAATAAAAATCAGGTTGAGAGGCCAGGCGTGGTGGCTCACACCTGTAATCCCTGCACTTTGAGAGCCCCAGGCAGATGGACCACCTGAGGTCATGAGTTAGAGACCAGCCTGGCAAACATAATGAAACCCCGTATGTACTAAAAATACAAAAAATTAGGCCGGGCACCGTGGTTCACGCCTGTAACCCCAAATCTTTGGGAGGGCGAGGCAGGTGGATAATCTGAGGTCAGGAGTTCGAGAACAGCCTGGGCAACATGGCGAAACCCCGTCTCTACTAAAAATACAATTAGCTGGGCGTGGTGGCACGCACCTGTCTACTCAGGAGGCTGAGGCAGGAGAATGGTTTGAAACCGGGAGGCAGAGGTTTCAGTGAGCCGAGATCATGCCACCGCACTCCAGCCTGGATGACAGAGCAAGACTCTGTCTCCCAAAAACACAAAACAAACAAGCAAACAAACAAAAATTCAAAAAATTAGCCGGCCTTGATAGCAGGCGCTTGTAATCCCAGCTACTCAGGACGCTGAGGTAGGAGAATTGGTTGAACCCAGGAGGTGAAGATTGTAGTGAGCCAAGATAACGACACTGCACTCCAGCCTGGGTAACAAGAGCGAAACTCCGTCTCAAAAAAAAAAAAAAAAACATTTGGCCCGGCACGGTGGCTCAGGCCTGTAATCCCAGCACTTTGGGAGGCCGAGGCGGGCGGATCACGAGGTCAGGAGATCAAGACCATCCTGGCTAACACGGTGAAACCCTGTCTCTACTAAATATACAAAAAATTAGCCGGGCAAGGTGGTGGGCGCCTGTAGTCCCAGCTACTCGGAAGGCTGAGGCAGGAGAATGGCGTGAACCCGGGAGGCGGAGCTTGCAGTGAGCCGGGGAGATCGCGCCACTGCCCTCCAGCCTGGGTGACAGAGCAAGACTCTGTCTCAAAAAAAAAAAAAAAAAATTAGCTTGAGAAAAAACTTCTTAACTGTTTACACACTTGTTCATTTTTATCTCATTGGGGGAAGACCTCTCAATATATTTCAGAGTCAAGAGGTAAAATTTTTTTAAAATAATTTTTTAAAGGGTACACTCTGAGGCTGGGCACAGTGGCTCATGCCTATAATCCCAGCTACTCGGGAGGCTGCGGTGGGAGAATCACTCGAACCTGGGAAGTGGAGGTTGTAGTGAGCCGAGACTGCACCACTGCACTCTAGCCTGGGAAAGAGAGTGAGACTCCATCTCAAAAAAAAAAAAAAAAAAAAAAAAAAAGGAAATGAAATATCCGCACCAGCAACATTAATACAAAAAGTTCTATTAAACAATGACACCCACTCAAATGTCACCTCTTCTATAAAGCCCTCCTTGATATTCCCACTGCTATGTTAGTGGCAGAATTGATCACTATTACCTTACAGCTCAATACCTTATGTCTTTTTATGTACAAGTATTATTCTCCAGAATAAATTAATTTTTTACACACCTATCCATGCTAATGAACTATAAACTCCTACACGGCAGGTATGTTGAACCCTGTTCATCTGTGTAATCCAAATTTCTGATACATAATAGGTGTCATACACACATAAAATCAAAACGCTATCAGGGAATTATTGGAAAAGCTAACAAATTATTTTTTTAACTTTTAAGTTCAAGGGTACATTGCAAATTTTTTACATAGGTAAATTTGTGTCATGGGGGTTTGTTGTGCAGATTACTTCATCGCCCAGGTATTAAGCCTACTACCCATAAGTTATTTTTCCTGATCCTCTCCCTCCTCCAATAGGCTCTAGTATGTGTTGTTCCCCTCTACGGGTCTATGTGTTCCCATTATTTAACTCCCACTTATAATGAGAACATGTGGTATTTAGTTTTCTATTCCTGTGTTAGTTTGCTAAGAATAATGGCTTACAGTTCCATCCACATTCCTGCAATGGACATAATCTCATTTTTTTTTTATAGATGCACAGTACTCCATGTTTTATATGTACATTTTCTTTATCCAGTCTATCACTGATAGGCATTTAGGTTGATTCCATGTCTTTGCTATCGTGAAGTGTGCTGCGGTGCACATACGCATGCATGTGCCTTTATAATAGAATAATTCATATTGCTTTGGGTAAATACCCAATAATGGATTGCTGGGTCAAATGGTATTCCTGTCTTGAGGTCTTCAGGGAGTTCCCACCATGTCTTCCATAATGGTTGAACTAATTTACACTCCCACCAACAGTGTAGAAGCATTCCTTTGTGAAAAAATAATTTTAATTTTCTAAGAGGTTAGCTTTTTAGACAAATAGTATACAAGGAAATTTTCCACAGGCCTAGGCCATCCAGTTGCTCTTCTGAGAGGCTACACTCTTACTCCTCAGACTGTCCTCTAAGAGACGACTCAGGGGATGATACTCATTAGACACTCCAAGATATATGGCCACTGTGGGTATGTTGAGTTACCCCAGACAGTTCTGAAACTCATTACCAAGAATAGACTAAAGGGCTGCTGTAAAGGCCCTGTAATTTCTCCAAAGCAAAACTTCAACCCAAAGACGTACTAGTAGGGTGTGTGTGCCTAGGGAAGATAAAAGAAGGAGAGGCGCAGACTTTTTTTTTTTTTTAAAGTGGAGTTCCAGAGGATTATTTTCTACTTTTTTTCTCACATAAAATGTTTACAGACTTGGGAGGCTGAGGCAGATAAATCATCTGAGGTCAGGAGTTCAAGACCAGCCTGGCCAACAAGACAAAACCCACTCTCTACTCAAAATATAAAAATTAGCAGGGCACAGTGGTGGCAGCCTATAATCCCAGCTACTTGGGAGGCTGAGGCAGGAGAATCACTTGAACCTGGGAGGCAGAGGCTTCAGTGAGCTGAGATCATGCCATTGCACTCCAGCATGGGCAACAAGAATGAAACTCTGTCTCCAATAAAAAAGTGTTTACAAACAGAAAACAAATCTTTAAAAACCTGCCATCCACTGCAGTGTAAAAACATGATTAACAATTAAAACACTGTGTCTGAAATGCACAATAAAGGACAAATAGTTGATAGTGTTGTAAATTGGAGAGAGGAAGTTGTTTGTCCTCATTTCCTACATTTGAGAATGTAGGAAAGAAAGTGGAAATTTATAATTTTACTGCAAGCCTTAGTTAAGCTAGGGGAAGAGGGTAGTGGATTAGAAGAAGTCCTGCTTGCCATACATTAGGAAGTCACAGAGGAAAACCAGTCCTCCTCCTGTGGAGTGTTAAAGTAATTAAAAAGCAGGAAATTAGACTGAAGTGGCCCTAGTGCCCTGTGTTCATAAGTAAAAAATGTAAAACCTAACTCGAGTTTATATCTTATAGATTACTATTTTAGGCGGAAACAAAATTCAATCATAATTGAATTTTATTAACCAATCATAAACCTGCAATTAACCTCTGATTACATAACCAGGAAATTTCCACCTGTATCATACAAATAAGGTGACTACATAACTAACCAATTCTTGCATTTGGTTTGCCTTCTCACACGCCCTTTATAAAACCCTTTGCTTTATGTCTCTCAGGTGGGCCACATACTATGGCTGGGGTGCTTTCCATTTCACCAATCACGGCTCAAATAACCTCTTTAAGGTTTTAACCCTGACTCCCTTTAATTTTTAAGAGAAGAGGCTTGGCGCAGTGCCTCATGCTCCTCCTAATCTTAGCACTTTGGGGGGCCAAGGCTGGCGGATCACTTGAGGCCAGGAGTTCCAGACCACCTTCCGCCATGGCGAAACCACTTCTCTACTAGAAATACAAAAATTAGCCAGGCGGGGTGGCGCAGGTCTGTAATCCCAGCTTCTCGGGAGGCGGAGGCACGAGAATCACCAGAGCCTGAGAGGCGGAGGTTGCCGTGAACACGCACTGCACTTCAGCCTGGGCGACAGAGCAAGACTCCGTCTCAAACAAAATGTTTAACAAAAGACACTGGGAGCCCCATAGGCTGCAGTTCTTCCCACGCAAACACCGGGTCGGGATTCTGCTCTTATGACCCGCCTGGCATCCCTGAACAACCTGGGAAATACTCGAGGCTGCGTGAAGAGCTTGCTCAGGGGGCTCCAGACATGGCCCCGCACGGACGGGGCTGGACGCTGGGGTCCCGGCTGTGGGCCCAGCCGCCATCTTGCGGCCAGAGGGGCCTGGGACGGAGCTGCGCCAGCGGGGACTCAGGTCGGCGACCTGGGAGCGGACTGTGGAGAGGCCGGTTCTGCTGGTTTCACAGCCTGGTCTCCCTTCTCGGGTTGCCCAACCCCGCACACTCACCCTTTCCCAGGTTCCAGGATGTCCTGGCTGTGCGTCTCCCTGCAGATCATAGGTCAACAGAGGCTGTAACAGAGTCACCAGGGGCTACCGAGGTGGAGGACGCGGAACAGAAGAGACCGATCCCAAACTCTGGCGGGAGCAAGAGGTAAAGACCCCGCGGAATGTCGGAAGCCACGCCCTCCTCTCCGGCTGCGCCCCTGATTGGGCGGTTCCCGCGCCAGCGCCACTGATTGGATAAAGCAACAGCATTCTCTCCATACCACCACCCGCCCCGCTCGGCAGTAGGGCATTTTACGGACAGTAAAGGTAAGGTAACATGCACAGGGAATTACAGCTAATTAAGAAGTAAGCTGAGACATGAAATGCACTTGCTCTTTTCCTTACCTGGGTCTTGTATAATGCATCTTATTTGCTACTTAAGGGTAAGAAAGAACATTTGGACTTTTTTTTTTTTTTTTGAGACCGAGTTTCCGCCTCATTGCCCTGGCTCAAGTGCAGTGGTGCGATCTTGGCTCACTGCAACCTCCTCCTCCCAGGTTCAAATGATTTTCTTGCCTCAGCCTCCCGAGTAGCTGGGATTACAGGCGCATGCCACCACGCCCTGGTACTTTTTGTATTTTTAGTAGAGATGAGGTTTCACCATGTTGGCCAGGCTGCTCTCGAACTCCAGATCCCAGGTGTTCCGCCCGCCTCAGCCTCCCAAAGTGCTGGGATTACGGGCATGAGCCACCGCGCCCTGCCCATTTGGACATTTTTTAATCATTTTCATAATGCGGGAAAGACCTTCATCCCATCCCTGAGCGCCTCTCTCACCATGCCGTACCACACTGCTGACCACATCGTGGGATGGCCATTAGAAATAAGGCGGGGGTGGGAGGCAGCCCAGGCTGAGAATGGTTTAGAAAGAATTATGTTACCGGGCCGGGCACGGTGGCTCACGCCTGTAATCCCGGCACTTTGGGAGGCTGAGGTGGGCTGATCACGAGGTCAGGAGTTCGAGACCAGCCTGACCAACATGGTGAAACCCCGTCTCTACTAAAAATACAAAAATTAACCGGGCGTGGTGGCGCACGCCTATAATCCCAGCTACTCAGGAGGCTGAGGCAGGAGAACTGCTTGCACCCGGGAGGCAGAGGTTGCAGTGAGCCCAAATTATGCCACTGCACTCCAGCCTGGGCGATAGAGCAAGACTCCATCTCAAAAAAAAAAAAAAAGAAAGAAAGAAAGAAAGAATTACGTTACCCAAATTTGTTCATCTTAGAAAGGCTCCTCAGTCATTCCATGTGAAGTGGCTATTCCAGGGTAATTGTGCCGTGACTACGCTGCATTTCAGTTTGACTTCTCTTTTTTAAAATCACTGGATTACTCTCACTAACGGGGATATTTAATTTTCTAATTGAACATGGCCAACTGTCCTTTGTGGATGTCCTGATTTGATTTGCTAGTTTAGACCCTGGAGGTAGGGGTGAGGAAATATTGGGTCACATTAGAATACCTTATCTCACTTAGAAGATATATAGGAATTTCTTAATAATATCTAACAGTTTTCTCAATACGCATTATATTTAACAGTGATAGTTTACAGGGCAAGAAGGGGACACAGAGGACACAACCTTAGAATTTTAATTTGGTCATAAGTGTTTCTGTTTTGTTTTGTTTTTGGAGACAAGGTCTCACTCTGGTGCTCTGGCTGGAATGCAGTGGCACAACCATAGCTCATAATTTGGTTGTAACAGTTCTTTAAAAAATATTGTTGGCTGGGTTTGATGGCTAACACCTGTAATCCAAACACTTTGGAAAGCCATGGTGGAATGATTGCTTAAGCCCAGGGGTTCAAGACCAGTCTGGGCAATGTAGTGAGACTCAGTCTCTACAAAAATTTAGAAAATTGGCCTTGTGTGGAGTTGCCTGCCTATAGTCTCACCTACTCAAGAGGCTGAGGTAGAAGGATCACTGGAGGTTGAGGCTGCAGTGACCCATCATTCAGCCACTACACTTCAGCCTGGATGACAGAGTGAGACCTCTATGTGTACACACACACACACATATATATATACACACACACAAACATATATATATATACACATATATACCCTATATATATGTGTATATATATATACACACATATATTTATACACCCTATATATATAATCAAAATAATATGTATGTTTGCCAGGCATGGTAGCTTACACCTGTAATCCCTGCATTTTGGGAGGCCGAGGTGGGCAGATCACCTGAGGTCAGGAGTTCGAGACCAGCCTGCCCAAAATGGTAAAACCCCAACTCTGCTAAACATACAAAAATTAGCCCAGTGTGGTGGCACGCATCTGTAATCCCAATTATTCAGGAGGCTGAGGCAGGAGGATTGCTTGAACCTGGGAGGCAGAGGTTGCAGTGAGCCGAGACTGCACCATTGCACTCCAGCCTGGGCAACACAGCAAGACTCTGTCTTAAAAAAAAAAAAATATATATATATATATATATATGTTGAAAGAAATTTAAGCACAGAAGAAAAGTGAAAGACTATGGTGGGGAATGTGATAAAAGGTGAGTGTGGCTGCTACAGCTCGGTGAGATTTGGTTTCCATCTTAAGGAACTGCCCTCCCACACTGAAACCACAACCCAGCACATGCCAATTCTCACACTATTTATACTTTGCACAAAGACAGCAGAAGGAGGTCAACATCATCGTTCATGACATGGAAGTCTATTCCCCACTGAGACATTTTAAAAATGTTATTGTCTTAAGCCCTCTTCCTTCTAATAAAGCCTATACAAATACACCCATACAAGCCTGAAACTACTCAAAATTAAAAATCAGGCTTTTGAAATCCCATAAATAAGAAAACACAAAAACAGCCACTTTGAGGAGAGAGTGGAATGGAGGGGGTTAGGGGGCTCGCTTCACCTCCTGGCCCCATGTGGAGATAGGGATGGAGTCAAGGGAGACCCTGGGAAGTCATTTGTTCTGACTGGGTTTTCCCCCAGCTCCACACTTTGTTAACCATTTCCTGGGAAGAGCTTAGGAACCTCCTGTGCTCTAGTGAGTTAGGGCCTCCCCTCACAGGGTATTGGCAAGGAGAAATTCTGAGACTCTGTGACTGAGAAGCTAGCACAGTGCTTGACAAGTACCTATGGGAACTGTCGTCCTCTGTAACTATCATGTAGCCTTGGAGTGTTGAGATGGCCTGGCCTGGCCTGAGGCTTGGCAAAGCTGTTTGAGGGTCAGCTGCTTTAGGCTCCCACTTTCTCCTCAATCAAAGTGGCTGCTTTTGTGTCTGTTTATTTATGGTTTTAAAAACCTGATATATAGGCCGGGCGCGGTGGCTCACACCTGTAACCCCAGCACTTTGGGAGGCTGAGGCGGGCCAATCACGAGGTCAGGAGTTCAAGACCAGCCTGGCCAACATAGTGAAACCCCGTCTCTACTAAAAATGCAAAAATTAGCCGGGCATGGTGGCACGCACCTGTAGTCCCAGCTCCTCGGGAGGCTGAGGCAAGAGAATCACTTGAACCCAGGAGGCAGAGGTTGTTGTGATCTGAGATTGTGCCACTGCACTCCATCCTGGGCAACAGAGCGAGACTCCGTCTCAAAAAAAAAAAAAAAAAAACCTGATATATAAATAGAAAGTGCAGCTGGAGGTGCCGAGGCTCAGTGTCTAGGGCTGTGCTTCATGGGCTTCCTTGCTGGCATGTGGCCAGGTGAACTCTGGGTGTAAGGTGGCTCCTACCCTGGATCTACAATCCCCACCACCTCTCCCAGGCCTGAGTAACCAACACAACGCAGTGCTAAAGAGCGCGTGAGTGACGGGCATCAAGCCCATCCAGGAAGATTTGAATGCCATCTGGGCTGGGGGCTGTCGGGGTAGGGACTATGGCTGCCAGAAACCAGGACGGTCATAAAAGATGAAATATTAAAATAATTGTTATTATATATATTTTTATTTTTGAATAGCTATCTAGTATATTATTTGAAATGCATGTGACCTTACACAGAAGGTTAAAGGCAAATACCCTGTTGGGTGGGCCTGGCTTAGCTCAGGGAGGGAGCCCTGTCTGAAAACGCTGCAACTTACGTTGTTAGTCTTCATTCAGCAGAGCATCTGATCACATCTTCTGTCACTCAGGACCTGAGGGGTGGGGTTTTAATCATTATCCAGTCAGGGACGCTGGGCTGGGAACTGTCCAATCAGGCATGCAGCTGGAGCAGACAGGGCGGCTTCCGGGATTGGCGGGGCCTTTGTCTCTCCCTTCAGCCCGAGCTCCGGGTCTCGTCTTCACTGCTCTGTGTCCTCTTCTTCTAGAGGCCCAGCCTCTATGGCCCTCTGACCTGCAGGTATTGGCGATCCATAGCTAAGACGCCAGGTCCCCCGGAAACCTAGAAATGGTGAGAATGTCGGGTCCGACATCCCGAGAGAGGGGAAGGGGCTGTGGCGGGACTCAGACCTCGCCGCAGTCAGCTCCACAATTTGCGCCCTGAGTTCTCCTCGCCCAGGCGGCCTCAGTCCACTTGGACCATAAGATGGCGGCTGCGCTGACAGCCAGCCCCCCGGGCGTCCTTTCTCCTCCCTGCTCAGTGACTGTGTCCTGGCCTGCAGCTCTCTCTGGGTGGCTCTGCATCCGCAGCGCCGGGTCTCTCCCAGATTGTGCAGGGACCACGGGAGGGTCGTCAGGGGCGAATCCTGACGGGTGCCGGGTTCATGAATGGGAAGAGCTTTGGTCCGTGGCGTTCCTAGTCTCTCTTTCCTTTCATTAAAAATGTATGAGAGTCAAAAGGCCTGGCGCGGTGGCTCGCGCGTGTAATTCCAGCACTTTGGGAGGCCGAGACAGCCTCCCGAGTAGGTGTAATTACAGACATTTGCCACCACGCCCGGCTAAATTGTTTTCTTTTCATATGGCCATTAGAAAAATAGATGAAGCAGTCATGGTCCCTACAATCCAGGAGCTTTTAGTCTAGCAACTGGATAAATGGTTAAATTAAGCATCATATAATTGGTACAATAAATAGATGTGTGCAGAAAATTTGGGCTCTATTTGTGCCACTTTATATAATTGTGACTTGCGATGTCATCACCTGAAGGGATATTTATAGACAGAAGAATTATTTCTATTTCCATTTCTTTTACCTTGTTAATACATATTTATCTTTTAATAAAATTACCCTAGAAAACCTTTATAAATGTGTTCAAATTGCTTATTAGTATATGTCATATAATTGATAGGGCAGGGTCTAAGAAAGATTAAAATTATACAAACTCTGAGATTTAAGGATTTTTTTTTTAAGGTAAGTTTAGGAAAAACAGAACTGGAAATACCCCAGTGGCATAGAGAACAGAATTCTATATAGAGTCCACTCCCTGCCCCAGTTCTGCTCAGGTTCACCTTTTTGGAGGCCTTATTTAGGTCTGGCCCTACCCTTAAGTCTTGCCTCATAGAACTGATTTTTGGAGATCGGAGTTTTGGCTGGTGAATTCTGCTGCTAGGGCTGGTGCTTACAATTCCTGAAACACAAAAGCAGATAAATTAAAAAAATAAAGTATATATTTTATGGTTATAATTTTTTATTAAAACTAGTGCTTGCATTCTATCTAGCAACTTGTTTTCTATTCTTACAGATCTAGTAGTTGCTCTACAAGTCACAAACAAGTAAACAGACACAATATAAATTTCTCTAAAATACATTAAATTCTTTCCGCATTCCTCTCTGTCTATATTTAGCTTTTATTGTGTATACTTTTTAAAAAAAATCAATGACAGAGAAACAGAAGAAATAAAAATGCCGGGCTTTTCATCTAAATCCTGGGAATTATTAAACAGTACCAGCTCCCAGGGTGTTATAAAAATTAAATTACATAATGTGTTATCCCAGGCACAGTGCCCTGTAACATAATTTTTTTTCTTTTTCTTTTTGTTGTATCTCAGCACTTTTAGCTTGTATAACTTTTATAAGCCAGGTGAGGTGGCTCACACCTGTAATCCCAGCATTTTGGGAGGCTCAGGTAAGTGGATCACGAGGTGAGGAGTTTGAGACCAGCCTGGCAAAGAGACCAGCCTGGCCAACATGGTGAAAGCCCATCTCTACTAAAAATACAAACATTAGCCAGGCATGGTGGCGGACATCTGTAATCCCAGCTACTCTGGAGGCTGAGGTCGGAGAATTGCGTGAACCCACGAGACAGAGGTTGCAGTGACCCGAGATCACGCCATGGCACTCCAGCTTGGGTGACAGAGCGAGACTCCAACTCAAAAAAAAAATAAATTTTTGTATAATTTTTATTATCATTTATTTCTAAGTATAGTCTTTTATAATATATTTTTTTTCTATTTTACTTTAAGTTTCGGGATACAAGTGCAGAACGTGTAGGTTTGTGACATATGTGTACATGTGTCATGGTGGTTTGCTGCACCTATCAACCCATCACCTAGGTTTTAAACCTGGCATGCATTAGCTATTTATCCTAATGCTCTTTCTCTCCTTGTCCCTCCACCCCCCGACTGGCCCTGGTGTGTATGGTTTGTCTCCTTGTGTTTATGTGTGCTCATTGTTCAACTCTTACTAATGAGTGACAACATGCAGTGTTTGGTTTTCTCTTCCTGTGTTAGTTTTCTGAGGATAATAGCTTTCAGCTGCATCCATGGTCCCTGCAAAATACATGATCTCATTCTTTTTTATGGCTGCATAGTATTCCATGGTTGTGTATGTACCACATTTTCTTTATCCATTCTATCATTGATGGGTATTTAGGTTGGTTCCATATCTTTGCTATTGTAAATAGTGATTCAATAACATATGTGTCTTTTTTTGGGGGGGGACAGAGTGTCGCTCTGTCGCCCAGGCTGGAGTGCAGTGGCATCATCTCAGCTCACTGCAAGCTCCGCCTCCTGGGTTCACGCCATTCTCCTGCCTCAGCCTCCCGAGTAGTTGGGACTACAGGTGCCCACCACTATGCCCGGCTAATTTTTTGTATTTTTAGTAGAGACGGGGTTTCACCAGGTTAGCCAGGATGGTCTCGATCTCCTGACCTCATGATCCACCCGCCTCAGCCTCCCAAAGTGCTGGGATTACAGGTTGAGCCACTGCGCCCAGCCACATATGTGTCTTTATAGTAGAATTATTTATATTCTTGTGAGTATATACTCAGAAATGGTATCACTGGGTCAAATGGTATTTCTGTTCCTAGATCCTTGAGGAATCACCACACTGTCTTCCACAATGGTTGAACTAATTTACATTCCCACCAACAGTGTAAAAGCATTCATATTTCTCCTCAGCCTCACCAGCATGTATTGTTTCTTGAATTTTTGATAATCGCCATTCTGACTGGCGATTTATTTAGGTCTGGTGTTATAGATCTAATGCCGCTTTCTTTTCTCATGGTTGGAGAACAAATTAGAGAATGTTCCTGTGTAAAAAAAAATTATTTTATTGGATAATTTCAGTCATTTCTGTAAGTCAGAACCAGTTCTCTTCACTTTCTTATTTTACCTTGAATCAAATTATAAATTCTTTCCATGGCCACTTTCTAAATGTGTATGTGTGTGTGTGTGTGTGTGTGTGTGTGTGTGTGTGTGTGTTTTTCAGGAACCATTGAAATTTAGGGATGTGGCCATAGAATTCTCTCTGGAGGAGTGGCAATGCCTGGACACTATACAGCAGAATTTATATAGGAATGTGATGTTAGAGAACTACAGAAACCTGGTCTTCTTGGGTGAGGATAACTTCAATATACAATTCCTATTATACCCTAAAGGTTTCATTTTTCTTTTTTGTATAATGTTTTTAGGTAATTTATGCTTTGCATAAGTGAGTTTCAGATCCCTGTTTTTATAAAAATCTTAGGGATTCATCTCTGTAGAAAAGAATTTCTTCAAGATATTTCATCTTGACCTGAACTTTCTGCATTCCTGAGCTAATCTGTATTCTTCACTCTAGATTAGAGTGGTAATTCCAGAAGTTTAGTGGCATAAAATATTATTGCTCACACTTTAAAATCTAATTGCCAACACCAGTTTTTGATTTGTTGTACTGGACAGTGAAATTAAGAACTAACAAATTTAAAATATTTTCTAAATATTTAGAAATTTCTTTTATAAATCAGTATTTTGGGATTGATTTACAAGAATATTCTATTTCACCCTCTTTACTGACTACATTGCCATGTTGGTGATTAGACAATATAAGCAAGATTTATGTTATTTACTTTCAATAAAACAGGTATTGTTGTCTCTAAGCCAGACCTGATCACCTGTCTGGAACAAGAAAAAGAGCCTTGGACTAGAAAGAGACATAGGATGGTGGCCGAACCCCCAGGTAGGTGAGAGTGAAAGTGAATACAACAGATAACATAGATGAGCGGTTCAAAGGTCAAAGAAAAAGCTAGTGCTTATAATGTGATTTGGGAAGCTGTATTCCAAAGGAAATAGTTTCTGGAAAGCCAGAGTTTTTCTTTTCTTTTCTTTTTCTTTTGAGAGATGGAGTCTCGCTCTGTCACCCAAGCTGGAGTGCAGTGGAACAGTCTGGGCTCACTGCAACCTCCATCTCCAGGTTCAAGCGATTCTCCTGTCTCACCTTCCCAAGTAACTGGGACTACAGGTGTGTGCCACCACGCCCAGCTAATTTTTGTATTTTTTTAGTAGAGACGGTTTCACTATGTGTTGGCCAGGCTGGTCTCGAACTCCTAACCTCAGGTGATCTGCCCGCCTTGGCCTCTGAAAGTGCTGCGATTACAGGCATGAGCCACGCCACCCTGCCGAGTTTTTCTATTTTGCTCTCACATAAGGGAGTCTTCTGTCTTACGCTTTTAAGTTCTCTCAGGACTCTGCTTTCCCTTCAGTGATCTGCCTTCTAGTTTAGAGTGAGAGCCAAAGTCTCCTTAATGGCATGTAAGAGACTGCACAATCTGACTGCTTTTCCATTGTTTTGGGGGACACACAAATATCTGCATAATTTTGAGAAACTCTGTTAAGTTCTTTTTTTGCATCATCTCTGAAATGTGTGAGAGTAGTAGGTTTTTGTTCATTTTTCTGCATATTCCGTCCTGTTTGTATTACTATAGTCTTCAAATATAGTTTGAAATTATAAAGTATGATGTCGTTCAGCTTTGTTTTTTTTTTCTCAAGATTGCTTTCACTATTCAAAGTTTATTGTAGTTTCATATATAAATTTTAGACTTGTATTTTTCATTACTGTAAAACGCCACTGGAATTTTGATAGGGAGTTTATTGAATCTATAGATCATTTTGAATAACATGGCACTTTTTTTTTTTTTTTTTGAGACAAAGTCTCGCTCTTTCTCCAGGCTGAAGTGCAGTGGCACAATCTCGGCTCACTGCAACCTCTCCCTTCCAGGTTCAAGCTATTATCCTGCCTCAGTCCCTCCGAGTAGCTGGAACTACAGGTGCTCACCACCAGGCCCAGCTAATTTTTGTATTTTTAGTAGAGACAGAGTTTCACCATGTTGGCCAGGATGGTCTCCATCTCTTGACCTCATGATCTGCCTGCCTCAGCCTCCCAAAGTGCTGGGATTACAGGTGTGAGCCACCGTGCCTGGCCAACATGGCACTTTAACAGTATTTATTCTTTCAATCTATAGACATGAAATATTTTTAAATTTATTTGTGTCTTTTCTAATTTCTCTCATTGATATATCTTTCATTGTAAAGATTTTCTACCTCTTTGATTAAATTTCTTCTCAGAAATTTATTTTAATGCTATTGTAAATAAGATTTTTTTTTGAGACAGAGTCTTGCTCTGTTGCCCAGGCTGGAGTGCACTGGTGCGATCTCAGCTCACTGCAACCTCTGCCTCCCGGGTTCAAGCAATTATCCTGCCTCAGCCTCCCAAGTAGCTGGGACTATAGGCACATGCCACCATGCCTGGCTAATTTTTGTATTTTTAGTATAGATGGGGTTTCAGTATGTTGGCCAGGCTGGTCTTGAACTTTTGACCTCAGATGATCCACCTGCCTCAGCCTCCCAAAGTGCTGGGATTACAGGCATGAGCCACCATGCCTGGCTGTAAATAAGATTTTTTAAATATTTTATCCGATAGCTTAAGTGTATGGAACCATAACTTGTACGTTAATTTAATATTTTGCTAATTTACTGAGTGTATTTATTAGTTTAGACAGGATTTAATGTACTCTATATATATACACATATACTATCATATGATCTGCAACCAGCAACTTTTTACTTACTTGTCTTCAATTTCAATGGCTCTTTTTCATTTTTTTGACTAATTCTTTTGCCACGTACTAACAGTTCTTTGTTAAAAGAGAAGCATTGACGATAGGCAAAATATAGTTTTGTATTAGTGTCTTTAAACTTGAAAAAGCAAAAGCCTCTTCAAGTTTTTATAACCTGTTTTCAGAAGGTAAAGGTCTTTTGTTGGGCCCCCAGGGTAATGAGATGCCCTCTGGGTTTGTAGTGGAGAGGGCATGTAGCTTGGTCATAAGGCTGCTGGGTCTGCACTAGGGTCCACCTTTAGTTGGCTTGTTACAAGGGGCTTGGGTAGTTGTAATTAACACTTTATTTTTTAGACAGACTGAATTTCTCTCAAGACTTTGACCTGTAGGGCAGTCACTAGGGCAGGTTTCTGCAGTCAGGTCTGTGTATATGGTTGAGTCTTATTTAAGAATGTGGATGAGTATGGCATTCACTGTGTATCAGAGAGGATTTTTCCAGGTCACTCAGTGGGCTTTAACATAGGCAGAACTGGCTGTGAACTGTGGCTTGGATGTGAAACTGAGTCATTGAACTGCTTTAAGGACCACAGTAAAGGCCAAGGTCTGCAGGCCTGCTGCATGGCTATAAGTGGGTGTCTTTCTCAAGGCCTCTGAAAGGGTATGTGACCTCTTACAGACTGTGGCTGGGAAAAGTCTGAGATGATTACAGAGTAACTTCAGAATGATCAGTAAGACCAAGTTGGGTAGTCCATTTCCTGGTCTATACTGAAAAATAGGAGTTCTGTAGTTTGCCACCTGCCTTCTGAAAAATAGCACTCCTCAGAATTGGGCATTAGCAGTTTCACAACTCCCTCCCTGGATCTCAAAGCTCTCCTAAAGGCACTTAATTTGGAGATTGGGTCTTGCTACATAACCCAGGCTGGTTTTGAAATCCTGGCCTGAAGCAATTTTCCAACCTCAGGCCGGGCGCAGTGGCTCACGCCTGTAATCCCAGCACTCTGGGAGGCCAAGGTGGGCGGATCACGAGGTCAGGAGATCGAGACCATCCTGGCTAATATGGTGGAACCCCGTCTCTACTAAAAATACAAAAAAAATTAGCCAGGCATGGTGGCAGGCGCCTGTAGTCCCAGCTATTCAGGAGACTGAGGCAAGAGAATGGTATAAACCCGGGAGGCAGAGGTTGCAGTGAGCCGAGATTGTGCCACTGCACTCCAGCCTGGGTGACAGAGCAAGACTCCATCTCAAAAAAATAAATAAATAAATAAAATTGTCTCTAGTTTCTTTTAAATGCTTATTGATTAAAAGTTTCTCATTAGAATCTTCTGTTTATGATTACACTCCATTTCCTTTGAAATTTTACTGCCATGGAGCACATGCCAGTTATTCAAAATACTTGCCTTCTGTGAACACAGTCACATATTACGGTTATCTAGAGAATAGAATTTTTTTTGTTTTCTTTTTTTTTTTTTTTTGAGACGGAGTCTCACTCTGTCGCCAGACTAAAGTACAATGGCGCAATCTCGGCTCACTGCAACCTCCGCCTCCAGAGTTCAAGCAATTCTGCTGCCTCAGCCTCCCGAGTAGCTGGGATTACAGCCATGTGCCAAAACGCCCAGCTAATTTTGTATTTTTAGTAGAGACGGGGTTTCACCATGTTGGTCAGGCTGGCCTTGAACTCCCAACTTCAGGTGATCCGCCTGCCTCAGCCACCCAAAGTGCTGGGATTACATGTGTGAGCTACCGCACCCAGCCTATTTAGATAAATTCTTAATGGTACATCGTTTTGCAAACCAGATCTTTTTTTTTTTTTTTTTTTTGAGATGGAGTTTTGCTCTTATTGCACAGGCTGGAGTGCAATGGCGCAGTCTTGGCTCACTGCAACCTCCACCTCCCAGGTTCAAGCAATTCTCCTGCCTCAGCCTCCCGAGTAGCAGAGATTACAGGCATGTGCCACCATGCCTGGTTAATTTTGTACTTCTTTTATTAGTAGAGATAGGGTTTCTCCATTTTGGTCAGGCTGGTCTCGAACCTTCAACCTCAGATGATCCACCTACCTCAGCCTCCCAAAGTGCTGGGATTACAGGTGTGAGCCACTGCGCCTGGGTGTTTTTTTTTTTTTTTAGAGATGCGGTCTCACTTTGCTGCCCAGGCTGAAGTGCAGTGGAGTGATTTCAGCTCCCATGTTCAAGGGAACCTACCACTTCAGCCTCCCGAGTAGCTGGGACTACAGGCACATGCCACCAGGCCTGGCTAATTTTAGTACTTTTAGTAGAGATGGGGTTTCCCCATGTTGGCCAGGCTGGTCTCGTACTTCTGACCTCAGGTGATTTGTCCACCTCAGTCTCCCTAAGTGCTGGGATTACAGGTGTGAGCCACCGTGCCTGGCCTACTAGTGTGTTTTTTTTAGTGTAGGTTTCTTAATATTAGTTTCTTGTGCTTTTTAGTTTTACATATGTATTATAATTTTAGACAATTTGCAATTCTGTTTGTACACTTTAAGTCAATGTGGGGTTTACTTAAGAGGTACATCAGCCATATGTCTATCACAATGAGAGTATATATGTTTGTGTGTTTATCTGTAAATATAACCACAGCTTTGGTTATGACTTATCTTGTATATATTCTTTCTTAGTTGTTTTTTGGTTTTTTTTTTTTTTTTTTTTGAGTTGGAGTCTCACTCTGTCGCCCAGGCTGGAGTGCAATGGCGCAATCTTGGCTAACTGCAACCTCTGCCTCCCGGGTTCAAGCAGTTCTCCAGCCTCAGCCACCGAGTAGCTGGGATTACAGGCTCATGTCACCACACCCAGATATTTTTTGTATTTTTAGTAGAGATGGGGTTTCACAATGTTGACCAGGCTGGTCTAGAACTTCCGACCTCAGGTGATCCGCTCACCTCGGCCTCCCAAAGTGCTGAGATTACAGGCGTGAGCCACGGTGCCCGGCCCTTTTTTTTTTTTCTTAGTTGATTTTCAGTGATTGTTTTATCTTGTCTAATTGAGTAGTCATGGAAATAGTTTTATTTTCACCATGTGTTTAATGATGAATATGTATTTGCTCTGTGTGAGACAAACACTTTTGTGATTTGAAGGTAATTTATGAAAAGATTTATGATTCTGAATTTTTTCAGATTTTTTTTGAGAAAAATTAATTGTAAAAACACATAACATAAAATGTATTGTCTTAAATCTATTGAAGTGTACATTCCAGGTTGTGGCTTACATGTGTAATCCCAGAATTTGAGGATCTTAAGGCAGGAGGATTGCTTGATCCCAAAAGTTTGAGACCAGCCTGGGCAACATATGGAGATTCCCACTCTACAAATTTTTTTTTTTTTTTTTTAACCCAGGCATGGTTGTGTGCACCTGTGGTCCCAGCTCTTTGAAAGATTGAGGGAGGAGGATTACTTGAGTCTGGGAATTTGAGGCTACACTTAGCCATAATTGTGCCACTGCACTCCACCTTACGTGATAGAATGAGACCCTGTCTCAGAAAAAAGCTGTACTTTTCAGACATGTTAAGTGTATTCACATTGTTATACAAAAGACTTTTAAAAATTTTACATCTAATAAAACTAAAACTCAATATCCATTAAGTAACAGCTGAACATTTTACCCTCTCTCCAGCCCTTGACAAATATCCTTCTACTTTCTGTTTTTATGAGCGTGACTACTTAAGATATCTCCTATAAATGGGATCATATAGTAGCCATCATTTTGTTAATGGCTTATTTCAGGTGACATAATAATTCTCGAAGTTTGTCTTAAAGTGTGACAAGATTTTTTTTAAGGCTGAATAATATTCCATTGTATTTATATGTTACATTTTTTGATGTATTTGTAAGTCAAGAAAGGGTTGCTTCAGTCTTTTGGCTTTTGTGAATACTGGTACAGTAAACATCAATATTCAAATATGCCTTCTAGCTCCTGCATTGCAGAGTTTGCATATAGATTTACAAATTGAATTATTGTATTTAATGATTCCATTTTTAATTATTTGGGTAACATAACATTTTAAAACAGTGGCTGCATCCTTGTTTTACACCAACAAATAACGGATTTTCAGTTCATCATCAACAGATTTAATGTTTTAAAAAAATTGATAGTGGCCATTCTAATTGGTTTGAGTTTTTTTCACGTGATTTTTATGCATTTCTCTACAAATGTAATTTCCTGTGTCTTTTCAAATGCTTTTTCCAATTTTTGTATTTTTTTGATTAAAATTTATTTCAATTATTAGTCCATTTAAGACTTGTTTATGTATTCTCAATATTAACTGCCATGGACCTTGCTGGACTGAACAAAGGAGGATGAACGTGGGAATAAAGACAAAGACAAAAGAGTGTATTTGGAAGAAGGGGTCAGGGGGCTCCTTGCTTCTAGTGAATAAGGGCCGTGAACTTCTATACCCCTTTGTATTTATTGAGTAAAGGAGATAGGGAGAAGGGGGTGGTTGTCTGTCAGCTGCTTTACTTAGTGCAGGCTTGCACAACTGCATTCTTTGAACAGTAGTCTCCAGATGTTCCAGTAGATAACCTCAAGGAGCATGGCACCAGGGAGTGACTGCCCTCAGCAAACCTTCTGGTGGCAGGCACAGATGTGAGTTTGCCCACATCCTGCATTCATGATAAACAGTTTGCTGTTTGATCATATAGCCTTCAGTGGAATGCTGAGTTGGTCATGACCCTCGGGCCTTTAGCTCCCTGCAATTAACTCTTATCACATATAATTTGCAAATATTTTTACTTATTTTCTACAAGGCATTGTCACTCTAATGTTTTTTTGATGTGTGGAAATTTTGTAGTGTAGTTACTTTTTTCTTTGATGCTCATGCATTTAATATCATATCAAAAAAAATGGTGCCAAGAACAACGTCATGTCATTTCTCTTTTTTTCTAAGAGATTTATTAGTTATTTTTATATGTTTAAGTATTTTATTTAAAATATTTTTTGTATATGATTCAAAGAATCCAGCTTTATCAGTGTTGGTGTCCAGTTTTCAACATGATTTTTTGAAGAGATTGTCTTTTCTCTATTGTGTGCTCATGGCAAAGTTGTAAAAGATTATTTAATCATATACTGAGGAGTTTATTTCTGGGCTCTCTATTCTGTTTTTTAATCTGTTTATCTGTCTTTGTGTCAGTACCACCTTGTTTTTGTAGCTATTAATATTTTTTAAAATCCAGAAGTATAACACCTCTTTGTTCTTTTTCATGAATGTTTGGCTATAGTTTATAATCAAATTTTAAAATTTTAAACAATATTCTTGTAAAACTTGTGCTTTGGGGATTTTTTTTTTTTTTTTTTTTTTGAGACGGAGTCTTGCTCTCTCGCCCAGGCTGGACTGCAGTGGCACGATCTCGGCTCAGTGCAAGCTCCGCCTCCCAGGTTCATGCCATTCTCCTGCCTCAGCCTCCCGAGTAGCTGGGACTACAGGTGCCCGCCACCACGCCCGGCTAATTTTTTTGTATTTTTAGTAGAGACGGGGTTTCCCTGTGTTAGCCAGGATGGTCTTGATCTCCTGACCTCGTGATACGCCCGCCTCGGCCTCCCAAAGTGCTGGGATTACAGGCTTGAGCCACCGCGCCCGGCCACTTTGGGGATTTTTATAGAAATTATATTGAATATATTCATCACTGTAAGTTATACAGACATCTTTGAAAAATTAAATTTTTTGACCCTTGAGTAAAACTATGTTGAAGAGTATGTGTTATTTTCATGTATATTTGGATGTGCCAGTTTTACTTGTGTTCTCAATTTCCAGTTTCATTCAGTCTTAGTCAGAAAACATTTAGTGTACAATTTTTATTTTCTTACATTTATTTGTTGTTGTTGTTGTTTTGAGACAGGATCTCTTTCTGTTACCCAGGCTGGAGTGCAGTGACTGCAGCTTCAACCTTCAGGGCTCAAGTGCTCCTTTCACCTCAGCCTCCTGACTAGCTGGAACTACAGAGATGCACTACCATGCCTGGCTAATTTTTTGATTATTTGTAGGGATGGAGTCTTACTGTGTTGCCTAGGCTGGTCTCAAACTTCTGGCCCCAAGAGATCCTCCCATCTTGGTCTCCCAAAGTGTTGAAATTATAGGCATGAGCCACAGCACCCACCTGGTATTCCTAAATTTAATAAGACTTGTTGTGTATCCTAACAGAATACACCAGGTGCAAATAAGAATATTGTGTGTTTTCTTGCTTTTAACTGGAAAGTAGTTTACATGTCTGTTAAGCCTAGTTTATCTATGGTACAACCTGAATGTTCACGTTCCCCAAACATCATGCTGCAACGCAGTCCTCAATGTTGGATGCAGAACCTGGTGGGAGGTGTTCTAGTCATGGGGGCAAATTTCTCATGAATAGCTTGGCATCACCCTCTTGGTAATCAAAAACTTTACCCTCTGTTAATTTAAATGAGAGCTGGCTCATTAAAATTACCTGGCTTCTTTATTTCACACTTGCTCTGTCCCTTACCATGTGATATGTTCACATAGTACTCACATAATTACTCTTTGTGTTTCACCATGATTGTAAGCTTTGTGAGACCCTCACCAGAAGTCGATGCTGGCATGCACTTCTTGTACAGTCTGCCAAACTGTGTACCAAATAAACTTTCTCCTTTTTCTTTTTTTTTTTTTGTTTTTGAGACATAGTCTCACTCTGTCACCTAGGCTGGACTGCAGTGGCACAATCTTGGCTCACTGCAACCTCCGTCTCCCAGATTCAAGTGATTCTCCTGCCTCAGCCTCCCGAGTAGCTGGGATTACAGGCATGCACCACCATGCCTGGCTAATTTTGTATTTTAAGTAGAGACAGGGTTTCACCATGTTGGCCAGGCTGGTCTCAAACTCCTGACCTCAGTTGATTTGCCTGCCTTGGCCTCCCAAAGTGCTGTGATTACAGGCATGAGCCACCGCACCCTGCCAACCTTTTTTCTTTATAAATTATCCACTCTCAGGTGTGCTGCTGTATGCAAAACAATTGAAGTTGGCAATTTACTTTTAAAGGCATTATGTTATATTGGGGAGCAGAAAGATCTATGTTGGGTAAATGTAACAGGCTTTTATTTTCTTTCTATGTGGCTCTTTGCATTCTGCTCACCTGGGTCATTGCACACACTTAACTAATTTATAAATTTTCCACAAATGTATTTTGGTCAATATGTTTTTGTTACATTTATATTTCTATTAAGAAATTAGGGCCTTTGGGCCGAGCACGGTGGCTCATGCCTGTAATCCCAGCATTTTGGGAGGCTGAGGTGGGCAGATCACGAGGTCAGGAATTTGAGACCAGCCTGGCCAATATGGTGAAACCCCGTTTCTACTAAAAATACAAATATTAGCTGGGCATGGTGGCACATGCCTGTAATCCTAGCTACTCAGGAGCCTGAGGCAGGAGAGTTGCTTGAACCTGGGAGGTAGCAGTTGCAGTGAGCTGAGATCACACTACCGCAGTCCAGCCCAAGTGACAGATTGAAACTCCGTCTCAGGAAAAAAAAAAAAAAAAAATTAGGGCCTTTGGTATTTTGCTATACCATCTTGCTTATGTAATTTGTATAATTGTATAGGTTGGATTTGTAAAGTATATTTAGAGTCTTATCAAGTGGAGTCATTTGTTATTTTTATTTCTTTCAGTTATTTGTTCTCATTTTGCCCAAGACTTTTCACCAGAGCAGAACATAAAAGATTCTTTCCAAAAAGTGACACCAAGAAGATATGGAAAATGTGAACATGAGAATTTACAGTTAAGTAAAAGTGTGGATGAGTGCAAAGTGCAAAAAGGAGGTTATAATGGACTTAACCAATGTTTGCCAACTACCCAGAGCAAAATATTTCAATGTGATAAATATATGAAAATCTTTCATAAATTTTCAAATTTAAATGGACATAAGGTAAGACACACCAGAAAAAAACCTTTTAAATATAAAGAATTTGGCAAATCATTTTGCATATTTTCAAACCTAACTCAACATAAAATAATTTGTACTAGAGTAAATTTCTACAAATGTGAAGACTGTGGAAAAGCCTTTAATGGATCCTCAATCTTTACTAAACATAAAAGAATTCATATTGGAGAGAAATCGTACATATGTGAAGAATGTGGCAAAGCCTGTAACCAGTTCACAAACCTTACTACACATAAGATAATTTATACTAGAGACAAACTCTACAAACGTGAAGAATGTAGCAAAGCCTTTAACCTGTCGTCACACATTACAACACATACAATAATTCATACTGGAGAGAATCCCTACAAACGTGAAGAATGTGACAAAGCCTTTAATCAGTCCTTAACCCTTACTACACATAAGATAATTCATACCAGAGAGAAACTCAATGAATATAAGGAATGTGGCAAAGCTTTCAACCAGTCCTCACACCTTACCAGACATAAGATAATTCATACTGGAGAGAAACCCTACAAATGTGAAGAATGTGGCAAAGCCTTTAACCAGTCCTCACACCTTACCAGACATAAGATAATTCATACTGGAGAGAAGCCCTACAGATGTGAAGAATGTGGCAAAGCCTTTAGGCAGTCCTCACACCTTACTACACATAAGATAATTCATACTGGAGAGAAACCCTACAAATGTGAAGAATGTGGCAAAGCTTTTAACAAGTCCTCACACCTTACTAGACATAAGAGCATTCATACTGGAGAAAAACCCTACCAGTGTGAAAAATGTGGCAAAGCTTCTAACCAATCCTCAAACCTTACTGAACATAAGAATATTCATACTGAAGAGAAACCATACAAATGTGAAGAATGTGGGAAAGCCTTTAACCAGTTCTCAAACCTTACTACACATAAAAGAATTCATACTGGAGAGAAACCCTACAAATGTGAAGAATGTGGCAAAGCTTTTAACCAGTCCTCAATCCTTACTACACATAAGAGAATTCATACTGGAGAGAAATCCTACAAATGTGAAGAATGTGGCAAAGCTTTCTATCGATCCTCAAAACTTACTGAACATAAGAAAATTCATACTGGAGAGAAACCCTACACATGTGAAGAATGTGGCAAAGCCTTTAACCATTCCTCACATCTTGCTACACATAAGGTAATTCATACTGGAGAGAAACCCTACCAATGTGAAGAATGTGGTAAAGCCTTTAACCAGTCCTCACACCTTACTAGACATAAGAGAATTCATACTGGAGAGAAACCCTACCAATGTGAAAAATGTGGCAAAGCTTTTAACCAGTCCTCAAACCTTACTGGACATAAGAAAATTCATACTGGTGAGAAACTCTACAAACCTAAAAGATGTAACAGTGATTTTGAAAACACTTCAAAGTTTTCTAAACATAAAAGAAATTATGCTGGTGAGAAATCTTAGAAATGTGAAGAATGTAACAAAACCTTTAAAAGTTGTCACACTTGATTGTGCATAAGATAATTCATACTAAAAAAAAACCTACAAGTGTGAAGAATGTGGCAAAACTTTTAACCAATGCTCACACCTTATTGCACAGGAAAGCATTTGTACTAGAAAAAAATTTCAAATATACAGAATGTGAAAAAGCCATTAATATCTGTTCACATCTTACTCAACATCAGAGATTTCATACTTAATAAAAGCATTATACATGCAATTACTGTCAAAAATCTTTCAGAAAATATAAGCCTCTAAAGTGAAGAGTATTCATTTTGAAGACACACATTATGAACATAAGGAGGGTTGTGGTACCTTTACTTGTATCACAGATCTCATTGTACACATTTTGTGCTAGAGGAAAACCATGGAGCAGTTGCTTAAACTTTGTGCAACATAAGGAAATTTATATTGGAGAAAAACCCTGCAAATGTAATAAATTTGGGAAAACATTTTTTCAAAAACGACAGCTTAGAAAACACTAGAGGGTTCATACTAAAATCTATTTTTGCAGATGCAGTAAATATGAAAAAATATTTAATCCAAAATTCTATGTAAATATCAGATAATTCACAGTAGAAATAGTTAAGGCACTGACACTTCAGGCATTACACTAAATCAGATTGCTGAGTATAGAAAAGAATCTAAAACTAAAGTTGGTAAATGAATTATTTGTATATAACATTATAAGAAGTAGAAAATTTTTGCAGAGTTGTAACTACATTCAAACTATCCTTTGAAAAAAATTAGGTTTTATGAAAAGTGAATAATGTCATTTAACTCAAGTTATGCTCTTCATTCCTATTGTATTCACATGTGAAAGCATGTGACTTAATTGTTGCTGCATCAAAGATGAGAGATTCTTTGTTATTAGGTGTGCATTATTTACGACCTTTTTTAGTGAAAGAGTTAAGGACATTAAAATGTAAGATGCAAGATGAAAATGTAAGTGGAGAGGCTCTTTCTGGTTAATTTATAATATTGACTGATGCATGAGGTAGGAGTTCAGATAAATATCCTGTGTTATATTGAGAAAAAAAATTTTCTGGTATATCATTTTACTAATTGTACTTTTTTTTTTTTTGAGACAGAGTTTTGCTCTTGTTGCCCAGGCTGGAGTGCAATGGTGTGATCTTGGCTCACCAAAACCTCCACCTCCCAGGTTCAAGGGATTCTCCTGCCTCAGCCTCCCGAGTAGCTGGGATTACAGGCATGTGCCACCATGCCCGGCTAATTTTGTATTTTTAATAGAGATGGGGTTTCTCTATGTTGGTCAGGCTGGTCTCAAACTCCCGACCTCGGGTGATCCACCCACCTCGGCCTCCCAAAGTGCTGGGATTACAGGCGCGAGTCACCATGCCTGGCCAATTGTACTTTTATGTAATAAAATGTAGTACATTTTAAAATTTTTAGATAATGTGTGAACTTATTAATCAGGCTTTTTAAAAAACATGTTAAGACCATCGTGCATTCAATGAAGCATTATTATGCCATTAAATTTAACTTATCCCATCTTACTCAAGGGTATAGGTAAATGATGGTAACTATACACTATTTAATAAGATAATGGACTAACATTTCTAGTAATCTGTTTTGCCAGTGGCTTTAAATTGCAAATAAGTCAGAGAATATTATTCCTGTAGGTTGAATTATTACTCATTTTTTCTTATTTAAACTTATTTTTCTTAATTTTTGTGGGTACATAGTATGTGTAAATATGGCATATATGGCATATTTTGATACAGGTATATAATATGTAATAATTACATATGGGTAAATGAAATATTCATTACCTGCAGCATTTATTGTTTGTATTTGTTTGTATTATAAACTAATTCTGCACTTTTCGGTTTTTTTTTGAGACGAGTCTCACTATGTCACCCAGGCTGTGCACGCCTGGGTGCATTGGCGTGGTCTCAGCTCACTGCAACCTCCGCCTACTGGGTTCAAGTGATTCTTCCGCCTCAGCCTCCTGAGTAGTTGGGACTACAGGCGCATGCCACCACACTCAGCTAATTTTTGTATTTTTAGTAGAAACAGTTTCACTACGTTGGCCAGGTTTGTCTTGAACTCCTGACCCCATGATTAGCCCCCTCGGCCTCCCAAAGTGCTGGGATTACAGGTGGGAGCCACCACACCCAGCCACTTTTAGTTGTTTTCAAATGTACATTAAATTGTTGTTGGCTACAGGGTCTCTTTTATGGTCATAAGAAAACAATATAAACAAAATGCATACATTTCTGAGACCTGAATTAACATTAAAAAATTGTTATATATTTTTCTTCAAACATGTTGCCTCTCTGCCTGCAAGCACATACAGACTATTAGTTTTGATTTACACAGAGTTAAATATATACATATATTACTTTAAAGATAAAGCTTGGGTTTAAAAAAATTATGGAGTAAATAAATGCCTTCTTTGCGAGTATGAGTTTCTACCTAGTTTCAGAAGAGCAATATTGAAACAAATCAAATTATTTTAATTAGATGATGACTGCAAAACTAAAAAAACTTAAAAATGCTGAAAACAAATCCATACTCTCTGCTTTGTATTGAATTGATTACTGTAAAATTGTATGGCTTATAATTCAGAATCTCCCTATGCAAATTTTTGTTTTTACTTGCCTGATTCTTAGGCTAGACCCATAATTTTCTTGTGTCTTACATTTTTTTCTCTTATTTTATATAAGATGCTATGTGAGCTGGTCAGAGATTATAAAAATAATTTTTATAAAATTAGTGCAAAAAATTTAGATTTAATTTCAAAATTAGTGTATTGTTATATTTTATGTTGTTAGAATATTTTATTTTGTTCTTTTAATTGGAGAACGCTGTATAAGCCTACTTTTTTTAGTTTTTGTTCCTTTCAGTTTTTATAATGAAAATAAGTAAATATTGATTGAGCCCATTTATTTAGGTGAGTACTAGGGGGGCTTCCTAAATCATGAGGATGTTTTTATATATAAATATAGCAAACAAACATGACAGTGCTTTCTGTGTCACAGATGCTTTATAATAAGCCATAAATAT
Source organism: Homo sapiens (assembly GCF_000001405.40). Classification (NCBI taxonomy): domain Eukaryota; kingdom Metazoa; phylum Chordata; class Mammalia; order Primates; family Hominidae; genus Homo; species Homo sapiens. Next base: position 23,740,545 of record NC_000019.10, on the reverse strand, counting down.
TCCTGTTGGAGTTAGTTTGTAACTTCAAGACAGAGATGGAACATATCAATTGTGAGAAATAACATTGATTTTTTATGTGGAGAGGACATTTATTTTCAGGCTGCAAAGCTCAGTTTTGCTGAATTAAAAAATTGTGCTTCTTTTATTTCCTAATTGTCTTAGTTTTGTTTGTCTTATTATGTGTATTTCAGCTGTGTATGCATCACAGCCCTCCTTTTTGCTGTGCTGTGGCTACAGTTTTCTCACTGTTCTCTTCACACCATGTCATTTCACATGGTATATTGTAGGTTTTGATGAGAAATCGGTATTTTTAATGCACTGCAAGATTGGTTTTAACTGGAGATTTTGCATATCAATATAATTTTCTGATCAGTTAAATTAAAACAAAAAGCATACAGTGTCCACAGATGAAAGGATTAAATCATTTAGCGTTGTTTTTCTCTGTTTGTTAAAGAATAATCTTATTAAATTCTTACACAAAGTGTGGCAAATATAAAATTTGCTTGAAAATATATCTTAGAAATTAAACTTTTAATTTAATTTTCTACAGTATACTTATGCCACAATGTACGTTTCCATGCAAAATCTTCTATTTGTAAGTGTGAACATTAAACATTGCAAAATAGTAAAATGACCTCTGTGATTTTGAAACCTGGAGTAATATTTCTTTTCCATATTCATATTACAATTTGAAGAAATTTTCTCAGTTTTATATGTTTTTTTAGTGGGTGAAGTTCAGTCTACAGTTTTTACATTTAGTCACCTAACTCTAGCCAACTTCTTGGTCATATTCTCTGGAAAACATTCGAAGATCATGGCAGCTTTTAGATAAAAACATTTTCTATTATTTTGCGTGCAAACTTGTTTACTGTGTTCACAGAGTGGCCAGTCATGAGACCATAAGAAACAGCTGCCCTTTTAGTGTCTTTCATACCGTCTGTAATATATAAATTGTGCATTTATTCTGTGAAGCATGACATTTTGAAGTATATACACATTGTCAAATGCTTCATTCTAGGTAATTAATGCTTTACCTAACATAGTTAACATTTTTGTGGTAAGAGCACATGACAATGTTTTAGCATTTTTCAGAAATACAAATACATTGTTATGAACTATAGGCACCATGCAGTACAAAAGCTTTTTTGAACTTATTTCTCCTATTCAACTGTAATTATGTATTTGACTGACATCTTTCTAAACCCCTCTTTTTTCCAAATATGTTGGCATCTGGTGGTCACCATTTTATTCTCCACTTCAGTTAGATTAATTTTTCTAGAATCATGTAAGTGAAATAATTTGGTTAATCTATGTAATTGAAAATAATAAATTTTTTTATTTTAAAGATGAATAGTATTCCATTGTGTATATATACCACGTTGTCTTTATGTACTCATTAGATGTTGAAGTGTTAATTCTGTATTTTGGCAATTGTGAAGAATGTTACAAATATTTCTTCATTCTGCAAATATTTCTTGCAGATTATTTCTGCAAATATTTCTTCATTCTGATTTAATTATTTTGAGATATGTATCCATTATTGAAATTGCTATATTATATGATAGTTTGATTTTAAATTTTTATTTTTTTAATTTTTTTTTTATTTTTATTTTTTTGAAACAGAGTCTTGCTCTGTTGCCCAGGCTGGAGTGCAGTGGCACGATCTCGGCTCACTGCAACCTCCGCCTCCCGGGTTCATGCCATTCTCCTGCCTCAGCCTCCTGAGCAGCTGGGACTACAGGAACCCACCACCACACTCAACTAATTTTTTGTATTTTTAGTAGAGACAAGGTTTCACTGTGTTAGCCAGGATGGTCTCGAACTCCTGACCTCGTGATCCACCAGCCTCGGCCTCCCAAAGTCCTGGGATTACAGGCGTGAGCCACCGCACCTGGCCTGATTTTAAATTTTTAAAGAAATCTTTATTTTGTTTTTCATAATGGCTGCCCTCATTTACATTCAAACCAACAGTGTGCAAGCATTCTATTTTCTTCACACCTTTACTAATACTCATTTTCTTTTTCTTTTTAATCAGAGTCATTCTAACAGGAGTGAGTTGATATCTCATCTTTTTTTATTTTTTTGCTTTCCTTTCCCTGATAATAATTGATATTGAGCATTTTTAAATATATCTTTTGACTATGTATGTCTATTCTTGAAAATAAGCCTTTTGCTCATTTTTAATAGTACTTTTTGTATTGTAATTTGAGATTCTTATATATTTTTGATATTAACACGTTGTCACATGTATGATTTGCACATTTTTTCCATTTTTTAGTTGTCTGATCCTGTTGATTGTCTCAGATTCTTTGCAGCAATTTTTTTATTTGAAGTAATCTGATTAATCTATTTTTCTTTTGGTTCCCTGGGATTTTGAAGTTATATCAAAAAAGTCACTGCCCAAACTAATGTTATGGGTCTTTCACTCTGTTTTTTTTTGTAGTGGTTTCAGAGTGTCAGACCTTACATTGTAATATCTAATTTATTTTGAGTTAATTTTTATATATGGTATCAGATGAGGGTCTCATTTTATTGCTCTGCATGTGGCTAGAAAGTTTTCTCAGTGGACGCGTTGGCTCACATCTGTAATCCCAACACTGGGAGGCTGAGGCAGGCAAATCACCTGAGGTTGGAAGTTTGAGACCAGCCTGATCAACATGGAGAAATCCCATCTCTACTAATAATACAAAAATTAGTCGGGCATGGTGGTGCATGCCTGTAATCCCAGCTACTCGGGAGGCTGAGGCAAGCTTGAACAATGTGGAGGCAGAGGTTGCAGTGAACTGAGAGCGTGCCATGGACTCCAGCCTGGGCAACAAGAGCAAAACTCCCTCTCAAGAAAAAAAAAAAAAAGGAAAGGAAAAAAGAAAGTTTTCTCAATACCATTTATTGAAGATACTGTCCTTTCTCTAAGAAAATGTCACCTATATCTAATATCAATTAGCTGTAAATACATGGATATATTTCCACACTCCTCAGCTACATTGCCCTATGTATCCAGTTTTATTGAAGTACCACACTGTTTTGGTTACTATAGTTTTTCAGTATGTTGCAAAGTCAGGTAGGGTGATACTTTCAGCCTTTTTTACTTTTTTATTCCTTTGGCTATTCTGGGTCTTTTGTGGTACCATATGAATTTTACATATATTTTACAAAATTTATATTAAGTATTTCACTGGCTACTGAGACCAGCTCGGTTGGGGAGACCCTAACCCAGCGGCGCTAGAGGAATTAAAGACACACACACACAAATACAGAGGTGTGAAGTGAGGAATCGGGTCTCCCAGCCTTCAGAGCTGAGAGCCCTGAACAGAGATTTACCCACATATTTATTAACAGCAAACCAGTCATTAGCATTGTTTCTATAGATATTAAATTAACCAAAAGTATCTCTTATGGGAAACGAAGGGATAGGACGAATTAATTGAATAGGTTGGGCTAGTTAACTGCAGCAGGAACACTCCCTTAAGACAGATGGCTCAGGCTTCTGTTTGTGTCTTAAGAATGCCTTTAAGCGGTTTTCTACCCTGGGCAGGCCAGGTGTTCCTTGCCCTCATTCCCATAAACCCACAACCTTCCAGCTTGGGCGTTACAGCCATTATGGACACGTTACATTGCTGCAGAGATTTTATTTATGGCCAGTTTTGGGGCCAGTTTATGGCTAGACTTTGGGGGGCTTGCTCCCAACAACTGGCATTTTGATAGAGGTTGCATTATATCTGTAGATCATTTTGTGTAATACAGCTGTTTAAAAATATTAATGCTGGCCGGGCACGGTGGCTCACGCCTGTCATCTGAGCACTTTGGGAGGCTGAGGGGGGCAGATCACGAGGTCAGGTGTTTGAGACCAGCCTGGCCAATATGGTGAAACCCCATCGCTACTAAAAATACAAAAGTTAGCCAGGCGTGGTGGTGCACACTTGTAATCCCAGCTATTCAGGAGGCTGATGCAGGAGAATCTCTTGAACCCAGGAGGCAGAGGTTGCAGTGAGCCGAGATCATGCCATTGCACTCCAGCCTGGGTGACAGAGCGCTACACCGTCTCAAATACATCTATATATAGATACACACACACATACACACACGTATATACACACACATATATATACATGTATATATATATGCCAATTCATGAATGAGTAATGTATTTTTATTTGTGTATTACTTAGTTTTTTACTTAAATGTTTTTTAGATTGTAAGGTGTTGAAACTTTTTGGCTAAATTTATTTCAAAGTATAGTTAACTACAGCTATTGTAGATGGAATTTCTTTTTTCATTTCAATTTGAGATAATTGTTAGTGTATAAAACTGCTATTGACTTTTGTACATTGATTTTTTTATTCTGCAAGTTTAACAAATTTATTAGTTCTAGTAGTTCTTAGTAAATTCTTAGGCTTTTCTATACCTAAAATTATGTCATCTGCAAACAGGAATAATTTCACTTTTTCTTTTCCATCTGGATGCCTTTATGGTATTTGGCTGTGTCTCCACCCAAATCTCATCTTGAATTGTAGCTCCCATACTCCCCACAGGTCATAGAAAAGACCCAGTGGAAGGTAATTGAATCATGGCAGTGGGTTTTCCCATGCTATTCTCATGATAGTGAATAAGCCTCATGAGATCTGATGGTCTTATAAAGGGCAATTTACTTGCACATGCTCTCCATTATCACCATGTAAGACATGACTTTTCTCCTCCTTCACCTTCCATAATGATTGTGAGGCCATCCCCAGCCATGTTGAATTGTGAGTTCTTTAAACCTCTTTCCTTTATAAATTTTCCAGTTTGGCGTATGTTTTTATTAGCTGCAAGAGAACAGAATAATACACTTTGATTTATTCTCTAATTTGTTTGTCTTGGACATTTAGTACTATGTTTAGTAAGACTGGAGAAAGTGGGCATTTTTGTATTATTCTAGCTCTTAGAGTAAAAGCTTACAACATTACCTCATATAGTATGTTATTAGCTGTGAATTTTTTTAAGTTATATGTGGCATTTATTGGCTTGCAGTGCATTTTTTTATACTTATGCTTTTCAGAGATTTATTGTGAGGGACTGTGACTTTTCTAGAACTTTTATCCAGCATCAATTTAAACGTTACAGTTGTAAAACCACAATTAATACCACAGAAATACAAACATCCTCAGATACGTCTATGAACACCTCTACGCTTGCAAACTAGAAACTTCAGAGAAAATAAATAAACTACTGGATTCACATGACCCAAGATTTAACCAGAAAGAAACAAAAATCTTGAACAAAACAGAAATGTCTAAAATGTATAATAAAATTGAATTAGTAATAAAAAACTTATCAACCGAAATAGCCCTAAATCAGATGAATTCTCAGCTGAGTTTTACAACATATATTGCAAAAAGATGAGCTGGTACTAATCCTACTGAATGTATTCAAAAAAATCAAGGTGTGATTCCTCCCTAACTTATATAAAACCATTGTCAGCCAGGCCTGGTGGCCCGCTTGTAATTCCAGCACTTTGGGAGGCTGAGGCGGGCAGATCACCTGAGGTCGGGAGTTTGAGACCAGCCTGACCAACATGAAGAAACCCCATCTCTACTGAAAATACAAAATTAGCCGGGCGTGGGGGCACATGCTTGTAATCCCAGCTACTCGGGAGGCTGAGGCAGGAGAATCGCTTGAACCTGGGAGGCAGAGGTTGCAGTGAGCTGAATTCGCACCATTGCACTCCAGCCTGGGCAACAAGAGTGAAACTCTGTCTCAAAAACAAACAAACAAAAACAAAAAAAAAAACACCATTGTCATCTTGTTACCACGATTTAGTGAAGACAGAACAACAACAAAAAAACTATAGGTCAATATTCCTGATGAACATTAAAACAAAAATCCTCCACAAAATACTAGCAAACTGAGGGGCAGGGCACGGTGGCTCACCCCTATAATTCCAGCACTTTGGGAGGCCGAGGCGGGCGGATCACGAGGCCGGGAGATCCAGACCATCATGGCTAACACAGTGAAACCCCGTCTCTACTAAAAAAATACAAAAAAATTAGTTGGGCGTGGTGGGGGGCACTGTTAGTCCCAGCTACTCAGGAGGCTGAGGCAGGAGAATGGCGTGAACCCAGGAGGCGGAGCTTGCAGTGAGCCGAGATCACACCACTGCACTCCAGCCTGGGCGACAGAGGGAGACTCCATCTCAAAAAAAAAAAAAAAAAAAAACTAGCAAGCTGAGTTCATAAGCAAATCAAAAAGTTATTTTGCCACTATCATGTGAGCTTTATTTTATGAATGCAAAAATGTTCATATACAAGTCAATAAGTGTGATTCACCTTGTAAAAATATATAAGCAAAAAATCATAATTATCACAAGTGCAGAAAAAGCATTCAAGAAAATCCAGTATTCATAAAAATATTATCAACAAGGCTGAGTGCAGTGGCTCACGCCTGTAATCCCAACGCTTTGGGAGGCCGAGGCGGGTGGATCATGAGGTCAAGAGATCGAGACCATCCTGGCCAACATGGTGAAACGCCTTCTCTACAAAAAATACCAAAATTAGCTGGGCGTGGTGGTGGATGCCTGCAGTCTCAGCTACTTGGGAGGCTGAGGCAGGAGACTCGCTTGAACCTGGGAGGTTGAAGTTGCAGTGAGCCACTGCACTCCAGCCTGGTGACTGCGAGACCCCGTCTCAAAAAAAAAAAAAAAAAGACCGGGCATGGTGGCTCACACGCCTGTAATCCCAGCACTTTGGGAGGCCGAGGTGGGCTGATCACAAGGTCAGGAGTTCGAGACCAGCCTGGCCAATAAGGTGAAACCCTGTCTCTACTAAAAATACAAAAATTAGCCAGGCATGGTGGTGGGCACCTGTAGTCCCAGCTACTAGGGAGGCTGAGGCAGGAGAATCACTTGAACCTGGGAGGCGGAGGTTGCAGTGAGCCGAGATCACGCCACTGCACTCCAGCCTGGGCGACAGAGTAAGACTCCATCTCAAAAAAAAAAAAAAATCAATAAACTAGGCATAGAAGAAACATACCTCCAAATAATAAGAGTCATCTATGACAAATCTTCAGCCAAAATCATACTGAATGGGCAAAATCTGGATGCATTCTCCATAAGAATAAAAATAAGAAAAAAATATGCACCCTAAATACTCCTATTCAACATAGTTCTAAAAGTCCTAGCCAGAGCAATTCAACAAGATCAAGAAATAAAAGTCATCCAAATAGGAAAAAAAAGGAAGTCAAATTATCTTCACAGGTGAAATAATTCTCTACCTGGAAAACTTTATAGATTTCACTAAAACACCCCTAAGACTAAAAAATGACTTCAGCAAAGTCTGACCATACAAAACCAACATACACATATGAGTAGCATTTCTGTACACCAATAACATTCAAGCTGAGGACAAAATCAAGAACACAGTTCTGTTTACAATAGCCACAAACAAATAATATACCTAAGAATACATTAAATCAAGTAGATAAAATATCTCTACAAAGAAAATTACAAAACAGTGCTGAAGAAAATTAAACACAAATAAATAAAAAAGCATTTTATGCTAATGGATTGGAAGAATCAATATAATTAAATGTCCATGCTGTTTGAAGCAACCTACAGATTAAGTGCTGTTTCTATCAAACTATCAATGCCATTTTTCATAGAATTCAGATAAAATCTTCTAAAATTCATATAAGAAATTAAAAAGCCAAAAACCCAAGGCAATGTGAAAGTGAATCAACTTGGATGCCTCATATTACCTGACTTTAAACTATACTATAAGCTACAGTAGCCAATATAACATGGTTCTGGTACAAAAGTATACATAATGACCAATTGAACAGAAGAGAGAGCCCTGAAACAAAGCTACACTTCTACAAGCAACTTATTTTTGACAAAGTCAACAGAAATTAACAAAGAGAAAATAACTCCCAGTGCAATAAATGGCACTGGGAAAATTGGTTAGTCTTACGCAGAAGAAGAAAACTAGACCCCTACCTCTCACTATATATAAAAAACCAAATAGCTCAAGATAGATTAAAGACTTAACAGTGAAACTTCAAGCTATAAAAATCCTAGAGCACTTAGAAAGTACTCTTCTAGACACTGGCCTCCAGAAAGCATTTATAACTAACACCTTAGAAGTGAATACAACAAAAATAAAAATTAGCACCTAATTCAACTGCAGAGCTGCACTGTAAAAGAAACTATTGACAAAGTAAAAAAAACAACCTACAGTATAAAATGTTTGCAAACTGCATGCAACAAAGCGTTAATATATAGAATCTATCAGGAATTTAATAAGAAAAACGCAAATGATATGAATAGACACTTCTCAAAGGAAGACATAAAAGCAGCCAATAAACATGCAAAAAATTGTTCAACATCCCAAATCAATAGAGATACAAATCAAAATGGCAATGTGATACCATCTCACGCCAGTTAGAATGGCTCTTATTAAAAAGTAAAAAGTGGCTGGGCATGGTGGCTCACACCTGTAATCCCAGCACTTTGGAAGGCTGAGGTGGGCAGATCACGAGGTCAAAAGACCGAGACCAGTCTGGCTAACACAGTGAAACCCTGTCTCTGCTAAAAGTACAGAAAATTAGCCGGGCGTGGTGGCACATGCCTGTAGTCCCAGCTACTCGGGAGGCTGAGGCAGGAGAATCGCTTGAACCCGGGAGGTGGAGGTTGCAGTGAGCCGAGATCAGGCCATTGCCCTCCAGCCTGGGCAACAGAGCAATACTCTGTCTCAAAAAGAAAAAAAAAAAAAGTCAAAAAGTGGGCCATGTGCAGTGGCTCGCACCTGTAATCCCAGCACTTTGGGAGTCCAAGGCAGGCGGATCACTTGAGATCAGGAGTTTGAGACCAGCTTGGCCAACATGGCAAAACCCTGTCTCTACTAAAAATACAAAAATTAGACAGGCATGATGGCAGGTGCCTGTAATCCCAGCTACTTGGGAGGCTGCGGCAGGAGAATCACTTGTACCCGGGAGGCAGAGGTTGCAGTAAGCCAAGATCATGCCACTTCACTCCAGCCTGGGCAACAGAGCAAGACTCCATCTCAGGAAAGAAAAAAAAAAAAAAAACCAACAGAAAAATTACTCATTACTCATTAGGTAATACTGTAAACTACTTGGACAATGGGATTATTAAGTGTCCAAACCTCAACAACATGCAGTATACCTATGCTACAAATCTGTACATGTACACCTGAATCTATAATAAAAATAATAAAATGCCTTGTGGTATAATGACATGTTACATTTTTCCAATTCTTGGTTCATAGTTAGCATTGGGTTGAAAGACACAGAATTATTTTCCCTTTGGGCATAAGAGTGAATGTTTCTATGCCAGGTCTCCCCACATCCTATAAGCTAACATCTCTGAAAGCTTTTAGCCCGAAAAATGTTTTATTCTTAACTGTGTGGTTAAAATAAATGACTCCACATCTTTATTTTTAATTAATTAACTGTACACTAGACTATCGAGTTAATTTGTTACTGTACTGTTTTTAGAAAAAAATGTGGTTTTAAAACCGCATTTCTGAGGCTGGGTGTGGTGGCTCATGCCTATAATCCCAGCACTTTGGGAGGCCGAGGTGGGTGGATCACTTGTGGTCAGGAGTTCAAGAGCAGCCTGGCCAACATGGTGAAACCCCAGCTCTACTAAAAATACAAAATTAGCCAGGTGTGGTGGTGCACACTTCTCAGGAGGCTGAGGCAGAAGAATTGCTTGAACCTGGGAGGTGGAGGTTGCAGTGAACCAAGATCGTGCCACTGCACTCCAGCCTGGGTGACAGAGTAAGACTCTGTCTCAAAAAAAAAAGAAAAAAAAGAAACCGCATTTCTTTTTTAGAATAAACTATTTTTGAAAATGAGTGGGTGTGCAGATCAGGTTAAATTCCTGACTTATGAAAAGAAAATATTTTTATAAAGAAAAAAGGCATCAAAGTCTAATGTCCATAGCCCAAGAATGATGAGAGTGTTGGTTACTTAAGATCACACTGCCACAACCATTTCATCACAACTATTCTGGTGGAAAAAAAATAATTGATCAGAATTTATTTTTAGAATACTTTTCTAATTCTATTGCAGTCTTAAATTTTTATTTGTGTTTATTGTTTGTCATATACTAGTCTGTACTTCTACAAAAGATGCCGTGAATTTCAAATTAATATGCTCAGAAATATATTCTCTCTAGACGGGCACTGGTGTGTTTGCAATCAAGATGTATTATTTCTGCCCTTCCTTATGCTGCTTTGTTTCTATAAAATAAAAAGGCAGAAAGTAAACCAGAGTCAACCATCACATTTCTAGTTTCTTTTTTTTTTTGAGACGAAGTCTCACTCTTGTCCCACAGGTTGGAGTGCAATGGCGCATTCTCGACTCACTGCAACCTCTGCTTCCCGGGTTCAAGCCTCAGGGAAGCTTCCGAGTAGCTTTTAAACACATGTGTTCTGCCTCAGCCTTCCGAGTAGCTGGGATTACAGGTGCCTGCCACCACACCCGGCTAATTTTTGTATCTTTAGTAGAGACGGGGTTTCACCACATTGGCCAGGCTGGTCTCGAACTCCTGACCTCAGGTGATCCACCCACCTCAGCCTCCCAAAGTGCTGGGATTACAGGTATGAGCCACCACGCCCAGCCCACATTTCTAGTTTCTACAGCCACAGCATTTAAATTCTCTTGTTATGTCAACTAGAAATAATGACAGTATTTAGAGACTGAGAAAAAGAAATTGACATATTTTAATTTTTTATACTTAATAAAAATGTATACTTTCTGGGCTGGGCATGGTGGCTTACTTTTGTACTCCCAGCAATTTGGGAGGCCAAGGTGGTTGAATCACCTGAGGTCAAGAGTTTGAGACCATGGGAGGCTGAGGCAGGAGAACCACTTGAACCCAGGAGGCAGAGTTTGTAGTAAGCCGAGATTGTGCCATTGCACTCCTGCCTGGGCGACACAGTGAGACTCCATCTCCTAAATAAATAAATAAATCATAGTTTCTGAATCATATAAGTTAAACAACTTGAACATCCAGATACCTAAAAGTTTTCTCTAGATGATTGTATTAATATTATAATACCTTATGATAGTGAGCTTATGATTGCTCCACTGGGTTTGCTGAAAAGCAATTTTTTTATCTTCTAAGTATAAATAGAGAATAGGCTTTCTATAATTCTAAGTATACAGAACTTTTAAGATTAGCACTGTTTAGATTTGAATGAATTTTATACGTTTGTAGTCACAGACATTTTAATATTTTTTATAATAGAAGTGAAAAATCAATAGAAATAAGTTGTTAACATGTGTTTAAAAGAAACTTTACATGTGTTCATTAAATAACACTTAAAACCACATTGTGTCTGATTAGTAACTCTATTTCATTTTAGTCACTGAGAAGACTTAATATCCTTAAATTATTCAATCAGAAAAGTATTCTTATGTTAGTGTTTCTGAAATTTTCGGAAACTGTAGACCATGCAATGAATGATGATGTTCCTGCAGACCACAAATTTTCTGTATCATAATAGGCTCATCCTAGCTTCTAATATAAAATCTAATATATTTCAAAAGTAAAATTAGTGGCAATTTTAAGTCGTGAGAAGTATATCACTGTTAGAACCCATTTACCAAAGTATTTGGTTTAGGCTTAGTAATAGGTGGTTTAAACAAAACATCAAGTTCTACATACTATCTAACGGTAAAAAAGAGTGATTTTTAAATTCTTCTTTGTTTTTACTAAATTAGAAATTTCAAAGCCAAAATGTTATGTCAGGAATGGAAACAAGCATTGGGTAAAAGAGTGTTGAGTATAATGGTTAAAGTTGAAACTCGGTATCAGGTGGTTCCTAATTGCATTCCAGTTCTGCCACTTATGGACTGTTTTGACTTCTCTGTGCTTGACTCTTCAGCTGTGGAGTGAGGATAATACTGCATAACTCCTAGGGTTTTGGTAAAATTAAAGCAATTGATACAAATAAAGGTGGCCAAACAATGCCCAGCACATAGTAAGTATACAGGAAATTTATTAACTCTTATTTTTTTATTCTGTTAGATCATGATCAATGTTAAGCCTGAAAACAAACTGGCCATATCAGTGGTTTGTAACCCATGTTCATCCTCATCAGTCTGAGGCTTGAATGTTTTTAATATTATCCTTGGCAAATTCCCATATATTCACATACAGCATGGATATGAATATTATGGAAAGATTTCTCATTGAGTACTTCTCTTTAGCACTCCAGTAACTCTAGATAAGTAAGCACTTAAATACGGAGAGTTTGTCAGTTATAAAATTAGAAAAGGAGGCAAATTATTTCCTCATCTACTTGTTTAATAAATTTCTTATTACCAAGTAATTATTTATGTTCATTTGATAAATTTAAATGTAGTTTAAAAGTACATATTTAATGGCCGGATGCGGTGGCTCACGCCTGTAATCCCAGCATTTTGGGAGGCCGAAGCGGGTGGATCACAAGGTCGGGAGATCGAGACCATCCTAGCTAACATGGTGAAACCCCGCCTCTACTAAAAATACAAAAAATTAGCCGGGTGTGGTGGCGGGCACCTGTAGTCCCAGCTACTAGGGAGGCTGAGGCAGGAGAATGGCGTGAACCCGGGAGGCAGAGCTTGCAGTGAGCCGAGATTGCGCCACTGCACTCCAGCCTGGGTGACAGAGCAAGACTCCATCTCAAAAAAAAAAAAAAAAAAAATTTAAATAATGTTTTCCTTTAACAAGTGAAAGAAATCATTAAATATTTAGAGACAATTTAGAGACTCCAAACAGTTGCTTTAGAGTCTGTCTTTTAAAGTACTATATTATTTTGAACATGAAAAACCAGCTGGGCACAGTGGCTCACGCCTGTAATCCTAGCACTTTGGGAGGCCGAGGGGGGCAGATCACCTGAGGTCGGGAGTTCAAGACCAGCCTGACCAACATGGAGAAAACCCATCTCTACTAAAAATACAAAATTAGCCGGGCATGGTGGCACATTCCTGTAATCCCAGCTACTTGGGAGGCTGAGGCAGGACAATCGTTTGAACCTGGGAGGCAGAGGTTGCAGTGAGCCAAGATCGTGCCATTGCACTTCAGCCTGGGCAACAAGAGCAAAACTCCATCTCAAAAAAAGAAAAAAATAATCAAAATATTTTATCCTGAGTGTGGGGTTCAGACTATTCATGATATTAAAAGTTTACTTACCTACATCACTAAATGTGCAAGCTATCTGAAATAAAAAATACGTGTATATATTTTCTGGAAATTTAAGATAAGACACTTTATTATCTAGCCCAATTTTTTAAAGTTTCTTTTTTTTAGTAAAAATGGATTAATAGTTTGTTTTTGTTTTTTGTTTTTGTTTTTTTTTTTTTTTGAGATGGAGTCTCACTCTGTCGCCAAGCTGGAGTGCAATGGCGCAATCTTGGCTCACAGCAACCTCTGCCTCTCAGGTTCAAGCGATTCTCCTGCCTCAGCCTCCCGAGTAGTTGGGATTACAGGCATGCGCCACCACACCCAGCTAATTTTGTATTTTTAGTAGAGATGGGGTTTCACCATGTTAGTCAGGCTGGTCTTGAACTCCCAACCTCAGGTGATCCACCCGCCTCAGCCTTCCAAAGTGCTAGGGTTACAGGCATGAGCCACGGCACCCAGCCTAATAGTATTTTTTATTGGCAAATCAGAGTTCTATGCATTTATAGGGTAAATGTGATGTTTGAATATATGTATATAATATGGAGTGATTGCGAGGCATGGTGGCTCACGCCTGTAATCCCAGCTCTCAGGGAGGCAGAAGCAGGAGGATAGCTTGAGCCCAGGAGTTCGAGACCTGCCTGGGAAATATAGCGAGACCCTGTTCTCCACAAAAAGGAATAGATAGATAGATAGATAGATAGATAGATAGATAGATAGATAAATAGATGGAGTGATTAAGTTAAATAACATATCTATCAACTTGCTTACATATCATTTTTTGTGGTGAGACATTTGAAATTTACTCTTAGTTATTTTGAAATATACAATGCATTATTGTTTACTATGATCATGCTGCTGTGCAACAGATCTCAAAACCTATTTACCCTGTCTATTAGAAACTTTGTACTTTTTGATCCACAACTTTTTATTTCCTTTTCACTACCCATAGCCTCTGGTAACCATTAATCCACTTTCTACTCTTTTGAGTTAAATTTTGTTCTATATATAAATGAGATCATGCAGTATTTGTCTTTATTTGTCTAAATGTTGGAATTTACCCTTTTTAAAAGCTGAATAGCATTCCATTGTGAATCTATGCTACATTTTAAAAAGTTAATTTAAATATATTCATCTACTCTTTGAAAAACTCGTGTGTTATGGGAAGATATTTCTTTGTTAAAACATGTATTAGGCCAGGCGCAGTGGCTCACACCTGTAAATCCAGCACTTTGGGAGGCCAAGGCAGGCAGATCACCTGAGGTCAGGAGTTCGAGACCAGCCTGGCCAACATGGTAAAGCTCTGTCTTTACTAAAAATACAAAATTAGCCGGGCATGGTGGTGGGCACCTGTAATCCCAGCTACTCAGGAGGATGAGGCAGTAGAATCGGTTGACTCCAGAGGCGGAGGTTGCAGTGTGCTGAGATTGTGCCATTGCACTCCATTTGCCTGGGCAAAAAGAGTGAAACTCCATCTCAAAAAAGGAAGTCTTAATTTAATTCAGCATGTACATATTTTATTAATAACTAATCTTTACTGAGCACTAACTATAACACTATATGTGAATGAATTTAATTCTCACAGTAACTTAATAACATAGGTATTATTATTCTCATTTTACAGAGGAAGAAATAGAGGCACAGAGAGAAATTACTTGCTCACAATAGCAGAGTTAATATTAAAATACAGGCAATGTTGCCTCCAGAGATAACATTCTTGAGTACAACAATAAAAATCCTTCAAAAAAAAAATATTTTTAACACTCATTTTTACTAAAGATTAACAAAAAATTGAATATTGAATATGTTTTCACTTTTATATGTGTGTGAATGTATAAAATGGTACATAAAAAATTTAAGCCGAAAAAAGATAAGTTAGTTAATATTTGTAATAAGTACAATTATAAAGTAGCTAATTATGATTTGCAGGTGATATCTTTGTTTACTTAGATAACAACAGCAACAAAAAGACTATTTTAAAATTTTATTCTATCCGGGCATGGTGTTTTATGCCTGTAATCCCAGAACTTTGGGAGGCTGAGGTGGGGAGATCAACTGAGGTCGCAAGTTCAAGACCAGCCTAGCCAACATAGTGAAACCCTGTCTCTACTGAAAATACAAAAATTAGGTGGGCATGGTAATGGGTGCCTGTAATCTCAGCTACTTAAGAGGCTGAGGGAGTAGAATCGCTTTAACCCAGGAGATGGAGGTTGCAGTGAGCCAAGATCATGCCACTGCACTCCAGCCTGGGTGACAGAGCAAGACAGTCTCAGAAAAAACAAAACAAAACAAAACAAAAACCGAAAGGTTTATTCAAGTGTGTTAATCATTCCAGAAAGTCCCACTCTTTAGGTAGAGAAATTTTAGTTAACATGGGGTCAGCATCTTTATAATAAGCCCTGGAACAAACTCTTTGTCTTTCCCTGGTGGAAGCTAATGTTAATCCAAAAGTATGGGCACTTCAAGGAAAAATATGCCAAACTATAACTACTAGGCCAGTCCAGACCCATCTTAAGGATCCCACCTTTTTTCCTAACCAGCAACAATATCCGCTAAAGCCAGAGGCTAGGAAAGGACTAGAAGCCATTATTAATCTGAAAATGCAGGGCCTCCTCAAACCCTGTAACAGCCCCTGCACCACTCCAATATTAGGAGTGCAAAAAGCCAATGGAAAATGGAGACAATCATAAAATTAACAGGTTATTTTTCTCAGTTTTTCTTCCATAAGAAATAGCAATGTAAGAGACATCAGAAGGTGTGGGGAAAAGAAGGAGAGATCAGATTGTTACTGTGTCTGTGTAGAAAGAAGTAGACATAGGCTAAGACTCCATTTTGTTCTGTAACTAAGAAAAATTCTTCTGCCTTGATATGCTGTTAATCTGTAACCCTACCCCCAACCCTGTGCTCCCTGAAACATGTGCTGTGTCAACTCAGGGTTAAATGGATTAAGGGCTGTGCAGGTTGTGTTTCGTTAAACAAATGCTTGAAGGCAGCATGCTTGTTAAGAGTCATCACCACTCCCTAATCTCAACCACTCCCTAAGTACCCAGAGACACAAAACACTGCGGAAGGCTGCAGGGACTTCTGCCTAGGAAAGCCAGGTATTGTCCAAGGTTTCTCCCCATGTGACAGTCTGAAATATGGCCTCGTGGGAAGGGAAAGACCTGACCGTCCCCCAGCCCGACACCCGTAAAGGGTCTGTGCTGAGGAGGATTAGTAAAAGAGGAAGGAACGCCTCTTTGCAGTTGAGATAAGAGGAAGGCTTCTGTCTCCTGCTCGTTCCTGGGCAATGGAATGTCTCGGTGTAAAGCCGATTGTATATTCCATCTACTGAGATAGGGGAAAACCGCCTTAGGGCTGGAGGTGGGACATGCTGGCAGCAATACTGCTCTTTAAGGCATTGAGATGTTTATGTATATGCACATCACAAGCACAGCACTTTTTTCTTTACCTTGTTTATGATGCAGAGACATTTGTTCACGTGTTTACCTTCTGACCTTCTCTCCACTATTACCCTATTATCCTGCCACATGCCCCTCTCTGGGAAATGCCCAATAATGATCAATAAATGCTAAGGGAACTCAGAGGCCAGTGCCGGCGTGGATCCTCTGTATGCTGAACGCTGGTCCCCTGGGCCCCCTTTTTTTTCTCTATACTTTGTCTCTGTGTCTCTTTCTTTTCCAAGTAACACCCACAGGTGTGGAGGGGCAACCCACCCCTTCAGAGGGAACAGATAAAATAGTGGAAAGAAACAAGTTAGCTAATCAGGCAGCCTAGTCAGTTACAATGAAGCCTCCAGGCATCAACACACTTGAAACCCCTCTAATCTATGAAGGCTCCATAAAAGAAATTAAGCTTTAGTAGTCCTGAAAAGATAAAATGGACCATCTCTCAAGGGTACACTTTCCAGCCCTCAGGATGGCCACAGTCAGAGAATGGCAAATTCCACTTGCCAGCCTCCAGCCAATGGAAAAGTCTTTAAAATCCATCAAACATTTTACTTGGGAAAGAATAAAATTTGTCAGTGTCCTCAGAGATTGTTTTCAGGAAATACCTTTTTTTTTTTTTTTTTGAGATGAAGTCTCACTCTGTCGCCCAGGCTGGAGTGCAGTGGCACTATCTCGGCTCACTGCAACCTCCGCCTCCCAGGTTCAAGCGATTCTCCTGCCTCAGCCTCCCAAGTAGCTGGGACTACAGGCGCCCGCCACCACACCTGGCTAGTTTTTTGGTTTTTGTTGTTTTTGTTTTTGTTTTGTATTTTTAGTAGAGACGGGGTTTTGCCATGTTGGCGAGGCTGGGCTCGAATGCCTGACCTCGTGATCAGCCTGCCTTGGCCTCCCAAAGTGCTGGGATTACAGGCAAGACCCACTGCTCCCGGCCAGGAAAGAGTCTATTAAAAACAGTCAAACAGGTTAATGCTTGCAAAGTCTGTCTTAAAGATAATCTCAACAGGCCACTTCTTTCTTCTCAAATCCAAAGGATGGGAAGCTAACCAGGAAAAGACTGACAGATAGACTTTACCCACATGCCAAAGACAGAGGGCATGCAATACCTCCTGGAATTAATACTTTCACAAATTGGGTAGAAGCATTTCCATGCCATACAGAAAAGACCTCTGCGGTAATAAAAGTGTTAATTAATGAAATTACTACCGACTTTTGTCTACCTAAGTACCTCCAAAGTGACAATGGCACCTCATTTAAGGCAGCCATCACACAGTGGGTCTCAAAAGCACTAGGAATATAGTATTATCTCCATTGTGCTTAAAGATCCCAGTACTCAGGAAAGGTAGAGAAGACAAATAATATTGTTAAAAGACATCTTGTCTTTAAAGGCTGAATAGTATTCCATTGTGAATCTATGCTACATTTTAAAAAGTTAATTTAAATACATTCATCTATTCTTTGAAAAACTTGTATATTATGGGAAGATATTTCTATGTTAAAACATGTATTAGGCCGGATGGGCCTAATACCTATCTGACTGTGGCCATCCTGAGGGCTGGAAAGCATAACCTTGAGAGATAGCCCAGTCTCAGGCAGGGCGCAGTGGCTCACGCCTATAATCCCAACACATTGGGATGCCAAGGCAGGCAGATCGCCTGAGGTCGGGAGTTCGAGACCAGCCTGACCAACATGGAGAAACCCTGTCTCTACTAAAAATACAAAATTAGCCAGGTGTGGTGGCACATTCCTGCAATCCCAGCTACTCGGGAGGCTGAGGCAAGAGAATCGCTTGAACCCAGGAGGCAGAGGGAGGTTGCAGTGAGCCGAGATCATGCCATGGCACTCCAGCCTGGGCAACAAGAGTGAAACTCTGTCTCAAAAAAAAAAAAAAAAAAAACTGTCCCCAAAAAACTCACCTTTCTTGGGTTACTTTTCTTTCCATGGCTTTACTGCAAGTAAGAAATACCCCTTCAAAGTTAGGTCTGAGCCCTTTCAAGATGCTGTATGAATGGCCTTTTCTTACAATGGTTTCTATTAGACCAGGAAACCTCTGAATTGGTTAAGCATGTAACCTCTCTTGCTCACTTTCAGCAGGAATTAACACATTTAGCAGAGTCTCAACCCCAGAAAATAAGAACACCTTCATTTAGCCCAGATTTGATATTGGTGAAAGCTCTCCCCTCTCTCTCTCTC
Organism: Homo sapiens; assembly: GCF_000001405.40. Lineage (NCBI taxonomy): Eukaryota > Metazoa > Chordata > Mammalia > Primates > Hominidae > Homo > Homo sapiens. Next base: position 23,721,741 of record NC_000019.10, on the reverse strand, counting down.
CCTCCCTAAGCGCAAACTGGGAAGGACCTTTCACTGTTCTTCTTTGAACCCTGTTTGCAATGAAAGTTACAGGAATTGACTCTTGGATACATCATACTCAGTTAAACCTGGAAAGCTGAGGGAGCAACCCTGAACAGCCTAGAGGAAAGTCCCAGATATTAATGTGAAGAAATATAAAAATTATAAAAGATGAGTACATAAGTGAGGCCTACTCCTTCTACTCAGTCCCATTCTTACCTTACCAAATACTTTCAGTCATTCCTACCTTTCCTCTCAAGATTTGCCATCAACTATTATAACTTCTTTTTGGTGCATATTTGCAGGGAAATTTTGATTATTTATGGGATTACATTTGTAACTTCATAGACCCCAAAAGGGAAATTCTATAAATTGGTGAATAAAATTTTAGATAGAAATTATCTACTACACCACCCTTGTGCGAATTGTCTTTTTTTTGTTTTTGTTTTTGTTTTTGTTTTTTGAGATGGAGTTTCCCTCTTGTTGCTCAGGCTGGAGTGCAATGGCACGATCTCAGCTCACTGCAAACTCTGCCTCCCAGGTTCAAGCAATTCTCTTGCTTTTGCCTCCCGCGTAGCTGGGATTACAGGCATGCGCCACCATGCCTAGCTAATTTTGTATTTTTAGTAGAGACGAGGTTTCTCCATGTTGGTCAGACTGGTCTCGAACTCCTGACCTCAGGTGATTTGCCTGCCTCGGCCTCCCAAAGTGCTGGGATTACAGGCGTGAACCACTGCCCTGGGCAGGGAATTGTTATACTCACTTTACTTTTTGCAGTGGGATTATATACTGTAGCACCCCCCAGAGTGGAGTATCAAACAAAGAATCTCAATTGCTGTAGTATATTGCTTAATTATTATCTTTATAGCAGGGATGATAGTCTATAATCACTGAGTCTGCTAAGACTTCATATTGGGTTTGGTAATATGTCACACCCTAGCTATGCAAAAAAGATTACATAGACAAACAGCTTGTATATAAGAAAGGATCTTGTATGGTAAATTTTTGTTCTAAAGAGAATAACTGGTTGTTTAAAAAGAGGGATGTTAGGCCGGGCACAGTGGCTCACGCATGTAATCCTAGCACTTTGGGAGGCTGAGGCGGGTGGATCTCCTGAGGTCAGGAGTTCGAGACCAGCCTGACCAACGTGGTGAAAGCCATCTTTACTAAAAAATACAATAATTAGCCAGGCATGGTGGCGGGCACCTGTAATCCCAGCTACTTGAGAGGCTGAGGCAGGAGAATTGCTTGAACCTGGGAGGTGGAGGTTGCACTGAGCCGAGATTGTGCCATTGCACTCCAGCCTGGGTGACAGAGCAAGACTACATTTCAAAAAAAAAAAAAAAAAAAGCACGCAATGGCCAGGCATGGTGTCTCACGCCTGTAATGCTAGTATTTTGGGAGGCCAAAGTGGGTAGGTGGATAACCTGAGGTCAGGAGTTTGAAGCTAGCCTGGCCAACATGGTGAAACCCTGTCTCTACTGAAAATACAAAAATTAGCCAGGCATAGTGGCACGTGCCTATAGTTCCAGCTACATGGGAGACTGAGGGAAGAGAATCGCTTGAACCTGGGAGACGAAGGCTTGAACCCCAGAGTTGAGATTATGCCACTGCACTACACCCTGGGTGACAGAGAGAACCTCCACCTCTCCAGTTCAAGCGATTATCCTGCCTCAGCCTCCCAAGTAGCTGGGACTACAGGCGCCCACCACGATGACCTAATTTTTTTTTGTATTTTTAATAGAGATGGGGTTTCGCCATGTTGGCCAGGCTGGTCTCGAACACCTGACCTCGTGATCTGCCCACCGCAGCCTCCCAAAGTGTTGGGATTACAGGTGTGAGCCACTGCGCCTGGCCTAGTCTTTATTTTAAAACTTACAACCATCACATAATCACATACACAGAGTAAGAAAGATTAGCTCATTTTCCTGAAAAGCAGTGTTTCATCTTTTATTTTATTACATCTGTTCCACATTGCTGTGATATTGCTGTCGAAGTCCACTCTCACCAGAAGATCACCTGTATGAATGTGAATAGACTGACACTGGAGAGTTCCAGTATCGGGGAACCTGCCCCGATAGTCACGTAGGTTCGTTTCAATTTTCCCTAAGCGACAGCCGGCTTGAGAAATAAAGGGACAGAGTACAAAAGAGAGAAATTTTAAAGCTGGGCATCCGGGGGAGACATCACAGGTCGGTAGGTTCCGTGATGCCCCACAAGCCGCAAAACCAGCAAGTTTCTATTAGGGACTTTCAAAAGGGGAGGGAGTGTGCGAATAGGTGTGGGTCACAGACATCAAGTACTTCCGAAGGTAATAGAATATCACAAGGCAAATGGAGACAGGGAGAGATCACAGGACCACAGGACCGAGGCGAAATTAAAATTGCTAATGAAGTTTTGGGCACCATTGTCATTGATAACATCTTATCAGGAGACAGGGTTTTGAGAGCAACCGGTCTGACCAAAATTTATTAGGCAGGAATTTCCTCTTCCTAATAAGCCTGGGAGTGCTATGGGAGACTGGGGTCTATTTCACCCCTACAGCCTCGACCATAGAAGACGGCCACGCCAAGGGGGCCAGTTCAGAGACCCACCCCCAGGCGTGTATTCCCTTTCCCAGGGATGTTCCTTGCTGAGAAAAAGAATTCAGCGATGTTTCTCCCATTTGCTTTTGAAAGAAGAGAACTACGGCTCTGTTCCACCCGGCTCCTACGGCTCTGTTCCGCCCGGCTCACTGGGGCTGTCAGAGTTTAAAGTTATGTCTCTTGTTTCCTAAACATTGCTGTTATCTTGTTCTTTTTTCAAGGTGTGTGCCCAGATTTCATATTGTTCAAACACACATACTCTACAGTTTGTTCAGTTAATGCAATTATCACAGGGTCCTGAGGCGACATACATCCGCCTTGGTTTAGGAGATGACAGGATTAAGAGATTAAAGTAAAGACAGGCATAGGAAATCACAAGGGTATTGATTGGGGAAGTGATAAGTGTCCATGAAATCTTCACAATTTATGTTTAGAGATTGCAGTAAAGACAGGCATAAGAAATTATAAAAGTATTAATTTGGGGAACTAATAAATGTCCATGAAATCTTCACAATCCACGTTCTTCTTCCATGGCTTCAGCTGGTCCCTCCGTTTGGGGTCCCTGACTTCCTGCAACATTCCAGCTCAGCACACTCACTTGAACTGTCACTTTGCTTTTCAGGCAGTTAGAATGCCTTTGAAGAGTGAAAATAAAGTGACTGCTGAATAAGCACAGAATTTTACATGAAAAAATGTTTGTCAATTGTTTAAAATTGCATTGCATGGACTACAACTTTTAAAATGTAAAATGCATAACGTAAATACTACACAACAAAATAGAATAGAAATGGTGGATTTAGCCACAAAGAACAGCCAAAGCTCTATTATAGCAATATGGAAAAATATATAGCTACTGTCAGAACAGGAGAACTTGAAGTATTTGAGAAATGTTCTCTAAGAATCTAAAATTATTTTAGATTTAGTTTCTATAAAAATGTTTCTTAAGCATTTTTAATTTTCAGAGAATTTTAAATGTATGTGTTGTTTAGTTTTGCTGAAGAATTTAAATATAATACAATAAAATAATACATATAAAAATCAACTTTTCTGTTAAAAAGCAGCTTAATTTTGGGACCAAAAAGTTAAATTTTACAATATTTTATGCTGACCAATTGGATCAGAAGCCTCTTTCTTACAACTAGGAGAGATGACACAAAGACAGCTTTTATGATGAATGGGAGAGAAAATTATTACCAGGGGCTAGATAATCATTGTTTCACTAATCAGTGTTGATTTTCATTACTGTTTTTTCTCAAATTATGTTAAATACGAAGTAATGGCCTTGTTCCAAGTAATTTTAAAAAATCTTATTTGTTCAGTCAGCCAAAATATTAACCAATAGGAGGCATAGAAATGAAGTTATTTGAGAGTTGTAATTTATATTTTAATATTAAAATACTTCTAGAAATAACAAAGGAAGGAAAGAAAAGATATACAAACAAATGAAAGAGTAGGAAGTGATTACTCACAATAGCTAAGTTATGGAATCAACCTAAGTGTCCATCAACAGATGAATGGATAAAGACAATGTGGTATATTTACACAATGGAATGCTATTCAGCCCTTAAAAAGAAGGAAGTCTTATTTGCAACATTGATGAACCTGGAGGACACTGTGCTAAGTAAAATAAGCCAGCACAGAATAAAAATATATCACATAATCTCATTTCTGTGTAGAATATTAAAAAATCAAATTCATAGAAACAGTGAGTAGAATGATAATTGCCTGTGGTTAGGGGTGGAGGAGATGTTGGTCAAAAGTAGTGGGTCTTCCCTACATCTCTAACTTTAACAAATAAGTTATTCTTCTCTCAGTTTTGATTCCCAGGTAATATGAGTAAACATATTTGAATCTGACTCGAATATGTTTTATGAAATTTGGTTGACATTTAAGTGTGTCTGACTTACCTGGAATATTGAAATTTTCCATGAATCCAAATTGAGTACTATATATAAACAATTTTTTACTAAAAGACTGTGAGGCAGAGTAAGATTCATAAAATTTTATTATAATATTAAAAAAGTGTATTAACCATGTTTCCAGTAATCCCTCTGAACACAGAATTCTCAGTTCCTAGTAGTCACTCTGAGTCACTCAGGGAAAATTGGTATATCTCTAAAGAGGCAGAAGCAGGTGCTGAGTGGATGTGCACCATGCTGCACATGTATGCTTTCCACATGCACTTATTAGGGTCTTAATTTAATTGGGCTGTTATTTGCATGGCTGGATACTTACTAAATCTAGTCATATTATTTTTTTTGGCTGATAATGGCATCTGGGCATCTGTTACCCTTTTTTTTTTTTTTGAGATGGAGTCTCACACTGTCACCTGGGCTGGAGTGAGTGCAGTGGCATGATCACGGCTCACTGCAAACTCCTCTTTCCGGATTCAAGTGATTCTCCTGCCTCAGCCTCCCGAGTAGCTGGGATTACAGATGCTGCCACACGCCCAGTTAATTTTTTGTGGTTTTAGTAGAGACAGGGTTTCACCATGTTGGCCAGAATGGTCTCGAACTCCTGATCTCGTGATTCACCCGCCTCAGCCAACCAAAGTGCTGGGATTACAGGCATGAGCCACCGCTCGACCCTACCCATTGATTTTATACAATTATTTGGCTGAAAAATAAGTCTTTTGTTAATTTACTCTAAATCAAGAGACTAGATTTGCAATCTGCAGTCTTTCAATGTTAAAGCAAGTCAGAGGGCTGGATGCGGTCTCAAATCAGGAGTTTGAGACCACCCTGGCCAATATGGTGAAACCCCATCTCTACTAAAAATACAAAAATTAGCCGGGCATGGTGGTGTGTGCCTGTAATCCCAGCTATTCGGGAGGCTGAGGCAAGAAAATTGCTTGAACCCAGGAGGCAGAGGTTGCAGCGCCACTCCACTCCAGCCTCAGGAACACAGCAAGACTCCATGTCAAAAAAAAAAAAAAAGCAAACAGGGAAGAGCAATGTGTGTATATAGTATGCATTTTCCTACCTATAAAAATTATCCTTGTATTGCCTTGAATACTTTAGTAAGCCACTTACTAAAATCAAATCCTTTAGCCAGGATTTTAAATTTCAAAAGATCAAAAACATACTGACTGAGAAAAACAAAAATCTTGTTTTTGCTTCTGGTTAGTAATATGGCCATTTCAAAAAGCATAGTAATTATGCCAAGCCTTTGAAAAAAATGTGTTTTAGATTATTTATTCCACTTCAAATCTTTTCTCTATTACTTCTCTCATGTTAATTTAAAAGAAACCATCTACATAACTCTTCATGCATTCAAGAAACATTCATATTAAGGTGCTTAAAGTTCAATATTATATTACAGTATTGTAGAATGCTCCACAATTAGCAGAAGTACATTTTTAATAAATTCATGATGTTTTCAAGGTTTTTTGTTTGTTTGTTTGTTTGTTTTGAGATGGAGTCACTCTGTCACCCAGGATGGAGTGCAGTGATGTGATCTTGGCCCACTGTAACCTCTGCCTCCCAGGTTCAAGCAATTCTCCTGCCTCAGCCTCTGGAGTAGCTGGGATTACAGGTGCCTGCCACTGTGCCTGGCTAATTTTTGTAGTTTTAGTAGAGACAGGGTTTCACCATCGTGGCCAGGCTGGTTTTGAACTCCTGACCTCTTGATCCACCTGCCTCAGCCTCCCAAAATGCTGGGATTACAGCCATGAGCCACTGCGCCTGGTCATTTTCAAGGTTTTTAAATTGTGAAAACAAATAATTAGGTATGCTTTTTCATAATAAGGCCAATTCTAGCAGGGTACCCACTCATCTCCACAGTATTTCTGTAATGAATAGTGTAAAACTGGGCCACTAGAATGCTGATTTAACCAGAATGAGTTCAGCCTTGCTGGTAGACTGTTGGTATTCCAGAGGCTGATCATTCACTAAGCCTTACTAAATGCTGCCTAAAAATGCCAGTGAGCACTTTTAACCAGGTTGCCTTTTTTCTCTCATTGATGTGGTCATGTTGTGGTCTCTTCTATTTATCATAAGCTATTCCAGATTAGAGGTGATTATTTCTCACACAAATGAGACCTCCTTTTTTTCCTCTTCCATGGGATCCTCCTGTTCTCCCTACTTGAAGCAACATGTAGGAGGCAGATACAATGACAATATACAAATATATTTCCTTCCATGTGGCCACTATGAGCAGATTACAACATGGCCCAGCTGGAAGTCACTTACTTCCAGGTCAAGGAGTGTTTTTCTATGATGTGTCTCTTTCTATTAAAAGTACCTCTGGCCGGTCACAGTGGCTCATGCCTGTAATCCCAGCACTTTGGGAGGCCGAGGCGGGCAGATCACCTGAGGTCAGGAGTTTGAGACCAGCCTGACCAGCATGGAGAAACCCTGCCTCTACTAAAAATACAAAATTAGTTGGGTGTGGGTGGCACCTGCCTGTAATCCCAGCTACTAGGGAGGCTGAGGCAGGAGAATCGCTTGAATCTGGGAGACAGAGGTTGCGGTGAGCCGAGATCACACCATTGTACTCCAGCCTGGGCAACAAGAGCAAAACTCCGTCTCTAAATAAATAAATAAAGTAAAATAAAAAAAATAAAATATATAAAAGCACCTCTGATTTAGTTTACCCAATAGTAACCTAATTTCATGGGTGATTTCCCACCACAGTCACACATTTTTTTGCAAGAAAATGAAAGATTACAGGTGTACAACAAACTGATAATCTTGAGGATAATCTTAGAATTTTTTGTTCCCACCTGAATGGACATTTTTTTTTTTTTTTGAGATGGAGTCTCACTCTGTCACCCAGGCTGGAGTGCATGCAGTGGGACCATGTTGGCTCACTGCAATCTCCATCTCCTGGGTTCAAGCAATTCTCCTGCCTCAGCCTCCTGAGTAACTGGGATTACAGGCGCCCACTACCACACCCGGCTAATTGGTTTTTTTAAAAATATTTTTAGTAGAGACGGGGTTTCACCATGTTGGCCAGGCTGGTCTCAAACTCTTGACCTCAGGTGATCCACCCACTTCCACCTCCCAAAGTGCTGGGATTATAGGCGTGAGCCACCGCGCCCGGCCCTGAATAGACTTTTAAAAGTCTTTCAGTTGCTTTTATTATCTCAGTAAACAAAGATATCATCTGCAAATGATAGTTAACTACTTTCCAGTTATATTTATTGCAAATATTAACTATTGTTTTCTGGCTTATTTTTTTATGTACCATTTTATATACTAATACACACATAGAACAATAAAAATGCATCCAATTATTTAATTTTTGTAAAATGTTTATTAAAAATGAGTGTTAAAAATAATTATGTCTTTTCTGCTTGAAGAGAGTTTTTATTGTTGTACTGAAGAGGGTTATCTCTGGATACCAAGCTGCCTGTGGTTTTTTTTTTTTTTTTTTTTTTGACGGAGTCTTGCTCTGTCACCAGGCTAGAGTGCAGTGGCATGATCTCGGCTCACTGCAACCTTCACCTCCTGGGTTCCAGCAACTCTCCTGTCTCAGCCTCCTGAGTAACTGGGACTACAGGTGCCTGCCATCATGCCCAGCTAATTTTTGTATTTTTAGTAGTGATGGGAGTTCACCATGTTGGTCAGGCTGGTCTCGAACTCCTGTCCTCGTGATTCGCCCACCTTGGCCTCTCAAAGTGCTGGATTACAGGCATGAGCCACAGCTCCCGGCCGCTGTTTGTGTTTTAATACTGGCTTTGCTAGTGTGACCAAGTCCTTTCTCTCAGTGGCTCTGTTTCTTCCTCTGTAAAATGAGAATAATAATAAGACCTATGTTATTAAGTTACTGTGAAAATTGAATTCAGTAACACATGCATAGTGTTACAATTAGTGCTCTGTATAAATTAGCTACTTTTAATAAGATATTTATAGGCTGAAAATTACACTAACATGCTTTAACATAGAAATATTATTTCATAACATGAGTTTTTCCACCAACAGATAAATATATATTAAATTAATTCTTCTAAAAATGTAGTATAAACAATGGAACACTATTCAGCCTTAAAAGTGGGTAAATCTCATCATTTGAATCAATAGAGATAAATTTAGAAGGCATTATGCTACATAAAATAAGCCAGACACAAATAGGTTAAGTACTGCATAATTTATTTATATTTTTGTTTGTTTGTTTTTTTGTTTTGTTTTGGAGACAGAGTCTTGCTCTGTCGCCCAGGCTGGAGTGCAGTGGTGTGATCTCGGCTCACTGCAACCTCCGCCTCCCGGGTTCAAGCAATTCTCCTGCCTCAGCCTCCTGAGTAGCTGAGATTACAGACGCCCGCCACCACGCCCAGCTAATTTTTTTGTATTTTTAGTAGAGACGGGGTTTCACCATGTTGGTCAGGCTGGTCTACAAACCCCTGACCTCCTGATCCACCCGCCTTGGCCTCCCAAAGTGCTGGGATTATAGGCATGAGCCACCATGCCCGGCCTATTTATATACTAAACCTAAGAAAGTTTAACTCAAAAAAGCAAAAAGTGGAATAATAGTTATCAGAGGTTGAGGGTGGTGGGAAAGAAATAGAGAACTGTGGCCGGGCGCAGCGGCTCATGCCTGTAACCCCAGCACTTTGGGAGGCTGAGGTGGGCAGATCACCTTAGGTCGGGAGTTCGAGACCAGCCTGACCAACATGGAGAAACCCCATCACTACTAAAAATACAAAATTCGCCGGGTGTGGTGGTGCATGCCTGTAATCCCAGCTACTTGGGAGGCTGAGGCAGGAGAATTGCTTGAACCCGGGAGGCAGAGGTTGCAGTGAGTCGAAATTGTACCATTGCACTCCAGCCTGTGCAACAAGAGCAAAACTCCATCTCAAAAAAAAAAAAAAAAGAAAGAAAGAAAGAAATACAGATTGTTTATCAAAGGGTACAAAGTTTCACATAGACAGGGTAAATAGGTTTTGACATACATTGAACAGCAGGGTGACTATAGTAAACAATCATGTGTTGTAAATTTCAAAATAACTAAATTTCAAATGTCTCACCACAAAAAATGATAGGTAAGCAAGTTGTTAGATATTTTATTTAACTTGACTTAATCATTTTATATTGTATACATAAAATAAAACATCACATTTTACACTATCAATGTATACGACTATAATTTGCCAATCAAAAATACTATTAATACATTATTTTTAAAAATTGAGAAGTAAATTTTAAGAAATTAGGCCAGAGATGCTGGGCATGGTGGCTCACGCCTGTAATCCCAGCACTTTGGGAGGCCGAGGTGGGAGGATCACCTGAGGCTGGGAGTTCGAGACCAGCCTGACCAACATGGAGAAACCCTGTCTCTACTAAAAATACAAAATTAGCCGGGTGTGGTGGTGCATGCCTGTAATCCCAGCTACTCGAGAAGCTGAGGCAGGAGAATAGCTTGAAGCTGGGAGGTAGAGGTTGCAGTGAGATTGAGCCATTGCACCCCAGCCTGGGCAACAAGAGCAAAACTGTGTCTCAAAAAAAAAAAAAAAAGAAAAAGAAAAGAGAAAAAAAAAGAAATTAGGCCAGAGAAAACAGTGTTTTTCAATCTTAAAATTTCAGAAAACGTAAGTATTTTTGTTCTTTGAAATGGCTTACTGAATGAGTGATGTAGATGAGAAAACTTCTAGTATTATGAATAGTCTGAACCCAGTAGTCAGGAATAAATTATCTTTATTTTTATTTATTTATTTATTTATTTTTTTGAAACAGAGTCTTGCTCATTGCCCAGGCTGGAGTGCAATGGCGCGATCTCGGCTCACCGCAACCTTTGCCTCCCGGGTTCAAGCGATTCTCCTGCCTTAGACTCCTGAGTAGCTAGGATTACAGGCATGTGCCACCACGCCCGGCTAATGTTTTGTATTTTTAGTAGAGATGGGGTTTCACCACACTGGCCAGGCTAGTCTTGAACTCCTGACCTCAGGTGATTTGCCCACCTTGGCCTCCCAAAGTGCTGGGATTATAGGCGTGAACCACTGCACCTGGCCCATTATCTTTATTTTTAATGTTCAAAATAATATAATACTTTAAAAGACACACTCTAAAGCAATTGTTTAGAGTAAAATTCTCTCTAAATAAATGATTTCTTTTATTTGTTAGGAAATAAAGGTATTTAAATATATTTTTACACTACATTTCAATTTTTCAAATAAACATAGGTACTTGGCAATTAGAAATTTATTAAATAAGTAAGGAAACAATTTGCCTACTTTCATTTTAAAACTAGCAAATGCTCAATATTTAAGTGCTTATGTTTATTTATTTATTTAACTTATTTTATTTTTTGAGACAGAGTCTCCCTCTGTCACCAGGCTGGAGTGCAGTGGTGCGATCTCTACTCACTGCAACCTCCGCCTCTCAGATTCAAGCAATTCCCCTGCCTCAGCCTCCCAAGTAGCTGGGACTATAGGTGCGTGCCACCACGCCTGGCTAAGTTTTTGTATTTTTAGTAGAGATGGGGTTTCACCATGTTGGCCAGGATGGTCTCCATCTCTTGACCTCGTGATCTGCGCTCCTCTGCCTCCCAAAGTGCTGGGATTACAGGCGTGAGCCACCATGCCCGGCCTTAACTGCTTATTTGTCTAGTGTTACTGGAGTGCTAAAGAGCAATACTCAATGAGAAATCTTTTTATAATATTTATATCCGTGATATATGTAAATATATGGGAATTTTCCAAGGGTAGCATTAAAAGCACTCAACTACTGGCCGGGTGCAGTGGCTCATGCCTGTTATCCCAGCACTTTGGGAGGCCAAGGAGGGCAGATCAACTGAGGTCGGGAGTTTGAGACCAGCCTGACCAGCATGGAGAAACCCCATCTCTACTAAAACTACAAAATTAGCCGTGCGTGGTGGCGTGCACCTGTAATCCCAGCTACTCAGGAGGCTGAGGCAGGAGAATCGCTTGAACCCGAGAGGCGGAGGTTGCGGTAAGCCAAGATAGTGCCATTGCACGCCAGCCTGATGACACAGCGAGACTCTGTCTCAAAAATAAAATAAAATAAATCTAACTACCATTATAGCCCAAGACTGGCTGATTAGTATAAACATGGGTGGCTGGGCGTGGTGGCTCATGCCTGTGATCCCAGCACTTTGGGAGGCTGAGGTGGATGGATCACAAGGTCTGGAGTTCAAGACCAGCCTGGCCAAGATGGTGAAACCCCTTCTATACTAAAACTGCGAAAATTAGCCAGTCGTGTTGGCAGGTGCCTGTAGTCCCAGCTACTTGGGAGGCTGAGGCAGGAGAATTGCTTAAACCCAGGAAGCGGAGGTTGCAGTGAGCTGAGATCATGCCACTGCACTCCAGCCTGGGCAACAGAGTGAGACTCTGTCTCAAAAAAAAAAAAAGAATAAACATGGGTTGCAAATCACTGATGTGGCCACCTGTTTTTCAGGCTTAACATTTATTATGATGTAACAATTAACAAATAAAAGTGAATAAATTTTCTGTACACTTGCTATGTGGTTGGTGTACCTATGGCATCATTATCAGCATTAGTTGCCTTAATTTTACAAAACCCTAGAATTTAGGCACTATTATCCTCACTGTGCAACTGAAGAGTCAAGCACAGAGAGGTCATGAAAATGTATTCAGGTCATACAGCCCACAAGTGGCAGACAAAATGCAATCAGGAACCACCTGATACCAAGTTTCAGTCTTAACCATTGTGCCCAGCACCGTCATATCCAATTCTTGCTTTCATTCCTGACCTAACATTTCGGCTTTGAATTTTATAATATAGTAGAAATAAATAGAAACTTAAAAACCACTTTTTTTTTAACCCTTAGATAGTATGTAGAACTTGATTTTTGGTTTAAAGTACTCATTACTAAGCCTAACACAAATACTTTGGTAAATGGATTCCAACAACAATATTTCTCTAGTGATTTAAAAGAGCTGCTAATTTTGCTTATAAAATATACTGAATTTTTACATTAAAAGCTAAAATGAGCTTATAATTATATAGACAATTTGTTGTCTACATCAACATCATTATTGATTGAATGGTCTACAGTGTCTGAAAGTTTCAGAAACAATAATATAATAATACTTTTTTCTATTGAAAATTTTAAAATATTGTTTTCTTAGTGACTAAAATGAAATAGATTGGCATTACTAATCAGTCACTTACCAGTGACCAAGGAGATACCTACAGTTAGGTGACTATCAGTAAAAACTGTAGACTGAACTTCACTCACAGAAAAAATTATATAAAATAAGAGTGAGAAATTTCTTCATATTGTTATAGCAATATGTGAAAGAAATATTATTCTAAATTTCATATCCACAGAGCTCATTTTATTATTGTGCAACATTTAACATTCACACGTAAAAACAGAAGACTCTGCATAAAGATGTAAGTTGGGTCGGGCGCAGTGGCTCACGCCTGTAATCTCAGCACTTTGGGAGACCGAGGTGGGTGGATCATGAGGTCAGGAGTTTGAGACCAGCCTGGCCAACATACTGAAACCCTGTCTTTACTAAAAATACAAGAAATTAGCCAGGCGTGGTGCCAGGCACCTGTAATCCCAGCTACTTGGGAAGCTGAGGCAGGAGAATCGCTTGAACCCGGGAGGCAGAGGTTGCAGTCAGTGGAGATCACACCTTTGCACTCCAGCCCGGGCAACAGTGCAAGACTCTGTCTCAAAAAAAAAAAAGAAAGAAAGAAAAAAAGAAAGTTGTGCTGTAAGTATATCACAGCAAAATTAAATTTAAAATTATGTATCATTGACCGGGCAGGGTGGCTCATGCCTGTAATCCCAGCACTTTGGGAGGCTGAGGTGGGTGGATCACGAGGTCAGGAATTTGAGACCAGCCTGGCCAACATAATGAAACCCCGTCTCCACTAAAAATACAAAAATTAGCCGGGCATGGTGGTGCACGCATGTTGTCCCAGCTACTTTGAAGGCTGAGGCAGAAGAATTGCTTGAACCGGGAAGCGGAGGTTGTGGTGAGCCAACGTCACATCACTGCACTCCAGCCTGGGCAACAGGGTGAGACTCCCTCTCCAAAATAAAATAAAATAAAATAAAAATTTAAAACAATTATGTATCATTAACCCTCTCAAAAGTCTAATTTCAAAGATATAGTATCTCACAAATTTTATATTTGCCAGAATTTGTGTATGAATGTAGGCTGGGTGCAGTGGCTTATGCTTGTAATCCCGGCACTTTGGGAGGCCGACATGGGTGAATCACGAGGTTAGGAGTTCAAGACCAGCCTGGCCAACATGGTGAAACCCTGTCTCTACTAAAAATACAAAAATTAGCTGGGCGTGGTGGCACGCGCCTGTAGTCCCAGCTACTCAGGAGGCTGAGGCAGGAGAACCGCTTCAACCTGGGAGGCAGAGGTTGCAGTGAGCTGAGATTTCACCCCTGCACTCCAGCCTGGGTGACAGAGTCAGACTGTCTCAAAAAAAAAAAAAAGAATTGAATAAGAGTTTTCTTTGACAAACAAAGAAAAACAATGCTAACTGATGTAATTTTCTCACCTGTGGACAGTATATGCCTCTTATTTTAATTAACTAATCTGAAAGTTACATTGCTAAATAAATTTTCTAGTTAAAATCAATTTTCTGTGCAATAAAAAGTACCAACTTTTAAATTAGAACCTACAAAGTACCATGTAAAATGTCATGGCATAAAGACAACAGTGAGAAAACTGTCACCAATACACAATAAATAAAGAAGGGCTGTGATGCATACATTCTTGGAATCCCCATAATAAGACAAACAAAACTGAGAATAATTAGGAAAGGAAAAAGGCAGAATTGATCTTTAAATTCAGCAAGAGTCAGCTTTGCAGCCTGGAAAACATGTCCTCTCCACATGAAGAATAAATGTTATTTCTTCACCATTGCTATTTTCCATCCCTGACTTGAAGTTACAAACTAACTCCAGCAGGAATATTTATGGTGTATTATAAAGCATCTGTGACACAGCAAGCCCTGTCATGTTTGTTTGCTGCATTTATGTATAGAAACATCCTCATGACTTATGAAGTCTCCCTAGTACTGACCTGAACAAATTGGCCCAATCAATCAATAAATTTACTTATGTCATTTATAAAAAGTGAAAGGAACAATAACTAAAGAAATGTAGGCTCATGTAGGGTTCTCCAATTAATAAATGAAAATGGAATGTTCTAACTAAATAAAATATAAATTAATGTATTAGTCCATTTTTATGCTGCTGCTGATAAAGACATACCCAAGACTGGGCAATTTACAAAAGAAGGAGGTTTATTGGACTTACAGTTCCACATGGCTTGGGAAGCCTCACAATCATGATGGAAGGCAAGGAGGAGCAAATCACTTCTTACATGGATGGCAGCAGACAGAGAGCTTGTGAAAAGAAACTTTCGTTTTTAAAACCATCAGATCTCATGAAACCCATTCACTGTCATGAGAACAGCACAGAAAAGATGCTGTTCAATCATCTACAATTCAATGATTCAATCCTCTCCCACTGGGTCCCTTCCACAAGAGGGAGGAATTATGTGAGCTACAAGATGAGATATGCATGTGGACATAGAGCCAAACTATATCATTCTGCCCCTGGTCTCTCCCAAATCTCATACATTCACATTTCAAAACCCGTCATGCCTTCCAAATAGTCCCCCAAAGTTGTTTTTTTTTTTTTTTTTTTTTTTTGAGAGGGAGTCTAGCACTGTCGCCCAGGCTGGAGTGCAGTGGCGTGATCTCTGCTCACTGCAAGCTCTGCCTCCCAGGTTCATGCCATTCTCCTGGCTCAGCCTCCTGAGTAGCTGGGACTACAGGCACCTGCCACCATGCCTGGCTAATTTTTTTGTATTTTAAGTAGAGACGGGGTTTCACCATGTTAGCCAGGATGGTCTCAATCTCCTGACCTCGTGATCCGCCCACCCGCCTTGGCTTCCCAGAGTGCTGGGATTACAGGCGTGAGCCACCATGCCCGGCCTGTCCCCTGAAGTTTTAATTCATTTCAGTATAAACTCAAAAGTCCACAGTTTAAATTCTCATGTGAGACCAGAGAAGTCCCTTCCACCTATGAGCCAGTAAAATCAAAGCAAGTTCGTTACTTCCTAGATACAATGGGAGTAAAGGCATTGGGTAAATGTAGCCACTCCAAATGGGAGAAATTGGTCAAAATAAAGGGACTGAAGGCCCCATGCAAGTCCGAAATCCAGTGGGGTGGTCAAATACTTAAAGTTCCAAAATGATCTCCTTTGACTTCATGTCCCACATCCAGATTATGCTGATGCAAAAGATGGTTTCCCATTGTCTTGGGCAGCTACACCCTTGTGGCTTTGCAGAGTACGGGCTTCTCTTTGCTGCTTTCATGGGCTGGCGTTGAGTGACTGTGGCTTTTCTGGGTGCACAGTGCAAGCTGTCGGTGGATCTACCATTCTGGGATCTGAAAGATGGTGGCCCTCTTCTCACAGCTCCATTAGATGGTGCTTCAGTAGGGACTCTGTGTGGAGGCTCTGACCCCACATTTTCCTTCCACACTGCCCTAGCAGAGGTTCTCCATGAGGGGCCTGCCCCTGCAGCAGTCTTTCATCTGGGCATTCAGGGGTTTCCATACATCTTCAGAAATCTACGTAGAGGTTCCTAAACCTCTGTTCTTGACTTCTGTGCACCTGCAGGCTCAACACCACATGGAATCTGCTGAGGCTTGGGGATTCCACCCTCTAAAGGCACAGCTCGAGCTGTACATTGGCCCGTTTCAGCCATGGCTGGAGCAGCTGGAACACAGGGCACCAAGTTCCTAGGCTGGAAACAGCACAGGAACCCTGGGGCCAGCCCATAAAACCATTTTTTGCTCCTGGACCTCCAGGCATCTGATGGGAAGGGCTGCCATGAAGGTCTGTGACATGGCCTGGAGACATTTTCCCCATGGTCTTGGGGATTTACATTAGGCTCCTTGCTACTTATGCAAATTTCTGCAGCCAGCTTGTATTTCTCCCCAGAAAATGGGTTTTTCTTTTCTATTGCATAGTCAGGCTGCAAATTTTCCAAACTTTTATGCTCTGCTTCCCTTGTAAAACTGAATGCCTTTAACAGCACCCAAGTCACCCCTTGAATGCTTTTCTGCTTAGAAATTTCTTCTGCCAGATACTCTAAATCATCTTTCTGAAGTTCAAAGTTTCACAAATCTCTAGGGCAGGGGCAAAATACCACCAGCCTCTTTGCTAAAACATAACAAGAGTCACCTTTACTCCAGTTCCCAACAAGTTCCTCATCCCCATCTGAGGCCACCTCAGCCTGGACCTTATTGTCCATATCACTATCAGCATTTTGGGCAAAGCCATTCAACAAGTCTCTAGGAAGTTACAAACTTTATCACACTTTCCTCTCTTCTTCTGAGCCATCCAAACTGTTTCAACCTCTGCCTGTTACCCAGTTCCAAAGCTTCTTCCACATTTTTGGGTATCCTTTTAGCAGTGCCCCACTCTACTGGTACCAATTTACTGTATTAGTTCATTGTCATGCTGCTGATAAAGGCATACCTGAAACTGGCAATAAAAAGAGTTTTAAGTGGACTTACAGTTCCACATGGCTGGGGAGACCTCAGAATCATGGTGGAAGGTGAAAGGCACTTCTTACGTGGTGGCAGCAAGAGAAAAATGAGGAAGAAGCAAACGCAGAAACCCCTGATAAACCCATCAGATATGGTGAGGTTTAATCACTACCACAAGAATAGCACAGGAAAGACTGGTCCCCATTATTTAATTACCTCTCACTGGGTCCCTCTCACAACATGTGGGAATTCTGGAAGATACAATTCAAGTTGTGATTTTGATGGGGACACAGCCAAACCATATCACTGATATTTATTCTGAATTAACAGATCCCTTCCCAACAAGGGGTGGGGCATTCAAAGTCTGAAGAGCAGCTTAAAGGATAGGTAAAACATGGTGGGTCAAAACAGAGTTAGCATTCCAGAAGGAATGTAATATTCTTACCTGCCACATCAAGGGTTACCCAAGGCTCCTCCATAGATATAGTTAGTTGTCCAACAGGAGCTGTGGCTGAAGGTCTCAGTCCCATCGCTCTTGGGCTTGCCTGGCTATTTCAGCCATCATGGGTTTGGGTGCTGATGGCTCCCTTCAGAATGCTGGGTAATCCCTTTTCCAATGGCCAGTTTTCTTACAATGTGCACACTGATTTATGCCCAAAGCATGGTGACTCAGATGCCCAGCTTTGGGCTTCCCACCTTTCAGCTTCCCTTGTTCAGGCCAAGAGCCAGGAGGCAATCCCATGTTTGATGTGAGCTTAAGGCTGCAGCCAAGAGCCGTGCTTGTGGGAGGTCCTTCTTGCACTTTCTGCTTCCTCTGCTTTGTCCCTGTTATTAAAAACTAAAAATTCTATATCCACAGCTGTTCCTTAGAAGTTTGGGGACTCACAGCTGCTTTTAATAGGTTTCTATGGATATCAGGGGCAGACTGGGTTATAAAATGTACTCCCAGAATGGTTCATCTTTCCCTTGAGGCAGGATCAATGTTAGTATATATCCCGATTTCTTCAACTAAACGCCCTTGAACAAAGTTGGATTCTCATCTTTGCCCTCAGAAACTTCCTTAACCTTTTTATAGTCAACAGACTTTTTCTTTTTCTTTTCTTTTTTTTTTTTTTTTGAGACAGAGTCTCGCTCTGTTGCCCAGGCTGGAGTGCAGTGGCACGATCTTGGCTCACTGCAAGCTCCACTTCCCGGGTTCACGCCATTCTCCTGCCTTGGCCTCCCAAGTAGCTGGGACTACAGGTGCCCACAACTACGCCCAGCTAATTTTTTGTATTTTTAGTAGAGACGGGGTGTCACCATCTTAGCCAGACTGGTCTCGATCTCCTGACCTTGTGATCTGCCTGCCTCGGCCTCCCACAACAGGCTTTTTCATACATTTCTTCATCCCTTTCAAAAAATAAGTGACCATATTCTCTCTCCACCCCAAGTCCTCACTGCCTCTTTGATAGTTCCACTGTGGATCTTGATCTTGAACTGCTGAACCTCCTGCCTGATATATATTATGGTTCAGGTTTCAAGACAATACCTCATCTGCATGCGCCCTAGCTGTCACCAAAATGCATTCTCTTTTACTGTACAACACAGAGACAACAAAATGTGCAGATCCTGTCCAGTTAAACTATAGGTCAGAGTTAATTTCTCAAACTCATCTAGGAATTTTCCTGGATCTTCAGAGAAATGACCAAACTTCTCTTTACATAGAGCCAAATCAGACATAGAAAAGGGGACATGTCCTCTCACAGTGCCTTCTTCCCCATTTGCCACCTCTGTAAGTGGACAGATTTCCCTTTGGAGGTTGATAGGCAGCTCCACTAGAGTAGTACTCGTTGGGCTCAGTTCCTCAGGGAGTGGTGGGTGTAGAGAGGGACTAGTCCGGTAAGGAAGAGGAGATGAAGGATTATCAACAGAACTTTCAGGTGGGCTAGAGGAAGAAAGGACCGACACATCTGAACCTTTAGAGGTGACAGAAGGGTCTGCTCCACTCAAAACTGCACGCTGAACCAGGGGCGGGGGCGGGGGCGGGGGGGGGGCTTGCATTAAAGGATCATCTTGCATGTCTAGCTCTTTTTCTTCTTTTTCTCTCATCAAACATGTTTCACATTATCCAACTAACATAAGTGAGCCAAGCCATGAATCTTATTTTATTTTATTTTATGTTTTTTTTTTTTGAGACGGAGTCTCGCTGTCACCCAGGCTGGAATGCAATGGTGCGATCTGGGCTCACTGCAAGCTCCGCCTCCCGGGTTTACGCCATTCTCCTGCCTCAGCCTCCCGAGTAGCTGGGACTACAGGCGCCCGCCACCACGCCCAGCTAATTTTTTGTATTTTTAGTAGAGGTGGGGTTTCACCGTGTTAGCTAGGATGGTCTCGATCTCCTGACTTCGTGATCCGCCTGCCTTGGCCTCCCAAAGTGCTGGGATTACAGGCGTGAGCCACTGCGCCTGGCCAAGCCATGAATCTTAAACCACAAATGGACTTTGACAAAAATGTCGAATAAGGCAAAGGAAATGAAGAAGATTTAGATGGGAATGACCAGAGCAAGCAGGTTCTGGGCAATAGCGACAGTGTGGATTAAACAAGCAGAGCCAGTTTGCCTGAATCCAAGAAAGGAAAGAATTGTATTTTTAGTGTGCAAAGTGAAACAAAACAGCAAGGAGAAAAGTTCCCTGATTTCCATCCTAGTGCTTCTCGATCACGCCTAGTCACTATAGCAGCAACAAAGCAAAACCACATCTATGTAATTTTATTGCTCATAGCTGTTAAATACTAAATCTCAATTAGCCATTTTGGAGACGGAGCCTTCAATGCTTTTTGTTCCCAATGTTTCACAAGCAAACGGACGGAAATCAGGAGGCACACAGAAAAAGAATAAGTTAACATCCCTAAGATCAGTTAAAGTTTCCTGAAAATGACAGTGAAGACCGGGCTCGGTGGCTCACACCTGTAATCCCAGCACTTTGGGAGGCCGAGGCCGGCGGATCATCTGAAACCAGGAGTTTGAGACCAGCCTGGCCAACATGGTGAAACCCCACCTCTACTAAAAATACAAAAATCAGCCGGGCATGGTGGCAAGCGCCTGTAGTCTCAGCTACTTGAGAGGCTGAGGCAGTAGAACTGCTTGAATCTGGAAGTGGAGGTTGCAGTGAGCCGAGATCGCGCCACTGCACTCCAGACTGGGCAGCAGAGTGAGACACATCTAAAAAATAAAATAAAATAAAATCATGACAATGAAACAGAGACAGCACCCAAGAAATTGATTCATGCAGCAAGGAGAAGGCAGATTAATACAAAGAGCATAGCCTGCAGTGCCAAGCCCGTTTTCAGCTGAGAGGGACTTTACCAAGAGGTCCCTAAACCTTAGAAGGGACTCTAACTCTCCTAAATCAGGCGTCTGACGTCGGGGTCAGTCAAGCATTCTTTCCTTTTATTAAGAGGGGCCTCTAACCCAATCCTATTCTTTAACCGGGTACCCCACCACTTACCCAAAGTCATCCAATCAGTGCTGCAGCCTATTTCCTTTGGGTTGGAGGGTTTCTTTAGTATCGTCCCTTCCGTGGTTCACCAGAAAGATGTTACAGGACCTCAACACTTAGGCAAAGGTAGCCATTGGGTCAGGGTTTCTGCACTATAGTCCCTTCTGTGGTCACCAGAAACATGTTACAGGAAAGGGGTCCCGATCCAGACCCCAACAGAGGGTTCTTGGATCTCACGCAAGAAAGAATTTAGGGCAAGTCCGCAGTGCAAAGCAAAAGCAAGTTTATTAAGAAAGTAAAGTGGTGAAAGGACAGCTAGTCCATAGACAAAACAGGACGTTCCTGAAAGTAAGAGAAGAATGCATCCCCCTAGGTACAATGCTTGTATATGTGGGGAGATGTGTTCTGCTACAAGGGTTTGTAATACATAATTAATTTTCTTACTATATTTTGTGAGAATCGATATTATTATCTTTAAAGCAAAATTAGGAATGCCTTTGTTCTCCAGATGTCAGGATATCTGGACACACCCAAGTCTGAGTCTGTTTGGTAAACATTATTAATTTGTTCCCTTAACCATAAACATTTAGAGGCTAGGAATGCCTAATTTTCTGGGCATACAGCCCAGCAAGCCTAAGCCTCTTTTTTTTTTTTTTTTTTTTTTTTGAGACGGAGTCTGGCTCTGTCGCCCAGGCTGGCGTGCAGTGGCGCAATCTCGGCTCACTGCAAGCTCCGCCTCCCGGGTCACGCCATTCCCCTGCCTCAGCCTCCCGAGTAGCTGGGACTACAGACGCCCGACACCATGCCCGGCTATTTTTTGGTATTTTTAGTAGAGACGGGGTTTCACCGTGTTAGCCAGGATGGTCTTGATCTCCAGACCTCGTGATCCGCCCGCCTCAGCCTCTTAAAGTGCTGGGATTACAGGCCTGAGCCACCGCGCCCGACGTCTCAGCCTCATTTTTGTAGCCCTCACTCAAAATGGAGTTGCTCTGTTTCGAACGCCTCTGACATAACCACTGCAGGAACATACCAAGAAAAAACAAAAGATTTCACAGACCCTTTGAAAAAAGCAGCTTGTTACTGCAAACTCTGTGACACAGCTGAAGAACTGTGAGTTCCCCAAAGTGTAAGAGAAAGAAAGTCTACCTTTGAACACACATCCCCACAGGGGGACCTGAAAAATCCAGATCAAAGGAAATGTATTTAACCTTACCTAGAGCTGAAATGAATTTAGGGAGCTGAGTGAAATATAAAAGAAGCAGCCAGGGAAAGAGCCCATAGGCATTCCCAGTCCCCAGCTCATGACCAAAAGAGTCATACCTGACTTTATCTCACAAGGGTCTTTGTGAAAGGCAGCCAGCAGAATTAGGGAGGGGCCAAAAAAATTAAAAAAGCTTTTAGTGAACTGTGCAATAATTTTGACCAAGCATAAATTTTACTGCGCAGAGTCTGCAGAAGTGAATAGGAAGTGCAGATATAAGCACAGAAGCTGTGCAGCTAAGTGTGTGGGCAGGTGGGGAGGGGTGAAGCCTGAAAGCCTTTCTGACTTTCTCAGGGATAGGCATGTAGCCTGGGGCAAGATCTCAACTCTGCACGCTGGCTGCCTTGATATAAACTCCATGCTTTTGGCAGGACAGGGTGGGAATGGAATGAGACAGGCCTTGCTGGCTGCATGGGAGCTGGGTGAGGCCTGCCACTGCCAGCTTTTTCTCGCTTTTCTTGGTGCTCTGTATGAAGCAGCAAAGGCAGCCATAACCTCCCTTAAAACATAACTCCATTGGCTTGAGAACCACCTCTCCTCCAACAGTGGCTGCAGCAAGCCACACCCCCTGAGAGTCTGAGCTCAGACCGGTCTAATCCTGCCTCTGCCTGATGATTTTTCTCTACTCAACCTGGTAGCCGAAGGCAAAATAAATTAACTTTTGGAAGATCTATGGTCCCACCCATCACCTGAGAATCCTGAACGGGTATCCTGGTTAACTAGGGCAAGTCTATACCCCCTTTCTACTACCACAGCTGGTGTTCTCCTGAAAGCACCACCTTTTGGCTGGAGGCCAACTGACACAAGCCATAACAGCGACTCGTAACAGAACAGCCCTGCTCCAAAGAAAAAAAAAAAGAAAAACTAATTCCACCACCTGTAACATCCTGGCTAACCAGAGGTCCTGAGTCTGTCCACATGACAAATTCACTGCTTGCATAACAAGCAATTGAGAAAACCAATGCACTAAATAAAACTACAACCAAGGTCTCTCACACAGTCAACTTCACTTCCCTGCCACCTCCACTGAAGCAGGTGCTGGTATTCATGGCTGAGAGACCTGAAGACAGATTACATCACAGGACACTTTGTAGACATTCCTCAATATCAGCCTGGAGCTGTAGAGCTCCACTGGTTTACTAGTCCCAGAAGAACAATAACAATCACTGTAGTCTGACTTGCAGAAAGCCCATCCCTAGGAAAAGTGAGAAAGCACCACATCAAGAAATCACTACATGGGACAGAAGAATCTGAACAGGAGCCTTTGAGTCCAAGATCTTTCCACTGAAATAGTCTAGCCAAATGAGAAGAAACCAGAGAAGTAATTCCAATATGACAAAACAAGGTTCTATAACAACCCCAGAATATTGCACTAGCTCTTCTATAATCATTCTAAACCAAGAAGAACTGTCTGAGTTGCCAGAAAATAAATTGAGAAAGTTGATTATTAAGCTACTAGAGAAACCAGAGGAACAAGAAAACCAGCTTAAAGAAATTTAAAAAATTAATACAAGATATGAATTTAAAAATTTCCAAAGGAATAAATACTATAAATTAAAAAACAATCACCACTTCTGGAAATGAAAGACACACTTACAGAAATACAAAATAAACTGGAAAGTTTAAACAATAGACTACAACAAGTTGAAGAAAGAACTTCAGAGCTTGAAGAAAAGTCTTTCAGATTAAATCAGTCTGGCAAAGACAAAGAAGAAAGAATCAACAAAATGAACAAAGCCTCTAAGAAAATTGGGATTATGTTAAATGACCAAACCTAGGAGTAATTGGTGGTCCTGAAAAAAACAAAAAGATAAATTTACATGTTTGGAAATTTTATTTGAGTGAATAATTGAGAAAAAATTCTCAGGTCTTGCTAATGATCTAGACATCCAAACACAAGAAGCTCAAAAAACACTTGGAAAATTTATCACAAAAAGATCATCACCTATTCATGTAGTCATTAGGTTATCTAAATTCATGATGAAGAAAAGAATCATAAGAGCTGTGAGGAAAAGCATTAGGTACCCTATAAACAAAACTTACCAGATTAACACAGTTTACTCAGCAGAAACCCTACAAGAAAGAAGGGACTGGAGTCCTGTCTTTAGCCTCCGTAAACAACACAATTTTTAGCCAAGAATGTTGTATCCAGTGAGGGTAAGCTTCATAAATGAAGGAGAGATAAAGTCATTTTCAGAAAAACAAGTGTTGAGAGGATTTACCAGTACCAAGCCAGCAATAGAAGAAATGCTAAAAGAACTTCTAAATCTTGAAACAAAACCTCAAAATACACCAAAATAGTACCTCCTTAATGCATAAGTCTCACAAGGCCTATAAAACAATAACAAAAAAACTCAAAGATATGCAGGCAACAGCTAACCTGATGAATACAGCAGTACCTCACATCTCAAAACTAACATTAAATGTCAATAACCTAAATGCTCTACTTAAAAGATGCAGAATGGCAGAATAAATAAAAATTTATGGCTAGGCACGGTGGCTCACGCCTGTAATCCCAGCATTTTGGGAGGCCGAGGTGGGTGGTTCACCTGAGATCAGGAGTCCGAAACCAGCCTGGCTACCACGGTGAAACCCCATCTCTACTAAAATAGAAAAATTAGCCAGGTATGGTGGCGTGCGCCTGTAATCCCAGCTACTCAGGGGGCTGAGGCAGGAGAATTGCTTGAACCTGAGAGGCAAAGGTTGCAGTGAGCCAAGATCGTGCCACTGCACTCCAGCCTGGGCAACAAGAGTGACACTCCATCTCAAAAGAAGAAAAAAAATTACCAACCAAGTATCTGCTGTCTTTAAGAGACTTGCCTAACAAATAAAAACTCAAATAAACTTAAGGCAAAGAAATGGAAAAAGATATTCTATGCAAATGGAAACAAAAAGTAAGGAGGAGTAGCTATTCTCATAGCAGACAAAACAGACTTTAAAGCAACAATGGTAAAAAACAAAACAAAACAAAAAAACAAAGAATAACATTATATAATAGTAAAAGAACTAGTCCAAACAGGAAGACATCACAATTCTAAATCCATATGCACCTAACACTGGAGCTCCCAAATTTATAAAACAATTTCTGCTAGGCATAAGAAAGGAGATAGAGAGCAACAAAATAATAATGGGGTACTTTAATACCCCACTGACAATACTAGAAAGGTCATCTAGACAGAAAGTCAACTAAGATACAGTGAATTTAAACTATACTCTAGAATAAATTGACTTAACAGATATTTACAAAACATTCTACTCAAC
Organism: Homo sapiens; assembly: GCF_000001405.40. NCBI lineage: Eukaryota > Metazoa > Chordata > Mammalia > Primates > Hominidae > Homo > Homo sapiens. Next base: position 23,696,680 of record NC_000019.10, on the reverse strand, counting down.
AACTGAAGAATATACATTCTATTTATTAGCACATAAAACATTATCCAAAATAGACCATATAATTAGGCTACAAAACAAGTCTCACCAAATTTAAGAAAATCAAAATTATGTCAAGTATTCTCTCAGGCCACATTGGAATAAAATTGGAAATCAACTCCAAAATAAATCCTCAAAACCATGCAAATGCATGGAAATTACATAACCTGCTCTTGAATAATTGTTGTGTCAGCAATGAAGTCAAGATGGAAATTTAAATTTTTTTATAACTAAACAATAGTAGTGGCACAACCTATCAAAACCTCTGGAATACAGCGGAAGTGGTGCTAAGAGGAAAGTTCATAGCATTAAATGCCTACATCAAAAAGTCTGAAAGGGCACAAATTGAAAATCTAACCTCACACCTCAGGGAACTAGAGAAACAAGAACAAACCAAACCCCAACCCAGCAAAAAACAAAAACAAACAAACAAACAAAAAAACAAACAATAATCAGAGAAGAATTAACATAATTGAAATTTTAAATAGCACAAAAGACAAATGAAACAAAAATTTGTTTTTTAAAAGATAACCAAAATTAATAGACCATTAGTGAGATTAACCAAGAAAAGAAGAAAGAACATCTAAATAAGCTCAATTAGAAACAAAATGTGAGATATTACAACCAGTACCACAGAAATACAAAAGATAATTCATGGCTACTATGAATACTTTTACATGCACAAACTAGGAAACCTAGAGGAGCTGGATAAATTCCTGGAAATGTACAACCCTCTTTGATTAAACCAGAAAGAAGTAGAAACTCTGCATAGACCAATAACAAGTAGTGAGATTGAAACAGTAATAAAAAATTTCCAAAAAAAAAAAAAAAAGTCCAGGACCAGATGGATTCACAGCTGAATTCTATGAGGCATTTAAGGAAGAATTGGTACCAACCTAAATAAAACTATTTCAAAAATAGAGAAAGAGGATATCTTTCCTAAATCATTCCATGAAGCCAGTATCACCCTAATACCAAAACCAGGAAAGAACATAGCACAAAACTACACACTAATATTCCTGATGAACATAGATGCAAAAATTCTTAACAAAATACTAGCTAACCAAATACAACAGCATATCAAATAATAATACACCATGATCAGGTGCATTTTATACCAGGGATGTAGGGGTGGTTTAACATACGTAAGTCAACAAATGTGATACCTCACATAAGCAGAATTAAAAACAAAAACCATATGATCATCTCAACAGATGCAGAATAACATTTGTTTTTCCTTCAGATGAAATCTCTGTCACCTGCACTGCAGTGCAGTGACATGATCTTGGCTCACTGAAACTTCTGCCTCCCGGGTTCAAGAGATTCTCATGCCTCGGCCTCCCAAGTAGCTAAAATTAAAAGTACAGGTGTGCGCCACTACACTCAGCTAATTTTTTGTATTTTGGTAAAGAAAGAGTTTCACCATGTTGCCCAGGCTAGTCTTGAACTCCTGAGCTCGGGCAACCCACCAGTCTTGGCCTCCCAAGCTGCCAGGATTACACACATAAGCCACCACACTCAGACGAGAAAAACATATTTAAAATCCAGCATCTTTTTATGATTGAAACTCTCAGCAAAATCGGCACGGGGGTACATACCTTAAGGTAATAAAAGCCATCTGTGACAAATCCATGGCCAACATTATACTGAATGAGGAAAAATTAAAACTTTCTTCCTGACAACTGGAACAAGACAAGAATGGTCACTTACATCACTTCTATTCAACATAGTGCTGGAAATCCTAGCTGGAGCAATTAGACAATAAAAATAAATAAATAAATTGCATTCAAATCTGTAAAGAGGAAGTCAAGCTGTCACTGTTTTCTGAATTCATGATTTTATACCTAGAAAACCCTAGAGATTTATTAAAAAGCTTCTAGATCTAATGAATACATTCAGTAAACTTTCAGAATACAAAATCAATGTATACAAATCGGCACCACTGCTATACACCAACAGCTACCAAGCTGAAAATCGAATCAAGAACTCAACTCGTTGCAAAAACCTGCAAAAAAATAAAATAATTAGAAATATACCTAACCAAGGAGGTGAAATACATCTACAAAGAAAATTACAAAACACTGCTTAAAGAAACCATAGATATCACAAACAAATGGAAACATATCCCATGCTCATGGATAGGTAGTGTCAATATTGTAAAAATGACCATACTGACGAAAGCATTCTACAAGTCAGTTTTTGTCAAAATGCCACCATCGTTCTTCACAGAATTAGGAAAAGAAATCCTAAAATTCATATAGAGCCTAAAAAAAGCCCACATAGCCAAAGCAAGACTAAGCAAAAAGTAAAAAATCAGAGGCATCACATTACCTAACTTCAAACTATACTACCAGGCTATAGTTACCAAAACAACATGCTACTGGTATGAAAGTAGACACACAGACAAATAGAACAGAATAGTGAACTCAGAAATAAAGCCAAATACTTGCAGCCAACTGATCTTTGAGAAAGTAAATAAATATGTAAGGTAGGAAAAGGACACCCTATTCAACAAATGCTGCTGGGATAATTGGCAAACCACATGTGGAAGAATAAAACTGAATCTTCATCTCTTATCTTATACAAAAATTAACTCAATATGGAGAAAATATTTACATCTAAAACTTGAAACTGTAAACATTGTAGAAGCTAACATCAGAAAAACTGTTCTAGACATTGGCTTAGGCAAATAGTGCATGACCAAGAACCCAAAAGCAAATAAAACAAAAACAAAGAAAAATAAATGGGACTTAATTAAACCAGAAACCTTCTTGACCACAATAGAAATAATCAGCAAAGTAAACTTACAAGCCGCCAAGTGGGAGAAAATCTTCACAGTCTATTCATCCAACAAAAGACAAATATTCTGAATCTACAAGGAACTCAAAAGAATCAGAAAAAAAAAATCCCATGAAACAGTAAGCTAAAAACATGAATAAACAATTCTCAAAAGGAGATATACAAATGGCCAAAAAACATATAAAAACATGCTAAACATCACTAGCTATCAGGGAAATGCAAATCAAAACCACAATGTGATACCACCTTACTCCTACAATGAAGGGGTGGGTTGCCCCTCCACACCTGTGGGTGTTTCTTGTTAGGTGGAACGAGAGACTTGGAAAAGAAAAAGACACAGAGACAAAGTATAGAGAAAGAAATAAGGGGACCCAGGGAACCAGCGTTCAGCATATGGAGGATCCCGCCAGCTTCTGAGTTCCCTTAGTATTTATTGATCATTCGTGGGTGTTTCTCTGAGAGGGGGATGTGTCAGGGTCACAAGACAATAGTGGGGAGAGGGTCAGCAGACAAACACGTGAACAAAGGTCTTTGCATTCATAGACAAGGTAAAGAATCAAGTGCTGTGCTTTTAGATATGCATACACATAAACATCTCAATGCTTTACAAAGCAGTATTGCTGCCCGCCTGTCCCACCTCCAGCCCTAAGGCAGTTTTTCCCCATCTCAGTAGATGGAACGTGCAATCGGGTTTTATACCAAGACATTCCATTGCCCAGGGACGGGCAGGAGACAGATGCCTTCCTCGGGCTGGGGGACGGTCAGGTCTTTCCCTTCCCAGGAGGCCAAATTTCAGACTGTCACATGGGGAGAAACCTTGGACAATACCTGGCTTTCCTAGGCAGAGGTCCCTGCGGCCTTCCGCAGTTTTTGTGTCCCTGGGTACTTGAGATTAGGGAGTGGTGATGACTCTTAAGGAGCATGCTGCCTTCAAGCATCTGTTTAACAAAACACATCTTGCACAACGCTTAATCCATTTAACCCTGAGTTTGACACAGCACATGTTTCAGAGAGCACGGGGTTGGGAGTAAGGTCATAGATTAACAGAATCTCAAGGCAGAAGAATTTTTCTTAGTACAGAACAAAATGGAGTCTCCTATGTCTACTTCTTTCTACACAGACACAGTAACAATCTGATCTCTCTTGCTTTTCCCCACACTACAAGAATGGTCTTAATTAAAAAATTTAAAAATACTAGCTGTTGACAGAAATGTGGTGAAACAAAAGCACTTTTACACTGCTGGTGGGAATGTAAACTAGTACAACCACTAGAGAAAAACAGTATGAAGATTTTTTAAAGAACTAAAGGTAGGGCTGGGAGGGGTGGCTCACGCCTGTAATCCCAGCATTTTGGGAGGCGGAGGCAGGTGGATCAGGAGGTCAGGAGTTCAAGACCAGCCTGGCCAAGATGGTGAAACCCCGTCTCTACTAAACATACAGAAAAAATTAGCCGGGCGTGGTGGCAGGCGCCTGTAATCCCAGCTACTTGGGAGGCTGAGGCAGGAGAATCCCTTGAACCCGGGTGGCAGAGGTTGCAGTGAGCCAAGATCGTGCCACTGCACCCCAGCTGGGTGACAGAGTGAGAATCTGTCTCAAAAAAAAAAAAAAACCCAAAAAACTAAAGATAGAACTATCATTTGATCCAGCAGTCCCACTGCTGGGTATCTACACACACAAAAAGAAATCATTATATTAAAAAGACACATGCACACACGTTTGCAGCAGCATAATTTGCAATTGTAAAAATACAGAACCAGCCTAAATTCGTATCAACCAATGAGTGGATAAAGAAATGTGATATATATGTGTGCATATATATATATATATATATATATATATATATATATATTTCACATTATATATATACACGCATATATATCACTATATATATATACACACACACACACACACACACACACACACACAAACGCACACAAACAATGAAATACTACTCAGTCAAGAAAGGAACAAAATATTGGCATTTGAAGCAACCTGGATGGAGTTGGAGACAATTATTCTAAGTGAAGTAACTCAGAAATGAAAAACCAAATAGTGGGAGCTAAGCTCTTATGCAAAGGCATAAGAATTATACACAGAACTCTGGGGACTCAGGTGGAAGGGCAGGAGGTGGGTGAGAGATGAAAGACTACACATTGGATACAGTGTACACTACTCAGGAGATGGGTGCACCCAAATCTCAGAAATTACGACTAAACAACTTATCCATGTAACCAAACATAACCTGTACCCCCAAAACTATTAAAATAATAATAATAAACCAAAAAAAACCCCATAACATTAAGTTCATGTGCTTTGGCCTTTTTTAAAGAAAGGTTCTCACTCTATTACTTAGGATGGGGTGCAATAGCCTCATCATGGATCACTGCAGCCTCAACTTTCTGGACTCAGGCAGTCCTCCTACCTCAGCCTCCTGAATAGCTGGTATTACAGGTGCAGGCAACCATGCCCAGCTAATTCTTGTATTTTTTGTAGACATGGGATTTTGCCATGTTGCCCCAGCTGGACTTGAATTCTTGGGCTTAAACAGCCTTCCTGTCTTGGTCTCCCAAAGTGCTGGAATTACAAGCATGAGACACCATGCCTGATCAGAATCTTATTTTTATGTAATATAAAAAAGCTAAATATATTTAGATTTGTTATTTTAAAAAAATTTAAAAAATATTTATTTAAAATATAAAATAAATTTTGTCTACAAATACTGAAACAGTTCAAAATTGCTTCCTAGGAATTTCACTAAAAGGTTGTTAAGAGTTAATGAGGCCAGGCACTGTGGCTCATGTCTGTAATCCCAGCACTTTGGGAGGCTGAGGCGGGAGGATTATGAGATCAGGAGATTGAGACCATCCTGGCTAACACGGTGAAACCCCATCTCTACTAACAATACAAAAATTAGCCAGGCATAGTGGCATGCGCCTGTAGTCCCAGCTACTCTGGAGGCTGAGCCAGGAGAATTGCTTGAACTTAGGAGGCAGAGGTTGCAGTGAGCTGAGATCCCGCCATTGCACTCCAGCCTGGGTGACAGAGCTAGACTCCATCTTAAAAAAAAAGAGTTAATGTGATTTATATATAATTAAATCAATTAGATGTACGAAAAACAATTCTGCATAGAGTGTAGAAACGAAAGCAAAAAATGCTTTTGATGAAGGAAGTTAGAAACATTTAGTGTAGTTTGAAATTACTTAATGGTTGTGTCAAATTGAAAAAATAAAATAGTAGATAAAAATAAAATATAAAAAGTTTAAATGATTATGAGAGATTATAACATATTTATGGAAATCTAGATTGGCCAAAAATGACAAATTTGATGAATTTACTTGTAAGGTTTTATTAAAATTAGCTTTACCATTGATAATACACTAATTAAAAAGTATAACAATTTTCTCTTGAACACAAATTTTATGTATTATTAGACCCCTAACTTTTTTTTTCTTTTTTATTGAGACAGCATCTCACTCTTTCACCCAGGCTGGAGTGCAATGGCATGATCTCGGCTCACTGCAACCTTCACCTCCCAGGTTCAAGCAATTCTCCTGCCTCAGCCTCCCAAGTAGCTGGGATTACAGCGGCTTGCCACCACGCCTAGCTAATTTTTTGTATTTTTAGTAGAGACAGGGTTTCACCAAGTTGGCCAGGCTGGTCTCAAACTCCTGACCTCAGGTGATCCACCTGCCTTGGCCTCCCTAAGTGCTGGGATTACAGGTGTGAGCCACTGGGCACGGCCTAGACCCCTAACTTTTGGATGCTACAGAGGGTCTATGCAACATCCAAAAGAGTAAAAAACGTAATTATTTGATATGTTAAATTACATGAAAAGCATTGTTGAATTAAAGATAATGTTTGATCTTCTTCAACTTCTATTTTAATATATATTAACATTTATTTCATAATATTATGAAATTTCTAAAAATCTTATATATCTGAGTATAAGCTATTAGTCATAATTATGGTTATGATAAGTTATTGCAGGTCACAGACATAATAAGTTTGTTTCATTTGTTTCTTTATAATTATTTGAAGTCATTTCTACAGTTAATGGTTTAATTCTGATGTAGTTTCTACAAACTTCAAAAACATGCAAAATCCTAGAGTACTGTGTCTGTAAGGAGATTCATGAAAAGATGAAAATAGCCCAGACAAGTTGAGTACAGGTTTCTGATAATTTTAAAATTATATTGTTTGGACTGGGTAAGGATTGTGAGAATTCTAAAGAACACACTGATTCATAAAACTGCTAATTCAGGAAAAACAAAAATAGTTGAACATCAGGAAAATACTCTGCCACTTTTTTTTTTTTTTTTTGAGACAGAGTCATGCTCTGTCACCAGGCTGGAGTCTCAGTGGCGTGATCTCAGCTCACTGCAACCTCCGCCTCTCCAGTTCAAGCGATTTTCCTGCCTCAGCCTCCCGAGTAGCTGGGACTGCAGGCATGTGCCACCACACCCAACTAATTTTTGTATTTTTAATAGAGTCGGGGTTTTGCCATGTTGGCCAGGATGGTCTTGATCTCTTGACCTCGTGATCTGCCCTCCTTGGCTTCCCAATGTGCTGGGATTATAGGCATCAGCCACTGCGCCTGGCCTCTGACACATTTTTGTGTTAAATAAACCAGTACTAAAATTTTTTAGATATGCCATTTGAATAAACTTTGTGATTCAAGTCAGATTACCTATGATTACCCCTCAGTTATCAGTGTTATACACCTAAATTGAAGAAACAAACCTGATATTTAAGCAGACATAAATTCAGTAATAAATGTGAACTCATGGAGAACCTAGACAGCCAACAGCCACTTGCTCATTCCTGAGTTTGGAAGGGCCCTTCTGAATTGTGAGATGATGTACCCAAGGTTAAAGGTCCTGAAGTGTTCCCGAAGGACATGTTGACTCTCATACTTGGGCCAGGAATATGTCACAATATTTTCTGAGGGCAGGGACCAGACAGGAGTGTCACATCACCTAAATAGGAATATGTTACAACCTTCTCCTGACAGCAGGACACAGGCAGCAGAGTCACATCACCTGGGTGCTGAGCCCAGCAATAGGTAACAATGCTTTCTGTGGCTCAAGGCCCAGGCAGGAGAGACACATCACCTGCTACCTAGGCTTAATGATAAGTCACAATTTTTCCTGTGGGCAGAGTGCAGGGAAAAATGGACAGTTGCATCTCTTAGGTGATTGATGCAGAGATATGTCACAAGGCCCTCTGTAAAAAAGGCTCAGGCAAGGGCCTCCCATTTTATATATGTTGGGCCTAGTAATATGTTCTATTGTGCAAAATATTCTGGGCCTGGGTAAAAGAAGAGAGCCACATAACCTGAATGCAGAACTTAGCAATATGTCATGATGCACCCTGTGGGTAGCGCCAATGCAAGAAAAAAGACTCACATTACCTTTATTCTTGACTTAAAGTCTTATGTCTTGTAAGAGAATATTGAATAATGCAAAAATACATGTAGACATGTCTGCGTGTGATTGGTGCTTATACTCACACAGTTCACCACACCACAGGAGAAAACAGATAACCACAGGCTGACCGTTAGGGCCAAGGCCAAATAGCAAAATAAGTTTGCCTTTAATCTATTTTCTCCATATCTAAACATTGGAGGTTAAGACTGTGGACAGATCTGAAGATACAGAGTTTTCTTGTTTTGTGGCTTCATCATTCTTTGTTCACTGTCTGATGTTTGGAATTAAGGTGAGCAACAGGTGGGCAGCAGTAGTTAATAAAATAACCAGAGGTAACCACAGGTCGACCTGTGGTTATTTTATTCTATCTGTCCTCTGTTCTTTCTATGGTCACTAACTGTTTTTTCCTTGGAATTGAAGAGAGATGTTGGTAGAGAGAGGCTGTCCCCTCACCTCTGGCAAAAAAGGGATGTTCAGGCTCTTCTTCACCCCCCTGACATCAGAGCTGCATTTTAATGTGGCAGCTATTGGCCACGTGTGGCTACTGGGTGCCTGGAATGTGGCTGGTCTGAATTGCAATGTGTTAGGTAAAATAGAGTTATTTTCAAAGATTTAGTTCCATATATGTGTGTGTGTGTGTGTGTGTGTGTGTGTGTGTGTATACACATATATACATATATATGTGTATTTCATCAATAATTTCATATTGCTCTCATACTAAAATGATAGTACTTTGGATATATTGGGTTAGATTGTTACAATCAATTCCACTTGTTTTTTTCTTTTTAAAGTTTGACTACTAGAAAATTTAAAATTCACATGTGGCTCACATTTTATTTGAGGATTGCCTCTTTTTAAAATTCTCAGGCTGCCTACTCAAAGGACCAGAAGCCAGGAAGGTCATAAAGTCTGAAATTCTAAAATAATTATTATTATATTATTTTTCTTTGTGAGTAGCCATATATCATTTATAAATGTATATGACCTTATACACAAGGTTAAATACAAATACCCTATGGGATGGGCCTGGCTCAGCTAAAAGAGGAAGCCCCGGCTGAAAAGGCTGCAGCGCAGGCTATCAGTCTTCACTCAGCCCAGTGTCTGATCACATCTTCTGTCACTCAGGGCCTGAAGGGTCAGGACCTTAAACGTTGTCCAATCAGGCACGCTGGGCTGGGAACCGTCCAATCAGGCACGCAGCTGGAGCAGACAAGATGGCTTCCGGGATTTGGCGGCGCCTTTGTCTCTCGCTGCAGCCGGAGCTCCAGGTCTCGCTTTCATTGCTCTGTGTCCTCTGCTCCTAGAGGTCCAGCCTCTGTGGGCCTGTGACCTGCAGAAATTGAGAGATCCACAGCTAAGACTCCAGGACCCCCTGGAAGCCTAGAAATGGTGAGAGTTACGGGTGCGACATCCCGAGAGGGGGAAGGGGCTGGTTGGAACCCGTGGGAAATGGCTATGGCGGGACTCAGGCCTCCCCGCAGTCAGCTCCACAATCTGCACCCCGAGTTCTCCTTCCCCAGCTCGGCTCAGTCCCCTGCAGCCATAAGATGGCGGCGCGCTGACAGCCAGCCCCGGGGCATCCCGTCTCTTCTCTGCCTAGTGACTGTGCCCTGGCCTGTAGCCCTCTCTGGGCAGCTCTGTACCCGCAGCGCCGCATTTCTCTCAGATTGTGCAGGGACCACAGGAGGGCCGTCACCGGAGAATCCTGACTCAGGGTGCGGGTTCATTAATGGGAAGAGTTTTGGTCCGTGGGGTTCCCAGTTCCTGTTTTCTCCTATTAAAATTTTATGGGAGGGCCGGGCGCGGTGGCTCAGGTCAGTAATACCAGCACTTTGGGAGACCGAGGTGGGTGGATCACCTGAGGTCAGGAGTTCAAGACCAGCCTGACCAACATGGTGAAACCCCGTTTCTACTAAAAATACAAAATTAGCCGGGCGTGGTGGCACATGCCTGTAATCCCAGATACTCAGAAGGCTGAGGCAGGAGAACCGCTTGAACCCGGGAGGTGGCGGTTGCAGTGAGCCGAGATGACGCCATTGCACTCCAGCCTGGTTAACAAGACCGAAACTCCGTCTTAAAAAATATATAAATAAATAAGTTAAATAAATAAATAAATTATGGGGATCACCACAAAAATATTGGAGAATTTAATCAAAGAGTGATTCAAAAATTGTGGAGCATTCAGCTGTGGTTTGGAGCTTGTGACTTTATGAGAGCAGCTTGAAGGAAAGACTTTTAAAGGTACATGATGAAGAAAACCAAATTAAATAATTGGTTAGGTACAGTTCATAGTTACTTGACTTGTACAATTAAGGTGGACATTTCCTGGTTATGTAATCAGAGGTTAATTGGCAGTTTATGATTGGTTAAGCCTAAATTTTTGTTTCCCTCAATTCAGTAATTTGCAAAAAAATGCATTTGAGTTAGAGTTTTTAAAAAATAGGAACCCAGGGACTAGAGTAACCTCCGTCTAATTGCCTGCTACTTAGTTATTTTCACACTCCACAGGAGACTGATTTTCCCCTGCATTTTTCACAGTTCTCTCAAGCTGGGTCTCAAGCCTACCCCTCATCCCATTCCTCCAGACTAACTATGACTTGCAGTAAAATACTAAATTTCCAGTTTCTTCTCACATTCTCAAATGCCAGCTTCCCCTTTCTAATTCACATTATCAACTATTTGTCTTTTATTGTACACTTTAGATACTGTATTTTAACTAAGCATTTTTTGACATTGAATGGCACTTAAAAAAATCGTTTTCTGTTTGAAAATATTTTTTATGAGAAGAAAAAGAAGAACAATTCCCTGATACTGTATTGTAAAAAATCTTTTCGCCTCATTTTTAAAAATCTTCTCTAGGCACAGAGATAGTATCAGAATATTTTTGGGTCAAGGTTTCCCTTTGGAAACTTTATGGGTGATGTGGCCTCAGCCACCTTCAGTTTTTTCTGGTCCTGGGCTTCAGTAGTTTCTGTGAATAAACCAATATATCTACCATGGCTATGTCTGCTCGAGTGTCTAGTGAATATAATCTACTGGGTTATTTTCTTTCATAAAACAACCTGAGGTATGGAGTGTAGCCTCTCAATGGAAACAGATGAATGCCCTTGGACTGATAGGACTCTCCCCTGCGCTCTTCCTTTGAAAAACTAACCCTTGCGTGCACGGTGGTGCACACCTGTAATCCCAGCACTTTGGGAGTCTGAGGCGGTGGATCACCTGAGGTCAGGAGTTCGCGACCAGCCTGACTAACATGGTGAAACCCCATCTCTACTAAATACAAAAAAATTAGCTGGGCGTGGTGGTGGCTGCCTGTAATCCGAGCTATTTTGGAGGCTGAGAGCCGAGATCGCACCATTGGATTCCAGCCTGGGCACCAAGAGTGAAACTCCATCTCAAAAAAAGAAAAACTAAGCCTTTGAGACATGAAGATTGCCTTTACTCAACCCAGCTTCCATTTCTTGGAGACATATTGCTGGTCAGCCAATCAGATGCTGGTATTGAGGGAAAAACACAGAGATAATTTCTGTCCCCTGAATTGTCTAAGATTTGTGAAAGAAAAAATAGCATTTCAAAAGACAAAAAAAAGTGACCTCAGTGAAATGATGCAAAAACTTGCAAAGTAAAATGCACTTGGGGCAGTCACTGAGGCATAGTGCAGTGAGAGGGTGGTCATTGAGCACTTAAGTGAGCAGGATGGGGTGGGAGAATCTCTCAAGTGATTGGTGACCTGACTTGACACATGAATTAGACACACCTGTTTTCTTTTTTTTTTGAGATGGGGTTTCACTCTTGTTGCCCAGGCTGGAGTTCAATGGTGCCATCTCGGCTCATGGCAACCTCCGCCTCCCAGGTTCAAGCGATTCTCCTGCCTCAGCCTCCTGAGTAGCAGGGATTACAGGCATGCACCACCATGCCCAGCTAATTTTGTATTTTTAGTAGAAACGGGGTTTTCCCGTGTTGGCCAGGCTTGTCTCAAACTCCCGACCTCAGGTGATCCGCCCCTCTTGGCCTCCCAAAGTGCTGGAATTACAGGCATGAGCCACTGCCCTGGGCCAACACATCTGTTTTCTAATCAGCATTGCCACTCCCTAGTTTGTCACCTTGAAAAGATTAGTGCACTTATTTTGACTTTAGTTTTTTTTTTTTTTTTTTTTTGAGACGGAGTCTCGATTTGTTGCCCAGGCTGGAGTGCAGTGACATGATCTGGGGTCACTGCAAGCTCTGCCTCCCGGGTTCAAGCCATTCTCCTGCCTCAGCCTCCCGAGTAGCTGGGATTACAGGTGCCCGCCACCACGCCCAGCTAATTTTTTTGTATTTTTAGTAGAGACGGGGTTTCACCGTGTTAGCCAGGATGGTCTTGATCTCCTGACCTCGTGATCCGCCCTCCTCAGCCTCCCAAAGTGCTGGGATTACAGGCGTGAGCCACCACGCCCAGTCAGTGACTTTAGTTTTTTTAAATGTAAATTGCATTTTATTAGTAGCATTTGAAAGGGAAGAAAATATGTGCAAAGAGCATGTAAGAGTTGGGTTTCAGAAAAAAAAAATTTAATTATATATTCTATTTGTTAAAAGTTTTTATTTACCTTTTTCTTTCCCAGAGTGAGTTTAGAAAATTTGTCAGTTGTGTTTATGGCTGGGTAATTTCAAACAGAATTCCAAGGTTTAGCTGTTAGAATCCTACTAAGGAAAAGAATAAGGGCCAGGTGGGGTGGCTCACACCTATTATCCCAGCATTTTGAAAGACTGAGGTGGGCAGATCACGAGGTCACGAGTTCAGGACCAGTCTGGTCAATATGGTGAAACCTCATCTCTACTAAAAATACAAAAATCAGCCGGGCATGGTGGCACGTGCCTGTAGTCCCAGCTACTTGGGAGGCTGAGGCAGGAGAATCGCTTGAACCCAGGAGGTGGAGGTTGCAGTGAGCCGAGATCGCACCACTGCACTGCAGCCTGGGAGTCAGAGCGAGACAATCTCTCTTCCTTTTTGGCTGTAAAAATTAAATACCTTTCCACAAGAAAATGTAGTAGATAATTGGTGAGTTACATAGATTCATGAAAACATAGTTCCTCTTTTTGCACCATAAATTTGTGGCAGTGAATATCTGTTCTATATCCTATGATCTTGATTTCTGAATTTAATGCTAAGTGTTATGAGATGAAATTTGGTACCTCCTAGAAGTGTTCTCATATGACTAATTGTTTACTAGATAACTTTCTTTTTTTTTTTGAGACTGAGTCTCGCTCTGTTACCCAGGCTGGAGTGCAGTGCCATGATCTCAGCTCACTGCAACCTTCCGCCTCCCAGATTCAAGTGATTCTTCTGCCTCAGCCACCCGAGTAGCTGGGATTACAGATGCGCACCACCACGCCTGGCTAATTTTTGTATTTGTAGTAGAGATGGGGTTTCACCATGTTGGCCAGGCTAGGCTCGAACTCCTGACTTCAGGTGACCTGCTGGCCTTGGCCTCCCAAAGTGCTGGGATTACAGGTGTGAGCCACCGTGCCCGGCCTACTACATAACTTTTAAAATAAATAATAAAATAATACTTTAATTGTTTGAAAGGTGTAGATACTTTTGGTTTTCTTACAGAGGTATGAAATGGAAGCACCTTAAAATTTTCTTTTTATATACTAACACTGCGTTTCAGTAATTTTGCTGGATTTTTCAAACACATAGTTTCAGACACCAAGTGAATAACTCAGACATGAAAATTAAAGCTTGAGCCCATCTAAAGCTAATATTGAGCCTGCAAAAGGAGGTTATTAAAGGCCCAGTTAGTTCTTTCTGGGGAGCCTTTTCTGCAGATATGTCAGCCTGCTCACCCCAGCCATGGAAGAAGGCTTTATCCTGAGAGAAGCTTGAGAGCCCTGGGAAGCTGGGGATGCACAGGCAGGTGCAGTTAAGGTTAAAATGAAAAAGTGCTGTGAAGGTCTTACTGAAGATAAGTATTATTGTTTTGAGGCAGTTTCTAAATTTTGTAAAATTAAAGTTATAGATTTATGTAAAAAAAATTTTAATTCCAAAGGAGTATTGCAACAGGAGGAAGTACCAACTATTATTGCAAAGTTCAGGCAGACTTTTTTTCCACAGAGGGGAGAAAACAAGATTAGAAAGAAAATAGCAGAAGAATGGTGAATAGAGAGTGAAAAAGTCAGGTTTTAGATCAGAAAATGTTTTACCCTGAAGTTAGCATATTCTTAGGGTGAACATAAAATGGGGTTGTATGTTGGCTCAGACTGAGTGTAGCTCAAAGTTTAGTTGCTGTGGGAAAAAGAAGTTTGATTAAGAAGTATTTTATTTTGACCACTGAAGACAAATTTAGCTGATTTTTTTAAGAAAAGGAAGAAAATATGCAGAGTCTATGTCTGGCTCTACAACAGGTGAGAAAAGAGAGAGCACCATCTAAGTCATAATAAGAGGGTATTTCTTTTGAAAAACTATTTTTGGAGAATACAAAGATGGAGAATTTTATTAATCATAGCTCTTTACCAGGATTATCTATGTGCTTCATTTTTCCCCACCTTTTTTCCTGGTCCTATGTATTTCTTCCATTTGACTTTTTCTGAGTTGTATCTTTTATAATAAACTGGTAAAGATAACTACAGTGTTTCACTGAGTTCTGTGAATAGCTCTGTTATATTACTGAACTTGAGGAAAGTTCTGGGAGTCCCCAGTTATTAAACAGTGGCTCAGAAGCATAGATCAGCCCATGAAGTTTGTGACTGGCATCTGCAGTAAAGACAGTGTTGTGGATTGTGCTCTGAATCAGGGTCTATGCTGACTCTGGGTGGTGTCAGAATTCAAACGTTAGACAATGAGTGTTGGAGGATTGCTTGGTGTTCAGTAAACTCTACAGATTTGGTGCCAGAAAAAAGATATCACAGAGGCCTGGCCTGGAATGGAACTCTGGGTGCCTGGAATGGGAGGCTCTGCTCTCCTGTACACAAGCTCGTTGTCCTGTGATTTCAGGTCTCCTCCAAGGGTGAGGGAGGACTGAAAACTTAAAGGACAAGAGCTGTGATAACAAACCCCACTTTCCCACAGCTACCACCACAAGATTTCCACCCACTCACAAACACACCCACTAGACATTGACGTGCCCACACCCCTCCCAGGACTAGGTACCACCCTCAGAAAATTCACAACAGCATTGTTTATCCTAGTGCTTCTTGCGAAAAACCCAAAAAATGACTATGTCTCCTGGAATATCCCCACCTGCAGACACTGAATCTGCAGCAGTAATCTGTTTTCTCCACCATCCTAGGGTTTTGACCAACTGTTCATAATCTCTTCTGCCTTCATGGGCACAAAAATAAATCAGTGTAGCCTCACCTAAGCCACTATCTGTAGTACAAACCAGTCCTTCCACTTACATTGCACTCTCCTCCACCCATGGATTTTTTACTTTTAACTTTTATTTTTGGTTCATAAGTACATCTGCAGGTTTGTTTTATAGGTAAAATTGTGTCATGAAGGTTTGGTGTGCAGATTATTTTGTCACTGAGGTACTAAGCATGGCACCAAACAAGTATTTTTTTCTGATTCTCTTTGTCCTTCTACTCTCCACCCTCAACTAAGTCTCAGTTTTTGTTGTTCCTCTCTTTGTGTCCATGTGTTCTTATTATTTAGCTCTTATTATTATTATTTTTTTAAATTTTTCTGAGACGGAGTTTTGCTCTTGTTGCCCAGGCTGGAGTGCAGTGGCACGATCTCAGCTAACTGCCACCTCCATCTCCCAGGTTCAGGCGAATCTCCTGTCTCAGCCTCCCAAGTAGCTAGGGTTACAGGCGCCCACCACACCTGGCTAATTTTTGTATTTTCAGTAGAGACAGGGTTTCACCATGTTGGCCAGGCTGGTCTCAAACTCCTGACCTCATGATTCACCCACCTCAGCCTCCCAAAGTGCTGGGATTACAGGCCTGAGCCACTGCCCCCAGCCAGTTCTTATTTATAAATAATAACATGCATTTGATTTTCTGTTTCTGCATTAGTTTTCTAAGGATAGTGGTCTCTAGCTCTGTACATGTTGCTGCAAAAGAAATGATCTTGGTCTCTTTTTATGGCCACACAGTGTTCCATGATGTTTATGTACCTATTTTATTTTTATTTTTTTGAGACGGAGTCTGGCTTTGTCCCCAGGCTAGAGTGCAGTTGTGCAGATGTCAGCTCGCTGCAACCTCCGCCTCCTAGGTTCAAGCGAGTCACCTGCCTCAGCCTCCCTAGTAGTTGGGATTACAGGAGCCTGCTACCACACCCAGCTAATTCTATTTTTAGTAGAGACAGGGTTTCACCATGTTGGCCAGATGGTCTCGATCTCTTGACCTCGTGATCTGCCCGCCTAGGCCTCCCAAAGTGCTGGGATTACAGGCGTGAGCCACCGCGTCTGGCCATATTTTGTTTTTATTAATGTTTTTTTTTGGGGGGGGGTACGGAGTCTCGCTCTTGTTGCCCAGGCTGGAGTGCAGTGGTGCAATCTCGGCTCACCACAACCTCTGCCTCCCTGATTCAAGTGATTCTTCTGCCTCAGCCTCCCAAGTAGCTGGGATTACAGGCACCTGCCACCACGCCTGGCTAAGTTTGTATTTTTAGTAGAGATAGGGTTTCACCATGTTGGCCAGACTGGTTTCAAACTCCTGATCTCAGGTGATCCACCTGCCTCTGCATCCCAAAGTGCTGGGATTACAGGCATGAGCAAGTAGGTTGTGGTGCCTGGCCACCTACTTTTTAATGAGGTTTTTTTTTTTTTCTTGTAAACTTATTTAAGTTCATTATGGATTCTGGATATTAGACCTTTGTCAAAAGCATAGTTTGCAAATATTTTCTTTTATTCTGTAGGTTGTCTTTACTCTGTTAATAGTTTTCTATGAAGAAACTCTTCAGTTAGATCCCATTTGTCAATTTGTTGCAATTGCTTTTGGTATCTTCATTATAAAATTTGCTGGTTCCTGTGTCTGGAATGATATTTCCTAGGTTATCTTCCAGAGTTTTTTATAATTCTAAGTTTTACATTTAAGTCTTTAATTTATCTTGTTAATTTTTGTATATGTTGTAAGGAAGGGATCCAGGGTTAGCCTTGTACATAGTGCTAAATAGTTATTACTGCACCATTTATTAAATAGGAAATTATTCCCATATTTCTCTTTGTCAGTTTTGTTGAAGATCGTATGGTTGTAAGTGTGTGGCATTATTTTTAATAAGATTATTTAAATATTTACATTTAATTTTTGTTCTCTTTTTTTTTTTTTTTTTGAGACGGAGTCTCGCTCTGTCGCCCAGGCTGGAGTGCAGTGGCACGATCTTGGCTCACTGCAAGCTCCGCCTCCCGAGTTCATGCCATTCTCCTGCCTCAGCCTCCCAAGTAGCTGGGACTACAGGTGCCTGCCACCACGCCCGGCTAATTTTTTGTATTTTTTAGTAGAGATGGGGTTTCACCGTGTTAGCCAGGATGGTCTCGATCTCCTGACTTCGTGATCCACCCGCCTCGGCCTTCCAAAGTGCTGGGATTACAGGCATGAGCCACCACGCCTGGCCAGAAATTTAAATGTTTACATTAAAAATTTAAATAACATTTAAAATTAAATAGGAAATTATTCCTGTATTTCTCTTTGTCAGCTTTGTTGAAGATCAGATGGTTTTAAGTGCGTGGCATTATTTTTTGGCTCTCTATTCTGTTGCATTTGTCTGAGTCTGTTTTTGTTCCAGTACCATGCTGCTTTGGTTACTGTAGCTTTGTAAGATAAAGTTGGGTAATGTAATGCCTCCAGCTTTGTTATTTTTGCTTAGAAAAGTGCCTTGGCTATTAGAGCTCTTTTTTGGTTCCATATGTATTTAATTTTTTTTTTTTTTAAGTTAAGAATATTTTTGAGGCCAGGTGTGGTGGCTCATACCTGTAATCCCAGCACTTTGGGAGGCCGAGGTGGGTGGAGCACTCGAGGTCAGGGGTTCGAGACCAGCCTGGCCAACATGGTGAAACCCTGTCTCTAATAAAAATACAAAAAATTAGCCTGGTGTGGTGGCATATGCCTGTAATCCGGCTACTTGGGTGGCTGAGGCAGCCTTGAACCCAGGATGTGGAGGTTGCAGTGATCCAAGACCTCACCACAGTACTCCAGCCTAGGCGACAAGAACCAAACTCCGTCAAAAAAAAAAAAAAAGAATATTTTTGATAGTTTCATAGAAATAACATATCTGTAAATTTCTTTTGGTGGTATGGCCATATTAATACCGAACTTTTCTATCAATGAGCACAAAATGATTTTCCATTTGTTTGCGTCATCTCTGACTTTTTTTCCCCCCAAGACAGTTTTACTCTTGTTGCCCAGGCTGGAGTGCAATGGCACGATCTTGGTTCACTGCAGCCTCCCGCCTCTGGGGTTCAAGTGATTCATCTGCCTCAGACTCGCGAGTAGCTGGGATTGCAGGCATGCACCACCACCCCGTGCTAATTTTGTATTTTTAGGCAGAGATGGGGTTTCTCTATGTTGGTCAGGCTAGTCTCAAACTCCCGACCTCAGGTGATCCACCCGCCTCGGCCTCCCAAAGTGCTGGGATTACAGGCGTGAGCCACTGTAGCCGGCCATCTCTGACTTCTTTAAGAAGTGTTTTGTAATTCTTGTCCTAGAGATCTTTCATCTCCCTAGTTAGCTGTATTTCTAGATATTCGTTTTTGTGGCAACTGCAAATGGGATTTTTTTTTTTTTTTTTTTTTTGAGACGGAGTCTCACTCTGTTGCCCAGGCTGGAGTGCAAGTGGTGTGATTTTGGCTCACTGCAATCTCCACCTCCTGGGTTCAAGCAATTCTCCTGCCTCAGCCTCCTGAGTAGCTGGGATTACAGGCATGCACCACCACACCTGGCTAATTTTTGTATTTTTAGTAGAGATGAGGTTTCCCCATGTTGGCCAGGCTTGTCTCCAACTCCCGACCTCAGGTGATCTGCCCCTCTTGGCCTCCCAAAGTGCTGGGATTACAGGCGTGAGCCACCGTGCCCAGCTAGGATTGTATTATTAATTTGGCCTTTGCTTTGGATATGGTTGATGTACAGAGATGCTACTAATTTTGTATGTTTATTTTGTATTCTGAAACTTTGCTGAAGTTGTTTGTCAGCTTACAGAACTTTTCTGCTGAGACTATAGGTTTTTTTTAGATGTAGAGTCATGTCATCTGCACCCGGGATAGTTTGAGTTCCTCTTTCTTTTTGGGTGCTTTTATTGTTTCGGCTTGCCTGATTGCTCAGCCAGGACTTCAAAATTCCATGTTTAATAGGAGTGGTGAGAGAAGGCACCCTTGTCTTGTGCCAGTTTTCTTTTTCTTTTTTTTCTTTTCTCTTTTTTTTTTTTTTCTGAGACAGTCTTGCACTGTTGCCCAGGCTGGGATGCAGTGGCGCAATCTCGGCTCACTGCAAGCTCCACCTCCCGGGTTAACGCCGCCATTCTCTTGCCTCAGCCTCCCAAGTAGCTGGGACTACAGGCGCCCGCCACCACGCGTGGCTAATTTTTTGTATTTTTAGTAGAGACGGAGTTTCACCATGTTAGCCAGGATGGTCTCCATCTCCTGACCTCGTGATCCACCCACCTCGGCCTCCCAAAGTGCTGGGATTACAGGCGTGAGCCACCGCGCCCGGCCGTCTTGTGCCAGTTTTCAAGAAAAAAAATGTTTGCAACTTGTATCTATTCAGTATGTTGGCTGTGAATTTGTCGTAGATAACTCTTTTGAAGTATGTACCTTCAATGCCTAGTTTGTTGAGGGTTATAACATGAAGGATGTTAAATTTTACTGAAAGCTTTTTCTGCATCTATTGAGTTAATTTTGTGGTTTTTGTCTGTAGTTCTGTTTAAGTGATAAATGACATTTATTGATTTGTATATATTGAACCAACCTTGTGTTCCAGGGATAAATCCTACTTGATAATGGTGGATTAACTTTTTGATGTGCTGCTGGATTTGGTTTTTCAGTATTTTGTTGATGATTTTTTGTTAATATTTATTAAAAATATTGGCCTGAAGTTTTTTGTTTGTGTGTTTGTTTTGTCTTTGCCAGGTTTTGGTATCAGAATGATGCTGTTCTTATATAATAACTTGGGGAGAAGTCCTTTCTCAATTATTTGGAATAGTTTTAGTAAAAATAATACCAACTTTTGTTTGTACATCTGGTAGAATTCAGCTGTAAGTCCGTCTGGTCCTGGGCTTTTTTTGGTTGGTAGGCTACTTATTATTAATTTGATTTTGGAGCTTTTTATTGGTTTATTCAGGGGTTCAATTTCTTTTTTGTTCAGTCTAGGGAGGAGGTATTTGTCCAGGAATTTATTCATTTCTTCTAGATTATTTAGTTACTGTGCATAGAAGTGCTCATTGTAGACTTTCATCCTTGTTTGTATTTTTGCCAAATCAGTGATAATGTCCATTTGTCATTACTAATTGTGTTTTTTTTTTTTTTGGATCTTCTCTTTTTTTCATTAATCTAGCTAGTGGTTTATTTATCTTACTGAGTTTTTTCAAAACATTTACTTCTAATTTTTTAGTCTTTTTTGTAGTTTTTTACATCATCTAAATATTCTTCAGTTCAGATATGATTTTAGTTATTTGTTGTTTTCTTCTACCTTAGGGGTTGATTTGCTCTCACTTCTCTCATTCTTTTATTTAGGATGTCAGGTTATTAAATTGAGATATTTCTACCTTTTGATGTGAGCATTTAATGCTATAAATTTCCCTCTTAATACTGCCTTAGTTTTGTTGCAGTGATTCTGGTATGTTGTGTCTTTGTTCTCATTTATTTTAAAGAACTTGATTTCTGCCTTAATTTTATTATTTACCCAAAAGTCATTCATATTGAGGTTAATTTGCATGTAGTTGTCTGGTTTCAAGTGGTTTTCTTTGTATTGAATTATATTTTTATCAAGCTGTGGTCTGAGTATGTTGTTGATACAATTTTGAAATTTTTGAATTTGCTCAGGATTGTTTTATTTCTGATTTTGTGGTCAGTTTTAGAGTATGTGCCCTGTGGTGGTGAAAACATTGTATATTATGTTGTTTTTAGATGGAGAGTTCTATAGATATTTTATTACTATTTGGTCAAGTGTTGAGTTTAGGTCCTAATATCTTTGTTAATTTTTCTGCCTCAGTGATTTGTTTACTAGTGTCTGTGGTGTATTGTAGCCTCCCACTATTTTTGTGTAAGAATCCAACTGTCTTCATAGGTCTCTAAGAAGTTGCTTTATTTATGTGGACCCATGGATTTTTTATAGCACCTTTTTCTCTTCTGCTTTTTTCCCCATAAACATTCTTTCAAGTGAATACTGTGTGCCCAATGCTACTCCTTAGATGCCTGAATCCAGTGTCTACTAAAATTAAGATGTCGAAGAGTTCAACATATCCAGAGACCTGGCTGTTGTAAGAGAAAATTTAAGTTAGAAATAAAAGGCTCTCTCTCTCTCTTTTTTTTTTTTTTGAGATGGAGTCTTGCTCTGTCACCCAGGCTGGAGTGCACTGGCATGATCTTGGCCCACTACAACCTCTGCCTCCCGGGTTCAAGTGATTCTCGTGCCTCAGCCTCCCAAGTAGCTGGGATTACAGGCATGTGCCACCATGCCCAGCTAATAATTTTTATATTTTTAGTAGAGACAGAGTTTCACCATGTTGGTCAGGCTGGTCTTGAACTCCTGACCTCAAGTGATCCACCCACCTTGGCCTCTCAAAGTGGTGGGATTACAGGTGTGAGCCACTGCACCCAACCAAAAGGCTCTGTTTTTATACCTGAAAATAATAAAGAATATTTTGCTTATCTCTCTCCTTTTTTTTTTTTGAGACGGAGTCTCGTTCTGTCGACCAGGCTCACTGCAACCTCCGTCTCCTGGGTTCAAGTGATTCTCCTGCCTCAGCCTCCCGAGTAGCTGGGATTACAGATGCCCGCCACCATGCCCGGCTAATTTTTGTGCTTTTAGTAGAGATGTGGTTTCCCCATGTTGGCCAGGCTGGTCTTGAACTCCTGACCTCAGGTGATCCGCCTGCCTCAGCCTCCCAAAGTGCTGGGATTACAGGCGTTGAGCCCCTGTGGCCTGCCCATCTCTCACTTCTTTAAGCATTTAGGTTATATGTAGATATTTTTCTCTGCTTTTTAAAAATAAATGTGTATCATATTAACAGGTAAATAAACTTTTTGGCATTCTTTGTGACTCAGGATTTTATTTTTATTTTTGTTTTATTTTATTTTATTTGTGAGATAGAGTTTTGCTCTTTTCGCCTAGGCTGGAGTGCAATGGCTTGATCTCGGCTCACTGCAACCTCTGCCTCCCGGGTTCAAACAATTCTTCTGCCTCAGCCTCCTGAGTAGGTGGAATTACAGGTGCCCACCACCATGCCCGGCTGATTTTTGTATTTTTAGTAGAGACAGTGTTTCACCATGTTGGTCAGGCTGGTTTCGAACTCCTGACCTCAGGTGATCCACCCACCTCAACCTCCCAAAGTGTTGGGATTACAGGCGTGAGCCACTGTTCCCGGCCAACAGTTTTCTTAATGTTCTATCATTGTGGAGTTTCTCTGGGGCCGGATAAAATTTTTTCTTCTATTATTATTATTTTTTAAATTATACTTTAAGTTCTGGGATACATGTGCAGAACGTGCAGGTTTGTTACACAGGTATACATGCACCATGGTGGCTTGCTCCACCTATCAACCTGTCATCTAATTTTAAGCCCCACATGCATTAGATATATGTCCTAATGCTCTCCCTCCCCTTGCCCCCAACCAGAAAATTTTTATTTTAATGATATTTCCCAAACACTGTCTGGAATTACCAGATATGATAGAAACATATAAGGTGCCAACCAGGATCTACTCTAGAGTGGGCTTACCCTCTCAGGCTTCCAGTCACTCCCAAATTTGCTGCCAAGTGCATGCTGTCGCCTAAATATGCAGGCAGAATTGTCTCTCCTATTTGGTATTGATAGTCCTCTACAGTCACTTCTGGAGGGGCTAGGCCAGATTTCTACGAACTTCACAGGGCAGCAATCAGCCATTTTACCTCTTTCAATTACTCTTGTATCTTCAGACCTGAAACTGATTTAGAGACCATGGGGCCCACAAACCCAATTAGAGTAACAGGTGTGCATTGAGTATACACATAGACATGAGAATCTCCACTTTCCACTTCCTCCTGTTACTGAAATGCTCACAAATGTGCAGGTAACACCTGCTGATACTCTTATCCATCCAGAACCTAAATCTGCAGCTCCAAATTCTGAATCTAGGTCTTGAAATTTTGGAAATTAAAAAACTTATATCTGGGAAATGCAGGTCCTTTTAGTTGTCAAACTTGAAGAGACATTAAAATGAGAGCACAATTATGTCTTTCTCCCCACTTTCAACTATATGTATTCATACCTTGAAACTGTTTGCTATTGCCACCAGTAGCTGTGAATTAAATTAATAATGCCACACTGGACACTCTAAGCCTTAATGATGTACATCCAGTCAATAATTAATGTTATTCCTGTAAGTAAGAGTTTCTGACAAACAAGTTTGTACCAGCCCAAAGAGAGAACAGCCTCTGTCCTCTTTTTACCTTTACAAATACACTTGTAACTGGTGGTAAGCAAAATATAAATTCCAAGCAACTTGAGTCTTTGCTTTCATGTTATAATCCTCAAGCTTGGTCCTCCCAAAACTGTCTATTTATATTTATGTTGCCTCAACTTTTCCCTTTTAGGTAGAAATATCATTTAGAATGAGCTAGAGCAGCCTCTGTGAGTGGACCTCTCCTTTGATTGTACTCCACTTTCTGTGACACACAGGAATGCAGAGCCAGGTTTATCTGACGTAGAATCTGCACATAAGGTCTAACCTCTGTCTGGGATTCACAAGTCAAGGTTAGGCTTTCGATTGAGAATGTACAGAAAACATACGGGGGACATTTTCTGCATTGTGAGATGTCAACATGGAAATATTAAAACCCCTTTTTGAGGGTGCGGGTTTTTGAACTTCTCAGATCTTGTGCAGTGACTTTCTACAGTTATGTGAGGGGCTCCAGGTGTAAATAGAATCTGATTACAGAATCTGTAAGTGTAAACAAGCATCTTCAGAGTAAGAGATTAAGACTTACAAGGTATCCAGTGCCATGACCAAACTATACCTACCCATAAAATGTGATACTGGAGTAGAGTATTCTTGTCCTTTTTTTTTTTTTTTTTTAAACCCAAGAGCTAACTAACTGGAGTAGAGTATTCTTGTCCTTTTTTTTTTTTTTTTTTAAACCCAAGAGCTAACTAATCAGGACATGCAATTCAAGTTGTGGAGCTCTACCAGGACAGTTCCATTCTTCATTTAGCCTGAGTCTCTCATCCCTAGCTTATCATTGGGCCACCAGCTCAGGGGCACTGAGAACCCTCTCACAATCACCTAGGCATCCTTGAGAAATTTGAAAATGTCCAGAACAGAATTGTGTAAGGCTGACATGAGTGGTTAATTCTGCTTCTGTCTCAGTGCAAGAGAAATAAGTCATCCTGTGTTTGTTCCTACCCCCATGCAAGAGATGTCTTTGGTTGGTACTCAGATGAGAGTTTCTCCAGTTTCCTGGTACTTAGGTGAAAAACAAGGAAGAGGTCTGGAGACTCAGATAAACTAATTGCTTCCATTTCATATGACCATTAGATAAATAGATAAAGCAGTCATGGTCCCTGTCATCCGGGAACTTTTAGTCTAGACTATAGCAACTAGATAAACCGCTGAATTGGGCATGATGTGGTTGCTACGATGTTCCTAGACAGGGGCAGTGAGGAAGATCCCAGGCCCCTTCAGTCTTCATCTAATTCCTCCTTTTGCACTGCTAGAGTTTTCTGACCCAACCCCATGGTGGCACAGGGGCAGTCAGTTCTCCAGGGGTAATGACTGGTACCTTTGCATTGACAGCAGGGACCTGGCAGGGGCTTAGTATATCCCTTTGCCCAATGCCCACTTTTCTTGCATTTGAAGCAAGAGTCTCTGCTGGCTTTATCTTTATGGCCCTTCAGATTTTCCTTAGATGCTCTTCGGGCATTCAGGACATCACCAATGATGGCTGCCATAATTTTGACTTGCCGTTTTTCTTCACTCTGTTTCCTTTTTCCTTCCTTCAGGTCACAATTGTTATACACCATAAACATTGTATCAAGAAGCTGGTTTTGGTTAGTCTGTGGCCCTATCTGTAGCTTGTGGAGCTTATGTCTAATGTCAGGGGCAGATTGGCTAATAAAATGCTTTGCCATTAGTATTTTCCCTTCAGGAAGAGGAAGGGACTAGATTAGTATATTTTTTTAAAGGCTTCCTCCAACCTGCCATAAAACATGGCTAGATTTTTCTTCTTGCTTTGTGTAACCTTCTGTACTTTATCATAATTTTCTGCCTTAGTTATTCCCTTTCTCATTCCTCCAAGGAGAGCCTCAAGAAATTTAGCCTGGTTGTTTCCTACAGTGGTGTTGTAGTTTCAATGAGGATCAGTAGTGGGAACTGTTTCTGGTCCTGAGTGTTTGCCCTGAGGGTTTCAGGTGAATAATCCATCCGCTTCCTGGTGGGTGGCGTCAAAAGATTTGTTCTTTTTCTGAAGGGATGCAACAGGTTGCTAGAATAAATTGAACATCTCTCCATGAGAGATCAAAGTTTGAAACCCATCAGCAAATTTCCCAAGATTCTCAGAATAGCTTCCTAGCTTCTCCTTACATTGTTGCGTATCAGTTATATAGAGAAGGGGACCTTCACTAGGACTGGCCTCTCAGCTCCTGCTACCCTAAGAGGTAGCAGGGCTGGAGAGAGAGTTCAATACAGTGTTCCCCCTTGAGTATGAGGGGAACTTGTAGGGTCCCCGGTGTTTGCTTCTGAGTTTTAGCCTCAGAAGCACTTGGCAAGGGGTCGCTTGGCAAGGATGGTCGCTACTCACCCTGAGAACCAGGTGGCCCTGTAAAAGGTTATCTATAATATCTACTTCTGCCTTAGAACTTTCCTTTGGGGGGTAGGTTCTGGGAGTTTCACAGATTGTTAGGTTTTGATATAGGGTCATGAAGGGCTGTACATAGGAGATTTCTGACCATTTGCCCTGCCTCTTGCAAAATAGGCCTGATTGCAGGATAGCGTCATAATTAATGCTACCATTGACTGCCCAGTGTTCTGAACTGAGCAGCTCATAATAGGGCCAGACAGTATTGCAGAAAAATATTATACATTTTCTTGTTAGATTGTCAGGGTCAAATTGATTCTAATGGTGGAAGATATAGCCAAGCAGGGAATCAGAATTGGAAATAGAGTTCCCCACAGTGGAATCAGGTGAAATAGATTAAGAGTTGCTCATAGTGGTCTAGAAAAAAGAAGAGGACTTTGCAAAGTAGAGGGCTCATTAGGTGACCCAAATTTTTCCTGGGGCATCTCCCTGGAAAACTTCTTGGCCCAGACTGGGGTCTCTGGGAACATCCCCTCTTTAGGCCCCAGACTTAGTCTGTCAGATGGCTCTGACCTTAGATAGGTGCCAGCACAACTTTAGAATGGTTCCCTCCACCACTGATGACCTACTATGAGGTGTTGTTTTTTTTTTTTAATTTTTTTTTGAGACAGAGTCTTGCTCTGTTGTCCAGGCTGGAGTGCAGTGGCATGATCTTGGCTCACTGCAACCTCTGCCTCCTGGATTCAAGCGATTCTCCTGCCTCAGCCTCCTGAGTAGCTGGCATTACAGGTGCGTGCCACAATGCAAGACTAATTTTTCTGTAGTTTTAGTTGGTCAGGCAGGTCTCGAACTCCTGACCTTATGATCTGTCCGCCTCAGCATCTCAAAGTGCTGGGATTACAGGCATGAGCCACCACGCCCGGACTACTATGAGCTTTTTTAAAGGTTTATCTATCCCATTTAAAGCAACCCTTTAACTCTCTCAACTTCAGCAATAATACATTTCCTTTCATAAGCTCCCCCCACCCCCCCACCACCGTGCACCTCAGAGACCACCTGCAACATGCTTGGACCCTCTGACTTATATAACCTTTTTGCATAGCTAGGTGGGTTTTCTGTTCATAGCTAGTTGAGTGGGGGAAGGGAAGAATTTAGCATAAGAAAAGAAAAGAAGGTTTAAGTCACCTGAAACATGTGATTCACCCTGGGCGAACTGCCCGCTGCCAACGGTGTCATATGTAGGGATAAGGGACTATAACCAGAAAGGATAGAAAATCTTTCCCCCTTCTGGGCAGGACAGGCAGCCCTGTTTGCTCATTGGCCTTCAGAGAACATCAGAGTGGCTCTGGCTAGTTCCACTCAATTACCAACATCTACTAGAAAATGGCTGCTGAAAGACTGAAAAAGGAGAAAAGGAAAAGGTCTTGAGAGGTGACAGCGTGCTGGCAGTCCTCACAGCTCTCGCTTGCTCTCGGCGCCTCCTCTGCCTGGGCTCCTACTTTGGCGGCACTTGAGGAGCCCTTCAGCCCACCGCTGCACTGTGGGAGCCCCTTTCTGGGCTGGCCAAGGCCGGAGCCGACTCCCTCAGCTTGTAGGGAGTTGTGGAGGGAGAGGCGCGAGCGGGAACCGGGGCTGCGTGCGGTGCTTGCGGGCCAGCTGGAGTTCCGGGTGGGCGTGGGCTTGGCGGGCCTCGCACTCGGAGCCCCCGGCCGGCCCTGCCCGCCCCGGGCAATGAGGGACTTAGCACCCGGGCCAGCGGCTGCGGAGGGTGTACTGGGTCCCCCAGCAGTGCCAGCCCACTGGCGCTGCGCTCGATTTCTCGCCGGGCCTTAGCTGCCTTCCCGCGGGGCAGGCCTCGGGACTGCAGTCTGCCATGCCTGAGTCTTCCCTCGCCTCCGTGGGTTCCTGTGCAGCCCTATCCTCCCTGACGGATGCCGCTCCCTGCTCCACGGCGCCCAGTCCCATCGACCGCCCAAGGGCTGAGGAGTGTGAGCGCATGGCGCAGGACTGGCAGGCAGCTCCACCTGCAGCCCCGGTGCGGGATCCACTGGGTGAAGCCAGCTGGGCTCCTGAGTCTGGTGGGTACGTGGAGAGTATGTCTAGCTCAGGGATTGTAAACACACCAATCAGCACCCTGTGTCTAGCTCAGGGTTTGTGAGTGCACCAATCGACACTCTGTATCTAGCTGCTTTGGTGGGGCCTTGGAGCACCCTGTGTCTAGCTCAGGGTTTGTGAGTGCACCAATCGACACTCTGTATCTAGCTGCTTTGGTGGGGCCTTGGAGCACCCTGTGTCTATCTCAGGGATTGTAAATACACCAATCGGCACTCTGTATCTAGCTCAAGGTTTGTAAACACCAATCAGCACCCTGTGTCTAGCTCCTCAGGGTTTGTGAGTGCACCAGTTGACACTGTATCTAGCTGCTCTGGTGGGGCCTTGGAGAACCTTTATGTCTAGCTCAGGGATTGTAAACACACCAATCAGCACCCTGTGTCTAGCTCAGGGTTTATGAGTGCACCAGTCGACACTCTGTGTCTAGCTGCTCTGGTGGGGCCTTGGAGAACCTTTATGTCTAGCTCAGGGATTGTAAATACACCAGTCGGCACTCTGTATCTAGCTCAAGGTTTGTAAACACACCAATCAGCACCCTGTGTCTAGCTCAGGGTTTGTGAGTGCACCAGTTGACACTGTATCTAGCTGCTCTGGTGGGGCCTTGGAGAACCTTTATGTCTAGCTCAGGGATTGTAAACACACCAGTCGGCACTCTGTATCTAGCTCAAGGTTTGTAAACACTCCAATCAGCACCGTGTGTTTAGCTCAAGGTTTGTGAGTGCACCAATTGACACTCTGTATCTAGCTGCTCTGGTGGGGCCTTGGAGAACATTTATGTCTAGCTCAGGGTTTGTGAGTGCACCAATCGACACTCTATCTAGCTACTCTGGTGGGGCCTTGGAGAACCTTTGTGTCGATACTCTGTATGTAACTAATCTGCTGGGGACGTGGAGAACCTTTGTGTCTAGCTCAGGGATTGTAAAGGCACCAATCAGCGCCCTGTCAAAGCAGACCACTCGGCTCTACCAATCAGCAGGATGTGGGTGGGGCCAGGTAAGACAATAAAAGCAGGCTGCCGGAGCCAGCAGTGGCAACCCGCTGGGGTCCCCTTCCACAGTGTGGAAGCTTTGTTCTTTAGCTCTTTGCAATAAATCTTGCTACTGCTCACTCTTTGGGTCCACACTGCTTTTATGAGCTGTAACACTCACCATGAAGATCTGCAGCTTCACTCCTGAAGCCAGTGACACCACGAGCCCACCGGGAGGAACAAACAACTCCAGATGCACTGCCTTAAGAGCTGTAACACTCACCGCGAAGGTCTGCAGCTTCACTCCTGAGCCAGCGAGACCACGAACCCACCAGAAGGAAGAAACTCCGAACACATCTGAACATCAGAAGGAACAAACTCCAGACGCGCCACCTTAAGAGCTGTAACACTCACCACGAGGGTCCGCGGCTTCATTGTTGAAGTCAGTGAGACCAAGAACCCACCAATTCCGGACACAGTCTCAGAAAAAGGACAAAAACAATAGGACTCAGAAAAACAAACAGACGAAAGGTCTCAGGTCCCTCACCCAAACTGTGAGGTGGTAGTCAGGCACTTGCACGTGGAAACCTTTCAGTTTCATCAAAAAGTGGCCCTGGGTTGGGGGGAGGGGAGGAGAGAGAGAGAAAGAGAGAGAAAGAGAAAAAGAGAGAAAGACTTCCCTGTATGTAAAAGGAGAAAGGAAAAAATTAAATCCAATACTTTGGGCCTACCTCCTCTCCTGCCTGGCTCACCAAAATAAGTTACCAGTAGAGGGTCTTGACTGCAAGTTGTCCAGATTCTTGGCCTTTTGAACAAAGAATTGGATGAAACAGCAAAGCAAGAAAAGAATGAAGCAACAAAGGAACAAAACGGGTTTATTGAAAATGAAATTACACTCTGCAGTGTGAAAGTGGGCCCGAACAATGGCTTAAGGTCCCAGACAACAGAATTTTCTTGGGTTCAGATATCCCCTAGAGGTTTCCCATTGGCCACTTGGTGCTCACCTCATGTAAATGAAGTGGTGGCCCACAATTGCTCTGATTAGTTGCAGGAAGAAACCAATCAGATGCTGAAGCAAAGTTAAAAAGGTCACAATCCTCTGCAAATATCCAATTGATTGCAAAAGCAACCAATTAGAGGCTAAGGTGAAGTTACAAAGTGTCACTTTTATTCAAATAGAGACTCAGCCCACAATCAGTCTGAATGGTTGTGGACAGCCAATTTCCTATCTGCCTCACAGAAAAGGTGGGGATTTGCAAAGGCAGTAGCCTCTGGTCTTTTTGTTACTTAGGCATGGAAAGTTAGTTTTCCTTTCCATTTAGGTCTAGGAATTCGGTGTGAAATGGTCTTAGGTTCCCTGCCTCCAGACCCTATTCTCTTGCCTCATTAGTACATGTGTACCTCATGGTTTCCACATGCAGACTTATTTAGATGTTGCTGCCTTCTGTTTATTCTGTAAACTTTAAAGAGCCAGCAAAGAATATGAAAATTGGTAGTCTTCATTTGAGAAGTATTTGTGTTGTAACAAGAGTGCTGAGTGTAAGGGACTCCATGCTGTGCCTGCTTTCTCTAATGCTAATCATGAGCCCCAGAAAAGCAATTGATAGGGAACATTAATGGGTTTAAAATACCCATTAATGGCTGGCTGCCATGGCTCATGCCTTTAATCCCAGCACTTTGGGAGGCCAAGTTGGGCGAATCACTAGAGGTCTGGAGTTTGAGACCAGCCTGACCGACATGGTGAAACCCTGCCTCTACTTAAAATACACAAAAAATTAGCTGCTTGTGGTGGCAGGCGCCTGTGTTATCCCAGCTACTCAAGGCTGAGGCAGGAGAATCGCTTGAACCCAGGGGGCGGAGGTTGCAGTGAGTCGAGATCACGCCACTGCACTCCAGCCTGCGCTACAGAGCGACACTCCATCACACACACACACAAAAACCCAAAGAACAAAAAAACCACTCATGAACCCTAAGTCTGCAGAATTACATCACAGAGAGTGGAGCCACAGTTTCCAAGTATTTTTTAAGCCCATTAAAGCTTTAAAGGCAATGCCCAGCTAAGTGGTTTTCAGCCCAGGTTTGATTTTTTTTTTTGAGGTGGGGTCTTGCTCTGTGCCCAGGCTGGAGTGCAGTGGTGCGATTTCAGCTCACTGCAACCTCCACCTCCTGGGTTTAAGCGATTCTCCTGCCTCAGCCTCCTGAGTAGCTGGGATTATAAGCAAGTGCCACCTCGGCTGGCTAATTTTTGTATTTTTAGTAGAGATGGGGTTTCACCATGTTGGCCAGGCTGGTCAGGAACTCCTGACCTCAAGTGATCCCCCCGTCTTGGCCTCCCAAAGTGCTGAGATAACAGGTGTGAGCCACCATGCCCAGCCCAGGTTTCTAATTAAGATTACATGGCCAGTTTGCAGAAATATCTACTTGTGCCCTATCCACAGGTCTGTTTATTCTTCTGGGCGGAGGTATCATGTTTTGTTTTTTGTTTTTGAGACGGAGTCTCACTCCGTTGCTCAGGCTGGAGTACAGTGGTGCGACCTGAGGTTACTGCAACATTCGCCTGCCAGGTTTAAACGATTCTCCTGCCTCTGCCTTCCAAGTAGCTGAGATTACAGGCACGTACCATTATGCCTGGCTAATTTGTGTATTTTTAGTAGAGATGGGGTTTTGCCATGTTGGCCAGGTTGTTCTCAAATTCCTGGCCTCGAGTGATCTGCCCACTTTGGCCTCCCAAAGTGCTGCGATTACAGGTGTGAGCCACTGTTCCCGCCCATGTTGTTTTAATTAAGTGCCTCTTGTGACTCTAACATGAGGCCAAAATCAAGTATGAGGGGTTCAAGATATATTCATGAGAGTTCTACCTTTGCTCTAAAGAATGGTCAAAGGGCTGGTTCTGTTTGGTTTGGTAGTGACAGGAAAGTGTGGTCCGTATTTTCATTGCTGTAGCAGAAATTGCTGATGTCCATGGCAGGGGAGGACACCTGAGGACAGAAGAAAAGGAACTTTTACTTTTATCTCCGTGGAGCAGCTCATGGTTCCTGAATCGCTTCTGGTATGAAGGACAGAAATGGGTGGACTTTTTCTGTGAGTCTTGGTCCTTCTGCCTGTGAGTGTGGTGGTACCAGGTAAACATGTGGTGCTGATACCTTTAAAGGCATATTCTCCAGATGCAGGTGTAATTTGTCCAGAGAATCGCATGTGAAAAGAATTTTCAGAGAAAGGAAAAAATGGCTTTTTTTCAGTTAAACATGTCTCAGATCAAGAGCTGTGTCCGCTCTGCCTCCTGGAATGCCATGCGTTTAGTACTTGCAAACTTTGACTTCTCTACTTGGGTTTTTTCTCCCTAATGAATTTGTTTTAACTACTTATAAAAACTCTTATGATAGTCAAGAGTCTCTGAAAAATACTTCTTTTCCATATACCAGAGGCTTCTCTACATCATGACTTCTTATATGCCATGCAGAATTCTCACGATTATTTTATAATCTGCAATATTAAAAATGTTACCTGTGGCTATTGAACATGCAAAGGTGTAGATAACTCAACATTTCTATTGGGAAAACCTGCGGTCCTTAGTAAAAATGGAGAACATCTAATGTTGAGGCTCCATCTGTGTTCTCAATTAGCTATTATTTAAACAAGATAGCATTTATTACACAGAAGCTTGTGAAGCACTCAAAAAGCTACGTGTTTGTGTTTATGCCCTTAATTATGTATTTTTTTGAGATGGAGTCTCACTCTTGTTGCCCACGCTGGAGTGCAATGGTACGATCTCAGCTCACTGCAATCTCCACTCACCACAGCCTCCACCTCCCAGGTTCAAGCCATTCTCGTGATTCTCCTGCCTCAGCCTCCTGAGTAGCTGGGATTACATGCATGCGCCACCACGCCTGGCTAATTTTGTATTTTTAGTAGAGATTGGGTTTCTCCATGTTGGTCAGGTGGGTCTTGGAACTCCCGACCTCAGGTAATCTGCCCGCCTCGGCCTCCCAAAGTGCTGGGATTAAAGGCATGAGCCACTGTGCCTGACCTATTATATATGTTATTATTTAGAAAATTATTATATATACACTGGTGTTGTGGCTCTTGTGCCACTCTGTTTTCTCAGGGTTAGAGAACACATTAGGAAATATTTCTGTGTAAAAAATATGATTTTATTGGATAATTTCAGTCACTCCTATAAATCAGAACCTGTTCTCTTTAGTCTCTCATTTTACCTTGAGTCAAATTATAATCTCTGTTGGCTACCTGGTGAATATGTTTGTGTGTATGTGTTTTTCAGGGACTGTTGACATTTAGGGATGTGGCCATAGAATTCTCTCTGGAAGAATGGCAATGCCTGGACACTGCACAGCGGAATTTATATAAAAATGTGATTTTAGAGAACTACAGAAACCTGGTCTTCCTGGGTAAGGATAACTTAAACACACAGTTTCTTTTTTTTTTTGTTTTTCTTTTGAGACGGAGTCTGGCTCTGTCACCAGGCTAGAGTGCAGTGGTGCGATCTTGGCTCACTGCAACCTCCGCCTCCTGGGTTCAAGCAATTCTCGTGCCTCAGCCTTCCAAGTAGCTGGGACTACAGGCGTGAGCCACCATGCCTAGCTAATTTTTTTTTGTATTTTTGGTAGAGACAGGG
Organism: Homo sapiens; assembly: GCF_000001405.40. Taxonomy (NCBI): domain Eukaryota; kingdom Metazoa; phylum Chordata; class Mammalia; order Primates; family Hominidae; genus Homo; species Homo sapiens. Next base: position 23,662,804 of record NC_000019.10, on the reverse strand, counting down.
TTTCACCATGTTGTCCAGGCTGGTCTCGAACTCGTGACCTCAGATGAGCCATTCGCCTCGGCCTCCCAAAGTGCTGGGATTACTGGTGTGAGCCACCATGCCTGTCCCAACAGACAGTTTCTAATATACCGTAAAGGTTTCATTTCTCTTCTTTGTAGAATATATTTTGGTAATGTATGCTTTGCATAAATGAGTTTCAGATCCCTGTTTTTGAGAAAATCTTAAGGATTTGTCTGTATAGAGAAGAATTTCTTTAGTATGTTTCATCTTGATCTGAACTTAACACATTCCTGAGCTGATCTGTGTCCTTCACTCTAGTGGTAATTTCAGAAGTTTAGTGGCATAAAATATTGTTGCCCACACCTTAAAATCTAATTGCCAACACCAAGTTTTGATTCAGTAGTACTGGGTAGTGAAATTAAGAACCTACAAATTTAGAATATTTTCTAAGTATTTAAAAATTTCTGTTATAAGTCAGTATTTTGGGATTAATTTACTAGACTATTCCATTACATTCTCTTTACTGAGCACATTACTAGGTTGGTAATTGGAGAATATGAGCAAAATTAATGTTATTTATTTTTTAATAAAACAGGTATTGCTGTCTCTAAGCAAGACCTGATCACCTGTCTGGAGCAAGAAAAAGAGCCTTTGACTGTGAAGAGACATGAGATGGTGAATGAACCCCCAGGTAAGTGAGAATGAAAGTGAATACAACAGGTGACACTGATGAGAGGTCCAAAGGTCAAAGAGAAAGCCAGTCCTTAAAATGTGATTTGGGAAGCCGTGTTTTAAAGGAAATAATTTCTGGAAAGCCTGAGTATTTTATGCTCTCACATTTGAGCATTTTCTGTCTTATGCTTTTAAATTCTCTAAGGTTTCTGTTTACATTTTTGGTAATTTTCCTTTAAGTTTTCGGTGAGAACCAGTGTCCGCTTCATGGCATACAAGAGACTGTGCAATCTGAATCCTTACTCATTTTTTTTGGAGGCACAGAAATACCTACATAATTTTGAGAAACTGTTAAATGATTTTTTAAGTTCTTTTTTTCCATCTTGTCTGAAACGTATGAGAAGTGGTTTCTTTTCTATTGTTTTCTTTCCTTCTTTTTTTTTGAGACAGAGTCTTGCTCTGTAGCCCAGGCTGGGGTGCAGTGCTACAGTCTGGACTCACTGTAACTTTTGCCTCTTGGGTTTAAGTAGTTCTCCTGTCTCAGCCTCCCAAATAGCTGGGATTACAAGCACGTGCCACCACACCCGGCTAATTTTGTGTTTTTAGTAGAGATGGGGTTTCACCATGTTGGCCAGGCTGGTCTCAAACTCCTGCCCTCAGGTCATTTGCTTACCTTGGCTTCTCAAAGTGCTGGGATTACAGGTGTGAGCCACTATTCCCCGCCCTTTTTTTTTTTCATTTTTCTACACATTTTACTTGTTTGTATTTCTATAGTCTTCTAATGTAGTCTTGAAATTATAAAGGGCTGGGCATCGGCTCAAGGGCCAGGCACGGTGGCTCACGCCTGTAATCCCAGCACTTTGGGAGGCTGAGGTGGGCGGATCAGGAGGTCAGATAAAAACTAGAAAGAAGCTTTCTGAGAAACTGCTTTGTGATGTGTGCATTCATCTCACAGAGATAAATCTTTCTTTTGATTCAGCAGTTTGGAAACCTGGCTAACATGGTGAAACCCGGTGTCTACTAAAAATACAAAAAATTAGCCAGGTGTGGTGGCACACATCTGTAATCCCAGCTACTCAGGAGGCTGAGGCAGGAGAATCGCTTGAACCCGGGAGGTGGAGGTTACAGTGAGCCAAGTTTGTGCCACTGCACTCCAGCCTGGCTATAGAGTGGGACTCCGTCTCAAAAAAAAAAAAAAAAGAAAATTACAAAGTATGATATTCTTCTACTTTGTTCTTTTTTCTCAAGCTTGCTTCGGCTATTTAAAGTGTATCATAGTTTCATTTAAATTTTAGAATTATATTTTTTATTACTGTGAAAAACAAATGCCACTGGAATTTTGATAGGGAGTCTTGAATCTATAGATCATTTTGGATAACATGGCACAGTATTTATTCTTTCAGTTCATAGACATAAAATATTTTCAAGTTTATTTATGTCTTTTCTAATATCTTTCACTGATATCTCTCACTGTAAAGATTTTGTACCTCCTTGGTTAAATTTGTTCTCAGAAATTTATTATTTTAATGCTATTGTAAATAAGTTTTTTTCTCTATTTTATCAGAGAGTTTAAGTTTATGGAACCCTAACTTGTATGTTAGTTTTATATTTTTCTGATTTACTGAGTGTATTTACAAGTTTTAATGTACTGTTTATGTTTATATATATGATCATATGAGCTACAGCCAGCAACTTTTTACTTATGTGTCTTCAATTTCAATTGCTCTTTTTCATTTTTCGACTAATTCTTCTGCCAATACTTTCAGTGTTATGTTAAACTAGCAGCATTGACAATGGGCACAATATAGTTTTGCATTGGCATCTGTGTACAGAAGGAGAAAACACCTCAAGTTTTTATAAACTGGTTTCAGAAGGTAAAGATCTTTTGTTGGACGCTCAGGGTGATGGGATGCCCTCTGGGTTTGTAGTGGAGAGGGGGTTGTAGCTTTGTCACAAGGCTGCTGGGTCTGCACTAGGGTCTGCCTTTAGTTGGCTTGTCCTAAAAAACTTGGGTAGTTTAAATTCCCATTTTGGACAGACTGAATTTTGGCAGAGGATTTTGCTCTGTAGGGCAGACACTAGGGCAGGTTTTTGCAGTAGGGTCTGCATATGGTGGGCCTTATATCAAAATATGAATGACTATGGCTTTCAGCGAGTACCAGAAAGGATCTTTCCAGGTCACTGTGTGGGTTTCTGTATAGGCAGAACTGACCATAAACTGTGGCTCAGCGAGCTGGAACTGAGTCATTGAACTGCTTCAAGGACCACAGTAAAGACTAAGGTCCTTTACCTTAGGCCAGTCCACATGGCTGTAAATGGGTACCTTCCTCTGGGCCTCTGGAAAAGCAGAATCTCTCCCAGACTTTGGCTGTGAGGAGTTTGGGATGGTTACATAGTAAGTTCAGAATTCTTAGTGGGACCAAGTTGGGTGGGCCATTTCCTAGTCTGTAGTTAAGAACAGGGATCCTGTAGTTTGCACCTGAATGAGGGCCTGCCTTCTGAAAAGAAGACTTTTAAATCTTGGGCTTTATCAGAGTTCCACAACTCCCTCTCTCTCTGGATCTCAAAGCTCTCAAAGGCACTTATTTTGAGATGGAGTCTTGCTACATACATAATTCAGGCTGATTTTGAAATCCTAACCTGAAGCAATTCTCTAAACTTAATATATCATGTATCTTTCATTACAGGTGTGAGCCATGATGCCTGGCAATCTCATAAAGGCATTTTTGTCAGGGATGGCTGACAAATTGTCTTGCTGTGCAGGAGATAACAAAATAGGGCACCTTTTATTCTCCCATCTTACCAATTTCACTCCTGCTATACATTTTTATTCTCCATTTTCTGTTTCAATTTTGTCTGTAATTTTAGATTTAGAAATTTAGAACAATATGCTAGAATTTACATGTAATGTCTAAAGTAAATTAGATAATTTGTAGGCACTCCATATTTACTAAAACTGTTACTTATAAATTTAGGCTTGATGTAGGAAAAAATAATTCTATGATTTGCACCCATTTTGTCCAGCCTGTATCTAAATAATATAATTTATTCGCAGATATTTGTTTTATATATCAGGCGCTCTAACCATATTCTGCAATATATATATTTTTATATATTTAACATTTTATATATATAGATCTCGATCTCTATCTCTAGATCTATATCTATCTATAGATCTCTAGAGATCTATATCTATAGATCGGTATCTATAGATCTATATCTATCTATAGATATCTATAGATCTATATCTATAGATATCTATAGATCTATTTCTATATCTATATAGATATATCTATATATCTATAGAGATATAGATCTATATCTCTATAGATATCTATAGATATATATATAGCAATGTAAGGCTATTTTTTTGCTTCTAAAGTTGGATTACAGCAGTTTTGTTTTGTGTAACAATAGCATATATTTAAGACGTAAAATTTCTGTCTTTTTTTTGAGACAGAGTCTCGCCCTGTCGTCCAGCCTGAAGTTCAGTGGTACAATCTCTGCTTACTGCAACCTCCACCTCCCAGGTTCAAGTGATTCTCCTGTCTCAGCCTCCTGAGTAGCTGGGACTATAGGCACATGCCACCATGCCTGACTAATTTTTGTACTTTTAGTAGAGATGGGGTTTCACCATGTTGGCCAAGCTGGTCTTGAACTCCTGACCTCGTGATCCATCTTCCTTGGCCTCCCAAAGTTCTGGTACAGGTGTGAGCCACAGAGCCTGGCCCAAAATTGTCTTTGTTTTTTGTTTTTTTTTTTTTTAATTTTGAGATGGAGTTTTGCTCCTGTTTCCCAGGCTGGAGTGCAATGGTGCAATCTTGACTCACTCCAACCTCTGCCTACTGGGTTAAAGCAATTCTCCTGTCTCCACCTCCTGAGTATCTAGGATTACAGGTGTGCGCCACCACACCTGGCTAATTTTTTTGCATTTTTAGTAGAGACAGGGTTTCACCGTGTTGCCGAGTCTGGTCTCAAACCCCTGAACTTGTGATCTGCCAGCCTCACCTCCTAATGTGCTGGGATTACAGACGTGAGCCACTGCATCTGGCCTAGACACATCATTTTTAATGGTACATCAGTGTTGCCTGCAAGATTTTATGAGTAAACGTTTCTCTTACTATGGTTTTGCCATTCCATATTAATGTGTTTTTTCAGTTTGACATCTGTTTATTGTTTTTTTGTTTTACCATTTTAGACAATTTGCAATTGTTTGTACACTTTGTGGGATTTAATTAAGAAATAAATCAGCCACATATCTATCCCAATCAGATTACATATGTGTGTTTATCTATGAATATGACCCCAATTTTGGTTATGGCTTATCTTGTATGTATTCTTTCTTAGCTGATTTTCAATGATTGTTTTATCTTGTCTAAGTGATTAGTCATGGAGATAGTCTTTTTTGTTCTTTTGAGATGGAGTTTTACTCTTGTTGCCCAGGCTGGAGTGCAGTGGTGTGATCTCCGCCCACTGCAACCTCTGCCTCCCAGGTTGAAGTGATTCTCCTGCTTCAGCCTCCCAAGCAGCTGGGATTACAGGCATGCGCCACCACGCCCAGCTAATTTTTTGTATTTTTAGTAGAGACGAGGTTTCTCCATGTGGTCAGGCTGGTCTCCAACTCCCGACCTCAGGTGATCCACCTGCCTTGGCCTCCCAAAGTACTGGGATTACAAGGGGTGAGCCACCACACCCGGTGAGATAGTCTTATTTTCACCATGTGTTTAATAATAAATATATATTTCTTTTGTGTGAGAGAAACACTTTTGTGATTTGAAGGTAATTCATGTAAAGATTTATAATTCTGTATTTTTTCCATTTTTTCTTTTAAAAAATTTAATTGTAAAACCACATAAATTTTACCATCTAAAATCTATTGAAGTGTGTATTTCAGGGCCAGGCATGGTAGTGGCTCACATCTTTGATCCCAGGATTTTGGGAGGCCAAGGCAGGAGAATTGCTTGAGCCCAAAAGTATGAGACTAGCCTGGGAAACGTATGGAGATTCTCTGTCTACAAAAAATTTTTAAAAATAGCCAGGCATGGTGGTGTGCACCTGTGGTCCCAGCTTTTTGGGAGATTGATGGTGCAGGATTACTTTAGCCTGGCAGTTTGAGGCTACAGTGAGCCATAATTGTGCCACTTTACTCAAACTTGAATGACAGAGTGAGAACCTGTCTCAAAAAAACTGTACATTTCAGCCATGTTTAGTATATTTGTATTGTTATGCAAAAGACTTCTATAAATTTTTCATCTTGTGAAACTAAAACTCAATACCCATTAACAACTGCCCATTTTATCCTCTCTCCAGCCGTTGACAAACACCCTTGCACTTTCTATGAGTGTGACTAATTAAGATATCTCACATAAGTGGAATCATATAGTATCCATTTTGTTACTGGCTTACTTCAGGTGATATAATATTCTCAAAGTTTATCTTAAAATGTTGACTAGATTTATTTAAGGCTGAATAATCCATTGTGTGTGTGTGTGTGTGTGTGTGTGTGTGTGTGTGTGTATACCTTTTTTGTTTTTTTGAGATGGAGTCCCATTTTGTCACCCAGGCTGGAGTGCAGTGGCACTATCTCAGCTCACTGCAACCTCTGCATCCTGGGTTCAAGTTATTCTCCTGCCTCAGCCTCCTGTGTAGCTGGGACTACAGGCACATGCCACCACACCCAGCTAATTTTTGTGTTTTTAGTAGAGAAGGGGTTTCACCATGTTGGCCAGGCTGGTCCCAAACTCCTGACCTCAGGTAATCTGCCCACCTCAGCCTCCCAAAGTGCTAGGATTATAGGCATGAGCCACTGCTAATGCATTTTTTATAGAGATTATGTTGAATTTGTTCACCACTTTTGGTTGCATTGACATTTTTGAAAAATTAAGTGTTTTGGCCCTTGAGCCAAGAATATGTTGAACACTGTTTTATTTTCATATATTTTTCAATTTGCCAATTTTACTTTTCCTTTTAATTTTTTGTTTTATTCACTTTTGGTCAGAAAATGTTTATAATTTTGGTTTTCCTAAATTTATTTGTTGTTGCTGTTAGAAGATTTTACTGTGTCACTCAGGCTGGAGTGCAGTGGCTCCACTGCAGCCATAACCTCCCAGGCTCAAGTGATCCTTTTACCTCAGTCTCCCAAGTAGCTGGCACTACAGACGTGCCATGGCTGCTACCATGCCTGGCTATTTTTTTGATTATTTGTAGGAACAGGGTCTCGCTATGTTGCCCAGGCTGGTGTCAAATTTCTGGCCCAGCTGGGTCTTCCAAAGTGTTGAGATTATAGGCATGCACCCAGCCAGCATTCTTAAATTTAATAAGACTTGATTTGTGTCCTAACAGAATACACCAGGTGCAAAGAAAAATATTGTGTATTCTCTTGCTTTTGATTGAAAAGGTTTGTACAGGTCTGTTAAGCCTATTTGGTCTGTGATATGGCTTGGATGTCTATGTTCTCCAAACCTCATATTGCAATGTAATCATCATTGTTGATTTGGGTCCTGATAGAAGGTGAATATGGGACCTAGTGGGAGGTGCTTAGGTCATGAGGGAAAGTTCCTCATGAATGGCTTGGCACTATCTTCTTGTTAATCAGTAAGTTTACACTCTGTTAATTCAAGTAAGAGCTAGTTCATTTAAAAAAAAAGAAAACCTGGCTTCTTTACCTGACACTTGCTTTGTATCTTACCATGTGATGTGTCCAGTTAATCTGTGCATTGCACTGTGATTGTAAGCTTCCTGAGACCCTCACCAGAAGCAGATGCTGGCACATGCTTTTTGTACAGTCTGCCGAACTGTGAGCCAAATAAACCTTTTTTCTTTATAAATTATCTACTCTCAGGTATTCCTCTATATGTAAATAATTGAAGTTTGCAATTTACTTTTTTTTTTTTTTTGAGACAGAGTCTTGCTTTGTCACCCAGGCTGGAGTGTAATGGTGCGATCTTGGCCCACTGCAACCTTATCCTCCCAGGTTCAAGCAGTTCTCCTGCCTTAGTCTCCCAATTAGCTGGGACTACAGGCTCCCGCCACCATGCCTGGCTAATTTTTTTTCTATTTTTATTAGAGATGCGGGTTCACTATGTTGGCCAGGCTGGTCTTGAACTCCTGACCTCGTGATCCGCCCGCTTCAGCCTCCTAAAGTGCTGGGAGTACAGGTGTGAGTCACTGCACCTGGCTGTAATTTACTTCTGAAAACATTATGTTATATTGGGGAGTAGAAAAAGCTGTGTTGGGTAAATGTGACAGAATTTTTTTTTTTTTTCTATGTGGCTCTTTGCATTGTGCTCACCTGGGGCAACACATACACTTAATTATGGCCTGTGGTGCCATCTTGCTTATGTAGTTTGTGTAATTTTATAAGTTAGGTTTGGAAAGTATATTTATCTGAGTCTGTAAAGTAATGTGTTATTTTTATTTCTTTCAGTAATGTGTTCTCATTTTGCCCAAGAGTTTTGGCCAGAGCAGAACATAAAAGATTCTTTTGAAAAAGTGACACTGAGAAGATATGAAAAATGTGGAAATGATAATTTTCAGTTAAAAGGCTGTAAAAGTGTGGATGAATGTAAGTTGCACAAGGGAGGTTATAATGGACTTAACCAATGTTTACCAACTATGCAGAGCAAAATGTTTCAATGTGATAAATATGTGAAAGTCTTTAATAAATTTTCACATTCAGATAGACATAAGATAAAACATATGGAAAATAAACCTTTCAAATGTAAAGAATGTGGCAGATCATTTTGCATGCTTTCACACCTAACTCGACATGAAAGAAATTATACCAAGGTGAATTTCTGCAAATGTGAAGAATGTGAAAAAGCTGTTAACCAATCTTCAAAGCTTACTAAACATAAAAGAATTTATACTTGTGAGAAACTCTACAAATGTCAAGAATGTGACAGAACTTTTAACCAATTCTCAAACCTTACTGAATATAAAAAAGATTATGCTCGAGAGAAACCATACAAATGTGAAGAATGTGGCAAAGCCTTTAACCAGTCCTCACACCTTACTACACATAAGATAATTCATACAGGAGAGAAACCCTACAAATGTGAAGAATGTGGCAAAGCCTTTAACCAGTTCTCAAATCTTACTACACATAAAAAAATTCATACTGGAGAGCAACCCTACATATGTGAAGAATGTGGCAAGGCTTTTACCCAATCCTCAACCCTTACTACACATAAGAGAATTCATACTGGAGAAAAACCCTACAAATGTGAAGAATGTGGAAAAGCTTTTAACCGATCCTCAAAACTTACTGAACATAAAAACATTCATACTGGAGAGCAACCCTACAAATGTGAGGAATGCGGCAAAGCTTTTAACCGATCCTCAAATCTTACGGAACATAGGAAAATTCATACCGAAGAGAAACCCTACAAATGTAAAGAATGTGGCAAAGCTTTTAAACACTCCTCAGCCCTTACTACACATAAGAGAATTCACACTGGAGAGAAACCCTACAAATGTGAAGAATGTGGCAAAGCTTTTAACCGATCCTCAAAACTTACTGAACATAAGAAACTTCATACTGGAAAGAAACCCTACAAATGTGAAGAATGTGGCAAAGCTTTTATCCAATCCTCAAAACTTACTGAACATAAGAAAATTCATTCTGGAGAGATACCCTACAAGTGTGAAGAATGTGGCAAAGCTTTTAAACACTCCTCATCCCTTACTACACATAAAAGAATTCATACTGGGGAGAAACCCTACAAATGTGAAGAATGTGGCAAAGCTTTTAGCCGATCCTCAAAACTTACTGAACATAAGATAATTCATACTGGAGAGAAACCCTATAAATGTGAGAGATGTGACAAAGCTTTTAACCAATCTGCAAACCTTACTAAACATAAAAAAATACATACTGGAGAGAAACTACAGAACTGGAATGTGTGATAATGATTTTGACAACACCTCAAATTTTTCTAAATATAAAGGAAATCATACTGGTGAAAAATTCTAGAAATGTAAAGAATGTGTCAAAGACTTTAAATGGTTTTCACACTTCATTGTATGTAAGATAATTCATACTGGAGAAAACTACAAGTGTGAAGAATTTGGCAATACTGTTAATTAAGGCTCAAACCTTATTGCACAGGAAAGCGTTTATACTTAAGAAAAATTGTACAAATATAAAGAGTGTAAAATAGCCATTAATATCTGTTGACATCTTAATATCAGAATGTTGGTACTTAATAAAAGCATTATAAATGCAATTACTGTCTAAAGACTTTAAGAAAATATAAGCCTTTAAAGTGAAGAAGAGTATTCGTTTTGAAGACAAAGATTACAAACATAAAGAGGGTTGTAGTACATTTACTGGTATCATAAAGCTTATCATGTACATTTTGTACTAGAGAAAAACCCTGAAGCAGTTGCTCAAAGTTTTTTCAACATCAGTGAATCTGTATGGGAGAAAAACTCTGCAAATGTAATACATTTAGAAAAACACATTTTTTCAAAATCTATAGCTTTAGAAAACACCAGAGAGTTAGTACTAAAATATATTTCTGCAGGCTGGGCGCAGTGGCTCACACCTGTAATCCCAGCATATTGGGAGGCCGAGGTGGATGGATCACCTGAGGTCAGGTGTTCGAGACCAGCCTGGTCAACATAGCGAAACCCTGTCTCTACTAAAAATACAAAAATTAGCAAGGCATGGTGGTGAGTGCCTTTAATTCCAGCTACTCAGGAGGCTGAGGCAGGAGAATCGCTTGAACTGGAGGGGCAGAGGTTGCAGTGAGTCAAGATCGTGCCATTGCACTCTAGCCTGGGCAACAAGTGTGAAACTCCATCTCTCTCTCTCTCTCTCTCTCTCTCTCTCTCTCTCTCTCTCTCTCTCTCTCTCTCTCTATATATATATATATATATATATATATATATATATTTTTTTTTTTTTTTTTGTAGATGCAGTAAATATAAAACAATATTTATTCTAAAATTAAGTCTATGTAAATATCAGATAGCTCAGAAATATCTAAGGCACTGACACTTCAGACATTACAGTAAATCAGAATGCTGAGTATAAAAAATAATCCAGAACTAAAGTTGTTAGATAAATTGTGTATAACTTTAAAAGGTGTAGAAAATTTTTTGAAAAGTTATAATTACATTGAAAGTATACTTTTTTCCTTAAAAAATACAGATTATTTGCAACATGAATAATGTAATTCAACTCTCAAAATTCAAAACTCTTCTTGTTTTCTTCATTTCTATTGTATTCAACTTGTGACTAATTGTTGCATCAGAGATAGGAGAATTTTTTTTTATTAGTTGGGCATTATGATCTTTTTTATGGAAGGGTAAGGACATTAAAATGTAAGACACATAAAAATCTAAGTGGAGAGGCTCTTTTTGTTAATATAAGTGACACATGAGGTGGGTGTTCAGGGTAATATTCTGCATTATAGTGAGAAAAAAGCATTTTAAATTTTAGTTAAAATTAGTAAATTATTTTACTAATTGTACTTTTATGTAATAAAATGTACGTTCTTAAAATTTTAAGTTATGTGTGAACTTAATATTTTATTAAAATTTTATTTAACATTTATAAAACATTTAATAAAGTTAGTATGCCATTAACTTTAACCTATTTCACTTTACTCACTGGTGTAGGCAAAAGATGGTAACATACTATTTGGTAACATAATGGACAAACATTTCTAGTAATCCCTTTTGCCAGTGACTTTAAACTGCAAGGAGGTTAAAGAATGTTCTCATAGGTTAAATATTTATTTCTCATCTAAGTTTATACTTTTTAATTTTTGTGGATACATTGTATGTGTATATTTATGCCATATATAGCACATTTTGATACAGACATATAATATGTAATAATTACATCAGGAAAAATTAAGTATCCATCATCTCCAGCATTTATCCTTTGTATTATAAACCAATTCTACAGTTTTAGTTTTTTTTAATGTACAATTGTTATTGACTACAGGGCTATTTTTATGGTTATGCTAAAAATTATATAGAAGTATAAATAAAGTCCACACATTCTGAGTCCTAAATAAGCATTAAAAAAATTGTTATATGTATTTTTGAACATGTTGTTTCTCTGCCTGCAAACACATACAGACTTGTTAGTTTTGACTTAGTAAAGTTAAATATATACATACATTACTCTTAAGTTAAACCCTAGGTGTAAGAAAATTATGGAGTAAGTAAGCATGTTTGTGTGAGTATAAATTTGTTCCTATTTTCAGAAGAAAAGAGCAATATTGGAACAAAACATTTTAGTAAGGTAACTAATTTACTAGAAAACTATAAACCTCAAAAATGCGGAAAGCAAATCTATACTCTTTCTACTGAATTACTGTAAAATAGTATGGCTTATGGGTTCAAAATCTTATGCAAATTTTGTTTTTACTTGATTGGTACTCATGCCTAGCCCACATTTTTTTGTTGTTTCTTACAATTTTTTTTCTTTTATAGTTTATGAGGTTTTCATTATGTGAAGTGGTCAAAGATATAAACTATTTTTATAAAATTTAGTAGGGCACACAAAATAATTTTTAGATGTAGTTCCACAATTAGTGTATTGTTTTATTGAATTAAAACATTCTATTTTGTTCTTCTAATTGAAGAACCTTATATAAGCCTATTTAAGTTATTATTCCTTTCACTTTTTATAATTGACAGAAGTAAATTTATTTGTTGATTGAGCCAGTTCAGGTATTGGGGGAACCCGCCCCCAATATTTCAATGTAGGTTCTTTCTATTTTCCATAAGTGTCAGCCGGCTGAGAAATAGAGATAACACAGAGAAAGGAATTTTACAGCTGGGCTGCCAGGGGTGACATCACCTATCAGTAGGACCATGATGCCCGCCTGAGTCTCAGACCAGCAAGTTTTTATTAAGGGTTTCAAAAGGGGAGGGGGTGTAAGAACAGAGAGTAGGTACAAAGATCACATGCTTCAAAGAGCAAAAAGCAGAACCACTGATAAGGGTCTAACAAAGATCACGTTTCTGAGGGAACAGGGCAAAGGGCAAACGCAGAACCACTAATAAGGCTCCAACAAAGATCAAAGGGCAAAAGCAGAACCTCTGATAAGGGTCCAACAAAGATCACAGGGCAAAGGGCAAAAGCAGAACCACTGATAAGGGTGTATGTTCAGTAGTACATGTATTGTCTTGATAAACAACTGAAAACGGTTGGAGAGCAGAGAACCAGTCTGACCACAAATTTACCAGGGTTGAGTTTTCCCAACCCTAGTAAGCCTGAGGGTTCTGCAGGAGACCATGGCTTATCTCAGTCCTTATCTGAACTGTACAAGACAGACATTCCCAGAGCAGCCATTTATAGACCTCCCCCAGGAATGCATTCTTTTCCCAGAGTATTAATATTACTTGCTAGGAAAAGAATTTGGTGATATATTTCCTACTTGCACGTCCATTTATAGGCCCTCTGCAAAAAGAAAAATATGGCTCTTTGCCCGACCCCGCAGGCAGTCAGACCTTATGGTTGTCTTCCCTTGTTCCATAAAAGTCGCTATTCTGTTCTTTTTCAAGGTGCACTGATTTCATATTTTTCAAGCACACGTTTTACAATCAATCTGTACAGTTAATTATCACAGTGGTCCTGAGGTGATGTACATCCTCAGTTTATGAAGATAACAGGATTAAGAGATTAAAGACCGGCATAAGAAATTACAAAAGTATTATTTGAGAACTGATAAATGTCCATATTAAGATGAAATCTTAACAATTTATGTTCCTCTCCCACGGCTCCAGCCGGTCCCTCTGTTCAGGGTCCCTGACTTCCCATAACATTCAGGTAAGTACTAAGGAGGCTTCATAAGTCATGAGGATGTTTTAATATATAAATGTAGCAAAAAAACGTGACAGTGCTTGCCGAGTAACAGATGTTTTATAATCTGTAAATATTCCTGCTAGAGTTATTTTGTAACTTTAAGTCAGAGATGTAAAATATAAATGACAAAGAAAAAACATTGATTCTTTATGTGGATAGGATCTTTTTTTAGGCAGCAAACCTGAATCTTGCTGAATATAAAGCAAAATTCTGCTTGTTTTATTTTCCATTTATCTTCAGGTTTGTCTTACGTGTTTTCCAACTTTGCATGACATCACAGCACTTCTTTTTTTCTGTTTTATAGCTACAATTTTCTCACTTTTGTAATGCCATGTCATTTCACATGCTACTTTGTAGGTTTTGATGAGAAAGTTGGTATTTTTAATGCACTTGAAAAATTGTTTTTTGGTCAAGTGCGATGGCTCACACCTGTAATCCCAGCACGTTGGGAGGCCGAGGCGGGCAGATCATGAGGTCAGGAGTTTGAGACCAGCCTAGCCAATATGGTGAAACCCTGTCTCTACTAAAGATACAAAATAGCCAGGTGGGGTGGCATGCACCTGTAATCCCAGCTACTCCGGAGGCTGAGGCAGAAGAATTGCTTGAACCCAGGAGGCAGAGGTAGCAGTGAGCCGAGATTGCACCATTGCACTCCAGCCTAGGTGACAAGGCGAGACTGTCTCAAAAAAAGAAAGAAAAATTGATTTTAACTGGAGAGTTTGCTTATCAATGTAAGTTTTTTTGTTTTGTTTTTTTTTGAGACGGAGTCTTGCTCTATCACCAGGCTGGAGTGCAGTGGCACGATCTCGGCTCGCTGCAACCTCCACCTCCCTAGTTCAAGTAATTCTCCTGCCTCAGCCTCCCAAGTGGCTGGGACTATAGGCATGTACCACCACACCCAGCTAAGTTTTTTGTCTTTTTAGTAGAGGCGGGATTTCACCATGTTGGCCAGGATGGTCTCAATCTCTTGACCTCATGATTTGCCCACGTCAGCCTCCCAAAGTGCTGGGATTACAGGCGTGAGCCACTGTGCCCAGCCCGAACACCTGCCCTTTTAGTGTCTTTCATACCATTATCATCTGTAATAAATAAATGTGTATTTATTTTGTAAAACATTACATTTTGAAGTCTATGTACATTGTCAAATGCTCAATTTTAGGTAATGCTTCACATAGTTAACTCTTTGTGGTGAGAGCACATGATATTGTCTTAATTTTTTAAAAAAATGCAAATACATTATTATGAACTATAGTCACTATGCTGTAGAACATATTGTTTGAACTTATTTCTCCTGCCCAACTATAATTATGTATTGTTTGACAGATTTATTTTCAAGCTTCACTTTCTGAATACCTTGGCATCTGGTGGTCACTATGTTACTCTCTACTTCAATGAGATTAAGTTTTTTAGAATCCATCTTTAAGTGAAATTATAAAGTAATAATATCTATGCCTTACTTCAACTAATGTCCTCCAGATTAATCATGTAATTGAAAACTACATTTTCTTTTTTAAAGATGAATAGTATTTTGTTGTGTATATACACCACATTGTCTTTATATGCTAATTAGATGTTGAACCACTGATTTTATGTTTTGGCCATTGTGAAGAGTGTTGCGAACAACATAGAGTTGCAAATGTTTCTTCATTCCGATTTTGTTTTGGATATGTATCCAATATTGCACTTTCTGCATTTGATAGTTTGATTTTAAATTTTTTGAGATATCTCTATTTTGTTTTTCATAATGGCTGTCCCATTTATATTCACCCAACAGTGTGCAAGCATTCCCTTTTCTGCACAGCTTTACTAACACTTTTTAATAAGAGTCATACTAACAGGAGTGAGTTGATATCTCATAGTAATTTTTTTTGCTTTCCTTTTCTGATAATTGATATTGAGCATTTTTTATTTATAGCTTGGCAATATGTATGTCTTGAAAAATATTCAAACCTTTTGCTCATTTTTAAGTTTTTTTTTGGTGTAGTAATTTTAGTATACAACAAAACGCTTGTCTCATGTATGATTTGCCTATATTTTCTCTGATTCTTCAGTTGTCTAATCCTGTTAATTGTATGAGAATTGTGTGCAGCAACTTTTTAATTTGAAGTAATATGACTTATCTGTTTTTCCCTTATTTTCCTGGGGTTTTGAGATTACAACAAAAAAGTCACTGTCCAGATCAATGTTATAGGGCTTTCACCCTATATTTTTTTGTAGTAATTCCAGTTTCAACCTTACAGTTAAGTATCTAATTTATTTTGAGTTGATTTATATATATGATGTGATATGCAGATCTTGTTTTATTGCTCTTCATGTGGCTATATAGTTTTCTCAACACCATTTACTGAAGATACTGTCCTTTCCCTAAGAAACTGTCACCTATTTCTAAAATCATTTAGCTATAAATACATGAATATGTTTCTGCTCTTTTCTGCTTCATTTGTGTATGTGTTTATTTTTATTCAAGTACCATACCATTTTGATTACTATAGCTTTGTAGTATATTTCTAAGTCAGTTTGGGTGATAATTTCAGTCTTTTTTTTCTTGGTTGTTTTGGCTATTCAGGTATTTTGTGGTACCATATAAATTTTAGATATATATATATATAAAATTTTAGATATATATTTAAAATTTTCTATTTAGTGTGTCACTGGTACTTTGATAGTTTTTTGCAAATATGTGTAATTTTTTCATTTGTGTATTATTTAATTTCTTTAAGGTTCTTTATCCTATAATGTAACATGTTTCAACTTTTTAGTTAAATTTAATTCAAAGTCTAGTAACTACAGTTATTGTAGATGGGATTGGTTTTTAATTTCATTTTCAGATAGTTAATCATTAGTGTATAGAAATGCTACTAATTTTGTATGTTGATTTTATATTCTGCCAGTTTAATAAATTTGTTTATTCTAGTGGTTCTCAGTAAAGTCTTAGGCTTTTCTATACTTAAGATGTCATCTGCAAGCAGCAATAATTTAATTTTTTTCCAATATGGATGCCTTTGATTTTATTTTCTAATTTCTCTGCCATGAACATTTAGTACTCTGTTTAGTAAGACTGAAGAAAGTGTGCATCCTTGTGTTATTCTAGCTCTTAGAGTAAAAGCTCACAACATTTCTCCATCTACTATGTTGTTAGCTGTGCAATTTTTGTTATATGTGGCATTTATTGGCTTAAGGTGCATTTGCCCTATACCTAATTTATTCACATATTTATCATGAGGGAATATGACTTTTGTCCAACTTTTATTCTGCATGTATTTAAATGTTAAACATGTGAAAGCTAATCCCACATAAATATAAAACATCCTCAGAGACTACTATGGACATCTCTATGCATGGAAACTAAAAAATTTAGAGAAAATAAACTGGATACACACAATCTTCCAAAATTGAGCCATGAAGAAACAAAAATCTAGAACAGAGCAAAAATGTATAATGAAATTGAATTAGTAATAAAAAAACATAAATAGCCCTGAATCAGATAAATTCACAGCCAAATTTTACCACATATAAAAAAGATGGGCCGGGCATGGTGGCTCATGCCTGTAATCCCAGCACTTTGGGAGACCGAAGGGTGTGGATCACCTGAGGTCAGGAGTTCGAGACCAGCCTGGGCAACATGGTGAAACCCTGTCTTTATCAAAAATACAAAAATTAACTGGGCATGGTGGCGTGTGCCTGTAATCCCAGCTACTCGGGAGGCTGAGGTAGGAGAATCACTTTAACACAGGAGGTGGAGGTTGCAGTGAGCCAAGATCATGCATGCCACTGCACTCCAGCCTGGGCGACAAAGCGAGACTCTGCCTCAAACAAACAAAAAAAAATGAACTAGGCCGGGCACGGTGGCTCACGCTTGTTAATCTCAACACTCTGGGAGGCTGAGGTGGGCGGATCACAAGGGCAGGAGTTCAAGACCACCCTGGCCAATATGGTGAAACCCTGTCTCTACTAAAAATACAAAAATTAGTCAAGTGTGTTGGTAGTGGGTGCCTGTAGTCCCAGCTACCCAGGAGGCTGAGACAGGAGAATTGCTTGAGCCCGGTACGGATAGGTTGCAGTGAGCTGAGATCGCACCACTACACTCCAGCCTGGGCAACAGAGCAAGACTCCGTCAAAAAAAAAAAAAAAGGATGAACTGGTACTAATTCTACTGAATGTATATAAAAAATCAAAGTGGAATTTATTCCTAATTCATTATATGAAACAAGTATCATCCTAATACCAAAATCTAGTGAAGACACAAAAAAACTATAGGCAAATATTCTTCATGAACATTGAAACATCTTCCATGAAACACTAGCAAGCTGAGTTCACAAGCAAATCAAAAAGTTATTTTCCACAATCATGCGGGCTTTATGAATGCAAGAATGTTTTATGATATGCAGTCAATAAGTGAAATTCACCTTGTAAAATGATTAAAAGCAAAAATTATGTAATTATCAAAACATGCAGAAAAAGCATTCAAGAAAATTCAATATTCATAAAAATATTCTCAACAAACTAGACATTGAAGAAACACCTCAAAATAATGAGTCATCCATGACAAATCTTCATTTAACATCATACTTAACAGATGAAAGCTAGATGCATTCTCCATAAAAATAACAATATTCACTCAACACTCACACTCCTATTCAACATAGTTCTGGAAGTCCTAGCCAGTGCAATCAAACAAATAAATAAAAGGCATCTAAAGAGAAAAATAGGAAGTCAAATTATCTTCACAGAAGATATAATTCTCTACCTGGGAAACTTTAAATATTTAACCAAAAGACTCGTAAGCCTAAAAAATGACTTCAGCAATGTCTCATGATACAAAATCAACATACAAAAATGAGTAGCATTTTTTACACTAATAACATTCAAGCTGAGAACAAAATCAAGAACACAGTTTATGATAGCCACAAACAAAAAATATATATACATTGAATCAAGGATGTAAAATCTCTCTACAAGGAGTACAACAATACACTGCTGAAAGAAATCAGAAAACACAAGTAAATGGAAAAGCATTTTATGCTCATGGATTTGAAGAATCAATATAATTTAAATGTTTGTGCTGCCTAAAACCACCTACAAATTAAGTGCTATTTCTATCAAACCCTTAATGCCATTTTTATAGAATTAAAAAAAATCTTCTAAAATGTGTAGAAAAACAAGCCTAAATAGCCAAGGCAACGTTAACAAACCTGGATGCCTCACATTACCTGACTTCAAACTTTACCAGAAGCTACAGTAACCAATATGACATGGTTCTGGTACAAAAATATACATATGGACCAATGGAACAGAGAGAGAGCCCTGAAATAAAGCTACACTCGTACACAACGAACCTTTTTTTTTTTTTTTTTGAGGGAGTGCTGTGGAACAATCCCAGATCACTGCAACCTCTGACTCCTGAGTTCAAGCAATTCTCATGCCTCAGCCTCCCGAGTAGCTGTGATTACAGATATGCACCACCACGCCTGGCCAACTTTTGTATTTTCAGTAGAGGTGGGGTTTCACCATGTTGGCCAGGCTGGTCTCAAACACTTGAACTCAAGTGATCTGCTCACCTTGGTCCCTGAAGTGCTGGGATTACAGGCAGGAGCCACCACTCCTTCCCCCAACTTATTTTTGACAAAGTTAATAGAAATAAAAAGGAAATAACTACCTATCTAATAAATAGTATTGGGAAAACTGGTTAGTCATATGCAAAAGAAGAAAACTGAAACCCTACCTCTCATATATAAAACAAGATAGATTAATAACTGTGAGACTTTAATATATAAAAATTCTAGAAGACCAATTAGAAAGTACTCTTCTAGACACTGCCCTCTGGAAATAATTCATAACACCTTAAAAGTAAATTCAATGGAAAAAACTTGGAAATTCGCACCTAATTAAACTAAATAGCTGCATAGCAAAAGAAACTATTGACAAATTAGACAACCTGTAGTATAAAATAAAATATTTGCAAACTACATACAACAAAGTATTAATATATAGAATCTATCAGAAATTTTATAAAAAAAGACACATAATATGAAAAGCCATTACTCAAAGAAAGACATAAAAGCTGCCAATAAACATACAAAGAAAAATGCTCAACGTCCCTAGTCATCAGAGAAATGTAAGTCAAAATAACAATGTGATACTATCTCATGCTAGTTAGAATGACTTATTAAAAGCCAAAAAGTGACAAATATTCAAGTTGTGGAAAAAAAGGGCGTCTTTCTACACTGTTGATGGAAATGCAAATTAATTCAGCCTCTATGGAACACAGTTTGAAGATTTTTCAAAGAACTTAAAATAGAATTGCCATTTAGCCCATCAACCCAATTACTGAGTATATACCCAAAAGGGAAAATAATTTTAGAAAAAAGACTTGCACTGAAATGTTTACTGCAGCACTATTCACCATAGCAAAGATCTACAATTTAACCAGGTACTAATGAATTTTAGATTAATTTCCTTTTTCTTTTCTTTTTTTTTTAATTTATTATTATTATACTTTAAGTTTTAGGGTACATGTGCACAATGTGCAGGTTAGTTACATACGTATACATGTGCCATGCTGGTGTGCTGCACCCGCTAACCCATCATCTAGCATTAGGTATATCTCCCAATGCTATACCTCCCCCCTCCCCCCACCCCACAACAGTCCCCAGAGTGTGATGTTCCCCTTCCTGTGTCCATGTGTTCTCATTGTTCAATTCCCACCTATGAGTGAGAATATGTGGTGTCCTTTTTCTTTTCTTTTTCTTTTCTTTCTTTCTTTTTTTTTTGAGATGGAGTCTCCCTCTGTCACCAGGCTGGAGTGCAGTGGCGCGATCTCAGCTCACTGCAACCTCCACCTCCCATGTTCAAGCGATTCTCCTTCCTCAGCCTCCCAAGTATCTGGGACTACAGGCATGCACCACCACGCCCAGCTAATTTTTGTATTTTTAGTAGAGATGGGGTTTCACCATGTTGGCCAGGATGGTCTCGATCTCTTGACCTCGTGATCCGCCCACCTCGGTCTCCCAAAGTGTTGGGATTACAGGCGTGAGCTACCACGCCCGGCCTTTAGATTCATTTTCTTTTTTAATTTGCTTATAATGAGAAAATTAACATCCATATTGCTGCAAAGAACATTACTTCTGATGCATTCATGTTGCTGCAAAAAAACACTATTTCTTTTTCTGTGGCTGGATAGTATTGCATTGTGTATAAGTATGTTATATACCACATGTTCTCACTTATGAGTGGGTGCTAAACATTGGGTTAACATGGAAACATAGATGAAAACAATCAACGCAGAGTTCTAAAAATAAAAAAGGAAAGGAGAGAAACATTGAAAAACTACCTATCAAGTATGATGTACACTACTGGGGCAATGGAGTTATCAAGTGCCCAAACCTTAACATCATGTAGTATACCTGTGTTACACATCTTCACCTATATCTCTTGAATCTGAAATAAAAATAATAAAATATTTTGTGCTATAATGAAATGTTACATTTCTATAGATCTGGGTTAATAGTTGGAATTAGGAGTCAAAGAAGACACAAAATTATGTTCCCTTTGAGCATAGGAGTGAATGTTTTAATACTAGGTCTTCCCACATTCTGTAAGCTAGCATCTTTGAAAGCTCTCAGCCTATAGGCAAAGAAGTGTTTTATTTCCAAGTGTGCAGCTAAAATAAATGACTCTACATCTTTGTTTTTTACTTAGTAACTACACTAGACTATAAAGTTAACTTTTTACTCTTTTTTTTTTTGGAAAAAAATGCTGAATTGTTTAATCATACTTCTTTTAGAATAAACCATTTTTGAAAATGTGAGACTGAAAATTACGTTAAATTTCTGAATTAGGAAAATAAAGTATTTTTCTGAAGAAAAAAGCGGCCGGGTGCAGTGGCTTATGCCTGTAATTCTAGCACTTTGGAAGGCCGAGGCGGGCAGATCATGACGTCAAGAGATGGAGACCATCCTGGCCAACATGGTGAAACCCTGTCTCTACTAAAAAGATAAAAGTTAGCTGGGCGTGGTGGCCCACACCTGTAGTCCCAGCTACTCAGGAGGCTGAGGCAGGAGAATCGCTTGAACCCAGGAGGCAGAAGTTGCAGTGAGCTGAGATCATGCCAGTGCACTTCAGCCTGGGCAACAGAGTGAGACTCCGTCTCAAAAAAAAAAAAAAAAAAAAAAAATGGCCATAGCGCAAGGATGATGAAAGAGAGTGTTGGCTATTTAAGACCACACTGCTGCAACCATTCCATCACAACCATACTAGTGAATAAAGGAATAATTGATCACAAGGTATTTTTGGCAAACTTTCCTGATTCTATCGCAGTGTTAAATTTTTACTTGTATTTATTATTTGCCATATAGATGTCCGTACTTCTACAAAAGATGCCATAAATTTCAAATTAATATTGTCACCCATATATTCTCCCTAGAAAGACGCCAGTGTGTTTGCAATCAAGGTGTGTCCTTTCTGGCCTTTCTTGTGGTGCTTTGTTTCTCTAAAATAGGAAGGCAAGAAGTAAAGCAGAGTCAACCAGGAGATTTCCAGTTTCTACAGCCACAGCTTGTAAATTGTTACCTTATGTCAGCTAGAAATAATGACAGTGATCCACCCACCTCAGCCTTCCGAAGTGCTGGGATTACAGGCGTGAACCACCGCGCCCGGCCAACTTTGTGTTGTAAAAGAAAGAAGAGCACAGTAAGATTTTCTGTGACCTATTGAAGTCCATAAAATTTATCGAAGAATTTCACATACAACCTAAATTTTTTGGTAACATTTAGTTCCAATCACAATAAGTTATATCTGCAACTAACATCTGTAATCAATCCCTTTTCTCTCTTTTTAATAAATACTCCGTCTTCCTCCCGGGTTCAAGCAATTCTCCTGCCTCAGCCTCCTCGAGTAGCTGGGATTACAGGCATGTGCCACCACGCCCGGCTAATTTTGTATTTTTAGTAGAGACAGGATTTCTCCATGTTAGTAAGGCTGGTCTCAAACTCCCGACCTCAGGTGATCCCCCCGCCTCAGCCTCCCAAAGTGCTAGGATTACAGGCGTGAGCCACCGCGCCCGGCCAGAAGAAAGCCTTTTAATATACACACAGAAGGCCACATTGAGTGAATAGTTTTGATGCTATATATGCAAAATAAATATTTTATTTTTCTGATTTCACCAGTTCCAAAGGGAAATAATCAACATGCTTATGGTCAGAATTTTTTCAATCAAGCTGTGTTAATAAGAATGTTGACGTGTGGAAAATAAAATTTTACAATTCAAAAAAAAGTCTTTTATTCATAAAAATAGTGATTAATTTTTAAAACTGTATCCTAAAAAGGACTAAATATTTGTAATCTGAAGTGTTTCAAATGTACTCTACTAATTAGTTTAGTCTTATACCACATTAACCCGTAATTTTTTATTTTTTTATTTTTGAGATGGAGTCTCGCTCTGTCGCCCAGGCTGGAGTGCAGTGGTGCAATCTCGGCTCACTGCAAGCTCAGCCTCCCAGGTTCATGCCATTCTCCTGCCTCAGCCTCCCGAGTAACTAGGACTATAGGCGCCTACTGCCATGCCCGGCTATTTTTTTTTTTTCTTTTTTTTGTATTTTTAGTAGAGACGGGGTTTCACCATGTTAGCCAGGATGATCTCGATCTCCCGACCTCGTGATCCGTTCGCCTCGGCTTCCCAAAGTGCTGGGATTACAGGCGTGAGCCACCGCGCCCGGCCTTAACCTGTCAAATTTACAAAAATATTTTTATCTAAAATATTTTCAGGCTTATTGTACTTCCTTTGAAAACGTTGACATTTTAAAATTTAATTTAATTTAATTTTAGCTGGACCACGAATCAAAGTAATTCAGGTCTCTGAAGCAAAGCTGAAACTGCATGTGCTGAGAGTGACATTTTTTAAAAATTGTTTTTATTTCCAAAGGTTATTGGGGAACAGGTGGTGTTTGGTTACATAAGTAAGTTCTTTAGTGGTGATTTGTGAGAGTCTGGTGCACCCATCACCTGAGCAGTATACACTGGACCCTATTTGTAGTCTTTTATCCCTCACCCCCTTTCTACCCTTTCTCCCTGTATCCCCAAAGTCCATTATATTATTTTTATGTCTTTGCATCCTTACAACACAGCTTCCACTTATTAGTGAGAACATATGATGTTTGGTTTTCCATTCCTGAGTTACTTCACTTAGAATAATAGTCTCCAATCTCAACCAGGTCGCTGAGAATGCCATTCGTTCATTCCTTTTTAAGGCTTGGATAGTATTCCCATCCTATACGTATACCACAGTTTCTTAATCCACTCAATTGATGGGCATTTGGGCACGATTTTGCAATTGTGAATTGTACTGCTATAAACATGCATGTGCAGGTATCTTTTTCACATAATGACTTCTTTTTTTCTGGGTACCCAGTTATGGAATTGCTGGATCAAATGGTAGTTCTACTTTTAGTTATTTAAGGAATCTCCACCCTGATTTCCATAGTGGTTGTACTAGTTTACATTCCCACCCACAGTACAGAAGTGTTCTTTGTTCATTGAATCCATGCCAACATCTACTATTTTTTGATTTCTTGATTACGGCCATTCTTGCAGGAGTAAGTTGGTATCACATTGTGGTTTTGATTTGCATTTTCCTGATCATTAGTGATGTTGAGCATTTTTTCCATATGTTTGTTAGCCATTTATATGTCTTCTTTTTATAATTGTGTATTCATGTCCTTAGCCTACTTTTTGGAAGGATTGTTTCTTTTTTATTCTTGTTGCTTTTTTTGAGTTCTTTGTAGATTTTGGATATTAGTTCTTTGTCAGATGTGTAGATTGTAAAGATTTTTCCCACTCTGTGGGTTTTCTGTTTACTCTGCTGACTTTACTTTTGCCATGCAAAGGCTCTTTAGTTTAATTAAGTCCCAGCAATTTATCTTTGTTTTATTGCATTTGCTTTTGGGTTCTTGGTCATGAAGTCCTGCCTAAGCCAATGTCTAGAAGGGTTTTTTTCAATGTTCTAGTTTCAAGTCTTAGATTTAAGTCCTTAATCCATCTTGAGCTGATTTTTGTATAAGGTGAGAGGCGAGGTGAGGATCCAGTTTTATTTTCCTACATGTGACTAGCCAATTATCCCAGCACAATTTGTTGAAAAGGGTATCCTTTCCCCATATAATGTTTTTGTTTGTTTTGTTGATGATCAGTTGGCTGTAAGTATTTGGGTTTATCTCTGGGTTCTCTATTTTGTTCCATTGGTCTATGTGCCTATTTTTATACCAGTACCATGCTGTTTTGGTGACTATCGTCTTATAGTACAGTTTGAAATCAGGTAATGTGATGCCTCCAGATTTGTTCTTTTTAGTTAGTCTTGCTTTGGCTATATGAGCTGTTTTTCAGTTTAATATGAAGTTTAGAATTGTTTTTTCTAACTCTGAAGAATCATAGTGGTATTTGGATGGGAATTGCATTGAATTTGTAGATTGCTTTTGACAGTATGGTCATTTTCACAATATTGATTCTACCCATCCCTGAGCATGGGAGGTAATTCTATTTGTTTGTGTTGTCTATGATTTCTTTCAGCAGTGTTTTGTAGTTTTCTTTGTAGAAAGCTTTCACCTCCTTGGTTAGACATATTCCTAAGCATTTAATTTTTTTTGCAGCTATCGTAAAAGGGGTTGAGTTCCTGATCTGATTCTCAGCTTGGTCACTGTTGGTATACAGAAGAGCTACTAATTTGTGTACATTAATTTTGTGTCTGGAAACTTTGCTGAATTCTTTTATCAGTTCTAGAAGCTTTCTGGAGGAGTCTTTAGGGTTTTCTAAGTAAACAATTATATCATCAGCAAACAGTGACAGTTTGACCTTCCTCTTTACTGATTTGGATGCTCTTTATTTCTCTTGTTTGATTGCTCTGGCTAGGACTTCCAGTACTATGTTGAAGAGGAGTGGTGAGAGTGGGCATCCTTGTCTTGTTACAGTTCTCAGAGAAAATGGTTTCAACTCTTCCACATGCAGTATTATGTTGGCTGTGGGTTTGTCATAGATGGCTTTTATTACATTGAGGTATGTTCCTTGTATGCCTATTTTGCTGAGAGTTTTAATCATAAAGCAATGCTGGATTTTGTCAAATGTTTTTTCTGCATCTATTGAGATGATCATGTGTTTTTTGTTTTTAATTCTGTTTAGGTGGTATATCACATTTATTGACTTGCAATGTTAAACCAACCCTGCATCCCTGGTATGAAACCCACTTGATCATGCTTTGTTGATATGTTGTCAGATTCGGTTAGCTAGTATTTTGTTAAGGATTTTAGCATCTATTTTCATCAGGGATATTGGTCTGTAGTTTTTTGTTTGTTTGTTTTTGGTTATATCCTTTCCTGGTTTTGGCATTAAAATGATACTGGGTTCATAGAATGAAGGAAAACCCAAGGAAGGGTTTTCTCTCTCTCCATCTTGTGAAATAGTGTCAATAGGATTGGTACCAACTCTTCTTTGTATATCTGGTAGAATTCTGCTGTGAATCTGTCTGGTCCTGGACTTTTTTTTGTTTGTAATTTTTTAATTATCATTTCAATCTTGTTGCTTGTTATTGGTTTGTTCAGGATATCTAATTCTTCCTGATTTAAGCTAGGAGGGTTGTATCTTTCCAGGAATTTATCCATCTCTTACAGGTTTTCTAGTTTATGCACATAAAAGTGTTCATAGTAGCCTTGAATGATCTTTTGTATTTCTGGGGTGTCAGTTGTATCTTGTTTCATTCCTTGTTGAGCTTATTTGGCTTTTCTCTCTTATTTTTTTGGTTAATCTTGCTAATGGTCTATCAGTTTTCTTTATCTTTTCAAAGAACCAGCTTTTTGTTAAATTTATTTTTTGTGTTGTTTTCTTTGTTTCAACTTTATTTAATTCTGCTCTGATATTGGTTATTTCCTTTCTTCTGCTAGGTTTGGGTTTGGTTTGTTTTTGTTCCTTTATTTCCTTGAGATGCGACCTTAGATTGTCTGTGCTCTTTCAGACTTTGATGTAGGCATTTAGGGCTATAAGCATTCCTCTTTGCACCACCTTAGCTGTGTCCTGGAGGTTTTGATAGATTTTGTCCCCTTTTTCATTCAGTTAGAAGAATTTTATAATTTTCCTCTTAATTTCATTTTTGACCCAATAATCATTCAGGAGCAGGTTATTCAATTTCCATGTATTTGCGTGATTTTGGGGGTTCCTTTTGGAGTTGATTTCCAGTTTTATTCCGCTGTGGTCTGAGAGAGTGCTTGATAGAATTTTAATTTTCTTAAATTTATCGAGGCTCATTATGTGGCCTGTCATATGGTCTGTCTTGGTGAAAGTTCCATGCACTTTTGAATAGAATGTATATTCTGTGGTTGTTGGATGAAATGTTCTCTCTCTATATATATATCTATCTGTATATAGATAGATATATAGATATCTATCTGTATATAGATAGATATATAGATATCTATCTGTATATAGATAGATATATAGATATCTATCTGTATATAGATAGATATATAGATATCTATATATCTATATCTTTCATAAACGTACACAATTCTTTGACTGTTTCAAGAGTCAGGCTATACTTTCAGCTTGTCTTGTTTCTGTGAATATGGTGGCAGAAATCATGGATTTGAGGATCAACTGGGCTGGAGTCAAGCAGTCCCCTACCGTTTATTGGCTGAATGAGCTTAGGAAATCATTTGTTTAACCTTTAAGGCTCAATTGTCTCATCTGTAAAATGAGCAGGATATTATCCATCTCATTGTTAAAATCAAATTAAATAATTGAAATAAAGTGTGTAACACTATGCCTCGACACAGGTAGATATATCTATATATCTATATCTATATCTATATATCTATATATATATATAGAGAGAGAGAGAGAGAGAGATACATTTGTTCCCGTGTATAGTTTCAGTACATTGTTTCTTTGTATACTGTCTTGATGACTTTTTTTTTTCTTAGATGAAATCTGCTCTCTCACCCAGGCTAGAGTGCAATGGCATGATCTTGGCTCACTGCAACCTCCACCTCCCAAGTTCAAGTGATTCTCTCACCTCAGCCTCCCAAGTAGCTGGGATTACCGGTACCTGCTATCATGCCCAGCTAATTTTTTTACTTTTGTAGAGACAGGGTTTCATCATCTTGATCAGGCTGGTCTTGAACTCCTGACCTCAGCTGATCTGCCTGCCTTAGCCTCCCAAAGTGCTGGGATTACAGGCATGAGCCACCACACCCAGGTGACCTTTCTAGTGCTGTCAGTGGAGAATTAAAATCTCCCACTATTATTGTGTTGCTGTCTATCTCATTTCTTAGGTCTATTAGTAATTGTTTTATCAATTTGGGATCTCCACTGTTAGGTGCATATATGTATAGAATTGTGATATTTTCCTGCTGGACAAGGCTTTTTATCATTATATAATGTCCTTTGTCTTTTTTAACTGCTGTTGCCTTAAAGTTTGTTTTGTCTGATTTAAGAGTAGCTACTCCTGCTTGCTTTTGGTGTCCATTTGCATGAAATGTTTTTCCACCACTTTACCTTAAGTTTTTGCGAGTCCTTATGTGTTAGGTGAGTCTCTTGAAGGCAGCAGATGGTTGGTTGGGGAATGCTTATTCATTCTGCAATTCTGTGTCATTTAAGTAGAGCATTTAGTCTATTTACATTCAGTGTTAGTATTGAGATGTGAGGCACCATTCCATTCATCATGCTATTTGTTGTCTGTATACTTTGTTTGTTTTTGTTTTTTAAATTGTATTTTTGTTTTTTAGGTCCTGTGAGATTTACGCTTTAAAGAGGTTCTGTTTTGATATGTTTTCAGAATTTGTTTCAAGATTTAGCTCTCTTTTAGCTGTTTTGTAGTGGTGACTTGATAATGGCAAATTCAGCATTTGTTTGTCTGAAAATTATTATCTTTTCTTCATATGTGAAGCTTAATTTTGCTGGATACAAAATTCTTGGCTGATAATTGCTTTGTTCGAGAAGGCTGAAGATAGATCCTCAATCCCTTCTCGCTTGTAGAGTTTCTACTGAGAAATCTGCTGTTAATCTGATAGGTTTTGTTTTATAGGTTACCTGGTGCTTTTGTCTCACAGCTCTTAATATTCTTTCCTTCATCTTAACATTAGATAACCTGATGAAAATGTGCCTAAGCAACAATCTTTTTGAGATGAATTTCCCAGGTGTTCTTTGTGCTTCTTGCATTTGGATGTCTAGGTCTCTAGCAAGGCCAGGAAAGCTTTTCTCAATTATTCCCCTAAATATGTTTTCCAAACTTTTAGGTTTCTCTTCTTCTTCAGCAGCACTGATTATTCTTGTTTGGTCATTTAACATAATTCCAGACTTCTTGGAGACTTTGTTCATATTTTCTTATTCTTATTTATTTATTTATTTTTGTCTTTGTTGGATTGAGTTAATTCAAAGACCTTGTCTTAGAGCCCTGAATTTTTCTTCTACTTGTTCAATTCTATTGTGGAGACTTTTCAGAGCATTTCACATTTCTAAAATTGTGTCCAAAGTTTCCTGAATTTTTTATTGTTTTTTCTTTCAGCTATCAATTTCCTTGAATATTCCTCCCTTTACTTCTTGTATGATTTTTTTTGGATTTTCTTGCATTGGGCTTCACCTTTCTCTGACCTCTCCCTGATTAGCTTAATAATTAACCTCCTGAGTTATTCTTCAGGTAAATTAGGGATTTCTTCTTGGTTTGAATCCATTGCTGGTGAACTAGTGTGATTTTTTGGGGGGTGTTAAAGAGCCTTGTTTTGCCATATTACAAGGGTTTGTTTTCTGACTTCTCATTTTGGTAGGCTCTGTCAGAGGGAAAGTCCAGGGCTGAAGGCTGTTTTCAGTTCTTTTGTCCCACTGGGTGTTGTAGTACTCTTCCCCTTTTCCTATGGATGTGACTCCCTACGTGCCAAAATGCAGAGATTTTTGTCTCTCTTCTGGGTCTAGCCACCCAGCAAGTCTATGTGACTCTGCGCTGGTACTGGAGTTGTCTGCACAGAGTCCTGTGATGTGAACCATCTATAGGCTTCTCAGCTGTGGATACCAGCACCTGTTCTAGTGCAGGTGGCAGCGGGGTGCAATAGACTCTGTGAAGGTTTTCAGTTTTGGTGGTTTAATGCTCTAGTTTTGTGCTGGTTTGTCTCCTGCCAGGAGGTGGTGCTTTCCAGAAAAGCATCAGCTGTAGTAATATAGAGGGGGACCGGAAGTAGGCGGAGCCCTAGAACTCCCAAGATTATATGTCCTTTGACTTTTGCTACCAGGGTAGATAGAAAAGGACCATCAGGTGGGGGCGGGGATAGGTGTGCCTGAGTTCAGACTCCTCTTGGGCAGGTCTTGCTGTGGCTGCTGTGGGGTATGGGGGTGAGATTCCCAGGTCACTGGAGTTGTGTACCTAGGAGGATTATGGCTGCCTCTGCTGAGTCATGTATGTTGTTAGGGAAGTTGGGGAAGGCTGACAGTCACAGGCCCCAGCCAGCTCCCACACAAACCAAAGAGCTGGTCTCCCTCCTACCATGTACCCTGCAACAGCCCCGAGCCTTCTTCCAGGCAGAGGGTGTGATGGGCTTGAAAACTTGCCCCCAGCTAACCACCTCCCAAATGTGAAAGAAAGGGGCTTGGTTCTTCCCCCACCTGTGAAATCTGCACACCAGATTTGTGCCCTACCCACAGAGGGCTTCTCAGCTGTGGATACAGGAGAGAAGCTTCTTGCCCCATTCAAATTGTCACAAAGTTCAGCTAGAGATTTCCTTCTCCCTGTGGAGTTTTACCTCCTGCTCCTCTGGTCACCCTCCTGATGGATCCCTTTGGTGCCAGACAAAAATGGCCCACTAGGGGATTCAGTGAGCTCCCAGGCCTTTCTGCTGCTTCCTCTACCCCTATATTTCGCTTGGCTATCTAAATTGACTCAGTTCCATGTAAATTCAGAAACTTCTCCTATAAACAGACCTTTAGCTTCTCCAGTGGGGGTGTGTGTTCAGGAGAGGAGAATCTCCCTTTCCTACTTCTACAGTTTGGACACTCACAGTATTTGGAGAGTCTCCTGGATCCTGCAGGAGCAGTCCATTTTCTTCAGAGGGTCTGTGGGTCCTCTTGGGATTTCTGGCTTGTTCTTGCAGTAGATATGGAGCTAAAATTCACGATGCAAGCTTCAGCAAGCTGCTCTGTCTGGAGATGCAATCTAGTCCTGCCTCCTGTCCTCCATGATGATCCAACACAAAAGTACAGTATATTTTAAATTAAAAAGAGTAAACTGGGCCGGGCACAATGGCTCACTTTTGCAATCCCAGTACTTTGGGAGGCCAAGGCAAGCAGCCACTTGAGGTCAGGAGTTCAAAACCAGCCTGGCCAACATAGCAAAACACCATCTCTACTAAAAATACAAAAATTAGCCAGGCATGCACCCCTGTAGTCCCAGCTACTCAAGAGGGTGAGGCACAAGAATTGCTTGAGCCTGGGAGGCAGAGGTTGCAGTAAGCTGAGATCACACCACTGCACTCCAGTCTGGGCGATAGAGCAAGACACTGTCTCAAAAAAAAAAAAAAAAAAAGAAGGAAGCCATGAAGCCGTAGGTAACATGTAGTGAAGACTTCTCATGTGCCAGGCCCAGTGCTTACTTAACCTAAATGATCCCACTGGATCCTTACATCATGCCAACAGAGACGTATTATTACATGGATGTCTAGAAGTACAGTCGCCCCTTGGTATTCAAGGGGGATTGGTTTCAGGACCAACCCTACTCTCCTCCATGGATACCAAAATCCAAGGAGTCTCAAGTTTCTGATATAAAATAGTGTAGTGCTTGCACATAACCTATGTACATCCGACTATATACTTTAAATTATCTCTAAATTATTTATAATACCTAATATTAATTTATAATACCTAATATAATACCTATGCATTACTTCATTAGCATAAGTGCAACATAGTACTTGGTGAGGTTTTAAGTTTTGCTTTTGGGTACTTTGTGGGAATTTCTTCCCAAATATTTTCCAGACATGGTTGGCTGATTCCATGAAGGTGGAACCCATAGATAAAAAGGGTCTAAGTATTAGAGCCAGAGTAAACTGTATGTATTAGTATTATATATTTGAGGTTCAGACTCACAAATAATATTTCTGTTTATGATTTGAAAACTTCAAGGTTTTGTTTTTCATCTGTATATATACAGAACAGTGTATAGTGCTAAATTATTTGTTTCTTAAAATGCCAGCCACAGCTCTTGTGTGTCTGGATATATTTTGGACTTTTGTATGTTTAATATAACATAAAAAAGAAACTTTATTATGTTTTAGATAATCTAAGATTGGTATGCATAAACAAACTTTACAAATTACTGTAGCGTTTAGCAAACTATGTAATATTATGACTTTAGTATATTTACTTTTTGATGTCTGAGTCTTTTTTTTTTTTTTTTCTTGAGATGGAGCTTCGCTCTTGTTGCCTAGGCTGGAGTGCAATGGTGCAATATTGGCTCACTGCAACCTCCGCTTCCCCAGGTTCAAGTGATTCTCCTGCCTCAGCCACCCTAGTAGCTGGGATTACAGGCATGCACCACCATGCCCACTAATTTTTTGTATTTAGTAGACACTGGGTTTCACCAGGTTAGTCAGGCTGGTCTCAAACTCCTGACCTCAGGTGATCTACCTGCCTCAGCCTCCCAAAGTGCTGGGATTACAGGCATGAGCCACTGCTCCTGGCCTAAATTTTTTTTTTTTTAATAAAAGATAGGATTTTAAAAAAATGTCTCCACAAATTCAGGCTTATTTTATAAAATGGCAAAATAGTAAAGAAATGGTGATTAGTGTATATATATATATACACACACATATATGCTGCCACTCAATTAAAATACCAAATATTTAAATCAAAATTATTTAGACAGCAGATTAAAATAATTTTTTGATTTTCTGACTACTGTGATAGACATTCACAAACATTTCATAAATCATACCTATCAGTATTAGGTTTTACTTAGTAGTAATATATATATAAAAGAGCTGTTCAAGATGAATATTTTTCACCAATAATTTAGCATTTTGAAATATCCAGAAGTCTTGCTTTAATCAGATTAAGTCAGGGGATAGTTGAGTAATTATATTTTTTGTATGATGTGTTTAAAATTTTCTAGTTTAAATTGATATTGATTGATGATGGGTAAACAAATCAATTTTATAAATATCTCATAGGCCTATTAAATTGTTGAATTTTTTTTTTTTTTTTAGACGGAGTTTCCCTCTTGTTGCCCCGGCTGGAGTGCAATGGTGCGATCTTAGCTCACTGCAATCTCTGCCTCCCAGGTTCAAGCGATTCTCCTGCCTCAGCCTCCCAAGTAGCTGGGATTACAGGTGCCTACCACCACGCCGGGCTAATTTTTTTTGTATTTTTAGTAGAAACGGGGTTTTTCCATGTTGGCCAGGCTGGTCTGAACTCCTGACCTCAGGTGATCCACCTGCCACAGCCTCCCAAAGTGCTGAGATTACAGGCGTGAGCCACCACGCCTGCCTGAAGATGTTTTTAATTAAAAAATTCTGTCTTTCGGTATTGTTTACAGGGATTTTAGTCTAGTCTAATATGCTCCACCTGTTAATTAGTGTCACGTGCTAGATTCCAATTTATTTTCAGTGTGCCTGTATGACTTTTCTATCCATATTTTTTGAATAAAATTTCTATTACTTATTCGAATGTGTTATAATACAGCTGACACATTTAAAATGAAGCCACCAGTTAAAACAAGTTCTGGCTTAGAATAAAAAAGCTGTTACCAAGATAGAGTTATATATACAGATGGATGTGGCTCGACAAAATTTAGACAAAAAAAAATTGAATGGAACTAACATATGTTGCTATGACTTAGCCTCTAATGAGCCTATAAATAAATGCAGATTTCAGCACATTTATCCAGTTGCTTCCAGTACCTCTAAAGGTGGCATATCAATAATTCTTATGCTGCTGTCTAAGAAAACAGATTTTGCTGTTACCTAAACAATCAACTGGAAGGATTTTTTTTTTTTTTTCCTGAGACTGAATCTCGCTCTGTTGCCAGGCAGGAGTGCAGTGGCCCGATCTTGGCTCATTGCAACCTCCACTTCCCGGGTTCAAGTGATTCTCCTGCCTCAGCCTCCCGAATAGCTGGCACTACAGCCACCCACCATCATGCCCGGCTTTTTTTTTTTTTTTTTTTTTTGAGACAGAGTCTCGCTCTGTCGCTAGGCTGGAGTGCAGTGGCGCAATCTCGGCTCACTGAAACTTCCACCTCCTGGGTTCAAGTGGTTCTCCTGTCTTAACCTCCCGAGTAGCTCTGACTACAGACGCGCGCCACCGCGCCGGGCTAATTTTTATGTTTTTAATAGAGACGGGGTTTCACCATGTTGGCCAGGCTGGTCTTCAACTCCTGACCTTAGTTTACCCGCCCGCCTCCGCCTCCCAAACTGCGGGGATCAAAGGCGTGAGCCACCGCACCCGGCCTGGAAGGAATTTTTAAAACCTTACACCACATAAGGAAAAACTGAAATGTACTAATAAATGCAAACTACATCAGTGAAAAGTAGTAATCCAAAATGTCACTTTCAATATTTAAACATTTGGTTAAAAAAATTGATAAAATAAAGCTTTTCGTAAGCTTTCTGTAGCTTAACATGAGCTATAAAGTAGGCAAAAATCTTTAAAAATGAAAACAAACAAAAACTTACACCAAAAAAAGCTAACATCCACCAATGCATACATATGAATCTTTGTGTTTGGAGAGTCCAAAGCGAAACATTTGGTGAACTTGATGCAGTTAATTTTACTATATTGTCATACTGATAAATCATTCATATTTAATTTGAGTGAAACATGTTCACATCTTAAAAATACTGCTTTGTACTATGAATAATAAATGTAAAGTGTTTATCCTCAAGAGGACCCTTGTTCTCAACTCAACATATATGGCAATCCATTCCACTGTTTCCTCCAAACCATTGAGGCCTCATTAAAGCTCCAATATGGGGTGAGAGGGACTCAACAACAGAGAATGTGAAACAAGACGGATAAGGTAGGATGGTCGCTGTAAGGCTCAGGGATTGCCTGGGGGATTCCAACATCATAATGTCAACTATGAAGATTACTGGGTAAAAATAAACATAAGAAGCTGAAAACACCGTGACTTGAATTTGGTGGAAAGGAGTCTCTGGAATCATAAACAGTTGTACCAAAAGAATTGAGCCAGAGTGGCATGTATCTAAAGAATATTAAGGCAAATGTTTACAAGCACATTAGTATTTGTTCCTAATCTTATTAATGTAGCAATATCCTTTCTGTAATGTCAGCTTCTCCAAGCTACGATGCCATAGACAAACTAAGACAAGCGCCTAATATGTTACAGGCAATTAGATTTGAAATTTAACAAACTTGCAATAATTTTATTGAACTCTGTTTCATGTATAAATCTCACTGAAAGGCACTATCAAGTAACTATTTTCCACAGTCTTTTCTGGGATTTTCTGTGCCTGATTCCAAATCAACCTTATTTGAATCCTAGTCATTTCTAAATCTTCAGATGTAATAACAGAAAGACAGTAGAAATGAAGCCAAGTTACCCCAAACAATCCATGTCTAATATATTTGGTTCCCCAAATGAACTAAAATCACACAAGCTAGACAACAGTGGGTTTAAAATTCAGCCTAAATTCAACAGCAGCAGTCAAAACCATATGCAAAAATGAGCAAAGTCACAATGTAGACACCCTTAATATGTTATTCCAGGAAAAATAATAAAATTCTTATTTTGGTATTTTTTAGAAAGGATAAATACATTAAATATGACAAAATATACCCACTCAATTAGAATATCTTTAAATATGAATAATTTTATTTTTATTGTTAAATATTTAATATACATATATAAAAAAGACTTTCAGTGAAAAGACTTGTAGCTACCAGGTGTGAATTAAAGCAGCCCTGTGAAAAATAGAATGTTTTACTAGTAATGAAAATTGAAGCTCCAAGGATGTAAAATAATTTCTCTTGGGCACACAGCTAATGACCCAAAGCTAGCTCAAATATGTTTGATTTTAAAATTTTGATTTTCCCGGCCAGGTGCAGTGGCTCACGCCTGTAATCCCAGCACTTTGGGAGGCTGAGGTGGGCGGATCACCTGAGGTCGGGAGTTTGAGACCAGCCTGGCCAGCATGGAGAAACCTTGTCTCTACTAAAAATACTAAAAGTACAAAATTAGACAGACGTGGTGGCACATGCCTGTAATCCCAGCTACTCGGGAGGCTGAGGCAGGATAATTGCTTAAACCCAGGAGGTGGAGGTGGCAGTGAGCTGAGATCGTGCCACTGCACTCCAGCCTGGGCAACAAGAGCAACTCTGTCTCAAAAAAAAAAAAAAAAATTGATTTTCCCACTGTTGACAATGATGATGTAACAGTTGAATCTTATCTCAAAGTTGGTAGTTAGGAATAAATAAAGACAAGTATTATTGAGATAGGAGAGGTAGTCAAGAAAGTGACCATGTCCTCAGCATGCAGCAACCATGGCGACTGTAATGGTGACTGCATATTGTCAACTCAATAAGCCCCATCATTTACATTGTATTTCAGGTAATTCAAGCAAAGCTATCTGCAGTAGGAAAATTTCTCTGTAGAGAGCATGCGCATTTTGATTTTACCTGTTCTCAAACTGATCTTTTACTCATGATGACAGTAAAAAACACATCCGTGGTGGAGAATTTTTTTTTTTTTTTTTGAGACGGAGTCTCACTCTGTCGCCCAAGCTGGAGTGTGATGGCGTGATCTTGGCCCACTGCAACCTCCACTTCCTGGGTTCAAGCTATTCTTCCACCTCAGCCTCCCGAGTAGCTGGGATTACAGGCACATGCCACCATGCCTGGCTAATATTTTGTATTTTTAGTAGAGACGGGGGTCTCACCATGTTGGTCAGGCTGGCCTTGAATCCCGACCTCAAGTGATCCGCCCACCTCGGCCTCCCAAAGTGCTGGGATTACAGGCGTGAGCCACCGTGCCCAGCCTAACTTTTATTTTATTACATGTGTTCCACATTGCCGTGGTAATGCTGTTGAACTGCACTATTTTTACCAGAAGATCATCTGTGTGAATTTGAATAGACTGACACTGTTGAGGACCAGCTCAGCACACGCACTTGAACTGTAACTCTGCTTTTCAGGCAGCTAAAATGCCTTTGAAGTGTGAAAATAAGGTGACCGCTGATTAAGCAGAGCAGAGAGTTTTTATTTATTTGTTTCTTTATTTCTTTTCTTTTCTTTTCTTTTCTTTTTTTTTTGACACTGAGTTTCGCTCTTGTTGCCCAGGCTGGAGTGCAATGGCGCTATCTCAGCTCATCGCTACCTCTGCTTCCCGGGTTTAAGTGATTCTTCTGCCTCAGCCTCCTGAGTAGCTGGGACTACAGGCGCCCACCACGCCCAGCTAATTATATTTTTAGTAGAGACGGGGTTTCTCCATGTGTCAGGTCGGGAGGTTGAGCTCCCGACCTCAGGTGATCCACCCACCTCGGCCTCCCAAAGTGCTGGGATTACAGGCGTGAACCACCGGGCCTGGTCAAAAGACACAATTTATATTTTAAAGTTAAAATGGCCTGGCTCAGTTGCTCACGCCTGTAATCCCAGCACTTTAGGGGACCGAGGTGAGCGGATCACCTGAGGTCAGGAGTTCGAGACCAGCCTGACCAACATGGAGAAACCCTGTCTCTACTAAAAATACAAAAATTAGCCGGGCATGGTGGCACATGCCTGTAATCCCAGCTACTTGGGAGGCTGAGGCAGGAGAATCGCTTGAACCCAGGAGGCGGAGGTTGTGGTGAGCTGAGATCGCACTATTGCACTCCAGCCTGGGCAACAAGAGCAAAACTTCGTCTGTAAATAAATAAATAAAGTTAGCACTATTGTACTCCAGCCTGGGCAACAAGAGCGAAACTTCGTCTCTAAATAAATAAATAAATAAAGTTAAAATACTTCTAGAAATTAAAAAAGTAAAGAAAAAAGAGATATAAAAACAAATTAAAAAAAGAAGAAAGAGGATTACTCACAGTAGCTAAGATATTGTATGAGCCAAGTGTTCTTCAACAGGTGAATGAATATAGAAAATGTGGTATATTTACACCACAGAATGCTATTTAGCCCTTAAAAAGAAGAAAGTATTGTCATTTGCGACAATATTGATGAACCTCGAGGACATTATGCTAAGTAAAATAAGTTATTATCATCTCAGCTTTGATTCACCAGGCAATTGAATCATATCTTGATGAGTCAGAACTGAAGGAATAATATATTTGTTAAAGCAGTTTGGGTTGTATATTACAATTTCAGATGATTCACAAAATAGTATATTTTCTACTCATGTCACTATCTCCTGTGAGTTTATTTTTCCCTGAGACAGAGTTCCACTCTTGTTACCCAGGCTGGAGTGCAATGGCACCATCTCGGCTCACTGCAACCTCTGCCTCCGGGTTTCAAGTGATTCTCCTGCCTCAGCCTCCCGAGTAGCTGGGATTACAGGTACACGTGCCACCACGCCCAGCTAATTTTTGTATTTTTAGTAGAGACGGGGTTTCGCCATGTTGGCCAGGCTGGTCTCGAACCCCTGACCTCAGGTGATCTGCCCACCTCGGCCTCCCAAAGTGCTGGAATTAGAGGAATGAGCCACTGCTCCCGGCCTCCTGTGTAAGTTTTTGTTGTTGTTAAGAGGACTTCAAAGGCAGGCGCGGTGGTTCACGCCTGTAATCCCAGCACTTTGGGAGGCTGAGGCAGGCAGATCACAAGGTCAGGAGATCGAGACCATCCTAGCTAACACGGTGAAACCCTGTCCTACTAAAAATACAAAAAGTAGCTGGGCTCGGTGGCACAGAGCCTGTAGTCCCAGCTACTCTCGAGGCTGAGGCAGGAAAATCGCTTGAACCCGGGAGGCTGAGGTTGCAGTGAGTCGAGATCTCCAGCCTGGGTGACAGAGCGAGACTAAGTCCCAAAAAAAAAAAAAAAAAAAAAAAGGAAAACCAAAAAACAAACAAAAAAACCAAAAGAGGACTTCATCATTTTTTAGGAATTACATCTTCTTTCATTTTCTCTCTACATCTTTCTCGTTCTTCAGCCAATGGATGAAAAAAGAGATGCAGAGAAGACACATTTGCTTCTTATCCACACATCACTTCCATTCACTATTAGTCAATGTGGTTGTTGCTGAGAATAGCAGTTTCTTAGCCGGACAGCCACTTCTCAGCAATAAATAACACACTGAAAGAAAAGTATAAGTCTTTCATCAAAAGATACTGTATTTTAAGCAAAATAAGCATATGCATCAATAATAAAATGCTTGTGGTAAAATAAAGAATTTTTTTTATGGCCGAGGGCGGTGGCTCAAGAATATAATCTCAATACTTTGGGAGGCTGAGAAGGGAGGATCACTTAAGGTCAGGAGCTTGAGACCAGCCTGGCCAACATGGTGAAACCCCGTCTCTACTAAAAAATACAAAAGTTAGCTGGGCTGTGGCATGCACCTGTAGTCCCAGCTACTTGTGCAGCTGAGATGGGAGAATCGATTGAACTCAGGTGGCGGAGGTTGCAGTGAGCCGAGATTGCCACTGCACTCCAGCCGGGGTGACAAAGTGAGACTCCGTCTCAAAAAAAAAAAAAAAAAAGAAAAAAAGAAAAAAGAAAAAAAGAAAATACATACAAAATAATTTTTTTTATTTCTATTGAAGGCAGGTAATATTTGACCAAAAGTTCTCATCTATAGCTGTACATTAAATGCTACTTTTTATTAAAAATTGTATTTTATATGTAAGTACTCAATTTATATCACTGTTTTTCGCTATTTCAGTACCTTCTTCACTTTGTATCAGTGAGATGCAATCAGGAACTCCCTGATAATGAGTTTCAATCTTCACCATTAGGCCCAACACCCTCTCACCCAATACTTGTTTTTATTCCTGACATAAGATTTTTAGCTTTGAATTTTCTAACTTCGTAGAAATAAAGAGAAATTTTAAAACAAGGGTTTTTTTTTTTCACCCTTAGATAGTATGTAGACCCTGATATTTGGTTTAGAGTTCTTGTTACTAAGCCTAACACAAATACTTTGGTAAATGGATTCTAACAATGTTATCCCTTTCGTGACTTAAAAGAGACACTAATTGGCCGGGCTCAAGCCTGTAATCCCAGTACTTTGGGAGGCCTGGGCGGGCAGATCACCTGAGGTCAGGTGTTAGAGACCAGCCTGACAAACATGGTGAAACCCCATCTCTACTAAAAATACAAAATTAGGCGGGCGTGGTGGCACGCCCCTGTAGTCCCAGTTACTCGGGAGGCTGAGGCAGGAGAATTGCTTGAACCCGGAAGGCGGAGGTTGCAGTGAGCCAAGATCGCACCACTGCATCATTCCAGCCTGGCGACAGAGCCAGACTCCGTCTCAATAAATAAATAAATAAATAAATAAATAAATAAATAAATAAATAAATAAATAATAAAAAATAAAAGGGCCCGGTGCAGTGGCTCACGCCTGTAATCCCAGGACTTTGGGAGGTCCAGGCAGGCGAATCATGAGGTCAAGAGATCGAGACAATCCTGGCCAACATGGTGAAACCCCGTCTCTACTAAAAATACAAAAATTAGCTGGGCGTGGTGGCGCGCTCCTGTAGTCCCAGCTACTTGGGAGTTTGAGGCAGGAGAATCGCTTGAACACGGGAGGCGGAGGTTGCAGTGAGTCCAGATGGCACCACTACACTCCAGCCTGGCGATAAGTGAGACTCTGTCTCAAAAAAAAAGGCCATTAATTTTACTTTTGAATGTTTATATTAAAAGCTAGGATGAGGCCAGGCACGGTGGCTCACGCTTGTAATCCCAGCACTTTAGGAGGCCGAGACGGGTGGATCATGAGATCAGAAGTTTGAGACCTGCCTGGCCAACACAGTGAAACCCTGTCTCTACTAAAAGTACAAAAATTAGCCGGGCGTGGTGGCAGGCGCCTGTAATCCCAGCTACTCGGGAGGCTGAGGCAGGGGAATCTCTTGAACCTGGGAGGCAGAGGTTGCAGTGAGCCGAGATCATGCCACTGCACTCCAGCCTGGGCGACAGAGCTAGACTTCATCTCAAAAAAAAAAAAAAAAAAAAATGCTGAGTCTATTATATAGAACATTTGTGTTCTGCATCTACATCATCATCTATTGAGTGGTCTATAGTTTCTGAAAGTTTCAGGAACACTAATATAAGAATACTCTTTTCTATTGAATAATTAAAGTATACTAAGTTTTCTCAGTGACTAAAATAAAGATTGGAATTACTAATCAGTCACTTGCAATGTGGTTTTAAATGTTATTTAACAAACACATGTAAAGTTTCTTTTAAACAGATTTTTAAAAACATATTTATATTGCTGTTTTATTTCTACTAGAAAAACTGCTAAATTTTTTATTACTAAAAACCTATAAATTTTATTCAAATCTAAACAAAGTGCTAATCTTAATAAATCTGTATGCTTAAGATTATGAAAATCCTCTTCTCTGTTTACATTTAGAAGATAAATAACTGCTTTACAGTTAACCCAATAAGGCAGTAGTGATTCACAATCATAAAATATTAAAATATTAATACTATCATCCAAATAGAACTTTTAGGTATCTGCATGTTCAACTAGTTTAACCTATAATTTAGAAACTATAAATTTTTATAAACTATTAAAAATAAACATATAAAGTATTTATCAATTTATTTTTTCAGCTTTGAAATATTGTCATTATTTCTAGTTGACATAATGCTAGATTTCAGATGCTGTAGTTATAGAATCTAGAAATGTTATGATTAACTTTGCTTTACTTCCTGCCTATTTCA
Organism: Homo sapiens; assembly: GCF_000001405.40. NCBI lineage: Eukaryota > Metazoa > Chordata > Mammalia > Primates > Hominidae > Homo > Homo sapiens. Next base: position 23,621,466 of record NC_000019.10, on the reverse strand, counting down.
CACAAACATATCAGCAAAAAAAAAAAAAAAAAAAAAGGCCAAAAATGCTACACCTTGACTGCAAACAGAGTAGTGCCCTTCTAGGGAGAATATATTTGTGAGCATATTAACTTTGAACTCATGGCATCTTTTGTGGAAGTAAAGACTTTTATATGGCATATAATAAAGACAAAAAATTTAACACTACAGAAGAATCAGAAAAGTATTCTAAAAGTACCTGCTGACTCGTTATTCCTTTTTTCACAAGAAGGGTCGTGATGAAGTGAACATTTAGTAGCTGTGTGGTCCTAAATATCCCACACTCTGTTTCATCATATTTGGGCTATGGCTATAAAACTTCTATGCTGTTCTTTACAAAAACAGTTTCTCTTTCCAATTCAGTAATTTAGCATGATTTCCACAGCCTCACATTTTCATAAATGGTTTATTCTAAAGAAGAAATGTGATTAAACCACTTATCATTTTTCCCCAATAAAGCAGGGTAATACATTAACTCTGTAGTCTAGTGAACAGTTAAAACATTAAAAATAAAGATGTAGAGTCATTTATTTTAGTTTCACACTTGGAAATACAACACTTCTTGGGACATATGTTTAGAGCTTTCTGAGAGGTTGGTTTATAGAATATGGGGAGACCGAGCATAGAAACATTCACCCTTATGGCGAAAGGGGTCATAATTCTGTTTTTCACTCCTAATTTCAACTAGTAACCCAGAACTGGAGAAATGTGACATATCATTTTATCACAGAGCTTTCTATTATTTTTATGTTAGATTCAGAGGGTACAGGTGCAGACCTGTAACATAGCGCATGATGTTGAGGTTTGGGGACTTGATAATTCCATTGCCCAAGTAGTGTACATCATACCTGATACATAGTTTTTTAATGTTTGTCTCCCTTCCTCCTTTTTTAGAATTTCCAGTGTTTATTTTTTCCATCTTTGTTTCCATGCACATGCAATGATTAGCTCCCACGTATAAATGAGAACATGTTGATATTTTCCTGTTCTGTGTTAATTTGCCTAAAGTAATGGTCTTCTTCTGCATTCATGCTGCTGCAAAAAACATTATTTCATTCTTTTCTGTGGCTGCATATTATTGCACAGTGTGTAAGTACCTCATTTTTTAAAAATCCAATTTAAGATGTATGGATATCTAATTTAATTTTGTTTGGCCAGGTGTGGAGGCTCATGCCTGTAATCCCAGCGCTTTGGGATGCCGAGGTGGGGGGATCACGAGGTCAAGAGTTTGAGACCAGTCTGGCCGACATGGCAAAACCCCATCTCTACTGAAAATACAAAAATTAGCCAGGTGTGTTGGTGGGTGCCTGTAATGCCAGCTACTTGGGAGGCTGAGGCAGGAGAATCACTTGAACCTGGGAGGTGGAGGTTGCAGTGAGTCGAGACCGTGCCATGCTGAGCAACAAGAGCAAGACTCTGTCTCAAAAAAAAATTATGTTTTTGCTATTGTGAATAATGCAGTAATAAACAGATGAATGCAGGTGTCTTTTTGATAAAATAATTTATTTTTCCTTTGGGTATATACCCAGTAATATGACTGATGGGTCAAATGGCAATTATATTCTTAGTTCTTTGAGAAATCTCCAAACTGCTTTTCATTGGGGCTGAATTAATTTGCATTTTCACAGTGTTTCAAGATTTCCTTTTCTCCATAACTTAAACATCTGTTATTTTTTGACTTTCTAACAACAGCCAATCTAACGGATGTGGGATGATATGACATTGTCATTTTGATTTATGTCTCTCTATTAGGAATGTTTAGCAATTTTTTGCATGTTTATTAACAGCTTTTTTAAAATTATTATACTTTAAGTTCTAGGGTACATGTGCACAACGTGCAGGTTTGTTACATATGTATACATATGCCATGTTGGTGTGCTGCACCCATTAACTTGTCATTTACATTAGGTGTATCTCCTAATGCTATCCCTCCCTCCTCCCCCCACCCCACAACAGGCCCCGGTGTGTGATGTCCCCCTTCCTGTGTCCAAGTGTTCTCATTGTTCAATTCCCACCTATGAGTGAGAACATGCAATGTTTGGTTTTTTGTCCTTGCGATAGTTTGCTGACAATGATGATTTCCAGCTTCATCCATGTCCCTACAAAGGACATGAACTCATCATTTTTTATGGCTGCATAGTATTCCATGGTGTATATGTGCCATATTTTCTTAATCCAGTCTCTCATTGTTGGACATTAGGGTTGGTTCCAGGTCTTTGCTATTGTGAATAGTGCCACAATAAACATACTTGTGCATGTGTCTTTATAGCAGCATGATTTATAATCCTTTGGGTGTATATCCCGTAATGGGATGGCTGGGTCAAATGGTATTTCTAGTTCTAGATCCCTGAGGAATCACCACACTGTCTTCCACAAAGGTTGAACTAGTTTATAGTCCTACCAAGAGAGTAAAAGTGTTCCTATTTCTCCACATCCTCTCCAGCACCTGTTGTTTCCTGACTTTTTAATGGTCGCCATTCTAACTGGTGTGAGATGGTATCTCATTGTGGTTTTGATTTGCATTTCTCTGATGGCCAGTGATGCTGAGCATTTTTTCATTGTCTGTTGGCTGCATAAATATCTTCTTTTGAGAAGTGTCTGTTCATATCCTTCACCCATTTGTTGATGGGGTTGTTTGTTTTTTCTTGTAAATTTGTTGGAGTTCTTTGTAGATTCTGGATATTAGCCCTTTGTCGATGAGTAGATTGCAAAAATTTTCTCCCATTCTGTAGGTTGCCTGTTCACTCTGATGGTAGTTTCTTTTGCTGTGCAGAAGCTCTTTAGTTTAATTAGATCCCATTTGTCAATTTTGGCTTTTGTTGCCATTGCTTTTGGTGTTTTAGACATGAAGTCCTTGCCCATGCCTATGTCCTGAATGGTATTGCCTTTATTTTCTTCTAGGGTTTTTATGGTTTTAGGTCTAACATTTAAGTCTTTAATCCATCTTGAATTAATTTTAGTATAAGGTGTAAGGAAGGGATCCAGTTTCAGCTTTCTACATATGGCTAGCCAGTTTTCCCAGCACAATTTGTTAAATAGGGAATCCTTTCCCCATTTCTTTTTTTGTCAGGTTTGTCAAATATCAGATAGTTGTAGATGTGTGGCATTATTTCTGAGGGCTCTGTTCTGTTCCATTGGTCTGTATGTCTGTTTTGGTACAAGTACTATGCTGTTTTGGTTACTGTAGCCTTGTAGTATAGTTTGAAGTCAGGTAGTGTGATGCCTCCAGCTTTGTTCTTTTGGCTTAGGATTGACTTGGCAATGTGGGCTCTTTTTTTGGTTCCATATGAACTTTAAAGTCGTTTTTTCCAATTCTGTGAAGAAAGTCATTGGTAGCTTGTTGGGGATGGCATTGAATCTATAAATTACCTTGGGCAGTATAGCCATTTTCATGATATTGATCCTTCCTATCCATGAGCATGGAATGTTCTTCCATTTGTTTGTATCCTTTTTTATTTCATTGAACAGTGGTTTGTAGTTCTCCTTGAAGAGGTCCTTCACATCCCTTGTAAGTTGGATTCCTAGGTATTTTATTCTCTTTGAAGCAATTGTGAATGGGAGTTCACTCATGATTTGGCTCTCTGTTTGTCTGTTACTGGTGTATAAGAATGCTTGTGATTTTTGCACATTGATTTTGTATCCTGAGACTTTGCTGAATTTGCTTGTCAGCTTAAGGAGATTTTGGGCTGAGACGATGGGGTTTTCTAGATATACAATCATGTCATCTGCAAACAGGGACAATTTGACTCCCTCTTTTCTTAATTGAATACCCTTTATTTCTTTCTCCTGCCTGATTGCTCTCGCCAGAACTTCCAACACTATGTTGAATAGGAGCGGTGAGAGAGGACATCCCTGTCTTGTGCCAGTTTTCAAAGGGAATGCTTCCAGTTTTTGTCCATTCAGTATGATATTGGCTGTGGGTTTGTCATAGATAGCTGTTATTATTTTGAGATATGTCCCATCAATACCTAATTTATTGAGAGTTTTTAGCATGAAGGGTTGTTGAATTTTGTCAAAGGCCTTTTCTGCATCTATTGAGATAATCATGTGGTTTTTGTCTTTGGTTCTGTTTATATGATGGATTACGTTTATTGATTTGTGTATGTTGAACCAGCCTTGCATCCCAGGGATGAAGCCCACTTGATCATGGTGGATAAGCTTTTTGATGTGCTGCTGGATTGGGTTTGCCAGTATTTTATTGAGAATTTTTGCATCGATGTTCATCAGAGATATTGGTCTAAAATTCTCTTTTTTTGTTGTGTCTCTGCCAGGCTTTGGTATCAGGATGATGCTGGCCTCATAAAATGAGTTAGGGAGGATTCCCTCTTTTTCTATTGATTGGAATAGTTTCAGAAGGAATGGTACCAGCTCCTCCTTGTACCTCTGGAAGAATTCGGCTGTGAATCCGTCTGGTCCTGGACTTTTTTTGGTTGGTAAGTTATTAATTATTGCCTCAATTTCAGAGCCTGTTTTGGTCTATTCAGAGATTCAACTTCTTGCTGGTTTAGTCTTGGGAGAGTGTATGTGTCAAGGAATTTATCCATTTCTTCTAGATTTTCTAGTTTATTTGGGTAGAGGTGTTTATAGTATTCTCTGATGGTAGTTTGTATTTCCGTGGGATTGGTGGTGATATCCCCTTTATCATTTTTTATTGCGTCTATTTTATTCTTCTCTCTTTTCTTCTTTGTTAGTCTTGCTAGTGGTCTATCAATTTTTTTGATCTTTTCAAAAAACCCGTTTATCATTTTTTATTGCATCTATTTGATTCTTCTCTCTTTTCTTCTTTATTAGTCTTGCTAGTGGTCTATCAATTTTGTTGCTCTTTTCAAAAAACCAGCTCCTGGATTCGTTGATTTTTTGAAGGTTTTTTTTGTGTCTCTATCTCCTTCAGTTCTGCTCTGATCTTAGTTATTTCTTGCCATCTGCTAACTTTTGAATGTGTTTGCTCTTGCTTCTCTAGTTCTTTTAATTGTGATGTTAGGGTGTCAATTTTAGATCTTTCCTGCTTTCTCTTGTGGCCATTTAGCGCTATAAATTTCCGTCTACACACTACTTTCAATGTGTCCCAGAGATTCTGGCATGTTGTGTCTTTGGTCTCGTTGGTTTCAAAGAATATCTTTATTTCTGTCTTCATTTCATTATGTACCCAGTAGTCATTCAGGAGCACGTTGTTCAGTTTCCATGTAGTTGGAGTGGTTTTGAGTGAGTTTCTTATTCCTGAGTTCTAGTTTGATTGCACTGTGGTCTGAGAGACAGTTTGTTATAATTTCTGTTCTTTTACATTTGCTGAGGAGAGCTTTACTTCCAACTATGTGGTCAATTTTGGAATAAGTGCAGTGTGGTGCTAAGAAGAATGTATATTCTGTTGATTTGGGGTGGAAAGTTCTGTAGATGTCTATTAGGTCTGCTTGGTGCAGAGCTGAGTTCAATTCCTGGATATCCTTGTTAACTTTCTGTCTCGTTGATCTGTCTAATGTTGACAGTGAGGTATTAAAGTCTCGCATTATTATTGTGTGGGAGTCTAAGTCTCTTTGTAGGTCTCTAAGGACTTGCTTTATGAATATGGGTGCTCCTGTATTGTATTGGGTTCATATATATTTAAGAGAGTTAGCTCTTCTTGTTGAATTGATCACTTTACCATTATGTAATGGCCTTCTTTGTCTCTTTTGATCTTTGTTGGTTTAAAGTCTGTTTTATCAGAGACTAGGATTGCAACCCCTGCCTTTTTTTGTTTTCTATTTGCTTGGTAGATCTTCCTCCATCCCTTTATTTTCAGCCTATGTGTGTCTCTGCACATGAGATGGGTTTCCTGAATACAGCACACTGATGGGTCTTGACTCTTTATCCAATTTGCCAGTCTGTGTCTTTTAATTGGAGCATTTAGCCCATTTACATTTAAGGTTAATATTGTTACGTGTGAATTTGATCCTGTCATTATGATGTTAGCTGGTTATTTTGCTCGTTAGTTGATGTAGTTTCTTCCTAGCATTGATGGTCTTTACAATTTGGCATGTTTTTGCAGTGGCTGGTACCTCTTATTCCTTTCCATGTTTAGTGCTTCCTTCAGGAGCTCTTGTAGGGCAGGCCTGATGGTGACAAAATCTCTCAGCATTTGCTTGTGTGTAAAGGATTTTATTTCTCCTTCACTTATGAAGCTTAGTTTGGCTGGATATGAAATTCTGGGTTGAAAATTCTTTTCTTTAAGAATGTTGAATATTGGTCCCCACTCTCTTCTGGCTTCTAGAGTATCTGCTGAGAGATCCGCTGTTAGTCTGATGGGCTTCCCTTTGTGGGTAACCCGATCTTTCTCCCTGGCTGCCCTTAACATTTTTTCCTTCATTTCAACTTTGGTGAATCTGACAATTATGTGTCTTGGAGTTGCTCTTCTCGAGGAGTATCTTTGTGGCCTTCTCTGTATTTCCTGAATCTGAATGTTGGCCTGCCTTGCTAGATTGGGGAAGTTCTCCTGGATAATATCCTGCAGAGTGTTTTCCAACTTGGTTCCATTCTCCCCGTCACTTTCAGGTACACCAATCAGACGTAGATTTGGTCTTTTCACATAGTCCCATATTTCTTGGAGGCTTTGTTTCTTTTTATTCTTTTTTCTCTAAACTGCTCTTCTCACTTCATTTCATTCATTTGATCTTCCATCACTGATACCCTTTCTTCCAGTTGATCAAATCTGCTACTGAAGCTTGTGCATTCATCACGTAGTTCTCTTGCCATGGTTTTCAGCTCCATCAGGTCTTTTAAGGACTTCTCTGCGTTGGTTATTTTAGTTAGCCATTCGTCTAATCTTTTTTCAAGGTGTTTAACTTCTTTGCCATGGGTTCAAACTTCCTCCTTTAGCTCAGAGAAGTTTGATCGTCTGGAACCTTCTTCTCTCAACTCGTCAAAGTCATTCTCCATCCAGCTTTGTTCCATTGCTGGTGAGGAGCTGCATTCCTTTGGAGGAGGAGAGGTGCTCAGATTTTTAGAATTTTCAGTTTTTCTGCTCTGTTTTTTCCCCATCTTTGTGGTTTTATCTACCTTTGGTCTTTGATGATGGTGACTTACAGATGGGGTTTTGGTGTGGATGTCCTTTCTGTTTGTTAGTTTTCCTTCTAACCATCAGGATCCTCAGCTGCAGGTCAGGTGGAGTTTGCCGGAGGTCCACTCCAGACCTCATTTGCTGGGTGACAGCAGTGGAGGCTGCAGAACAGCGAATATTGGTGAACAGCAAATATTGCTGCCTGATCATTCCTGTGGAAGTTTTGTCTCAGAGGGCTACCTGGCTGTGTGAGGTGTCAGTCTGCCCCTACTGGGGGATGCCTCCCAGTTAGGCTACTTGGGGGTCTGGGACCCACGTGAGAATGCAGTCTGTCCATTCTCAGATCTCAAGCTCCGTGCTGGGAGAACCACTACTCTCTTCCAAGCTGTCATACAGGGACATTTAAGTCTGTGGAGGTTTCTGCTGCCTTTTGTTTGGCTATGCCCTGCCCCCAGAGGTGGAGTCTACAGAGGTAGGCAGGCCTCCTTGAGCAGTGGTGGGCTCCAGCCAGTTCGATCTTCCCAGCCACTTGTTTACCTACTCAAGCCTCAGCAATGGTGGGCGCCCCTCCCCCAGCCTTGCTGCTACCTTGCAGTTCGATCTCAGACTGCTGTGGTAGCAATGAGCGAGGATCCGTGGGTGTAGGACCCTCTGAGCCATGCACAGGATATAATCTCCTGGTGTGCCATTTGCTAAGACCATTGGAAAAGCACAGTGTTATGGTGGGAGTGACCTGATTTTCCAGGTGCTGTTTGTCACCGCTTCCCTTGGCTAGGAAAGGGAATTCCCTGGCCCCTTGCACTTCCCAGGTGAGGTGATGCCTTGCCCTGCTTTGGCTCATGCTCAGTGTGCTGCACCCACTGTCCGACAATCCCCAGTGAGATGAACCCAGTGCCTCAGTTGGAAATGCAGAAAGCACCCACCTTCTGCATCGCTCATGCTGGGAGCTGTAGACTGGAGCTGTTCCTGTTCGGCTATCTTGGAACTGCCCTATTAACAGCTTTTATATCTTTCTTTGAGTACTGTCTATTTAGATCATTTGCTTTTTTCTGATTAAGTTTCTTATAGATTCTATATATTAATCTTATGTTGTATTCAGCTTGCAAATATTTTATTTTATACTTTAGGTTGTCTGTTTGTCAATAGTTTGTTTTGCTGTGCAGAAGCCCTTTAGTTTAATTAGGTGCCAATTTGTCAGTAGCATTTCTATACACTTATAATTATCTCAAAATGAAATTATAATGCAAAACAATCTCATCTACACTAACTGTAGTAACTATAACTTGAAATAAATTTAACTAAAAAGTTGAAACATTTGTACATTATAATCTAAAGAACATTAAAATAAAATCATATGCAAATGGAAAACATTACTCATTCATCATTGGAGTTATTAATATTGTTAAATATGTTTATTACACAAAATGATGTACAGATACAATGCAACCTCTATCAAAATACCGGTGACATATTTAATAGAAAATTTTAAAAAATTTAAAATTTTATGGTACCACAAAAGACTCTGAATAGTCAAAGAACTCCAGCAAATAAGAAAGACAGAAGTTATCACCCTATCTGACTTTGAAGTATACTGCAAAGCCAGCACACCAGCATGGCACATGTATACATATGTAACTAACCTGCACGTTGTGCACATGTACCCTAAAACTTAAAATATAATAATAATAAGAAAAAAAGAAATATACTACAAAGCTAAAGCAAATAAAACAGTATGGTACTTGAACAAAAAACAGACACATAGGCCAATGGAGCAGAAAAGGGAAATTAGAAATATATCTGTGTACTTCCAGCTAACTGATTTTAGATAAAGGTAACAATTTCTTAGAAAAAGAACAGTATCTTCAATAAATGGCGCTGAGAAAAACTTAATAGCAACATGCAGAGCAATAAAATGCAACCCTCATCTTACTTCATATATAAAAATCAAATAAATTCTTAAATGCAAGGCCTGAAACTCTGAGACTACTACAAAAAATATAGACTGAAAGCCCCATAACATCAGTCTGGGCTGTAACTTTTTTTGATTTAAACTCAAAATCCCAGGGAACAAAATAAAAAATAGATGAGTAAGATTAGTTCAAATTATAAAGCTGCTGTGCAGAATCTGACACACTTAAAATGAGAAAACTAAAATTTTTTTTTGCAATTTATACATTTGACAAGGGGTTAATATTAAGAATATGTAAGAAACTCAAATGACTATACAACAAAAAACAAATAACTACTAAAATGAGCAAAGGGCTTAAATATTTTTTAAGAAAAGATACATATGGCCAATAGATATATTAAAAAATTCTCAATGTGGCCCGAGTGCAGTGGCTCATGCCTGTAATCCCAGCACTTTGGGAGGCCAAGGCAGGTGGGTCACTTGAGGTCAGGAGTTTGAGACTAGCCTGGCCAACATGGCGAAACTCAGTTTCTACTAAAAATACAAAAATTAGCTGGGCATGGTGGTGGGCACCTGTAATCCCAGCTACTCGGGAGACTGAGGCAGGAGAATTGCTGAACCCGGGAGGCAGAGGCTGCAGTGAGCAGAGAGTGTGACACTGCACTCCAGTCTGGGCAACAGAGTGAAACTCAGCGAAAAAAAAAAAAAAAACCCTCAATGTCAATTATTATCAGGGAGAGGAGAGCCAAAAAATCTATAATATATCAACTCGCTCTTATTAGAATGACTCCTATTAGAAAGAAAAAGAAAAAAAAAAGATAAATATGTGAAGAGAATGCTTGCACACTGTTGATGTGAATGTAAATGAGGCCAGCCATTAAGAAAAACAAAGTAGAGATTTCTCAAAAAATTTAAAATCAAACTACCCTATAATACAGCAATTTCACTATTGCATATATATTTAAGAGAAATAAAGTGAGAATGAAGAAACATTTGCACCTCTCTGTTGTTTGCAACACTCTTCACAACAGCCAAAATATAGAAGCAACAGTTCAACATCTAATGAGTAAATAAAGACAGTATGGTATATACACACAATAAAATACTATTTATTTTTAAAAAAGAAAATTCTATTATGTTCAATTACATGGATTAACTTGGAGAACATTATATTTCTTGAAATAAGCCAGGCACAGAAAGATTAAAATTTCATACTTTCGCCTACACATGGATTCTATAAAACTTAATTTCATTGAAGCAGAGAGTAAAATGGTGACCACCAGATCCCAAGGAATTTAAAAGAAAGGGGTGTTTGGGAAGATGTCTGTCAGACAATACATAATTATAGTTGGATAGGAGGAATACATTCAAGAGATATATTGTACAGCATGGTGTCTATAGTTAATAATAATGTGTTATATTGGGAAGGGCCCAGATGGCCAAGTAGAAACAGCTCCGGTCTGCAACTCCCACCGAATTTAAACAGCAGGTGAATTCGGCATTTCTAACTGAAGTACCTAGATTCTCTCACTGGAACTGACTAGGCAGTTGGTGTGACCACAGAGAACAAGAAAAAGCAGGGTGGGGCCACAGTTCACCCAGGACCTGCACAGGGTGAAAGGGAACTCCCTCCCCCAGCCGAGAAACGCAGTGAGAGATTATGTTACCCAGGTGAAAAACTACACTTTTCCTATGGATTTTTGCAATTTGTGGTTTAGGAGAGTCCCTTTTGCTCCCACACTAACAGGCCCTTGCATTCCAAGCACAAAGCTGTGTGGACCTGTGGCAGCTGCTAAGGTCAGCGGCCATTCAGGCAGGCACTTAGTTGCAGGAATTTTTGCAAACTCCAGTGGCTTCCAGAACTCATGAGGCAGGAGATTCATTCACTTATGTGGGAAGGGGACTAAAGCCAGTGTGCCAAGCGGTCTCACTCAGCAGATCCCACTCCCATTGAATACCACAAGGTAAGACCACTGGATTGGAATGCCTGCTGGCCAGCAAAGCAGCCTGAAGTATGCATAATGCAACCAAGTTTATTTTGGAGAGACAGGTGACTGCCGTAACTGTGACTCTAGTTGGTAGTTTTCCTCTGCCAGTGGTAGACAGACTGAGGTTTGGACTGGGCGAAAGTCCCCAGAGCACAGCCACAGTGGCTGTGGCAGATCATGGCCAGACTGCTTCTTTAAGTGGGAAACGGATACATCTGTCCTTACTGGGCAGAGTCTCCCTGGACAAATTCCAGGAACTTCAGCTGTAAGTTTACAGACAGAACTTTCATCTCTCTGGGTCAGAGCACCTGGGGGAGGGGCGGTCATAATCTAAGGTTCAGTGGGTATAATCTTTTCTGCCTGCTGGCTCTGAAGTGTCCTGATGATCTGGACGAGGGAGATTCCCCACAGCACAATACACTGACACCAGTGAGGAGCATCCAATCTGCTTCTTTAAATCAGTTCCTGAATCTGTGCCTCCTGACTGGGTGAGACCTCCCAACAGGGGTTCCCGACACCTCATACAGGAGAGTTCAGGCTGGCATCAGGTCAGTGTCCCTGTGGGAAGAAGCTTCCAGGGGAAGAAGCTTCCAGAGGAAGGAGCAGGTGGCAATCTTTGCTGTTCCGCAGCCTTCACTGGTGATACCCAGGTGAACAGCATCTGGAGTGGACTGACCCCCAGCAAACTGCAGCAGACCTGCAGAAGAGAAGACTGTTAAAAAAGAGAGAAAAAAGCAGCAACATCAAGACGACCACAAAAAACCTCATTCAAATCTCAAAGGTAGATAAATCCACAAAGATGAGGAAAAACCAATGCAAATATGCTTACAATTCCAAAAGCCAGAATGCGTCTTCTCCAATAGATCGCAAAAAAACCTCTCCAGCAAGGACACAGAACTCGGCTGAAGCTCAGATAAATGAACTGACAAAAGTAGGCTTCAGGAGGTGAGTAAGCAATAATGAACTTCACTGAGCTAAAGGATTATGTTGTAACCCAATTCAAAGAAGCTAAGGACCATAATAAAAGATTACAGGAGTTGTTAACTAGATAACCAGTTTAAAAAGAAACATAAATGATCCAATGGAGCTGAAAAACAGAGCATGAGAACTGCATGATGCAAACACAAGTATCAATAGCTGAATTGACCAAGAGAAAGAAAGACTGTGAGCACTCGAAGACTATCTTGCTGCAATAAGGCAAGCAGACAAGATTAGAGGGAAAAAAATAAAGAGGAATGAACAAAAACTCTGAGAACTATGGAACTATGTAAAAAGACCAAACCTGCAAATGACTGGCATACCTAAAAGAGATGGGGAGAATGGAACCAAGTTGGAAAACACACTTCAGGAGATCATCCAGGAGAACTTCCCCAACCTGGCAAGACAGGCCAACATTCAAATCCAGAAAATCCAGAGAACCCTAATAAGATACTCCATGAACCATCCACCCCAAAAACATAATCATCAGATTCTCCAAGGTTGAAATAAAAAAAAAAAGTTAAGGGCAGCCAGAGAGAAAGACCAGGTCACCAACAAAGGGAAGCTCATCAGACTAACAGCAAACCTCTCAGTGGAAACCCTACAAGCCAGAAGAGATTGGGGACCAATATTCAACATTCTTAATGAAAAGAATTTTCAACCCAGAATACATATCTGGCCAAACTAAGCTTCATAAGTAAAGAAGAAATAAAATCCTTTGCAGACAAGCTAATGACCAAGGATTTCATCCTGCCTTGCAAAAACTCTTGAAGGAAGCACTAAACATGGAAAGGAAATCCGTTACCACCCACCATAAAAAGACATTGAAGTACACAGACCAATAACACTGAAGCAACTACATTAACAAGTCTGCAAAATTAACCAGCCAGCATCATGATGACAGGATCAAATTCACATATAACAATATTAACTTTAAATGTAAATGAGCTAAATGCCCCAGTTAAAAGACACAGAATGGCAAGCTGGATAAAAAGACAAGACTCATCACTGTGCTGTATTCAAGAGACACATTTCATGTGCAGAGAACACATAGGTTCAAAATAAAGGGATGGAAAAGAATTTACCAAGCAAATGGAAAGCAGAAAAAAGGAGGAGATGCAATCCTTGTTTCTGACAAAATAGACTTTAAACCAACAAAGGTAAAAAAAAGATCATTACATAACAGAATATGGTTCAATTCAACACAAAGTGCCAACTATCCTAAATATATATGCAACCATTACAGAAGCACGCAGATTCATAAAACAAGTTCTCAAAAACCTACAAAGAGACTTAGACTCCCCCACAATAATAATGGGAGACTTTATTATTTATTTATTTTTTTTGAGACAGAGTCTCACTCTGTCACCCAGGCTGGAGTGCAATGGTGCGATCTCAGCTCACTGCAAGTTCCACCTCCCAGATTCACACCATTCTCCTGCCTTAGCCTCCTGAGTAGCTAGGAGTACAGGCACCCGCCACCATGCCTGGCTAATTTTTTGTATTTTTTTTTTTTTTTTTTTAGTAGAGATGGGGTTTCACCATGTTAGCCAGGATGGTCTCAATCTCCTGACCTTGTGATCCACCTGCCTCGGCCTCCCAAAGTGCTGGGATTACAGCACTTGTGAGCCACCACGCCTGGCCAAATAGTGGGAGACTTTAATACCCCAGTGTCAATATTAGACAGTTCATTGAGACAGAAAATGAACAAAGATAATCAGGACTTGAACTCAGCTCTGGATCAAGTGAACCTGATAGATATCTACAGAACTCTCCCCACAAAAACAACATAATATACATTTTTCTTGGTGCCACATGGCACTCACTCTAAAATATACTACATAATTAGAAGTGAAACACTCCTTAGAAAATGCAAAATAACTAAAATCATAACAGTCTCTCAGACCACAGTGCAATCGAATTATAACTCAAGATTTAAAAACTCACTTAAAACCACACAACTACAAGGAAATTGAACAAATTGCTCCTGAATGACTTCTGGGTATATAATGAGATTAAGGCAGAAATTAAAAAAATTCTGAAACTAATGAGAACAAAGATACAACATACCAGAATTTCTGGGACACAGGTAAAGCAGTTTAAGAGGAAAATTTATAGCACTAAATGCCCATATCAAAAAGCTAGAAAGATCTCAAATTGAAATCCTAACATCACAGCTAAAAGAACTAGAGAACCAAGAGCAAACAAACCCCAGAGCTAGCAGAAGAAATAACCAAGCTCAGAGTGGAACTATGAAAGATAGAAACATTAAAAATTACTCAAAAAATTAATGAATTCAGAAGCAGATTTATTGAAAAAAAATCAATAAAATAGATAGATTGCTAGCTAAACTACTAAATAAGAGAAGAGAGAAGATTCAAATAAACATAATCAGAAATGAGAAGGGGGATACCACCACTTACCCTGCAGAAATACAAATAACCATCAGATAATACTATAAACACCTCTATGCAAATAAACTAGAAAACCTAGAAGAAATGGATAAACTCCTGAACAAATACACCCTCCTCAGACTGAACCAGAAAGAAGTTGAATCCCTGAATAGACCAATAACAAATTCTGAAATTGGAGCAATAATAGCCTACCAACAAGAAAAAGCCCAGGACCAGATGAATTTACAGCTGAATTCTACCAGAACTACAAAAAGGTGTTGATACCCTTTCTTATGCACTATTCCAAAAAATTAAAAAGGAGGGACTTCTCCCTAACACATTGTATGAGGCCAGCATCATCCTGATACAAAAACCTGGCAGAGATACAACAAAAAATGAAAACTTCAGGATATTATCACTAATTAACATCAATGCAGAAATTATCAATAAAATACTTGCAAACTGAATACACCAGCACATCAAAAAGCTCATCCACCATGATCAAGTTGGCTTCATTCCCAAGATGCAAGGCTGGTTCAACATATGCAAATCAATAAATGTAATTCATCATATAAGCAGATCTAAAAAAAAAAAATGTAATTCATCATATAAGCAGATCTAAAAAAAAAAAAAAAAAGAACCCACATGATTATCTCAATAGATGCAGGAAAGTCCATCAATAAAATTCAACATCCCTTCATGTTAAAAACTCTTCATAGGCCAGGTGTGGTGCCTCACACCTGTAATCCCAGCACTTTGGGAGGCAGAGGTGGGTGGATCACATGAGGTCGGGAGTTTGAGACCAGCCTGACCAACATGGAGAAACCCCGTCTCTACTAAAAATATAAAATTAGCCGGGTGTAGTGGCACATGCCTGTAATCCCAGCTACTCGGGAGGCTGAGGCAGGAGAATCGCTTAAACCCAGGAGGTGGAGGTTGCAGTGAGCCAAGATAGCACCATTGCACTCCAGCCTGGGCAACAAGAGTGAAACTCTGTCTCAAAACAACAACAACAAATAAAAAACTCTTAATAAACTAGGTATTGAAGGAACATACCTCAAAATAATAAGGGCCATTTATGACAAACCCTGCAGCCAATATCATACTGACTGGGTAAAAACTGGAAACATTTCCCCTTGGAAACCAGTGCAAGGCAAGAATGCACTCTCTCACCATTCTTATTGAACATATTATTGGAAGTTCTGGTCAGGGCAATCAGGCAAGGATAAAAAATAATTTTCATACTGGAATAGAGTAAGTCAAATTGTCTTTGTTTTCAGATGATGTGATCCTATATTTAGAAAACCCTATTTACTCAGTTCAAAAGCTTCTTAAGCTGATAAGACTACTTCAGCAAAGTCTCAGTATACAGACTAAATGTGCAGAAATTACAAGCATTCCTGTGCACCAACAGACAAGCAGAGAGCCAAATTGTGAATGAAATCCCATTCACAATTGCCACAAAAAGAATAAAGTACCTAGGAATACAGCTAACAAGGAAAGTGAAAGACCTCCTTAAGGAGAACTACAAAACACTGCTCAAGGAAATTAGAGGACAAAAACAGATGAAAAAACATTCTATGCACATGGATAGGAAGAATCAATATTGTGAAAATGGCCATACTGTTCAAAGTAATTTATAGATTCAATGGTATTCCCATTAAACTACCATTGACATTCTTCACAGAATTAGGAAAAGCTATATTAAAATTTGTATGGAACCAAAAAAGAGCCCATAGACTGGGTGTGATGGCTCACACCTGTAATCCCAGCACTTTGGGAGGCCGAGGCAGGCAGATCACCTGAGGTCAGGAGTTTGAGACCAGTCTAACATGATGATATCTCATCTCTACTAAAAATACAAAAATTAGCTGGGCATAGTTGTGGGCATCTGAATTCCCAGCTACTCAGGAGGCTGGGGCAGGAGAATCACTTGAACCCAGGAGGCGGAGATTGCAGTGAGCTGAGATAGCACCATTGCACTCCAGCCTGGGTGACAGGGTGAGACTCTGTCTCAAAACAAACAAACAAACAAACAAACAAAATAGCCCATATAGCCAGGACAATCTTAGGCAAAAAGAACAGAGCTGAAGGCATTACATTACCTGACTTCAAAGTATACTACAAGGCTACAGTAACTAAAACAAGAATGGTACCATTTCAAAAACAGACACATAGGCCACATAGAACAGAATAGAGAAATGAGAAATAAAACTGCGTGTCTACAACCATCTGATCTTCAACAAACTTGACAAAAACAAGCAATGGAAAAAATTTTTTTCTATTTAATAAATCATGCTGGGAGAACTGGCTAGCCATATGTAGAAAATTGAAACTGGACCTCTTCCTTATATCTCATAGAAAATAACTCAAGCTGAATTGAAGACTTAAATATAAGCCCAAAACTATAAGAACCCTGGAAAAGAATCTAGGCAATGCAATTGAGGACATAGGCATGGGGAAATATTTTATGATAAAATCATCAGAAGCATTTGCACAAAAAGCAAAAATTGATGAATTAGGATCTAATTAAACTAAAGAGCTTCTGCACATAAAAAGAAACTATCATCAGACCAAACAGACAACCTACAGAAAAGGAGAAAATTTTTGCAATCTATCTTACAAAGGTCTAATATCCAGAATCTAGAGGGAACTTACACAAATTTATAAGAAAAAAAACAAACAACCCTATAAAAAACTGGGCAAAGAACATGAACACTTTATTCTTTCTTGAGATGGAGTCTTGCTGTCACCCAGGCTGGAGTGCAGTGGCATGATCTTGGCTCACTGCAACCTCCTCCTCCTGGGTTCAAGTGATTCTCCTGCCTCAGCCTCCTGAATAGCTGGGACTACAGGCATGTGCCACCACGCCTAGCTAAGTTTTGTATTTTTAGTAGATACAGGGTTTCACCACGTTAGTCAGGCTGGTCTCGAACTCCTGACCTCATGGTCTGACCCCCCCCCCACCCTCGGCCTCCCAAAGTGCTGAGATTACAGGCGTGAGCCACTGCACCTGGCTGAACAAACACTTTTCAAAAGAAGACATACATGTAGCTAACAAACCTGTGAGAAAAAGCTCACCATCACTAATCATCAGAGAAATGCAAATCAAAACCACAATGAGATACCATTTCATGTCAGTCAGAATGGTGGTTATTAAAAAGTCAAGAAACAACAGATGCTGGCTATGTTGCAGAGAAACAGGAATGCTTATATACTGTTGGTAGGAATGTAAATTAGTTCAATTATTAGAAAAGACAGTGTGGCAATTCCTGAAAGATTTAAAACCAGAAACACCATTTGACCCAGCAACTCCATTCCTTGGTATATACTAAAAATAATATAAATCATTCTATTATAAAGATACATGCATGTGTATGTTCATTGCTGCACTATTCACAATAGCAAAAACATGATATCAACCCAAATGCCCATTAATGATAGACTAGTTAAAGAATACTTGGTACATATAAACAATGTAATACTATACAGCCATGAAAAGTAGTGAGATTATGTCCTTCACAGAGACATGAATGAAGCTCGAAGCCATTATCCTCAGCAAACTATCACAAGAACAGAAGGCAAAACACGTCCTGTTCTCACTTGTAAGTGCAAGCTAAACAATAAGAACACATGGACACCAGGAGAGAAGCAACACACACTGAGGCCTGTCAGGAGAGGGCAGGGTAGGAAGAGCATCAGGAAAAACAGCTAATGCACACCGGGCTTAATACTTAGGTGATGGGTTGATAGGTGCAGCTAACCACCATGGCACACATTTACCTATGTAACACATTCACCTATGTAACAAACTTGCACATCTACTCTGGAACATAAAATAAGAAAAAAATAATAATTTATTATATTTTTTTAAAATGCTAAGACAATGTCAATGTGGTCTCACCATAAAAATTTTAACTATGTGAGGTGAAGCATTAATTACCTAAAATTAAGCATTTAACAATGTATATATACTTTAAAACATCATGTTTTACAGAATAAATATGCTTATCTGTCAAGTTAAAAAGATATTTTAAAAATATTACAGAAGAATACCAGTGTGTAAAATACTGTCTCTTTGTCATTGATTTGGCTAAATAGTATCAAAAACATATGGTTTCTGTGCTGCTCCTGCCATTTAATTTCTCAGTCACAATCACAGAAACTCTGATATTTATCAGCATGTTCTGAACCCAGCACAGTGCATGGGAGAAGCCAATGTACATTAGGGCTTTTATTTTAAGCTTGAGGGCACATGAAGTTTTTGGTGCTGATAATAAAGGTATAAAAGACACTAAGAAAGCAGGTGTTGCTTATGGTCCCATAACAGGGCACTCTGTGAATACAGTAAACAAGTTTGCGTGCAAAATAACGGAAAATGTTTTAATCAAAAAGCTGCTATGATCTTTAAAATTTTTTCCAGAAAAAAAAAAAAATGAGCAAGGTGTTGGCTACAGTTAGGTGACGAAGAATAAAAACTGTAGACTGAACTTCATCCACTAAAAATCTTATATACAATAAGAGAAACTCCTCAAAATTGTAATATCAATATGAAACAGAAATATTATTTTGAATTTCAAATCCACAGGGTTCATTTTATTATTTTGCAAAATTTAACATTATCACTTAAAGACAAAAGATTCTGCATGAGAACATAAGTTGTGCTATATCATAAAAAATTAAATTAAAACTTTTTTACTTGTGAATAAGTCTTAAAAACTTAATTTGTAAGATATATTTTCTAACAAATTTTATATTTACACTTTGTGTAAGAATCTAATGAGATTTTTCTGTTACAAAGAAAAACAGTGCTAACTGATTTATTTCTCTCACCTGTGGACAGTGAATGCATTTTTTGTTTGTTTGCTTGTTTTGTTTTGTTTTGTTTTGAGACAGAGTCTCACTCTGTTGCCCAGACTGGAATGCAGTGGCGCGATCTCGGCTCACTGCAACCTCTGCCCCCTGGGGTTCAAGCGATTCTCCTGCCACAGCCTCCCGAGTAGCTGGGATTACAGGCACCTGCCACCATGCCGGGCTAATTTTTGTATTTTAGTAGAGACAGGGTTTCAGCATCTTGGCCAGGCTGGCCTTGAATTCTGACCTCATGATCCACCCACTTCAGCCTCCCAAAGTGCTGGGATTACAGGCATGAGCCACCGTGCCCAGCCGCCTCTTAATTAACTGATATGAAAGTTATATTGATAAGCTAATTCTTCAGTTAAAACTAATTTTTCAGTGCATTACTAAAATACCAACTTCCTTATCAAAACCTACAAAGTACAGTGTGAAATGACATGGCATGAAGACAACAGTGAGGATACTGTAGCTGTAACACAGAAAAAAAAAGGTCTGTGATGCATACATAGTTGGAATGCCGATAATGAGACAAACAAACATGAGATAATTTGGTAATATAAGAAGTAGAATTGGCCAGGCGCAGTGGCTCACACCTGTAATCCCAGCACTTTGGGAGGCCAAGGCAGGTGGATCACCTGAGGTCGGGAGTTCGAGACCAGCCTGACCAACATGGAGAAATCCCATCTCTACTAAAAATACAAAATTAGCCAGGCATGGTGGCACATACCTGTAATCCCAGCTACTCGGGAGGCTGAGGCAAGAGAATCGCTTGAACCCGAGAGACAGAGGTTGCAGTGAGCCGAGATCATGCCTTGTGCTCCAGCCTGGGTAACAAGAGCGAAACTCTATCTCAAAAATAAAAATAAAAAAAGCAGATTTTCTCTTTAAATTCAGCAAGAGTCAGCTGTGCAGCCAAAAAAAAAAAAAAAAAAAATCCTCTTCACATGACAAATCAACGTTATTTCTTCACCATTGATATTTTCTCTCTCTGACTTGAAGTTACAAACTAACTCCAGGAGGAATACTTATGGCTTATCATGAAGCATCTGCTACACAGCAAGCACTGCCATGTTCATTTGCTGCATTTATATACAAAAACATCCTCTTGACTTATGGAAGCCACCCTAGTACTTACCTGAACAAATTTGCTCAATAAATAAATAAATTAACTTATGACAATTTTAAAATCTGAAAGGAACAGTAACTAAATAAAAGTGGGCTTATATAGTATTCTCCAAGTAAAAGAACAGAATGGAATCTTCTAATTAAATAAAACATAACTTCATACACTAATTGTAAAATTACATCTACAAATTATTTTGTGTGCACTATTAAATTTCATAAAAATCATTATAATCCCTGACCAGCTCACATAATGAATACTGCATAAACTACAAAACAAAAAAAATAAGAAACAAGAAAATTATGGGTCTAGCAAAGAGTACCAAGCAAGTAAAACCAGGCAAATTGCATGGGGAGACTCTGAACCATAAGCCATACAATTTTAAAGAATTCAATACAAAGCAGACAGTATAGAATTGCTTTCCACATTTTTTAGGTTTTTAGTTTTCTACTAAATTAGTCGCCTTAATAAAAAAATTTATGGCTGGGCATGGTGGCTCACACCTGTAATCCCAACACTTTGGGAGGCCGAGGCAGGTGGATCACGAGGTTAGGAGATCGAGACCATCCTGGCTAACATGGTGAAACCCCATATCTACTAAAAATACAAAAAATTAGCCAGGCGTGGTGGCGGGTGCCTGTAGTCCCAGCTACTTGGGAGGCTGAGGCAGGAGAATGGCGTGAACCCAGGAGGAGGAGCTTGCAGTGAGCAGAGATCGCTCCACTGCACTCCAGCCTGGGCGACAGAGCGATATTCTGTCTCAAAAAAAAAAAAAAATTTATTGTTTTCTTCTGAAAATATGCCCTGACTCATACTTACACACACATTCATCATAATTTGCATATACCTAGTGTTATCTTTAAAATAATATATGTGTATATTTAACCTGATTGAAATCAAAACTAAAATTCTGTATGTATGTGTTTGCAGGCAGAGTTGCCACATGTTGAAAAATATATATATATAAAAAACAAATTTTTGAAAGTTTTTTTTAGGACTCAGATATGTATGAATTTTATTTATATAATTTTAATTATGACCATAAAATTTATCCTGTACTCAATAACAATTGTACATTTAAAAATAGCTAAAGGTGTAGAATTGGATTGTTTGTAATACAAAGAACAAATACTAGTGGTGATGGATACCTCATGTACTCTAATGTCGTTATTACATATTATATGCCTGTACCAAAATATGCCATTTATGTGGATCACTTGAGGTGAGGAGTTTGAGACCAGCCTGGCCAACATGGTGAGTCCCCATCTCTACTAAAAATACAAAAATTAGCTGGGCATGGTGGCAAGTGCCTGTAATCCCAGCTACTTGGGAGGCTGAGGCAGGAGAATTGCTTGAACCTGGGAGGCGGAGGTTACAGTGTGCCAAGATCATGCCACCACACTCCAGCCTGGGTGACAGAGTGGGACGCCATCTCAAAAAAAAAAAAAAAAAACACTTCATTGAATGTACAATAGATGTTACATTTTAAACAATGTTTTACTAGAAAATTAAATTCACATATAACTGAAAAATTTTTAAATGTACTGCATATTACATAAAAGTACAATTAATAAGTTACTGCTAATTTAATTAATTTTAACTAAAACTTAAAAAGTTTTTTTCACTATAGTGGACAAAAATATTACTCAGAACACCTACCTCATACATCACTTAACATTATAAGTTAACCATAATGAGCCTCTCTACTTAAATTTTCATTATGTGTTTTATATTTTAATGTTCTTACTCTTCCATGGAAAAGGTCATAAATAATGCCTACGTAATAAAAAAGAATCTCTTATATCTGTAATGCAGTAATATTTGATCACATGCTTTCACATGTAAATACAATAGGAATGGAGAGCATGAAGTAATTTGAGAGTTAAATTACATCATTATTTGCTTTTCAAAAAAATCTGTAATAATAAAAAAGTATACTTTGAATGTAATTATAACCCTACAAAAAATCTTCTACTTCTTTTAAAGTTATATACTAATAACTTATCAAATAATTTTAGTTTGGGATTATTTTCTATACTCAACTCTCTGATTTAATGTAATGTCTGAAGAGTAAGTGCCTTATTTCTACTGTGTATTCTCTGTGATTTACATAAAGTTAGTTTTGAAGTATTTTTTATATTTACTTCATTTACAAAAATATATCTTAGTATAAACTCTATGATGTTTTCTAAGCTGTAGTTTTTGAAATGTGTTTCTTTCAAATTCATTACATTTGCAGGGTTTTTCTCCAGTATAAATTTCCTGATATTGAACAAAGTTTGAGCAACTTCTTTAGGGTTTTCCTCTAGTATGAAATATATACAATAAGATCTGTGATACAAGTAAAGGTACTACTAAGGGAGGAGACCACCCCTCATATTGTTTTAAGCCCACTTTCTGCCTCCAAAGAAAGACAAAGTAAAAACTAAAAGGCAGAAATGAAATCCACGAGCAGACAGCTCGGTGCCACACCCTGGGCCTGGTAGTTAAAGATTGACCCCTGACCTAATCAGTTATGTTATCTATAGATTACAGACATTGTATAGAAAAGCACTGTGAAAATCCCTATCCTGTTTTGTTCCGATCTAATTACCGATGCATGCAGCCCCCAGTCATCTACCCCCTGCTTGCTCAATCATGACCCTCTCACGTGCACACCCTTAGAGTTGTGAGCCCTTAAAAGGGACAGGAATTGCTCACTCAGGGAGCTCGGCTCTTGAGACAGGAGTCTTGCCAATACCCCCTGCAGAATAAACCCCTTCCTTCTTTAACGCAGTGTCTGAGGAGTTTTGTCTGTGGCTCATCCTGCTACACTACAATCCTTTTTATATTTGTAAGGTTTGTCCTCAGAATAAATACTTTTTCACATTATAGGCTTATATTTTCTGAAAGACCTTTTAAGAGTAATTGCATTTATAATGCTTTTATTAAGTATGAACTCTCTGATGTTGAGTAAGATGTGAGCAGATATCAATGGCTTTTCTATAGTCTTTAAATTTATACAATTTTTCTCAAATATAAATGGTTTCCTGTGCAATAAGGTGTGAGCATTGGTTAAAGGTTTTGCCACATTCTTCACACTTGTAGAAGTTTTCTCCAGTATGAATTATCTTACCTACAATTAAGCATGACTACCATTTAAAGACTTTGTCATATTCCTCACATTTTTAGACTTTCTCACCAGTATGATTTCTTTTATGTTTAGAAAGGTTTGAGGTGTTGTCAAAAGCATTGTCACATCTTTCAGGTTTGTGAAGTTTTTCTCAAGTATGATCTGGGGACTTATTAAAGGCTTTGCCACATTCTTCACATTTGTAATTTCTCTTCAGTATGACTTACGTGTAGTAAGATGTGAGGAATGGTTACAGGCTTTGCCACATTCTTTACATTTGTAAGTTTTCTCTCCAGCATAAATTATTTTATGTTTAGCATGGATTGAGAGATGAGTAAAAGCTTTGCTACATTCTTCACATTTGTAGGTTTTCTCAAGTATGAATTATCTTACGTTCAGTAAGTTTTTTTTAATCCAAAATGTGTTTATTGAGATGGTTTCCCACTCATCTTGATTCAGAGTGCTTTTAGTGCTGCTTCCTCCTGAAGGAACATCCTTCTGTAAGCCTTGCTTTTCCTCCTGTAGGCTGGCAGAGGACAGTGGAGCAGCCAACACACAAAACTACCATTTGTGCATGACTAAAGACCGTGGTGACTTTATAGCATCCTGGGCATTTCACATCCATGAAGTAGGAATTGGGGCTCTGCACCAGGCGTTTCTTCTTGTGTTTCCTCTTCTCTTCTGGAGAGGGATGAAGGAGATCCTTTGTGAGAGGCATGTCCTCTTGTGGGAAGGTTGTCATCACCCGAAAGCTGTTCAGTAAGTTTTGAGGACCACTTAAAAGCATTGCCACATTCTTCAAATTCTAGAGTTTCTCTCCAGTATAAATTATCTTATGCTTAGTAAGGTTTGAGGACCATTTAAAGGCTTTGCCACATTCTTCACATTTGTAGGGTTTCTCTTCAGTATGAATTATCTTATGTACAGCAAGGTGTAAGGACCAGTTAAAGGCTTTGCTACATTCTTCACATTTGTAGGGTTTCTCTCCAGTTCTGAGTTATCTTATGTTCAGTAAGGTTTGAGGACCACTTATAAGCTCTGCCACATTCTTTACATTTGTAGGTTTTCTTTCCAGTATGAATTCCCTTATGGGTAGTAAGGTGTGAGTACTGGCTAAAAGATTTGCCACATTCTTTACATTTGTAGGTTTTCTCTGCAGTATGAATCATTTTATGTAAAGTAAGGTTTGAGGAGGAGTAAAAGGCTTTGCCACATTCTTCACATTTGTATAGTTTCTCTCCAGTATGAATTATCTTATGTCCAGTAATGTTTGAAGACCACTTAAAAGTTTTGCCACATTCTTCACATTTACAAGGTTTTTCTCCAATATGAATTATCTCATTTTCAGGAAGATTTGAAGACCACTTAAAATCTTTGCCAAATTCTTCACATTTGTAGTGTTTCTCTCTAGTAGGAATTCTCTTATGTTCAGTAAGATTTGAGGACTGTTTAAAAGCTTTGCCACATTCTTCACATTTGA
The DNA here is from genome assembly GCF_000001405.40 of Homo sapiens. NCBI lineage: Eukaryota > Metazoa > Chordata > Mammalia > Primates > Hominidae > Homo > Homo sapiens. The sequence goes on along the minus strand of NC_000019.10, from coordinate 23,596,578 downwards.
ACAGTGTCTTTTTAGTGTGAATTCTTTTATGTTGAGTGAGGGTCATGAACATTTAAAGACTTTGCTACATTCTTCACATGTGTAGGAATTCTCTCTAGTATGAATTTTCTTATGTTGAGTTAGGTGTGAAAGCATGCAAAATGATTTGCCACATTATTTACATTTGAAAGAATTTTTTCAGTATATCTTATTTTATTATTATTTGAATTTGGATATTTATAAAAGACTTTCACATATTTATCACCACGAAATATTTTGCTCTGGGTCGATGTCAAACATTGATTGCATCCATTATAACCTCCTTTGTGCATCCTACCATCATCCACACTTTTGCAGTTTTTTCTTAGTTGTAAATTCTCATCTCCACACTTTGCATATGTTCTCGGTATCAAGTTTTGGAAGGAATCTTTCATGCCCTGCTCTGGCCACAGGTCTTGAGCAAAATGAGAACACGTAACTGAAAGAAATAAAAATAACAAATTACTCCAGTTGCTAGACTCAGATAAATATACTTCACTAATCTAACCTATAAAATTGTACAAACTACATAAGCAAGATGGCACAGCAAAATACCACAGGCCCTAATTCTTTTATAGACATATACATGTAACAAAAACATACTGACCAAAATACACTTGCAGAAAATTTATAAATGGGTTAACTGTGTGCAATGCCCAGGTAAAAACAATGTAAAGAGCCACATAGAAAGATTGTGTTACAGTTACGCAACACAGCTTTTCCTGATCCCTAAGATAACAAAGCTTTTTTAGCAGTAAATTGCTGGCTGGTCATGATGGCTAACACCTGTAATCCAAGCCCTTTGGGAGGCAGAGAAAGGTGGATCACCCAAGGTCAGAATTTTGAAACCAACCTAGACAAAATAGCAAAAGCTCATCTCTACTAAAAATTTAAAAATTTGCCAGGTATGGTGGCATACACCTGTAATCCCAGTTACTCTGAAGGCTGAGGCATGAGAATCACTTGAACTTGGGAGGTGGAGGTTGCAGTGAGCCAAGATCTCACCACTGCACTTCAGCCTGGGTGACAGAGCAAGACTCTGTCTTTAAAAAAAAAAAAGTAATTGCCAACTCCTGGTTTCTTTTTTTTTTTTTTTTTTCCATTTAACCCTGAGTGGACACAGCACATGTTTCAGAGAGCACAGGATTGGGGGTAAGGTCATAGATCAACAGGATCCCAAGGCAGAAGAATTTTTCTTAGTACAGAACAAAATGAAAAGTCTCCCATGTCTACTTCTTTCTACACAGACACAGCAACCATCCGATTTCTCAATCTTTTCCCCACGTTTCCCCCTTTTCTATTCCACAAAACCGCCATTGTCATCATGGCCCGTTCTCAATGAGCTGTTGGGTACACCTCCCAGACGGGGTGGTGGCCGGGCAGAGGGGGCTCCTCACTTCCCAGTAGGGGCGGCCGGGCAGAGGTGCCCCCCACCTCCCGGACGGGGCGGCTGGCCGGGCGGGGGAGCTGACCCCCCCACCTCCCTCCCAGATGGGGCGGCTGGCCGGGCGGGGAGGCTGACCCCCCACCTCCCTCCCGGACGGGGCGGCTGGCTGGGTGGGGGCTGACCCCCACCTCCCTCCCGGACGGGGTGGCTGCCGGGCGGAGACGATCCTCACTTCCCAGACAGGGTGGCTGCCGGGCGGAGGGGCTCCTCACTTCTCAGACGGGGCAGCTGCCGGGCGGAGGGTCTCCTCACTTCTCAGACGGGGGGGCCGGGCAGAGACGCTCCTCATCTCCCAGATGGGGTCGCGGCCGGGCAGAGGCGCTCCTCACATCCCAGACGGGGCGGCGGGGCAGAGGTGCTCCCCACATCTCAGACGATGGGCGGCCAGGCAGAGACGCTCCTCACTTCCTAGATGGGATGGCAGCCGGGCAGAGATGCTCCTCACTTTCCAGACTGGGCAGCCAGGCAGAGGGGCTCCTCACATCCCAGACGATGGGTGGCTGGGCAGAGAGGATCCTCACTTCCCAGATGGGGTGGCGGCCAGGCAGAGGCTGCAATCTCGGCACTTTGGGAAGCCAAGGCAGGAGGCTGGGAGGTGGAGGTTGTAGTGAGCCGAGATCATGCCACTGCACTCCAGCCTGGGCACCATTGAGCACTGAGTTAACGAGACTCTGTCTGCAATCCCGGCACCTCGGGAGGCCGAGGCTGGCGGATCACTTGCAGTTAGGAGCTGGAGACCAGCCCAGCCAACACAGTGAAACCCCGTTTCCACCAAAAAAATATGAAAACCAGTCAGGCGTGGCGGCGCGTGCCTGCAATCGCAGGCACTCGGCAGGCTGAGGCAGGAGAATCAGGCAGGGAGGTTGCAGTGAGCTGAGATGGCGGCAGTACAGTCCAGCTTCGGCTCGGCATCAGAGGGAGACCGTGGAAAGAGAGGGAGAGGGAGACCGTGGGGAGAGGGAGAGGGAGAGGGAGAGTCCTGGTTTCTTTTTTAAAAGATGGGAAAAATACTGGCACGTACATATTTATTTCTGGCTTCAAGGGGCCTTTCCAGACCCTAGTTTCTTCCCTGCATTACATAAAGTGGTGAAAGAAATGATGGGATACTTTGGAATGACAGTTTGAGTCTGCTGAGACCAAATGTAAATGTTATAGCAGCAGAGAGACTGCAGTATCACATACAGGAAACACATGTAGCAAGTGATTACTGACTATTAAAACAGAAATAAACTTTTTTTTTTTTTTTGAGACAGAGTCTCACTCTGGAGTGAGGCTGGAGTGCAGCAGCGTGACCTTGGCTCACTGCAACCTCTGCCTCCTGGGTTCAAGCAATTCTCCTGCCTCAGCCTCCCTAGTAGCTGGGACTATAGGCACGTGCCACCACACCTGGCTAATTTTTTGTATTTTTAGTAGAGGCGGGGTTTCACAGTGTTAGCCAGGATGGTCTGGAACTCCTGACCTCGTGATCCACCCTCCTTGGCCTCCCAAAGTGCTGGGAATACAGACCTGAGCCACCTCGCTCGGCCTTCATTACTTTTAATGGCAAAACTGTGATTACTTTTGCACGAGCCTAATAGTTTACATTCCCACCAGCAGTGTAGAAGTGCTCCCTTTTCACCACATCAATGTGAACATGTAATATTTTTTTGATATTTTAATTATGGTCATTCTTGCAGAAGGTGGTATCACTTTATTGTTTTAACTTGTATTTCCCTGATAATTAGGGATATTGAGGATTTTTTCATGTTTGTTGGCCATCTGTATATCTTCTTAGAATTGACTATTCATGTTCTTAGCCAACTTTTTGATGGAATTATTAGTTTTATTGCTGACTGTTTGAGCTCCTTGTAGATTCTGGATATTATTCCTTTGTCAGATGAATAGTTTATAAAAGTTTTCTCCCACTTGTGCATTTTAGTTTAAGGCCCATTGATTTATCTTTGTTTTTGTTGCATTTGCTGTTAGGTTCTTGGTCATGAACCTTTGCCTAAGCCGATGTCTAGAATCATTTTTCTGATGGTATCTTCTACAATTTTTATAGTTTCAGACCTTACATTTAAGTGATTGATCCATCTTAAGTTGAATTTTTATAAGGTGAGAGATGAGTTTCCAGTTTTATTCTTCTACATATGGCTTGCCAATTATCCCAGCAACATTTGTTGAATAGAGTGTCCTTTCTCCCACTTTATGTTCTTATTTACTTTGTCAAAAAAGTTGGCTGTAAGTATTTGGCTCTATTTCTGGGTTCACTATTCTGTTCCATTGGTCTACCTGCCTGTTTTTCTACCAGTACCATGCTGTTTTGGTAACTATAGCCTTGTCATATGATTTGACATCAAGTAACATGATGCCTTCAGATTGTTCTTTTTACTTAGTGTTGTTTTGTCTATGTGGGCTTTTTTTTTTGGTTCCATATGAATTTTAGGATTGTTTTTTCTAGTTCTGTGAATAATAATGATGACATTTTGATGGAAATTGCATGAAATTTGTATACAGATTTTGGCAGTATGGTTATTTTTACAATATTGACTCTACCCATCCATGAGCATGGGGTGTGTTTTTGTGTTATGTATGATTTTTTTCAGCAGTGTTTTGTGGTTTGCCTTGTAGGGACATTTTACCTCATTGGTTAAGTATATTCCTAATTTTATTTATTTATTTATTTAGAGACAGAGTCTTACTCTTTCACCCAGGCTGGAGTGCAGTGGCGTGATCTCAGCTTACTGCAAACTCCACCTCCCAGGTTCAAGCAATTCTAGTGCCTCAGCCTCCCAAGTAGCTTGGATTATAGGAATGCACCACCACGCCTGGCTAATTTTTGTATAGAGGGGGTTTTGCCATGTTGTCCAGGCTGGTCTCAAACTTCTGAGCTCAAGCAATCCTCAGCCTCACAAAGTGCTGGGATTACAAACGTGAGCCACCGCACTCGGCCCTAATTATTTTATATTTTTTGCAGCTGTTGTAATAGGGTTTCGGTTCTTTACTGGATTTTCAGCTTAGTAGCTGTTTATGTTTTGCAGTGCTATTGATTTGTGTACATTTATTTTGTATCCTGAAACTTTACTGGACTTATTTAACAGATCTAGAAGTTATTTGGATGAGTCTTTAGGGCTTTCTAGGTATACAATCATACGCATCAGTAAACAGTGACAGTTTGACTTCTTTACTAATTTAAATGCCATCTATTTCTTTCTTTTGTCTGATTGCTCTGGCTAGGACCTCCAGTATTATGTTGAATAGAAGTGGTGAGAGTGAGAGTGGGCATCCTTGTCTTTTTTTTTTTTTTTTTTTTTTTTTTTTTGAGACGGAGTCTCGCTCTGTTGCCCAGGCCGGACTGCGGACTGCAGTGGCGCAATCTCGGCTCACTGCAAGCTCCGCTTCCCGGGTTCACGCCATTCTCCTGCCTCAGCCTCCCGAGTAGCTGGGACTACAGGCGCCCGCCACCGCGCCCGGCTAATTTTTTGTATTTTTAGTAGAGACGGGGTTTCACCTTGTTAGCCAGGATGGTCTCGATCTCCTGACCTCATGATCCACCCGCCTTGGCCTCCCAAAGTGCTGGGATTACAGGCGTGAGCCACCGTGCCCGGCCTATCCTTGTCTTATTTCAGTTCACAGAGGGAATGCTTCCAATTTTTCCCCATTCAGTGTAATGTTTTCTTTGGGTTTGTCATAGATGGCTTTCATTATGTTAAGGTATGTCCCTTCTATGCTGATATTGCTGAGGGTCTTAATCTTAAAAAGGTACCGGATTTTATCAAATGCTTTTTTTGCATCTATTGAGATGATTGTATAATTTTTGTTTTGAATTTTATTTGTGGTCTATTACATTTATCCCTGCATCCCTGGTATAAAATGCACTTGACCATGGTGTATTATCTTATTGATATGCTGTTGTGTTTGGCTAGCTAGTATTTTGTTGACAATTTTTTAAATTCATTTTCATCAGGAACATTGGAGTGCAGCTTTCTTTTTGTGTTATGTCCTATCCTGGTTTTCATATTCAGGTGATATTGGCTTCATATAATAATTTAGGAAGGATTTCCACTTTCTATACTTTTTGGAGTAGTTTCAGTAGGATTGGTACCAATTCATCTTTGAATGTCTGATAGAATTCACCTGTAAATTCATCTGGTCCTGGACTTTTTTGTTAATGACAATTTTTTAAATTGCTGTTTCAATCCTACTACTTGTTATCGGTCTGTTCAGAGTGCCTATTTCTTTGTAGTTTAATCTAGGTGGGTTATATTTTTTCCAAGAATTATTGTTTCTAGGTTTTCTAGTTTGTGCACATAAAGGTGTTCTTAGTAGCCTTGAATAATCTTTTGTATTTCTGTGGTATTGGTTGTAATATCTCCCGTTTTGTTTCTAATTGAGCTTATTTGGAGCTTCTCTCTCTGCTTCTTTTAGTTAATCTCACTAATGGCATATCAGTTTTGTTTATCTTTTCAAAGAACCAGATTCTTGTTTTATCTTTTGTGGTTTTGTTTCAATTTTATTCAGTTTTTCTCTGATTTTATTCAGATTTTTGTTATTTCTTTTCTTCTGCCGGGTTTGAGTTTGATTTGTTCTTTCTCTAGTTTCTTGGTGTATGCTTACATTGAGTCTCTTGTAGACAGCAGCTACTTGTTGTAGGGATTCCTATTTATTCTGCTATTCTGTATTTTTAAAGCGAAGCACTTTTGCCAGTTACATTCAACATTAGTAGTGAGAAGTGAGGTACTGCTGGATTCATCATGCCAGCTGTTGCCTGAATATCTTGATATTTTTCTTTGTGTTACTGTTTTATAGGTCCTGTAAGATTTATGAATTAAGGAGAGTCTACTCGTGTATATTTTGAGGTTTTGTTTCAAGATTTAGATATCCTTTCAGCATTTCTTGTAGTGCTGAGTTGGCAGTGGCAAATTCTCTCAGCATCTGTTTCTGTGAAAGAGAGTTTATCTCTTCTTCATTTATATTCCTTTATCTCACTGGATTCAAAATTCTTGGCTGATAATTATTTTGTTTAAGGAGGCTAAAGATAGAATGCCAATCCCTTCTCACTTGTAATATTTCTGCTGAAAAGTCTGCTGTTAATCTGGTAGGTTTTTATTTATAGGTAACCTGATGCTTTCACCTCACAGCTCTTAAGATTATTTTCTTCATCTTGACATTAGATAACCTGATGACTACAGCCTAGGTAATTATCTTTTTGTAATGAATTTCCTGGGGGCTCTTTGAGCTTTTTGTATCTGAATGTGTAAATCTCTAGCAAAGCTATGGAAGTTTTGTTGTTGTTGTTGTTGTTTTATTATTATTATTCCCTCAAATAAGTCTTCCTGGCTGGGCACAGTGACTCATGCCTGTAATCCCAGCACTTGTGGAGGCCAAGGTGGGTGGATCACATGACATCATGAGTTCTAGACTAGCCTGACCAATATGTTGAAACCCCATCTTTACTAAAAATACAAAAATTAGCCAGGTGTGGTGGCAGGCACCTGTATTCCCAGCTACTCGGGTGGCTGAGGCAGGAAAATCACATGAACCTGGGAGGCAGAGGTTGCAGTGACCCAAGGTCATGCCTCTGCACTCCAGCTGGGGTGACAGAGTGAGAGTTCATCTCAAAAAGTTTTAAAAAAGAAAACAATTTTCTTTAAAAATTTCAATAAGATGCAAAGAACACAGATAACTAAAAAATTTTTAGGAAACAACACAGAAACAAAATTAGAAACAATACATAAGTAGGCCAAGCATGGTGGCCCACACCTATAATAATAAAACTTTGGGATGCTGAGGCAGGAGCATTACTTGGGACCAGGAGTTCAAGACCAACCTGGCCAACACAGCAAAATGACATCTCATGTTTTTTATACATATATATATATATATATATATATATATATAGAGAGAGAGAGAGAGAGAGAGAGAGAGAGAGAGAGAAATAAAAACCATAAAAATGACCACACAAAAATCCTGCAGTTAAGGTAAACAATGGCAGAACTGAAGAAGTGTAGTAGAAAATTTTAACAGGAGACTCAATTATAAAAAAGAAAATTCAACAAACTCAAAAACTTGTCATTTGAAAGTAATCAATCATAAAGTGAACAAATTGACACATTTTAGAATTTTCAGAAGAAGACAGAGAAAAAGAATAAAGGAGATTGAAAGACATAATGTCTGAAAACTTTCCAAATCTAGGCTGAGCCTTGTGGCTCACATCTGTAATCCCAGCACTCTGAGAGGCCAAGGTGGGTGCATGGCTTGAGCTTAAGTGTTTGAGACCAGCCTGGGCAATATGACAAAATCCCATCTCTACAAAAAAATACAAAAATTAGCCAGGCAGGGTGGCACATGCCTTTAGTTTCAGCTACTTGGGTGGCAGATGTGGGAAGATCACTTGAGCCTGAAAAGCAGAGGTTGCAGTGAGCTGAGATCATGCCACTGCACTTCAGCTTGGGGGACAGAGTGAGCCCCTGTCTCAAAGAAAATCTTTCTAAATTTAGAGAAGGATATGAACATCCAGTTTTATGAAGCTCAATTTATCCACAGAAAAAAAATATAAACCTAGTAAATATTACCCTAGAACACAATATCATTAAATTGTCAACATTCACAGATAAAGCACAAATCTTGAAAACAGGAAGAGATAAGAGATTCTTTACATACAAGAGAAACTTTATGTAATCAGTGGATTTTTCAGCAAAAATATTGCAAACCAGAAGATTCAATTATATATTTAAAATGCTGAAAGAAGAAAAGAAAAACCTGACAACTGAAAAGACTATATCCAATAAAGCTGTCCTTTAGCCATAAAACAGATCAAGACATTTCAAGACAAAGGAAAAAGGTGAGGAAATTTATCACCACTCAACCTGTCTTACAAGAAATGATACAGGGAATTCTTCACATTAAAATGATGGAATCAGAACTAACAATATGAAAAACATTAAAGTATAAATGTCACTGGAAATGATAAGTATATAGTGAAATTCAGAATATTGTAATGGTTTTGTAAAAATACTTTAAACTCTAAAATAAGATCTATACAAAAAGTATTAAAAATACAGTGACAATAATTTTTTAATGAATACACAACATAAAAAGTTATAAAGTATGACTATATAGTATTAAGTGTGTAAAAGAAGAAAATGTGTACAGTTTTTACATACACAGAAGTTAAATTGTTATCATCCTAAACTAGACTATTAAAATCCCAGCACTTTGAGAGACTGAGATGGGAGAATTACTTGAGCTCAGGAGTTTGATACCAGCCTGAGCAACATAATGAGACATTTCTCTATGAAAAAAATAGCTGGCTGTTGTGGAGCATGCCTGTAGTCTCAGCCACCTAGGTGGCTGAGATGGGAGGACTGCTTGAGCCCAGGAAGTTGAGGCTACAGAGGGCTGTGACTCACACTGATATACCACTGTGTTCTAGCTTGGGCAACAAAGCATAACCCTGTCTTGACACAAACTAACAAAACCATAGGAAAGACAGGACAAGAATAAAATATTTTTTAAAATTTAAATAAACAGAAAAAACAAAATCACAATAGTAACTTATTAATAGTAACCTATCACTATTTTACATATAAAGAAAATAAATTATCCAATAAACAGACACTGCTACTATACACAATGTCATCTCCACATTTTAGGTTAAAATTAAATAGCCATTGTAATAGAATTAAAAGGTGGGACCTTTAAGAATTGATTAGGCCATAAGCAATCTAACCCTCATAAATGGATAAATGTTCTTATCATGAGATGGGTTAATTATATCAAGAGGTTCTCTTATAAAAGGAAGCTGTCTCTTCCTCATGCCTTTGGCTATGTTATTATGCAGAACAAGGCCTTCAACAGATGCCAGTGTCATATTCTTTGCCATCTCAGCCTCCAGAATCATGAGGCAAATAAATTTTTGCTTTTCATAAAATACTTAGTCTGTGATACACTGATATAGCAACAAACAACACAATGAAAAAGAGTGACCAACTCACTTTTTAAAAGCCCATTGATATGCTGCCTAAAAGAGACTCCCTTTTGATTTAAGGACAAGCATAGGCCAAAAGTGAAAGGATGAAAAAAGATATTCCATGAAAATGATAATCAAAAGTGTGCAATGGTAGTTATTGCTAAATTAGACAAAAAAGACTTCCTAGCAACATCTATCACAAGAGTCAAATGAGTTTACCATGCAATAATAAAGAAGTTAATTTGTCAAGAGGATATAGTAATTAAAAATATGTATGCTCCCAGCACTGGAGCTTCTAAATATATAAAGCAAATATTCACAAAACTGTAGGGAGAAGTAGACAGAAATACAATAAAACTTTAATACCTTACTCAAAACAACAGACAGATCATTCAAACAGAAATCTACTAAGAAAACAGTGTAGTTGTATACCACTATAGACTAAATAGATGATATGCACATAACATTTCATTCAACAGTATGAGAATACACATTCATCTCAAAAATACATGAAATATTCTCCCAGCCTGGCCAACATGGTGAAACCTCATCATCATGGAAAATACAGACATTGGGTGGGCTTGGTGGTGCGCACCAGTAGTTTCAGCTACGTGGGAGGATGAGGCAGAAAAACTGCTTGATCTGGGGAGATGGAGGTCATAGTGAGTCAAGAATGCACCCATGCACTCCAGCCTGGGCGACAGAGCAAGAGAGAACAACAACAACAAAAATAACAAAGTAAAAATAAAAACAAAAAATTACATAAAATATTTTTCAGGAGTAATTATACTTTGAGAAATTATAATTTCAGGAGGTCACAGTGAGTCAAGACTGCACCCATGCACTCCAGCCTGGGCGACAGAGCAAGAGAGAACAACAACAACAAAAATAACAAAATAAAAATAAAAACAAAAAATTACATAAAATATTTTTCAGGAGTAATTATACTTTGAGAAATTATAATTTCAGGAGGTCACAGTGAGTCAAGACTGCACCCATGCACTCCAGCCTGGGCAACAGGGCAAGACAGAGCAAAGAAAAAAATAACAAAATGAAAATAAAAATAAAAAATACATAAAATATCTTTCAGGAGAAATTATACATTAAACCAGAAATAAACAGGCTTTTTCAAATTTAAGAAGGTGAAAATTATGTTGTTTTTATTCTGATCACAATGGCATAAAACTAGAAAAAAATAGCAAGAAGAGAATTAGAAAACTCAAAACATGTGGCTACTAAACAACATGCTCCTAAACAACAAATGACAGTCAAAGAAGAAATTAGAGGGAAAATAAGAAAGCACCCTGGGCCAGGCACAATGGCTCACGCCTGTAATCCAGCACTTCAAGAGGCTGAGGTGGGTGGATCACGAGATCAGGAGATCGAGACCATCCTGGCTAACACAGTGAGACCCTGTCTCTAGTAAAAATACAAAAAATCAGCCGGGCATGGTGGCATGCGCCTGTAGTCCTAGCTACTTGGGAGGCTGAGGCAAGAGAATCGCTTCAACCTGAGAGGCAGAGGTTACAGTGAGTCGAAATTGCACCACTGCACTGCAGCCTGGGTGATAGAGCGAGACCCCATCTCAAAAAAAAAAAAAGCACCCTGATATAAATCAAATTCAACACACAAGGACCCAAAACTTCTTGGATACAAGAAAAGCAGTTTTTTGTTTGTTTGTTTGTTTGTTTCTTTTCTTTTCTTTTCTTTTCTTTTTTTTTTGAGGCAGAGTCTCACAGTGTTGCCTAGGCTGGAGTGCAGTGACATGATCTTGGCTCACTGCAACCTCTGCCTCCTGGGTTCCAGCAATTCTCCTGCCTCAGCCTCCCAAGTAGCTGGGATCACAGGCACCCGACATCACACCAGGCTTTTGGGGTTTTTTTGTATTTTAGTAGAGACAAGGTTTCACCATGTTGCCCAGGCTGGTCTCGAACTCCTGAGTTCAGGCAGTCTACCCATCTCAGCCTCCCAAAGTGCTAGGATTACAGGCGTGAGGCGCTGTGCCTGGCCCAGACCAGTTACTTTTTATTTAATTTTTTTAATTTATTTTATTTTATTTTTTTGAGACGGAGTCTCGCTCTGTCCCCCAGGCTGGAGTGCAGTGATGCAATCTGGGCTCACTGCAATCTCTGCCTCCTGGGTTCACACCATTCTCCTGCCTCAGCCTCCTGAGTAGAGTAGCTGGGACTGCAGGCGTGTGCCACCATGCCCAGCTAATTTTTGTATTTTTAGTAGAGATGGGGTTTCACCATGTTGGCCAGTCTGGTCTCAAACTCCTGACCTCAAATGATCCACCCACCTCAGCCTCTCGAAGTGCTGGGATTACAGGTGCAAGCCACCACGACTGGCCAGAGCAGTTTTTATAATTGAGAAGATTAATAAAAACAATAAAGCAGCAGGCCAGGTGCAGTGGCTCATGCCTGTAATCCCAACACTTTGGGAGGCCACGGCAGGCAAATCACGAGGTCAGGAGATTGAGACCATCCTGGCTAACACGGTGAAACCCCATCGCTACTAAAAACACAAAAAATTAGTTGGGCATGGTGGTGGGTGCCTGTAGTCCCAGCTGCTCGGGAGGCTGAGACAGGAGAATAGCTTGAACTCAGGAGACGGAGGTTGCAGTGAGCTGAGATCACGCCATTGCACTCCAGCCTAGATGACAGAGCGAGACACCATCTCAAAAAAAAAAAAAAAGGCAGCAACACAAAATTGATCAAATGATGTTTACATTTTATGCACACATCATAGAAATGGTGACTATATACACATGAAAAGTGAGAGAGTAGAACAGTTCTGTATAAATAAAATTAAATGTTTTAAATTGTTTAACAATTATAACATTCTTTGTAGATCTATTTTTGTGTTTTGTGCTTGTAATTGAAGATCAAAACATGCAATAATATAAAGTAAAATAAGAGCTATTATTAGTTGTATATTTTTTATTTTATTTTTATTTTTATTTTTTATTTTTTGGAGATGGAGTTTCACTCTTGTCCCCCAGGCTGGAGTGCAATGGCACGATCTTGGTTCACTGCAACCTCTGCCTCCTGGGTTCAAGCAATTCTCCTGCCTCAGCCTCCTGAGTAGCTGGGATTACAGGTGTGCGCCACCATGCAGGGCTAATTTTTGTATTATTAGTAGAGACGAGGTTTCACCATATTGGCCAGGCTGGTCTCGGACTCCTGACCTCAGGTGATCCACTGAGTCAGATTTTTTTTTAATGTTTTGCTTTGTTTATTTTATGTGCCATAGTATGTTTTAGAATTTTAAGACAATAGATATATTGATTATATATTTTTTCTTTGTCCCTAAAATTACAGAGAATAAAGTATATGCTTGTGAAATGAAGGTGAAATTAAATGGAAACCTAAACAACTGAGACCTGTTTCAGAACTTCCAGTTTCAAAAGCTGCTATCTATAGTTGACAAATAGGAAAGTATTTATTCTCCAAAGTAAGATATAAGAAAAAAAAGAAATAGGAGTTTTTAAATTAAATTTGATAATTTATACACCTCAGTAAATCCCCCTTCCAAGATACTCATTATTGATAAAGAAAAAAATAACTAACTTTATAGTGAAGGAATTTGGCAGAAAACACCTTAGCCAGATGAATAAATTTAGCATCAGCTGTAATGAGACAAACCAGATTTAGGGGCCAATGCACAGATGGGCCCATTATGAGACTGATACGCTGTCTATTGCACTAAGAAGGCACTTAGGTGGGCCCTTTATTACTGCTGTGATATTGATGGAGAGAAAAGTACATAATCATCTGAATCTACTCAGGAGAAAATACAACCTGTAAGGGAAGACGCAGGTGATGGTATTTCTTCAAACTGGTCATGTGGTCTTAACTGGATGCCTGGGCTGAGAACCACTTAGCTGACCATTCCCTCTCAAGCTTCAATGTGCATATAGGTCATTTGGTATTCTGGGCCCTTCTCTAACTAATGTGATCCTGCACGTTTTGAAGGGGTCCAGGAATTGGCTTGTTTAAAAAAAGTTCCCCATAGGCCGCATGTGGTGGCTTACGCCTATATTCCCAGCTCTTTGGGAGGCCGAGGCAGGTGGATCATCTGAGGTCAGGAGTTTGAGACCAGCCTGACCAACAAGGTGAACCTCCGTCTCTACTAAAAATACAAAAATTAGCTGGGCATGGTGGCAGGTACCTTTAGTCCCAGCTACTCGGAAGGCTGAGACAGGAGAATTGCTTGAACCTGGGAGGTGGAGTTTGCAGTGAGCCAAAATCATGCCACTGCACTCCAACCTGGGCGACAGAGCGAGATTCCGTCTCAAAAAAAAAAAAAATTCCCTGTTAATGCTGATATTGCTCTCCAGCTCTCAGAGAAAGCAGGAATAACACACAAAGTCCCTTACATACAATATTCTTATTGAAACATGAATATTTTTTGTTTACAGTGAAAACCACTAATCACCATCCCAAAAGATCACATTTTTTGCCAGCTATTTGAAGTCTACAGAAGGCTGGAGAATGCATTTTGAAACATGTACACATGTGTTAATGCAATGTTTATTGAGCTCATACTATGTGCTCACAAGTATGCTGTGGTGTGTTGTGCTGGGAAACTCACCTGGTGTGAGTTAAACCTCAAAAAATTCTGTGAAGTAGGTATTAAGTGTCCCATAATTTCTAGCAGGATTTAGACGATGGTTCAGGCTGTTTGTTTTCTTTTTTTTGAGATGGAGTTTCACTCTTGTTGGTGCAATGGTGCAATCTCAGCTCACTGCGACCTCCTCCTCCCAGGTTCAAGTGATTCTCCTCCTTCAGCCTCCCGAGTAGCTGGGATTACAGGGATGTGCCACCATGCCTGGCTAATTTTGTATTTTAAACAGAGACTGGGTTTCTCCATGTTAGCCAGGATGGTCTTGAACTCCTGACCTCAGGTGATCCGCCCACCTCGGCCTCCCAAAGTTTTGACATTACAGGCGTGAACCACGGCACCCAGCCCTGTTTGTTTTCTTATCACTATGAAACCTAAATACAGAAGATAAAAGGGATACAGAAATGAAGGCTTAAGTAGAGGTCCAAAAGACTTTTAATTGTTGTGTTTATATTTTCTTTCTCATAACATGTAGAAAAACTATTGGATTTGCAGAAGTGTAAAACAGGTTGCTGTATGAAATGTCTCTAGAAGCACTGGTTTCAATAAGAAAGAAAGAAATTAAGGCTCCAAATAAATAATCCTTTGCTCCCATTTATTCGTTTTTGGGTCTAGGAAAATCGTGAGATCCAGCTCTGAAGAGATACCAAGAGTTGCCACACATAAATCCGATCTCCTCTAATCAGTTCTGTGAGGGAGATATCAGGGTGAGGCCAGACCTGGACAAGGCTCAGAAGAGGGTAGAGCTGGGTAGGGCTGGGGCAGGGAGCTGGCCCTCAGCTTCTCATCTCTATGCTGCTGGCTTATTTTCAGTTCTCCATTCTAAGCCTGACCAATAAGAACTTGACTCCCAGAACTTTTCTGATTTAAACGATTTAAGCCTCATCCTATCTATTTTGCATGATACAATAGCAACCAATTTTACCAAATCATGTAGGTCTTTCTAAAAAATTACATTGAAGCTGGGCATGGTGGCTCATGCCTGTAATCCCAGCACTTTAGGAGGCCAAGGCAGGTGAATCACGAGGTCAGGAGTTCGAGACCAGCCTGGCCAATACAGTGAAACCCTGTCTCTAATAAAAATGCAAAAATTAGCTGGGCATGGAGGTGGGCACCTGTAGTCCCAGCTACTTAGGAGGTTGAGGCAGGAGAATTGCTTGAACCCAGGAGGCAGAGGTAGCAGGTGGTTGAGATCATACCACTGCACTCCAGCCTGGGCAACAGAGTGAGACTTCATCTCAAATAAAAAAAAAAATAATAATAATAAAGAAAATTACATAGAAAACTATTTATTCTTGTCAAGTGAAAAGAAATAGAAATAATAATTGCCACAACTTTTCTGTCCATGGGTGGCCCTTCAGGTGGTGACATCAGAACTCACAACCACAACATACAATTAGTGTCCCAAATGAAGCCCAAGTTCTCTATACAACTCCCTTCTCTGTTCTGATCGCATTACTCTAAATTAAATAATTTATCCATTGGCTCTAGAATAAAAATTCCTTGATGGTAGGGTCCATGACTGCTTCACCTGTTCTTCTCATGGCCAAATAAAATGGAAACAATTTGTTAACCTATCAGTTTGGGCCTCCAGACCTCCTACTTGTTCTCCACCCAAATATCAGGAAATAGGAGCAACTCCTATTTGGACACCAAATAAGGAGATACCTTCTGTGATGGGAGAAAGAAGCCCTGGATTACTCATTCTTTTATGAGATGGGAGGAAGATTGGACTTGTCAGCCTGACCCTTGTCTGCACAGTACATCCCTAAATGTCTCAAGGACTCCTAGGTGCTAGTGAGAGGGTCTGCAGTGGCCCTGGGCTGATGCTTCAACAGTTATTCAAACAGAGGAGACTCAGGCTGACTCTGTGGAGCCAGAATAAAAAATAGAACAACCCCTAATTCTCGATCCAGATCTGATATTACCTATATATGTTGAGCTAACTGTTGGGTTCAAGGACAAGAATACCCTTCTCCAGTAACACAATTCACATACAGGAGATGTAGTTATCTTTATCTCTCTGGACAGCTGTGGCCCTGCCTTGCCTCTGCTAAGTTGCTTCTGTACACCTATAGATTCTGCCACCAAATTTACCTTACACCAGGAGCCCCTCACACAACCACAGTGGCTCACTGCCCAAAATGTTAAGTCTGGCCCTGTCTTGTGAATTCCAGGTGGATATCAGCCCTTATATGTAGATTCTAGGTACAATTAACTTGGCTCTGTATTCTAGGCATTACAGTAAGGAGAGAAAAACTGGAGGAGAAATTCCAACATGAAGGCTGCTCTAACACATACTGGAGAACCCTAGAAGCTGGACAAAATTTGGAACTGCAGATTTAGGTTTGGAGGGGCAGGAAAGGAAGCCACAGGGACACTTGGCACATTTATGGGTATTCAGGCAAGAGAATGAGTGAAATATTTAGATTCTCAGGCCTACTCAATGCAAATGTGTGAACCTAGCTGGGTTTTCAGGCCACATGCTATTTGAATCAATTTAAAGTCTGAAGATGCTGGGGGAATGAAAAGACACAGTGAGAATAGCTGATTAATGCCATGTTTGTTTTTGTAGAAATCTGGTCAAACTGCACTATTAAGAATGTTAGATCCCGGCCGGGCGTGGTGGCTCACGCCTGTAATCCCAGCCGAGGCAGATGGATCACAAGGTCAGGAGATCGAGACCATCCTGGCTAACACGATGAAACCCCGTCTCTACTAAAAATACAAAAAAAATTAGCCGGGAGTGGTGGCGTGCACCTGTAGTGCCAGCTACTTGGGAGGCTGAGGCAGGAGAATGGCATGAACCCGGGAGGCAAAGCTTGCAGTAAGCTGAGATCACGCCACTGCACTCCAACCTGGGTGACAGAGCAACACGCCGTCTCAAAAAAAAAAAAAAAACAAACAAAAAAGAATGTTAGATCCCAAATAGGCAGGAAGAACATTCAGCCTGCAGACTTTGAGGGCAGTGTGAACTTTGCTGCATGACTGTGGGTTGTGACTGGAAGCCCAAGAGAAAAAGGTCCATACAGAGTGAAGCCTTGTGAACACATTATGTGTTAATATCAGGTCTAGTAATTCTGAACAATGTGAGAGAAATATAATTAAAAACAGAGGCCAGGCACAGTGGCTTATACCTGTAATCCCAGCACTTTGGGGGGGGCGAGGCGGGTGAATCACGAGGTCAGGAGTTCAAGACCAGCCTGACCAACATGGTGAAACCCCATCTCTACTAAAAATACAAAAATTAGCCAGGCATGGTGGTGTGCACCTGTAATCCCAGCTACTCAGGAGACTGAGGCAGGAGAATCACTTGAATCCGGGAGGCGAAAGTTGCAGTGAGCCGAGATCAAGCCACTGAACACCAGCCTGGGTGACAAAGAAACACTCCGTAACCATCCCCCTCCCACTGCCAAAAAAAAAAAAAAAGACAACGATTGTTGTTGTCAGCAACAGCCAAATGGAAGAAATGTACAGGGCAAAAAAAGTGAAGGGGAAAAATGGGGTGGGTAGGTAACAGCTGTGATTAAAGTAATCCCCCATCTTTTGTGTTTTCCAAGGTCATCTTACTGCACAGAACACCCTTCCTGTTTTTGATATCACAAAGCCACAGACTCTCTAAATTCTTTTTTTTTTTTTGCCTCATAAATAATTGAATAATAAATTGTTAACCAAACTTTGCTTAAGTTTTTTTCCTTCCTCAGGCCTCCTAACTTAGACTCAATCTTACTCTAAGCTAACATACAAGCCCTTTTTATGACCCTCTTAAGAATAGGCTGAGTTCTGGGTGAAATATTCTCTCACCTAGGATCTGATTTTACCATGTTTTTTCCCTCCCTTCCCCTCCCACCTTTTTTTCTGACCCTTTTTGTGCTTCCTTATTATTCATACTAAATAATTTAATAGACAATCATATATAAACATTTCTAGAAGGTGCCAAGATTCATCTCATAAAATTTAGCATTAAACTTGGACATTCAGAGAGCAGAGTACAAAATAGAGATATCCACTGTTACAAATTCTAGATCCTATAAAAAAGAGGATCTGATGTTTTGACAAATATATGAAATTCATCAATTAATCTTTCACATTTGCTTGTGGAAATGTATTCACTTTCTATAGTCACAGTGGAAGAAAAATTTTCTCTATTTCTTTTCCCTAGTAGCATTCCCAAAGCAAAGTGAAAGAATTATTTATTTGAAATCACCCACTAAAAATAACAGACATGAAAAGCTAACTATGGCTGGGTGCAGTGGCTCACACCTGTAATCCCAGTACTTTGGGAGGCTGAGGAGGGTGGATCACCAGGTCAGGAGTTTGAGACCAGCCTGGCCAACATGGTGCAACCTCATCTCTACTAAAAATACAAAAATTAGCTGAGCGTGGTGGTGTGCACCTGTAATCCCAGCTACTCAAGAGGCTGAGGCAGGAGAATCACTTGAATCTGGGAGGCAAATGTTACAGTGAGCCAAGATCATGCCATTGCACTCCAGCCTGGGCAACAGAGTGAGACTCCATCTCAAAATAAATAAATAAACAGCAGGAAATTAGACTGAAGTGGCTCTAGTGCCCTGTGCTCATAAGTAAAATATCTGAAACCTAACTTGAATGCATTTCTTACAAATTACTATCTTAGGATGAAAAAAATTCAGGCTTGGCCTATCATAAACCTGCAATTAACCTCTAATTATATAAGGAGGACATTTCTACCTGGAACATGCAAGTAAGGTGACTGCATAACTGTAACCAATTCTTGAATCTGGTTTGCCTTCTCAAGCACTTTATAAAACCTTTCCTTCATGCCCCTCACATGAGCCACAAACCACGGTTGGGCGCTTTTCATTTCACCAATCACTGTTTGCTCCAATGAACTCATTAATGTTTAAACACTGATGTTCTTTAACTTTTAGTAGGAGAGACCATACGTGGCGGCTCACTCCTGTAATCACAGCACTTTGGGAGTCCGAGGCGGGCAGATCACCTGAGGTCAAGGAGTTTGAGACCAGCTTGGCCAACAGGGCAAAACCCCATCTTTACTAAAAATGCAAAAATTAGCTTGGTGTGGTGGTGCACATCTGTAATCTCAGCTACTCTGGAGGCAGAGGCACAAGAATCGCTTGAGCCTCAGAGGCAAAGTTTAGAGTAAAGCGATATTATACCATTACACTTTAGCCTGGGAGACAGAGCTAAACTCCATCTTAACAAAAAAATTTAATAGCAGTGTTGGGAACAGGCCCCCCAAAATCTGGCCATAAGCTGGCCCCAAAACTGGCCATACACAAAATCTCTGCAGCACTGTGATGTGTTCATGATGGCCATGATGCCCACACTGGAAGGTTGTGGGTTTACCAGAATGAGGGCAAGGAACACCTAGGCCACCTAGGGCAGAAAACCACTTAGAGGCATCCTTAAACCACAAACAATAGCACGAGCGATCTGTGCCTTAAGGACATGCTCCCACTGCAGATAACTAGCCAAACCCATCCCTTTATTTTGGCCCATCCCTTCGTTTCCCGTAAGGGATACTTTTAGTTAATCTAATATCCATAGAAAGAATGCTAATGACTGGCTTGCTGCTCATAAATACGTGGGTAAATCTCTGTTCGATGCTCTCAGCTCTGAAGGCTGGGAGACCCCTGATTTCCCACTTTACACCTCTATATTTCTGTGTGTCTTTAATTCCTCTACCACCGCTGGGTTAGGGTCTCCCTGACCGAGCTGGTCCTGGCAAGTGGCATCCATCATGGGGGCTCCAATGCAGGTCAAAGGGTTGCCGGAGCGATGGTTGGAAAACATGGAACTAAGCTGGAGGACACCCGAGTACTCTTAAAGCAATCCCCGTGGTGAGTAAAAAGGGGAGCTCAGAAGCATCAGGGTAAAAATGGGACAAGTGTGGGGTCTGGTTTGTTCCACCTTGGAACTTTTTCACACTGATGATGAGGAGGAAGGAGAGTATAACGAATTAACAGAAGAGGTTACAGAGCAGGTTTATTTGCCAGCTAAAGCTAAAGCGGCAAAGGAGGGAGAGGTTCATTCCTACCCTTCTGCACCCCCTCATTATTATTTTGAAGAAAAAGACCCTCCAGATCTTTCTTTTCTGGAGGACACTGGGCAAAAAGTAGTTGCCCCAGTGACTGTTCGAGCGGCGCCCCGAGTGACTGCTCTTAGTTCTATTCAGGCAGGAATTCAGCAAGCTAGATGAGAGGGTGATTTAGAGGCTTGGCAGCTCCCTGTTAGAATACACCCTCCAGATCAACAGGAAAATATTATAGCTACATTTGAGTCCTTTCCTTTTAAATTACTCAAAGAATTTAAACAAGCTATTCATACTAAAAAAGAATGTAGAAATAATCAGCGAGTCAGGCCGCCAGATAGGGGAAAAAAGAAAACTGCTGAGCCTGAAATATTTCCAAAATGTAAAAAAGGAAAATATTGGGCTAATCAGTGTCATTCTAAGTTTGATAGAGGAGGGAACCCAATTTTGGGCAACACCATGAGGGGCCCATCCTGGGCCCCGTTCTAAACTGGGGCATTTCCAGCTCAGGCTGTACTCACCCCTGTACAATGTCTGTCCCCCGCCACAGCTGGTAATGCCACAGTAGATTTATGCTGCACAAAAGCTGTGAGCCTTCTGCCTGGGGAACCCCTGCAAAAGGTCCCAACAGGAGTCTGTGGACACTTGCCAGCGGGGACAATAGGATTACTTTTAGGAAGGTCTAGTTTAAGTTTAAAAAGGGGTAGAAATACATACAGGAGTCATTAATTCAGATTACAATGGGGAAATTCAAATTGTTATATCTACTTCTGTTCCCTGGAAAGCAGAGCCAGGAGAGTGCATAGCACAGCTCCTGATTGTGCCGTATATGGGAATGGGAAAAAGTGAAATTAAACAAACAGGTGGATTTGGAAGCACAAATATACAAGGCAAAGCAGTTTATTGGGTAAATCAATTACTGATAAACGTCCTACCTGTGAAATAAATAACTATTCAGGGAAAGAAAATTAAAGGTTTGGTAGATACAGGAGCGGACATTTCAATCATTTCTCTACAGCACTGGCCATCTGTGTGGCCAATTCAACCTGCTCAATTTAACATAGTTGGAGTTGGTAAAGCCCCTGAAGTATATCAAAGTAGTTATATTTTGCATTGTGAAGGGCCCGATGGACAAGTTGGGACTATTCAACCAATTGTAATTTCTGTACCTATAAATTTATGTGGGAGAGATTTATTACAACAATGGGGAGCACAAGTTCTAATTCCAGAACAATTATATAGCCCTCAAAGTCAATGTATGATGCATGAAATGGAGTATGTCCCTGGTATGGGACTAGAAAAAAATTTGCAAGGTTTGAAAGAGCCACTTCAAGGAGAAAAGCAAAGTTCTCACCAAAGATTAGGATATCATTTTTGATGGCGGCCATTGTCAAGCCTCCAGAACCTATACCTTTAAAATGGTTAACAGATAAGCCAATTTGGATAGAACAATGGTGGCTAAGTAAAGAGAAACTGGAAGCTTTAGAGAAATTAGTTACTGAACAATTAGGAAATGGCTCCAACATTTTCCCCTTGGAATTCTCCAGTTTTCATAACTAAGAAAAAATCAGGTAAATGGAGAATGTTAACTGACTTAAGAGCTATCAATTCAGTTATACAACCTATGGGAGCATTACAGCAAGGATTGCCTTCTCCTGCTATAATTCCAAAAAATTGTCCTTTAATAGTCATAGATTTAAAAGACTGTTTCTTTACTATCCCTTTAGCCTAGCAAGACTGTGAACGGTTTGCATTTACAATTCCTGTGGTAAACAACCTGCAGCCTGCTAAGTGTTTTCATTGTTTTACAGATGGGTCTAGTAATGGTAAAGCTTCTTATTCTGGCTTGAAAAGTAAAGTTTTCCAGACTCCCTATAAAAAGCAAAGCTTGTAGCTGTAATTGAGGTATTGACTGCTTTTGATATGCCTATTAATGTGATTTCCGATTCTTCATATGTGGTTCATTCCACACAGTTAATTGAAAATGCTCAGTTACGATTTCATACAGATGAACAACTGATAACAAAAGCAAAAAAGGGGGCGAAATAGGGATTATGGGACAGCCCCTACACAATTGAATCTAGCATTATTAACTTTAAATTTTTTGAGCCTGACCAAAGGCCAGATGTTATCAGCAGCTGAACAGCATCTACAGAAACCAGCTGCAAAGACAGAAGCAGAACAACTGGTTTGGTGGAGAGATCTGATAACAAAAAGTTGGGAAATAGGTAAAATAATAACTTGGGGTAGCGGTTATGCTTATGTTTCTCCAGGCCAAAAGCAATAGCCGATTTGGATACCATCAAGACACCTGAAACCTTATCATGAGCCAGATGCCAAGGAAGAGACTCTGGGAGGATCCCAAGGACCCCCTGGTTGCAGCCATGTCAAGACTGACACTGAGAAGGACCCCAACTGTCATGAGCAACACCCATTGAACACAGCCACCCACTTGGGGACAGATCAAGAAGCTGTCACAGATGGTGAAAGAAAACCTGAGGAAAGTGGGACAACCAGTCACCATGAGTAATTTAATGGCAGCTATGATAGCAATGATCACCACTGCCATGAGTATTCCTTCAACAAAGGCTGACACAGAGAACAATTATACTTATTAGGCATATTTATCAATCTTAGCTGGAAATGATGCCTGGATGTAATCACTCTATGGCACAGTTACACATGCTTTCTGATCTCAGTATTTACCATAATAAATCTGCTGCTACATTGAGGCATACTGCCCTCAAAAACCTATTTGTAACAAAATTGACCTGGCCAGAAAATATGAATGTACTTGTTTAGGAAGATTGCATTGCAGAACAGGCAGAGGTGCTGCACAATGATTCCTATGGAATCATTGGTCCCCTAAGGGGATGTTTGGCTTGAATTGCACTTCTCAGTCTGCGTGCCATGGCCACACTATGTTCATATGGTCTGAACAAAATGGTCAGATGGTAGAAATGATAAAAAGTATGGCAAGAGTTCCTATTATCTGGAACAATGGTGGTATAGTGGCACCTCAACCTCAAAAGATATGGCCCATTGTAGGAGCTAAACATAAGGATTTGTGGCTTAATAAGATCAAAATTTGGGAAAGAATAAAAAAGCATCTAGAAAGACACTCTACAAACTTGTTTTTGGATAAAAGAACAAATATTTAAAGCATCCCAGGCACACCTGACCTTACTGCCAAGAACTGGAGTGCTTAAAGGAGCTGCAGACAGATTAGCAGCTAGTAACCCATTAAAATGGATAAAAACACTTGGAAACTCTGTGATTTCAATGATGATTGTACTTTTAATCTGTGTTGTTTGTCATTGTATAGTCCGCAGATGTGGATCCTGACTCCTGTGAGAAGTAGCTCACCGTGACAAAGCTGCCCTTGCTTTTATCGCTTTGCAAATCAAAGAAAGGGGACATGTTGGGAACAGGCCCCCCCCCAAAATCTGGCCATAAACTGGCCATAAGCAAAATCTTTGCAGCACTGTGACATGTTCAAAATGGCCATGATGCCCATGCTGGAAGGTTGTGGGTTTACTGGAATGAGGGCAAGGAACACCTGGGCCATCCAGGGCAGAAAACCACTTAAAGGCATTCTTAAACCACAAATGATAGCATGAGTGATCTGTGCCTTAAGGACATGCTACTGCTGCAGACAACTAGCCAAACCCATCCCCTTATTTCAGCCCATCCCTTTGTTTCCTATAAGGGATACTTTTAGTTAATCTAATATCTACAGAAACAATGCTAATGACTCGTTTGCTATTAATAAATATGTGGGTAAATCTCTGTTCGAGGCTCTCAGCTGAAGGGAGCAGCCCCACAGGGTCGGTGGGTCTCTCCCCATGTGTGGAGGTGAGAGAGTGTAGAAATAAAGACACAAGACAAAGAGATAAAAGAAAAGAGAGCTGGGCTTGGGGGACCACTACCACCAAGTCACAGAGACCGGTAGTGGCTCCGAATGTCTGGCTGTGCTGTTATTTAATGGATACAAAGCAAAAGGGGCAGGGTAAAGAGTGTGAGTCATCTCCAATGATAGGTAAGGTCATGTGGGTCACATGTCCACTGGACAGGGGGCCCTTCCCTGCCTGGCAGCTGAGGCAGAGAGGGAGCAGAGACAGAGAGAAAGACAGCTTATGCCACTATTTCTGCATATCAGAGACTTTTAATACTTTCACTAATTTACTACTGCTATCTAGAAGGCAGAGCCAGGTGTACAGGATGGAACACGAAGGTGGACTAGGAGCATGACCACTGAAGCACAGCATCACAGGGAGATGGTTAGGCCTCAGGATAACCACAGGTGAGCCTGACTAATGTTAGGCCCTCCACAAGAGGTGGAGGAGTAGAGTCTTCTCTAAACTCCCCCGGGGAAAGGGAGACTCCCTTTCCCAGTCTGCTAAGTAGCCGGTGTTTTTCCTTGACACTGAGGCTACCGCTAGACCACGGTCCGCTCGGCAATGGGCGTCTTCCCAGACGCTGACATTACTACTAGACCAAGGAGTCCTCTGGTGGCCCTGTCCGGGCATAACAGAAGGCTCGCACTCTTGTCTTCTGGTCACTCCTCACTATGTCCCCTCAGCTCCTATCTCTGTACGGCCTGGTTTTTCCTAGGTTATGATTATAGAGCAAGGATTATTATAATATTGGAATAAAGAGTAATTGCTACAAACTAATGATCAATGATATTCATATATAATCATATCTAAGATGTATATCTGGTATAACTATTCTTGTTTTATACTTTATTATACTGGAACAGCTTGTGTCCTCGGTCTCTTGCCTTGGCACCTGGGTGACTTGCTGCCCACATCAGCTCTGAAGGCTGTGAGACCCCTGATTTCCCACTTTACACCTCTATATTTCTGTGTGTGTGTCTTTAATTCCTCTAGTGCCACTGGGTTAGGGTCTCCCCGGCCAAGCTGGTCTCGACACCAGAGAGACTGGGGACCCCAGGGCTGCAGCTCCTCCCACACATACACTGAGTTGAGTTTCTGCCCTGATGACCTGTCTAGCATCTCTGAACACTCTGGGAAGACTCTGGGAACAATCTGCAGGTGCAGAGCTGCTGTTAGAAACAAATGCTCAGTCCCACAAAGGAGAATCAGCACTCTGGCAAAAAGCTTTCTCAGCAAGGCAATTTAGTTCTGCAGAAGGTTGCAGCTTGTGCCAGTCACAATTGCAAGAGCATATCGAACAAGGAAGGGAAGGGGCTTTTATCCCTAAAACAGTTAGTCCCCGTTGCTGTGTCATTGGGGCTGGAATGCACAATCTAAGCTAATCCTGATTGGCTATTTCAAATGGGGCAGAGGTGTGGGTTACAGTGGCAGTAAGAGCAGTTTGGACAGAAGGTCAGTTACAGAGCGGGTAATCAAGGGAACAGATGTGAGTTATAGATTAGGACTGGTGGGAAGGTTGTTTACCATAACTAGGGGCAAGGAGCTGCAAAGAATGAGGAAGTTAGGCTTTGAAAATTGAGATCAAAGAACAAGGAAGCTGAACAAGTTGACTCTTTGAAGAGGAACTCACTGTACCTAACACTGCCCAGAGAGTTCCAGATAGGGGGCCGTGCAGGGATGGGGAAGGATGCAAGGGTCCCAGCTGCAGGCCCAGTCACCATCTTGCAGCCAGAGGGGCCTGGAGCAGAGCTGCACCACCAGGGACTCAGGTCACGACTGGGAGCTGACTGTTGGGTGGCTGGTCCTGCTGGATTCACAGCCCAGGCTGGAGTGCAATGGCGCGATCTCAGCTCACTGCAACCTCTGACTCCTGGATTCAAGCAATTGTCCTGCCTCAGCCTCCTGAGTAGCTGGGATTACAGGTGCCAGCCACCAGGCCCAGCTGATTTTTGTATTTTTAGTGGAGATGGAGTTTCACCATTTTGGCCAGGCTGGTCTTGAACTCCTGACTTCATGATCAGCTTGCCTCAGCCTCCCAAAGTGCTGGGATTACAGGCATGAGCCACTGAACCTGGCCAAAAAAAAAAAAAAAACTTTTTAAAAAAGTTGTCTAAATATTCCTCTTCTTACCCTTAATTAGCCAATAAGGTGCATTATACAAGCCAACCCAGGTAAGGAAAAAAGCAAGTGCATTTCAAGTCTCAGCTCTCTTCTTAATTAGTTGCAGTACTCTGGGCATGTGACCCTGCATACTTGAACCTGTTTCCCAGTCCATAAAATGCAGTAATGCTGGGGAGGGTGGAGGTGGGATGTGGGTCCTGGAGCTTTATCCAATCAGTGGTGCTGGCATGGGAACTGCCCAATCAGGCTCTCAGAGAGGAGGGCGTGGCTTCTAGCATTTGGTGGGCCTTTTTCTCCCTCCCTCCAGAGCTTGGAATTCATTTCCACTGTTCTGCGTCCTCTTCCGGTTTTGCGTCCTCCTCCTTGGGAGCCCCCAGTGACTCTGTCACAGCCTCTGTTGCCCTGTGATGCAGGTCCTGGGAGACGCATAGCTAAGATGCCAGGACATCCTGGAAGCTGGGAAATGGTGAGTATGCAGGGTTGGGCATCCAGAGAGGGGAGACCAGGCTGTGAAATCACGGGACCGGCCTCCCCAGAGTCTGCTCCCATGTTGCCGTCCTGAGTCCCCACTGGCTCGGCTCCTCCCCAGGCCCTCTGGCTGCAAGATGGCAGGTGGGCCTGCAGCCAGGACCCTGGCATCGCACCTGGTGCCTGGGGGGCGCCCTACATGGAGCTCTCTGGGCAGCTCTGCACCTGCAGCCCCGAGTATTTCCCAGAGTGTTCAGGGATGCCAGGGGGGTCATCAGGGCAGAATCCTGACTTGGTGTGTGCATGGGAGGAGCTGTGGCCCATGGGGTCTTCATTCTCTCTTGTTATTTTTTTTTTGTTAAGATGGAGAGACAGAGGCTCACTCTGTCTCCCAGAGTAAACTTTAGTGGTGCGATCTTGGTTTACTGTAACCTCCTCCCAGGCTCAAGCAATTCTCATGCCTCAGCCTCTCGAATAGTTGGGATTACCTTTGCACTTCGCCTGGTTAATTTTTGTATTTTTAGTAGAGACGGGGTTTTGCGATGTTGACCAGGCTTGTCTGAAACTACTGGCCTCAAGTGACCTGCCCACCTCGGCCTCCCAAAGTGCTGGGATTACAGGCCTGAGCCACCAGGTGCATGGTCTCTTCTGTTAAAACTAAAGGGAGTCAATGTTAAAACATTAACGGGTTTATTTGAACAAACCGTGATTGGTGAAATGGAAAGCACCCGGCCCTGATTTGTGGTCCACCTGAGGGGGATAAAAAAAAAGGGTTTTATAAAGTGCTTGAGAAGGCAAACCAGATTCAAGAATGGATTACAGTTATGTAGTTACCTTATTTGTATGATCCAGGTGTAAATTTCCTGGTTTTGTAACCAGAGGTTAATTGCAGGTTTATAATCACTTAGGCCTGAGTTTTTTTCTCCCTAAGAGAGTAATTTATAAGAAATGCATTAGTTAGGTTTTAGATGTTTTACTTATGAACACAGGGCACTAGAGCCACTTCAGTCTAATTTCCCGCTGTTTAATTATTTTTATTTATTTATTTATTTATTTTAGTATTTATTGATCATTCTTGGGTGTTTCTCAGAGAGGGATGTGGCAGGGTCATAGGATAATAGTGGAGAGAAGGTCAGCAGATAAACACGTGAACAGGGGTCTCTGGTTTTCCTAGGCAGAGGTCCCTGTGGCCTTCAGCAGTGTTTGTGTCCCTGGGTACTTGAGATTAGGGAGTGGTGATGACTCTTAATGAGCATGCTGCCTTCAAGCATCTGTTTAAGCACTGCCCTTAATCCATTTAACCCTGGGTTGACACAGCACATGTTTCAGAGAGCACGGGGTTGGGGTTAAGGTTATAGATTCACAGCATCCCAAGGCAGAATTTTTCTTAGTACAGAACAAAATGATGTCTCCTATGTCAACTTCTTTCTACACAGACATAGTAACAATCTGACCTCTCTTTCTTTTCCCCACATTTCCTTCTTTTCTTTTTGACAAAACTGCCATCATCATCATGGGCCATTCTCGATGGTCGCTGTCTCTTCAGAGCTGTTGGGTACACTTCCCAGATGGGGTGGCCTGGCAGAGGCGCTCCTCACTTCCCAGATGGGGCGGCCGGGCAGAGGGGCTCCTCACTTCCCAGATGGGGCGGCCGGGCAGAGGTGCTCCTCACTTCCCTGATGGGGCAGCTGGGCAGAGGTGCACCTCACTTCCCAGACGGGGTGGCGGCTGGGCAGAGGCTGTAATCTTAGCACTTTGGGAGGCCAAGGCAGGCGGCTGGAAGGTGGAGGTTGTGGCGAGCCGAGATCATGCCACTGCACTCCAGCCTGGGCAACACTGAGCACTGAGTGAGCGAGAACTCCGTCTGCAATCCCAGCACCCCAGGAGGCCGAGGTGGGCAGACCACTAGAGGTCAGGAGCTGGAGACCAGCCAGGTCAACATGGCGAAACCCCGTCTCCTCCAAAAATACAAAAATCAGTCAGGTGTGGCGGCGTGCACCCGCAGTCCCAGGCACTCAGCAGGCCGAGGCAGGAGAACCACGGGAGCCCGGGGCAGGGAGGCTGCAGTGACCCGAGACCACAGCAGTACAGTCCAGCCTCGGCAACAGAGGGAGACAGAAGAAAGAGGGAGAGGGAGAGGGAGAGAGAGAGGGAGAGGGAGAGTGGTTTAATTATTTTAACTCTCCACAGGAAGACTGGTCTTTCTAATGTATGACAAGCAGGGCCTCTAAGCCACCACCGTTTTCCCCTAGCCTAACTCAGGCTTGCAGTAAAATTGTAAATTTCCACTTTTGTTCCTACATTCTCAAATTTTGGAAATGAGGCCATCTTCCTCTCTCCAACATACAACACTATACCATAAGTGTATTTTGACCTTCAGGAAATCCATAAGTAGTGTATTTCTTTTTCTTTCTTTTTTTTTTTTTTTTTTTTTGAGACGGAGTCTTGCTCTTGTCACCCAGGCTGGAGAGCAATGGCATGATCTTCGCTCACTACAACCTCTGCCTCCTGGGTTCAAGTAGTTCTCCTACCTCAGCCTCATGAGTAGCTGGGACTACAGGCATGTGTCACTACCTCCAGCTAATTTTTTGTATTTTTAGTAGAGACAGTGTTTCACCATTTTGGCCAGTCTGGTCTCTAACTCCTGACCCCAGGTGATCCACCTGCCTTGGCCTCCCAAAGTGCTAGGATTATAGGCGTGAGCCACCGTGCCCAACCCCATAAGTGTATTTCACATACCATAAGTGTACTTTGTGTACCATAAGTGTACACATACCATAAGTGTACTTTGACTCTCAGGAATTATGTGTATAGTGCCTTTGCCCCTAGAATTTCTCACCAAAAAATTATACAAGTTCATAGAGGACTCCTGGCTAATCTCTATTCCAGACCGTGAAACTGCAGCACAACCTGATCTCTTCATCAACCTGGGCTTGTGAGCCACCAATCGTAATCTCATCTGCCTGCATGGACACAGGAATATGTCAGAATATAGCCCTGCCTTGGTTAGTATCTGTAGCATAAGAGTCCTCCCAGTTACCATGCACTGTCCCCTATTAATGAGTTATTGATAGCATCTTTCCCTCTTCTGTCTTTTACTTCCCCACAAACACTTTTTGATGTGCAGAATGTGCCCAAGGCCAGCCCTCAGGTTCCTGAATCTAGCACCTACTAGAATTCAGATGTCCATGAGTTCAAGATTATGGCCCTAGACCTGGATGTTGTAAAAAAAGATACAAATTACAAATACAGGCTTCACCCTTCTTGAAAATAAGGGCAGAGATTTTTCTCTTTTCTTTTCTTAAATCATTTTCTGTACAAAACTTTTGTATGTAAATTCTTTTCCTGCCTAGTTGAAATATATACAAACTATTCTAACTGCTAAATAGGTCTTTTGTATTTTTGACTCAAGACTGTTTTTCTCTAGGACCTCAGAATTATTAATATTAATATATATATTTTTTGAGATGGAGTATCACTCTGTTTCCCAGGCTGGAATGCAGTGGCATGATCTCGGCTCACTGCAACCTCTACCTCCCAGGTTCAAGCGATTCTCCTGCCTCAACCTCCTGAGTAGCTGGGACTATAGGCACCCGCCACCACGCCTGGCTAATTTTTGTATTTTTAGTAGAGATGGGGTTTCACCATATTGACCAGGCTGGTCTCGAACTCCTGCCCTTGTGATCTGTCTGCTTCATCTTCCCAAAGTTTTGGGATTACAGGCATGAGCCACTGCACCCAGTTGACCTCGGATTTATTTATTTATTTATTCATTCATTCATTTTTGGGGGGAAGGAGTTTCACTCTTGTCCCCCAGGCTGGAGTGCAATTGTGCATTCTCAGCTCACTGCAACTTCCACCTCCCAGGTTCAAGCGATTCTCCTGCCTCAGCCTCCTGAGTAGCTGGGATTAGAGGCGTGAGCCACCACACCCAGCTTCTTTTTTAAACTTTTATTATTATTGTTCAATAGAGGTCTCGTCCACCACATTGCCCCCAAGATAGTCTCCAAATCCTGGCCTCCAGATATCCCCTCACCTTGGCCTCCAAAGTGCTGGGATTACAGGCATGAGCCATCTTGCACAGTCTGGTAATATTTTTGATGTGTTGATTCTTTCCAGTCCAGATGCATAATCTCATCCCTAAACATTCCTGCTGGTGTGATTATGACATATCACTTTACCCAGCACCAGAGTGATTTGATGCTCCTCCCTGGGCCCAGGCCACAAATGGGATTGTGACATATCCCTGGACCCAGAGAGGTGGTGTGACAATTCTACTGCCTTGGCACTGCCCACAGAGGACATTGTGACATATCACTGAGTTTGTACCCAGGTGGTGTGAATCTTCTCTCCTGCCTTGTCTCTTCCACAGGGGGCATTGTGTCATATCGCTGGGCCCCACACTCAGGTTATGTGACTCTTCTGCTTGTGCTCTTCCCATGTGGGTCATTGTGACATATTGCTCTGTCACACACCCAGGTGAGGTAACCATACTGCCTAGGTCCTGCCTACAGAGGACATTGTGACATCCCTGCACCCATCACACAGGTAATATGACTCTGTTCTCCTACGTGGCTCCTGCTCACAGAAGGGATTGTGACATATCACTGGGCTTGGCACCTAGCTGACATAACTCTCCTCCTTGTCTTAGGTTCTGCCTGCAGGGGATACTGTGACATGTCACTGGGTCTAATACTAAAGTAACGTTACTCTTTAGCCTTGCCACTGCCCTCAGAAGGCATGGTGATGTATTGCTGGGCCCAGAAGCAATGTGATGTGAGTCTCCTTCCTGACCCTTCCTGCAAGGTACCTACAAGATACATCTCTGGGCCATTTACTATTTTATGTGACTCTTCTCTCTACCTGGATGTTGCCCAAAAAGAGATTGTGACATAACTTTGGGCCCAGAACAGAGGTTATGTGACTCTCCTCTCCTGCCTGTGCCTTGCCCACAGAGGAGAGAGTGACTTATTACTGAGTTTAGCACACGGGTGATGTGATTCTTCTTCTGGCTCACGGAATTCATTGTGACATATATCTGGGCCCATCACTGACATTATGTGGCTCTTCCTCCTGGGACCTGTCCACACTGGGGAGTGTGACATTGCTTGGCCCTTCACCTTCATGATTTGACTCTCCTCTTATTCCTGGTCCCCACTCACTGAGATGATTTTGACATATAGTTGGGCCCAGCTCCAAGGTTATGTGACTCTACAGTTCTTCCTGAGCCCTACCCACAGCGGGAATTGTGTCATATGTCTGAGACCCTCAGTTAGGTGATGCAAATCTTTTGTTTGGGCCCTCTTCTCAGGGTGTTGTGATACATAGCTGGGCCCAGCATCTAGGTGATGTGACTCTTCTCTATTGTTTGGTCTCTGCCCAAAAAATAATTGTGATGTATCACTGGGTCAATAACCTAGATGAGGTGACTCCTCTCCAGCCTGGGACCTGCACACATTGTGTGTTGACACATATCACTGACTCCACCTCCTAGATAATGCAACTCTCCTGCGTGGGCCCTGCCCATAGGGGTATTATGAGCTATCATTTTATTAATCACCTAGGTGATGTGACACTCCTCTTCTGCCTGGGCCCTGCCAAAAAGCTTTGTTACATGTCGCTGAGCCCAGCACCTAAGTGATGTGACTCTTCTCTCATGCATGGGTCCTGCCAACTAGGGAGTTTGTTACTTGTAGCTGACCCCAGCCCTTAGGTCATGTGATTTTTTTTTTTTTCCAGAGCCCTACCTACATAAGGCATTTTGACATATTTTTGAGCCCAGAGGTATTATAACGTATCTTTCCTTTTTACTTTTTTGAGACGGAGTCTCGCTCTGTTGCCAGGCTGGAGTGCAGTGGTGCAATCTCGGCTCACTGCAACCTTCACCTCCCAGGTTCAAGCGATTCTCCTGCCTTAGCCTCCCCAGTAGCTGGGACTACAGGTGCCTGCCACCATGCCCAGCTGATTTTTGTATTTTTAGTAGAGACGGGGTTTCACCATGTTGGCCAAGATGGTCTTGATCTCTTGACCTTGTGATCCACCTGCCTCGGCCTCCCAAAGTGCTGGGATTACAGGCTTGAGCTACCGTGCCCGGACATAACATATCTTTTCATTCATCAACTAGGCAATGTAATGGTCTTCTGCCTAGGCCCTGCCAAAAAGGGGTATTGTGGCGTATCACTGGACCCAGCATGTAAGTGATGTGACTCTCCTGTTTTGCCTGGGCCTCCCATATTTTGGTTATTTTAAAATATCATTAGGCCCAACACCTATAGGATAGTATGTTCCTGCCTGGGCTCTGCCCACAGGGACCTTGTGACATATATCTGCATCCATGACCTAGAAGATATGACATTTTATAATCCCCTTCACAGGAAGGATTGTGACATATCCCTGGAACCAGACACCAGGTGATGTGGCTCTTCTGTCTTTGTCTTGACCCCAGCGAGCATTGTGACATAGTGCTGAGCTCAGCACCCAGGTGACATGAGTCTGTTGCCTGTGCTGTGCTTTCAGGAGAGAATTGTAACATATCCCTAGCTGAGCACCCAGGTGATGTGACACTCCTGCTTGGCTGCCTCCCTCAGGGAAGATTGTGAGATATCCTTGGCTGAAATCCAGGTGATGTGACTCTCCTGCTAGGTCCCTACCTAATTATGACATACACTGTTGTCAGCTTACAAATGTGATGATGGCTTTCATTAATCAAATCAGCTATTAGAAAAGATACTGTCTTTCATAGCTCGACTTAGAAAAATGAGCAACATCCTGGGTCCTCTCTTTGTATGCAGGTCATACAGGATTGCCACAACCCCACCTATAATATAATGCCTTCAAGTGTTAGAGAGAGTGTTATCACAGGGCACAGCACATTGGTGAGATTTTGTTTCTTATATGCACACCTCACCAGCCATTAGGATTATCACCCTCACACAGAGAAAGAGCCCATTGCTGAGGTCTTGAATTTCCCATGCAAACACAGCCCATAGTTGGAATTGTGACTGTCATATGTGAGCATCCAACCACTGTTTGAATGATGACACAGTTCTAAACCCAGAACATAAGCAGTGAGGACTCTACTATCTGGACCCAGCCAATTGGAGAGATGTTGACTCTAATATCTGGGCATAGGGCCATAGGTATGGTTGTGGTTGCATACAAAGATGAAGATCTGGCCAGACACGGTGGCTCACGACTTAACCCCAGCACTTTGAGAGGCCAAGGCGGGCAGATCATGAGGTCAGGAGTTCAAGACATCCTGGCCAACATGGTGAAACCCCATCTCTACTAAAAATACAAAAATTAGCTGGGCATGGTGGTGGATGCCTGTAATCCCATCTACTCGGGAAGCTGAGGCAGGAAAATTGCTTCAACCCAGGAGGCAGAGGTTGCAGTGAGCTGAGATCGTGCCACTGCACACCAGCCTGGGCAACAGAGCAAGACTCCATCTTGGTGGGGGGGGAAAAGATTCTCCCTTGGGGAAACAAAGATGAAGATCTCAGACTGAATTGTGATTCTCATTGACACTGTATAAAGCCTTTGGGTAGTATAGAGAGTGTACTAACAGGGCCCAGCTCACAGGGAAAATTGTGACAGTTGTATGCACACCCACACACAGTATACATTGTCATTTTCCCACATGAACACAGCGCACTTTTGAGGTTCTGAATCTCACACCTATAGGCAGTCAAAGGCCGGAAACTTGACTCTCAGATGTGGATCCAGTTCACTGGTGAGTTGGTGACACTCAGAGCAAGATTCAGCACACCTATGAGGCTGTGACTTCACTAATTAGACAGTCTGCAGGAGGAGTTGAGGCTCTCATGCACAAATTCAGTCAACCATTGCCATTGTAACTCCTGTTCTTAGACACAATATATAGGAAGTGTTAACCTCCTATACCTAATACCGGGACATGTGTGGGATTGTTAATTTCATCCCTGAACCTCCTGCAGGTTTAATTGTGACATTTTTCTCTGTTCATCAGCTGAGTGATCTGACTCTTGCATGGTCCAGCCCACAGATGGGATAGTGACATTTTGCTGAACCCAGAACTGAGGGTATATGACTCTATTCTGTGTTAGTGCTGCTTGCAAGGGACATTGTGACACCTTGCTGTGCCTTGCCACATAAGCAATTGTAAAACACTGCTGGGTCAAACACCCTGGTAATTTAACTCTACTGCCTGGGTTCTGCCATCAAGGGGCATAGTGACATATCTTTCCATCCATCACCCAGGTGATGTGACTGTCTTCTGCCTGGTTTCTCCAAAAACTAGGGATTGTGACATATCACTTGGCCCACTACCAACAGGGTGACTCTTCTTTTCATCATAAGTTTTGCTTGGATAAGAGATTGGGACATACTGTGGGGCTCAGCACCAATGTGAAATTACTGTTCTGCCTTGGCCTAGACCTCAAAAGGCATTGTGACATATTTCTGGGCCCAATAACAAGGTGATGAGGGTCTCCTGTCAGAACCCTGACAACAGAGCATTGTGAAATACCTTTGGGAAAATCAACTATTTGTTGTGACTCTCTTGCTATGCCAAGGCTTTGCTTATATAAAGAAGAGATTGTGACATATTTTTCAGCCCAGAAATCAGGTGATGTGTTTCTCCTGCCTGGGCTTTGCTCACAGGGAGCATTGTGACATATCACTGAGCCCGGCACCCACGTGACGTGACTCTACTGCCTCTGTCCTTCTTTCTTTTCTTTTTCTTTTTCTTTTCTGTTTTTTGGGGGTGGGGGGAGATGGAGTTTTGCTCTTGTTGCCCAGGCTGGAGTGCAGTTGCGTGATCTCAGCTCACTGCTACCTCCGCTTCCTGGGTTCAAGTGATTCTCCTGTCACAGCTTCCAAAGTAGCTGAGATTACAGGCCTGCACCATCACACCCAGCTAATTTTTTGTATTTTTAGTAGAGATGGGGTTTCACCATGTTGGCCAGGCTGGTCTCGAACTCCTGACCTCAGGTGATCTGCCCGCCTCAGCCTTTCAAAGTGCTGGGATTACAGGCATAAGCCACTGTGACCAGCCACAGTTTCTTCTTAAAAGAAGGGCAGGCCTGGCAAGGTGGCTCACGCCTATAATCCCAACACTTTGGGAGGCCAAGGTGGGCGGACCATGAGGTCTGGAGATTGAGAGCATCCTGGCTAAAACAGTGAAACCCTGTCTCCACTAAAAATACAAAAAATTAGCTGGGCATGGTGGCACGTGCCTGTAGTCCCAGCTACTCGGGAGGCTGAGGCAGGAGAATTGCTTGAATCTGGGAGGCAGAGTTTGCAGTGAGCTGAGACCATGCCACTGCACTCCAGCCTGGGTGACAAAGTGAGGCTCCATCTAAAACAAGGCAGAAGGCTCATGCCTGTAATCCCAGGATTGTGGGAGGCCGAAGCGGGTGGATCACCTGAGGTGATTATCACACATAGCCTAGCCGCTAGGTTATGTTACTCTCCTCTTTTCTTGAACCCTTCCCACAGTGGACATTGTGACATGTCTCTTGGCTGCTAACCTAAGTGATGTGACTCTCCTGCCTAGGCCCTCCCCTCAAGGGGTACTATGCCATATTGCTGGACTAAGAACCTAGGTTATGTGACTCTCTACTGACAGAAAAAGATTTTGATATATCACTGGGCTAGTATCCTAGGTAATGTTACTCTTCTGTTGCCTTGGCCCTGCATACATTATGTATTGTGACACATCACTGGGGCCAGCACCTACGTGAAGTGACCCTCCCGCATGGGCTTAGCCCACAAGGGTATGATGACATATCTTTTCATTTTTCACTCAGGTGATGTGACTCTCCATTTATGCCTGGGCCTTGACAAAATAGGGATTGTGACATATCTCTGGACCCAGCACCTAGGTAATGTGACTTACCTCTATTGCCAGGGCATGGCATATTGTGAGTATTGTGATATATCTCTGGGCCCAACACCTAGGGGATGAGAGGCTTCTGCCTGTGCCTTGCCCACAGGAGGCTTGATGGCATGTCTCTGTCTTCATTACCTAGAAAGGTGTGACTCTCCTCTTTTATCTGCATTCTTCCCACAGAGAAGATTGTGACATATCACTGGGCCCAGCAATTAGAAGGTGTTTCTCTCCCACCTGAGCCTTTCTCTCAGGAAAATTCTGACATATCCTTGGACTCAGCACCCAGGTGATGGGTCTTTGCCACCTATGGCCTGCCTACATAGACCATTGTGAAGTATAGCTGCTTTCAATACCCACGTGATGTAACCGTTCTTCCAGGGCACTGCCTTCTAGGGAAATTGTGATGCATTTCTGTGTGGATCACATAGGTGATGTGAATCTTTTCACTGGACTGATCCCTGCTCACTGGGGGATAACGATATGTATTGCTGGTTTCAGCACTGAGCTGATGTGATTCTTCTCTTCTGCAAGAAAACTGACGTATTGCTGGGCCCAACACCAAGGTTATTTTGCCTGGCCTGCCCTCAAAAGACATTGTGACATATTGCAGTGCCCAACATGAATGTCATTTGTCTCCTGCTCAGACCCTGCCTACTTGGGGCATTGTGGCATATTTCTTGGCCTATCAACAATTTGATGTGGCTCTCCTTTCTTACCTTGGCTTTGCCCATAGTAGAGATTGTGACGTATCTCTGGGCCAAGCACCTAGATGATGTGACTCTCCCCTTCTGTCTGGGCCATGCCCACAGAAAATAGAGTGACTTATTGCTACACCCAACACACAGGTGATTTCTTCCTTCTGCATGATCTCTGCTTACATGGACTATTGTGACACATCTCTGGTCCCATCACCTAAATGGTGTGACTCTTGGTGAAGGATTTATGTGATGTGACTTTCTTCTTGTACCCTGTCCACAAGGATGATTATGTCATATAGGTTTACCCAGCTTCTAGGTTACGTGACTCTCCTGTGACACACGTACACACACACACACATATATATATATAGAGATAGAGTCTCAATCTATTGCGCAGGCTGGAGTGCAGTGGCATGATCTCGGCTCACTGCAAATTCTGCCTCCTGTGTTCAAGCGATTCTATCTCAGCCTCCCAGGTAGGTGGGATTACAGGTGTGTGTAACCACACCCGGCTATTTTTAATTTTATTTTATTTTTCTAGGGGTCTGTCCTGCAGACCCTGACCCAACGATGGATGAATAATGTACACTAACACAGATATTATGCTTGTCAGACCGGCTGAGGGTCTAGGCCACTTACAGACTCAAAGGAGAGTGCTGTAAAGAGTTGCAGCTGTGGCCCTGACTCACTGGCCCTGCTGGCATTTATTCAGCACATATTAAATGACGAAGGCTTTGAGTCAACACCATCAGTGGGTAATCAATCTGGTTGCCCTCCCCCTACCCTGAGAGAGCTATCCTGCCCATAAACTATCAAAGGTTAGTTTTAGGACCACATAAGTAAACAAGTCATTTAGATAAACTACATTTCTGTGTATCTATGCCCTAAGCTTTTAAGAGAATTCAGCTGCCTTCAGCCCAACATTTTATGCAAACCCCCAGGCCTTCCACAAGTGTTTGTGATTATTTCCTATAATTTTACAATTTCTCCCACCATCCTGACTGAATCCCCCACATCTTCCCCTTTTCTGTTCTTTGCATCAGGTTCTGTTGACTGAAGAGTACAGATGTGGGAACAAACAGGTCTCTCAGGAGAGGTGGTCATTGCTCTTATTCCAACTTTGCATCCTAGAATTAGCAAATAACATAAGACAATCATGAGTATAATTAGCAACATTTTTTTCCAGTCAAAGAGTGACCTGTAGTGTTATTTGACACTTCAGTTCTATGTGTGCTGTTACTATGGAGCCCTACTAGGAGTAAATCTATCCCTCTTAGCCAAGCAGTTACATTATTTTATTTATTTTTTTTTTTTTTTTGAGACGGAGTCTCGCTCTGTCGCCCAGGCTGGAGTGCAGTGGCGCGATCTCGGCTCACTGCAAGCTCCGCCTCCCGGGTTCACGCCATTCGCCTGCCTCAGCCTCCCGAGTAGCTGGGACTACAGGCGCCCGCTACCACGCCCGGCTAATTTTTTGTATTTTTAGTAGAGACGGGGTTTCACCGTGTTAGCCAGGATGGTCTCGATCTCCTGACCTCGTGATCCGCCCGCCTCGGCCTCCCAAAGTGCTGGGATTACAGGCGTGAGCCACCGCGCCCGGCCAGCAGTTACATTATTAAAGGCTGGGAAGGGGATGTCTCCCCAGGTGACAGGGCAAAAGAAAGGTGGGTTCAAGTATGAGCCTAATAGAGTGTAGCAGGTACAGGTGGCCAGCAAAGCAAGAGTACAAAAAGGATCAATACCCTATGTGAGTTGCAATATACACAGAAAGCATAGCAAGGAAAAAATTTCCTGGAGTAATTGGTGTCAGTGTCCAGAGCAGGATTCGTTCAGCCTCCTGAGTTGTCCTCTTCAGCATCCCCCAGGTCCGGGGCTTGTGTCATCTGTGGAAGCTGCTTTGTTCAGGGCTGCGGGTACTGTAAGGTCAGTTTCTTCATTTCTGATATGGGGTTGGGTCCTAGGCATGCCATGGTATGGTTTGATGCATCGTGCTGGAATCCAAAGAGGACCTGAGGGGGTATGAACACAAGCATATCCTCTTCCCCACGTTAACAAAAACTGCAGGTTTTATGTCTTGAGAGGTTTTAGCAAAGTGCTTTTCTACAGCTGATTGAAATTTATCATCTAAATTTAGAAAATTAAGGGTCAATAAGGCTTGTGCCAATAGTGTTCCAGGGTCTTTACCCATACTCCCTCTTTTTTGTTTTTTGAGCATATTTTTAAGAGTGGAATGGGCACATTCTACTATGGCTTGTCCTTGGGGATTATATGGGATGCCTGTGAAATGTTGGATATTCCACGTGTGGCAAAACTGTTGAAATTGTGAGCTGGCATAAGCTGGACCATTATCAGTTTTAATTGTTGTGGGCCACCCCATAAACACAAAAGTTAAAAGATGTTTAATGACATATTGAGTGGACTTTCCGGGAAGGGCGTGTGCACTAATTAGACCTGTTGAAGGAGGGGACATGCCTGTAAGCTGGCAAGCTGAGCATTGCAGGATAATTTGTTTAGCCAGCCTCTGGGTAAGTTGAAATTGTTTAGATAAGTTTTTCTAATTTTGGTGGAAGAATTGATGTGATTTGCTGGCTTGGTTAAGCAGTGATGTTATAACAGGAAGGTCTGCTTGATAATTGCCATAAGTTAATGGGCAAGGCAGTGAGCTGTGGGATCGAATGTGTGCCCATAAAAATAGGATGTGTACATTGATCTAGCAATTGCTGAAGTCAGAGAAAAAGAGCACACAGGGCAGACTTTAGAGTGGACTTAATTAAGGTTGTCTCAAGATTCTGCAATAAGTAAACAGAGTAAGCAGAGTCACTCACAATATTGATGAGCTGAGTGGAAAAAGTTTCCAAGGCCAATATCAGGGCCCCAATATCAGCTCTCTGAGTGAAAGTAAACCCAGATTGAGTGAGTGAATTTTATGGTCTCCACCACACTGCCACTTTTCCATGTTTACCTGAACCGTCAGTAAACAGTGTTAAAGCATTAGGTATGGGGAAGTGAACTATTTTTGTAGGCAAAATCACAGGAGTACAAGATAAGAAATGAAGGAGTTTATTAGCAGGAAGGACATGCTCTATATGTCCTGGGTAATCAGAGAGAGCTATTTGCAGATCGATAGATACTGGCAATACTGCTTTGAATTGCCTTTTACTTAAAGGAATCCTGATGATATCAGGATCATAATCTAGCAACTGACTGCATCGTTTGTGGCCTGAATAGATGACTTTACTGAGTAATTGGATATAGGGAAAGAGTGTTTTAGTCCCAGTATATGAGCAAAAAAACTATCTAGGAAGCACAGTTCTGGGGTTATCTCTCCTATTAACCCTCTAGGGGAGTGTTTTACTGAATTGAGTAGCCTGGATATATGCAATCTAGCTGCCTCTGAGAGATGGATTGTTCTATTTCCTCAATTTCCCCTGTTTGCTGCAGGGGTTAAATTTCTGGGATAATCTAGGGCTGTATTGCCCGTTAAGATAGAAAACAGGTTTTGTAACTTATCAGTAGGAATCCCCAAAGTGGGGTAGAGTCAGTTAATATTGACCAGTAAGTTCTGATAATCATTTACTGTATGTAAGTTGCTAGTATTTAGTTTAACTTTTTGAGGTCTTACTGACTTGGAAGTTAGTATGTACCCAAGATGTTTCCAAGGAGAGGACATTTGTACTTTTTCAGGTGCTATGAGTAAACCTCTTAACTGTATTCTTTATGATAGAGGTAAATAAATTTAAAAGTAGCAGCTCCATTGGGACTGTTAGTAATATATCATCCATCAAATGAATAATCTTGCAATCAGGAAATTCTTTTATACTGGGGAGCAAAGCTTTATTTACAGGATACTGGCACATGGTAGGACTGTTTAGCATTCCTTGAGGAGGCACTTTCCAATAAAATTGACAAGCTGGCCTTTCATTATTGATAGCTGGTATTGTAAACACAAATTTTTCTTTGTCCTGTTCTGCTAGGGGAATCATATAAAAACAGTCTTTTAAGTCAATAATGATTATAGGCCAATCTTGAGGAACTGCCATGGGGAAGGGAACCCCTGCTGAAGGGGTCCCATAGGTTGCAAGTTGGCATTAATAGCATGTAGGTCATGTAAAAGCCTCCATTTACCTGACTTTTTGGGGATGACAAAAATGGGTGAATTCTAAGGACTATTAGATGGTTCTACATGCCCAGCTTTTACTTGCTTTTCAAGTAATTCATGAGCCATTTGTAATTTCTCTACCTTCAGAGGCTACTGCTTTACTTAAATTGGAAATGGAGAGAGTCACATTAGGGGTAAGAGAGAGATAAAAACAGTGGCCATTATTAGAAAGAGGTCTTTTAAATTCTTAAATTTTACTTAAATCTTAGCACAGAATTATAATCTGGGATATCAGTTGTGTCATGCATGTCCGTGTGAAGAGATGACCAAACAGGCTTTGTGTGAGCAATAAAGCTTTTTAATCACCTGGAGGCAGGCAGACTGAGTCTGAAAAAGGAGTCAGCAAAGGGAGATAGGGGTGGGGCAATTTTATAGGCTTTGGGTAGGTAGTGGAAAATTACAGTCAAAGGGGGTTTTTCTCTTGCAGGCAGGGCAGGGGTTACAAGGTGCTCTGTGGGGAGGTTCTGAGACTCATTGTCCAGGAGAAGGAATTTCACAAGGTCAATTGACCAGTTAGGGTGGGGCAGGAACAAATTACAATGGTGGGATGTCATCAGTTAAGGCAGGAATTGGCTATTTTTACTTCTTTTGTGGTTTTTTAGTTGCTTCAGGCCATCTGGATGTATACGTATGTGCAGGGTTGGGCTCAGAATCCTGACATTCCTGTCTTCTTATATTAATAAGGAAAACAAACAAAATAGTGGTGAAGTGTTGGGGTGGTGAAAATTTTGGGGGATGGTATGGAGAGATAATGGGTGATGTTTCTCAGGGCTGCTTCAAGTGGTATTAGGGGTGGCGTGGGAACCTAGAGTGGGAGAGGTCAAACTGAAGAAAGATTTTGGGGCAAGGGGTTATATTGTGGGGTTGTTAGAAGGAGCATTTGTCATATAGAATGATTGGTGATGGCCTTGATGTAGTTTTGTATGAGTTGAGAAACTAAACAGAAGACACAAGGTCCAAATAAGAGAAGGAGAAAAACAGGTATTAAAGGACTAAGAATTGGGGAGGACCCAGGATATCCAAATAGAGAGTGCCCAAGGGGTTCAGTGTAATTATTTGCTTGGTTGGTGAGTTTTGGGGCTCAATCCTTGTGATTTTTTTATGCTGTCCTATACCAGGCCAGATTGATTTAGGTCAAAACAACACCCTTCATTTAAAAATTTAGAGTCCTCCTTTTTCAGCAGTAATTCAAGGCCTATTTCTGTCTTCTTATACTAATAAGAAAAATAAAACAAAATAGTGGTGAAGTGTTGGTGTCATGAGGGGAACAGGAAGCTGTTCAGTCCTATTTGTGAAATGATTTTTGGGAGTAAAGGAAACTAGTGTACATGTGCCTGTCCAATTAATAGGTAGACACATGTAGGTGGAGGAGCCACAGAGGAAGAAGGGACCTTTGTAAGGCATAACTGGAAATGTAAAGTGAAAAGATGAGAACGAGAAAAACTGACCATGAGGGACCAAAGTTGGAATGCTAACTGCTTCTTTAGCTACCTTATCAGCATAAGCGTTGCCCTGAGCAATGGGATCTGATGCCTTTTGATGGCCCTTGCAGTGAACTACCCTAGCTTCCTTGGAAGTAGAGCAGCTTTAAGAAGAGTTTTTATTAAGGAGGTGTTAATGATGGAGGACCCCTGTGTAGTGAGGAAACTTCTTTCTGCCCATATAACAGCATGGTGGTAAAGGATGTGGAAGGCATACTTGGAATCAGTATAGATATTGACAGCTAGTCCCTTTGCAAGAATGAGGGCTTAAGTTAAGGCAATGAGTTCTGCTTGTTGAGAGGTAGTGGAAGGGGGCAGGGCTGTAGCCTCAATGATAGATGTGGAAGACACTATAGCATAACCTGCCTTTGCCGGTGATTGGCAATTGGACCTGGAAGAACTACCATCAGTAAACCAAGTGTGGTCTGGGTGGGGAACAGGAAAGGGGGAAATAGATTTTGAAAGCTATGGGAACTGTAGAGAGTAAGTGGAGCATAGCTTGTGATTTTGAGGGTGCCTAAAAGTATTAAAGCAGTGGCAGCTTCTGCACATAGACATGAGGGCTACCCCAGAATTGTGAGGTCAAGTTGTTTTGATAGAAAGGCAACAGGTCATGGGCCTGGCTCCTGTGTGAGGACTCCAGCAGCACAGCCTTGTATTTCAGCTGTGTGTAAGGAAAAAGGATGGGATAAGTCGGGGAGTGCTAGTGTAGGAGCTGCCTCCAGGGCCTTTTTGAGAGAGTGAAAAGAAGAATGGGGAAAAGACTTATGGTCTGTGGGATCAGTTAAGTTACCCTTTGTGAGTTTGTAAAGTGGTTTGGTTAGGATAGCAAAACCTGGTATCTAGAGTCAGAAATA
Organism: Homo sapiens; assembly: GCF_000001405.40. Classification (NCBI taxonomy): domain Eukaryota; kingdom Metazoa; phylum Chordata; class Mammalia; order Primates; family Hominidae; genus Homo; species Homo sapiens. The sequence goes on along the minus strand of NC_000019.10, from coordinate 23,552,954 downwards.
ACCAACAATGCTTAAGAAGGAAAGGAGTTGTGTGGTGGTGGGGATTGGGGTCTGGGAGATTAACTGAACCTGGTCTACGGGAAGGCACGTGTATGTCAATGGAAGATTATACTGAGATAGGTAATGCTAGGGGAAGAAATTTGTGTCTTGGAGGGGGATACTCTGTATCCCTTTGAGTAGAGATGTTGAAGAAGCAGGATAGTGTCCTGCTGGGAAGATTGGTAAGAGGGGCTACAAAGAAGATCATGAAAATATTGAATAAGGTGGAAGGCAGATGAGCAAACAGAAAGCAGATAATGAGAAAGGGCCTGGCCAAAGTAGTGTGGGCTCTCCTTGAACCCTTGGGGCGAACAGTCCAGGTGAGTTGCTGAGACTGATGAGTGTAAGGGTCAGTCCAAGAGAAAGCAAAAAGAGGCTGGGATGAAGGGTGTGAAGGAATAGTAAAGAAAGCATCTTTGAGATACAGAACAGAATAATGGGTTGTGGAGGGAGGAAATGAGGATAGGAGAGTATATGGGTTTGGCACCATGGGGTGGATAGGCAAGAAAATTTGGTTGATAAGATGCGGATCCTGGACGAGACTGTAAGACTTGTCTGGTTTTTGGAAAGGTAGGATAGGAGAGTTGTAAGGAGAGTTTGTAGGCTTTAAAAGGCCATGCTCTAACAGGCGAGTGATAACAGGCTTTAGTCCCCTTAAAGCCTATTGTGGGATGGGATACTGGCATTGAGTGGGGTAAGGGTAATTAGGTTTTAATGGGATGGTAAGGGGTGCATGATCGATCACAAAGGAGGGAGTACAGGTATCCCATACTTGTGGATTAAGGTAGGGAGACACAAGGGGAGAATGCAAAGAAGGCTTTGAACTGGGGAAAAGGGGGGCAATGAGGTGTGGCTGTAGCCCAGGAATAGTCATGGAAGCAGAAAATTTAGTTAAAATGTCTCAACCTAATAAGGGAGCTGGGCAGGTGGGGATAACTAAAAAAGAGTGTATAAAAGAATGTCCAAGTTGGTACAAGATTTGGGGAGTTTAAAGAGGTTTAGAAGCCTGGCCATCAATACCCACAACAGTTACGGAGGCAAAGGAAACAGACTCTTGAATGTGGAGTGGGTAGCCTCCATATTGATTAAGAAGGGGATGGACTTACCTTCCACTATAAGAGATTACTCAAAGTATCTGTGATGGTCCAGGAGGCTTCCGAGGTAATTGGGCAGCATCAGTCTTCAGCCACTAAGCCAAGATCTGGGAAGGAGTCAGTCAGAGAGCTTTGGGCTAGAATTCTAGGGGCTCTAGGAGTGGCTGCCAGGTGAGTTGGACAGTCCAACTTCCAGTGGGGTCCTGCACAGATGGGACACGGCTTAGGAGGAATCCTGGACTGCGGGCATTCCCTGGCCCAGTGGCCGGATTTCTGGCAATTGAAGCAAGATCCTGGGGAGGAGGTCCTGGAGGAACACCTGGCCCCTGCAGTTTAGGAGTTTTGAAGTTCTTGTGTGCTGGAGATGTAGCTGGGGTTTCTCTCACAGCAGAGGCAAGTAATTGCAACTCAGAAATACATTGCCGCTTGGCTGCCTCTTCTCTATTACTGTACACCTTGAAGGTGAGGTTAATTAAGTCCTGTTGTGGGGTTTTACAGCTGGAATCTAATTTTTGGGGCTTTTTTTAATGTCAGGAGTGGATTGGGTAATAAAATGCATATTGAGAATAAGACGGCCTTCTGGCCTCTCTGGGTCTAGGGCAGTAAAGCATCTAAGAGTTGTTGCCAAACGGGCCATGAACTGGGCTGGGTTTTTATATTTGATGTAAAAGAGCCTAAATGCTAACTGATTTGGGAGAGGTCGGATAAAGAAAAAGGAGCATTAACCTTGACTATGCCTTTAGCTCCAGCCACCTCTTTAAGAGGAAATTTTTGGGCAGGTGGGGGAGAGCTAGTTGTGGAACAAAGTTGTAAGCTGGACCAAGTGTGAGAAGGGGAGGTCATAGAAGGATTATAGGGTCGGGGAACAGAGGCTGAGGAAGAACTGGGACCTGGCTCATCCTGGTGAGCAGCAGCCTGGGGAGGAGAAGAGAGGTCAGATGGGTCCTTAGAAAAGGAAGATTTAAAGGACTCAGAACTTGGGGTGGAGACTGAAGGAACAGACAGGAGAGAAAGAAGAAAGATTTGGGATGAGTCACATTGGGAGCAGAGACTAGGGAGGGACCGATGTGTAAAAGAATGCCTGGATGTCTAGAACCTCAGACCATTTGCCCATTTTTGACAAAAGTCATCCAGGTCTTGTAAGATGGAGAAATCAAAAGTGCCATTTTCTGGCCATTTGGAACCATTGTCAAGTTTGTATTGGGGCCAGGCAGTGTTGCAGAAGAAAATAAGGCATTTAGGTTTTAGGTCAGGTGTGAGTTGAAAAGGTTTTAAGTTCTTGAGAACACAGGCTAAGGGAGAAGAAGGGGGAATGGAGGGTGGAAGGTAACCCATAGTGAAGTTTGAAGAGAAGGGTAGAGATGTGGAGAAGGGTGTGGGGTGAGCAGCCCTGGGCTGTAACATGGGTGAGCAGCCAAAGCAGGCATCCCCACAATTGTCTTGCCAGCAAGGGAATGTGGGTGAATGACCAAGGCAGGCATCCCTGCGGTGATCAGACACCAATGGAATGTGGGTGATCAGGACAGGCATCCCTACGATGATCAGACACCAATGGAATGTGGGTGAATAATCAGGGCAGGCATCCCCATGATGATCAGACACTAAGGGAAGACTGTCTTCCTGAGTCCATGACTGGTGCCAGAGTTTTGGGTTCATGGATAAAATGTGTCTCCTTTGTCTCTACTAGAGATGAAAAAGAACTGGAATTGGAAGGACAAGGAGATTGAAGGGTAGTAAGAGAGGCTGGAGAAGAAAGTGAAAAGACCGCTTACCTGATTTGAAATTGGTGAGATGTTCCTTAGGCTGGTTGGACTGAGGACCCGAGGTTGTAGGTGGATCTCCTCATGGAGTGAGGGTGAGGACAGGGGACCAGTCTCCCGAAGGAGTCCCCCATCCCGGGTCTTCAGCACCAAATGTCACGCATGTCTGTGTGAAGAGATAACCAAACAGGCTTTGTGTGAGCAATAAAGCTTTTTAATCACATGGGTGCAGGCAGACTGAGTCCGAAAAAGGAGTCAGCAAAGGGAGATAGGAGTGGGGCAGTTTTATAGGATTAGGGCAAGTAGTGGAAAATTACAGTCAAGGGGAGTTTTTCTCTTGCAGGCAGAGATGGGGGTTACAAGGTGCTTAGTGGGGAGGTTGTGAGACTCATTGTCCAGGAGAAGGAATTTCACAAGGTCAATTGACCAGTTAGGGTGGGGCAGGAATAAATCACAATGGTGGAATGTCATCAGTTAAGGCAGGAATTATTTTCACTTCTTTTGTGGTTCTTTAGTTGCTTCAGGCCATCTGGATGTGTACTTGCAGGCTTGGGCTCAGAGGCCTGATAGCTTGTATACAAGGAACACATGAAATTTTGCTGTGGGCTGCCCGTGGAGTTGGAGGGCAGCAGCGCGGGTCCTGGGGTGGCTGTCATGTTGCACTTGCCTAGGCGCCACTTTTTGCCTGTGCCACTTTTCGCTTGTGCTGCTCCCTTCCCCCACCACCAGGCTGCTGCTGGCTTGGCAGACCTTCCCGTGCACGCCTTCCACCCCTCCTTAGCAGGCTAGGTCTGGCATGCTGGGCCTGGCTCCCCATCCTCGACACCACACAGGCTGTTTTTGGGAGCATTTGCTGGCACCATGTCTGTGAGCTTCCCTGCTGCCAAACCTTTTCTTCTGCCCGCTGCCTGCTTGGCTGCACAGCTGTGGCCTCTAATGCCTTTTCTCAACTCTTTTTTTTTTTTTTTTTTTGAGACAGAGTCTTGCTCTGTCACCAGGCTGGGCCAGGTCGAAGTGCAATGGTGCAAACTTGGTTCACAGCAACTTCTGCCTCCCGGGTTTTCAAGTGATTCTCCTGCCTCAGCCTCCTGAGTGGCTGGGATTACAGGCGTGTGCCACCACTCCCAGCTAATTTTTGTATTTTTAGTAGAGACAGGGTTTCATCATGTCGGCCAGGATGGTCTCGATCCCTTGACCTCATGTTCTGCCTGCCTTAGCCTCCCAAAATGCTGGGATTACAGGGGTGAGCCACCGTGCCTGGTCTCTCAACTCTTTATGTAACTGGTTTCCTCATTGATTTTACATTACTGGGCAGGCTAATAGCTCCCGTTCTAATGCTACTTGCTTAAGACAGGGTTGCATTGCTGTAGTGTATCCCTCATCTTTTTTCCTATTTATTTGAGGAGGAGGCTTAGGTAAAACCTCTGTTTCTTCTTTGTTATTTTGGGGCTGAGGGAGAAGGAGGTGGTAAGGCAGGTGATGATTCCTCCTTTTTCCCCTTTTTAGGCTCTTCTGTGTATAATGGGACCAAGGCCACCCTCACTAGAGCCCATAATATTAAAGATGATACTGGGATGCGTTACCCTTGCACATGGTGTTGCTTAAGATTTCTCCCCACTTGTTCCCAGAGCTCTATGTCCAGCATGCCTTCTTTTGGGAACCGTGGGTTATGGGTTGCAACAGTTTGCATTAGGTCCCTTAATTGAGCCTTCAAAACTGAGGCTCCACTAGCTTTAAGCAGCTATTTCAATGCTTTTATATACTATTTCCGCTGAGCTGGTAACTGTTGTCCCATGATGAAACCTCAGCCTGAACAATCCCCGCCAAACTTGGAAATCTCATGTGGGCACCAATGACTTACCGATTACTCACTGACTGTGCAGTTCCTTTTTTACCATTGTTTGGGGGTCCGTCGTGCTCCCTGCACAGCATTCCTCACATGGGGCACCAGCTGCAGGGGTTTGTCCTGCAGACCCTGACACAATGACAGATGAATAATGTACACTGACACAGATATTGTGCTTCTCAGATCGGCTGAGGGTCCGGGCCACTTACAGACTCCAAGGAGAGGGCTGTAAAGAGTTGCAGCCATGGCCCTGACTCACTGGCCCTGCTGGCATTTATTCAGCACACATTAAATGACAAACGCTTTGAGTCAACACTAATAGAGGGTAATCAACCTGGTCGCCTTCCCCTCTAAAAGAGCCATCCTGCCCACGAGCTATCAAAGGTTAGTTTTAGAACCACATTTGTGAATAAGTTATTTAGGTAAACTAGTCTACATTCCTATGTATCTATGCCCTGAACTTTTAGGAGAATTCAGCTGCCTTCAGCCAAACAGTTTATGCAAATCCCCAGGCCTTCCACAAGGGTTTGTCTTTATTTCCTATAATTTTACAATTTCTCCCACCATCCTGACTGAACCCCCACATAGTTTTAGTTAGAGATAGGGTTTTACCATGTTGGCCAGGCTGATCTCTAACTCCTGACCTCAGGTTATCTACCTGCCTCCACCTCCCAAAGTGCTGGGATTACAGGCATGAGCCACTATGCCTGACTGACATATTTTTTGACTCGGCACCTAGGTGATGTCGCTCTTCTCCACTGCTTAGACTCTCAAGAAGATATTGTAATGTGTCACTGTGCCTGACACCTAGGTGATGATACTCTCTTCTCCTGCCTGGGCCCTGCATAAATTGCATATTTTGACATATCACTGGGTTCAGCAAATAGCTGATGCAACTGTCCTGCATTTTCTCTGTACATGGGGGTATTAGGACATATATGTTCATTCATCACCTATGTGATGTGACTGCTCTCTTCTCCCTGGTCCCTGCCAAAAGGCAAGATTGGGACATATCACTGGAACAAGAACTTAGGTCATGTGACTCTTCTGTTCCGCCTGAGAACTGCATATTTGGTACTGTGACATTTTACTGAGCCAGACTCCTAAAATGGGAGGCTCCTGCCTCAGTCCTGGTTAGGGCTGCAAAGCAGGTTGGATCATGTTTTTTTCTTTTTTTGAGACAGAGTCTCGCTGTGTCACCCAAGCTGGAGTGCAGTGGTGAAATCTCAGCTCACTGCAACCTCCACCTCACGGGTTCAAGCAATTCTCCTGGCTCAGCCTCCTGAGTAGCTGGAACTACAAGCACGTGCCACCATGCATGGCTAATATTTTATATTTTCAGTAGAGATGTGGTTTCACCATGTTAGCCAGGTTGGTCTTGATCTCCTGACTTCATGATCTGTCCACCTTGGCCTCACAAAGTGTTGGGATTACAGGCATGAGCCACCATGCCTGGCCTAAATATTATGTTTCTTGTAAGCACATTCTGCCTATTTTTAGAATTGTCACCCTCATACATAGACAGAGCCCACTGATGAGGTCATGATTCTCACATGCAGATCCAGTCCACAGTTGAAATTGTAACTATCATATCTGAACATCTGGCCAGTTGAGATGCTGACCCTTTTTTTTTTTTTTTTTTTTTAACATGGAGTTTCCCTCTTGTTGTCCAGGCTGGAGTGCAATGGTGTGATCTCTGCTCACTGCAACCTCCGCCTCCCGCATTCAAGCAATTCTCCTGTCTCAGCCTCCCAAGTAGGTGGGATTACGGGCAGTGCCACCACACCTGGATAATTTTTTTTTTTGTATTTTTAGTATTTCTCCATGTTGGTCAGGTTGGTCTTGAACTCACGACCTCAGGTGATCCGCCTGCCTCAGCCTCCCAAACTGTTGGGATTACAGGTGTAAGCCACCATGCCCAGGTGAGATGCTGGCTCATTTCTAAACCCAGCTCATTGGCAAGTGAGGACTCTCCTGTCTGGACCCTGGCAATATGAGAGATGTTGACTCTCATAGTTAGACTTAGGACCACATAAGATTAAGAATCCACAGAAGTACAAAGGTCTCAGAGCAGATTGCAACTCTCCTGCATACCATATAAAGCACCCAGGTGGTAAAAAGAGTGTACTGGCAAGGCTGAGCACACAGGTGAGATTGCGACAGTCATATTCACACCCAGTTAATAGCAAAGATTGTCATCTACTTAAATGAACACAACCCACTTTTGAGGTTCTGAATGTTACTTTTGGAGGCAGTTGAATGTTGGAAAATGGACTCTCGGATTCTTTCCATAGTTGGGTTGGTGACTCTTTAACCAAGATTCAGTGCACCTTTGTGGCTGTAACTTTAAGGCACAGAGTTTGCAAGAGAAATTGAGGCTCATGCACAAACCCAGTCCACCATTGAGACTGACTCCTGTATTTAGACCCAAAATGGAGGAGGTGTTGACTCTCATCCCTTCACTCGGGACATGTGTGTTATTGTTAATGTCATCACAGGACCTTCCTACAGGTGTGATTGTGACATACACCTCAGCCCAGCATCTGAATGGTTTGACTCTCTTCCCTGGGCCCAGCTCGCAGTGATATATCCCTGGAACCAGACTCTATTCTGCCTTGTAAAGCCCACAGGGGTCATTGTGACATATTGCTGAACCTTGCACCCAGGTGATGTGAGTCTCCTCTTTGGCCTTGGTGCTGCCCACATGTTTATTGTGACATATTGCTGGGTCTCACACTTTGATTATGTGACTCTCATGCTTGTGCCCTACCTACATAGGCCATTGTGACATATTGCTAAGTCCATCAGCCAGGTGAGGTAATGCTTCATCCTGGACCTTTCTACAGAGGGCATTGTAAGATACATCTTTCCAATCACCCTGGAAATGTGACTTATTTTTCCTGCCTGTTCCCCAATGACTGGGGGTATTGGGACATATTGTTGGGCCCAGCACCTAGCTGATATGACACTTTTCTTTCCTTTTTTCTTCTTCTTTTTGACGGAGTTTCACTCTTCTTGCTCAGGCTGGAGTGCAATGGAGTGATCTCAGCTCACTACAACCTCTGCCTCCCAGGTTCAAGTGATTCTCCTACTTCAGCCTCCCGAGTAGCTAGGATTAAAGGCATGTGCCACCATGCCCAAATAATTTTGTATTTCTAGTAGACATGGTTTCTCCATGTTGGTCAGGCTTGTCTCGAACTCCCAACCTCAGGTGATCTACCTGCCTCAGCCTCTCAAAGTGCTGGGATTACAGGCATGACCCATTGCGCCCGGCTGACACTTTTCTTTTTTTAAGTTTCTGCTCACAAAAGAGATTATGAGATACGACTGTGCCTAACAGTAAGGTGATATTACTTTTTTTGCTTTGGCTGTTCCCTTAGAAGGCATTGGGACATACTACTGGGCCCAGTACTAAGATGATGTGAGTCCTCTGCCTGAACCCTTACCACAGAGAGCATTGTGACATATTTCTTGACCCATTACAATCTCTCCTATAGACCAAGCTCAGGTAGATGCCCTTTTTACCTATGTGAGGTGACATTCCTCTCCTGCCTTGGCCATGTCCACAGAATAGAGAGGGACTTATTGCTGGGACAAGTAAAACAGTGGTGTATTATTCTGCCTGGTCCCTGCACACAGGAGTCACTGTGACATATGTTTGGGCCTCCCACCTAGATAATGTGACTCCTTTCTTCTGGGGTTTGTCCACAGTGGGAATTGTGATATGCCACTTGACATAATTCCTATGTGATGTGACTCCTCTTCATTCTTGGCTTCTTCCAACTGGGGTGATTGGAACATAAAGCTGAGCCCAGCACCTAGGCTATGTCTCTTCTCTTGTTTTTGAGACCTACCCACAAGGGACATTGTGACATATCTCTAGGCTTCTCACCTAGGTAATGTGACTTGTTTGCCTAGGCCATCCCCTCAGGGGTATTGTGAAATACTGCTGGACCAAGAACCTAGGTGATGTGACTCTCTGCTACTGCTTGGGGTGTGCTTAAGGGGAAATTGTGATGTGAATTTAGGTGCACCCTGCACCTAAGTGATGTTACTCTCCTCTCCTGCCTGAGACCCACATGCATCATGTATTACAACGTTATCTCTGGATCCAACAACATGGTGATGTGACTTTCCTGCATGGGCTCTCACACAGAAATATTCTAACACATGTTTTTGTTCATTATCTTGGTGATGTGACTTTTCTATTCTGCTTGAGCATTGCCAAAAAAAAAAAAAAAAGATTGTAACAGATCACTTGACCTAGCACCTAGGTGGTGTGACCCTCCTCACTTGCCTGAGACCTGCATATTTTGGTTATTGTGACATATCACTGAAACAAACACCTAGGAGTTGGAAGGCTTCTGCCTGAGGCCTTCCCACAGAGTGCTTTGGGATGTATTTTTTTAACCATCACCTGGGAGATGAAATCCTTTACTTCTGCCTGCATTCTGCCATAGAGATGACTGTGACATATTGACAGGCCCAGCAACCAGGTGTTTTGTCTGTCCTTTCTGGGCCTTGCCCACAGCGATCCTTGTAACATATCTCCTGGCCCACCATCCAGGTGATCTTACTCTTCTTCCTGTGCCCTACTTTCAGGAGAGGATTGTAACATCTCTGGTTGAGAACCCTGTGATATGACTCTCCTGTCTGGTGCATGCTCTCAGGGAAGATTGTGACATAACCCTGGCCCAGCACACAGTTGATGTGACTCTAGTGCTTGTTCTTTACCCACAGGTGGAATTGTGACATATAACTTGGCCAAGCACACAGATGTACTGAGGACTTTCATACCTCGAAGAAGCCAGTAGGAGAGATCATGTTGCTCATAGCTATGCTTAGGAAAACAAAGATGATCCTGGGTCTTCTTTCTGTATAAAAGTCATAGAGAATTACCACTCTCTCACATCTGTAAAGCCCTAGTGTGTTATAGAGAATGTCATAACAGGGTCCGGTATGCAGATGAGATTGTGTTTCTCCTATGCACACCCCACCCACCTTTAGAATTGTCACCCTCACACATGGACAGAGCTCACTGGTGAGGTCCTGAATCTCACATGAATCCATTTCACAGTTGGAACTCTGACTGTCATATGTGAACATCTGGCCACAGTTGAGATGGTGACTTTTTTTTTTTTTGAGATGGAGTTTCCCTCTTGTTGCCCAGGCTGGAGTGCAATGGTGTGATCTCAGCTCACTACAACCTCTGCCTCCTGGCTTCAAGCGACTCTCCTTCCTCAGCCTCCCAAGTAGCTGGGATTACAGGCACCTGCCACCACGTCCAGATCATTGTTTATATTTTTAGTAGAGATGAGCTTTCACCATGTTGGTCAGGCTGTTCTCAAACTTGTGACCTCAGGTGATCCAACTGCCTCAGCCTCCTAAATTGCTGGGATTACAGGCATGACCCATCATGCCCAGCTGATGGTGACTCATTTCTAAACCCAGCTCATAGGAAGGTGAGGACTCTTATCTGGACTTAGCCAATTAGAGGGATGTTGACTCTGGGCTTAGAACCAATGAAAAGAATCTGGATTTCCTTCTTGTTTGAAGATCACAGAGGATCACCACTCTTGCATATTGTATAAAGCCCTCAGGTGACACAGAGTGTCATAGGAGTGCACAGCACACAGGTGAGATAGTGTCTCTTGAATGCACACTCAGGCAACAATAAAGATTGTCATTCTCCCACATAAGCATATCTCACTGTTGAGGTTCTGGAGCTCACACATGGAGTCTGTTGAAAGTTGGAGAATTGACTCTCATATGTGGATCTGGTCCACAGGTGGGCTGGTGACTCTGACCAAACTTCAGCACACATATGAGGCTGTGCCTACACTGAGAGAACACAGTCTGCAGAAGAAATTGTGGCTCTCTTGCAAAAATTTTGTCAGCTATTGAGATTGTTACTCATGTATTTAGACCCAACATTACAGGAGGTGTTGACTCTCATATCTAGAACATGGACATGTATGGAATTTCTAATCTTATTCCTGGACTTTCAGGTATGATTGTGTCTGCTATGCATTTTAGTGATTTGACTCTCCTGCCTTGGCCCAGCCCACAGATGAGCTTGTGACATATATCTTGACTCTTCACCTCAAAGATGTGACCCTCTTTTCCAGCCTTGGTGTTGCCCACAAGTGTCATTGTGACATATGCCTGGGCCGTCCACCCAGGTGATGTGAGTCTTTTTTCTTCCCTTGGCACTGCCCACATGGTGCATTGTTACATTTTGCTAAGTTCTGCACTCGGGTTATGTGACCCCGCCCTTTTTTTTTGCCTAAGCCCTGAATATTTTCCATGTTAGGACATATTACTAGATCCAACACCTATAAAATAAGAGGCTTCTGCCTGGACCCTTTCTACAGTGGGGCTTCTGACATATCTATGCATCAGTCACCTATGAGATGTGACTCTCCATTTTTGCCTGCACTCTGCACACAGGAAAAATTGTGAATTATCACTAGGCCCAGGTGCCAGGTGATGTGTCTCTCCTGCATGGGTCTTGACCATATAAAGCATTGTTACCTGTTGCTGAACTCAGCACCCAGGTGATGTGACTCTGCTGCCTGTGTCCTACTTTTAGGAGAAGGTTGCAACATATTCCTGGCTGAGTATTAAAGTGATGTGATACTCCTGTTTGGTCCCTGCCCTCAGTAAAGATTGTGATGTATTCCTGGCCAAAAACCTAGGTGATGTGACTCTCCTTCTCTCTGTCTATTCACAGATGGGATTGTAAAATATATTTTGGCCTAGCTCACAGATGCAATGGTGATTCTCGTACCTCAAACCATCTAGTAGGAGAGATGCTGTCTTTTATAGCTAGGCCTAGTGTTGTAGTTATGATCCTGGGTCTTCTTTTTTTTGTATAAAGTCATAGAGAATTGTCACTTTCTTGCATACTATATAAATTTCTTGTAGTACAGAGAGTGTCATTCCAGGGTTCAGCACACAGGTGAAATTGTGGCTCTCATGTGTACACCCCACCAATTGTTAGGATTGTCACCCTCACACATGGATGGAGACCACTGGTGAGACCCTGAATTTCACACAGACACAGTCCACAGTTAAAATTGTAACTGTCATATGTGAACATCCAGCCAAAGTTGGAATGATGACTTATTTCTAAACCCAGTTCATTGGCATGTGGGAATTCTATCTGAATCTGTGAAAATTTTATCTGGGCTTAGGGCCAGAGTGAACACAGTTTACAGGAGGAATGAAAGCTCTCATGCACCAATCCAATTCATTGGTGAGATTTTCACTACCATACTTAGACCCAACATAGAAAATGTGGTGACTCTCATACCTAGAACTGGGACCTGTGCAGGATTGTTAATTCATTACTGGAATTTCCTGCGGGTATGATTGTTACATATGCCTATGTTCAGCACCTGAGTGGTTTGATGTTGCTGTCTGGGCCCAGTCCAAAGGTAAGATTGTGATATATCACTGTATCCAGCACCTCAGTGATTTGACTCTCCTCTTTTTGGGGGGACCCCACAAATTTTGGGTATTGTCAATTGTTGCTGAATCCTGCACCTGTTGAGACCAGCTCGGTCATGGAGACCCTAACCCAGCACTAGAGGAATTAAAGACACACACACAGAAATAGAGGGTGTGGAATGGGAAATCAGGGGTCTCCCAGGTTTCAGAGCTGAGTCTCAAACAGAGTTTGAACCGCACATTTATTGACAGAAAGCCAGTGATAAGCAAGATTAGCTAAAAGCATTCCTTATGGGAAACAAAGCATTCTCAGCAAGCAGCAGAGAAACAGGCTCTGGCTGATTATCTGCAGCAAAAACATGCTGTCAAAGCACAGGCCACTCTGCTATCATTTGTGGTTTGGGTGGTTTTTTGCTCTGGGCAGGGCCAGGTGTTCCTTGCCCTGCTCCAGTAAACCAACAACTTTTAGCAGTGTGCATGACAGCCATCATGAGCATGTCACATTGCTGCAGAAATCCTGTTTATGGCCAGTTTCTTTAAGGCCTGTTTATGATAGGCTTAGGGCTTGCAACCAACAAGTCCCCCTTTATGTTTCTGCAAAGCAATAAAGGCATAGGCAGCTTTGTCATGGAGGGCTACTTCTTGCAGGATTCGGGATCCACATCTACAGACTATACAAAGACAACACAGATTAAAAGCACAATCATCATTGAAATCACAGAACTTCCAAGTTTCTTTTTTATTATTATTATACTTTAAGTTTTAGTGTACATGTGCACAACATGCAGGTTAGTTACATATGTATACATGTGGCATGTTGGTGTGCTGCACCCATTAACTCATCATTTAACATTAGGTATGTCTCCTAATGCTATCTCTCCCCCCTCCCCCCACCCCACAACTGGCGCCAGTGTGTGATATTCCCCTTCCTGTGTCCATGTGTTCCCATTGTTCAATTCCCACCCATTCCATTTTAATGGGCTAATAGCTGCTAACCTGTCCACAGCTCCTTCAAGCACTTTAGTTCCTGGTATTAGCATCAGATGTGCCTGAGAAGCTTGAAATACTTGTTCCTTCAGTTTTGCAATATTCAAAGATAAATTTCCAGTATGACCTTTTAAATGTTTCTTAATTCTTTCCCACTCATGCTCTGATTCATTACAAGGGTGAGGAGTGATACAAAAGTCAGAATTATTCCAGTCGCATTTTAGCTGCATTCTATATTCTAAACTAGCTATTTGATCTCTTAGCCACATTACAGTATGTCAGAGATCATTGATTTGATTAACTATCTTTTGGTCTATTTTAGTTTGAGAGTTCCACAGCAGAGTAGAATTCTTTTGCCATTTATTTACAAAATCTGCTGTTTGCACTGATGAATGTAGTGCAACTCCAGCTGCTGCAGCAGTAGCTGTGACAGTGATCAGTCTTATAATAATCAAGATTAAAGTAACAATGAAACACTGAGAGCATCTCAGAATTTTCTGAAGAATTTCAGTAATATGGAGAGAGAGAGAGGCTTCCTAAGGATGGGAAAGCTTCACTGGTAACCATACTCCTTCTTGAGCTCTCACTACTAGGATAGAATGAATAGTACTAAACAAGGAAGAGTTCACACAAGAGAACAATCTACATTCCTGGTAAGTTACATGATAATTAGAGATGTCAAACTTTAGATCACCCATTACCAACAGAAAAGGAGGGTGAACACAACTTTGTATTCACATTGTATTGTTTTCAAAAAGTTCTAAAATGTAATTAGGATTATATTCTGATGGCATAGTATATTTTCCTTCCCAAATCTTGATCTTATTAAGAGCTGTTAATAGTTTCCACAAATCCTTATGTTTAGCTCCCAGAGTGAGCCATATCATTTGAGGTTGAGGTGCCACTATACTGCCATGTTTCCAGATAATAGGAACTCTTGCCGCACTTCTTACCATTTCTACCATCTGACCATTTTGTTCAGACCAGCTGAACATAGTGTGGCCATGGCACACAGACTGAGAGGTGCAATTCAAGCTAAACGTCCCCTTAGAGGACTAATCAATAATGATTCCATAGGAATCGTTGCGCATCACCTCTGCCTGTTCTGCAATGCAATCTTCCCAAACAAGTATGTTCATTTCTTCTGGTCAGGTTTAATTCTGTTTACAAATAGGTTTTTGAGGGTGGTATGCCTCAGTTATAGGAGCAGATTTATTATGGTAAATGCTGAGACCAGAAAGCACGTGTAAATGCATCATAGAGTGATTACATCCAGGCATTATTGCCAGCCAAGATTGATAAATATGCCCAATAAGTATAACTGTTCTCTGTGTTAGCCCTTGCTGAAGGAATACTCATGGCAATGGTGATCACTGCTATCATAGCTATCATTAAATTACTCACCGTGCCTGCTTTCCTCAGGTTTTCTTCCACCATCTGTGACAGCTTCTTGATCTGTCCCCAGGTAGGTGGCTGTATTTGATGGGTGTTGCTCATGATAGTTGGGGTCCTCCTCAGCATCAGTCTTGACATGACTGCAACCAGGGGGTCCTTGGGATCCTCCCAGAATCTCTTCCTCAGCATCTGGCTCATGGTAAGGTTTCAGGTGTTTTGATGGTATCCAAATCGGTTGCTGGAGAAACATAAGCATACCCTCTACCCCAAGTTATTATTTTACCTATTTTCCAACTTTTTGTTATCAGATCTCTCCACCAAACCAGTTGTTCTGCTTCTGTCATTGCAACTGGTTTCTGTAGATGCTGTTCATCTGCTGATAACATCTGGCCTTTGGGCAGGCTCAAAAAATTTAAGGTTAATAATGTTAGATTCAATTGTATATATGAGGTGTCCCATAGTCCCTGTTTATCCCCCTTTTTGCTTTTGCAACAGCTGTTTCAATGAGAGATTCGTTCTTTTCACTATGGCTTGTCCTTGAGAATTATATGAGATACCAGTAATGTGTTTAATATTCCATATAGAGAAAAATGTAGCTTGAGCTTTGCTCTAGCTTGGGGCATTGTGCATTTTAACTGAAGCTGGAATGCCCATGACTGTGAAGCATTGCAGGAGATGCCATTTAACATAGGCAGAAGATTCCCTTATTTGGCATGTAGCCCAAATAAAGTGAGAAAATGTATCTACACATACATGTACATAAGCCAATTTACCAAAAGAAGGAACATGAGTGACATCCATTTGCCGAAGAGAATTAGGTACCAATCTTCAAAGATTAACTCCTGTAAAAGATGTAGAATGCACCATTTGGCAAGTTGGACATTGTTGAATAATGGCTTTATCCTCTTTCCAAGTAATACTGTACCTGTGTTTGAGACCAGAGTCATTAACATGGGTTAAATTGTGAAAGTGTCTAGCATTAGATATTGCAGTAGCAACTAGGCAATTAGCCATCTGATTCCCTGCAGTCAAAGGTCCTGGAAGAGGTGTATGAGCTCTAATATGAGTAATGTAAAAAGGATGCATTCTATTCCTAACTGCTGTTTGCAATTGGGTAAATACAGTCATTAGTTGTTCATCTGTATGAAATCATAACTGAGCATTTTCAATTAATTGTGTGGAATGAACCACATATGAAGAATCAGAAATTACATTGACAGGCATCTCAAAAGCAGTCAGCACCTCAATTACAGCTACAAGCTCCACTTTTTGAGCTGAAGTATAGGGTGTCTAGAAAACTTTACTTTTTGATCCAGAATAAGAAGCTTTACCATTAGTAGACTTATCTGTAAAAACATTTCCAGCACCTTCAATTGGTTTAAATTTAGTTATTTTAGGGAGAATCTAATTCATTAATTTTAAAAATTAAAATAATTTTGTCTTTGGAAAGTGACTATCAAGAACACCTATGAAATCAGCTAAATGGTTTGCCAATTAAGACTATTTATAAAGACTTGTTGTATTTGTGCCTCTGTAAGAGGGACGATAATTTTTCCAGGATCATATCCATGCAATTTAATGATTTGAGTCCTCCCATTTCCTATCAGAGTAGCAGTTTGATCCAAATAAGGAGATAGAGTCTGTGAATTAGTATGTGGAAGAAAAAGCCATTCTACAAGATCTTGCTCTTGAACAATAACACCAGTAGGTGAATGCTGAGTTGGAAGAATCAATAAGTCTAAAGTCTTTTCTGGATCTATTCTATTTATTTGAGTTTTATGCACTTGCTTTTTAGTCAGCTGTAACTCTGTCTCAGTCTCATTTATTAATTGCCGAGGGCTAGTGAGATTAGGATCTCCTCTAAGGATAGAAAATAGATTACTCATGGCATAGGTAGGAATGCCTAGAGCAGGTCATATCCAATTAATGTCTGCTAGTAATTTTTGAAAGTCATTCAATGTTTTTAATTGATCCTTATGTATGGTTACTTTCTGTGGCACTGCTGTAGTGTCATTTACTAAGGTCCCTAAGTAGGAGTAAGGAGTAGTAGTCTGAATTTTGTCAGGAGCTATAATTAAACCAGCTCAAGAAACCGAGTTTTGTAAGTGATAATATTGGAATAATATTTCCTGAGTGGGGCAGCACAAAGCATATCGTCTGTATAATGAATAACGTAACACTGTGAAAATTTTTTACAAGTAGGTTCAATTGCTTGTCCTACATAAGTCTGACAAATTGTTGGACTGTTTAACATGCCTTGTGGTAAGACTTTCCAATGAAAACGCTTAGCAGGCTGCAGATGGTTTACCACAGGAATTGTAAATGCAAACCGTTCACAGTCTTGCTCAGCTAAGGGGAGAGTAAAGAAACAGTCTTTTAAATCTATGACTATTAAAGGACAATTTTTTGGAATCATAGCTGGAGAAGGCAATCCTGGCTGTAATGTTCCTATAGGTTGTGTAACTGAATTAATTCTCCATTTACCTGATTTTTTTCTTAATAACAAAGACTGGAGAATTCCAGGTGGAAAATGTTGGAGCTATGCATCCTTTTTCTAATTGTTCGGTAACTAAATTCTCTAAAGCCTCCAGTTTCTCTTTACTCAGTGGCCATTTTTCTATCCAAATTGACTTATTTGTTAACCATTTTGAAATTATAGGTTCTGGAGGCTTAACAATGGCCACCATCAAAAATGATATCCTAAACCCTGATGAGAATTTTGTCCTCCCACTTGAAGCAGTTTCTTTAACACTTGTAAATTTTTCTTAATCCCATGCCAGGTACATACCCCATTTCTTGCATCATATGCTAACTTTGAGGGCTATATAATTGTTCTGGAATTAGAACTTCTGCTCCTCATTGCTGTAATAAATCTCTCCCCCATAAATTTATAGGTAGAGAGTTATAATTGGCTGAATAGTCCCAGATTGTCCATCAGGTTCTTCACAATGTAAAATATAATTACTTTGATATGCTTCAGGGGCTTTACCAACTCCAGCTATGTTAAATTGAGAGGGTTGAGTTGGCCGTGCGGATGGTCAGTGCTGTAGAGAAATGATTGAAATGTCCACTCCTGTATCTACCAAACCTCTAAATTTCTTTCCCTGAATAGTTATTTCACAGGTAGGATGCTTATCAGTAATTTGATTTACCCAGTAGGTGGCTTTCTCTTGTTTATTTTTTCTGCCAAATCCTCCTGTCTGTTTAGTTTCATTTTCCCCCATTTCCACATATGACACAATCAGAAGCTGTGCTATACACTCTCCTGGCTCTGCTTTCCAGGGAACAGAAGTAGATATAACATTTTGAATTTCCCCATTGTAATCTGAATCAATGATTCCTGTATGTACTTGTACTCCTTTTAAATTTAAACTAGACCTACCTAGAAATAATCCTACCATCCCTGCTGGCAACATCTGACTGGAGACAGCAACACTCTTTAACAGTCCCATTACAAAAGTAGAACCTGGTCCATATTGATTAATACCTTGTTTAAATTCTTTAAGTATTTTAAAAGGAAAAGGCTCACACATAGCCATAATATTTCCCTATTGATCAGGTGGGTATATTCTAACAGAGAACTGCCAAGCATCCATATCACCCTCTCTAGCTTGCTGGATTCCTGCCTGAATAGAACTGAGAGCGGTCACTCAAGGTGCTGCTCAGTCACTGGGGCAACTACTTTTTGCCCAGTGTCCTCGGGAAAAGAAAGATCTGGAGGGTCAGGCCACTCTTTTTCTTCAAAATAATGGGGTGCAGAAGGCTAGGGATGAACCTCTTCCTCCTTTGAGGCTTTAGCTTTAGCTGGCAAACAAACCTGCTCTGTTACCTCTTCTGTTACTTTGTTATACTTTCCTTCCTCCTCATCATTATTGTGAAAATGTTCCAAGGTGGAACGAACCAGAGCCCACACTTGTCCATTGTTACCCTGATGCTTCTGAGCTCCCTTTCTTACTCACCATGGGGATTGATTAAGAGTACTCAGGTGGCTCCCTCTCCCTCTTCCTCTCCCCATGGTCTCCCTCTCCCTCTCCCCACGGTCTCCCTCTCCCTCTCTTTCCAAGGTCTCCCTCTGATGCCGAGCCGAAGCTGGACTGTACTGCTGCCATCTCTGCTCACTGCAACCTCCCTGCCTGATTCTCCTGCCTCAGCCTGCCGAGTGCCTGCGATTGCAGGTGCGCGCAGCCATGCCTGACTGGTTTTTGTATTTTTTTCGTGAAGACGGGGTTTCGCTGTGTTGGCCGGGCTGGTCTCCAGCTCCTAACCGAGAGTGATCTGCCAGCCTCGGCCTCCTGAGGTGCTGGGATTGCAGATGGAGTCCCGTTCACTCAGTGCTCAGTGTTGCCCAGGCTGGAGTGCAGTGGAGTGATCTCGGCTAGCTACAACCTCCACCTCCCAGCCGCCTGCCTTGGCCTCCCAAAGTGCCGAGATTGCAGCCTCTGCCCGGCTGCCACCCCGTCTGGGAAGTGAGGAGTGTCTCTGCCTGGCCACCCATCATCTGGGATGTGAGGAGCCCCTCTGCCCGGCTGCCCAGTCTGGGAAGTGAGGAGCGCCTCCTCCCAGCCGCCATCCCGTCTAGGAAGTGAGGAGCATCTCTGCCCGGCCGCCCATCATGAGATGTGGGGAGTGCTTCTGCCCCGCCGCCCCGTCTGGGAGGTGAGGAGCATCTCTGCCCGGCCGCCCCGTCTGAGAAGTGAGGAGCTCCTTCGCCCGGCAGCCGCCCCATCTGAGAAGTGAGGAGCCCCTCTGCCCGGCAGCCGCCCCTTCTGAGAAGTGAGGAGCCTCTCCGCCTGGCAGCCACCCCATCTGGGAAGTAGGAAGCGTCTCCGCCCGGCAGCCGCCCCGTCCGGGAGGGAGGTGGGGGGGCAGCCCCCGCCCGGCCAGCTGCCCCATCCGGGAGGGAGGTGGGGGGCAGCCCCCGCCCGGCCAGCCGCCCCATCGGGAGGGAGGTGGGGGGCGCCTCCGCCCGGCCGCCCCTTCTGGGAAGTGAGGAGCCCCTCTGCCCAGCCGCCACCCTATCTGGGAGGTGTACCCAACAGCTCATTGAGAACGGGCCATGATGACGATGGCGGTTTTGTGGAATAGAAAAGGGGGAAATGTGGGGAAAAGATAGAGAAATCAGATTGTTGCTTTGTCTCTGTAGAAAGAAGTGGACATGGGAGACTCCATTTTGTTCTGTGCTAGGAGAGATTCTTCTGCCTTGGGATGCTGTTGATCTATGACCTTGCCCCCAACCCTGTGCTCTCTGAAACATGTGTTGTGTCCACTCAGGGTTAAATGGATTAAGGGCGGTGCAGGATGTGCTTTGTTAAACAGATGCTTGAAGGCAGCATGCTCGTTAAGAGTCATCACCACTCCCTAATCTCAAGTACCCAGGGACACAAACACTGCGGAAGGCAGCAGGGTCCTCTGCCTAGGAAAACCAGAGACCTTTGTTCACTTGTTTATCTGCTGACCTTCCCTCCACTATTGTCCTATGACCCTGCCAAATCCCCCTCTGTGAGAAACACCCAAGAATGATCAATTAAAAAAAAAAAAAAAAGAAAAGTCCAGGAGGGAAAAAGCCTTAAACCATCATTTCACAATTGTGCTTCTAATTCACCATGATAAAAACAGGAACAATATGGCAAATAAATAAATGTAATTCACCTGTAAAAAAAAAAAAAAAGAAAAATTTTATTTTGAAAACCCTAAAAAAAAAAAAAAAGAGTACTCAGGTGTCCTCCAACTTAGTTCTATGTTCTCCAACTGTCGCTCTGGTGACACACTGACCTGGGTTTGAGCCTCCACGTTGGGCACTGCTTGCCATGACCAGCTCGATCGTGGAGACCCTAACCCAGCAGTGCTAGAGGAATTAAAGACACATACACAGAATATAGGGTGTGGAGTGGGAAATCAGGGGTCTCACAGCCTTCTGAGCTGAGAGCCTTGAACAGAGTTTGACCCACACATTTATTGATAGAAAGCCAGTGATAAGCATTGCTTCTATAGATTATAGATTATAGATTAGCTAAAAGCATTCCTTATGGGAAACAAAGGATTCTCAGAAAGGAGCAGAGAAACAGGCTCTGGCTGATTATCTGCAGCAAAAACATGCTCTCAAGGCACAGGCTGCTCCTGCTATCATTTGCAGTTTGAGCAGTTTTTCCATCCAGGCTGGGCCAGGTGTCCCTTGCCCTGCTCCAGTAAACCAACAACTTTTAGCAGTGTGCATGACAGCCATCACAAGCATGTCACATTGCTGCAGAAATCCTGTTTATGGCCAGTATCTTTAAGACCTATTTATGATAGGCTTACGGCTTGCTACCAACATTGCACCCAAGTTATGTGACTCTCTCAAATGTGTCTTACATGTTGTGTCATATTGGGGCTCAATATATCACATTAGACATTGTTACATTTTTCTGGGTTTAACACCTAGGTGATGTAACTTTTTTTTCTGGGTCTGCCTACAGGGGACCTTGTGACATAACTCAGTGCCCATCACCATGGTGATGTTACTCTTTTCTCCTGCCTGGTCTCTGCTCAGAGAAATTGTGACACATCACTGGCCTAGCATCTAGGTGATGTGATTCTCCTCTTTTTTTCAGGCTCTGCATATTTGGGTATTGTGACATATTGCTAAACTTAACACCTAAGGGATGGGAGTCTCCTACCTGTGCTCTTCCTACAGGGGCATTGTGACATGTCTCTGCATTCCTCACCTAGGAGATGTGACTCTCCTACCTGCACCCTTCCTACACGGAAAGTTGTGGCATATTGCTGTGGCCAGCAACCAGATGATGTGTTTCTGCTTCCTGGGTCTTTATTACAGGAAAGATGGTTGACATATCACAGGGCCCAGCATCCAGGTAATGTGACTCTCTTCTGCTGGTCCCTGCTTACAGGGAAATTGTAGCATATTGCTACACCCAGCAACTAGCTTATGTGACTCTTCTCTTCTTTTAGGTTTTGGTGTCAGGGGACATTGTGACATATTGCTGGGCCCTGCACTGACAATTTGTGACTCAACTGCCTGCAATTTGCCCACTTGGGCCATTGTGACATATTGCTGAGTTTAACACTCAGGTGATGTAAATTTTATGCCTGGGCCTTGGCTACAGGAGGCATTTTAAAATGTTTTTTGTGGCTGGGTACGGTGGCTCATGCCTGTAATCCCAGAACTTTGGGAGGCCGAGGCTGATGGATCACAAGGTCAGGAGTTTGAGCCCAGCCTAGTCAACATGGTGAAACCCTGTCTTTACTAAAAAAAAAAAAAAAAAAAAATACAAAAAACAGCCGGGCATGGTGATGGGCACCTGTAGTCCCAGCTACTAGGGAGGCTGAGCCAGAAGAATCACTTGAATTCAGGAGACAGAGGTTACAGTGAGCCAAGATCGTGCCACTGCACTCCAGCCTGGGTGACAGAGTGAGACTCCATCTCAAAAAAAAAAAAAAAAGATATCTCTGGCACCAGTCCCACAGGTGATATGACTCTCTTGTGTTACCAGGTCTCTGCTCATAGGGAGAATTGTGACCTTTCAAAGCATGTAGCTGATTTTTTTCTGTTATTTTTTAGTTTTTCCTGTGGGAAAAATTGTACAATATTTACAATATTACTGAACTAAGCACCAAAGGGATATTACTTTTTTTTTTCTTGGACCTGCACACATAAGACATTGTGACATATTGCTGGGCCCTACCCCTGATGATGCGAGTTTTCTGTCCATCAACTATTTTATGTGACTCTCCTCTCTTATCTTCACTTTGTCCATGGTTAGATTATAATATATCTTTGGGCCTGGGTCATGCTAACAGAAGTGAGAGTGACTTATTGCTGGGCCCAGCACACAGGGGATTTGATTCTTCTTGGTTCCTGCCCAAGTGGTCATTGTGACATATCTCTGGATGGCCTAAGTGATAGGTGTCTCCTTATCTTTCTGGACCTGTCCACAGTAGGAAATGTAACGTATCATTGGGCCCAGCACCTAGATGATGTAACTCATCTTTTGACTGGACCTTGCATATTTTGCATATTGTTATATATCACAGAGTCTGACATTAGGGGATGAGAGGCTCCTGCCTGGGTCCTGCCCACAGGTACCGTGTGACATATTTTGGCATCCACCACCTATGAAATGTGACTCTCCTCACCTACATGTACGATGCACGAAGAAAAGATTGTAGCATGTCAGTGGGATCAGCCACCAGGTGTGTGTCTCACCTCTCAGGGTGTTGCTCAAAGACAGCGTTGTAACATATCACTGGGCTCAGCACCCAGGTGATGTGACTTGTGGCCTATGCCCATCTTTTCTCTCTTTCTTTCTTTCTTCCTTTCTTTTTTTGACAGAATCTCACACTGTCATCCAGGTTGGAGTGCAGTGATGTGATCTCGGCTCATTTCAACCTCTGCCTCCTGGATTCAAGTGGTTCTCCTGCCTTAGCCTCCCAAGTAGCTGGGATTAAAGGCATGCATCACCACAACAGGCTAATTTTTGTATTTTTAGTGGAGGTGGGGTTCCAACATGTTGCCTTGGCTGGCAGGTGATCCACTTGCCTTGGTCTCCCAAAGTGCTGAGATTGCCAGCATGAGCCAGAGCACCCAAGTCTGCCTTATAGGAATTGATTTTAATGCATCCCTGGCTAAGCACCTAGGTGATGTGTTATGACTCTCCTGTCTGGTTCTTGCCCTCAGAAGAGATCGTGACATACCTTTAGACCACCCCCAGGTGATGTGACCCTTCTGCTCACTCCCTACTCACTAGTGTAATTGTGACATATATCTTGCCCCAGCTCGCAATTGCTATGATGATTCTCACACCTTGAACAAGGCAATAAAAGAGTTACACTCAGCTGGATGCAGTGGTTCACACCTGTAATCCCAGCACTTTGGGAGGCTGAGGTGGGTGGATCATGAGGTAGAAGTTCGAGACCAGACTGACCAAGATGGTGAAACCTCGTCTCTACTAAAAATACAAAAATTAGCCAGGCATGGTGGCAGGTGCCTGTAATACCAGTTACTTGGAAGGCTGAGGCAGGAGAATATCTTGAACCCGGGCAGCAGAGGTTGCAGTGAGCCGATATCACGCCACTGCATTCCAGCCTGGGTGACAGAGTGAGACTCCTTCCCCCACCCCCCAAAAAAAGTTACACTCCCTCCTAGCTAGTGTTAGGAAAATGAACACGATCCTGTCTTTTCTTTTCACTGAGTTCATAGAGAATTGCCACTCTCTCAAATATTGTACAAAGCCCTTGGGTGGCACAAAGAGTGTCATCAAGTGACAAAAACACGGATGATATTGTGTTTCTTTTATTTATTATTTATTTATTTTTTGGAGATAGAGTCTCACTCTGTCACCCAGGTTAGAGTGCAGTGGCACAATCTTGGCTCATTGCAACCTCTGCCTCCTGAGTTCAAGTGATTCTCCTGCCTCAGCCTCCCAAGTAGCTGGCACTACAGGCACGTGCCACCAAGCCCAGCTAATTTTTTTAGGGGTTTCACTCACCATGTTGGCCACACTGGTCTCAAACTCCACCCCTTAGGTGATCCACCTGCCTCAGCCCCCCAAAGTGCTGGGATTACAGGTGTGAGCCACCATGCCCAGCCCAAGATTGTGTTTCTTAAAAGAACATCCTGCCACACATTACAATTGTAATCTCTACATAGACAGAGCCCACTGGTGAGGTCCTAAATCTCATATGCAGATGCAGTCCACAGTTGGAATTGTGACAGTGATGTGCAAACATACAGCCAGAAATGGCTCATTTCTAAAGCTACAAATGATGACTCACTTCTAAATGTAGGTGATAGGCAGGTGAGGCACCTCCTATATGGATCAGCCAATTGGAGAGATGTTGACTCATTCCTGGGCTTAGAGCCACATGTACTATCATGGGTCCATACCATCACAAATGCCTTAGAGTGGATTGCTACTCACAAGCATATTGTATAAAGTGTGGGGGATCAGTCAGAGTGGTGGAAAAATTATAGGGAAAGATGCAAACCTTCTGAAAGGTCAGAAGGTACTGCAGAGCACCAGGGGAGAATAGCTGAAGGCAGCTGTTTTATAATCCTGAGACAGAGGAGAAGGGGTAGATACAAGGGAGTGTGAGGGAATTTATCTTAAAGAGACTTCTTTACATATTTACTTGTGTTCACCAGGAACTGACCTTTGATCATCTGCATGACGTTCTCTGAAAGGGGAACAATATATGTTAATTACCTGCAGGTTGTGTTGGTTCCAGGTTGTCAGCATTGTGCTTGCATGGAATAAAAGCAAGCAGCTCCAGTTTTTTGGATTGCACTCTGGCCACTAGAGCTGGGCAATCCCCTAGCTGCTCTTACACTGCATACCTGTGTCTGAGTACTCATTTCAACTGTCTGCCAGGATCTGTGGGACAGACCCAGCAGGTGGTGCCCCATGTAAGAAGCAATGAAATGCATCATGATGGAACCCTCAAAAACGAAAGTGAAGTTACTGCACAGTAAGTAATTGATGCCCGCTGGGGATTTCCAAGTTTGGGGGATTTTTCAACCTAGGGTTTCATCATGAGACAACAGTAATCAGCTCAACAGCAACAGTATATAAAAGTATTGAAACAACTGCTTAAAGCTAGTGAAGCCTCGGTTTCAAAGGCTCAATTAAGGGCCCTAATGCAAACTGTTATTTTCTGTAACCAATAATTCCTAGAAGAAGGCACACTAGACCTAGAGCTCTGGGAACAAGTGGGAAGAAATCTTAAATGACATTATGCACAAGGACAATGAGTCCCAGTAGCATCTTTAATGTTCTTTAATGTTATGGGCCTTAAGTTAGGACTGCTTTGGCCCCACTCTACACAGAAGAGCATAAAATGGGAAGGGAGGAAGAATCATCACCTACCTTACTATCTCCTCCTCTCTCAGCCCCGCCATTACCGAGTGAAGGTGCCACAGAGGAGACATAGATTTTCCCTGAGCCCCTCCCCCAGTAAATTGAGAAAAAGACAAGGGATACACTACAGTTATGGGACCCTGTCTTAGGCAAGCAGCATTAGAGGGGGAGCTCTTGGCTTGCCTGATGATGGAAGATCAACAAGGCAATCATGTACATGAACCCATTGCTTTCAAGACTTATAAAGAAATAAGAAAGAGCATTAGAGAAAATGGAGCCACTAGCCCATTTATGAAAGGATTAATTGAGGCCATAGCATATAACTTCCACATGACCCCATGGGACTGGTTAGTGCTAGCTAAAACAACTTCAGAGGCCAGTCAATACCTCCTCTGGAGGGCATAACATGATGAGTTATGAGAACAACAAGCTAACCAGAATCAATTGGCCAGGCAAAACATAACAGCTGCTATACTCCAGGGGAGGGGTCCCTATGTAAATGTACAACAACAATTAAATTTTTCCCCCAGCCTATGCACAGAGTCAGTGCACTCACAGGGCCTGGGACCAAATTCTCAAAGGTGGAGTTCAACAGTGATCTTTTCTAAATGTATGACAAGGGCCCCAGGAGCCATTTGTTGAATTTATCAATCATTTAACTTAGGTCATAGTGAAACGTGCCCATTCCACCCTTAAGAATACGCTTAAAATCAAAAAAGGGTGAATATGAGTAGGGACCTTACAACACTACTAGCACAAGCCTTATTTACTCTTAATTTCTTAAATTTAGATGATACATTTCAATGAGCCATAGATAAGCACTTTGCAAAAACCTCTCAAAATAGAAAGCCTTCAGTTTTATGGAAAGGTGTAAATAGTAATGTACGGTGTGGTCCAAATGATTTGCTAACGTGGGAAAGGGGATATGCTTGTGTTCACAGCCCCTTAGGTCCTCTTTGGATTCCAGCATGATGCATCAAACCTTACCACGGCATGACTAGGGCCCAACCTGCTACCAGAAATAAAGGAAATGACGATGCAGAACCCACAACCCTGGATGATGTGGCTTCCTTGGATGACACAGGCCCCAGACATTACCTGGGGAATGCTGAAGAACACAACTCAGGAGGCTGAACAAATCTGCTTCAGACACAGATACCATTCAATCCATATAATTTGTTCTTTGCTATGCTTTTTATTCCACATTGCAACTCTTATAGAATACTGATTCTTCTTATTCTCTCTTTTTGCCTGCAACCCACACCTGCTATAAACTATTGGGCCCATCTTCTAGATCTGCCTTTCTTACGGCATTTTACTTGGGAAGGTACCCCCTTCTCAGCCTCTGACAACGTGACCAATTGGCTGGGAGGTATTGACTTACCCCCGGTGGGGTCCCTCAGTAATGGCACACATTGGACTCAGGTGCCAAGTAACATTACATATCAATCCTTGATTGGAAAAGAATAATATTGATTATACTCATGTTTGTCTTATGTTATTTACTGGTTCTAGGGTGCAAAGCTGGAACACAAACTGTAACCATTGCACCAGTCAAACCTGTCGCTGCTCAGATCTGTATGCTTCAATCAACAAAACCTGATGCAAAAAAACAGAAAAAGGGGAGATGTGGGAGATTGGTCAGAGTGGTGGAAAAAGGATAGGGAAAGAACGCAAATTTTCTGAAATGTTGGAAGGTCCTGCAGAGCTCCAGGGGAGAATAGCTGAAGGCAGCTGTTCTATAACCCTGAGGCAGAGAGCAAGCAGTAGGTACAAGGGAGTGTGGAAGAATTTATCTTAAACAGGCTTATTTACTTATGTTGATCAGGAACTGACCTTTGATCATTTGCGTGTGTGACATTCCCTGAAAGGGGAACAATAAATGTTAATTACCTGCAGCTTGTGTTGGCTCCAGGTTTTTGGTATTGTGCCTGCACTGAAAAAAGCAAGTGGCTCCAGCTTCTTAGGGCTGCACTTTGGCTACTAAAGCCTGGCATTCCCTTAGCTGCTCTTACACTGCATACCTGTGTCTGAGTACTAATTTAATCCATAGACCAGAATCTGTGGGACACACCTGGCAATAAAGCCCTCAGTAATACATTGAATGCCCTTACATGACCAAGCACACTGGTGACATTGTGATACTGGTACTCAAAACCAGTCAGCAGTAACTACGCCATCCTTTTAGATAAACACAACCTACTTCTGAAGTTCTGAATCTCAACCCTGGAGGGAGTGGAAAGTTGCAACATTGACTCTCGTATGTGGATCTGGTCCACATCTGGGCTGGTAATTCAGACCAAGATTCAGCACAACTCTGAGGCTATGATTTTACTGAGAAGACCCAGTCTGAAGGAGAGATTGAGGCTCTTATTCAGGAATCCATCCACATTGAGATTGTGATTTGTGTACTTAGACCCAACCTCCAAATGGTCTTGACTCTCTCTTTTTTTTTTTTTTTTTTTTTTTTTTTTTTGGAGCAGAGTCTCACTCTGTCACCAGGCTGGAGTGCAGTGGCACGATCTAGGCTCACTGCAAGCTCCACCTCCTGGGTTCAAGCGATTCTCCTGCCCCAGCCTCCCGAGTAGCTGGGACTACAGTGCACGGAACCATGCCCAGCTAATTTTTGTATTTTTAGTAGAGACAGGGTTTCACCATGTTGGCCAGGATGGTCTCGAACTCCTGACCTTGTGATCCACCCACCTCAGCCTCCCAAAGTGCTGGGATTACAGGCATGAGCCACCATGCCCGGCCTGGTATTGACTCTCATACCTAGGATGGGAATATGTGAAAAATTATTCATGTTATCCCTGAGCCTTTCTGCATGTGTGATTGTCAAACATGTCTCTGCACATAGCCTGAGTGATTTGACTCTCCTGCCTGGGGCCAGTGCACAGATGGGATTGGGACATATTGTTGGAACAAGTATGTGGATGATGTGACCCTGTACTCATGCCTTGGTGCTGCCAAAGAGGGCATTGTGACATATCACTGGTCTCTGCACCCAGGTAATGTGTTTGTCATTTATGTGCCCTGCCCACATGGGCTGTTGTAACATATTGCTGGGTCTAACACCCATGTGATGTGAATCTCCTACCTAGACCCTGGCTACAGGAGACATTTTGCCACATTCCTGGACCCATCATCTATTTGATGTTACTCTCCACTTTTACATGGGCTTTTCCATAGGGGACGTTGTAACATATCTGGGCCAAGCACCTACATGATGTTACCCTTTGCTCCTACCTGGGCCCTGACCACAGAAGGGAGAGTGACTAGTCCCTAGGCACAGTATACAGGTGATGTAATTTTTCTGTCTCATACCTGTCTACAGAGGACATAGTGAATGTCCCTGGCCCACTAAACTAGATGATATGACTTTTTTTTTTTTTTTTTTGTCTCTGAGACCTGTCAACAGTGGGGATTATGACAGATCACTTGTCTCAGCACCTACTTAACATTTTCCCCATGCCTGAGCATTGCCCACTGGGGTGACTGTGACATATAACTAGGTGAAGGCCCTAGGTTATATAACATTTCTCTTTGACCTGAACTTCACCCACATAGGGCATTTTGACATATCTCTGAAGCTCTAAATTAGGTAGACTGCTGCATGGGCCTTTTGTTTTTTAGGGAGTTTTGTCCCATATTTTACTGACCTAGCAATAAGCTGATGTTACTCTTTTCTAGTGCTTGGGCTCTGCCCAAGGAGGGATTGTGATATATCACTGGGCCCAGCACCTTGGTGATGTGACTCTCCTCTCCTTCTACAGGGTTCAGGTGAGAAAGAAGAGTTACATCACTTAGGTGATAAATAAAATAATATGTCATATGTCCCCTGTTGGTAGGGCTTATGCAGGAGAGTCACATCAGCTAGGTGTTGGACCCAACCATATTTCAATATACAAATTGTATATTATGTATATTTAAAATTGTGTATATTGAAGTATGGCTGTGTCCAACAGCTAGGTGATGTGACTCTCCCCCATGAGCCCTTCTGATAAGGAAATTATGACATATTTTGTTTATCACCTAGGTGATTTAACTGTCCTTTTCTACTTGAGCCCTGTATAAAGGGGGGATTGTAAAATCACTGGCCCCAGCATCGAGTGATATCCCTCTTTCTTTCTTTCTTTTTTTTTTTTTTTTTGAGATGGAGTCTCACACTGTCACCCAGGCTGCAGTGCAGTAGCATCATCTTGGCTCACTGCAAACTCCACCTCCCAGGTTCAAGTGATTCTCCTGCCTCAGCCTCCTGAGTAGCTGGGATTACAGGTGTGCACACCCACAACTGGCTAATTTTTGTATTTTTAGTAACGGCAGGGTTTCACCATGTTGGCCAGGCTGGTCTCGAACTGCTGACCTCAAGAAATCTGCCCACCTCAGCCTCCCAAGGTATTGAACTTATGGGTGTCAGCCATTTTGCCAGGCCTTATCACTCTCATCTTTCAAATCGGCCCTGTGTATTTTAGGTATTAAGACATATTGCTGGGTCAAACCAAGTGGGTGAAAGGCTCTTGCTTGGGCTCTGCCTACAAGAGGCCTTGTGACATAGCTCTTCATCCATTACTTTGGAGGTGTGACTCTCCTCTTCCATCTGCACCATGCCCACACAGAAGATTGTGGCATGCCTCTGAGTTCAGCAACCAGGTGGTGATTTTCTTGTACACATGTCTTAACTGCAGAGAAAATTGTGACATATAGCTGAGTCCATTACCCAATTAATGTGACTTTGCTTTCTGTGCCTTGCTTTTGGAAGAGAATTGTAACATAACCCTGGCCAGGCAACCAAGTGATATGACTCTCTGCTTGGCCCCTGCCCTAAAAAAATTGTAACATATTTCTGTCCCAGCACCCAGGTGATGCTACTCTCCTGTTTTCTTTCTACAGTTTGGGTTGCGACATATACCTTAGCCAAGCTCACAGTTGTGATGTTGACACTAATACCATGAATCAGCCAAAAGGAGAGATACTGGCACTTGTAACTAAACTTGGAGAAATGGGTATATTCCTGGGTCTTCTCTAGATAATAACATCATAGAGGATTACTATTCTTTCACATTTTGTATAAAGTGTTTTGATGGTACAGAGAATGTGATGCCCACTGGAGAGATCCTGAATTTCACAGGTGAATGCAGTCCATAGTAAAAATTCTGACTGTCATGTGTGATCATGCCATCACAGTTCACATGGTGACTCATTTCTAAACCCAGGTCATAGGCAGGTGAACACTCTCTCTCTGGACCCAGCTACTTGGAGAGCTGTTGAGTCGCATACATGGGCTTAGTTCCACAGGTACAATTATGAGTCCATACTAGGAAAAAGTCTCAGAGAAAATTGTGACTATCATGCATATTGTATAAATACCTCAGGTGGTACAGAGAGTTTTATAATGAGGTCCATCACAGGTGACATTGTGACACTTATACGCACACCCAGCAAACAGTAAAGATTGACATCTTTCCACATGAACACAGCTCACTGTTGAAGTTGTGATTCTCACACCTGGAGGTAGCCAAAAGTTGAAAAATTGACTCTCACACATGGATTCAGTCTATATGTGGGTTGATGAGTCTCAGACCAAGATTCAACATACCAGTGAGGTTTTGACTTCACTGGGGACACAGTTCACAGCAAAGATTGAGACTCTTATACATGTATTCAGTCCACCATTGAGATTGTAACTGATGTACTCAAACTCAACTTACAAAGGGTGTTGATTCTAATACCTAGAAATGGGTCATGTGCAGGATTGTTAATTTTTCCCTACATTTACTGCAACTGTAATTGTGAAATACACCTCTGACCAGCACCTGAGTAATTTGATTCTCTTGCCTAGTGCCCAGCCTATAGATTGGATTGTGACATATCGCTGGACCCAACACCTAGGTGGTATGACTGTACATATGCCTTGACACTGCCCACAGAGGGCTTTGTGACATGTGACTGAGACCCACACCTTGGTTATGTGACTCTCCTGATTGTGCCCTGCAATTATGGATTATTGTGACATATTGCTATGTCCAACATCCAGGTGATGTAACTCTCCTTCCTGGGTCCTGCCTACAGGAAGCATTATGACCCACCTCTGTACCAATCACTGAAGTAATGTGACTCTCTTTTTCTACCAGGTCCCTTCACACATAAATGATTTTTTTTCTATTACTGGTCCCAGCACCTAGCTGAAGTGAGTCTTCTCTTCTAAATAGGTTCTGCTCACAATGTAGATCATGACATACTGCTGGACTGAACAAGGTAATGTGAGCCGTCTGTTGAAACTCTGCTCACAGCAGGCATAGTGACATATCTGTGAACCTACCATCTTAGTGCTATGACTCTTTTACTTGGGTTTGGCCTATAGGAGAGATTGTGACTTATCTCTGGGGGCAGCACTTAGAAGATGTGATTCTCCTTTCCTCTCACGGCCATGCTCCCATAAAAGAGAGTGACTTATCCCTGAGATCAGCACACAGGCTATGTCATTCTTCTGTCTGGTCCCTGTCCACAGAAGTTATTGTAACATATCTCTGGGCCCATCACCTAGATGATGTGACTCTACTCTCTTTCCTGGGGCCTGTCCACAGTGAAGGTTGTGACATATCACTTGGTCAAGTACTTACATGATGTGGCTCTTCTCATGCTTTGGCCCTGCCCACTAAGGTGGTTGTGATATGTAGCTGGGTCCAGCTCTTAGGTTATGTGATCTTTCTCTTCTTTCTGAGCCCTACTCACAGGGTGCATTGTGACATATCTCTGGGTCTCTCACCTAGATGATGTGACTTTTCTGCCAGGGCTCTTTCCTCAGAGGGTACTGTGACATTTCTGTACCCAGAACCTAGGTGATGTGACTCTCATTTACTGCTTTGGCTCTGCCCAAGATGTGACTCATTTTTTTGCCTGGTCTCTGCATACATTGTGCATTGTGATGTATGGCTGAAACCAGCACCTACGTAATATGAGTCTTCTGCATGGACTGTTTTCAGAAGGGTATTATGAAATATCGTTTTATCACTTAGGTGTTGTGACTCTGTTCTTATGGCTGGAGTCTGCCACAAATGGCAATTGCAACATATCACCTGACCCAGCACCTTGGTGATGTGATTCTCTTTATTTTTTGGGGGGGGTGGGTCTCACATATTTTGGGTATTGTGATATATTGGTGGGCTCAACTCCTAGGGAATAGAAAGCTCCTTTCTTGACCCTGCCCCTGGGGACTCTGTGACATATCTCTGCATCCATGACCTAAATATCTGACTCCTGTATTGTGCCTGCACCCTGCTTACAGGGATGATTGTGACATATTGCTAAATACAGTGTAAGTTGTGCTGACCTCCTATCTCATCCTGTGACTAAGAATGCCTAACCTGAGGATGCAGCCCAATAGGTCTCAGCCTCATTTTACCTGACACTATTCAAGATGGAATCACCCTCGTTTTAATGCCGCAGACAAAGAGATCAACTATAACATTATGAAAAAATTTTATTTAAATTATAGTGAATAAGAAATGGAAGACCTAAGATGGGCTATTGTGAAAGATTATAAAGACAAATAGTTATATTTGTTTTATAAGTTTTCCATTAACCTCTATTTGTTACTTCTGAATAGATACATTGTTTTATTGTCAAGTTTAAACAGATACACTTGATAATCAAAAGTTCCCCGCTGTGAAAGAAAAATAAATCTCAGGATGTCAAAATTACTAATCCAATAGAAAAGTCAAGCTGGAAACTATGTCAAGCAAAGCTGTCTTCTATTTTATTCTTAAATAAGATAGCTATGCAGATAAAAAAGCTATACACCTACCTCACAATTTGCTGACAAGAATATTTCTACTGAGTAGACGACAGACAGAACTCAAAGTCATCCCTCTGAGGCTCACCTGAGACAAATACATATCTGCTTACTTTCTCTGCTCTATTGTTAATATCAAAATGCAGATTCACTGAGCCAGACTAAATTGTGTACTCAGTGGGAGACTTATCAAGGGCTCAAATACATTTATTCTTTTTTCTCTTATCTACTTGTGATGCAGAAGCCCCAACCTCAAGTTTTCCCATCATACCTGACTAAACCAATGTACATCTTAAACATATTGATTGATGTCTCATGACTTTCTAAAATGTATAAGAAACTGTACCCCAACCACCCTGGGAACATTTCATCAGGACCTCCTGAGGCTGTGTCACAGGCTCCTACTTAACTGTGGCAAAATAAACTTTCTAAATTAATGGACCATTGCAGGGACTCTGCTCTCTTGATAACAATTGTTTCATTTGAATGGCTGATGGGCAGGTTTGTACCTGAGACTGCAGCACTGAGCTCCTGGGGGATGTGGGATGTTCCAAGCATCAGCTTTCAGCCAGTTTATCTTGTGACTCTTGAAAGTTATTTAGTGTAGTGTGAAGATGGGAATAAACGGCTCCTGAATGTTAACAATGGCTGTTCATTCTAGGGTGGTCCAAGGGGGCCATGCAGTGGTTCTGGGTTCTTCTGTGGCTTCTCTGTCTGTGGCTGATGGAGTGGTTTTGTTGGTCTTGTGATCCAGGGTGTGTGTGTGTAAGAGGAGTGGAGGGTAAGGTGGGAAAAGAAGGTGACAGCCAGGTTCCTGGAGGTCACCTCCTGGCATTATTCTTGTGGCTTGCCAAGATTCTTATGTAAATTCTTTTTATTGTTAATAGTTCATGTGTCCGGAGCAAGGAGGTGAAAATAAAAATAGCTCAGAGCAGTCTCAGCTCTGTAAGGTCTGCACAATTTATCAAGACCAGGGAGATGAAAGTGTGGAACTTTACACAGGGGAAATTCTTTTTTTGTGTGTTTGTTTGAGATGAAGTCTCACTTTGTCACCCAGGCTGGACTGCAGTGGCATGATCTTGGTTCATTACAACCTCTGCCTCCTGAGTTCAAATGATTCTTCTGTCTCAGCCTCACAAGTAGCTGGGATTACAGGCACATGAAACCACACCCAGCTAATTTTTGTATATTTAGTAGAGATGGGGTTTTACCATTTTGACCAGGCTGGTCTCCAATTGCTGGCCTCAGGTGATCCGCCCACTTAGGCCTCCCAGAATGCTGGGATTAGGGGCAATTGTTTATAGACATTTTGTTTCTGACTAGCAGTCTCATCCATTATTTCTGGAATTTGTAAAACAAAAGAATATATATAGCCAATCAATAGCTTATGCATTTAAATATGAATTCTTGGTTAACAACTTAGGAACTGCCTTCTCATTTTTTTGAAAAGACTTGCTTTGAATGGCTGCTAATTGAAATATATATCCAGGGCAACTTAAATTTGTTTTCCTGGTGGTCATCCTCAATATCTGACCTTGAGTAAATGTATTTCAGATTACATTTTAACCTTTTTGATTATTTTAAGTTGACTGAGGGCTGGCCTGCAACATTCTCCTGGGTGTAAATACTCAAACCATAGGTTAACTGCTCAGTAGGGAACACTAATCAACAGCAGGACCTAGCACAGGTCAAAGACACACGCAGTGGGAAGGTTTTTGGGGCCTGGCTCCTAATTGCAAGGACAGTTGCACAGGGGGTCTCTGAATGCTTAGACAGCCTGGCCTTTCCTGACCCAATGCCCCTCACCAGCTTTTTGAAGCACATCTTGACCTTTTGTCTTTCTGTTCC
The DNA here is from genome assembly GCF_000001405.40 of Homo sapiens. Taxonomy (NCBI): domain Eukaryota; kingdom Metazoa; phylum Chordata; class Mammalia; order Primates; family Hominidae; genus Homo; species Homo sapiens. Next base: position 23,517,888 of record NC_000019.10, on the reverse strand, counting down.
CTGGGATGAAAACTCATCTTCAGTGCTGTCTACAACAAAAGAGAAACATCATGTTACTAAAACCTCAGGAACAGAGATTGCAGATTGGGCTAAGATTGTACACTTTCTTAAGGATGATCTGCATGGAAAAGCAGCAAACAATTTCAGAAAGATACAAGAAAAATTGCCTCTAATGGGTACTTATACTGTAGTTCAACTCGATTTGTTCTGTAAGTGGTAGGGAAAATAGGATAAAATACTTCATGTTCAAGCATTTTTGCTGCTCAGTCAGAATGAAACCCTGCAGCAGGCATGGACATGTTTCCTGAGAGAAGTAGAAGAAAAAAATTTAGACAGACAAGCTGATCCTTTATTGCAAGCCCCCCCCCACCCCCGGCCACTTGGTTCAGTGGGCATTTTGGGGTGAAACAGAACCTCTTTCTGTCAGCTCTAAAGGTTCAGCTGTGTCCATCCTTTCTACCCCTAGTCCACCTGAAAGTTCTATTGAGGACCCTTCATCCCTCTTCCTTACCCATCTAGTCCCATTCTATACCCACCACTCCTTGAATAACTGAGCTCAGTGAGTACTACTCATAGTGGAGCTGCCTATCAACCTCCAAAGGGAAATGTTTGTCCACTTAGAGAGGTTGCAAATGGAGAAAAAGGCCTGTGAGAAGACATGGCCCCTTTTCTATGTCTGGTTTGGCTCTATATAAGACAAGTTTGGTTATTTCTCTGAATATCCAGGAAAATTCACAGATGAGTTTGAGAAGTTAACTTTGATCTCTAGTTTAACTTGGCAGGATCTGTATGTTTTGTTGTCTCTGTGTTATACAGTGGAAAAGAAACAATGCATTTTCAGGACAGCTAGGACCCATGCAGATGAGATATTGGCTCACAACCAGAACCATAATATATATCAGACAGGAGGTATAGCAGTTCCAGATCAAGTTCTAGAGTGGAACTATCACAGGGGCAGTGAGGACTTGGGAGAAGAGATCATATGGTCACTTGTTTTTTGGAAGAGATGAAGAAAGGCATGAAATAGCCTGTTAAAAGTGAAAAGGTTAACGAAGTTTCTCAGGGCAAAGATGAGAATCCAGCTCTGTTTCAATAGTGTTTAGTTGAGGCAACCAGGAGATATACTAACAGTGATCCTGCCTCAAGGAAAAGATAAACACTTCTGGGAGTCCATTTTATAACCCAGTCTGCCCCTGATACCATAGAAAACTAGTAAAAGCAGCTGTGGGTCCCCAAACTTCTATGGAACAGCTTTGGATATGGCATTTTTAGTTTTTAATAACAGGGAAAAAGTAGAGGAAGCAAAAAGAGCAAGAAGGACCTCCCACAAGGTGCAGCTCTTGGTTGCAACCTTAAGCTAACCTCCCACATGGGGCTGCCTCCTGAGTCTTGGCCTGAACAATAGAAACTGAAAGGTGGGAAGACCAAAGCTGGCCATCTGAGTCACTGTGCCTTGGGCATAAATCAGGGTGCACACTGTAAGAAAACTGGCCATTGGAAGAGGGATAATCCAGTGTTCTGAAGAGAGCCATCGGCACCCTAACTAATGATGAGTTAAACAGCCAGGCAAGTGCCCAAAAGTGATGGGGCCCGAGACCTTCCACCAAAGCTCCAATCAGACAACTAGCCATATTATCTGGAGAAGCCTTGGTAACCTTCACCATGGCAGGTAAGAATATTAACTTTCACCAGGCATGGTGACTCACACCTATAATTCTAGTATATTGGGAGGCCAAGGTGGGTGGATAACTTGAGGTCAGGAGTTCAAGACTAGCCTGGCCAACATGGTGAATTCCCATCTCTAATAAAAATGCAAAAAAAAAAAAAGCCAGAAACTGCTTGAACCCGAGAGGTAGAGGTTGCAGTAAGCTGAGATTGTGCCACTGCACTCCACCTAAGAAACAGAGCAAGACTCTATCTCAAAAAAAAAATATATATATATATATAAACTTTCTTCTGTACTGCTTACTCTGTTTTGACCCATTATAATGGGTTTCTGTCACCCCAAAACTGTATGGTCACAGGGATAGATTGAGAAGCCCATAGATGCCATTTTATCTATTCTGTAAGCTGTTTTTTAGAGACTTTGGTTTTCTTACATAACTTTCTTGTCATGCCTGGATGCCTCAGGGCAGTTGCAGCAACTTCTCTTTTGGTAGATAAAGCCAATAAACTGGCTTTAGAACAACACCCTGAGGTTTAAACCCACACCAAGTACAAGGAGTCCTAGAAGCTAAAGGACACCAGTGGATGACAGGGGGATGCTTATTGAAATATCAGGCATTTTGCTAGACACTCCTGATAAACTGTTGATGCGAGGTGCTAATCAGTGAAAAATAGTTAAACATTTGTATGACTCTGTTCATTTGGGAAGAGATTCCCTGTTTCAATTAATGTTGGCCTTTTATAGAAAAAGGATTACTTAAAACAGTAAACCCGGTAATTCGAGCCTGTGAACTATGTGCCTGGAATAACGCAAATGACCAACCAATGTTTATCTCCTCCTTTAGTAAGGCCTGTTCAGCATAGAGGAATGTACCGTGGTAAAGATGGCAAATAGACTATACTTAGATGCCCCCATGTAAAAGGTTTAAATATTTATTAGTATTCATTGACACATTTACTGTTTGGATCAAGGCTTTTCCTACCCGGTCTGAAAAGGCAATTGAGGTTCCTAAATTCCTACTAAACGAAATAATTTCGCCTGGCACGGTGGCTTATGCCTGTAATCCCTGCACTTTGGGAGGCCAAGGCGGGTGGATCACCTGAGGTCAGGAGTTGGAGACCAGCCTGGCCAACATGATGAAATCCCTGTCTCTACTAAAAATATAAAAAATTAGCCAGGCATGGTGGCGGGCATCTCTAATCCCAGCTACTCAGGAGGCTGAAACAGGAGAATTGTTTGAACCAGGGAGGCGGAGGTTGCAGTGAGCTAAGATCATGTCACTGCACTCTAGCCTGGGCAACAAGAGAGAAAATCCATCTCAAAAACAAAAGAAAGAAAGAAAGAAAAGAAAAAGAAATAATTCCTAGATTTGGGCTGCCTAAGAGCTTACAGAGAGATAAAGGCCTATCTTTCACAGTGACAATTACACAGAACATATCTTGAGCCCTAGAAATTTAGTAATGCCTTCACTCAGCATGAAGGCCACAGTCTTTGGTGAAAGTAAAAATAGCTAATCAAACTCAAAAGAGGACTCTTGCTATGCTATGCCAAGAAACATCAAAGACCTCACTGTCTTTACTATCTGTAGCCTTATTACAGATTCCAGTGGCCGCTAAGGGAAATCTGCAGCTCAGCTCTTTTGAAATAATGCATGCAAGGCCTTTCTCAGCTACATACCTTCTAATAGACACAGATACTTTCAAGCTACAGAATTATGTGACAAGCACAAAACACACTCTGAATATGAAAATCAAAGACTCCCTTTCCCAACTAAGGAAGATAATCTTTTTATAACCCAGCCAGGAAATTTGGTCCTATGAAAAACTTGGAAAGAAGGATCCCCAGCAGGTCAACTTTCCCCAAAATGGAAGGGACCTTACCAAGTTCTCTTTAGTACCCCAACTGCAGTTAAAAATTCTGGGAATAAACAGCTGGGTCCACTTATCTCAAATTAAACCTGTCTCTTATGAAGTCCTATAGGCTGGCGGAACACAAGAGACTGATCCTGTTTATTCCCATGAGCCAGTGACCTTTGACTCCTGTTCAGAAGAAATGAAAGGGATAGGTAACATAAAGATATAGACTGGCATTCTACTTTTGGGTATAAGTTGGAATCATGCAGAGAGTAACTTATTTACTGAGTGAGCACAGACTTCATCCTCTCTACATAATCAAACAAACTGTTGGGCATGCAGACATTTTAACAGAGACCCAAAAGGAAACCTGTGCTTTGATCAAAACCAAATGTTGTGTGTATGCTTCAGACTATTCACATAATATTACCCAGGCTATAAAAGTTTTAAGCACTCATATCTCTGCCATTTTTATGCACTATCAGTCAACCACGTATCAGCTTGGTTCCAACAACTGCCCACTTCTTGCAGAGCCTTCCTGTTTAGTTTACCTGGGATAATTTTACTAATTTTGCTTTGCTGTTGTGAAATATATTGTGGTTTTACTCTTTGTGTAGAAATGCAAGACAAGCTCACTAAATGCTTTCTTGAATTGGACATTTATTAGTCTTCCAGTAATCACCTTTTTTTGGAACTTGAAGTTATGAACGACCTTCACTATACAAACACTGTCTGACTGAGTTTCTCTCTACTCTGAATGCAAGAGGCCCCAACAGTTAGTCAGGAATATCATCGCCCCTACTCAGCCTGAAAAATTTACAGAAGGTGAATCTTTGTCTCTCTGCAACTCTTAGGATTAAGGATCCTCTTGTAAAACAAGGGGGAAAATATGTCAGAAGCATTTATACCAGAGCTACTCCATTTTGAGAGAGGGCTAGGAAAATGATGCTGAGACTTGCTGGGCTGCATTCTCAGCAAGTTAGACATTCCTAGCCTCTAGATGTTTACGATTAAGGGAACGAATTAATGTTTACTAAGCAGAACCAGACTTAGGACTGTCTAGATATCCCAATATCTGGAGAACAGAGGCATTCCTAATTTTGCTTTAAAGATAATATCGAGTTGGCGGATGTGGTGAATCACGCCTGTAATCCCAGCACTTTGGGAGGCTGAGGCGGGTGCATCTCCTGAGATCAGAAGGCCGAAACCAGCCTGGCTAACATGGAGAAATCCCGTCTCTACTAAAAATACAAAAATTAGCGGGTGTGGTGTTGTGCACCTGTAGTCCCAGCTACTCTGGAGGCTGAGGCAGCAGAATCGCTTAATCCCAGCAGGCGAAAGTTGCAGTGAGCCGAGATCGTGCCATTGCACTCCAGCCTGAGAAACAAGAGCGAAACTCCGTTTCAAAAAAAAAAAGTTTACATTTTGAATACATTGAAAAAAAGAGAGAGCAAAGAAGAGAGAGAATTTTCCCGTGCTCTGGGATTGGCCTGGCTCAGCTCAGGGAAGAAACCTTGCCTGAAAAGGCTACAACTTAGGCTGTCAATCTTTCTTCTTTCAGTCCAACCTCTGACCACATCTTCCATCACTCAGGGCCTGAGAAGGCGGGGGTCTTAAACGTTATCCAATCAGGGACGCTGTCCTGGGAACTGTCCAATCAGACACACAGCTGGAGGGAACAGGGCGGCTTCCGGTATTTGGTGGGGCCTTTGCCTCTGGCTTCAGTCGTTCCTCCTGGTGTTGTCCTCATTCCTCTGTGTCTTCTGCTTTTAGAGGCCCAGCCTCTGTGGCCCTGTGACCTGCAGGTATTGGACATTCACAGCTGAGACACGAGGACCCCCTGGAAGCCTAGAAATGGTGAAAGTGCTGAGTCCGACATCCCGAGAGAAGGGACGAGCCTGGTTGGAACCGGTGGGAAGCGGTTGATGGGACTCAGGCCTCTCCGCAGTCATCTCCACAATCTGCGCCCAGAGTTCTCCTTGCCCAGCTCGGCCTCAGTCCCCTTCAGCCATAAGATGGCGGCTGCACTGACAGCCGGGCCCCCCAGACGGCCTGTCTCTTCCCTGCGCAGTGACCATGTCCTGGCCTGGAGCCCTCTCTGGGCAGCTCTGGACCCGCAGCCCCGCATCTCTCCCAGATTGTGCAAGTACCATGGGAGGAAGGTCAGGGCAGAATCCTGATTCGGGGTGCAGGTTCACGAATGGGAAGAGCTTTTTGTCCGTGGGATTCCCAGGCCCTTTTTTTCTATTAAAAATTTATGGGCATCACCACGAAAATATTAAATAACTTAATCAAAGGGTGATTCAAAAATTGTTGAGCAGCACCCTGCTGTAGTTTGTAATTTGCAATTCATGGAAGGCGCTTGAAGGAAAGGTTTTTATAAGAAAACCAAATTCAATAATTGGCTTGGTACGGTTATGTAGTTTTTTGTTTTTGTTGTTTTGTTTTGATTTTCTATTTTTTGAGACAAAGTCTCTCTGTTACTCAGGCTGGAGTGCAGTGGCTCACCCCAATCCCCGCCTCCCAGGTTCAAGCGTTTCTTCTGCCTCAGCCTCGCTAGTAGTTGGGACTACAGGCGCTCGCCACCACATTTGGCCATTTTTTTTTTTTTTATTTTTTGTAGAGACAGGGTTTCACCATGTTGGTCAGGCTGGTCTGGAACTCCTGACCTCAGATGATCCACCCACCTCGGCCTTCCAAAGTGCTGGGATTACAGGCGTGAGCCACTGCGCCCAGCATAGTTTCTTAATTTTTATAATCAAGGTAAAGCTGGTTATGTAATCAGCTTAATTGGCAGTTTATAGTTGGTTAAGCCTGAATTTTGTTTCCTCCAATGTAGTTATTTACCAATAAATGCTCTTCAGTTTAGATTTTTTTTTTTTTTTGAAGTAGAAATCCAGGGACTAGAGCCACCTCAATCTAATTTCCTGCCTCTTACTGATTTTCACACTCCACAGGGGACTGATTTTTTTTCTGAATTTTTCACACGTGTCACAAGCAGGGCCTCAAGTTCACTCCTCATCACCTATTCCTCCAGTCTGACTCTGGCTTGCAGTAAAATACTAAATTTTCAGTTTCGTCTGACATTCCCAAATACCAATTTCCCCTCCCTAATTCACTTTATCAACAATTTGTCATTTAGTATACATTTTAATACCTATTTTAATTAATCTTTTTTTTTTTTTAACTTTTGAGATAGAGCCTTGCTCTGTTGCCCAGGCTGGAGTGCAGTGGCTTCATCTAGGCTCACTGCAGCCTCCACTTCCTGGGCTCAAACGATTCTGTTTTTTGTTTGTTTGTTTGTTTTGTTTTTTTTTTTTTTTTGACACGGAGTCTCGCTCTGTCGCCCAGGCTGGAGTGCAGTGGCGCAATCTTGGCTCACTGCAAGCTTCGCCTCCCGGGTTCATGCCATTCTCCTGCCTCAGCCTCGCGAGTAGCTGGGACCCCAGCTAATTTTTTGTATTTTTAGTAGAGACGGGGTTTCACTGTGTTAGCCAGGATGGTCTCGATCTCCTGACCTCGTGATCCGCCCACCTCTGCCTCCCAAAGTGCTGGGATTACAGGCATGAGCCACCGCGCCCGGCACAATTCTCTTGTCTCAATCTCTCAAGTAGCTGGAATTACAGGCACTCGCCAGCATGCCTGGCTAATTTTTGTATTTTTGGTAGAGACGGGATTTCACTATACTGGCCAGACTGGTCTTGAACTTCTGGCTTCAAGAAGTCCACCTGCCTCTGCCTCCCAAAGAGCTGGGATTACAGACCTGAGCCACTGCCCCTGGCTAATTAATTATTTTTTGACAAAGCATTTGATGGCACATTTAAAAAGATTTTTTTTGTACATATTTCCTATGAGAGTTAAGCAAAGAATAATCTGACACTATTGTAAAATATCTCTGTGGGTTTTTTTTCCTTCTATTTTCCGTTGACACAGATATCTTATCAGAATGTTTTTGGGTCAAGTTTTTTTTTTAGAAACATTATAGGGTGATGTGTTTTCAGTCACCCTTCCGGTTTTCTTGGACCTGGATTTCAGTATTGTATGGGAAAAACCACAATACCTACCATAACTATGTCTGCTAGAGTCTCTAGTGAATATCAGCCCTGGGGCTTATTTGCTCATAGGGCAACCTGAGGTATTGAGTGTAGCTTCTCAAGTGCACACATGGATGCCCTCAGGCTAAGAGGCATTTCCTGGTGTACTTTTTTTTTTTTTCAAAGTTAACCCCTTGAGACATTAATATTGTCTTCATCCAACCCAACTTTCATTTCTTGGAGACTCATTGCTGGTCAGCCAATCAGATACCAGTATTGAGGAGAAAAATAATTTCTGTGTCCTGGATTCCTTTAGGGGACAGAAAAATAGTACAAGAAAAACAGTAAAAAAATTCTAGAAAAAAAATCAGCACTCCAAAGACAAGAAAACCACCAAACCCCAAAAAGCTGACTCCATTGAGATGGTGTAAGAACTTGCAGAGTAAAATGTGCCTGAGGCACTCTCTGGGTCATAGTTCAGAGTCTCCTGAGACAGGGTTATTGAGCACTTAAGTGTGCAGGGTGGGGTGGGGCAATCTCTCAAGTAACGGAATGGCCTGATGTGACACATGAATAAGACATATCTGTACCTTGAAAAGATTTATTCACTTAATTTACCTAAGGTTTATTTATTTATTTTTTAAGACAGAGTTTTCCTCTGTCACCCAGGCTGGAGTGAAGTGGTGCCATCTCTGCTCACTGAAACCTCTAAATCCCAAGTTCGGGTGATGCTTCAGCCTCCCAAGTAGCTGGGAGTACAGGTGTTGACCACCACTCCCTGCTGGGTTTTGTATATTTAGTAGAGTCAGAGTTTCACCATGTTAGCCAGGCTGATCTCAAACTTCTGGCCTCAAGTGACTTACCTGCCTGGGCCTTCCAAAGTGCTGAGATTACAGGTGTTAGCCACTGTGCCCAGCTGTTTTTTTTTAATTGTATATTGCATTTTAGTAGTAGAGCTTGAAAGGTAAGAAAATATTTACAAAGGACATAAAAAAGGTGAGTCTTTTTTTTTTTTTTAATTGAGACAGTTTCACTCTTGTTGCCCAGGCAGGAGTGCAATGGTGCCATCTTGGCTCACTGCAACCTCCACCTCCTGGGTTCAAGTGATTCTCTTGCTTCAGCCTCCTGAGTAGCTGGGATTACAGGCATATGCTGCCAAGCCCGGCTAATTTTTTATATTTTTAGTAAAGACAGGGTTTCTCCATGTTGGTCAGGCTGGTCTCGAACTCCTGACCTCAGATGATTCGCCCTCCTCAGCCTCCCAAAGTGCTGGGATTACAGGCGTGAGCCACCGCGCCTGGCAGGTGAGTCTTAAAAACATTAATATCTAATAATACATTTTGTTTGTTGAAAATTTTCACTTACTTTTTTCTTTCTCAGAGTGAGTTTAGAAATTTTCTCAGGTGTGTGTTTTTATGGCAGAGTGATTTCATACAGTCCATCTAGCTTTTAGAATGGTAGCTACCAAGGAAGAAAACAAAGAAAAATTTCTCTTCAATTTCAGCTATAGACAATGAATACATTTCCACACACACACACACAAAATGTGGTTGGTAACTGGTTAGTTACATAGATTCCTGAAAACTTCAGTTCCTTTTGTTAGCAGGGTAAATTTTTGACCGTGAATATCTTTGTTCTATATCCTGTTTTTGTGTGTGTGTGTGTTTTTTTTTAAGATAGAGTCTCACAACGATGCCCAGGCTGGAGTGCAATCTCAGCTCACTGCCACTTTCGCTTCCCAGGTTCAAGCGATTCTCCTGCCTCAGCCTCCTGAGTAGCTGGCACTACAAACATGTGCCACCACACCCGGCTACGTTTTGTGTTTTTAGCAGAGATGGGTTTTCACCATGTTAGGCCGGTCTTGAACTCCTGGCCTCAAGTGATACATCCACCTCGACTTCCGAAAGTGCTGGGATTACAGGCGTGAGCCACCATGCCTGGCCCTGTATCCTGTTATTTTGATTTTTGAGTTTATTGCTAAATTTTATGTAATGAAAATTGGTGCCTCCTATAAGTGTTTCCAAGTGACTAATTTTTTTTTTTTTTGAAACGGAGTTTTGCTCTTGTTGCCCAAGGTGGAGTGCAATAGTGCAATCTCAGCTCACTGCAGCCTCTGCCTCCCTGGTCCAAGCGATTCTCCTGCCTCAGCTTCCCGAGTAGATTGAATTACAGGCTTCCACCACCATGCCCGGCTAATTTTTGTATTTTTAGTAGAGATGGGGATTTCACCACATTGGCCCGGCTGGTCTCGAACTCCTGACTTCAGGTCATCCACCCACCTCAGCCTCCCAAAGTGCTGAAATTACAGACGTAAGCCACCGCACCTGGCTGACTAATTGTTTCCTACATGAGTTTTAATACAAATAATAAAATAATACATTTATTGCCTGAAAGGAATAAATACTTTTGCTATTCTTTGAGGTATAAAGTGTAAGCGCCTTAAAATGTTCTTCCGTTACATGAACACTGTGTTTGAGTAATTTTGCTGAATGTTTCTAACACTTAGTTTTAGTTTCAAAAACCAAGTTAATAACTCTGATATGGAAATTAAAGCTTACGCTGCAGGAGGGTGCACATGAACAAAGGAAAGTAGGGGTTTTTTATTACCTCTGATGCAGCTTTTTCTTGTTACTGTGTCCTGCCTCCGCTGGCTGGAGTTGGACTGCATAATCTAAACTAAACCCATTTGGCTAACTTGAAAAATGCAGGAATGCAGTTATACGGTTGGGAAGGCAGGAAGATCAGTTTCGGCGGAAGTAGCCATTGCGATGGGAGGGGAAATTCACAGAGTCGATAATAGATTTGGAATGTGGGCTCCATAGATAAAAACTGGGAGAAGGTTGTTTACCAGGGCAGGGGGAACATACAGAATAAGAAAGTCTGGCCTTGAAAACAGGGAACAGAAGGGCAAAGAAACTTAAGCTAGCTAAACATTTGAAGAAGAATTTCTTATACTGTGTTCAAACTCTATGCATTACACGGTTAAGAAAATGCTCATTTAAATAGGTTGGCATTTATTACCTGGAAAGTTCTGAAAAAATACCAGGAGATAACTGCTTATTAGGGTGCTAAAGAAAGAACTACTTAAAATGACTGTTAAAAATGTTAGAACATAGGCCGGGCACAGTGGCTCACGCCTGTAATCCCAGCACTTTGGGAGGCCGAGGTGGGCGGATCACGAGGCGAGGAGATCGAGACCATCCTGGCTAACACGGTGAAACCCCGTCTCTACTAAAAATACAAAAAGTTAGCTTGGTGGCCGGCGTCTGTAGTCCCAGCTACTCGGGAGGCTGAGGCAGGAGAATGACGTGAACCCGGGAGGCAGAGCTCGCAGTGAGCCCAGATCATGCCACTGCACTCCAGCCTGGGCGACAGAACGAGACTCTGTCTCAAAAAAAAAAAAAAAAAAAAAAATTGTAGAACATGGAAGATACCTGTATCTTGTACTTTCCATAAAAATGATGTTTTCTTATGGTTAAATTCAGACAGTAATTTAGTAGGGGCCATATCTCAGTAGTGATGCTGTGTCCTTCTGGGTGGATCAGCACACTATAAAAAGTTTTCCTAGTGCAGTTGATGTTAATAACTCACTTAATAAACTCTCTTACAGAGTTTTTCACTATAGAGTTATTTTTCTCTTCATTAAGTATTTTTATGCAGTTGATGTGCATAAACCATCACATTTAATCTGGCAGCTGCTTTTTTTTTTTTTAAAGGTTTTCTTTGCATTTATCTTTCTTTGGTAAATGAAATTCTCATCTTTGTTTACAGGCCAGAAAAACTGAAAAAAAACACAGGCTCTTCCACTTACTGGATGTTTGACAAAATAGTATTTTGGTGCCAAACCATTGGCATAACTGGTGAGCTTGGTAGAGCCTAGTACCTCAGACTTTATTTCAGATCTCCTGAAAAAATAATCTGCCTTAATAAGATGTCCAGTTTATTGTACACATTAAAATTTGAGTGGTACCGTCTAACTCAACATGTCTATTTTGTCTGAAATATATAAACTATGTCTTTTTCTTCTGAAAAATATACACAACTAATTCTCTATTATGTAAATATAGCACTCAAAAATGTACATGTTCGTGATATGCCCTCAATTTTACACTTTTGTCATTCAGACAAGTATCACATATACACTGAGGTTGTGGATATTATGCCACTCTCTTATCTCATAGTTAGAGAATACCTTAGAAAACGTTTGTGTGTTGACAATTATTTTATTGGATAGTTTCAATCATTCTTTTAAGTCAGAACCAGTTCTATTCACTTTCTGATTTTACCTTGTGTCAAATAAAAAATTCTATTCATAGCCACTTTGTAAATATGTGTGTTTGTGTGTGTTTTCCAGGGACTGTTGACATTTAGGGATGTGGCCATAGAATTCTCTCTGGAGGAGTGGCAGTACCTGGACACTGCACAGAAGAATTTATATAGGAAGATGATGTTAGAGAACTACATAAACCTGGCCTTCCTGGGTGAGGATAACTTTAATACAAAATTCCTCAATATAAAATAAAAATTTCATTTCTCTTTGTAGAATGTTTTCTGGTACTTATGCTTTCATATTTCTGTTATCAAGAAAATCCTGGGGAGTTGTCTGTTTAGAAAAAATTTATTGAAGATGTTTCATCTTGACCTGAACTTTCCACATTCCTGAGCTGATCTGTGTCCTTCATTTTAGATTAGTGGTAATTTCAGAAGCTTAGTGGCATAAAATATTATTCACACCTTAAAATCTATCTGCTTCACCAATTTTTTTATTCAGCAGTGGCAGGCACTGAAATTAAGAACCTACAAAATTAAAATATTTTCTAAATATTTAAAAATTTCTGTTATAAATTAGTATATTGGGATAAACTTATTAGAATAATCTATTATATCCTTTTTACTGAGCACATTACTAAGTCGGTAATTGGAGAATATGAACAAAATTCATGTTAGCTATTTTTAATAAAACAGGTATTGCTTTCTCTAAGCCAGACCTGATCACCTGTCTGGAGCAAGGAAAAGAGCCCTGGAATATGAAGCGACATGAGATGGTGGATGAAACCCCAGGTAGGTGAGAGTGAATACAACAGACGACATGGATGAGAGGTCCAAAGTCAAGAAGAAAGTAAGTCTTTAAAGCGATTTGGGAAGCTGTGTTCCTAAGGAAATAGTTTCTGGGAAGCCTGAAATTGTTTAAAAATTACACTCTCACATAGGGCCATCTTCTGCTTATGCTTATAAAATCTCTAAGAATTCTACTTTCCCTTCAGTGATCTTCGTTGAAGTTTACAGTGACAGCCAAAGTACTGTTCATGGCATATAAAAGAGTGCACAATCTGACTTCTTGTTTTTGTGGACAGATACATATCTGCATAATTTTGAGATACTCTGTTAAACCATTTTATTTTGTTTTATGTTATTTTATTTTATTTGAGAGGCACCTTTGCTTTTGTTGCCAAAGTTGGAGTGCAGTGGCGCAATCTCAGCTCACTGCAACCTCTGCCTCACAGGTTCAAGTGATTCTCCTGCCTCAGCTTCCTGAGCAGCTGGGGTTACAGGCACACGCCACCACACCCGGCTAATACTTTGTATTTTTAGTAAAGATGAAGTTTCATCATGTTGGCCAGGCTGGTTTCAAACTCCTGACCTCAGGCGATCTGCCCACCTTGCCTTCCCAAAGTGCTGGGAACACAGGCGTGTGCCACCATGCCTGGCCTAAACTATTTTTAAGTTCTCTTTTTGCATCACATCTGGAATTTTGATAGGGAGTTTATTGAATCTAGAGATCACTTTGGATAATATGGCATTTTCACAATTCTTATTCTTTCAATAGAAATAAAATATTTTTAAATTTATTTGTTTCCTAATTTTTTTATTGATATATCTTTCATTTAAAAGATTTATGAGCTCTTGGCCTGGCTTGGTGGCTCACTCCTGTAATTCCAGCACTTTGGGAGGCCGAGGCGGGTGGATCATGAGATCAGGAGTTCAAGACCAGTGAGATGGTGAAACCCCGTCTCTACTAAAAATACAAAAATTAGCTGGGCATGGTGGCGGGCACCTGTAATCCCAGCTACTCAGGAGGCTGACGAAGGAGAATTGCTTGATCCCGGGAGGTGGAGGTTGCAGTGAGCCGAGATTATGCCACTGCACTCCAGCTTGGGTGACAGAGCAAGACTCTTGTCTCAAAAAAAAAAAAAGATTTATGAGCTGCTTAATTAAATTTGTTCTAAAATGGATTATTTTATGCTATCATAAATAAGATTGTTTTTTCCTCTGTCAGAGAGTTTGTTTTAAGTGTATGGAATGATTACTCAGAATTGTATGTTAATTTTATATTTTGCTAATTAACTGAGTGTATTCATTAGTTTAAACAGGTTTTTATGTACTTTTTATTTTTTATATATTAATATTACATGATCTACAAACAAACGTTTTACTTACTGCACTTCAACTTCAATGACTTTAAATTTTTCTTTTGACTATTTCTTCTTTCACATGCCTTCAGTGCAATGTTAAAATAGAAGCATTGACAATAAGAAACAATAGTTTTGCATTGGTGTGTGTAAATTTGAAGGAGCAAACACCTCTTCAGGATTTTATAAACTGGTTTCAGAAAGGAAAAATCTATTTTTATTAGGCCACCAGAGTGATAGAATGCCTCTGGGTTTGTAGTGAAGAGGGGTTTTAGGTTGGTTTTAAGCCTTCTGGATTTGCACAAGAATCCATTTAAGTGGTCTTGTTAAAAGGGGCTTGGATAGTTGTAATTCTCATTTAATTTTTGGACAGAGTGAATATCCTTCAGGACTTAGGTGCTCTGCAGGGCAAACCCAAGGGCAGGTTTCTGCAGTCAGGCCTGCATATGGTGGGCTTTATATCAGGATGTGGATGAGCATGGCTTTCACCAAGTACAAGAGAGAATTTTCCCAGGTCACTTTGGGTTTCTACATGGGCAGAACCGGCCATGAACTGTGGCTCAGGGAGCTGGAACTGCATCATGGAACTGCTTCAGGGACCACAGTAAAGGCAAAGGTCTGTAGGCCTACTGCATGGCTATAAATGCAGGTCTTCCTCCAGGCCTCTGGAAGGGCAAGACCTCCCCCAGACTATGGCTGGGAAGAGTTTGGGATTGTTACAGAGTAAGTTTAAAATTCTCAGTGGAACCAAGTTAGGTGGAACGTTTTCTTGTCTGTAGCCAAAAACAGTAGTCCTGTAGTTTGCCACCTGAATGAGGGCCTGTCTTCTAAACAGAATTACCTTCAGTCTTGGGCTTCAGCAGAGTTTCACAGCTCCCTTCCTGGATCTCAGAGCTCTTTTAAAAGCACTTATTTTTGAAATGGGGGTCTTCCTACATAACCCAGAAAGGTCTTAATATTTTGACTGCAGGCAATTCTCCTACTTTATTTTGCCACGTAGTTGTCATTACAGGTGTGAACCATGATGCCTGGTTCTCTCATAAAGGCGTTTTTATCAGGAATGGCTGACAAATTTTCTTGCTTTCAGGGGATAAGCAAGTAGGGCACCTTTTTAAAAAAATCTTATTAATGTCACTCTCCATATACATTTTTACTTTCTATTTTCTACTTCAAATTTGTCTGTAATTTTAGATTCAGAAATTTAGGGTACTATACTAGAATTTACATGTTGTGCCTGAATTAAATTAGATAATTAGTGTGCAGGCAGACAAAAAGGAATTATAGAATTTTCAACAAATTTATCAGCCTATATCTAAATAATAACATAATTTATTCCCCAAATATTCATTTTATATAGGAGGCTCTGACCATATGTGTATATATATACATATATATGTGTATATATATATAAAAGCAGTGTAAGGATTTTCTTTGCTTCTAAACTTGGATTACAGTAGTTATATTTTGTTTAAAAATAGCGTATATTTAAAACGTAAAAATTGGCACTAGTTTTTTTAAATGCTTAAATCTATTAAAAGTTTCTCATTAGCATCTCCCATTTATGATTGTTCTGCATTTTCTCTGAAATTTTATTGCCATAAAATGGATGCCAGTAATTTCAAATGCCTGCCTTCCATGAATGCACAGTTACAGTCAAACATTGCAGTTATCTAGACAAATTATTTGTTAATGTACATTAATGTTGCCAACTAGATTTTATGACTAAGCATTTCTGTTATTATTGTCTTGCAGTTGTACTTGCAGTTAGTGTGCTTTTTAGTGTAAGTTTGTTAACATCAGTTTATTGTGTCTATTGCTATTATTTAAGTATTATAATTTTAGACAATTAGCAGTTGTTTGTATACTTTAAGTTAATGTAAGTTTTAATTAAAAGATAAATGAGCCATGTGTATCACAATCAAATTATATATATGTGTGTGTTTTTATCTGCAAATATGACCCCAATTTTGGCTATACCTTATCTTGTATACATTCATACATTCTTAGCTCATTTTCTTTCTTTTTTTTTTTTGGAAATGGAGTTTTGCTCTTGTTGCTGAGCCTGGAGTGCAATGCAGGATCTCGTCTCACTGCAACCTCCGCCTCCCTGGTTCAAGTGATTCTCCTGCCTCAGGCTCCTTAGTAGCTGGGATTACAGGTATATGCCACCACACCCAGATACTTTTGTATTTTTTTTTTTTTTTTAGTAAAGATGGGCTTTCTCCATGTTTGTCATGCTGGTCTGGAATTTCTGATCTCAGATGATCTGCCCACGTTGGCCACCAAAAATGCTGGGATTACAGGCATGAGCCACCTTGCCCTGCCTCTTAGCTCATTTTCAATGTTGGTTTTATCTTTTCTAAGTGAGTGGCCTTGGAAATAGTCTTATTTTCACCATGTGTTTAATGATGAATATGTATTTCCTTTGTGTGAGAGAAACACTTTTGTGATCCGAAGGTAATTTTTAAAAAGATTTATAATTCTGTATTTTTTCCAGTTTTAAAAAAAAAAATGTTGTAAAAACACATAACATAATTTACCTTCTTAAATCTATTTAAATGTACATGTCAGGGCCAGGCATGGTGGTGGCTCACATCTGTAAAACCAGGATTTTGAGAGGCAAGGACAGGGGGATTTCTTGAACCCAAAAGTTTGAGACCAGCCTCGGCAAAATATGGAGACACCCTCTCTAATAATATTTTTTTTCTAAGAAATAGCTAGGCACGGTGGTGTGCACCTGTGGTCCCAGCTACTTGAGAGATTGAGGGGCAGGATTATTTGACCCTGGGAATCTGAGGCTGCAGTGAGCCATAATTGCGCCATTGCACACAATCTTGGGTGACAGATTGAGACCCAGTCTGAAAACAAAAACAAAAACAAAATGTATATTTTAGGCATGTCATGTATATTCACATTGTTATGCAAAAGACTTCTTGAAATTTTACATCTTGTAAAACTAAAACTCAGTATCATTAAATAACGTTTATCCATTTTACACTCTCTCCATCCCTTGAGAACCGCCCTTCCACACTCTGTTTTTATGAATGAGACTATTTTATATGTCTTAAATAAGTGAAATCATAACATCCATCATTTCATTATGGCTTATTTCAGTTGACATAATATTCTCAGAGTGTATCTTTAAATGTGAGAAGATTTTTTTTTAAGGCTGAATAATATTTCATTGTATCGAACATGTCTTCAAGGTCCTATGTTGCATATTTTAGATATAGATTCATAAATGGAATTGCTGTATTTGATAATTTATTTTTAATTATTTGAAGTACATTTATAACGTTATAAAATAATGGGTGCATCCTTATTTTCCACCGACAATCAACCCAACTAACTTTGTATTTTTAGCAGTGATGGGGTTTCACCATGTTGGTGAGGCTGGTCTTGAACTCCTGACTCATGATTTGCCCGCCTCGGCCTCCCAAAGTGCTGGGATTACAGGCTTGAGCCACCACGCGCGGCCAAGGGTTTCATTTTTATTGCATCATCGACAGGTTTGGTGTTTTTAAAAAATTGATAGTGGCCATTTAAATGAGTGTGAGGGGATTTTGTTTTTCATTCATTGTGATTTTTATGCATTTCTCTACAAATTAGTTTTGTGTGTCCTTTCAAATGTTTTGATGAAAATTTATTTCAATTATTGGCCTATTTCTAAATAAAGTTATTCAACTTTATTGTTTTGTTTGTTTGTTTTGAGATGGAGTATTGCTCTGTCGCCTAGGCTGTAACCTCCACCTCCCGGTTTCAAGTGATTCTC
Organism: Homo sapiens; assembly: GCF_000001405.40. Classification (NCBI taxonomy): domain Eukaryota; kingdom Metazoa; phylum Chordata; class Mammalia; order Primates; family Hominidae; genus Homo; species Homo sapiens. Next base: position 23,500,153 of record NC_000019.10, on the reverse strand, counting down.
CCACCTCAGTCACCTGAGTAGCTGGGATAACAGGCGCATGCCACCACACCTGGCTAACTTTTGTATTTTTAGTAGAGATGGAGTTTTGCCATGTTGATCAGGCTGGTCTTGAACACCTGACCTCGTGATCTGCCTGCCTCGGCCTTTCAAAGCGCTGGGATTACAGATGTGAGCCACCGCACCTGGCTATTGTTCGGTTTTAAAAGTTGTTTATATTTTTTGAATATTGACTCCTATCACATATGATTTGTAAATATTTTCACCCATTTTCTAGGAGGCATTATCCCCCTATTAAATATTTATCTGTATTTATATGTGCAGAAATGGTGAAGTCATTATTTCTTTATAAATTATCCACTCTCAAGTATTCCTCTATATGCAAAATAATACAGTCTATAATGTTGTCTAGGTTTTCTGTTTTTTAATTGATTTTTCTATGTGAGTTTTCTATGATGGAAAATGGGGTCTTGATGTCTACAATTATTATGTTGCTATGTATTTTTTGCTTTACTTTTGTTAATATTTGCTTTATATATTTTGGAGCCTGATGTTATATATACACATACATAAAGAAAGGAAAGAAAGAAACAAAGAAAGAAAGAAAGAAAGAAAAAGAAAGAAAAAGAAGGAAAGAAGGAAAGAAGAAAAGAAAGAAAGAATAGTTATAGATTTGTGGTAAATCAATTCATTTTACTAATATATACTATCAATGTTTGTCTCACGTTAGCACTTGACTTAAAGGATATTATGTCTAATACCCAATTGTAGTTACTATTTTCATAAAATAAATTTTTTTTTCACCATGTGGTTTTCAGCCTATTTAACTCAGTGCTAAAATGAGTCCCTTGTAGGTGGCTTTTTCTTAAGCCACTAAGGCATTTTATTTTTTCTTTTTATAATTTCATTTAATTACTTGTTTATTCATTTATTTTTGAGATAGGTCTCACTCTCAACCAGGCTGGTTTGCAGTGTTGTGATCATGGCTCACAGAAGCCTCAACCTCCCAAACTCAGAAGATTCTGTCATTTCAGCCTCTCAGGTAGTTGTGTGTAGCCTCTCAGGTAGTGTGTAGCATCACACCCAGCTAGGTTTTTTGTATGTATGGTTGAGACAAAGTTTTGCCACATTGCCGAGGCTGGTCTCAAACTTCTGAGATCCAGTAATTAGCCCACCTTAACCTCCGAAAGTCCTGAGATTACATTTCTTTCTATTAAGTAGTTTAATTAATTTATATTTAAAATTATTTATTAAAATGAAGTTATTAGTTTTATTGTTATTGTTTTATGTATTCCTCAGTGGGTTTTTTAATATATTGTTTTATTGCCTTAAATTTTATTTTAATTGTGTAGTGACGTGCTTCAATTATTTTTTACATTTTGTTTTGCATAGTTTCTATAAATATTGTCTTCATAACCATCTTGTGTATTAGTCTGTTTTCATGCTGGTGATAAAGATATAACCCGAGACTGGGCAATTTACAACAGAAAGAGGTTTATTGGACTTACAGTTTCATATGACTGGGGAGACCTTACAATCATGCTGGAAGGTGAAAGGCATGTCTCACCTGGTTGGCAGACAAGAAAGAGAGCTTGTGGAGGAAAACTCTGCCTTATAAAGCCATCAGATTTCATGAGACTTATTTACTGTCGTGAGATCAGCACAGAAAAGACCTGCCCCCATGATTCAATTACCTTCCACCACTTTCCTCCCACAACATGTGGGAATTAAAGATGAGACTTGAGTTGGGACATGGCCAAACCATATCATCTTAAAAAATGGAGTTTACATGAAACATCTTAAAATTAAAACAATATATTTAAATCTCATGACAACTTAAATTGAATATAAAAATTTTACCTCTATATTTTTCAGTTTGTTATTAATATTAAAAATTATTTTATATTGTATATTAACATTTATGCCGGTTTTTCTGTTTTAAATACTCTACAGAATAGCTTTAAGACTTGTATACATCATCATTATGATAGTAAAGAGTTCTATATTTGTATATTTGCATTTAATAGAGCGCTCTGTTTTATGTATGGTTTTATGATGCTGTCCAGTATTTTATTTTTAAACAAAATTGACTCATTTTAGCATTTTTTTGGTTATATGCAGAGTCTCCCTGGATTACTCAGCGTGATCTGAAACTCCTGGTCTCTAGTGTTCTGACAGCCTTGGCCTCCTAAAACTATAAGATTACAGTCATGAGCCCACAGTGCCTGCCCCCATGTAGCATTTTTTCATAAAACTGTGCTAGTGGTGATGAACACCCTCATCCTTTATCTTGGATTTTTTTATTTTCATCTTCTTTTTAAAGTAAAATAAATTTAAATCAAATATTATTGGTTAGAATTTTTTCTTTTATTACGTCAAAATGTGGAAAGTTCTCACCCTTTTTTATCTTCAAGTAACCTCTATTATTTTTTTCTCATATTCTTCTTCCTTAATGAATATATTGATCTAGTTGATGGTATCTAATAAGTTTTACATTCCATGTTTTAATTTTATTTTGCAATTTTATATTTTTGTATATAAAATATATATATGTATTTGAGGGTATGTCACAACACATCTGTTAATTGTGTTTTGATTTTTTAGTATATATTCTAATTGTGCATGCCAATATTTAACTTTGTACAATTTAAGACATTGTGGAGCAAAATCATATATGAATTAGCCATATGTCTTTTCCAATAGAATTATCTCTATTTGCCTGGAAAAATGTTATCCTTGTTTTTTTTTATAACTTGTATATTTGTTGTGAAGGTTTGTTGTGAATAGTTTTTTAATCCTGTGTAGATGAGAAGTCATGAAATTCTTGTAATTTCAACATCCTATTAATTTGTGAATATATGTGATTTTTGCATGGGAGAAACACATTTGGTTTTGAATATAATTTAAAACTATCATAACTATGTATCTTTTAGGTATTATTGTTTATTTTTACTTGTCAATAAAACATAACAAAATTTACCACAAAATATTTTTAAATATTCAGTTTATCGTGACATTGTCATGGAACATATTGCTAAAACATTTTTATCTTGTAAAGCTAAATCTTAATACATATTAAACAACTACTAATTTTTCCATTGTCTACCAAATTTTCCAGAGTCTTGCTCTGTCACCCATACTGGAGAGCAGTGGCACGATCTCAGCTCACTGCAACGTCCACCTTCCAGGTTCAAGCAATTTTAGTGCCTCAGCTTCCTGAGTAGCTGGGATTACAGGTGCCAACTGCCATGCCTGGCTAATTTTTGCATTTTTAGTAGACGTAGTTTTGCTATGTTGGCCAGGCTGGTTTCAAACTCCTGAGCTTAGGTGATCCACCTGCCTTGGCCTCCCAAAGTGCTGAAATTACAGGTGTGAGCCACCATGCCTGGCCCCAGTTTTTTCTGTTTTATGGCACTTTTCAAATATCACTCTGTTCTTTGTTTCTAAAAGTGTAACTCCTTCATATATCTCATACAGTCTCTTTTTGTGGCTGACTCATTTCATTTTGCATAATGCAATCAAGATTTATATTTATAGTTGGCAGAATATTTCCTTCTTTTTGAATACTGAGTGATATTCCAGAATTTTTTTTCGTTTTTCTATTTCATTTTTTAGATGGAGTTTCCCCCTTGTTGCCCAGGCTGTAGTGTAATGGCATGATCTTGGCTCACCGCAACCTCTGCCTCCCAGGTTCAAGCGATTCTACTGCCTCATCCCCCCAAGTACCTGGGATTACAAGCATGTGTCTCGACGCCTCGCTAATTTTGTATTATTAGTAGAGACTAGGTTTCTCCATGTTGGTCAGGCTGGTCTTGAACTCTCAGTCTCAGGTAATCAGCCCGCCTCACCCTCTCAAAGTGCTGGGATTACAGGCTTGAGCCACCACACCTGGCCTCACAATTTTTATATTTCAAATTACATCTGCTGAATGATTTGGTGAAAGAAATTTGGGTTGCTTTCACCTGTTGGCTTACAGTAACAATGCTGCAATAATTATGAGTATGTAAATGACTCCTTATATGACCATATATGTGAAAGTTTATATGTGTGCTGCATTCTATTTTATGTCTACTTTTTTACCTTTATACTAATAGCAAATCATTTTAATTCTGTAGCTTTGTAATGTATTTTGAATTAAGAACTTAAATGCCTCCAGCATTTTTTTCTTTTTTTTGAAGATTGTTGGGCACTTTATAGTCTCTTGGGATTCTATATACTTTTGGGGTTGTTGTTTCTATTTCTTCAAAAATGCAATGAGAAATTTGGAAAACATTGCATTAAATATGTAAATTGCATTGAGCACAATGGACCTCTTCACAATTTAACTATTTCAACTTTTGTGTAAGAGCACACTTAAGAGTGTTTTGTTTAATTTCTGTGTATTTGTAAATTTTTCATTTTTGTTCTCATCATAGTATACTCTCATATCATTTTGGTCATAGAAAGTAGTTCATGGAATTTTACCTTTAAAAATGTTGGTAAGACTTCCTTTGTGGCCTAAGATGTGGTCTATCAAGGAAAATGTTATATGAGCTATTGAGAAGGGTATGTATTCTGATGTTGTTGAGGAATGTTCTCCATCACTCTGTTCGGAATAATTGTTTTATACTGCCTTTAAGTAGTCTATTCCCTTATTAACATTCTTGTTTTATTTTTGTTACAGAAAGTGTGGTATTAAAATATCTTTCTATAATAATACTGCTTTCTTTGTGTTTCTTCCATTCTGTCAATATTGGCTTTATATATTTGGAACACTAATGTGAGACACATACACACACACACACTCACACACACACAGAGAAATTTGTAATAGGTTCCCAGTTAATGAATCGATTATTTTTTGATGTTCTTCTTTGTTTCTTTGGAGTTTTAATTTCAAGTACATTTTATAAAATATTATACTTTTTGACTTAAGATGGAGCTTGTGTATGATTATTTTGACTGTTTATGCTGTCCTCTGATTAATGTTTGCATGGAATGTCTACTTCCAGTCTTTTTTAACCATTAAATTTCTTTTCTGAGATGGAGTTTTGTTCTTTCACCCAGGTGGGAGTGCAGTGGCATGATCTCGGCTCACTGCAACCTTTGCCTCCTGGGTTCAAGTGATTCTCCTGCCTTAGCCTTCTGAGTAGCTGGGACTACAAGCATCTGCCACCACGCCTGGCTAATTTTTGCATTTTTAGTAGAGACGGGGTTTCACCATGTTGGCCAGGGTGGTCTCAATCTCTTGACCTTGTGATCCACCTGCCTCGGCCTCCCGAAGTGCTGGGATTACTGGCATGAACCACAGCACCCAACCTCTTTTGTGTATTTATACGAATATGTTTGTGGTACTTTGGGGATTACATATAACCTCTGAAAAATACAACAATATATTTTAATCTGGTAAAAAAATAAGTTGCATACAAAAATTCTTTTTCATCTTCCCTCAAGTTTCATTGACATTGCTAGTTATGTCTTTTTGTGTTGTATATTCATTAACAGATATTTATAATTATTTCTATACTTTTTTCTTTCAAATTTCAGAGAATAATTAGAAATGTTTTTTGCACCACTAGGATAATGCTCAGAAATTCTAATTTTGTTTATTTGTGTATGTTTTCCAGAAAATTATTTTTGTATGATTATGTGGTGTTTTTTTGAATCATGTTATTTTCAGTAAAATATTTTCAGCACCCTTTATATGTAGGACATAAGCAGTACCAATATACTTTTTTAAAACTTGTTTATTTTGGAAAGTTTCTATATTTTTATTTGGCAGAACAGATTCACTGATGGTATTATTCTCACTTAATAGCTGCTTTTTCTCACAACTTTTTTATGACTACATCACACAGTTCCCTTATGGCCTGCAAAATTTTTGTTAACTCTTCACAGATTATCTCGTAAGACTGTGTTTGTAAATGGCACATCACTGTTTCCTTTTAATTTTTATTTTTTGGAGACAGAGCCTCACTCTATCCTCCCGACATGCTGGAGTGTACTGGTGCAACCTCAGCTAACTGCAACCTCCACCTCCCAGGTTCAAGCGATTCTCCAGCCTCAGCCTCCTGAGTAGCTAGGATTACAGGCACACACTTCCACACCCAGCTAAATTTTGTAGTTTTAGTAGAGATGGGGATTCGCCATGCTGGCCAGGCTGCCCTTTCTAAAGGCATTATGTTACAGTGAGAAGCAGGAAAAGCTGTGTTGGGTAAATTTATCAGACTTCTCTTTTTCTTCTATGTGGTTTTTCACATTGTGCTCATCTGGGACACTGCACACAACTCATTTATAAATTTTCCACAGATGTATTTTGGTCTCTATATTTTTGTTACATTTGTATGTCTGTGAAAGAATTAGGGCCTGTGGTATTTTGCAAAGCCATTTTATTTATGTAGATGGTATAAATTTATAGGTAAGATTTTTAAACTATATTCATGTGAGTCTAGTAAGTGGAGTAATTTATAAAAATTTTTTTTCAGTTATACATTCTCATGTTGCTCAAGACCTTTGGCCAGAACAGGGTATGGAAGATTCTTTTCAAAAAGTAATACCAAGAAGATATGAAAAATGTGGACATCAGAATTTACAGTTAAGAAAAGGCTCAAAGTGTGGATGAGCTTAAGGTGCACAAAGAAGGTTATAATGGACTTAACCTGTGTTACACAACTACCCAGAGCAAAGTATTTCAATGCGGTAAATGTTTGAAAGTCTTTTATAAATTTGTAAATTCAAACAGACATAAGACACACTGGAAGGAAACCTTTCAAATGTAAAAAAATGTGTCAAATCATTTTGCATGCTTTCACACAAAACCCAGCATAAAAGCATTTATACTACAGAGAAGTCCTACAAATGTAAAGAACGTGGAAAAATCTTTAATTGGTCTTCAACCCTTACTAATCATAAGAAAATTCATACTGAAGAAAAACCCTACAAATGTGAAGAATATAGAAAAGCTTTTAGTCTATCCTCAAATCTTACTACACATAAGATAATTCATATTGGAGAGAAACCTTATAAGTGTGAAGAATGTGGCAAAACGTTTAACAAATCCTTAACCCTAACCATATATAAGAGGATGCACACTGAAGAGAAACTCTACAAATGTAAAGAATGTGGCAAAGCATATGTATGGTCCTCAAACCTAACTAAACATAAGAGGATGCACGCTGGAGAGAAACCCTACAAATGTGAAGAATGTGGCAAAGCTTTTAGCCAATCCTCAACCCTTACTACACATAAGATAATTCGTACTGGAGAGAAACGCTACAAATGTGAAGAATGTGGCAAAGCATATGTATGGTCCTCAACCCTAACTAAACATAAGAGAATGCACACTGCAGAGAAACCCTATAAATGCGAAGTATGTGGCAAAACTTTTCATCGATTCTCAAATCTTAGTGCACATAAGATAATCCATACTGGAGAGAAACCTTACAAGTGTGAAGAATGTGGCAAAGCATTTATATGGTCCTCAACCCTTACTGAATATAAGAAAATTCATACTAGAGAGAAACCCTACAAATGTGAAGAATGTGGCAAAGCATTTAGCCGATCTTCAACCCTAACTATACATAAGAGGATGCATACTAGAGAGAAACTCTACAAATGTGAAGAGTATGGCAAAGCTTTTAGACAATCCTCAACCCTTACTGCACATAAGATGATTCATACTGGAGAGAAACCCTACAAATGTGAAGAATGTGGCAAAGCCTTTAACTCGTCCTCAACTCTTACTAAACATAAGATAATCCATACTGAAGAGAAACCCTACAAATGTGAAAAATGTGGCAAAAGCTTTAACCAGTCTTCAATCCTTACTAACCATAAGATAATTCATACTGGAGAGAAACCTTACAAGTGTGAAGAATGTGGCAAAGCTTTTAATCGTTACTCAAATCTTACGAAACATACAATTGTTCATACTGGAGAGAAACCCTACCAATGTGAAGAATGTGGCAAAGCCTTTAAATGGTCCTCAAATCTAACTAAACATAAGATAATTCATACTGAAGAGAAACCCTACAAATGTGAAGAATGTGGCAAAACCTTTAACCAGTCTTCAATTCTTACTAACCATAAGAAAATTCATACTGTAGAGAAACCCTGATAATATGAATAATGTGGCAAATCTTTTAACTTATCTTCAACTTTTAATAAACATTGAGGTAGTTTATACTGGAGTAAAACCCTACAAATGTGAAGAATGTGGGAAAGCCTTTTTCTCATCCTCATCCCTAACTACACATAAGAAAATTCATACTGGACAGCAACCCTACAAATGGAAAAAATTTGGCAAAGCCTTTAACCAGTCCTCACTTATTACTACAGATAAGTCATATTGGAGAAAAATCTTACAAGTGTTAATAATATGGAAAGCCTAAAAAAGTCCTCAATTCTTAACAGACATAAGATTATTCATATTGGAGAGAAACTCTACAAACCTGAAAGAAAAGACAATGCTTTTGACAACACCTCAAACTTTTCTAAACATAAAAACATGTTGCCAACAAATTCTAGAAATGTGAAGAATGTGACAAAGCCTTTAAATGATTGTCACGCTTGATTATAGATAAGATAATTCATGCTGAGAAAATTGACGGTGTGAACAATGTGGCCAAGCTTCTAACCAATGCTCACATCTTATTGCACTGTAAAGCATTTATACTTGAGAACCAATGTACAAATATTGACAAAAAAGCCATTAATACCTGCTCAAATCTTACTCAAAATCAGAATTCATACTAAATAAAAGCATTAAAAGTTTAATTACTATCAAAAGATCTATCAGAAAATATGTCTATAAAGTGCAGAAGAGTATTTATTTTGAAAAAGCATTACCAATATGAAGAGGGTTGTAATATCTTTGCTTGTATCACAGATCGTATTGTACACATTTTGTACTAGAGGAAAATCTTGAGGCAGTTGTTAAAATTTTGTTCAACATCAAGGAGTTTATACTGAAGAAAACCCTGCCAATGTAATAAATTTGGAAAAACATTTTTTTCAAAAACTGCAAATTATAAAACACCAAAGAGTTTATACTAAAATGTATTTTTGCAGATGCATTAAATATGAAAGATATTCAGTCCAAAGTTAGTTAGTTCTATGTAACTATCAGGGAATCATTCACAGTAGAAATATCTAGGACACTCAAACTTTAGACATTATACTAAATCAGAATGCTGAGTATAAAAAATACAGACTAAAGTTCATATAAACATTATTTGTATATAACTTTAAAAAAAAATTTTGGAGAGATGTAATTACACTCAAAGTATACTTTTTGTGAAAATATGGAATTTTTAAAAAGTGAATAATAATGGAATTAATGTCTTAAATTACTTCATGCTGTTTCATCATTCCTGGTGTATTCACATGTGAAAATATGTGACTAAACATTGCTGAATAAAAGATACGAAAGATTCTTTTTTTTAGGTAGGTGTTATTTATGACCTTTTCTATGGAAGGGTAAGGACATTATAATGTAGGATTCATGATGAAAATTTAAGTAGAGAGGCTCTTTGTGGTTAACTTATAACATTGAGTGATGTATGAGGTAGGTGTTCAGAGTAATCTGCATTATTAGGAAAGAAAAACTTTTAAATTTTGTTTAAGTTAGTATGTTATCTTATTAATTGTACTTTTATGGAATAATATTAATTATACTTTTAAATTATAAATTTTATGTCAACTTTCCATTTAAACATTTTTAACAGTTTAAATACTGTCATGAATTCATTGAAGTGTTATGCCACTAACTTTAGCCTATTACACCTTACTCAAGGGTGTAGGTAAAAGATGGTAACAATATATTATTTGGTAAGATAATGGACTGAAATCTCTAGTAATCTTTTTTGCCAGTGGCTTTAAATTGTCAATAAGTTACAGAATATTGTTCCTATAGGTGAAACTTTTATTCTTATTTTCACGTTTAAATTTATTTTTCTTAATTTTTGTGGATACATAATATGTGTATATGCATATGCCATATATGGCATATTTTGATACAGGCATGCAATATGTAATCATATTAGAGGAAAATAGTTATCCATTACCTGTAGCATTTATTCTTTGTATTACAAGCAATTCATTTCTTCAAATAACTAACTAGTTTTAGTTATTTTTAAATGTACAATTAAATTGTTATTGACTGCAGGATCACTTTTATGGTCATAATGAAAATTATGTAGAAACATAAGTAAAATGTGGCCTCTGCTTGCATGCACATATGGACTGTTAGTATTGATTTACAGAGTTAAATATACATCTATTAGTCTAAAGATAAATCTTAGGTGTAAATAAATTTTGGAGTAAATGTATTTGTGTTATTGTAAGTTTGAAACTATTTTTAGCAGAAAAAAGCAATTTTGGAGCAAAATAAATCATTTTAAGAAGGTGTCTAATTTACTAGAAAGAAATTCTCAAAAATGCTGAAAGCAAATCTATTCTGTCTGCTTTGTATTGAATTTATTACTGTATAATCCTTGGCTTATGCTTCAGAATCTCCCCATGAAAATTCTCTGTTTTAAGTTGACTATTACTCATGTTAGACCCATAATTTTTGTTTGTTTGTTTGTTTAATAGTTTTTTTTTGTTTTTTTTTTGAGACGGAGTCTTGCTGTATAGCCCAGGCGGGAGTGCAATGGTGCTATCTTGGCTCACTGCAACCTTGGCATGACATTTTCAAGCAATTCTTCTACCTCAGCCTCCCAAGTACCTGGGATTACAGGTGCCTGCCACCATGCCCAACTAAGTTTCATATTTTTAGTAGAGACAGGGTTGGTCAAGCTGGTCTCAAACTACTGACCTCAGGTGATTCACCCACCTTGGCCTCCCAAAGTGCTGGGATTACAGGCATGAGCCACTGTGCCCAGCCTGTGTAATAGTTTATGAAGTATTCATTATGTGAGCTAGTCTGTAATTATAAGAATAATTTTTTTTAAAATCTCATTGTTCCATAATTTAATGGGGTACAGGTGATACTTGGTTGGATGAGTAAGTTCTTTAGTGATTTGTGAGATCCTGATAGACCCATCAGCTGACCAGTATACACTGCACCATATATGTTGTCTTCTATCCCTCCTTTTTCCCACTCTTCCCCCCAAGTCCCCAAAGTCTATTGTATCATTCTTATGCCTTTGTGTCCTCATAGCTTACCTCCCACATATCAGCGAGGACACACAGCGTTCGGTTTTCCATTCCTCAGTTACTTCACTTAGAATAATAGTCTCTAATCTCATCCAGGTCATTGCAAATGCTGTTAATTCATTCCTTTTTGTGGTTGAGTAGTATCCCAACATATATATATATATACACACATATATACACACACATATACACACCACACCTTCTTTATCTACTCGTTGATTGATGGGCATTTTGTTTGGTTCCACGATTTTGAAATTGTGAATTGTGCTCCTAGAAACATGAATGTTTAAGTATGTTTTTCTATAATCAGTATTTGGGTTTATTTTTGGGTTCTCTGTTTCATTGTTCTATGTTTCAAATAATGACTTCTTTTCCTGTGGGTAGATACCCAGTGGTGGGATTAAATGGTAGTTCTACTTTTAGTTCTTTAAGGAATCTCTACACTCTTTTCTATAGTGGCTGTACTAGTTTACATTCCCACCAGCAGTGTAGAAGTGTTTCCTGATTGCTTCATCCATGCCAACATCTACAGTTTATTGATCTTTTGATTATGGCCATTCTTGCAGGAATAAGATGGTATTACATTGTGGTTTTGATTTGCATTTCCCTGATCATTAGTGATGTTGAGCTTTTTTAAATCTATGTTTGTTGGCCATTTGTATATCTTCTTTTGAGAGTTGTCTAATCAAGAGCCCACTTTTTTATGGGAATTTTTTTTTTACTGAGTTGTTTGAGTTCATTGTAGATTCTGGATATTAGTCCTTTGTCAGATGTATAGATTGTTAAGATTTTCTCCCACACTGTGAGTTGTCTGTTTGCTCTGCTGACTGTTCCTTTTGCCGTGAAAAGCTCTTTAATTTAATTAGGTCTTAGCTATTTATCTTTGTTTTTACTGCATTTGCTTTTGGATTTTTGTCATGAAATTTTTGCCTAGCCAATGCCTAGAAGGGTTTTTCCAATGTTATCTTCCAAAATTTATACAGTTTCAGGTCTTAGGTTTAAGTTCTTAAGTCATCTTGAGTTGATTTTTGTATAAGGTGAGAGATGAGGATCCAGTTTTATTCTCCTACATGTGGCTAGCCAATTATTCCAGCACCATTTGTTGAAAAGGGTGTTCTTTCCCCACTTTATGTTTTTGTTTGCTTTGTTGAAGATCAGTTGGCTGCAACTATTTGGGTTTATTTCTGGGTTCTCTGTTCCATTGGTCTATGTGCCTGTTTTTATACCAGTACTATGCTGTTTTGGTGACTATGGCCTTACAGTATAGTTTGAAATCAGGTAGTGTGGTGCCTTCATTTTTTTTTTTTTTTTTTTTTTTTTGCTTAGCCTTCCTTTGTCTATGTGGGCTCCATATGAATGTTAGAATTGTTTTTTCCAACTCTGTTTTTCTAACTCACCATCTTCAGAATGATGGTGGTATTTTGATGGGGATTGTGTTGAATTTGTAGATTGCTTTTGGCAGTATGGTCATTTTCACAATATTGATTCTACTCATCCATGAGCATGGGATGTGTTTCCATTTGTGTCATCTATTATTTCTTTCAACAGTGCTTTGTAGTTTTCCTTGTAGAGGTCTTTTGAGTCCTTCATTAGGTGTGTTCCTAAGTATTTTATTTTTGTTGAGTTATTGTAAAAGGGGTTGAGTTCTTGATTTAATTCTCCGTTTGGTTGCTGTTGGTGAACAAAAGGGCTACTTATTTGTGTAGGTTAATCTTGTATCCAGAAACTTTGCTGAATTATTTTATCAGTTCTAGGAGCTTTCTGCAGGAGTCCTTAGGGTTTTCAAGGTAAATGATTATATCATCAGCAAACAGAGGCAGTTTGACCTTTTGTTTACTGATTTGGATGCCCTTTATTTTCTGTCTTATTGCTTTGGCTAGGACTTCCAGGATTGTGTTGAAGAGGAGTAGTGAGAGTGGGCATCCTTGTCTTGTTCCCGTTCTCAGAGGGAATGCTTTCAACTTTTCCCCATTCAGTATTATGTTGGCTGTGGGTTTGTCATAGATAGCTTTTATTATATCAAGCTGTGTCCCTTGTGTGCCAACTTTGCTGAGAGTTTTAATCATAAAAGATGCTGGATTTTGTCAAATGCTTTTTCTGAATCTATTGAGATGATCTTGTGATTTTAGTTTTAAATTCTATTTATGTGGTGTATCACATTGTTTTACCTGTGTGTGTTAAACCATCCCTGCATCCTGGTATGCAATCCACTTGATCACAGTGAATTATCTTTTTGACATGTTGTTGGATTTAATTAGCTAATTTTTTGTTAAGGATTTTAGCATCAATGTTTATCAATGATATTGGTCTGTAGTTTTCTTTTTAGGTTGTGTCTTTTCCTGGTTTGGGTATTAGGGTGATGCTGGCTTCATAGGATGAATTAGAGAGATTTCCTTCTTTCTCTGTATTAGTACTGATTCTTTGAATATCTGGTACAATTCTGTTGCGAACCTCTCTGGTCCTGGACTTTTTTTTGTTGGTGATTTTTAAATTACCATTTTAATCTCCCTGCTTGTTATTGGTCTGTTCAGGGTATGTAATTCCTCCTGATTTAAGCTAGGAGAGTTGTATTTTTCCAGGAATTTAAGTATCTCTTCTAGGTTTTCTAGTTCTTTTGTAAAGGTGTTTATACTAGCCTTCAATGATTTTTTTGTGTTTCAGTGGTGTCAGTTATAATATCTCCTGTTTCATTTCTCAGTGAGGTTATTTGGATTTTCTCTTTTTTTCTTTCTTAGTCTTGCTAATGGTCTATCAATTTTATGTATTTTTCCTAAGGAGAAGCTTTTTGTCTCATTCATTTACCTTTTGTATTTTTTTTTGTTTCAATTTCATTTAGTTCTTTTCTGATCTTGGTTATTTCCTTTTTTTCTGCTGGGTTTGGGTTTGGTTTGTTCTTGTTTCTCTTTTCTCTAGTTTCTTGAGGTATGACCTTAGATTGTCTGTTTCTGCTCTTTCAGACTTTCTGATGTAGGCACTTAGGGCTATGAACTTTCCTCTTAGCACCACCTTTCCTGTATCCCAGAGGTTTTGAAAGGCTGTGTCATTATTGTCACTCAGTTAGAAAAGTTTTTAATTTCCATATTGATTTTGTTTTTGCCCCAGTGCTCATTCAGGAGCAGGTTACTGAATTTCCATGTTTTTGCATGGTTTTGAAAGTTTCTTTGTGTGTTGATTTCCAGTTTTATTCCACTGTAGTCTGAGAGAGTGCTTGAAATAATTTCAATTTTCTTAAATTTATTGAGGCTTGTCTTATGGCCTATCATATGATCTATCTTGGAGAAAGTTCCATGCGCTATTGAGCAGAATGTGTGTTCCATGGTTGTTGGATGAAATGTTTTGTGTATATCTGTTAGTCCATTTTTTCCAAGGTGTAGTTAAATTCATTGTTTCTTTGTTGACTTTCTGTCTTGATGACCTGTGTAGTGCTGTCAGTGGAGTATTGAAGTCCCCCACTATTATGATGTTGGTGTCTATCTCATTTCTTCTGTCTATTAGTAATTGTTCTATAAATTTTGGAGCTCCAGTGTGATGTTTGTATATTTAGGATTGCATATATGTTTAGGATTGTGATGTTTTCCTGTTGGGTCAGGCCATTTACCGTTATATAATGTCCTTCTTTGTCTCTTTTAACCACAGTTGCTTTAAAGTTTGTTTTGTCTGATATAAGCATAGCTACCCCTGCTTACATTTGGTGTCCATCTGCATGAAATGCCTTTTTACACCCCTTTACTTTATTTGAGTCTTTATGTTAGGTGAGTCTCCTGAAGATGGCAGATAGTTGGTGAGTTCTTATCCATTCTGCCGTTCTGTGTCTTTTAAGTGGAGCATTTAGGTCATTTACATTCAATGTTAGTATTGAAATATGAGGTACCATTGCATTCATCATGATCTTTGTTGGCTGCATACTTTGGTGTTTTGTTGTTGCTGTTGTTGTTGTTGTTGTTTTGGAATGGAGTCTGCTCTGTCACCCATGGTGGAGTGCAGTGGCTCGATCTTGGCTCACTGCAACATCCGTCTTCCAGGTTCAAGTGATTCTCCTGCCTCAGCCTCCTGAGTAGCTGGTACTACAGGTGCTCACCACTACACCGGGCTAATTTTTGTATATTTAGTACAGACAGGGTGTCACCATATCAGATAGGGTGGTCTCGAACTCCTGACCTTGTGATCCACCCACCTCAGTCTCTCAAAGTGCTTACTGGAATTACAGGTGTGAGCCACTGCATCGGGTATTTTTTTTTAACTTGTATTTTTATTTTATAAGTCTTGTTTGATTTATGCTTTAAAGAGTTTCTGGGCTGGGCACAGTGACTCACTCCTATAATGCCAGCACTTTGGGAGGCTAAGGCGGGTGGATCACCTGGGGTCAGGAGTTTGAGACCAACCTGATCAACATGGAGATACCCCCTTCTCTACTAAAAATACAACTGTTTCTTTCCTTCATATATGATGCTTAGTTTCATTGGATGCAAAATTCTTGGCACATAATTGTTTTGTTTGAGGAGGCTGAAGATGGGGCCCCAATCCCTTCTAGTTTGTATGGTTTCTCCTAAGTAGTCTGCTGTTAATCTGGTAGGTTTTCCTTTATAGGTTACCTGGTGCTTCTGTCTCACAACTCTTAAGATTCTTTCCTTTGTCTTTACTTTGGATAAGCTGATGACAGTGTGCTTAGGCGAAGATCTCTTTGCAATGAATTTTCCAGGTGTTCTTTGTGCTTCTTGTATTTGCATGTCTAGGTCCCTAGCAAGGCCAGAGAAGTTTTCCTTGATTATTCCCTCAAATATATTTTTCAAGCTTTTAGAATTGTCTTCTTCCTCAGGAACACAAATTATTCTTAGGTTTGGTCATTTAACATAATTCCAGACTTCTTGGAGGCTTTGTTCATATTTTCTTATTCTTTTTTATTTGTCTTTGTTGAATTTGGTTAATTCAAATATCTTGTCTTTGAACTCTGAATTTCTTTCTTCTACTTGTTACTGCTGAGACTTTCCAGAGCATTTCGTATTTCTAAAAGTCTGTGCAAAGTTGCCTGAATTTTTGATTTTTTTTTCTTTAAGCTATATATTTTGTTGAATATTTCTTCCTTCACTTCTCATATGATTTTTTTTTTATTTTGTTGCATTGGGCTTCACCTTTCTCTTGTCTCTCCATCATTAGCTTAAGAACTAACCTCCTGAATTCTTTTTTTAGATAAATCAGGGATTTCTTCTTGGTTTGGATCCATTGCCAGTGAGCTAGTGTGATTTTTTTTTTTTGTGGGGTGTTGACAAACCTCCTTTTGTCATACAACCTGGTTTGCTTTTCTGGTTCCTTCTCATTTGGGTAGTCCCTTTCAGAGGGAAGGTCTAGAGCTGAAAACTGTTGTTCAGATTTTTTTTTTTTATCCCTCAGGGTGTTCCCTTGATGTAGTACTCTCCCCCTTTTCCTGTGGATGTGGTTTCCTGTGAGCTGAACTACAGTGATTGGTTGTCTCTCTTCTGGATCTAGCCACCCAATGAGTCTTCCCAGCTCCAGACTGATACTTGGGGTTGTCTGCACAGAGTCCTGTGATGTGAAGTGTTTATGAGTCTCTCAGCCATGGATACCAGTGCCTGTTCTGGTGGAGGTGGCTAAGGGTGCAATGGACTCCATGGGTGTCCTTAGCTTTGGTGGTTTAATGCTTTATTTTTGTGCTGGTAGACCTCCTGCCAGGAGATAGTGCTTTCCAGAAAGCATCAGCTGTAGTACTGTTGAAAGGGACTAGCAGTGGGTGGGAACCCAGGACTCCCAAGATTATATGTCCTTTTTCTTCTGCTACCATGGTGTTTAGGGAAAGACCAATGGGTGCGGGGGGTGCTAGGCATGCCTGAGTTCAGAGTCTCCTTGGGTGGTTGTTGCTGAAGCTGCTGTGGCAGATGGGGGTGAGATTCCCAGGTCACTGGAGTTGTGTACCTAGGAGGATTATGGCTGTCTTTGCTGAGTCATGCAGGGTGTCAGGGAAGTGGGGGAAAGCTGGCAGTCACAGGCCTTACTCAGCTCCCATGCAAACGAAAGGGCTGGTCTCACTCTCACTGTGCCCTTCATAACAGACCTGAGTCTGTTTCCAGGTGGAGGGCGAGTTGGGCTTGAAAATTTCCCCAGGCTTTCTGTCTCCCAGCTGCGGGAAAAAAAAGGGCTTTAGTTCTTCCATGCCTGTGAAGTCTTCAAGCCGGATTCATGCCTTCCCCCAAGTTCTGGCCATAAGTCTTCTTGCCCCATTCAAATTGTTACAAAGTTCAGCTAGGGAAGTCCTTCTCCCCTTGGAAGTTTTACCCCCTGCTCCTCTGTCCTCCCCTTGATGGATCCCTGTGGTGCTAGGCAGGAATGGGCTCCTTGGGGATTCAGCGAGCTCCCAGGGCCTCTTTGTTGCCTCCTACACCCCTGTATTTCACTCAGCTTGGCTCTCTAACTTGACGCAGCTCCAGGTAGTTAGAAACTTCTCCCACAAACAGACTTTCAGCTTCTCCAGTGGGGTTGTGTGTTTAGGAGAGGAGGATCTCCCTTTCCCACTTCTGCAGTTGTGGCACTCACAGTATTTGGGGTGTCTCCAGGGTCCTGCAGGAGCAGTCTGCTTCCTTCAGAGAGTCTGTCCTGATGCCTTTAAAGACACAGTCTCAAGATGAAATGGTGATTTGTTCAGATAATCTCTCCTGAGAAGGAATCAGAGAAGAGAGGAAGAAATGGTTGATTGTCAGGTAAGTGTGTCCCAGGTCAAAATTCTGTCCACATTTTCTTCTAGAATGTCATGTATTTAGAATTGCAATAATTTACATTTCTACTTCTGATGCTTTTGCCTAACAAGATTATTTGAACTACATTTCTCTTGTCTTCTCGTGACAGTGAAAGGACCTCATTAAAATAATTCACTTCTATATATCAGAACCTTATCTTTATTCTCTCCATCCAGGCTTCTTACATATCACAACTAATACCTTGAATTTATACCCTGAAATATTGAGAGTATTCCCTTTGTTGACAGATCAGCCTGGGCAGGTGGGGATATAAAACATTCTTATTGGGGATGGTGCTGGGTCCTCAGATATCAGTGAGGGAGAAAACCGCACCTTTTGGGTTCCATCGGAGGGCTCCATCAGCTCTATGAAGAACATAATTTTTAAATGCACACTTTAAAAGGATGAAATTAATAGCCTGGAATAATTTAGAAAGATATTTAAAGGAATGAATTCAAAGAAATTTGCCTTCTAGAATGCTAAAAGAGTTTTTAGATACACTACTAGAAATTACAAAACATGGGCAACATATGTGGCTTGAACTTTACATAAAACACATTTTTCATGATTAGATTCAGATTATAATTTATGTTTTTTGGCCAGTAGTCTCACAGAGTCATGTTGCATCCTCCTATATGTATCAGCACCTGATACCAATCTGTCCCATTAATTTTATTAACTTGGTTAACGTGTTTTCTGAAGAATTTCTTCACTATAATGTTTCTTTTTAAAAACTGTATTATTAATAGGTATTTTGGAGAGGTGACTAATGTGCATAAACAATCACATTTACTCTGAAAGCTCCCCTATCATGCCAAGTGTCAGGTTCCAGCCTAATCTGAGGTCTAACAGGAGTGGGTGGGTGAGTGGTGGGTTGCTGGAAAAACAATCAAGGAACTATGGGAATTTTTGAGATGGCTTTTTTTTCTCTCTAGGCACAAGCCTGAGCACGAGCCCTGTGTACAGGGTGAGCAGCTTTACTCTCCCTCTCCCTCCTGTCCACCTGTCTGTGTACTCTTTTCACTCAATAGTGGATCAGAGCCAAGTATGAGCTTATACAACCAGGTTACATAATAAGTAGAATGGTGCACCTGCACTCTAAACTAACTGAGTCATGCTGAACCAGACGTTTACCATGGCCTATTTTTGACCACAGAACATCCATTTTTCTTACACTCTTTTTCTTAATAGTTTCTCTTTGTTTATACATTGCTTTGGAAAATGAAGGCTGTCATCTTTGTTTACTGGTCATATACATGGGGAAAAAACCCAGGTTCTATCACTTACTAGATGTTTTACAGAGTATTTTTCTTAAGCTAGAATCATTGACATCATTGGTGAGTTTGTTAGCAATACAGTAACTCAGGTCTCATCCCAGATCTCTTGAATTAGAATACGTATTTTAACAAAATCTCCAGTTTATTAATGTATGCATTAAAATTCGAGAGGTAACTTCTAACTTACTGTGACTTCTCCATATGAGAACTGTACACACCTTACTCTGTATAATGTATATATGGCACTCAAAACTGTAAATGCTTGTGTTTTTGCCATAAATATTATGCTGTGTCATTCAGAAAACTATAATACATACACTGGTTTTGTGGATCTTGTTTCATCCTCTTTCCTCAGAATGAAGGAATACATTAGAGAATCTTTCTCTATTGAACAATATTTTATTGGATAATGCCAGTCTCTTATGTGAAACAGAGCCAGTTCTCTTAACTCTCAAACACTTAGAGTAAAATTAATAATTCTGCCTATGACCACTTGCTAAGTATGTGTGGGTCTTTGGGTTTATTTTAGGAAATGTTAACTTTCAAGGCTGTGGCCATAGAATTCTCTCAGGAGGTGTGGAATGTCTGAATACTGCTCAGTGAAATTTGTTCAGAGATGCAGTGTTAGAGAACTGCCGAAAACTGGTCTCTCGGTGTCAATACATTTTCCCCAGGTTTTCTAATACACCCTAAGGCTTCTATTTTCTCCCTTTGTAGAATGATTTTGGCAGTTTTTCCTCTGCACAAATTATTTTTAGATCAACACTTTTAAGGAAAACTTGAAGGTTTACTGGAACAGAAAAGAAAATCTTCAAGATGTTTTAACAGGAAACTTCCCCTTTCTTGAGCTAATCTGTATTCTTCACTCTAGATTAATGGTCATTCTAGAAATTCAGTGGCATTAAATATTCTTGCCCAAATATTAAAATTCAATATCCAGCACCAATTTTAAATTCAATAATATTGAATAGTAGAGCTAAGGACCCAGAAATGTAAAATATGTTCTAAATATTCAAAAGTTTCTGTCAGAAAACAGTATTTTGGAATTAAATTTCTAGAATCTTTCATATTTTCTCCTCTCTACTGAACATGGTACAAGGTTGGTAACTGTAGAATCTCAGCAAGTTATGTTACTTTTTTCTAACAAAACAGGCCTTGCTGTCTCTAAACCTGATCGCATCTCCTGCCTTGAGCAAATAAAAGACCCCTGGAATGTGAAGAGACATGAGACAGTGGTCAAATACTCAGGCAGGTAAGCATGAATGAAGCAGATAACACAGACGAGAGGTACAAAGGTCAAAAAGAATTGCAGACCTTAAAATGTGGTATGGGATGCTCTGCTTCAGTGGAAATGTTTCCTAAAAAGCCATTTTTTATTCTGTAGCTTTTGTATAGGAGCATCATTTGTCCCATACCATTAAATTCTCTATGGACGTTACTTGCTATTTAGTGATTTTCCTTTGAAGGTACCGTGAGAGCTAAAGTCCTCTTTATGGCTTATAAGGTGCTGCATGATATGCCTCCTCTTCCATTGCTTCAAGGGGGGATATAAGAATATCTCTGAGTATTTTGAGGAAGTGCATGTTAGATCATTTCTGAAGTTTTCTTTTTCCATCATATCTGAAGTGTGTGAGAGCAGTGGTGACATTAAGATTTGTTTCAGAAATCTCAGGAACATCAATGACAGATGTTACTTGCTATTTCTGTATTTTTTCTTTTCTTTCTTTCCTTTTTGTTTTTGTTTGTTTGTTTGTTTGTTTGTTTGAGGCAGAGTTTTGCTCTTGTTGCCCAGGCTGGAGT
Source organism: Homo sapiens (assembly GCF_000001405.40). Lineage (NCBI taxonomy): Eukaryota > Metazoa > Chordata > Mammalia > Primates > Hominidae > Homo > Homo sapiens. Next base: position 23,479,197 of record NC_000019.10, on the reverse strand, counting down.
ACAATGGCATGATCTCAGCTCACCACCATCTTCCCCTCCTGGGTTCAAGTGATTCTCCTCTGGGTTCAAGAGATTCTCCCACTTCAACCTCTGGAGTAGCTGGGATTACAGGCATGTGCCACCATGACCAGCTAATTTTGTATTTTTAGTAAAGATGGTGTTTCCCAATGTTGGTCAGGCTGGTCTTGAATTTCCGAACGTAAGTGATCCTCCCGCCTTGGCATCCCAAAGTGCTGGGATGACAGGCGTGAGCCACCGTGCCCAGCCTCTATTTTTTCTTTTTGATATTAGTAATTTTAACAGATTTGAAGTCATACCTCATCACTGTTTTCATTTGCAGTTGCCTATTTGTAGGTGATATTAGGTATCATTTTCATGTAATAAACTAATTTTCTTTGAGTAGATACCCAATGATGAGGTTTCTGAATCAAATCGTAGTTTTATTTTTAGTTGAGATTGAGCATGTTTTTTATATGCGTGTTGGTTATTTGTATGTCTTTATTGAAAAATGCTTAGTAGTATTTGCTCATTTTTCAATGGGATTTCTTATTATTATGATATTTTTGAATTGTTTGAGTTATTTGTAAATTCTGAATATTGGTTTCATGTTGGCCCATAGTTTGCAAATATATTCTTTTATTCTGTAGGTTGCCTATTTATCCTGTTGATTTTTTTTTTTTTTTTTACTGTGCAAAAACTCTTTTGTGTCCCATTTGTCTATTTTTTATAATAATAATATAATAATAGTTTTCTTTGTTGTGTCCTTGGCTAGTTTTGGTATCAGGGTGATACTGACCTCAGAGTGACTTAGGGAGAATTTAATTATCTTCAATTTTTGGGAAGAGTTTAAGGAGGATTATTATTCTTTGTATATTTGGTAGAATTTGGCTGTGCGTTTATCCAGTCCTGAGCTTTTCTTTGTCGAGATACTTTTTATTACTGACTCAATCATGCTACTCATTACTGGTTTGTTCAGGTACTCTATTTCTTCCTGGCTCTATCTTGGGAGGTTGTATGTTTTCATGAATTTATTCATTCTTTTTAGGTTTTCAGGTTTATTAGTGTCTAGATGTTTATAATCATTTCTAGTGAACTTTTGTATTACTGTTGTATCCATTGTAATGTCTTCTTTCATAACTGATTTTGTTTATTTAGATTTTCATTCTGTTTGTGGTTAATCTACCTAGCAATTTACCCATTTTGTCTTTTTGGAAAACCAACTCTATTCTGTTGATCATTTTTATTGTTTTTCATCTCTATTTCATTTGGTTCTGTTCTGATTTTTGTTATTTTTTTCTTCTAACTTGGAATTTTGTTTATTATTAATTTTCTAGTTCCTTGAAGAGTGTGTGATGTCAGGTGCTCAATATGTAAGCTTTCTACTTTTTTGATGCAGTCATTTAGGCTGTAAACTGCCCTCTTAGTATTATATTTGCTTTATCTCACAGGTTTTATTATATTGTGTTTGTCTTTCCATCTTTTTTCCCACACATTTTTAATTTTTATCTTAATTTTCTTTTTGAAATGGGTTTTAATCTGTCACCCAGGCTGGAGGGCAGTGGAACAATCTTGGCTCACTGCAACCTCCACCTTCCAGGATCAAACCATCTTTTTATCTCAGCCTCCCGAGTAGCTAGGACCATAGGTGCGCACCATTACATCTAGCTATTTTTTAAAATTTTTTATAGAGATACAGTTGTGGCATGTTGCCCAGGCTAGTCTCAAAGTCCTGACCTCAGGTGATTCACCTGCCTCAGCCTCCCAAAGTGCTGGGATTACAGAGATGAGCCGCCACTCCTGGCTGGCCATTTTAATTACTTCATTTACAGTTTTTGGGAACAAGCCCCCCAAAATCTGTCCATAAACTGGCCCTGAAATTGGCCATAAACAAAATCTCTGCAGCACTGTGACATGTTCATGATGGCCATAACACCCACACTGGAAGGTTGTGTGTTTAGCAGAATGAGGGCAAGGAGCACCTGGCCCGCCCAGGGCAGAAAACCACTTAAAGGCATTCTTAAGCCACAAACAATAGCATGAGTGATCTATGCCTTAAGGACATGCTCCTGCTGCAGTTAATTAGCCCAACCTATTCCTTTAATTTGGCCCATCCCTTCATTTCCCAGCCTGACCAATGTGGTGAAACCTGTCTCTACTAAAAATATAAAAATTAGCTGGACGTGGTGGTGGGTGCCTGTAATCTGAGCTACTGGGGAGGCTGAGGCAGGAGAATTGCTTGAAACAGGGAGACAGAGACTGTAGTGAGCCTACATTGCACCACTGCACTCCAGCCTGGGCAACAGAGCAAGACTCCATCTCTCAAACAAGTAAAATAAAATAAGTAAATCAACATGCAGTAGTCAGTGAGCATCAGCCATGCAATTGTGCTAGGTACAGAAGATGGAAAAAATATCCTTGAGGTAGGAGAAACATGTTAACAGATAAATTACAGCAGACAGACTTGATAGACGAGGGTAAAAGTTATTAGGAACAGAAGGCCTAATTCTCCCTAGAAAAGGTACTATTTGAGATGGGTCTCAACGAAGAGTAAAGAGTAAATATTCTTTGCTGGGGGAAGGGGATGGAGACACAACAAAAAGAACAACCCATGCAACAGCAGGGGCAGTAAAGAATTATTCAGTGTGTCAGTGATGTGGAAGACAGAGACAAGAGCCAAGACTAGCAATTTGGTTTGGAAGCAGATATGGGTCTTCGTAAAACAAGTGAAGGAGTTTGGATTTTTCTTTTTGCAGACAGCAGGGAGGCAAGAGATGTTATTAGGCAGGCAAACAATGACAGCAGCTTTTGTTTTTGAGGATGATGACTCTGGCAGCAAGCTGGAAGATTAACAGCAGTAGAGAGAAACTGGTGGCAGAAAATTAAGAGGTGCTTATGACTCAATGAGGGCCTTAGGTCAGAAGTGATTAAACAGCCAAAGTCAGTGACTGAAGCATGGTTTTGAGGAGAGCCTGGTGACTGATTGGACATGGGGGTGAGAGAGACATGCATCAGGACAGCCATCAGTAATGTTCCTGGCCTAGTAGGTTGTGTGCATGGCAATCACCTTCCAGAAGGAATGGACATTACTTTCATTTTTACAAGTACTTGCAGGGTGAGGGACTTGTAGTGTGATCAGGATCACAAAAGATTACTGCTTCAGAAAAATTGTAAGTGAAAATGTAGAGTTAGAGTTGTCAGTTTATAGGTTAAAGGAGAGGGCACAAAAGCACCAGAATGCACAGGGCACTCTGCAGGAACAGAACTCACTCCCAAGTATGGGAGGTGAAAGGTTGCTGCAGAGAACAGGTACCTGGCAACTGACTGCAATGGGATGCTTACAGTCTGTCCACTGATTTCAGAATTTTAAAACAACTATTCTCAAGTGTTGCACATGTCTCTAAGGTAAGTGGGAGCCCAGACCACTGTGGAGGCAACTGTCTGCTTACTGCAGGCAGCCCTTTCTTTTCTGGAATTCAGTCTCCTCATCTTCCTGCCTTATCTCGTGCATATTTCCTGCTTGTGTAGTAGGGTGGAAAGTGGAAGGGCAGGACAAAGGTCAAATCAGTGGCACTTATTTGCTAAACATATACTAGACAGTTCTGGTGTGAGGCCTGGGGTCCCAGATCATATAAATTATCACTGTCTCCTTTATTGCATCCCTGTATTGTCCCCATCCATCTCAGCCAGGGCAGCTGGCTAACATCCACTCTCTCAAGACGACATGTGTGGACAGAAGACCTGGCTCAGAAACACCAGTCTATGAAAAGGGCAGATAGTTATGTAAGAATTTTGCAAAAACTTGAGAAATTAAAATAAGGGAGACTATGAATGCAAAAACATTAACTATCAAGCTAGTAAGAGCTAGTTCAAAGAATTTTTTTAAAAGATATACTCCACGTAACTGAAAACATGAGGGAGACTGGCAGATGACAGCATCAGAGCGAATTTCCTAAATAACTCAGGTAGGAGCCACCTACCAAAACAACTTTACAGAGCCAATGCATCTCATTTGTTGAAGAAGCTGATGAGTTCTAGAGCTCTTATTTACTATGGAGTTTTCAAATACACTGAATACCACTTAATGTTTTCCTCAATCCCAAGCTTCTTGTAAAACTTTGACCTTGCCAACCATGGCATCTTAGAGGCAAATAAAAGCTTACTTACTTTATGGAATTTCAGATTTCTAAATATAGCACATGCAATACAGGGAATGCACCCACTGTGCTTGTGGATGCAATAAAGGCCACTACTACACCTCTCAAGCAGGCTTGCTTGACTTCAGCTCTGCTGACATTTGTGGCTATCCTGTGCATTGTAATATGCTGAGCAGCATTTCTAGTGTCTGTATACTTAAGGCCAGTAGCACCCTTCCCCAAAGCAAATCACTCAAAAATTCAAAATTCTGGAAAGGAAATCCACAGTGGATACCCACAAAACTTCCTGATCTCAAAATAAACCACTTTATTCCATATGTAGGTTTTGAGTTTCTGGAACATTTATTTATCTTTACAACAATCCCATGAGGTAGAAAGGCTACTGAAAAGATGTCTATCATCATATTCATCAATGGCAACGTCACCAGAGGCTAAAGTTTCATTTGAAATTCCCTTATACCTTCAAATTCAATCAAATTTATTTTGAAAAAAAAAGGTCTTTATTAAAAATAACAACACACATACACAGAGGTAAATAAGCAGTATACATTTAAATCTATGATTTTTTTTTTTTTTGAGATCAAGCTGACTCTATAAAGCAGGTGTTCCATGGAGCTAGATGGTAGTTAGGAATTGTGGATGCTGAGCTTAATTTATTGCCAGCCACTGGGTACCTCATAAAGCAGCTATAAAATGGGTCAACATACCCACCCAACCCTAATAGTGTTGTTCTGAGTATAAACATGGAATCTTTCCTGAATGATTTCAAAGAAGCAGGGTGAAAATAACTTAGTCCAAGAAGGTACATCAAAATGAATAAAGAACATTTTAAAGTAATTAAACTACCAGAAATATCACACATTTATATAGTCCTACCCCATTGTCTCTGAGAACACGGAAAAAAGAGAAAATACAAAGCAAGCTAGGGAAAGACAAATACAGTTTTTAAAAGCTCTAATTAACCCCACTAAGAATTTTTTTGGCTACCTGGTGTATGTCAGGCACTGTACAATGTAGGGCAGTGCTCCTCAACCCTGTTGGCACCAGGGTCTGGTTTTGTGACAGACAATTTTTTCACGGATGTGGCAAGATGGTTTTCTATTGGTATGATTTAAGCGCATTACACTTACTGTGCACTTTGTTTCTATTATTACATTATAATATATAATGAAATAATTATACAGCTCACCATAACGTAGAATCAGTGAGAGCCATGGGATTGTTTTCCTGCAACTAAAGGTTCCCATCTAGGGGTGATGACAGACAGTGAGAGATCCTTAGGCGTTAGATTCTCGTAAATAGTGTACAACCTACATCCCTCACGTGCGCAGTTCACAATAGGGTCTGCACTCCTACGATAATCTAATGCTGCTGCTGATTTGTAATGCGAGTGATGGGGAGTGGCTGTGAATCCTGATGAAGCCTCGCTCATCCACTGCTCACCTCCTGCTGTGCGGTTTGGTTTATAACAGACCACAGACTGGTATCAGTCTGTGCCCTGGGTGTTGAGGACTCCTGATGTAGGGCAACAATGTTTATTCATTTATTTATTGAGTGTAGTGCTGTAATCTCAGCTCACTGCAATCTCTGCCTCCCGGGTTCAAGTGATTCTCCTGCCTCAGCCTCCCGAGTAGCTGGGATTACAGGCATGAGCCAAGAAGCACGGCTAATTTTGTATTTTTAGTAGAAATGGGGTTTCACCATGTTGGTCAGGCTGGTCTTGATCTCCTGACCTCAAGTGATCCACTCGCCTAGGCCTCCCAAAGTGCTGAGATTACAGGTGCAAGCCACCATGACCGGCTGGCAACTACATTTATTACCATCCATTTATTACTAGGTCACCCATGTTGTACAGTGCCTGGCACAGACCAGGTGGCCAATAAACAGCTATTGATCTAATGCAGGAATAATAAGGTAAGGTTTATTTTTTCTCCTTCAACATGCTGTACCTTTGCCAGATGCAAATAAGACCTCAAAAGTCTGCCTGAATAAACTTAAAATAAAAGACCCTTTCATCAAACGGTCACTTAGATGGTGTAACAAGTTAGGTATGAATGTATCACCTGTACCAGCTCAGTGAAATGCGTGTTAACCATCACATAACAAACTCGTGTCTGGCACGCTAAGGGCTTTGAGTCTGAATTTCTGATGAGAAATAAAGTGGTATATAGAAAACCCCAGAGAATGATATTCCATATATCCATAAGCATCAGTAGCACTTCTTAAAAGTCTCGCACATCCAGCAAACCCTTTAAAAATGAGATATCCTAATATGCAACCAGTTTAGCAGTATTTTTAAGAATGATAAGGGCTGGGCACGGTGGCCCATGCCTGCAATACCAGCACTTTGGGTGGCCGAGGTGGGCGGATCACCTGAGGTCGGGAGTTCAAGACCAGCCTGACCAACATGGAGAAACCCTGTCTCTACTAAAAATACAAAAATCAGCAGGGCTTGGTGGTGCATGCCTGTAATCCCAGCTACTGGGAAATCTGAGACAGGAGAATCACTCGAACCTGGGAGGCGGAGGTTGCAGTCAGCCAAGATCGTGCCATTGCACTCCAGCCTGGGCAACAAGAGCAAAACTCCGTCGCAAAAATAAATAAAATAAAATAAAATAAAATAAAATAAAATATAAAATAAAATAAAATAAAATAAAATAAAATAAAATAAGATAGGGCAACTTCATTTACCTAAAATGGAGCACAAGATCCTTTAGAAGGAACTCATACTCATTCCTGCAAAAATTCTGCCAACTCTTGAAGGTAGCACAGAATTAAGCATTTGTGTGTGTGTGTGTTTCCAAAGAGGTTTTAGCCAAGATTGTGGTCTCTAACAGACTCCCTGATTAAAATAGGGTTTAGAAACTATACTGCCTACTTGAAAAAGCATCAAATCTAGAGAATGCTTTTCACAGGTATGAAAAAAATGAAAACAAAATCACATTCTTCTATTTGCAATTCCCTTTCCCTCACTTTCCACTTCTATTAAATATACTTCAGTAACATTGTGCATAGGTGCAGAGACCACACATATCTAAAAAAGGAAAAAACCCTCAAATATATGGGGATGGACTGGCGACTCTGCCTTTGCAGAAATCATTTTGTTTCCTCCAGACAGAAGTGTCTCATTATTTTCAGCATTCCTATCTAAAAGGCAAACTTTGTTTCCATTGACTTTGAAAGGGCTAAGCTTAAATCTGAACTCTTAAACAAGGACAAGAGTTCAATTTTCTATTAATGAAAATCCCAGACAGGTTTTTCAGCCTACCAAATCGTTATACTTTTCTTATTCACTCTTCTATCTCTCTCCACAACCACCAACATTACCACCCACAAAAGAAGAAGAAAATCCCTCCAATGTTCCCTGAATGTGTGCTGCTGCTAGCTCGGAAGCTGTGTAGAGTTTTGTAATGGAGTGTGAACTGCTGCCCCGGATCTGGGCTGTATCTGTGTTCTATCTCCTATCCAGTCAGGAGAGAAAAAGGACAAATCCGCTGAGCAGGGAAAAATTCTTTCCGCCTCATTTATAACCTCTCATGGATGCAGCGCTGAAGAGGGTCGCTAGGCACACGGGGACCCTGTCAAGCTGCCCACTGGCCAGCGCGTTCTGCGCCGGGCGGGGTCTCCACGCCCTGCAGGTCTCCGCCTTGCCTGGAAAGGAAGCTGCCCCGCCAGGCAGTGAGATCGGTTGCCGTTCCCCACCCACACCCTTGGCCAGGGAATGGGTCACATCCTCGATGCGCCCTCGGCCCAGAAAACGCGCCGCTTTCCGGGCGGGGGGCGTCGGCGACGGGAAGGACCTCCCCTGCTCCTTAGCAAACACTAGGGTCGCAGTTTCCTAAGAGACGCGAGTGGGAAGGGGAGGAGGGAGCCCAAGAAGAGGCTGGTGCTGGGGGCAGAGAAAGCAACACTAGGATGCGGGCCGGTGTGGGAGGAGGAAGGGAAGCCCCGGAACTAGCTGCAAATTGTTCGAGCGGGAGAAGCTCCCCGCCTTCTTCCTGGACTAACGACGGCACCCGGCACCGAGCCCCCGACTGCAAGGAAGGTGCACTCCACATCGACGGATCCCTGTAAAACAAGGAAGGTGCAATCCACACCGACGGATCTCTGTAAAACACGCACTTAGCCAACGGAAGGGCAAGGACCGATAGGCGCCCCCATGGCCAGGCCCTGGCCCCCTTCTTTCCTGGGCGCCCAAGGTGGTAGGTAGTCAGCCACACCAAAACCGCCAGCCAGGAAAGGGCCAGGGCGCAGGGCTGCCTGCTGCCCCCTCGAAGCCAGTGTCCTCTGCCCAGGAAGATCAAATCCACAGAGCAGGGTGCGTCAGGGGCTTCCACCAAACACCCTGGTGAGAGCACCCCAGGAGGCCACCTCCTGGCCAGCACCCAGATGCTTTGCGACTGCAGGGGAAAGCAGGGGCCCTAGTTTCCAGGCTTCCCTGCCAGGGAGGGGCTGGAAAGACCTTAGAAGGAAAGTTTCTCTTTCCACAGGGGAAGGATGCTGGGAAAGAGAGGGCAGAAGGTGGGGAGCAGCGTCAGGAAGATGTTTCTGGCCTGCGAGGCTTGCACCATCTGAATCAGGGCGGTTCTGTAAGAAATAAATTCACCCCAGTATTCCGGGAGGCCAAGACAGAGGGAGCGCTTGCGCCCAGAAGTTTCAGACCAGTCTAGGCAACATGTTGAGACCCGGTCACTGAAAAAAAAATTAGTCAGGTGTGATGGGCCACACCTGTAGTCCCAGCTACTCGGGAGGCTGAGGTGAGAGGATCTCTTGAGGACACAGTGAATCATAATCTTGTGCCACTGCACTCCAGCCTAGGTGACAGAGCAAGATTCTTTCTCATAGAATAGATGATAGATAGATAGATAGATAGATAGATAGATAGATAGATAGATTACATATATATACTTGGCCGCCTGAGTTAGGCTGGATTAATACTATCCTCCAAAAGCTAATATAAATGTACATCAGGTCTTTCTAGTGCAGCGCTGAAGAGGCTGCCACTACGTGTGCTGGATGCTGCTTGGCATGGCTAATGGCTCAGTAAGAGGAGGAGTAGGAGTGGAGGAGTGAAGAAAGAGGAGGAGGAGAAGAGAAGAAAAGGAGGAGGAAAGAGAAGAACTAGAAGAGAAAAGGAGAAGAAGATAGGAAGAAGAGAGGAAGTGGAGAAAAAAAAAGAGAGGAGGACAACAGGACCAGGAGAGGAGAGGAAAAAAGGGAAGCTAGGAGGAAGTAGATTAAAAAGAGAGAGAAGGAGAAGGAGGAGAAGAATAAGAGAATGAGGAAAAAGAAGGAGGAGAAGGAGAGGAGGAGAAAAAAGGAGGAAAGGAGGAAAAGAAGGAGAGAAGGAGGAGGACAGGAGGAGAAGAAGAGGAGGAGGAGAAGAGGAGTAGAGGAGATGGAGAAGGAGGGGGGGACAAGAAGAAGGAGGAGAAGACGAAGAGAAAAAGGAGGAGAGAAGGAGAATGGGGAGCAGAAGGAGGAGGAGATGAAGAGGTGAAGGAGAGGAGGAGGAAAGGAGAAATAGAGAAGAAGGAGGAGAAAAGAAAGAGGAGGGGAGAAAAAGAAAGGAGAGGAGGAGAAAAATAGGAGGAGTAGGAGATGAAGAGGAGAAGAAGAGAAGAAAAAAGGAGGAAGAAAGGGATGGAAGAAAAGAAAAAGGAAATTTAGGAGGAGAGGAGAAGGAATAGAAAAGGAGGAGGAAGAGGAGGAGGAGAAGGAGGAAGAGAAGATGAAAGAGAAGGAGGAGATGAAAAGAATGAGGAGAAAAAAGGAGAGGAGGAGGAGAAGAGAAGGAGGAGTAGAAAAAAAGGAGAATGAGGAGGATTAGAGGAGAAAGAAAAGGAGAATTAGAAGAGGAGGAGAAGAGGAGAAAAAGAGAAGGAGGAAAAGAGGAGGAGGAAATGAGGATGAGAGGAGAAGAGAAGGAGGAGAAAGAGAAGGGGAGAAAAAGAGAAGGAGAAGGAGGATAAGAGAAGAAGGAAAAAGAGGATGGGAGGAAGAGGAGAGAAAAAAGGAAAAGGAGGATGAGGAGAGGAAGAGGAGAGAAAAAGGAAAAGGAGGAGATGAAGAGAAAAAGGAGTAGAGGAGGAGGAGAAGGAGGAGAGGAAAAGGAGTATGAGGAGAGGAGGAAGAGAGAAGGAGGACGAGGAGAAGAGAGAGAGAAGTAGAGGAGCTAAAAAGGAGGAAAAGATTGAGGAGAAGGAGGAAAGTAGGAGAAAAAGAAAAGAAGAGGAGAAAGGGGGGAAGAGAGTAGGAGGAAGAGGAGGAGGGGAAGGAGGAAAGGAGGAGGAGAGGAGGATGAGGAGAAGAAGGAGAAGAGGAAAATGAGGAGGAAGAGGAGAAGGAGGGAAGAAGGAGGAGAGAAGCCAAAAGAGAGAAGAAAAAAGGAGGAGGAGAAAGAGGAGAGGGAAAAAGGGAGGAGGAGAGGAAGAGGAGGAACAGGAGGAGAGGAGAAATATAGGAGGAGAAGGAGGAGGACAGCAGAAGAAGAAAGAGGAAAGAAAGGAAAAGTAAGAGAGGAAGAGAAGATGGAGAGGAGAAGAAGGGAGAGAAAAAGGTGGAGAAGAGGAGGGGAGGAGAAGAGGAGGAGGAGGAGAGGAGACGGAAAAGGAGGAGAAAAGGAGGAAGAAAGGAGAAGGAGGAGAGGAAAAGGAGAGGAGGGAGAAGGGAGGAGGAAGAGGAGAAGGAGAGGAGGAGAAAGAAAAGAGAAAAAGGAGGGGAGGACGAGGAAAGGAGGAGGAGACAGAAAAAGGAGAGAGGAAGAAGAGGAGAAAAAGAAGAGGAAAAGGAAGAGAGGAGATGGAAAATAGAGGAGGAGGAGAAAAGGTGGTGGAGTGGAGTAAAAAGGAGAAGGAGAGGAGGAGGAGGAAGGGAAAAGAAAAAGGGGGGAAGAACGAGAAGGAGCAAGAGGAGAGGAGGAGGAGAAGAAGAAGAAAAGGAGGTGGAGGGGAAAATGAAGAGGAGCAGGAGAGGAGAAAAACGAAGTGGAAGAGGAGAGGAGAAGGAGGAAGAGGAAAAGAGGAGAAGAAGGAGAAGAGAAGGACAAGAGGAGAAGTGGAGGAGGAGGATGGGAGAGGAGAAATGGAAAAGGAGGAGGAGAGAAAAAGGAGGGAAAAAGAAGGAAAAGGAGGGGAGGAGGAGAGGAGAAGGTGCAGGAGGAAAAAGAGAAGGAGTAAAAGAAGAAGTGGAGGAGAAGAGGAGAAGAAGGAGTAGAAGGAGGAGAGCAGAAAAAGTAGGTGAGGAGGAGAAAAAGGAGAGGAGGGGGAATGCAGAAGAAGTACAAAAAAGAGAAGGAAGAAAAAGAAGAGAGGAGAAGGAGGAGTTAAGAAGGAGGAGGAGAGGAGAAGTACGAAAAAAGAGAGAAGGAAGAAAAAGAGGAAGAGAGGAGAAGGAGGAGTGAAGAAGGAGGAGGAGAGGAGAAGAGAAGGAGGAGAGGCAGAGGAGGAGGAGAGTAGAAGAAGGAGTAGAAGGAAGAGGAAAAGAAGAGGAGAAGGAGGAGGAGTGGGGAAGGAAGAGGAAATGGAGGAAAAGGAGGGGGAGAGGAGATGGAGGAGGAGAAGAGAGAGAAGAAGAGAGGAGTAGAAAGAAAGAGGAATGAAAAAGGAGAAGAGAAGGAGAGAAAGAGGAGAGGAGGAGGAGGAAGAGGAGAGAAAAAGGAGAAGGAGAGAACAAGAAGGAGGAGGAGGAAAGGAGGAAGAGAGGAACACGAGTAGGAGTGAAGGAGGAGGAGAAGGAGGATAGGAGGAGGAGAAGAGGAAGAGAGGGGAAGGAGGGGAAGAAAGAGAAGGAGGAGGAAAGGAGAAGGAAGAGGAGATGAGAAAAAGGAGGAAGAGAGAAGGAGGAGGAAGAGAGGAGAAAGCAGAGGAGGAAGAGAGAAGGCAGAGGATGAGAGGAGAGGGATAGGAGAAAAAAGAAGGAGAAAGATGAGAGAAGGCAGAGGATGAGAGGAGAGGGATAGGAGAAAAAAGAAGGAGAAAGATGAGAGAAGAAGAGGAGGAGAGGAGAAGGAGGAAAGGGAGAAAGAAAAGGAACGGAGGAGAGGAAAAGAAGAAGAGGAAGGAGTAAAAGATGAGTAGGAGAAGGAGAAGAGGCGAAGGAGGAGAGGAGAAGGAAAGGAGGAAAAAAGGAGAAAGAGGAGAGAAGAAGAGGAGGAGAGGAGAAGGAGCAGGAGAAAGAAAAGGAAAGGAGAGGAGGAGAGGAGAAGAAGTAGAAGAGAAAGAGGAGTAAAAGATGAGAAGGAGGAAGACAAGAGGTGAAGGAGGGGGAGCGTAGAATAAAGAGGAGAGGAGAAGGAGGAGGAGAGGAGGAGGAGATTAAAAGAACAGAAGGAAAGGAGAAAGAGGAGGAGAGGGGAAGGAGAAGAGAAGGAGGAGCAGTGGAAGAGGAGGAGGAGGAGAAGGAGAGGAGGAAAAGGAGAGGAGGAGGAGGAAGAGAGGAGAAGGAGAGTAGAAGGAGTAGAAGGAGGAGGAAAAGAGAAAAAGAAGAAGGAGGAGGAAAAGAGGGAAAGAAGAAAGAGGAGAAGAAGGAAGAGGAGGAGAGGAAAAGGAGAAGAGAATAAAAGGAGGAGGAAGAGGAGAGAAGAAAAGAAGAGAAGGAGGAGGAGAAGAGAAGGAAGAGGAGAAGAGAAGGAGGAGGAGAAAAGAATGAGGAGAGGAGAAGTAAAAAGAGGGGAAAGAGGAGAGAAGAAGGAAGAGGACAGGAGAAGGAGGAGGAGAAAAATAAGGAGAGGAGAGGAGGAGGAGATGAGGAGAGGATGGGGAGTAAAAGATGAGTACTAGGAGGAGGAGTGGAGAAGGAGGAGGAGAGTTTTGGGGAAGGAGGAGGAGAGGAGGAATAGGACAGGAGAAGGAGAAGTAGGAGGAGGAGAGGAGAAGGAGAAGGAGAAAAGGAGAAGAGGAGTAGCAGGAGGAGAGGAGAAGGAGGAGGAGAAAAGTAGAAAGAGGAGCAGGAGGAGAGAAGAAAAAGAAGGAGAGGAGGAGGAAATGGAGAGGAAGAGCAGTGGAGGAGAGGAGAAATAGGAGAAAAGTAGTGGAGGAGGAGGAGAATGAGAGGATGAGGAGGAGAAAAATAAGAGGAAAGGAGAAGAAGAGGAGAAGGCAGAGGAGGAGGAGAGGGGAAGGAAGAGAAAATGGAGAGGAAGAGATGAGGAGAGGAGGAGGAGAGGAGAAGAGAGAAGGAGGAGAAGGAGGAGAGGAGGAGGAGGAGAGGAGGAGGAGAAGGAGGAGAGGAGGAAAAGGAGGAGAGGAGGAGGAGAAGGAGGACATGAGGAGAAGGAGGAGAGGAGGAGGAGAAAGAGAAGAGGAAGAGGAGGAAAAAGTGAGGAGGAGAGAAGGAGAGGAGAAAGAGGAGGAGGAAGAGAGGAGGATGAAACGAAGAGAAGTGAAGGAGAGTAGGAGGTGGAAGAGGAGGAGGGGAGAAATATGAGAGGAAGAAAAGGAGAGGAGGAGGAAGAAAGAGGAGAAGTGGAAGAGGAGGAGAGGAAGAAAAGGAGGGGAGAAAGGAGAAAAAGAAGAGGAGGAGAACATGAAGAGTGGAGGAAGAAGAGATGAGGAGGAGAGGAGGAGAAGGATGAGAGGAGGAGGAAGAGAGGAAAAGGAAAGGAGGAGATGCAAAGGAGGAAGAGAAAAGAAGGAGGAGGAGAAAAAAGTTATCACTTTGTGACAGTAATTATGACTATTTTCATGGCTTTGGATTACAGTTTATTTTATTTAATTAATTAATTAATTAATTTTTTGAGATGGAGTCTAGCTCTTTCGCCCAGGCTGGAGTGCAGTGGCGCCATCTCGGCTCCCTGCAGGCTCCGCCTCCCGGGTTCACGCCATTCTCCTGCCTCAGCCTCCCGAGTAGCTGGGACTACAGGCGCCCACCACCACGCCAGGCTAATTATTTGTATTTTTAGTAGAGACGGGGTTTCACCATGTTAGCCAGGATGGTCTCAATCTCCTGACCTCATGATCCACCCACCTGGGCCTCCCAAAGTGCTGGGATCACAGGCGTGAGCCACCGTGCCCAGCCCTGGATTAAAGTTTAAACTCAACAGGAGAGATGGGCACAAAGATAAAAAATCCATATTATTTCAGAGCTCAATTTCAGAGCTAAAGGAAAAGATATGTGGTAATACACCTGTGGACGTTGCCAATGCAAAAGAGTTGCATTATTTTGGTTTTGGATCCAGCCATGTGTCACCATACGCAATGTATGCAGTGCCTAGGAGAGAGCAGAGAGCCACAACACTTAGATGCTGGCCTAGTGATACATCACAATCTCTTTTTGGTCAGAGACCAAACAGTAGAGGAGAGCCACATCATCTAGGTTCTAGGTCCAGCAATACATCGCAATACTTTCTGAGAGGAAGACCAAAGCAGGAGAGCCACATCACCTAGGTGAGAGCCCCAGAGATACAGCACAATGCCTTCTGTGGGTAGGGCTCAGGAAGAAGAGGAAAGTTACATAACCTAGGGGCTACAGCCAGCTATATGTCACAATCACCCGAAGGGGCAGGGACAATGCATGAGAGGAGAGTCATATCAAGTAAGTGGTGAGCAAAGCAATATTAACAATCAGAGCAGAGTGTCATCTCCTACATTCTGGGCCATGAGATATGTTACAACCTCCCCTATGGGCAAAGCCCCAGGTAATAGAAGAGATTTACATCAAATAGTTGATGGGCTAAGAGATACTTCACAATGCCCCCTGCAGAAAGAGAGTAGGAGAAATAAATCAGATTGCCTGTGTGCTGGGCCCCAGGGATAAGCCAGTTTTTCATCTGTGGACATGGCCCAGGCAGGAGAGGGAGTCACATCACTGAGATGCTGGGCACAGAGATATGCAACAAGCTTTTCTATAAGCAAAACCCTGGTAAGAACAGAAAGATACATCAAATATTTTATGGACCCAGAGATACGTCACGATGTTTCCTCTTGACAGAGTCAAGGCAAGAAAGTGACATCACCTTGGTCCTGGGTCCCACAATAGGTCACAATGCCTTCTGAAGGCAGGGACAAGGCTAATGAGTAACATCTTAAAGCTGGGCCCAGCATATATGTAACAATCTCCCTTGTGGGCAGAACCTAGGAAGAAGAGAAGTGTCACATTAGCTAGGTGCTGAGCTCAGAGATATGTCACCTTCCCTCCTGTGAACAGAAACCAGGCAAGAGATGAGAGTACATTACCTGGGTGATGAGTGCAGAGAGATGTCACAATCCCCCCTTTAGGCTGGACCCAGGCAGAAGAGTCACATCACCTGGGTGTTAAAATGAGC
Source organism: Homo sapiens (assembly GCF_000001405.40). Lineage (NCBI taxonomy): Eukaryota > Metazoa > Chordata > Mammalia > Primates > Hominidae > Homo > Homo sapiens. The sequence continues at coordinate 23,463,780 of NC_000019.10, read as the reverse complement.
AATATGACACAATGCCCCTTATTGGCAGCACCAAGGTAGGAGAGAAAATTTACATTACCTGACTGCAAATCCCAGCGATATGTCACAGTGCCTCCTGTAAGAGGCACCAAGGCTTGAGAATAGAGTCATCTCACCTGGGTGCTGGGTCCAGCAATATATCACAATTCTACCCGTGAACCAAGCCAGGCAGGAGAGTCAAATCAGGTGTTTGGCAGAGGTGTATGTCACAATCAGACCTTCAAAAAATACAGGGATGAAATTACCAATCCCTCACATGTTCTGGTTCTAGGTATGAGAGTCCACATGTCTTGTATGATGGGTAAAGTAGACAAGTCACAACCTCAACTGTGAACTGGATCTGTGCAGCAGCTTCTCAATGTTTTCTGGGCATTGTGTCCCCTTAGAAAAGTCACAGCCTGACACGTGTGCTAAATTATGGTTTAAGGGTCACAAAATCCATGCATAACGAATTCATGAATGAGAGTCAACATTGCAACTTTTGACTGCCTCTAGATATAAGATTCAAATCCTCAACAGTGGGCCATGCTCATGTGAGAGGACAACAATCTTTACTCTTGACTGTGTCTGCTTACTACTGTCACAATCTTACCTTTCAGCTAGGCTATTAGTACACTCTCTGTACCACCCAAAGAATTTATGAGATACATGGTTTGGCTCTATGTCCTCACCCAAATCTCATCTACAATTGTAATCTCCACGTGTCAAAGCAGGAAGGTAACTGGATCATGGGGCAGTTTCCTCCATGCTGTTTTCGTGATAGTGAGTGAGTTCTCAGGAGATCTGATGGTTTTATAAATGTTGGAAGTTCCTTCTTCATTCACTTTCTCCCTGCTGCCACCTGTTGAAGAAGGTCCCTGCTTCCTCTTCTGCCATAAATGTAAGTTTTCTGAGGCCTCCCCAGCCATGTGGAACTGTGAGTTAATTAAACCTCTTTTCTACATAAATTACCTGGTCTTGGGCAGTTCTTTATAGCAGTGTGAAAATGAAGTAATACAATATGATATGCATGTGAGTTGCAATCTGCATTAAGACCTTCATGCTGATATGGGCCCATGATTGTACCTGTCATTCTAAGCTCAGGTATGAGAGTCAACACCTCCCCAATTGGCTGTGTCTAAATAGAAGAGTACTCATCTGCCTATGAGCTGGATTTAGAGATGGGTCACTATCCCATATGTGTCCAGATGTTCACATATGACTGACACAATTCCATCTGTAGACTGTGTCTACGTATGAGATTCAGGATCTCACCAGTGGGTTGTGTCCATGTGTGAGGATGACTATCTTAAGGATTGGCAGGGTGTGTATACCAGAAATACAATATCTCCTGTGTCCTTGGACCTGTGGTGACACTCTCTGTACCACTAGAGGACTTTAGAGAGTGGTAAACCTCTGTGACTTTTGTACAAAAAGGACACCCAGGATCTTATCTTTTTCCTTAAGCTTAGCTATAAGAGACAGTATCTCTCTCATTGGCAAGTTGAAGGTATGACAGTCATCATCACACCAGTGAGCTGGGCCAAGATATATGTGACAATCACTCCTCCAGATCAGGAGTAAGCAGGAGAGTAACATTACCTGGGTTTGGGGCCAGATGTATGTCACAGTCTTCTCTAAGGGCTCAGCAATATGTCACAGTGATCTATGTATTCAAGACCCAGTCAAAAGAGACTCACCACCTTCTTGCAGGGTCCAGTGATACGTCATAATCTTTTCTGTTAGGAGGGTCCAGGCAGAAAAGAAGAGTCACATTTCCTACGTAGTGTATGTGGATATATGTCACAAGGCCCCCTGTGGGCAGGGCCCAGGCAGGAGCCTCTTATTTTCTAGGTGTGGGACCCAGCGTTATTTCACAATACACCAAATATGTGGGGCCTAGAAGAAAGGAGTCACATCACATAGGTGCTGAGCCAAATGATATGTTGTAATCCCCCTTTTTAGCAGGGCCCAGGCAGAAAAATAAAATGTGTCACATCATCCAAGTGATAAACAAAAAGAGTAACATTACCTATGTGCTGGGCTCAGCGATACATCACAATACCTCCTTGGTCAGAGCCCAAGAAGTAGAAGAGAGTTACCTCACCTAGGTGCTGAGTCCATCAATATATCACAATACCTACTGAGTGAAGGGCCCAAGAATGAGGATTACATCATTTCGGTGAGGGGCCCAGAGCTATGTACCAAAGCTCCCTGTAGGTAGGGCTTAGGAAAAAAGAAGAGAGTCACATAACCTGTCACATAACCTAGACAGATGAGCCCAGCCTTATGTCAAAATTACAAGTGGTCAGAGTCCAGACATGAGAGGAGAATCACATAACATAAATGTTGGGTGAAGGAATATGTCACAATCCCTACTGGGGACAGAAGCAGAAAAATAAGGAGAATTACACCATCTAGGTAATGGGCCCAGAGATATGTTGCAGTGACCCCTGTGGGCAATGACCAGGCAGTAGAATCACATTGCCTGTGTGTCGTGCCTAGTGATCATTTACTTTACATCCAGTGAGCATAGCACAGGCAAACGAGGAGAGTCACAACACCTAGGTGCTGGAATCAGAGACATGTCACAATCTCTTCTAATTGTAAAGCCCACATAAGCAAGAAGAGTCACATCAAATAGTTCATGAACTTAGAGATATGCCACAATGCCCCCTGTGGGCAGGGTCCAAGCAAGAGACTCATATCATGTTGTTGCTGAGCCCAGTAATATGTCACAAAGCTTTCTGAGGTCAGGACCAAGGCAAAAGTGTAGCATCACCTTACTATTGAGTCCAGAGACACATCACAATCTCTCCTGCAGGCAGAACCTAAAAAGAATAGAAGAGTCACATCAACTCAATGCTGGGCCCAGTGATGAGTCACAATATTCCCTGTGAGCAGCGATCAGGCAGAAGTGAGTCATATCACCTGGCTAATGGGTGCAGAGATGTCATAATGCCTCCTGTAGGAAGGGCCAAGGCAAGAGAGTTACATCACCTGGGTTCTGGACCAAGCAACATATCACAATGGGCCGTGTGGGCAGGGTACAGGTAGGAGAATCACATAACTTGGGTGTGGGGCCCAACGTCACAATGCCTTCTGTGCACAGTGACAAAACAGAAGAGGAGACTGACATTAACTGAATATAAGGCCTAGTGACAGTGATATGTCACAATGCTGTCTATGGGCAGTGCCAAGGCAGTGGAATAGAGTCCCATGATGAAGGTGCTGGGTTTAGCAATATGTCAAAATTCCATCTGTGGGTTGGGCCAAGGCAGAAGTGTTAAATCACTCAGTTGCTGGACAGAGGCATATGTCACACAGTCTCACATGCAGAAAGATACAGGGATAAAGTTAAAGTTCTTGCACATGACCCAATTCTAAGTATGGGAGTCAACATCTCCTCTATGTTGGGTCTAAATACATGAGTCACAATCTTAATGGTGGACTAGGTCTGTGCGTGGGAACCTCGCTTTCTTCTGTGCACTATGCCTCCTTAGTAGAGTCACAGCCTCACAGGTGTGCTGAATCTTGGACGGAGAGTCACCAGCCCACCTGTGGACTGGATCCACATATAAGAGTCACTTTTTCAAGTTTCGACTGCCTCCAAATGTGACATTCAGAACCTCAAAAGTTGGCTGTGTTCATGTGGCAGTATGATGTGCATACCAGTGTCAAAATCTCACCTGTGCTGTGCCTTGTCAGGAAACACTTTGTAGCACCTGAGGGCTTTATGCATGAGAGCCTCAATATGCTTTGAGACCTCCCTTCTGGTATGGACCCATGGTTATAATTTTTACCCTAACCGCTTGTCTCAGAGTCAACTTCTCTTCAATTGGCTCAGTCCAAACAGAAGTGAACTAGGTTTGGAAATGAGTCACCATCCCAACTTAGCAAATGAGAGAAACAATTCCAGCTGTGGACTGTGTCAACCTGTGTGATTCAGGACCTCACCTGTGGGCTCTGTCCACGTGTAAGGGTGAAAATCCTAATGGATGGTAGGGTGAGAATATGAGAAACACAATCTCATTTGAATGCTGGGTTCCGTGGTGACATTTTGTTCCACACTAGGGCTTTATACAATGTGTGAGAAAGTGGTAATTTTCTATAACCTTCATACAAAGAGGAGACATGGGATTTTACCCGTGTCTCTAACCTCAGCTAAAACAGACAGTATATTTTCTGTTGGCTGGTGTGTGGTATTAGAGTCATCATTGCAACTGTTAGCTGGACCAAGATATATGTCCCTACCTGTGGGTAGGGAGCAAACAGGAGAGTCGCATCGCCTATGTTCTGGTCCAGGAATATGTCACAATCTTCCCTGACAGAAGGGACCAGGCAGAGGAATAATATCACCTGGGTACTTAGCCAGGAATATGTTACAATCACAATCCCCTCCTGAAAGCTGGATGCAGGATGTAGACTGCAGAACCACATCACCTTGTTAATGGGCCCAGCGATGTGTCAAAATGCTTTCTGTGGGCAAGACTCAATTAGGAGAGACTTATCATCTGTTTGCTGAGGCCAGCAACATGTCACAATCTTCCCTGTAGGCAGGGTGCAGGCAGAAGAAGAGAGCCACATTGCTTAGGTGATAAATGCAGAAATATGTCACCAGGTCCACTGTGGACAGGCCCCAGCCAGGAGCGTTCCATTTCTAGGTATTGGGCCCAGCGATATGTCACAATACCCAAAACATGTGGGGACCAGGCAAAAAAAAAAAAAGAGAGAGAGAGAGACTCATATCACCTAGATGATGGATCAAGTGATATGTCACAATCTTCTTATTTGGCAGGTCCCAGGCAACAAAAATGTGTCATATCTCCTAGGTGATGAACAAACAGTATCATATAATACCCCTGTCTTCAGGGACCGTAGAGTAGAGTTGCATCACGTACTTGTTGGGTGCAGCCATATATTACAACACACAATGTATGCCGGGCCCAGGCAGGAGAGGAGAGTAACATCCCTTAGGCCCTGTGTCCAGGGATACATCACAATGCCTCCTTCAGCAGAGCCCAAGAAGTAGAGAAGGGTCACATTACTTAGGTGCCAGGTACAACAATTTGCCACAATACTTCCTGAGAGAAAGGCTTAGGCAGAGGTGTCACATCACCTTGGTGAGGGAACAAGAAATATGTAACAATGTCCCTGGTAAATACAGCTAGAAAAAAAGATAAGAATCACATAACATAAGGTCAGTGCCCACTTATCTGTCACAATCACACCAGTAGGCAGGGCTCAGGCAAGAGTAGAGAGTAATATAATGTAGGTGCTACAGCAAGAAATATGTCACAATTTTCACTGTGGACAAGTCCCAGAAAGAAAATGAGAATCACATCACCTAGGTCATGGGCCCAGAGATATGTCACAGTGGCCCTTGTGGACAATAATCAGGCAGAAGAATGACATTGCATTTGTGCTGGGCCTAGTGATAATTCATTATTCCTTCTGGGAGCCTGGCACAGGCAAAAGAGGAGAGTCACCAACACCTAGCTATTTGGCCCAGAGATATGTCACAATCTCTTCTATGGGCAATGTCCAGGTAAAACAGCAGAGTCACATCAAATAATTGATGCAGCCAGAGATATGTCATAATGCCTTCTGTTGGCAGGGCCCATGCAAGAGAGTCACAGTGTCACAAAACACAATGTATTCAGGGCTCAGGCAAGAGATGATAGTCACATCATTTAGGTCTTGGATCCATTGAAACATTACAATTTTGTATTGAGCAAAGGCTAAGCAGTCTAGAAGAGTCACATCACCTAGGCTTTACGTCCAGCAATACCTTGCAATAACCCCTGAGAGGAGAGCCCAGGTAAAAGGATAACTTTATTTAGGTGAGAGTCCTAGAAATACGTCACAATTATCTGTGTGGGTAAAGATCAAAATGGGAGGCAGTTCCAAGATGGCCGAATAGGAACAGCTGCAGTCTACAGCTCCCAGTGTGAGTGACGCAGAAGATGGGTGATTTCTCCATTTCCAACTGAGGTACCAGGTTCATCTCACTGGGGCTTGTCAGACAGTGGAGGCAGGACAGTGGGTGCAGCCCACCGAGTGTGAGCTGAAGCAGGGCAAGGCATCACCTCACCTGGGAAGCACAAGGGGTCAGGGAATTCCCTTTCCTAGCAAAGGGAAGGGGTGACAGACGGCACCTGGAAAATCGGGTCACTCCCACCCTAATACTGCACTTTTCCAACAGTCTTAGCAAATGGCACACCAGGAGAATATATCCCGTGCCTGGTTCAGAGGGTCCCACGCCCACAGAGCCTCACTCATTGCTAGCACAGCAGTCTGAGATCAAACAACAAGGCCACAGTGAGGCTAGGGGAGGGGCGCCCGCCATTGCTGAGGCTTGAGTATGTAAACAAGTGGCCAGGAAGCTCAAACTGGGTGGAGCCCACTGCTGCTCAAAGAGGCCTGCCTGCCTCCGTAGACTCCACCTCTGGGGGCAGGGCATAGCCAAACAAAAGGCAGCAGAAACCTCTGCAGACTTAAATGCCCCTGTCTGACAGCTTTGAAGAGAGTACTGGTTCTCCCAGCACAGAGTTTGAGATCTGAGAACGGACAGACTTCCTCCTCAAGTGGGTCCCTGACCCCTGAGTAGCCTAACTGGGAAGCACCCCCCCATAGTGGCAAACTGATACCTCACATGGTCGGGTACCCCTCTGAGATGAAGCTTCCAGAGGAAGGATCAGGCAGGAACTTTTGCTGTTCAACAATATTCGCAGTTCTGCAGCCTCTGCTGCTGATACCAGGAAAACAGGGTCTGGAGTGGACCTCCAGCAAACTCCAACAGACCTGCAGCTGAGGGTCCTAACTGTTAGAAGGAAAACTAACAAACAGAAAGGACATCCACACCAAAACCCCATCTGTAAGTCACCATCATGAAAGACCAAAGGTAGATAAAACCACAAAGATGGGGAAAAAACAGAACAGAAAAGTTGAAAATTCTAAAAATCAGAGCACCTCTCCCCCTCCAAAGGAATGCAGCTCCAGCAACAGAACAAAGCTGGACAGAGAATGACTTTGATGAGTTGAGAGAAGAAGGCTTCAGATGATCAAACTTCTCCGAGCTAAAGGAGGAAGTTCGAACCCAATGCAAAGAAGCTAAAAACCTTGAAAAAAGATTAGATGAATGGCTAACTAGAATAACTAGTGCAGAGAAGTCCTTAAATGACCTGATGGAGCTGAAAACCATGGCACAAGAACTACGTGACGAATGCACAAGCTTCAGTAGCTGATTCGATCAACTGGAAGAAGGTATCAGTGATTGAAGATCAAATGAATGAAATGAAGTGAGAAGAGAAGTTCAGAGAAAAAAGAGTGAAAAGAAATGAACAAACCTCCAAGAAATATGGGACTATATGAAAAGACCAAATCTACACCTGATTGGTGTACCTGAAAGTGATGGGGAGAATGGAACCAAGTTGGAAAACACTCTGCAGGGTATTATCCAGGAGAACTTCCCCAATCTAGCAAGGCAGGCCAACATTCAAATTCAGGAAATACAGAGAATGCCACAAAGATACTCCTCGAGAAGAGCAACTCCAAGACACATATTTGTCAGATTCCTCAAAGTTAAAATGAAGGAAAAAATGTTAAGGGCAGCCAGAGAGAAAGGTCGGGTTACCCACAAAGGGAAACCCATCAGACTAACAGCGGATCTCTCAGCAGATACTCTAGAAGCCAGAAGAGAGAGGGGACCAATATTCAACATTCTTAAAGAAATGAATTTTCAACCCAGAATTTCGTATCCAGCCAAACTAAGCTTCATAAGTGAAGGAGAAATAAAATCCTTTACAGACAAGCAAATGCTGAGAGATTTTGTCACCACCAGGCCTGCGCTACAAGAGCTGCTGAAGGAAGCACTAGACATGGAAAGGAACAACCGGTACCAGCCACTGTAAAAACATGACAAATTGTAAAGACCATTGATGCTAGGAAGAAACTGCCTCAACTAACGAGCAACATAACCAGCTAACATCATAATGACAGGATCAAATTCCCACACAACAATATTAACCTTAAACGTAAATGGGCTAAATGCTCCAATTAAAAGACACAGACTGGCAAATTGGATAAAGAGACAAGACCCATCAGTGTGCTGTATTCAGGAAACCCATCTCATGTGCAGAGACACACATAGGCTCAAAATAAAGGGATGGAGGAAGATCTACCAAGCAAATGGGAAACAAAAAAAGGCAAGGGTCACAATTCTAGTCTCTGATAAAATAGACTGTAAACCAACAAAGATCAAAAGAGACAAAGAAGGCCATTACATAATGGTAAAGGGATCAATTCAGCAAGAAGAGCTAACTATCTTAAATATATATGCACCCAATACAGGAGCACCCAGATTCATAAAGCAAGTGCTTAGAGATCTACAAAGAGACTTAGACTCCCACACAATAATAATGGGAGACTTTAACACCCCACTGTCAACATTAGACAGATCAATGAGGCAGTAAGTTAACAAGGATATCCAGTAATTGAACTCAGCTCTGCACCAAGCAGACCTAATGGACATCCTCAGGACTCTCCACCCCAAATCAACAGAATATACATTCTTCTCAGCACCACATCACACTTATTCCAAAATTGACCACATATTTGGAAGTAAAGCACTCCTCAGCAAATGCAAAAGAACAGAAATTATAACAAACTGTCTCTCAGACCACAGTGCAATCAAACTAGAACTCAGGATTAAGAAACTCACTCAAAACTGCTCAACTACATGGAAACTGAACAACCTGCTCCTGAATGACTACTGGGTACACAGTGAAATGAAGGCAGAAATAAAGATGTTCTTTGAAACCAATGAGAACAAAGACACAACATACCAGAATCTCTGGGACACATTTAAAGCAGTTTGTAGAGGGAAATTTATAGCACTAAATGCCCACAAGAGAAAGCAGGGACGATCTAAAATTGACACCCTAACATCACAATTAAAAGAACTAAAGAAGCAAGAGCAAACACGTTCAAAACCTAGCAGAAGGCAAGAAATAACTAAGATAAGGGAAGAACCAAAGGAGATAGAGACACAAAAAACCCTTCAAAAAATCAGTGAATCCAGGAGCTGGTTTTTTGAAAAGATCAACAAAATTGATAGACAGCTAGCAAAACTAATAAAGAAGAAAAGAGAGAAGAATCAAATAGATGCAATAAAAAATGATAAAGGGCATAACACCACTGATCCCAGAGAAATACAAACTACCATCAGAGAATACTATAAATGCCTCTATGCAAATAAACTAGAAAATTTAGAAGAAATGGATAAATTCCTGGACACATACTCTCTCCCAAGACTAAACCAGGAAGAAGTTGAATCCCTGAATAGACCAATAACAGGCTCTGAAATTGAGGCAATAATTAATCGCCTACCAACCAAAAAAAGTCCAGGACCAGACGGATTCACAGCCGAATTCTACCAGAGGTACAAGGCGGAGCTGGTACCATTCCTTCTGAAACTATTCCAATCAATAGAGAAAGAAGGAATCCTCCCTAACTCATTTTATGAGGCCAGCATCATCCTGACACCAAAGCCTGGTAGAGACACAACAAAAAAAGAGAATTTTAGACCAATATCCCAGGTGAACATCAATGCAAAAATCCTCAATAAAATACTGGCAAACCCAATCCAGCAGCACATCAAAAAGCTTATCCACCATGATCAAGTGGGCTTCATCCCTGGGATGTAAGGCTGGTTCAACATACACAAATCAATAAACGTAATCCATCATATAAACAGAACCAAAGACAAAAACCACATGATTATCTCAATAGATGCAGAAAAGGCCTTTGACAAAATTCAACACCCCTTCAAGATAAAAACTCTCAATAAATTAGGTATTGATGGAACGTATCTCAAAATAATAAGAGCTGTTTATGACTAACCCACAGCCAATATCATACTGAATGGACAAAAACTGGAAGCATTCCCTTTGAAAACTGGCACAAGACAAGTATACCCTCTCTCACCACTACTATTCAACATAGTGTTGGAAGTTCTGGCCAGGGCAATCAGGTAAGAGAAACAAATAAAGATATTCAAATAGGAAGAGAGGAAGTCAAATTCTCTCTGTTTGCAGATGACATGATTTTCTATTTAGAAAACCCCATTGTCTCTGCCCAAAATCTCTGTAAGCTGATAAACAACTTCAGCAAAGTTTCAGGATACAAAATCAATATGCAAAAATCACAAGCATTTCTATATACCAATAACAGACAAACTGACAGCCAAATCATGAGTGAACTCCCATTCACAATTGTTACAAAGATAATAAAATACCTAGGAATACAACTTACAAGGCATGTGAAGGACCTCTTCAAGGAGAACTACAAACCACTGCTCAAGGAAATTAGAGAGGACATAAATAAATGCAAAAATATTCCATGCTTATGGATAGAGAGAGTCAATATCTTGAAAACTGCCATACTGCCCAAAGTAATTTATAGATTCAACGCTATCCCTATCAAGCTACCACTGACTTTCTTCACAGAATTGTAAACAGCTACTTTAAACTTCATATGGAACCAAAAAAAGATCCCACATAGCCAAGACACTCCTGGGCAAGAAGAACAAACCTGGAGGCATCATGCTATCTGACTTCAAACCATACTACAAGTCTACAGTAACCAAAACAGCATGGTACTGGTACCAAAACAGATATATAGACCAATGGAACAGAACAGAGGCCTCAGAAATAATGCCACACATTTACAATCATCTGGTCTTTGACAAACCTGACAAAAGCAAGCAATGAGGAAAAGATTCCCTATTTAATAAATGGTGTTGGGAAAACTGGCTAGCCATATGCAGAAAACTGAAACTGGACCCCTTCCTTATATCTTATACAAAAATCAACTCAAGATGGATCAAAGACTTAAACATAAAACCTAGGACCATAAAAATCCTAGAAGAAAACCTGGGCAATACCATTCAGGACATAGGCATGGGCAAAAACTCCATGTTTAATACACCAAAAGCAATGGCAACAAAAGCCAAAATTGACAAATGAGATCTAATTAAACTAAAGAGCTTCAGCACAGCAAAAGAAACTATCATCAGGGTGAAAAGGCCACCCACAGAAAGGGAGAAAATTTTTGCCATCTATCTATCTGACAAAGGGCTAATATCCAGAATCTACAAAGAACTTAAACAAATTTATAAGAAAAAAAAAACCATCAAAAAGTGGGCAAAGGATATGAACAGACACTTCTCAAAAGAAGACATTTATGCAGCCAACAGACGTATGAAAAAATGCCCATCATCACTGGTCATTAGAGAAATGCAAATGAAAACCACAATGAGATACCATCTCATGCCAGTTAGAATGGTGATCATTAAAAAGTCAGGAAACAACAGATGCTGGAGAGGATGTGGAGAAATAGGGATGCTTTTACACTGTTGGTGGGAGTGTAAATTAGTTCAACCATTGTGGAAGACAGTGTGGCAATTCCCCAAGGATCTAGAACTAGAAATACCATTTGACCCAGGAATCCCATTACTGGGTATATAACCAAAGGATTATAAATCATCCTACTATAGAGACACATGCACACATATACTGCAGCACTATTCAGAATAGCAAAGACTCAGAAACAACCCAAATGTCCATCAATAATAGACTAGGTAAAGAAAATGTGGCACATATACACCATGAAATACTATGCAGCCATAAAAAAGGATGAGTTCATTTCTTTTGCAGAGACGTGGATGAAGCTGGAAACCATCATTCTCAGCAAACTATCACAAGAATAGAAAATCAAACAGCTCATGTTCTCACTCATAAGTGGGAGTTGAACAATGAGAATACATGGACATAATGAGAAGAACATCACACACTGGGGCCTGTCAGGCTGTCGGGGGCTAGGGAAGGGATAACATCAGGAGATATACCTAATGTAAGTGACTGGTTGCTAGGTGCAGTGAGCCAGCATGGCACATATATACCTATGTAACAAAACTGCACGTTCTGCACACGTACCCAAGAACTTAAAGTATAATTAAAAAAATTATATATTGAAACAAACAAGAGCCTGAATACTCAAGACAATCCTAAGCAAAAATAACAAAGCTGAAGATATCATGCTACCCAACTTCAAACTATGCTACGGGGCTATAGTAACCAAAAAGGCATGGTACTGGTACAAGAAGAGACACACAGACCAATAAAACAGAATAGAGAACCCAGAAATAAGACCACATGGCTACAACTATCTGATTTTTGGCAAAACTGACAAAAACAAGCAATGGGAAAAGGACACCCCATTGAATAAATGGTGCTGGGATAACTGGCTAGCCATAGGCAGAAAATTGAAACGGACTCTCTTCCTCCATCATCTTCAGCAAACTAACATAAGATCAGAAAACCAAACACCACGTGTCCTCACTTGTAAGTGGGAGTTGAACAATGATAACACATGGACACAGGGAGGGGAACAACATACACTAGGGCTAGTCGGAGGATGGGAGGTGAGGAGAGGGAGAGCATAAGGACAAAAAGCTAATGCATGCATGGCTTAAAACCTAGATAATGGGTTGATAGGTGCAGCAAACCACCATGGCATATGTATACCTATGTAACAAACCTGCACATTCTGCACTTGTATCCTGTAACTTAAAGTAAAATTTAAAAAAAGAAACTGAACTCCTTCCTTACAGCATATACAATAATCAACTCAAGATGGTTTAAAGACTAAAATGTAAAACCCCAAACTATAAAAACTTTGGAAGATAACCTAGGCAATACAATTCAGGACATACACATGGGCAAATGTTTTATGATGAAGATGCCAAAAGCAATTAAAACAAAGGAAATATTGATGAATGGGATCTAAGTAAACTAAAGAGCTTCTGCACAGCAAAAAAAAAAAAAAAGGAAAGAAAAAAAGAAAAGAAAAGAAAAAACAAAAACTATCAGCATAGTAAGCAGACCACGTACAGAATGGGAGAAAATTTTTGCAAACTATGCATCTGACAAAGATTTAATTTCCAGCATCTGTAAGAACTTAAATTTACAAGAAAAAAGTAAACAACCCCATTAAAAAGTGAGCAAAAGACAAAAAGAGACACTTCTCAAAAGAAGACATACATGCAGCTAAAAAAGCATATGAAAAAACCTCAACATCACTGATCATTAGAGAAATGCAAATCCAAACCACAATGAGATATTGTTTTATACCAGTCAAAATGGCTATTATTAAAAAGTCAAAAAATAACATATGCTGGTAAAACTTTGGAGAAAAAGGAACGTTTTTACCCTGTTGGTGGGAGTGTAAATGAGTTCAACCATTGTGGAAGACAGTGTGATGATTCCTCAAAGACCTAAAGACAGAAATAAAATTCAACCCAGCAATTTCATCACTGAGTATATACCCAAATGAATATGTCATTCTATTATAAAGTCATTCTATTATAAAGACACATGCACACACACATTCATTGCAGACCTATTCACAATAGCAAATACATTAAATCAACCCACGTGTTCATCAATGATAGACTGGATGCAGAAAATGTAGTACATATACACCACAGAATACTATGCAGCCATTAAAAAAAAAAACCAAGATCATGTCCTTTTTAGACATGGAAGAAGTTGGAGGCCATTATCTTTAGCAAACTAATGCAGGAAAAGGAAACCAAATACCACATTTTCTCACTTACAAGTGGGAGCTAGATGATGAGAACACACAGAAGGAACAACATGCACTGGGGCATATCATGAGGTGGAGAGTGGGAGGAGGGAGAGAAGCAGAAAAAATAACTAATGGATAGTAGGCTTAATACCTGGGTGATAAAACAATGTATACAACCAATCTTTATGACACATATTTACCTATGTAACAAAGCTGCACATCCTGCACATGTACCCCTGAACTTAAAAGTTAGAAAAAAAGTTGTAGCAAAAAGATAGATTATTTTTGACTGCCTTGGTGCACAGTCCAGAGTCAGCATGGACTGTCCAGCTCTAAGATTCTTATTTATCAGAAAGAAAGCATTCTGTCTTTTGTCTGCACTACTATTATATTGGGTATCCTTCTACTTGTAGGCAAATGTAATCCTAACCAAAGTGCTAGCTTTGACATGGAATCCCTGGTAATCTTCGGTAAGACATGTCTCTTTCTTAAGACATTTTCTTATCTGCATAGTGGTGGAGGCAGGAGTGGGGAGATTTAATTCTGAAGTTCTAGTGCTTCTATATGGCCCACCTCCATAATTCCTTGTACAGTAATAGCATCTCAGATTCTTTTTGTAGGACTACTCCACCACAAAGGGCTTATCAGTCCGTGTGTTAAGTGTGGATGTCACCACTTTCTAGATGCAGAGGACAGGGGACATATTGGGTATGCTCCAGTGGGAGCTGCTGGGGGATAAAGGTGGGTCCCACATGCACACATTGTCTGTGGGCCTTGAAGGATCCTGTGTGCATGACTTTTTGGACAGAAGGTCCAGCTGCCCAGTGCAGAACCCATCTATTTCTGCCCAAGTGAGGAAGATCTGGGCACACCCTCATCACAGCTCTGCTACACCCATCCTAGTTGGTAGGGAACTTGCACCATGTGCAGGCTGAGCTGTGGTTTAAGCACTTTGACATCTAACATCTCACTGGATAACTGGGAAATTGAAGTCTGGAGAGAAGCAGAGAATGGCCCAGAGAACATAAAGTTGGCAGAGTCCAGAGGATAAAAGAGCATTCTGACCTCATAGGCCAAGGTTCATCCTTATAATGGGGTTTGCTTTAGGAATGAGAGTCCCTGAGATCCTGAGAATTTCTGCCAATTTTCTCATATGCAGCAAACTCATGTCTGCATCATTAAACCTGCACAGTTTTGCATGCACGTGTGCACACACAGACACACACACACACACAGACTTCTCAGGTTAAAGGAAGAGTTAACACTGATGGAGTGACGAGAAGAAAGAAGACAGAGGATGGCGGCAGCTTTGCCATGGGGTAGGGGCACCCAGTCTCCTGGTAACATGTCCAGGACCTATAACTGATGACTTGGGAACTTCAAGGTTCCCATGGATCTGCCTGGGCTGTGGCCATCCCCAGGAAAGCTTTCAGAGGACAAAAACTTGGCTTCTGCATTCACTGCTCTCTGTAATTAAAACCGGGAGGAATCCCCCTACACCCAGTATGGAGGGGAATACAGTAGTGAAAACCTCAAACTTTTTTCTCTGTAAATTGAAGTAATTGACCTGAGTGGCCTCTAAATTTCAAAGGCTTAAAAAGGTGAGTTGACCTTGCTGTCTATCAGTTACCCACTCTACTCTCAGATCCTTAGAAATTTCTCTATTATCCTCTGGAGGTTTTTCAGAGCAAAAATTGGCCTGGCGGTTTGTGGGACTGAGCACTCAGCTTAGTATAGAACATGGCAGAGCATCCTATCACTGATCTGAAGGCCATCCCTGTCATAGCTTTGGGGTTCTTTTTTGGAAGTGGAACCAGAGTCATTTTCCAGGCTGGGATGATGGAGTCTTGTGAGTTAACTGGATACCTCAGAACAGCGGAGGCAAACAAGAAAGCATGGGAGGCTTCTGAGATCTCTTACATTGTCCTGGAGCCTGTAGGCCTCACTAACTTGCCCTCTTGTTTCTTAGTTTATTTTTTTGTTTGTTAAATTGTTTTAAATTTGGATTTTAAAATTTTGTTTAGTCTGCTGAAGGTTTGTCAATTTTTAACTTTTCAAAAAAGCCAAATTTTTTCATTGATTTCTGCTCTAATCTTTATGATTTTTTTCTTCTAATAACTGTGGGTTTGGTTTGTTCTTGCTTTTCTAGTTCTTTTTTTTTTTTTTTTTTTTTTTTGAGGCGGAGTCTCGCTCTGTCGCCCAGGCTGGAGTGCAGTGGCGGGATCTCGGCTCACTGCAAGCTCCGCCTCCTGGGTTCATGCCATTCTCCTGCCTCAGCCTCCCAAGTAGCTGGGACTACAGGCGCCCGCCACTACGCCCGGCTAATTTTTTGTATTTTTAGTAGAGACGGGGTTTCACCGTTTTAGCCGGGATGGTCTCGATCTCCTGACCTCGTGATTCGCCCGCCTCGGCCTCCCAAAGTGCTGGGATTACAGGCGTGAGCCACCGCGCCCGGCCTCTAGTTCTTTAAGATACATTATTAGGTTGTTTATTTGAAAATGTTCCCATTTTTGGGATGTAGTCACTTATACCTATAAACATTCCTGTTAGTACTGCTTTTGTGTATCCCATAGATTTTGATACACAGTGCTTTTATTATCATTTGTTTCAAGAACATTTTTAATTTTCTTCTTAATTTCTTCATGGACCCAATAATCACTCAGAAGCATATTGTTTATTTTTGTGTATTTGTATAGTTTTTATAATTCCTCTTCTTATTAATTTATAATTTTATTCCATTGTGGACAAATAAGATGTTTGATATTATTTCTAGTTTTTGAATGTTTTAGGACTTTTTTGTGACCTAACATATAGTCTATCCTTGAAAATAATCCATGTGCTAAAGAAAAGAATGCATTCTGCAACCATTAGATAAAATGTCCTGTAAATATTTACTAGGTACATTTGGTCTATAGTGCAACAGATTAAGTCCAATGTTTCTTTGTTGATAATGTGTCTGGAATATCTGTAACATCTATTCAATGCTGAAAGTGGGTTTTTGGAGTCTCCACCTATTATTGTATTAGAGTCTATCTCTCTCAGGCTCTAATAATATTTGCTTTATATATTTCAGTGCTCAAGAGTTGGTTGTATTTATATTTAAAATTGTTATACCCTCTTGTTAAATTTACCCCTTTATGATTACATAGTAACCTCTCTGTCTTTTTTTTTTTTTTTTTTTTTTTTTGAGATGGAGTCTTGCTCTTGAAGTGCAGTGGCATAATCTCAGCTCACTGCAACCTCCACCTCCCAGGTTCAAGCAAGTCTCCTGCCTCAGCCTCCCAAGCAGCTCGGACTACAGGTGCATGCCACCACGACCAAATAATTTTTGTAGCTTTAGTAGAGATGGGATTTCACCATATTGGCCAGGTTGGTCTCGAACTCCTGACCTCGTGACCCACACACTTTGGCCTCCCAAAGTGCTGGGATTACAGGTGTGAGCCACCGCACCCAGCCCTCTTTGTCTTTCCTTATAAATTTTGTCTAAAAATCTATTTTTCTGATGTAAGTATAGCTACTACTGCATTTTTTTAATTGACATTGAATATCTTTTTCCATTTCTAAAATTTTTAGTCTATGTATGTCTTTATAGATGAGGTGAATTTCTTACAGGCAAAGGATCAATATGTCTTGTTTTTATATACATTCATCCACTCTGTCTTGATTGGCGAGTTTAGTCCATTTACATTCAATGTTATTATTGATAAGCAAAACCTTACTTCTGCCATTTTATTTGTTTTATGGTTGCTTTGGGGTCTTTTTTATCTTTCTTTGCTTTTTGTCTTCCTTTTAGTGAAGGAGGTCTTCTCTTTTATCTTTCTTTGCTTTTTGTCTTCCTTTTATTGAAGGTAGTTTTCTCTGGTGATGTGACTTAGTTTTGTGCTTTTTATTTTTTGTGTATTCTTGTATGTTTTTTGGTTTGAGGTTACCATGAAGCTTGCAAATGCTATCTTGTAATCTATTATTTTAATCTAATAACAACTTAACACTGTTTGAATAAACAAAGAAGCAAAAAGAATAATAAAAACTGTATGCTTTAAATCTCTTCCCTCAGTTTTTGTTGTTTCTATTTATATGTAATTTTACTGTCTATGTCTTGAAAAGTTGTTGCAGTTGTTATTTTTGATTGGTTTATTGTTTAGTCTTTCTACCTTGCATAAAAGTAGTTCACACACCACAGTTACGGTGTTATAATATTATTTAATTTTCTGTGTACTTACTATCACCAGCAACTGTATTTAACTATATGGTTTAAATAATTCCTCCATCAGCAAGTGTTAGCCGAGTTTGGTTTGCTTTTTCTTTCCGTTATAACAGGAAAGCACTGAATTCAATGCCTCACAATTGCTGAACTCTCCCTTTCTGCACCATGCCACCATTGTTGGGGGATGTGGGAAAAATAGTGTAAAAGATTCAAGACTGTTATTCCTACCCGTTCAGTGCCTCTTTCAGCAATATGAAGTTAAAACCAGGTACCATGAGTGCTCACCTGACTTTTGGTTCTTACGAAGGTGCTTTTTAAATGTAGGTCATTGTTAAATTGGTGTCCTTGCAGGGGGGATGGTTGGCGAAGCCTTCCATTCTACCATCTTGATGTACCTATGAGCCATCTATGACATTTTAACTTAATTAGTTTAAAGCTACATAACCATATAAGCTTTCCATTGTCTAAATTATTAGAGGCCCAATTTTAAGATAAATTTTTGGCCTCTACATTTCTTTATTATAACATTTAGTAAATAGAAAATTATCAAAAAACTATTCAAAACATTTAGTCTGTAACTGTCATTGCTACCATACAATAAATTCTATGAGGGCAGGGACTCAGTCTGTGATTCACAGGTTCTCTGATATGTGACTGCTCTTTGTGGGAATTTAACCTCTGCATAAAATAATGAATACATGTCTGCACATTTAAAAAATAATTCCACATAAAATGTAGATCTATCTGATTATCTTAGGAAACTGTATATTCCTTCCACAGCATGAAGAGGTTATACTGTTTATCCTGGGGTCATGGCTTAGGAGAACAATGGGCCTGACTATAGAAAAAAACAAGCGGTAATCAGTTTAGAGTTGTTCATAAGCCAACAATTTGAATTATACAAAATAACCATATATACTGAAAAGATGTAGGAGAGAGTGTAAAATGATACAAAGGTGCTCCTTTAGGACAAAGATGCTTTGGGTGACTCTGGACTCATGTGAGAATTTAGGAGTGGTGTTGGACCTATGAATATGTTGGACCCACCACTTGTGTTGAACAGAATAAAGGTCATGGAGCTGTTGGCCCAGGTTATAATTTCCAAACACAAAACACTAAAAAATGATAAAAACATGACATGTCATAAATGTGGAATTCTGTTATTAACTACTCCAGAACAGTGTTTAAAATAATCTTTGTGTTCTTTATGGTGTTCCACTTACCAGTAACATACACAGGAAAAAATGACATTTACAAGCCTATTCAGAATTCAGCACATAATTTGGATATTAGAGATTCAAATATATTTGGAAGCATGTAGTTTAAGCTACGTTCACCTGAGGTTTTGGGGGCTGATGGTGATGACCTGGGAGATACTCAAGAGGCAGATGGTGCCAATGCACATGCTGTGGCCACTCTGTGAATACAGAAAACAACTTTCTATCTAATATTACTGAAAAAATATTTCAACTCCAAATCAGTCATTGTCTAAGGGACCTTTTTGGAGAGTACCAAGGAGTTGGCCATAGGTGCTTGAGAGTCAAATCTGTGTATCACAATGTGCATCTGGTAATTAAAGAAAATCTGATGTCAAGGAAGAAAAAAAATCCAACTATTTAACTATGGTCTGAGATAAGATCATTCCTACTGCTATATTACTGGAGACAATCTGATATTTTCAAGTAACTGATAATTTCATTTCCACGTGAGGAGATCTTTCATGGACAGATGAGGTCTGTTTTATGGAGAAAATAGAAACATTCTACTGTGTACTTCCCATTGTATCCAACTCAGAAATATTTTATTGAAACTTTTATTTCACAATACTTTTGTTCTAAAGAGAAAAACATATATATTCCCACTATACTATAACACTACTCTAGAATACTATAACAGGTTTTACATGTATTTTTATCATACATCTACAATGTGCTTTATTGTTCCCTTTTTACAGGTAAGGAGATATTAAACAAAAGAAGGCTGAATGACATTTCTAAAGTCACCTCATTGTAAAAAGAAAGTTTCAGGTGTAGACAATGTGCTTATCCACTATGTTTCTCAATCTTACAGACACAGATACACTTTAATATGTCACAAATTTGTTATTTTTAATTTTGCATATTTGTCAGTTATAAAATATATTTGTACTTTAAAAGAGTTTTGATTGTAGCGATCTCATTTAAATCTAACCAAATTAAATCTAACCATTTATTACAGGGAAAATTGTATTTTTAGTGAATGAAAACATCAAATAAAGTTATTTCAATGTTAGAATCATTAAATATATTAAAACAAATCCATTTTGGAGAGGAAAACTGGAGGCACAGATACTTATTTACTTAAATAATTGAAATAGTTGAATATTAAGCCTGGCAAGGGTTTAGAATTTTTTTTTTCTTTGAGACGGAGTCTCCCTCTGTTGCCCAAGCTAGAATGCAGTGGCACGATCTTGGCTCACCACAACCTCCGCCTCTTAGGTTCAAGTGATTCTCCTGCCTCAGCCTCCCAAGTAGCTGGGACTACAGGCACATGCCACCATGCCCGGCTAATTTTTGCATTTTTAGTAGAGATGGGCTTTCACTATGTTGGCCAGGCTGCGGCTTTAGAATATTTTTAAACCAAGAAGAAATGTCACAAACTATTCAATTCTGAAAACAATTGAAATCCATGCTTTTTTTTTTCTAATGTGAAAACATTAAGGTCATCAAGTTACCTTTCCTTGAATCCTCCTTCCCTGATTTAATGAAGCAAATAGTCTTATCATAATTGACAAAGACCAGATGTTTTCTGTCGCCATCCAATTATGATCTTTCTTAAGTATATAATATGCCCTAGCAGGTAAAATAACACAACAAAAAACCTACATTTAATATTTTTGAAAAGAATAAGATAATTCAATCAGCTACATTCTATGCACTTTATATGCATGAAGGTATTGGAGAAATATATCTACTAATCTTGGAGTCATTCCTGACTCTTGTAGAGAAAATAAGAGTTAGCGGATTAATAGTCAAAATGTATTGAAGAACTTTTCATAAAACATATTCCATATCTTTATACATCACAAAGCAACAATGAGGACCACTGAGAATTACATTATATTAAATTATGATCAGTTATGGAATGGCTTATGTTCTTGATATTATATTCTTTCCACAATTTCAGCCTATGAGTTAGTAATTATTTCACACCTTATGCATGGTTTTGGCAGTGGTCAGTTTCTGGAACAGAAGAGTTACTTTTTCAGACAAGGCACAACCTACAACAAATTTAATTTAAAGATGGAATTGGCTTATATTTGTAATTGTAGAGTTTTATGGATTCTACTTTGAGGCTCAAACAGCACTAATTCACTTGGGTTAGCTTCAAATGCATTATGAAGTCAAACTTAGCCAGTTTTTTGGTATCAATATTTGTTGTCTAAGATTCCCCAGGTCTTCCTGGATATTAATGCACCATTACATGTGCATTTTGTTTAATTTTGGTTCAGAGAAAGCAGATGGTACCTCCAGATGTGGCCCCTAAACAATCCCTGCAGCTCAACTCTACTGAACCCACAGAGCCCACTCCGTGTCCTCAATCTAGGTCTGGAGTGAAGCTTTGCCCAAGACAATCTATACAGAGCCTTTTCACAAGTGCCATTTCATGAAATGACAGTTAAATAAAGATGGGAGGAGACTGAGGTAAGGTCCTGGGTGAGTGCAAGCCAATGTGTCAGGTAGGAGACTGCAGAATCAAAGGTTAGTCAGTGCTAAACACAGCACTGCATTAAGAAGATAATCAACCAAGAATGACTATCACCTGGGTTGATATTGCCATTCTTCATGTCTCTTTCTTTTCTCTCTTTCTCCAGACTTCTTTCTTAGATAAGATCAGTCCTGAGAAGTCACTTCACAATGTATAATATGACATTTAGAACTTCAAATATGCCTTTTTTTTGGTGCCACAATCCAGTAATTAGGAAGAAACTCACATGTTGAAAAAAGGTTCTATGCTGACCAGTAGAAGAAAAAAAAAACTCACACTGAAAACTCTTATATGAAGTCTGGGCATTGTGGCTCAGCACTTTGGGAGGCAGAAGAGGGTGAATCACCTGAGCTCACTTTGGGAGGCAGAAGAGGGTGAATCACCTGGGGAACATGGTGAGACACCGTCTCTACAAAAATATAAAAATTAGCTGGGCACGGTGGCATTCGCCTGTAGTTCCAGCTACTTGGGAGGCTGAGGCAGGATAATTGCTTGAGCCCCAGAGGCAGAGGTTGCAGTGTGCCAAGATTGCACTATTGTACTCCTGCCTGGGTGACAGAGTGAGACTTTGTCTTAAAAAAAAAAAATTACATGGAGACAAACAAATGATCTATTTCTACTCTTTTCCCCAAATTACTATCTAATGTTAGTGAAGCCCACACATTAGGTAACAGCCAGGGGTATGTGGCTGGACTCATCCTCCCTTTCAAATCACAAAACCCTCAGTTTCTGCTAGTCCCTGCTGAGCATAGGGTCACCAGGGGAGAATGAACACAGCTTTTCATTTCTTGTGGTCCTGCATTTCCCAGCCTTCCTTCCATTTCTGAGCCCTAACCCGCAAACTATTCTTTTATGCTCCATCCTGCATGCTGAAGTTGACCTTTTGGTTTATTTTTTTGTCACACTCGAGCCTGAGTGTGACAAACAGGGAGAGAAAGAGAGAGAGAGAAAAAATGAGAGTAAGGGGAGAAGGTCTTAATTGTAATATTAATTATCTTTTACCTTTGTTCACTCATTTATTTATTGGTCTTTCATACTGTTTGCTATTTTTTGTTATTGTTATATATTCACTGTTGGTGTTTAAATTTATTTTGAGACAGATGTTGGTCGCAAGTGTTGGACTTAGCCAACAGCTTGCATTGTCTAAAGTCGACCAGGTGGCTCTTGCCGGCGGTAGTACCACACAGGTCCAGCAGAGGGATGCAATCGTGATTCACTGTGGCCTCCATCTCCCCGGTCTTGCCCAGGTGGTCTACCCATCTTGGCCTTCCGAGTAGTACGTGGGAGTACTCGCATTTTCTTCTTCTGTTTGTTCTCTAACCCCACTTTCAGATTGTTTCCATAGTACTTAGAGTGATTTGTTGTTGTTTCTCTTCTTTGTTCTTTTCTCTATTTTCCTTAGCTCCTTCCTGGACATTGAAATTGAAGTTTTAGATTTTATTTTTTGTCACACTCCAGCCTCGGTGTGACAAATGGAAAAAAGAGAGAGAGAGAGAGAAAAAAGAGAGAGGAAAGGAGAAGATCTCAATTGTGATATTAATTACCTTATACCATTGTTCACTCCCACTTTATTGGTCTGTAATATTGGTTGTTATTCTTTGTTATTGTTAAATATTTACTGTTGGGTTTTTTTGTTTATTTATTTTGAGACTGATATCGGCCTCGAGCCTCGGACTTAGCTTCCAGCTTACCATCTTTAAGGCTGACCAGATGACTCTCGCTTTGCCATATCTAAGGTCGACTGGATGGCTGTCGCTGGAGGTAGTACCATTCAGGTCCAGCAGAGGGATGCGATTGTGAATCTCTGCGTCCTTGATCTCCCTGGTTCCACCCAGGTGATCTTCCCATCTCAGCCTACCAGTACCTGGGACTACTCGGACCTTCTTCCTCTGTTTTTTTCCTAAACACACTTCCAGTTTGTTTCCACAATACTTAAGAGTGACTTGTTGTTGTTTATCTTCTTTGTTCTTTTTTCTTTCTATTCTCCTATGCTCCTTCCTGTACGCTGAAGCTGACCTTTTGGTTTGTTTTTTTTGGTCACACTCCAGACTGGGTGTGACAAAGAGACAGAGAGTGTGTGTGTGTGTGTGTGTGTGTGTGTGAAAATAAATGTTAATTTTGACACTAATTACCTTTTACCTTTGTTCACTCCCATTTATTTATTTATTGGTCTTTAATTTTTTTTGTTGTTATGTATTTACTGTAGGTTTTTAAATTTATTTTGAGACAGATGTCAGTCGCAAGCGTTGGACTTAGCCTCCAGCTTTCCATGTCTAAGGTTGACCAGATGGCTCTCGCCTTGCCATGTCTAAGATCGTCCATATGATTTTCACCAGTGGCAGTACCGTTCAGGTCCAGCAGGAGGATACAATGGTGATTCACTCTGGCCTTCACTTCCCCGGTCTTGCCCAGGTGGTCAACCCATCTCGGCCCCTTGAATACCTGGGACTACTCGGACCTTCTTCCTCTGTTTTTTCCAACCCCATTTTCAGTTTCTTTCCACAGTACATAGAGTGATTTGCTGTTGTTTTTCTTCTTTGTTCTTTTCTCTCAGTATTTTCCTACACTCCTTCCTGCACACTGAGGTTGACTTTTAGATTTTTTTATCACACTGTAGCCTGGGTGTGACATACAGGGAGAAAGAGAAAAGAGATCTTAATTGTGATATTAATTACCTTTTATTATTGTTCACTTCCACTTATTTATTGGTCAATAATATTGTATGTTACTATTTCTTTATTGTTAAATATTTACTGTTGTTTTTTGTGTATTTATTTTTTGACAGATCTCAGCCACAAGCATTGGACTTAGCTGCCAGCTTGCCATGTCTAAGGTCAACTAGGTATCTCTTGCCTTGCTATGTATAAGGTCGAGCAGATGGCTCTCGCTGGTGACAGTACAGTTTATGTGCAGCAGAGGGATGCGATCGTGATTCACTGTGACCTCAATGTTCCCAGTCTCACCTGGGTGATCTATCCATCTTGGCCTCCCGTGTACCTGAAACAACCTTCTTCCTCTGTTTTTTATCTAACCCTACTGATAGTTTGTTTCCAAAGTACTTACAGTGACCTGCTGTTGTTTTTCTTCTTTGCTCTTTTCTGTGTTTTCCTATGCTCCTTCCTCCTCAGTGAAGTTGACCTTTTAAATATTTTTTTATCACACTCTAGCCTGGGTGTGACAAAGGGGAGAGACACACACACAGAGGAGAGAGAGAGAAAGATCTTAATTGTGATATTAATTACCTTTGTTAACTCTCATTTATTTATTGGTGTTTAATATTGTTATCATTTCTTTGTTATTGTTAAATATTTACTTTTTTTGTTTATTTATTTTGAGAGACATTGGCAGTGAGCATTGGATTTAGCTGCCAGCTTGCCATGTCTAAGGTTGACCAGATGGTTCTCACCCTGACATGTATTAGGTCAACCAGATGGCTCTTCCCTTACCATGTCGAAGATTCACCACATGGCTCTCACTGGTAGCAGTACTGTTCAGTTCCAGCAGAAGGATGTGATCGTGATTCACTGCAGCCTCAATCTCCCTGGTCACACCTGCGTGTTCTTCTCATCTCAGCCTCCCAAGTACCCGGGACTACTCAGAACTTCTTTTTCTGTTTTTGTTTGTTTGTTTGTTTTTTTCTCAACCCACTTTCAGTTTATTTCCACAGTACTTATAGTGACTTGCTATTGTTTTTCTTCTTTGTTCTTTTCTCTATTTTCCTACACTTCTTCCTGTAAGCTGAAGTTAACCTATTTTCTTTTCTTTCTTTCTTTTTTTTTTTTTGTCACACTCCAGCCTGGGTGTCACAAATGGAGAGAAAGAGAGAGGAGAAAATCTTCATTGTGATATTTATTGTACTCTACCTTTTTCACTCCTCCTTATTTATTTTCTTTAATATTGTTTGTTATTATTTCTTTGTTATTGTTAAATATTTACTGTTGGGTTTTTTGTTTATTTATTTTGAGACAGCTGTTGGCTGTAAGCATTGGACTTAGCCACCAGATTGCTATGTCTATGGTCGACCAGATGGCTCTTGCCTTGCCATGTCTAAGGTCCTCCAGATGGCTCACGTTTTGCTGTCTAAGGTTAACCATATGGCTCTTGTCAGCAGCAGTCCCATTCAGCTCCAGCAGAGGGATGCAATCCTGATTCACTGCAGCCTTGATCTTTCCAGTCTTATCCAGGTAGTCACACAACAAAACGTCAACCTCGGCATGCAGGAAGGAGTGTAGGAAAATACTGGGAGAAAAGAACAAAGAAGAAAAACAACAGCAAATCACTCTATGTACTGTGGAAAGAAACTGAAAGTGAGGTTAGAAAAAAACAGGGGAAGAAGGTTCGAGTAGCCCCAGATATTCAAGAGGCAGAGATGGGTAGACCACCTGGGCAAGACCAGGGAGGTCAAGGGCCACAGTGAATCATGATCGTATCTTCCTGCTGGACCGGAACGGTACTGCCACTGGCAAGAGTCATATGGATGACCTTAGACATGGCAAGGCCAGAGCCATCTGGTCGACCTTGGACATGAAAAGCTGGCAGCTAAGTCCAATGCTTGCAACCGACATCTGTCTCAAAATATATTTAAAAACCTACAGTAAATATATAACGATAACAAAAAATAACAAACCATATTAAAGACCAATAAATAAATAAATGGGAGTGAACAAAGGTAAAAGGTAATTAGTACCACAATTAAGATTTATTTTCTCTCTCTCACACACACACACTCTCTCTCTCTGTCTCTTTGTCACACCCAGTCTAGAGTGTGACCAAAAAAAAAAAAAAAAAACAAAGATTAGCTTCAGCATACAGGAAGGAGCATAGGAGAATAGAGAGACAAAAGAACAAAGAAGATAAACAACAACAAGTCACTCTAAGTATTGTGGAAACAAACTGGAAGTGTGTTTAGGAAAAAAAAAAAAAAAACAGAGGAAGAAGGTCCGAGTAGTCCCAGGTACTCGGTAGGCTGAGATGGGAAGATCACCTGGGTGGGACCAGAGAGATGAGGCCACAGTGAATTACGATGGCATCCCTCTGCTGGACTTGAATGGTACTACCTCCAGCAAGAGCCATCCAGTCAACCTTAGACATGGCATAGCGAGAGTCATCTGGTCAGCCTTAAAGATGGTAAGCTGGAAGCTAAGTCCAAGCCTTGAGGCTGATATCAGTCTCAAAATAAATTTAAAAACCCAACAGTAAATATTTAACAATAATAAAGAAAGAATAACAAACAATATTACAGACTAACCCCACTTTCAATTTGTTCCACAGTACTTAGAGTGACTTGCTGTTGTTTTTCTTGTTTGTTCTTTTCTTTATTTTCCTATGGTCTTTCATGCACATTGCAGTTGAATTTTTAGGTTATTTTTCATTTGTCACACTTCAGCCTGGATGTGACAAAAGGAGAGAGACAGAGAGAGAAGATCTTAATTGTGATATTAATTACCTTTTTTTTCGCTCCCACTTATTTACTTTTGGTCCTTAATATTGTTTGTTATTTCTTTGTTATTGTTAATTTTTTTTTACTGTTGGTATTTTTGTTTATTAATTTTGAGACCGATGCCACCCATGACCCTTGGACTTAGCTGCCAGCTTGCCATGTCTAAGTTTCACTAGATGGCTCTCACCTGTGGCAGTACCGTTCAGGTCCAGCAGAGGGATGCAACTGTGATCCACTGCAGCCTTCATCTCCCCAGTCTCACCCGGGTGGTCTTCCCATCTTGGCCTCCTTGAGTACCTGGGACTACTGAGACCTTCTTCCTATTTTTTTTCTAACCCCACTTTCAGTTTTTTTCCAGAGTACTTAGAATGACTTGCTGTCCTTTTGCTTTTTTTTTTCTTTTCTCTCTCTCTTTTCCTACGTAGCTTTCTACACGCTTAAGTTTACCTTTTAGGGTGGGAGGAGCCAAGATGGCCGAATAGGAAGAGCTCCGGTCTACAGCTCCCAGCGTGAGCGACGCAGAAGACGGGTGATTTCTGCATTTCCATCTGAGGTACCAGGTTCATCTCACTAGGGAGTGCCAGACAGTGGGCACAGGACAGTGGGTGCAGTGCACCATGCGTGAGCCAAAGCAGGGCGAGGCATTGCCTCACTCAGGAAGCACAAGGGGTCAGGGAGTTCCCTTTCCTGGTCAAGGAAAAGGGTGACAGACGGCACCTGGAAAATCGAGTCACTCCCACCCTAATACTGCACTTTTCCAATGGGCTTAGGAAACGGCGCACCAGGAGATTATATCCCGCACCTGGCTCGGAGGGTCCTACGCCCATGGAGGCTCGCTGATTGCTAGCACAGCAGTCTGAGATCAAACTGCAAGGTGGCAGCGAGGCTGGGGGAGGGGCACCCACCATTGCCCAGGCTCGCTTAGGTAAACAAAGCAGCTGGGAAGCTCGAACTAGGTGGAGCCCACCACATCTCAAGGAGGTCTGCCTGCCTCTGTAGGCTTCACCTCTGGGGGCAGGGCACAGACAAACCAAAAGACAGCAGTAACCTCTGCAGACTTAAATATCCCTGTCTGACAGCTTTGAAGAGAGCAGTGGTTCTCCCAGCACACAGCTGGAGATCTGAGAATGGGCAGACTGCCTCCTCAAGTGGGTCCCTGACCCCTGACCCCCGAGCAGCCTAACTGGGAGGCACCCCCCACTAGGGGCAGACTGACACATCACACGGCCGGGTACTCCTCTGAGACAAAACTTCCAGAGGAATGATCAGACAGCAGCATTCGCGGTTCACAAAAATCCACAGTTCTGCAGACACCGCTGCTGATACCCAGGCAAACAGGGTCTGGAGTGGACCTCTAGCAAACTCCAACAGACCTGCAGCTGAGGGTCCTGTCTGTTAAAAGGAAAACTAACAAACAGAAAGGACATCCACACCAAAAACCCATCTGTACATCACCATCATCAAAGACCAAAAGTAGATAAAACCACAAAGATGGGGAAAAAACAGAGCAGAAAAACTGGAAACTCTAAAAAGCAGAGCACCTCTCCTCCTCCAAAGGAAGCAGTTCCTCACCAGCAATGGAACAAAGCTGGACAGAGAATGACTTTGACAAGTTGAGAGAAGAAGGCTTCAGACAATCAAACCACTCCGAGCTACAGGAGGAAATTCAAACCAAAGGCAAAGAAGTTGAAAACTTTGAAAAAAATTTAGACGAATGTATAACTAGAATAACCAATACAGAGAAGTGCTTAAAGGAGCTGATGGAGCTGAAAGCCAAGGCTCGAGAACTACGTGAAGAATGCAGAAGCCTCAGGAACCGATGCATTCAACTGGAAGAAAGGGTATCAGTGATGGAAGATGAAATGAATGAAATGAAGCAAGAAGGGAAGTTTAGAGAAAGAAGAATAAAAAGAAATGAACAAAGCCTCCAAGAAACATGGGACTATGTGAAAAGACCAAATCTGCATCTGATTGGTGTACCTAAAAGTGATGGGGAGAATGGAACCAAGTTGGAAGACACCCTGCAGGATATTATCCAGGAGAACTTCCCCAATCTAGCAAGGCAGGCCAACATTCAGATTCAGGAAATACAGAGGATGCCACAAAGATACTCCTTGAGAAGAGCAACTCTAAGACACATAACTGTCAGATTCACCAAAGTTGAAATGAAGGAAAAAATGTTAAGGGCAGCCAGAGAGAGAGGTCGGGTTACCCACAAAGGGAAGCCCACCAGACTAACAGCGGATCTCTCAGCAGAAACTCTACAACGCAGAAGAGAGTGGGGGCCAATATTCAACATTCTTAAAGAAAAGAATTTTCAACCCAGAATTTCATATCCAGCCAAACTAAGCTTCACAAGTGAAGGAGAAATAAAACACTTTACAGACAAGCAAATGCTGAGAGATTTTGTCACCACCAGGCCTGCCCTAAAAGAGCTCCTGAAGGAAGCACTAAACATGGAAAGGAACAACCAGTACCAGCCACTGCAAAATCATGCCAAAATGTAAAGACCATCAAGACTAGGAAGAAACTACATCAACTAACAAGCAAAATAAACAGCTAACATCATAATGACAGGATCAAATTCACACATAACAATATTAACTTTAAATGTAAATGGACTAAGTGCTCCAATTAAAAGACACAGACTGGCAAATTGGATAAAGAGTCAAGACTCATTAGTGTGCTGCATACAGGAGACCCATCTCACGTGCAGAGACACACATAGACTCAAAATAAAAGGATGGAGGAAGATCTACCAAGCAAATGGAAAACAAAAAAAGGCAGGGGTTGCAATCCTAGTCTCTGATAAGACAGACTTTAAACCAACAAAGATCAAAAGAGACAAAGAAGGCCATTACATAATGGTAAAGGGATCAATTCAACAAGAAGAGTGAACTATCCTAAATATATATGCACCCAATACAGGAGCACCCAGATTCATAAAGCAAGTCCTGAGTGACCTACAAAGAGACTTAGACTCCCACACATTAATAATGGGAGACTTTAACACCCCACTGTCAACATTAGACAGATCAATGAGACAGAAAGTTAACAAGGATACCCAGGAATTGAACTCAGCTCTGCACCAAGCAGACCTAATAGACATCCTCAGGACTCTCCACCCCAAATCAATAGAATATACATTTTTTTCAGCACCACACTACACCTATTCCAAAATTGACCACATAGTTGGAAGTAAAGCTCTCCTCAGCAAATGTAAAAGAACAGAAATTAAAACAAACTGTCTCTCAGACCACAGTGCAATCAAACTAGAACTCAGGATTAAGAAACTCACTCAAAACCACTCAAGTACATGGAAACTGAACAACCTGCTCCTGAATGACTACTGGGTACATAACGAAATGAAGGCAGAAATAAAGATGTTCTTTGAAACCAACGAGAACAAAGACACAACATACCAGAATCTCTGGGACACATTCAAAGCAGTGTGTAGAGGGAAATTTATAGCACTAAATGCCCACAAGAGAAAGCAGGAAAGATCCAAAATTGACACCCTAACATCACAATTAAAACAACTAAAGAAGCAAGAGCAAACACATTCAAAAGCTAGCAGAAGGCAAGAAATAACTAAAATCAGAGCAGAACTGAAGGAAATAGAGACACAGAAAACCCTTCAAAAAATTAATGAATCCAGGAGCTGGATTTTTGAAAGGATCAACAAAATTGATAGACCTCTAGCAAGACTAATAAAGAAAAAAAGAGAGAAGAATCAAATAGACGCAATAAAAAATGATAAAGGGGATATCACCACCGATCCCACAGAAATACAAACTACCATCAGAGAATACTACAAACACCTCTACGCAAATAAACTAGAAAATCTAGAAGAAATGGATAAATTCCTCGACACATACACTCTCCCAAGACTAAACCAGGAAGAAGCTGAATCTCTGAATAGACCAATAACAGGATCTCAAATTGTGGCAATAATCAATAGCTTACCAACCAAAAAGAGTCCAGGACCAGATGGATTCACAGCTGAATTCTACCACAGACACAAGGAGGAACTGGTACCATTCCTTCTGAAACTATTCCAATCAATAGAAAAAGAGGGAATCCTCCCTAACTCATTTTATGAGGCCAGCATCATCCTGATACCAAAGCCGGGCAGAGACACAACTAAAAAAGAGAATTTTAGACCAATATCCTTGATGAACACTGATGCAAAAATCCTCAATAAAATACTGGCAAACCCAATCCAGCAGCACATCAAAAAGCTTATCCACCATGATCAAGTGGGCTTCATCCCTGGGATGCAAGGCTGGTTCAATATATGCAAATCAATAAATGTAATCCAGCACATAAACAGAACCAAAGACAAAAACCACATGATTATCTCAATAGATGCAGAAAAGGCCTTTGACAAAATTCAACAACCCTTCATGCTAAAAACTCTCAATAAATTAGGTATTGATGGGACATATCTCAAAATAATAACAGCTATCTATGACAAACCCACAGCCAAAATCATACTGAATGGGCAAAAACTGGAAGCATTCCCTTTGAAAACTGGCACAAGACAGGGATACCCTCTCTCACCACTACTATTCAACATAGTGTTGGAAGTTCTGGCCAGGGCAATTAGGCAGGAGAAGGAAATAAAGGGTATTCAATTAGGAAAAGAGGAAGTCAAATTGTCCCTGTTTGCAGATGACATGATTCTATATCTAGAAAACCCCATTGTCTCAGCCCAAAATCTCCTTAAGCTGATAAGCAACTTCAGCAAAGTCTCAGGATACAAAATCAATGTACAAAAATCACAAGCATTCTTATACACCAATAACAGACAAACAGAGAGCCAAATCATGAGTGAACTCCCATTCACAATTGCTTCAAAGAGAATAAAATACTTAGGAATCCAACTTACAAGGGACGTGAAGGACCTCTTCAAGGAGAACTACAAACCACTGCTCAATGAAATAAAAGAGGATACAAAGAAATGGAAGAACATTCCATGCTCATGGGTAGGAAGAATCAATATTGTGAAAATGGCCATGCTGCCCAAGGTAATTTATAGATTCAATGCCATCCCCATCAAGCTACCAATGACTTTCTTCACAGAATTGGAAAAAACCACTTTAAAGTTCATATGGAACCAAAAAAGAGACCACATCACCAAGTCAATCCTAAGCCAAAAGAACAAAGCTGGAGGCATCACACTACCTGACTTCAAACTATACTACAAGGCTACAGTAACCAAAACAGCATGGTATTGGTACCAAAACAGAGATATAGATCAATGGAACAGAACAGAGCCCTCAGAAATAATGCCGCTTATCTACAACTATCTGATCTTTGACAAACCTGAGAAAAACAAGCAATGGGGAAAGGATTCCCTATTTAGTAAATGGTGCTGGGAAAACTGGCTAGCCATATGTAGAAAGCTGAAACTGGATCCCTTCCTTACACCTTATACAAAAATTAATTCAAGATGGATTAAAGACTTAAACGTTAGACCTAAAACCATAAAAGCCCTAGAAGAAAACCTAGGCATTACCATTCAGGACATAGGCATGGGCAAGGACTTCATGTCTAAAACACCGAAAGTAATGGCAACAAAAGCCAAAATTGACAAATGGGATCTAATTAAACTAAAGAGCTTCTGTACAGCAAAAGAAACTACCATCAGAGTGAACAGGCAACCTACAAAATGGGAGAAAATTTTCGCAACCTACTCATCTGACAAAGGGCTAATATCCAGAATCTACAATGAACTCAAACAAATTTACAAGAAAAAAACAACCCCATCAAAAAGTGGGCAAAGGATATGAACAGACACTTCTCAAAAGAAGACATTTATGCAGCCAAAAGACACATGAAAAAATGCTCATCATCACTGGCAATCAGAGAAATGCAAATCAAAACCACAATGAGATACCATCTCACACCAGTTAGAATGGCAATCATTAAAAAGTCAGGAAACAACAGGTGCTGGAGAGGATGTGGAGAAATAGGAACACTTTTACACTGTTGGTGGGACTGTAAACTAGTTCAACCATTGTGGAAGTCAGTGTGGCGATTCCTCAGGGATCTAGAACTAGAATTACCATTTGACCCAGCCATCCCATTACTGGGTATATACCCAAAGGATTATAAATCATGCTGCTATAAAGACACATGCATACATATATTTATTGCAGCACTATTCACAATAGCTAAGACTTGGAACCAACCCAAATGTCCAACAATGATAGACTGGATTAAGAAAATGTGGCACATATACACCATGGAATACTATGCAGCCATAAAAAATGATGAATTCATGTCCTTTGTAGGGACATGGATGAAATTGGAAATCATTATTCTCAGTAAACTATCACAAGGACAAAAAACCAAACACCGCATGTTCTCACTCATAGATGGGAATTGAATAATGAGAACACATGGACACAGGAAGGGGAACATCACACTCTGGGCACTGTTGTGGGGTGGCAGGAGGGGGAAAGGATAGCATTAGGAGATACACCTAATGCTAAATGACGAGTTAATGGGTGCAGCACACCAGCATGGCACATGTATACATATGTAACTAACCTGCACATTGTGCACAGGTACCCTAAAACTTAAAGTATAATAATAATAAAAATTTTTTAAAAAGTTTACCTTTTAGATTTTTTGGTCACACTCCAGCTGGGTGTGACAAATGAAGAGAGAGAAAGAGAGAAAAAGAGTGAAGAAGATCTTAATTGTAATATTAATTACTTTTTACCTTTGTTCACTTCCACTTATTTATTTACTGGTGTTTAATGTTTGTTGTTATTATTTCTTTGATATTGTTAAATATTTACTGTTGGTTTGTTTATATATTTTGTGATGGACATTGACCATGAGCGTTGGGCTTAGCTGCCAGCTTGCCATGTCTGAAGTCGACCAGATGGCCTCGCTGGTGGCCATACCGTTTCAGGTCCAGCAGAGGGATGTGATTATGATCCACCGTGGCCTCGATCTTGGTCTCACAAGGGTAGTCTTCCCATCTCAGCCTCTCAAGTACCTGGGACTACTAGGACCTACTTCCTCTGTTTTGGTTCTAACCCCACTTTCAGTTTCTTCCACAGTACTTAGAGTGACTTGCTGTTGTGTTAAATCTTTGTTCTTCTCACTCTATTTTTCTATGTTCCTTTCTGCATGCTGAAGTTGACCTCTTAGATTTTTTTTTGACACACTGCAGCATGAGTGTGACAATCAGAGAGAGAGAAAAATAAAGAAGATCTTAATTGTGATATTAATTACCTTTTACCCTTTTTCACTCTCATTTATTTATTGGTCTTTAAAATTATTTGTTATTATTTCTTTTTTTTTTTTAGACGGAGTCTCACTCTGTCACCCAGGCTGGAGGGCAGTGGCTCGATCTTGGCTCACTGCAAGCTCTGCCTCCCAGGTTCATGCCATTCTCCTGCCTTAGCCTCCCAAGTAGCTGGGACTACAGGTGCCCGCCACCATGCCCAGCTAATTTTTTGTATTTTTAGTAGAGACGGGGTTTCACCATGTTAGCCAGGATGGTCTGAATCTCCTGACCTCGTGATCCGCCCGTCTCGGCCTCCCAAAGTGCTGGGATTACAGGCATGAGCCACCACGCCCAGCCTATTATTTCTTAGTTATTGTTAAATATCTACTATTGGGTTTTTTTGTATATTTATTTTGTAACAGATGTTGGCTGCGAGCGTTGGATTAGTTGCCAGCTTGCCATGTCTAAGGTCAAACAGATGGCTCTCGCTGGTGATAAGGTTGACCAGATGGCTCTCACTGGCAGTAGTATTGTTCAGGCCCAGCAGAGGGATGCCATCATGATTCAATGCAGCAACGATCTTCCCGATGTCACCCGGAGGACTTCCCATCTCAGCCTCCCATTTACCTTGGACTACTCAGGCCATCTTCCTTCTTTTTTTTTTCTACTCCCACTTTCATTTTGTTTCCACGGTATTTAGAGGGGGTTGCTGTGGTCTTTCTTCTTTGTTCTTTGCTCCATTTCTTTTTTCTTTTTTGTTACCCTCCTTCCTGAACGCTGACGTGGATGTTTAAATTTGATTTTTGGTAGGTCTTCTCACTGTCACACCCTGGCTGGAGTGTAGGTGCTGGATCAGCAGTGAGCCGTTACCATGCCCCTGCCCTCCAGCATGTGTGTGAGAGTGTGACACATGGAGATCGATGGAGAGAGGGACAGAAAGACAGAGACACAAACAGACAGTGGCAGAGAGACAGAAACAGAGAGAGACAGGGAGGCAGACAACAATTAGTTGTTATATTAATTACATTTTACCTTTGTTCACTCCCACTTATTTATTTATTGGTCTTATCATTGTTTGTTATTTCTTTGTTATTGTTAAATATTTATGTGCCAGGCGAGGTGGTTCACACCTGTAATCCCAGCACTTTGGGAGGCCGAGGCGGGCAAACCAGCTGAGGTCGGGAGTTTCAGACTAGCTTGACCAACACGAAGAAACATCAACTCTACTAAAACTACAAAATTAGCCAGGCGTGGTGGCGCATGCCTGTAATCCCAGCTACTCCGGAGGCTGAGGCAGGACAATCACTTGAACCTGGGAGGCAGAGGTTGCGGTGAGCCAAGATCACGCCACTGTACTCCAGCCTGGGCAACAAGAGCGAAACTCCAGCTCAAAAAAAAAAAATATTGTTTGTTTATTTGTTTATACATTTTAGACAGATGTCAGCCACGAGTGTTGGACTTGGCCGCCAGCTTGCCATGTTTAAGGTTGACCATTTGGCTCTTGCTGGCAGTGGTACCATTGAGGTCCAGAAGAGAGATGTGATGACGATTCACTGCAGCCTGGATCTCCCCAGTCTCACCCGGGTGGTCTTCCCATCTTGGCCTCCCGAGTACCTGGGACTACTCAGACATTGTTCCTCTGTTTTATTTCTAACCCCACTTTCAGTTTGCTTCCACAGTACTTAGAGAGAGTTGCTATAGTTGTTCTTCTTTGTTCTTTGCTCTCATTCTCTCTCTCTCTCTTATTTTATTTTTTTTTACGCTCTTTCCTGTATGCTGAAGTTGATGTTTTATATATACACATATATTTTTTTAGCCAGGTCTTCTCAGTCTGTCACACCCTGGCTGGAGTGCAGGTACATGATCAGCAGTGAGCTGTGACCACACACGTTCACTCCAGCCTGGGTTTGACAGTGTGACACACGGAGATCAGGGAAGAGAGATTCAGAAAGACAGAGAGACAGAGACCCAGACTAAAACAGAAAGACAGAGAGAGGCAGAGAAATAGAGACAGAGAGAGATACAGTTAATTGTGATTTTAATTACCTTTTATTTTTGTTCACTCCCACTTATTTATTTATTGGTAATATTATTGTCCATTATCATTTCTTTCTTATTATTTACTGTCGGTTATTTATTAATTTTGAGGCAGATGTTGGCTGCGAGCATTGGACTTGGCTGCCAGCTTGCCACTTCTAAGGTCTACCAGATAGCTCTCACCAGTAGTAGTGTTCAGGTAAGGCAGAGGGATGCAATTGTGATTCACTGCGATATTAATCTCCCTGGTCTTTCACAGGTGGTCGTCCCATCCATCTTGGCCTCCAGAGTACCTGAAAATACTTGGACTTTCCTCCTCTGTTCTTTTTTTTTTCCAGCTCCACTTTTAGTTTTCTTCCGCAGTACTTACAGTGAGTTGCTGTGGTTTTTTTTTTTTTCCTTTCTTCTTTGCTCTTTCTCTCTCTTTTATTTTCTTATGCTCCTTTCTGCATGCTGAAATTGACGTGATATATATATATATATATATATATATATATATATATATAAAATTATTATTTTTAGCTAGGTCTTCCTACTGTATCACATTCTGGCTGGAGTGCAGGTGAGTGATCAGCAATGAGCTGTGACCACACACGTGCACTCCAGCCTGGGTGTGAAAGTGTGACACATGGAGATTGAGGAAGAGAGAGACAGAGAAAGAGAGACAACAATTAATTGTGACATTAATTACCTTTTATCTGTGTTCCCTCTCACTTATTTGTCTTGTTATTATTTGTTATTACTTATTATTGTTAAATATTTACTGTTAGTTGTTAGTTTATTTATGTTAAGACAGACTTCAGCCATGAGCATTGGACTTGGCCACCAGCTTGCCATGTCTAAGGTAGACCAGAAAGCGGTCACCAGTGGCAGTACTCTTCAGGTCCAGGAGAAGGATGCGATTGTGATTCCCTGCAGCCTCGATCTCCTCAGTCTTGCCCAGGTGGTCTTTCCATTCGGCCTCCCGAGTACGTGAAACTACTCAAGCTTCTTCCTCTGTTTTTTTTTCTAGCCCCACTTTTAGTTGGCTTCAACAGCACTTAGAGGGAGTTGCTGTGGTTTTTCTTCTGTGTTCTTTGCTCTCTCTCTCTTTTTAAAATCTTTTATGCTCCTTCCTGGATGCTAAAGTTGATAAGATCCACCCACCTCAGCCTCCCAAAGTGCTGGGATTACAGGCATGAGGCACCGCGCCTGGCTTTAATTTTGTATTTTTAGTAGAGACAGGGGTTTCTCCATGTTGGTCAGACTGGTCTCGAACTCCTGACCTCAGGTGATCCACTCGCCTCCGCCTCCCAAAGAAAAACTGGTCTAAGATCTAGCTATTTTCTTAAATTTTAGGTTTGATTAGCTCACTTTTGGCATGAGTGACTCATTTTGTTTTGTTTTGGTCTGTTTGGGAAGAGTGCACATGCTCAGTCCAGATGATGGCCATAAATAATTTTGTTTAAAAAATTCACCCCAGGCCGGGCTCAGTGGCTCAGGTCTGTAATCTCAGCACTTTGGGAGGCTGAGGCTGGCGGATCAAAAGGTCAGGAGATCCAGACCATCCTGGCCAATATGGTGAAACCCCGTCTCTAGTAAAAATACAAAAATTAGCCGGGCGTGGTGGTGCACACCTGTAGTCCCAGCTACTCGGGAGGCTGAGGCAGAAGAATCACTTGAACCCGTGAGGCAGAGTTTGCATTGAGCCGAGATTGCACCACTGCACTCCAGCCTGGGCAACAGAACAAGATTCCATCTCAAAAAAAAAAAAAAATTACCCTATTTGTAAGCTCTCACATAGGTCACGGTGTGACCAAAACTCAGGGCCTTAGTGCCACTCTGTTTCCATTATCTTTTTTTCTGTCTTTTTTTTTTTTTTAAGATGAAATCTCGCTTTGTTGTCCAGGCTGGAGTGCAGTGGCACTATCTCAGTTCACTGCTACCTCCACCTCCTGGGTTCAAGCAATTCTCCCACCTCAGCCTTCCGAGTAGCTGGGACTACAGGCCCATGCCACCACGGCTGGCTAATTTTTTGTATTTTTAGTACAGACAGGGTTTCACCGTGTTACCCAGGATGGTCTCCATCTCCTGACCTCATGATCCACCCACCTCGGCCTCCCAAAGTGCTGGGATTACAGGCCTGAGCCACCACAACAGGCCAATTTTTGTATTTTTAGAAGAGATGGGGTTTCACTATGTTGCCCAGGCTTGTCTCAAACTCCTGACCTCATGATCCACCCACTTCAGTCTCCCAAAGTGCTGAGGTTACAGGCACCGCACCTGTCCTATTTTGGGTTTTTGTCCTTATCATGTCATTCATAGGTTATGGTGTCTTCGTAGTCACATGTGTCTTTGAGTTTCTGCCATTCTGGTTTAAAAGAGATCATTTGACATTTTGGAGATGACTGCATGCAAACATTTATAACTTTTGAGAGAATACGGTGAAGTAGGGAGACACTACTATTTCAACTATCAGGAGAATGATACCAAGAGTTTGAAGCATGCTTTTTAGCCAGGGTCCCCACGAAACACCAACTAAAATTAAATAGGCCGAATAGTTAGCTAGATAAGTGGTCTACTCATTTCAACCAAGCACACTGTTCATTAATCCGCTGCAACTGCATCTCCGTGGATGCAGAGTAGGCTCAGGGAGCCTACACTACGTATTTCTCCATGTGCAACTACAAGTGTTAGCAACTTCATAGGTACTTCTCTGTTCATCCAATAAGTAATTAAAAGAAATAATATTATTGCTGGGCGCAGTGGCTCACGCTTGTAATCCCAGCACTTTGGGAGGCTGAGACAGGTGGATCACGAGGTCAGGAGATCGAGACCGTCCTGGCTAACATGGTGAAACCCCATCTCTAGTAAAAATGCTAAAAATTAGCCAGGCATGGTGGTGGGCGCCTGTAGTCCCAGCTACTCAGGAGGCTGAGGCAGGAGAATGGCGTGAACCTGGGAGGCGGAGCTTGCAGTGAGCCGAGATCGAGCCACTGCACTCCAGCCTGGGCGACAGAGCGAGAGTCCATCTCAAAAAAAAAAAAAAAGAAAGAATGAAATAATATTATTTAGCACAACTTTAGTAAGTAAATTTAAAATCTATTGTGTAATCATAGCCTTTACAGTATAATCTTCTATAGAGCCCTATTGGGGGGATACATTTCTAACCATTGCCTCATTTACTTTATACCATGGAAAGAAAGACCTAACAAATCATGGCCATTCAGAAGAGTAAGGGCATCCTGGAAATGCTCCTTAACTTATTGTGAAAAAGTTGTCCTTAACTTATGAAGTAGGTTAAGAGCAGTGGACCAATATTCTGTTTCTGATATTGTGAGGGAACAAATATCCCATAAAAATTTCTCACACAGGCTGGCCCTTCATCTTTTACCTATCAAGGTGTAAGTTTTTTCATATATAATGTTGGCTGCAAAATTCTCTACATTTAAGTATACCCCATAAGTGCACACAAGAGACCCCTTCTTTATTTCTATTGTTTGTAGAGCCATAAAAAACTGTGAAATAAGTGTGTCATGATAGCAGAGAAGTATGATCATGTTCTGAGTGTGTCTCACCATGAAACAAGCAAAAAAAAATTACTGCTGTTATTTTGAGATAGTGAGTTAGCATTTTGTGCAAATATGTACTATGTAATTTTTTATTGATATGTAACATGCATAGAGAAATACATGAAGAAATTCTTCATTCAAGTAAAGCTCAGTGAATTGTTATGAAGAAATATACTTGTGTAATCAGATAATAAAACTAGGCCGGGCACAGTGGCTTATGTCTGTAGTTCAGTACATTGGGAAGCCAATGCGGGTGGATTGCTTGAGCTCGGGAGTTCAAGACCAGCCTACCCAACATGGCAAGGCTCTGTCTCTACTTTAAAAAAATACCAAAAAAAAAAAAAAAGAACCAGGCAGGCTGGTGCATGCCGGTGGTCCCAGCTACTGGGGAGGCTGAGGCAGGAGGATCACTTAAGACTGAAAGTTTGAAGCTGCAGTGACCCATCATTCAGCCACTGCACTCCAGCTTGGGTTACAGAGTGAGACCTGTATGTGTAAACACACACACACACACACACACACACACACGTGCACATGGTGGGGGATATGAAAAAGAGAAAGTGTGGCTCCTGCAATTCAGTGAGACCTGGTTCTCCATCTTGGGAACTGCCCATCCACACTGAAACCACAACCTAGCACATGCCAATTCTTACGCTAAACCTGCTAAGATACCACTGTTTACCCTTAAGAAAAAAACTGAAGTATTTCACCTAAAAGAAGGGAAAAAGAAAAGAAGGATTTCACATCCAAAGCCTTTGTTTCCTTTATAAAACAACAGCCCCTTGTCATTTGAGTTGTCCAGAGGTGTCTGACAACACTAACACACTTATGGAATCAGCCAGGAAAAGTGAGCCTCTCAGGTGACAAAGAGGCACAATGGTAACTAAAGACAATCCATTCTCATCTCTACATGATGCCCCCCTCTCATGAAGTGGTGTTAACCATGTGAACCATATTCACCAGAGGAAAGTATGTTCAGGGCAACACAATCATGAGGTTGCAAATCAAACCAGGGGTGGGAAGCACATAGGAGGTTTCCATGGCCAAGACACTGGTGGCTATCCTTGGGTGTCATTTAAAAATTTCAGGTGAAAAATCCTTTTCTTCCAGTTGGCTCAGGAAAACTAACAGACATTACAATTGGAATTCGTTTTACTTTTTAGAATTTCTAAGACATAAAGCATGCTTCAAACACTCCAAAAGACATTCAGCTATACCTGAGGCTGAGGACCTGCCTCCTTCTCCACGTTAGGGCCCTGACAGCAGGCAAAGAGAAGGAGCACAGGGGCCGGGTGTGGTGGCTCACAGCTGTAATCTCAGCATTTTGGGAAGCTGAGGCAGGCGGATCACCTGAAGTCAGGAGTTTGAGATGAGGCTGGTCAACATGGCGAAAACCCTTCTCTACTAAAAATACAAAAATTAGCCATGTGTGGTGGTGTGCACCTGTAATCCCAGCTACTCAGGAGGCTGAGGCAGGAGAATCATTTGAACCGAGGAGGTAGAAGTTGCAGTGAGTCAAAATCGTGCCATTGCACTCCAGCCTGGGCAACAAGAATGAAACTGCCATCTGAAAAACAAAACAAAACAAACAAACAACAACAACAACAACAAAAGAGAGAAGGAGCACAGGCAGGTGGGGACAGAGAGCAGCCCAGGCCTATAGGGATCCCCAACAACCCCCAGAGCCACCCTACAGTGTCTGTAGGAGGGACTGTGTGGCAAAAATCAGGTAGGGAGCTGGGCTTCATGGAGAGGTTACCACCACTTCTGTATCTTTAACTTTTCCCAAGGATTTATGATTCCACTCTGGTTCTCCCCAGGTCCCCAACCCATCCTACCCTCACTCCCACACTGTGTGTTTATGTGGGTCTGGTTAAAATGAGGAGAATAATACTTCCAGATTGTAGCCTTCAAGGTATTCCCATCTGGGGTATGGGGAGTAGGGAGGCAAGTCAGAGTCTGTGGTGGTGCTTACTTCTGGGTCTGAGGGCAGGAAGGCCAGGGCTGGGCACATGGATATCTGGGGAAACACCACTGTTGATTCCTTCTCCCCACCCGGAGCTACAACCAGGCCAGGGCAATCACAATTAATAAAACCACTGCAGCTCACATCCTACACGAAACTAAAGTGTACCCCAACACCCAGTCCTACCACAGATCGAGAACTTCCCATCCCAGAACACAGGAAGCCCTCCGTCTTTTTGACCTAAAGCCTGGACTTTAAGCCAGGTTGGGCTTGGGGGTAGTGGCAGCAAAAGCAGCAGCCACAAGGTCAAACATACCAATGACCTGAGAAATCTCATCTGCACATCATTCACTCAGAACAGACCTGGGGTTGTGAACAAATTAAGAAAAAGGCCAGATCTATACACTCATGGGCATGGACACCTTCCACACTTGCTGGGGAGAATGAGAGGCACCTGTTTCCCAGCTGCAAGCTGATGTCCACATACACCCATTCATGTGTCTTCATTTAGGTCTCTGCATTGTATATTCATTGAACCAATACAAACACATCTTCGGTGGTGGGAGGAGGGGGGACATCATTTAGTGCAACACCACTCCCCACTTGTTATAGGGGGCACTCAGGAGGTATCTGGTCAGCTCCTAATTCCCTAGGACAAAGGTGGCGCCCCATTTCCAGCACTCACATCCAGCAGCGCCATCTCAGATTTTTTTTTTTTTAAACATGAACAGCATGAGGAAGCAGGCATGGTACGACAGGCTCAGGGCCACAGACAGCTGGCTGCTGGAGAAGCAGCACAGGCAGTCACATCTGTGGGTGGGGCCATGATAAGACAAGGCCACCATAGTTCCTACCCCTGACAGCCCTAGCCCAGATAGCATTCAAATCTTCCTTGATGGGCTTCATGGCTGTCACTCACCGGCTCTTTAGCACCGCCTTGTGTTGGTTACTCAGGGCCTGGGAGAGGTAGTGGGGATCGTAGATCCAGGGTGGGAAGCACCTCACACCCAGAGTTCACCTGGCCACAGGCCAGCAAGCAAGCCCAAGCAGCACAGTTCTAGACACTGAGCCTCGGCACCTCCAGCTGCACTTTCTATTTATATATCAGGTTTTTAAATTCCATAAATAAAGAGACACAAAAACAGCCACTTTGATTGAGGAGAAAGTGGGAGCCTAAAGCAGCTGACCCTCAAACATCTCCACCAAGCCCCAGGCCAGGCCAGGCCATCTGAACACTCCAAGGCCACATGATAGTTACAGAGGATGACAGTTCCCACAGGTACTTGTCAAGCACTGTGCTAGCTTCTCAATCACA
The DNA here is from genome assembly GCF_000001405.40 of Homo sapiens. Classification (NCBI taxonomy): domain Eukaryota; kingdom Metazoa; phylum Chordata; class Mammalia; order Primates; family Hominidae; genus Homo; species Homo sapiens. The sequence continues at coordinate 23,420,624 of NC_000019.10, read as the reverse complement.
GTCTCAGAATGCCTCCTTGCCAATACCCTGTGAGGGGAGGCTCTGCCTCACTAGAGCACAGGAGTTTCCTAAGCTCTTCCCAGGAAATGGTTAGCAAAGTGTCGAGCTAGGAGAAAGCCCAGTCAGAACAAGTGACTCCCCAGGGTCTTCCTAGACTCCATCTGCTCCTCCACATGCCGCCCGGAGGTGATACGGGCAGCCTCCTAACCCCCTCCATCCCACTCTCTCCTCAATCAAAGTGGCTGATTTTGTGTTTGCTTGTTTCTTTATGGGATTTTAAAAACCTGATATTTTATTTAGAGTAGTTTCAGGCTTGTATGTGTGTATTTGTATAGACTTTATTAGAAGGAAGAGGGCTTAATATAATAACATTTTTTTTCTTTTTTTTGTTATTGATCATTCTTGGGTGTTTCTCACAGAGGGGGATTTGGCAGGGTCATAGGACAATAGTGGAGGGAAGGTCAGCAGATAAACAAGTGAGCAAAGGTCTCTGGATTTCCTAGGCAGAGGACCCTGGGGCCTTCCACAGTGTTTGTGTCCCTGGGTACTTGAGATTAGGGAATGGTGATGACTCTTAACGAGCATGCTGCCTTCAAGCATCTGTTTAACAAAGCGCATCTTGCACCGCCCTTAATCCATTTAACCCTGAGTGGACACAGCACATGTTTCAGAGAGCACCAGGTTGGGGGTAAGGTCAACAGCATCCCAAGGCAGAAGAATTTTTCTTAGTACAGAACAAAATGGAGTCTCCTATGTGTACTTCTTTCTACACAGACACAGCAACAATCTGATTTCTCTATCTTTTCCCCACATTTCCCCCTTTTCTCCCTTTTCTATTCAACACAACTGCCGTCGTCATCATGGCCCGTTCTCAATGAGCTGTTGGGTACACCTCCCCAGATGGGGTGGCGGCCGGGCAGAGGGGCTCCTCACTTCCCAGAAGGGGTGGCCGGGCAGAGGCGCCCCCCACCTCCTGGACGGGGCGGCGGCCGGGCAGAGGAGCCCCCCACCTCCCTCCCGGACGGGGCGGCTGGCCGGGCAGGGGCTGGCCCCCACCTCCCTCCGGGTCGGGGCGGCTGGCCGGGCGGGGGCTGGCCCCCACCTCCCTCCGGGACGGGGCGGCTGGCCGGGCGGGGGCTGCCCCCCACCTCCTGGACGGGGCAGCTGCCGGGCGGAGACGATCCTCACTTCCCAGATGGGGCGGCTGCCGGGCGGAGGGGCTCCTCACTTCTCAGACGGGGTGGCTGCCAGGCAGAGGGGCTCCTCACTTCTCAGACGGGGCGGCCGGGCAGAAACGCTCCTCACCTCCCAGACGGGGTCGCGGCCGGGCAGAGGCGCTCCTCACATCCCAGACGGGGCGGCGGGGCAGAGGCGCTCCCCACATCTCAGACGATCGGCGCCCGGGAAGAGACGCTCCTCACTTCCTAGATGGGATGGTGCCGGGAAGAGGTGCTCCTCACTTCCCAGACTGGGTAGCCGGGCAGAGGGGCTCCTCACATCCCAGACCATGGGCAGCCAGGCAGAGACGCTCCTCACTTCCCAGACGGGGTGGCGGCCGGGCAGAGGCTGCAATCTCGGCATTTTGGGAGGCCAAGGCAGGCGGCTGGGAGGTGGAGGTTGTAGCCAGCCGAGATCACGCCACTGCACTCCAGCCTGGGCAACATTGAGCACTGAGTGAACGAGACTCCGTCTACAATCCCGGCACCTCGGGAGGCCGAGGCTGGCGGATCACTCCTGATTAGGAGCTGGAGACCAGCCCGGCCAACACAGTGAAACTCCGTCTCCACCAAAAAAATACGAAAACCAGTCAGGTGTGGCAGCGCGCACCTGCAATCGCAGGCAGTCGGCAGGCTGAGGCAGGAGAATCAGGCAGGGAGGTTGCAGTGAGCAGAGATGGCGGCAGTACAGTCCAGCTTCGGCTCGGCATCAGAGGGAGACCGTGGAAAGAGAGGGAGAGGGAGACCGTGGGGAGAGGGATGGGGGGGAGGGGGAGGGGGAGGGGGAGAGGGAGAGGGAGAATAACATTTTTAAAATGTCTCAGTGGGGAATAGACTTCCATGTCAGAAACCATGATGTTGGCCTATTTCTGCTGCCTTTGAGCAAAGTATAAATAGTGTGAGAACTGGCATGTGCTGGGTTGTGGTTTCAGTGTGGGAGAGCAGTTCCTCAAGATGGAAAAACAAATCTCACTGAGCCGTAAGAGCCATGCTCATCTTTTACCACATTCCCAACCAGGGTCTTTCACTTTTCTTCTGTGCTTGAATTTCTTTCAACATACATATTATTTTGATTATATACATAGGGTACATATATATGTGTGTATATATATATGTATGTGTCTCTGTGTGTGTGTGTGTGTGTGTATACACTCTGTCACCCAGGCTGGAGTGTAGTAGCTGAATGATGGGTCACTGGTCACTGCAGCCTCAACCTCCAGTGATGGTTCCACCTCAGCCTTTCAAGTAGCTGGGACTACAGGCATGCAACACCACATGAGGCCAATTTTTAACGTTTTTGTTGAGACTGAATCTCACTACATTGCCCAGACTGGTCTTGAACTCCTAGGTTTAAGCAATCATTCCACCATGGTCTTCCAAAGTGTTTGGATTACAGGTGTTAGCCATCAAACTCTGCCAAAAATATTTTTTAAGGAACTGTTACAACCAAGTTATTAGCTATGGTTGTGCCACTGTACTCCAGCCTAGGTACCAGAGTGAGACCTTGTCTCCAAAAACAAAACAAAACAAAAAAACTTACGACCAAATTAAAATTCTAAGGTTGTGTCATATGTGTCCCCTCCCTGCCCTGTAAGCTATCACTGTTAAATATAATGGTATTGGCCGGGCACGGTGGCAAATGGCTGTAATCCCAACACTTTGGGAGGCCGAGGTGGGCGGATCACCTGAGGTCAGGAGTTCAAGACCAGCCTGACCAACACGGAGAAACCCTATCTCTACTAAAAATACAAAATTAGCCGGGCGTGGTGGCGCATTCTTATAATCCCAGCTACTCGGGAGGCTGGGAGGATTGAGGCAGGACAATCGCTTGAACCCAGGAGGTGGGGGTTGAGGTGAGCTGAGATCATGCCATTGCACTCCAGCCTGGGTAACAAAAGTGAAACACTGTCTCAAAAAAAAAAAAAAAAATATATATATATATATATATATATATATATATATATATATATATACACATACATATACATATAAAATGGGTATTGAGAAAACTGTTATATATTATTAAGAAATTCCTGGCTGGGCGCGGTGGCTCATGCCTGTATTCCCAGTACTTTGGGAGGCCGAGGCAGGTGGATCACCTGAGGTCAGGAGTTTAAGACCAGCCTGGCCAATATGATGAAACCCTGACAGACCCAGGGCATGGTGGTGGGAGCCTGTAATCCCAGCTACTCGGGAGGTTGAGGCAGGAGAATCGCTTGAACCCAGGAGAAGAAGGTTGCAGTGAGCCAAGATCACACGATTGCACTCCCTTCTGGGCAACAAAAGCAAACCTCCATCTCAAAAAAGAAAAAATTCCTATATATTCTCTAAATGAGAATAAGTTATTCTGATGTGACCCAATATTTCCTCACTCTTACCTCCATGGTCTAACCCAGCAAATCAAATCAGGACACCCACAAAGGACAGTTGGCCATTTTCAAATAGAAATAAAATAGAAAATAAAATACCCCATTAGTGACAGTAATCCAGTGATTTTAAAAAAGAGAAGTCAGATTGAGATGCAGTGCAGTCAGGGCACAATTACCCTGGAATACACACTTCACACAGAATGATTGAGAAGTCTTTCTAAAATAAACAAATTTGGGTAACATAATTTTTGCTTAACCATTCTCAGCCACCGCTTTCCCCCACCCCTGCCCCATTCCTAATGGCCATCCCACGATGTGGTCAACAGCGTGGTATAGCATGATGAGAGAGGTACTCAGGGATGGGATGAGGGTCTTTCCTGCATTATCAAAATCATTAAAAAGTTGTTAAAATATGTTCAAATGGGCCAGGCATGGTGGCTCACGCCTGTAATCCCAGCACTTTGGGAGGCTGGGGTGGGAGGATCACCTGAGGTCAGGAGTTCGAGACCAGCCTGCCCAACTTGGCGAAACCCCGTCTGTACTAAAAATACAAAAAGTAGCTGGGTGTGGTGGCATGCGCCTGTAATCCCAGCTACTCGGGAGGCTGACGCAGGAGAATCACTTGAACCTGGGAGGCAGAGGTTGCAGTGAAACAAGATCACACCATTGCACTCAAGCCTGGGCAATAAGAGCAAAACTCAGTCTCAAACAAACAAAAATAATCCAAATGTTCTTTTCTTACCCTTAAGTAGCAAATAAGATGCATTATACAAGCAGACCCAGGTAAGGGAAAGAGCAAGTTCATTTCAAGTCTCAGCTTACTTCTTAATTGGCTGTAATTCCCTATGGTTGACACTCCCTGCTTTAGCCTGTTTTCCTGGGGGTGGAGGGAGTGGTACTGGGCGAGTGCTGGTGCTTTATCGAATCAGTGGCACAGTTGGAGAGGAGGGCGTGGCATCCGGCATTTGGCGGGGCTTTTGTCTCTCGCTGCAGCCAGAGCTTGGGATCGCTTTCTGCTATTCAACGTCCTCCACCTCTGCCCCCCTCTCGCCCCAGCCGGTGACAGGCTGTTGCCCTGTGATCTGCAGGTCCTGGGACGTGCACAGACAGCTAAGATGCCAGGACATTCCAGAAGGTGGGAAAGGGTGAGTGTGAGGGGTTGAGCATCCCGAGAGGGGAGAGCTGGCTGAGAAACCGACGGGACTGGCCTCCTCACCGCTCCTGGGTTGCCGACCTGAGTCCCTGCTGGCGCAGCTCCGTCCCAGGTCCCTCTGGCCGCAAGATGGTGGCTGGGCCCGCAGCAATGACCCGCGCGTCCCGCCCAGTCCCTGCGGCGCCCTATCTGGAGCTCCCTGGGCAGCTCTGCACGCAGCCCCGAGTGTTTCCCAGATTGTTCAGGGATGCCAGGCGGGTCATCAGGGCAGAATCCCGACTCGTGTGTGCGTAGGAGGAGCTGTGGCCGGTGGGGCTCCCAGTCTCTTTTGTTAAACATTTTGTTGGTTTGTTTGAGACAAAGTCTTGCTCTGTCGCCGAGGCTGGAGTGCAATGGCGTGATCACTGCAACCTCCGCCTCCCAGGTTCAAGCGATTCTCGTGCCTAAGCCCCCCGAAAAGCTGGGATTAAAGACCTGCACCACCACGCCTGGCTGATTTTTGTATTTCTAGTAGAGAAGTGGTTTCGCCATGGTGGAAGCTGGTCTGGAACCCCTGGACTCAAGTGATCCCCCCACCGCCGCGGCCTCCCAAAGTGCTAAGATTACAAGCATGAGCCACCGCGCCCAGCTTCTTCTCTTGCAAAGTAAAGGGAGTCAACGTTAAAACGTTAACGAGTTTATCTGAGCAGTGATTAGTGAAATGGAAAGCACCCAGCCATAATATGTGGGCCACCTGAAAGGCAAAAAGGGAAGGGTTTTGAAAAGGGCGTGTGAGAAGGCAAACCAAATTCAAGAATTGGTTACAGTTTATGTAGTCACCTTATTTGTATGATTCGGGTGGAAATTTCCTGGTTATGTAATCAGAGGTTAATTGCAGGTTAAGCCTGAATTTTGTTTCTGCCTAAAATAATTTATAAGAAGTGAATCCGAGATAGGTTTTACATTTTTTACTTATGAACACAGGGCACTAGAGCCCCTTCAGTCTAATTTCCTGCTTTTTAAATAACACTCCACAGGAGGACTGGTTTTCCTCTGTGACTTCCTAATGTATGGCAAGCAGGACTTCTAATCCACTACCCTTTTACCCTAGCTTAACTCAGGCTTGTAGTAAAATTATAAATTTCCACCTTTGTTCCTACATTCTCAAAAGTGGAAATGAGAACAACTTCCTCTCTCCAATTTACAACACTATCAACTATTTGTCCTTTATTTTACATTTCAAACACAGTGTTTTTATTATTAATCATGTTCTTACACAGCAGTGGATGGCAGGTTTTAAAATAATTGTTGTCTGTATACAATTTTTTTTTTCTTTTTTTTTTTGGAGATGGAGTTTCACTCTTGTTGCCCAGGCTGGAGTGCAGTGCAATCCCCGCCTCCCAGATTCAAGCGATTCTCATGCCTCAGCCTCCCAAGTAGCTGGGATTACAGGCTCCCACCACCATGCCCGGCTAATTTTTGTATTTTTAGGAGAGACAGGGTTTCCTCATGTTGGCCAGGCTGCTCTTGAATTCTTGACCTCAGGTGATCCACCCGCCTCAACCTCCGAAGTCTGTAAACATGTTACGTGAGAAAATAATCCTCTGGAACTCCACTGTTAAAAAGAAAAAAAATCTCTGTGACTGTCCTTTTATCTTCCCTGGTGCATACACCTTGTTAGTAGGTCTTTCGGTTGAAGTTTTGCTTTGGAGAAATTCCAGGGCCCTTTGTGGCAGCCCTCCGGTCTTTTCTTGTTCATGATTTTCAGAACCGTCAGGGATAACCCAAGATGCCCACAGTGGCCATATCTCTTGGAGTGTCTAATGAATATCATCCCCTGGGTCATCTCTTAGAGGACAGCCTGAGGAGGAAGAGTGTAGCCTCTCAGAAGAGCAGCTGGATGGCTTAGGCCTGTGGAAATTTCCTCGCATACCATTTGTCTTAGAAAGCTAACCTTTTAGAAAATTAAAATTATTTTTTCACAAAGGAACGCGTATACACTGTTGATGGGAGTGTAAATTAGTTCAACCATTATGGAAGACAGTGTGGCAACTCCTTGAAGACCTAGAGACAAAATACCATTTGACCTAGCAATCCATTATTGGGTATTTACCCAAAGCAATGTGAATCATTCTATTATAAAGACACATGCATGCATATGTGCATTGCAGCACAATTCACAATAGCAAAGGCATGGAATCAACCTAAATGCCTATTAATGATAGACTGGATAAAGAAAGTGTAGTACATATACACCATGGAGTACTGTGCACCCATTAAAAAAAAATGAGATCATGTCCTTTGCAGGAACGTGGATAGAGCCATAAGACATTATTCTTAGCAAACAGAGGAATAGAAAACTAAATACTAGCTGGATGTGGTGGCTCACAGCTGTAATTCCAGCACTTTGGGAGGCCAAGGCAGGTGGATCATCTGAGGTCAGGAGTTTGATACCAGCCTGAGCAACATGGTGAAACCTCATCTCTACTAAAAATACAAAAAATTAGCCAGGCGTGGTGGCAGATGCCTGTAATCCCAGCTACTCAGGAGGATGAGGCAGGAGAATCTCTTGAACCCGGGAGGCAGAGGTTGCAGTGAGCTGAGATAGTGCCACTGCACTCCAGCCTGGGTGACAAGAGCGAAACTCCATCTCAAAAAAAAAAAAAAAAGCAAAACAAACTACTACATATTCTCACTTATAAGTGAGAGTCAAATGATGGGAACACATGGGCCCATAGAGGGGAAGAACACATACTGGGGCCTATTGGAGGAGGGAGAGGATCAGGAAAAATACCTAATGGGTACTAGGCCTTAATACTTGGGTGATGAAATAATCTGCACAACAAACCCCCGTGACACACGTTTACCTATGTAAAAAACTTGAACATATACCCTTGAACTTAAAAGTTAAAAAAAAAAGAATTTGGTAGCTTTTCCAATAATTCCCTGACAGCATTTTGATTTTATGTGTATATGACACCTATTAAGTATCAGACATTTGGATTACACAGATGAACAGGGTTCAACATACCTGCCCCATAGGAGTTTATAGTTCATTAGCATGGATAGGTGTGTAAATGATTAATTTATTCTGGAGAGAATAACCCTTGTACATAAAAAGACTTATAAAGTATTGAGGAGCTAAATGGTAATAGTGATCAATTCTGCCAGTGACATAGCACTGGGAAAATCAAGGAGGGCTTTATAGAGGATGTGACATTTGAGTGGGTGTCAGGGTTTACTAGAACTTTTTGTGTTAATGCTGCTAGTGCAGAGTATGCTTTTTTTTTGAGACAGTCTTTCTCTGTTGCCCAGGCTAAAGTGCAGTGGTGCAGTCTCGGCTCACTGCAACCTCTGCCTCCCAGCGATTCTCTCACCTCAGCCTCCCTCCGCCTTTAAGCGATTCTCTCACCTCAGCCTCCCAAGTAGCTGGAATTACAGGCATGAGCCACCACACCTGGCCGCAGAGTAAAAAATTATTTCCAGCTTGGCCAACATGGTGAAACCCCGTCTCTACTAAAAATACAAAAACATTAGTCAGGCATTGTGGCATGTGCCTCTTCCTGAGTTTTTTACCTTGGAAAGATTTTTTCACATTTCTATTTCAGTTTTTTAATAACTGTAACTTATATTTTATCAGAAGAGTTTAAAAGATGTTTAAAAAGTCAGACTATGAAAGGTATATTTCAGAAAAATCTACTCATATATTTTATGTATTAAAGATTCTTATTTACCTTTATCTTCTCCAGAGTGAGTGTAGTAAGTTTCTCATGTCTGCTTTTCCTGGTTGCATGATTTTAAATAGAACCCCAGGCTTTGCTTTGGGAATGCTACCAGAGAAAAGAAATAGGAAAAATCTTTTTTTCATTATGGCTATACAAAGTGAATATATTTCCACAAGCAAATGTGATAGATTAATTGGTGCATTGTATATATTTCTCAAACCATCAGCTCCTCTTTTTTGTGGTGTCTAGAATTTGTAACAGTGGATAATCTCTGTTCTGTATTCTGTTGTCTAGATGTCCAAGTTTAATGCTAAATTTTATGAGATGGAACTTGACATCTTCTAGAAATGTTCACATATGATTGTTTATTAAATTATCTATCATGGAAATAGTTAAATGAGATGTTTATCATCTGAAAAGGACAGATGCTTTTTTTTTTTTTTGAGATGGAATCTTGCTCTGTTGCCCAGGCTGGAGTGCATTGGCACAATCTCGGCTCAGTACAACCTTTGCCTCCTGAATTCAAGCGATTCTCCTGCCTCAGCCTCCCTAGTAGCTGGGATTACAGTTGCCAGCTGCCACACTCATCTAATTTTTGTATTTTTAGTAGAGATGGGTTTCACCATGTTGGCCAGGCTGGTCTCGAACTCCTGACTTCAGGTGATCCTCCTGCCTCGGCCTTCCAAAGTGCTGGGATTACAAGTGTGAGCCACCATGCCCAGCCTTACTTAAGCTTTTTATATTGTAGTTGAAAATTTAAGTCTTACAATTTCCTTACACTATTCTATAAACAGTGTGTTGGAGTGATTTTGCACTTTTTTGAAACATTGGTCATTTTTTTAATTATTATTATTTATTTATTTTTGAGACTGAGTCTCACTCTGTTACCCAGGCTGGAGTGCAGTGGCACGATCTTGGCTCACTGCAACCTGCGCCTCCCAGGTTTAAGGGAGCCTCCCAGGTTTAAGGGAATCTCGTGCCTCAGCCTTCTGAATAGCTGGGATTACAGGCGCATGCCACCACGCCCGGCTAATTTTTGTGTTTTTAGTAGAGATAGGGTTTCACCATGTTTGCCAGGCTGGTCTCGAACTCCTGACCTCAAGTGATCCACCTGCCTCAGCCTTCCAAAGTGCTGCAATTACAGGCGTGAGCCATCATGTCTGGCCATACATTGGTCATTTTCTTATTTCAAACTAAGTGAATAATCCTGACTGGGAAGTAGAAGCCTGAACTCAGTGACTGCAAGCTAAGGATAGTTTTGCCTGCAAAGGGAGATCATTGAAAAAGCAGCTCTTCTGCCTGAGGAGCCTCCCCTGCAGATGTCCTGGCCTGCTCACAATAGCCATGGACAGAGCCTTTATACTTAGAGAAGCCACAGAGCCTTGAAAACCTTGAAATCCACAGGCAGATGCAGTTGGGATTGGCACAAAGGTGGGGTTGGGAGGCTCTTTCTGGGAATGGAGTTGTTATTGTTCTGAGGTTGTTTCTAGATTTTGTAAAATATGATGAATCTAGATTTAGGTAAGAAGTTATTTATTTATTTATTTTTATTTTATTTTTTTTTTTTTTTGAGCCAGGGTCTCATTCTGTTACTCACACTGTAGTACAGTGGCATGATCTCGGCTCACTGCAACCTCAGTCTCTCAGATTCAAGCCATTCTCCTGCCACAGCCTCCCTAGTAGTTGGGACTACAAGCAGGCTCATCAACACCCACCTAATTTTTGTATTTCTAGTCAGAAGGTTTTGCAAAGCCTCCTGGGAGAATAGCTGAAGGCAGCTGCTTTATAACCCTGAGGCAGAGGGCAAGGAGTAGGTACAACAGAGTATAGGGGAATTTATCTTAAACAGGCTTGTTTACTTTTATTGACCAGGAACTGACCTTTGATCATCAGTGCGAGTGATGTTCCCTGAACTTTTTTGGTTTTATTTTTCCTTCCTTCCTACCTTTCTTTCTTCTCTCCTTCCTCCTTTCCTTCTGCTTTGTGTTCCCAGGGCTGGTGTCAAAATTCTGTGCTCAAGCAATTCTCCCATTTCAGCTTCCCAAAGTGTTGAGATTACAGGTTTGAGCCACCATGCTCTGTCCTCTTTTATTTTCTTCTTGTTTTTCCTTTTCATTCTTCCTTTTCCTCTCTTCCTCCCTCCCTCCCTCCCTCCCTTCTTCCCCATCATCTTTTTTTTTTTTTTTTTTTTTTTTCCGAGATGGAGTCTCACTCTGTCACCCAGGGAGTGATGGGAAGCTCACAGACTTAGACGCCAGAGGGACGTTTTCAGGGGCGAGCGCCACACATGGCCTGCAGGGTGGACACGTTGGCTTCTCGGTCTGGCCACCGGGTGACCAGATGTGGGTGGCGAGCTGTGGCCAGTAGTTGTGGCTGCTGGCCTCTCGTTTGGGTGGACCAGGGATTCAAAGCTTAGGAAGGAAGGTCGGCAGACTTAGAGGCTGGCTGCGGAGGTGGGCCGCCTTGGGGGAAATAAGGTTCCAACAGGGACAGCTTCAGGCCGCGAGTGCCACATGTGGCCTGTACGGTAGACACAGTGGGCTTCTGCTTCTGCCTCCACCACCAGCTGGCTTCTCTTTCTGGCTGCCAGGTGTACAGGATGTGGGCCACGAGCGTAGGACTTGGTTGCCAGCTGGAAATGTTTACGGTGGACCAGATGGCTCTCACCGGGACAGTACAGCTTCGGTCCAGCAGAGGAGTTCAATGATGGCTCACTGCACTCTTTACCTTCCTAGGCTCATCCAGTTGATCCTCTTATTTTGGCCTCCCAAATAGCTGGGGCTCTCAGGATCTTTCTGTTTCTTTTTCTTTTCCTTTTTTTTTTTTAGCACCACTTTGAGTTTGTTTTCACAGTACATTGAGTTCTGTTGTTTTTTTCTTTTTTTCTCTTTGTCTCTCTTGCTCCTTCCCGTACACTGAAGTTGCTGTTGTTTTAGATTTCTTTCACCCAGGCTAAAGTGCAGGTGCATGATCACAGCTCACTGCAGCCTCGACCTCCCTGGGCTCAGGTGATCCTCCCGTCTCAGACACCCCACTTCCCAGTAGCTGGGACTAAAGGCATGCGCCACCACACTGGCGCTTTATTTTGTATATTTTACTTTTTATTTTTGTAGAGATAGGGTCCCATCATGTTTTCCAGGCTGATCTCAAACTCCTGCAGCCAGACGATGTGCTGGCCTAGACCTCTCAAATTACTGAGCTTACAGGCGTGAGCCACCATGACTGGTTCTATCTATATCTATCTATCTGTCTATCTGTGTGTCTCTCTGTCTACCAATCAATCATCTATGTTTTTTTTTTTTTTTCAGTAGAGATGTGTTCTTGCTATGTTTTTCAGGCGCTGGTCATATATATATATATATTTTTTTAACTGTAATTATTATTTTTTAATATAGGTGTTGTCTCACCATGTGGCCCCCAGGATAGTCTCAAAATCCTAGGCTCCAGATATTCTCCCGCCTTGGCCTCCCAAACTGCTGGGATTACAGGCATGAGCCACTGTGCCTGGTTTGGTCATTTTTTTTTTTTTTTTTTTTTTTTTTTGAGATGGAGTTTCACTCTCATTGCCCAGGCTAGAGCGCAATGGCGCAATCTCGGCTCACCACAATCTCCGCTTCCTGGATTCAAGCAAATCTCCTGCCTCAGCCTCCCGAGTAGCTGGGATTATAGGCATGTGCCAGCACACTGGCTAATTTTGTATTTTTAGCAGAGACGGGGTTTTTCCATGTTGGTCAGGCTGGTCTAAACTCCCGACCTCCGGTGATCCGCCCGCCTCGGCCTCCCAAAGTGCTGGGATTACAGGCGGGAGCCACTGTGCCCGGCCTGGTCATATTTTTGATGTGTTGATTCTTCCCAGTCCAGATGTATAATCTCATCCCTGAACATTTTTGATAGTGTAATTATGACATATGACTTTACCCGACACCAGAGTGAGTTGATGCTCCTGCCCAGCTTACAGAAGGGATTGTGACATATCACTGGACCCAGCACCAAAGTGATGTAACTGTTCTACTGCTTTGGCACTTCCCACAGTGGGCATTGTGACATATCACTGGGTCTTGTACCCAGATGGTGTGAATCTTCTCTCCAGCCTGGCTCTTTCACAGGGGGCATTGTGTCATATTGCTGGGCCCCACACATAGGTTATGTGAGTCTCCTGCCTGTGCCCTACCCATGTAGGCCATTGTGACATATTGCTGGGTCCAACACCCAGGTGATGTAACTCTACTGCCTCGGTCCTGCCTACAGCGGACATTGTGATATAACCCTGCACCCATCACACAGGTAATGTGACTCTCTTCTCCTGCCTGGCCCCTGCTCACAGAAGGGATTGTGACATATCACTGGGCTCAGCACCTAGCTAATGTGACTTTTCTCCTCTTCCTGTGTTTTGCCTGCAGGGGATATTGTGAAATGTCACTAGGCCTAATACTAAGGTGACATTACTCTTTTGTCATGGCACTGCCCTCAGAAGGTATGGTGATATATTGCTGGGCCCAGAACAAATGTGATATGAGTCTCCTGCCTGGACCCTGCTTACAAGGTGTATTGTAACATATCTGGGGCCCTTTGACTATTTTATTTATTTTATGTTATTTATTTTAATTTTATTTTTGAGACAGAGTCTCACTCTGTCACCCAGGCTGGAGTGCAGTGGTGTGATCTCAACTCACTTCAACCTTTGCCTCCTGGGTTCAAGTGATTCTCCTGCCTCAGCCTCCTGAATAGCTGAGGTTACAGGTGTGCACCACCACGCCTGGCTAATTTTTGTATTTTTAGTAGAGACGAGGTATCACCATGTTGGCCAGACTGGTCTCAAACCCCTGACCTCAGCCGATCTGCCCGACTCAGCCTCCCAATGTGCTGGGATTATAGGGGTGAGCCATTTCGCTTGGCCCTTTTTGACTATTTTATGTGACTCTACTCTCTTACCTGGACATTGCCCAAAAAGAGATTGTGACATATCTTTGGGCCCAGCACCAAGGTGATTTGACTCTCCTTTTCTGCGTGGGCCTTGCCCATAGTAGAGAGAGTGACTTATTGCTGAGTTTAGCATACAGGTGATAGATTCTTCTGCTGGCTCCCAAAAGTCACTGTAAGATATATCTGGGCCAATTGCTGAGATTGTGTGACTCTTCTCCTGGGACCTGTCCACAGTGGGGATTGTGGCATATTGCTTGGCCAAGTACCTACATGATATGACTCTTTTCTTAGGTCTGGGCCCTGCCCACTGAAGTAATTTTGACACATAGCTGGGCCCAGCTCAAAGGTTATGTGACTTCACACTTCTTCCTGAGCCCTACCCATGAGGGCCATGGTGTCTTATCTCTGAGACCGCTTATTAGGTGATGTGACTCTTTATTTTTTTTGAGATGGAGCCTGGCTCTGTTGCCCATAATTTAGAAGATGTGACTCTTTTGCGCCAGAATGGGTACTGTGACATATTGCTGAACCCGTTACATAGGTGATGTGACTCTCTTGCATGGGCCCTCCTCCTAAGGGGGTAGCGTGACACATTACTGAGCCCAGTACATAGGTGATGCGACTCTTTTCTATGGCTTTGCCCAAGCAGGGATTTGTGATGTGTTGCTGGACTCACCACCTATGTGTTATGACTCTCCTCTTCTGCCTAAGCCCTAAATGCATTGTGTGTTGTGACATATGCCTGGATTCAGCACTTAGGTGATACAACTTTATGACATGGGAACTGCCCACGGAAGTATTATGACATGTCTCCTTTCCATCACCTAGGTTATGTGACCCTTTTATTTTTCTTATTTCTGGCATATTTTGGATATAGTGATGTATCATTGAGTTCAACAGACATGAGATGGGAGGCTTCTGCCTGAGCCCAGCACATAAGTGGCCTTGTGACATATCTTTGTACCCATTATCTTTGAGATTTAACCCCCCTTTTCTGCCTGCACCCTCACCACTGGAAAGATTGTGATGAATCACTGTTCTCAGGAATCAGGTGATCTGTTTTTCCTTCCTGGTCCTTGCCCACAGATCATTGTAACATATCACTGGGCCTAGCATCCAGGTGATGTGACTGCTGACTGTATTCTGCTTTCAGGAGGAGACTGTAACGTATCCCTAATTGAGCACCCAGGTGGTGTGACACTTCTGCCCTGTCCCTGCCCTCAGAGGAGATTCTGACATATCACTGCCCCAAAATGCAGGTGCTGTGAGTCTACTAGTCAGTCCCTTTTCATTGGTGGGATTGTGATGCATATCTTGTTCAAACTTAAAGGTGCAATAATGATTTTCAAACTTCGAAAAAACCAATAGCAGATACACTATCTCTCATAGCCAGGGTCAGGAAAATGAGTAATGTCTTGGGTCTCCTCTTTGTATGAAGGTCATAAAGAACACTCTGTCACATACTGTGTAAAGTTGTCAAGAGGTACAGAGAATGTCCTAACAGAACTCAGCACACAGAGGAGGTTGTGACACTCATATGCATAGCCTGCCAACAGTAAAGACTGTCATCCTTCCACATAAACACAGCTCACTGTTGAGGTTCTGAAGCTCTTATGCAGATGCAGTCAAAAGTTGGAAAATTGAATCTCATTATGTGAATTCGATCCATAGAGATGTTAGTGTCTCTGACACCAAGATTCAGCACACCTGTGAGTCGGTGACTTCACTAAAATGACACAATTTGCAGGAGGGATTGAGGTTCTCATATGCAAATTCAGACTATCATTGAGATTGTCACTCAGGTACTTACACCCAAGATACAGAGGGAATTATGTCTCAGCTAGAACTAAAAAATGTGTGAAATTGTTAATCTCATACCTCAACCTTAATTCAGCTGTGTTTGTGACATACACCTTTTTTTAGCACCTGAGTAATTTGACTCTCCTGCCTGGACCCAGCGTACAGATGGGATTGTGCTTCATTGCTGGACCCAGCATTTAGGTAATGTGAGTCTATTCTTATTTCACAGAGGGCATTTTCACAGAGGGCAAGGGAGGATTGTGGCATATCACTAGACCCAGCAACTAGGTGTTGCAATTCTCCTGTTTTTCCTCGGCCTCACATATTTTTGGTATTGTAAATATTACTAGGCCCACTACCTATGAGATTGCATGCTCCTGCCTGGGCTGTGCCCACAGTGACCTTGTGACATATATCTGCATCCATGACCTAAAAGATGTGACACTTCTTGCCTGCAACCTGCCCTGCACAGGAAAGATTGCGACTTCTCCCTGGAAGCAGACACCAGGTGATGTGGCTCTCCTGCCTCTGTCTTGCCCCCAGGGAGCATTGTGACATAATGCTGAGCTCAGCACTTAGGTGTTGTGACTGTTGCCTATGCTGTGCTTTCAGGAGAGAACTGTAACATATCCCTGGATGAGCACCCAGGTGATGTGATATTCCTGCTTGGTTCTTTCCCTCAGGGAAGATTGTGAGATACCCTTGGCTGAAATCCCAGGTGATGTGACTCTCCTGCTAACTCTCTACCTACAGGTTAAATGGAGGCATGTACTGTAGTCAGCTTATAAGTGTAATGATGACTCTCATACCTCTAGTCAGCTATTAGAAGAAATACTGTCTCTCATAGCTCGACTTAGAAAAATGAGTCACATTCTTGGTCTTCTCTTTTTATGAAGGTCATACAGAATTGCCACCCTCCAACATATCATATAATGCCCTCGAGTGTTACAAAGAGTGTTATCCCAAGGCACACAGCACAAAGGTGAGATTGTTTCTTATATGCACACCTCACCAACCATTAGGATTATCACCCTTACACATGAAAAGAGCCCATTGCTGAGGTCTTGAATCTCAAATGCAAACACTGTCCAGAGTTGGAATTGTGACTGTCATATATGAGCCTCCGGCCACAGTTGAGATGGTGACACACTTCTAAACTCAGAACATAGCAGATGAGGACTCTACTATATAAACCCTACCAACTGGAGAGATGTTGGCTCTAATACCTGGACTTAGAGCCACAAGTATGGTCATGGGTGCTTACAAACATGACTTTAGAGTAAATTGTGACTCTTATTTATACTGGATAAAGCCTTTGAGTAGTATAGAGAGTGTACTAGCTGGGCGCCATGGCTCATGCCTGTTATCCCAGCACTTTGGGAGGCTGAGGCAGGTAGATCATGAGTCAGGAGTTTGAGACAAGCCTGGCCAACATGGTGAAAACCTGCCTCTACTAAAATTGCAAAAAATCAGCTGAGCATGGATGTGGCCGCCTACTGGGCCTTTCCTGCAGGCCCTGGCTGATGGATAGAATTAGTACTCAGACACAGGTATGCAGTGTAACAGCAGCTAGATAATGGCCTGCCTCTAGTGGCCAGAGAGCTGCCCCAAGAAGCTGGAGCTGCTTGCTTTCTTTCAGTGCAGGCACAATGCCAAAAACCTGGAGCAAACACAACCTGCAGGTAATTAACATTTATTGTTCTCCTTTCAGGGATCGTCACTCCCGTGGATGATCAAAGGTCAGTTCCTGGTCAATATAAGTAAACAAGCCTGTTTAAGATAAATTCCCCTACACTCCACTGTACCTACTCCTGGCCCTCTGCCTCAGGGTTATAAAGCAGCTGCCTTCAGCTATTCTCCCCTGGGTCTTTGCAGAACCTTCCGAACTTTCAGAAGGTTTGCGTCCTTTCCCTATAGTTTTTCTTACCATTCTGACTGATCCCTCACAGGCGCCTGTAATTTCAGCTACTCCGGGGGCTGAGGCAGGAGAATCGCTTGAACTCGGGAAGCAGAAGTTGCAGTGAGCCAAGGTCGCACCACTGCACTCCAGCCCAGGCGACATTGTGAGACTCCATCTCAAAAAAAAAAAAAAGAAAAAAAGTGTACTAACAAGACCCAGCACACAGAGGAGACTTTTACCATTGTATGAACACCCATCAAACAGTACACATCATCATTGTGAGTTCTGAATCTCACACATAGAGGAAGTCAAAGGTGGAAAACTTGACTCTCATATTTGGATCCAGTCCACAGGTGAGTTGGTGACATTCAGAGCAAGAATCAGCACGCCTATGAGGCTGTGACTTCACTAATTAGACTAAGTCCACAGCAGGAGTATGGGCTGTTAGGTACAAATTTTGTCTACTGTTGAGATTGTAACTCCTGTTCTTAGACACAACATATAGGAAGGGTTAACCTCCTATACCTAAAACCGGAACATGTGTGGGATTGTTAATTTGATCCCTGCACCTTCTCACAGGTTTACTTGGAACATATTTCTCTGCCCAGCACCTGAGTGATCTGACTGTCTTGCCTACAGATGGAATAGTGACATATAGCTGAACCCAGAACTGACTCTCTTTTTCTGCATTGGTGCTGCTCACAGGGGGCATTGTGACATATCGCTGGGCCTTGCACTTAGGTGATGTGAGTCTCCTTTGCCTTGGCACTGCCCACAGAATGCATTGTCACATATCTCTGGGCCCCACACCAGGTTTTTTGACTTTCCTACCTGTCACCTGACCACATAAGCAATTGTGACATATTGCTGGGACATACACCCTGGTAATGCAACTCTACTACCCACAAGGAGCATTGTGACATATATTTTCACACCTCACCCACATGATGTGACTTTCTTCTCCTGCCTGGTCCCTGCTCACAGGGGGAGTTGCGACATATCATGTGGCTCAGTACCAAACAAGTGTGATTCTTCTTCCATCATAGGTTCTGCTAGCAAGGAAGACTGAGACATATTGTGGGGCTCTACGCCAATGTGACATTACTGTTCTGCCTTGGCCTGTACCTGAAAAGGCATTGTGACATATTGCTGGGCCCAGCAACAAGGTGGCATGAGTCTTCCGTATGGACCCTGACAACAGAGCATTGTGACATATCTTTAAGAGCATCAACTATTTGATGTGACTCTCCTTTTCTACCAAGGCTTTCCTCATATGAGAGATTGTGACACATCTTCTGGCACAGAAATCAAGTGATGTGTTTCTCCTGCCTGAGCTTTGCTCATAGAAAGCATTGTGACATATCTCTGGTCTCAGCACCCAGGTAATGTGACTCTACTCTCTGTGCCCTGATTTCAGGAGAAAATTTATATGCCTAAGCACCCAGTTTTTAACTCTTCTGCCTTGTGCCTGTTCTCAGAGAAGATTGTGACATATACCTGGCCTATTACACAGATGATATAAGTCTCCTGCTCTCTCCCTATCCACAGGGGAGATTGTGACATATATCTTTGTTCAGATCATTGGTGCAATGTTGACTCTCATATCTGAAATCAGCCAATAGGAGACATACTATCTCTCATATGTGGGCTTAGGAAAATGGGTAAGATTCTGGCTCTCCCCTTTGTAGGAAGGTTAAAGAAAATTACAGTCTCTCCCATATTGTATAAAGCCCTCCAGTGCTCCAGAAAGTGTCATAACAGGGTCCAGAAAACGAGATTGTTTTATATTTGCACAGTTTGCCAATTGTTAAGATTGTCACCCTCATCCATGGACAGAGCCTACTGGTGAGGTCTTAAATTTTACATGTGGATGCAGTGCAGAGTTAAAATTGTGACTGTCATATGTGAACATCAGGCAACATGAGGTGGTGACTCATTAGCCTAGCTTATAGGCAGGTGTCAACTCTCATATCTGGACCCAGCCATTACAGAGATGTTGACTCTCTCATCTGAGCATAGAGCCACAGGTATGATCATGGGCCCATACCAGCACAAATGTTTCCTAGTCACAAAAGATTGTGACTCTCATGCATACCTTATAAATCCTCGGTTGGTACAGAGAGTATTCTAGCTAGACTCAGTGTACAGCTGTTTTGACATTCCTGTATACCCAGTCGACAGTAAAGATTATCATCTTTTCACAAGAACGGTCCACTGGAAATTCTGAATCTCATATGCAGAGACAGTTGCAAGTTGTAAAATTTACTCATAAGTGAATCCAGTCCAAAGGTAAGTTGGTGACTTTCAGACCAAGATTGAACACACCTGTTTGTCTGATTCCACTAAGGTGACACAGCCAGTAAGAGGGATTGAGTCTCTCATTCAGTGATTCAGCTCATTCTAAAAATTGTGACTATGTACTTAGACCCAACATACAGGAGGTGTTGACTCTCATACCAAGAATTAGGGTACGTACAGGATTGTTAATCTCATCTCTGGTCTTTCCTTCAGGTGTGATTTTGACGCACACTTCTGCCCAGCACCTGAGTAATGTGATTCTTCAGAATTGGCCCGGCCCACAAATAGGATTGTGCCACACTGCTGGACCCAGTGCCTAAGTGATGTAACTCTATTCTTCTGCCTTGGTGCTACTCGAAAAAGACATTGTAACATATCTCAGAGCCTTACACCCAGGTAATGTGAGTCTCCTCTTCTGCCTTGCTGCTGCACACAGAAGCGGAATATGTACAGGATTGTTAATCTCATCTTGGATCTTCCTGCACTTGTGATTGTGACACATGCCTCTGTGTAGAACCTGAGTGAGTTTACTCTCCTGCCTGGATTTAACCCATAGATGGAATCGTGACATATCACTGTACCAGAAACTAGGTGATGTGACTCTATTTTCTTGCCTCTGTGTTTTTATATGGGGCATCGTGACATATCACTGGGCCTTGCACCCAAGTGATGGGAGTTTTCTCTCCTGCTTTGGTGCCGTCCACAATGAAAATTGTGAAATATTGCTGCCCTCCCCACTAGGTTATGTTACTCTCCTGCCTCTGCTTTGCCCACATGGGTCACTGTGACATATTGCTGGGTCTAAAACCCAGGTAATGTCACTCTCTTGTTTGGGTTCTGCCTGCAGGAGTCATTGTCACATATCTCTATGCTCATCACCCAGGTAATATGATTCCCTTTTACTGCTTAGTTCCTTCTCACAAAACAACTTGTGACATATTGCTAGGCCCAATACACCTAGCTGGTGTAACTCTTCTTTTCTTTTCTTTCCTTTTTTTTTTTTTTTTTTTGAGATGGAGTCTCACTCTGTTGCCCAGGCTGGAGTGCAGCGGCATGATTTCAGCTCACTACAGCCTCTGCCTCCTAGGTTGAAGCGATTGTCCTGACTTGGCCTCCCAAGTAGCTGGGATTAAAGGCATGTGCCACCACGCCCGGCTAATTTTTGTATTTATAGTAGAGACAGGGTTTCGCCATGTTGGCTAGGCTGGTTTCGAACTTCTAACCTCAGGTGATCCTCCTGCCTCGGCCTCCCAAAGTACTGGAATTACAGGCATGAGCCACTGCACCTGGCCTGATTCTTCTCTTCTTTCTAGGTTTCAACTGCAGCAGAGATTGTAACAAACCACTGGGCCCAGCCGCATAATGATGTTACTCTTTTGCCTTGGGCCTGCCCTCAGAAGGCACTGTCACATATTCATGGGCCCAACGCCAAGGTGATATGTGTCTCCAGCCTGGACCCTGCCCACAGGGGGCATTGTGACATATCTCTTGGCCCATCAGATGTTTGATTGTTATCCCCTCCCCTCTTCTACCCTGTGTTTGCCTATAAAAGACACAGTCATATGTTCCTGGGCCCAGCACCTAGGTGTTGTCTTACTGGAATGTGTCCACATGGGGATTGTGATATGTCACGTGGCCCAGTACTTAACTTGATGTGACTCTCCTCTCATGCCTAGGCCTTGTAGAGAATCCCCTTCCCCTTTTGTTTTCCTTTTTTTCTTTGCAGATCCAGGAGATAATCAACTAAGAGCCAGGCACCCGTTTAGGTCTAATAAACATTTTACAAACTGCTCTCTCTTTTAATTCACCTATCTGAGAGATTCCTCTGTACAATAAAACTTGGTCTCCACAATCCTTTACCTTAACCTAAACCTTCCCTTTCATTGATCCCAGGTCTTCAGATTCCACCACTTGTCAACCACAAAATATTTAAATTTACCTGGAAGCCGCCCGCTTTGAGTTGTCCCGCCTTTCTGAACCAAACCAATATATTCCTGCAAAACCGGCCATGATTAAAACATCAAAAAATAATACATGTTGGCGTGGCTGTGGTGAAAAAAGAATACTTTTTCACTGCTGGTGGGTATGTAAACTAGTACAACCACTATGAAAAACAGTATGGAGATTCATTAAATAAAAGTAAAGCTACCATTTGATTAAGCAATTCTACTACTGTGTATCTACATGAAGAAAAAGAAATTATATGTGTAAGACACTTGCACACACATGTTTATAGCAGCACAATTTGCAATTGCAAAAATATGGAAGCAGCCTAATGCCCATCAGCTAATGAGTGGAAAAAGAAAATGTGGCATATATATACCAATGCATACTACTCAGCCCTAACGAGGAATAAAATAATAGCATTTGCAGCAATCTCGATTTAGTTGGAGACCATTATTCTAAGTAACTCAGCAATAAAAAACCAAGCATTGTATGTTCTCACTTATAAGTGGGAACTAAGCTATGAGAATGCGAAGGCATAAGAATTATGTAATGGACTCTGGGTACTCAGCAGAAAGGGCGGGAGAGAGGGGTGAGGGATAAAAGACTACATATTGGGTACAGTGCACACTGCTTGGGAGATGGGTGCACCTAAATCTTAGAAATGATTACAAAAGAACTTATCCATGTGACCAAACATCACCTGTACCTTAAAAACTTTGGAAGTAATAATAATTACAAACAAAAACAAAAAAACACAAAACCCCGTAAGTTTAACTTTCTATGTTTTGGCTGTTTTGTTTTGTTTTGTTTAGAAAAGGTCTCTGTCACCCAGAATAGAGTGAAGTGGCTCAATGAGGGCTCACTGCAGCCTCGACTTCTGGGCTCATGCAATTTTCCTCCCTCAGCCTCCTGAATAGCTGGTACTAAATGTGCAGGCTACCATGCTCAGTTAATTTTTAAATTTTTTTTAGACATGTGTTTTTGCCATGTTGCCCAGGCTGGTCTCAAATTCCTGGGCTTAAACAGTCTTCATTACTTGCTCCCCCAAAGTGCTGGGATTATAAGCATGAGCCAACATGCCTGACTATAATTTTTTTATTTTATTTTACTTTTTATTTTTTGAGACGGAGTCTCACTCTGTCAGCAGGCTGGAGTGCAGTGGTGCGATCTCGGCCCACTGCAACCTCTGCTTACTGGGTTCAAGTGATTCTCCTGCCTCAGCCTCCTGAGTAGCTCAGACTACAGGAGCACGCCACCATGCCTGTCTAATTTTTGTATTTTTTAGCAGAGACAGGGTTTCACCATATTTGCCAGGCTGGTCTTGAATTCCTGACCTCATGATCCACCCACCTCAGTCTCCCAAAGTGCTGGGATTACAGGCGTGAGCCACTGCACCCAGCCCAGAATCTTTAATATGTTATAAAAAAGCTAACTATATTTAGATTCGTTTACAGAAAATTAAAAAAAAAATCTTTTATTAAATGTTAGAAGCAAATTTTTGATGCCGCAAAGGAAATAGTACTTGAATGTAAATTTTCTCAGCAAGACAATATTTACTTTTATAGAAGGGTGCATCTTGCGAATGGAGCAATGGCAAGAGCACACCTGAACAAGGGAGGGAAAGGAGTTCTTAGCCCTGATGCAGGTAGCCCCTACTGCTGTGTCATTCCCCTATTGGCTAGGGTTGGACTGCACAGTCTAAGCTAATTCCCATTGGCTATTTTAAAGAGAGGAGGAGTACAAGCCAGAGTGGTGGGGTGAGCAGTTTGGGTGGGAACTACTGTTATGGAACAGGTGACCAAGGTGACTCAGGTCAGAGCAGGTGACCAGGGGTGACTCAGGATGGAGCAGGTGACCAGGGGTACAGATGTAAACTACTGATTAGAACTGGCGGGAAGGTTGTTTACTAAAACTGGAGACAAAAACAACAAAGAAGTTAAACTTTAAAATGGAGAATGAAGAACAGGGAGCTGAATATACTGACATACTGATTCTTTGAAGAGCAATTTAGAACTCACTGTATTTAACATTAAAATATATAAATGTTTTTTATCTACAAATATTAATATAAAACAGTTCAAAATTACTTCCTAGGGATTTCACTAAAAATTAGTTTGTTAAGGGTTAATGTAATTAATAAAAGACCACTAGATGTAAAAAAACTAATTCTTCAAAGAGAATGTTTAAGGCCAGGTGTTGTGGCTCACGCCTTGTAATCCCAACACTTTAGGAGGCCGAGATAGGCAGATCATTTTGAGCTTAGGAGATCGAGACCAGCCTGAGCAACATGGCAAATTCCAGTCACTACTTCAAATAAGGAAATAAACCGGGCATGATCGCGCACGCCTGTAATCCCAGCTACTCCAGAAGCTGAGGCTGGAGAATCGCTTGAATCTGGGAGGTGGAGGTTGCAGTGAGCTGAAATCATGCCACTGCACTTCAGCCTGGGTGACAGAACAAGCTTCTCTCTTGGAAATTAAAAGAAAATAGAGAGAGTATAAACAAAAGCAAAATATGCTTTTGATGAAGAAAGTTAGAAACATTTGTCTGCTTTGAAATTACTTAAAGGTTCCTTCAAATTGAAAAAGTAAAAATAATGTAGATTAAAATGAAATATAAAAAGTTAAACAATGGACCGGCATCATGGCTTACCCATGTAATCCCACTACTTTGGGAGGCTAAGGCAGGTGGATCACCTGAGGCCAGGAGTTCGAGACCAGCCTGGCCAACATGGTGAAACCGCATCTCTACTAAAAATACAAAAAATTAGTCAGGTGTGGTGGTGCACCTGTCATCCCAGCTACTCCAGAGGCTGAGGGAGGAGAATCCCTTGGACCTGAAAGGCAGAGGTTGCAGTGAGCCGAGATCGTGCCGCTGGACTTCAGCCTGGGCCACAGAGCAAGACTCAGTCTCAAAAAAAAAAAATTAAAAAATTATAAGAGATCATAAAATATGTATAAAAATCTAGAGAGGTCAAAAAAATTTTAATGTATTTTTATTTTTATTTTTTGCTGGGGTGCAGTGGCATGATCTCAACTCACTACAACCTCCGCCTCCCGGGTTCAGGCGATTCTCCTGCCTCAGCCTCCGGAGTAGCTGGGATTACAGACGTGTGCCACCATGCTCAGCTAATTTTTATATTTTATTTTTCATTTTTTTGAAATGGAATTTCACTCTTATTGTTCAGTCTGGAATGTATTGGCGCGATCTAGGCTTACTGCAACCTTGGCCTCCCGGGTTCTAGCAATTCTCCTGCCTCAGCCTCCCGAGTAGTTGGGATTACAGGCACGCACCACCATGCTCAATAATTTTGTATTTTTAGTAGAGATGGGGTTTCACCATGTTAGCCAGACTGGTCTCGGACTCCTGACCTCAGGAGATCCACCTGCCTCGGCCTCCCAAAGTGTTGGGATTACAGGTGTGAGCCACGGCGCCCGGCTGAGAGACTTACAATGTTTTATCAAATTAGCTTTATTATTGATAATACACAATAAAGTAAAAGTTGATTTTCTCTGGAACAAAAATTTTATGTATTATTAATATACATCAAATATTTTTGTTCACATTTTGAATACATTGAAAGAGAGCAAAGAAGAGAGAGGATTTTCCCATGCTCTGAGGTGGGCCTGGCTGAGCTGAGGAAGCCCTGCCTGAAAAGGCTGCAGCCTACGCTGTCACTCTTTCTTCATTCAGCCCAGTGTCTGATCACATCTTCTGTCACTCAGGGCCTGAGAAGGCGGGGCCTTAAACGTTATCTAATCAGGGACGCTGGGCTGGGAACTGTCCAATCAGGCACAAAGCTGGAGCGGACAGGGCGGCTTCCGGGATGTGGCTGGGCCTTTGTCTCTCGCTGCCGCCGGAGTTTCCAGGTCTCGACTTCACTGCTCTGTGTCCTCTGCTCCAGGAGGCCCAGCCTGTGTGGCCCTGTGACCTGCAGGTATTGGAGAGCCACAGCTAAGATGCCAGGAACCCCTGGAAGCCTAGAAATGGTGAGACTGCCAGGTGCGACGTCCCGAGAGAGGGAACGGGGCTCGTTGAAACCGGTGGGATGCGGCTGTGGCGAGCCTCAGGCCTTCCTTCAGTCAGCTCCACAATCCGTGCCCGGGTTCTCCTTGCCCAGCTCGGCCTCAGTCCCCTTCAGCGATAAGATGGCGGCTGCGTTGACAGGCGGGCTCCGGGCGTCCTGTCTCTTCCCTGCCCAGTGACTGTGTCCTGGCCTGGAGCCCTCTCTGGGCAGCTCTGCTCCCGCAGCGCCGCGTCTCTCCCAGATTGTGCAGGGATCACGGGAGGGTCGTCAGGGGAGAATCCTGACTGGAGGTGCTGGCTCATGAATAGGAAGCACTTTAGTCCGTGGGGTTCCCAGGGCCTCTTTTTTTCTATTAAAAATTTATGGGCGTCACCGCGAAAAGATTAAATAATTTAATCAAAGAGTGATTCAAACATTGTAGAGCACCCAGCTATGGTTTGTAATTTGTGGTCTATGAAAGGCCTTGAAGGAGATATTTTTATAAGGTTCATGGTAAAGAAAACCAAATTCAGTAATTTGCTAGGTACAGTTATGTAGGTTTTGTTTTGTTTTGTTTTTTGAAAAGGAGTTTTGCTCTCTCGCGCGGGCTGGAGTGCAGTGGCGTGATCTCGGCTCACCGCAACCTCTGCCTTCCGGGTTCAAGCGATTCTCCTGCCTCAGCCCTAGTAGCTGGGATTACAGGCGCCTGCCACCACACCAGGCCAATTTTTTTATTTTTCGGAGAGACGGGGTTTCACCTTGTTGGCCAGGCTGGTCTGGAACTCCTGACCTTAGGTGATCCACCCACCTTGGCCTCCGAAAGTGCTGGAATTACAGGCGTGAACCACCGCACCTGGCCTAGTTTCTTAATTTTTACAATCTAGGTGGAAATATCCTTCTTATGTAATCAGAGCTTAATTGGCAGTTTATAGTTGCTTAAGCCTAAATTTTGCTTCTGCCAATGTAGTAATTTACCAAAAAATGCTCTTGAGTTTAGATTTTTATTTTTAGAAGTAGAAATCCGAGGACTAGAGCCACCTCAATCTAATTGCCTGCCACTTAATTTTTCTCACACTCAAAAGGGGACGATTTTTCCCTGAATTTTTTACATGTGTCTCAAGCAGGGCCTCAAGTCCACCCCTCATCCCCTGTTCCTCCAGCCTAACTCTGGCTTGCAGTAAAATACTAAATTTCCAGTTTCGTCTGACATTCCCAAATGCCAATTTCCCCTCCCTAATTCACTTTATCAACTATTTGTCCTGTAGTGTACATTTTGATACCGATTTTAATCATTTTTATTTTTAATTTTTGAGACAGAGCCTTGCTCTGTCACCCAGGCTGGAGTGCAGTGACGCACTAGGCTCACTACAACCTCCGCCTACTGGGCTCAAATGATTCTCCTCTCTCAGTCTCCCAAGTAGCTGGACTTACAGGTGCCCACGACCACGTCTGGCTAATTTTTGTATTTTTAGTACAGACAGGGTTTCACTATGTTGGCCAGGCTGGTCTCGAACTCCTGGCCTCAGCTGGTCTGCCCACTTCGGCCTCCCAAAGAGCTGGGATTACAGACGTGAGCCACCGCATCTGGCCAATTAATTTTTTTTTTGACAAAGCATTTGATGGCACATTTAAAAAGATTTGTTTTTTTTGGTAAATACTCCCTGTGAGAAGAAAGCAAAGAATAATCTCCTGACACTGTATGGTAAAATATCTCTGTGCGTTTTTTTCGTCTATTTTCCCTAGACGCAGCTATCTTACCAGAATGTTTTTGGGTCAGGTTTTCCTTTTGGAAACTGTATAGGGTGATGTGTCTTCAGTCACCCTTCAGTTTTTTCTTGGACCTAGATTTCAGTACTGTATGGGGATAAACCAAGATACCCACCATGGCTATGTGTGCTAGAGTGTCTAGTGAATATCAGCTTCTGGGTCATATTCTCTCATAGGACAACCTGAGGTATTGAGTTTAGCTTCTCAAGTGTGGACGTGGATGCCCTGAGGCTGAGAGGCATTTCCTGGTGCACTTTTTTTTAAAGTTAATTCCTTGAGACATTAATATTGCCTTCACCCAATTCAGCTTTCATTTCTTGGAGACACATTGCTGGCCAGCCAATCAGATACTAGTATTGAGGAGAAAACAAATAATTTCTGCCTCCTGGATTCCTTTAGGGGGCAGAAAAATAGTGCAAGAAAAATAGTAAAAAAATTTCTAGAAAAAAAATACCCAGCACTCCAAAAGACAAAAAACAAAAAAAAACCCAAAAAACCAAAAAACTGACCCCAGTTAGATGGCGTAAGAACTTGCAGAGTATAATGTGCCTGAGGCACTCACTGGGGCATAGTTCAGAGTCTCCTGAGAGGGGGTTATTGAGCACTTAAGTGAGCAGGATGGGATGGGACAATCTCTCAAGTAATTGAATGGCCTGACTTGACACATGAGGAAGACATATCTGTATCTTGAAAAGCTTTGTTCACTTATTTTGACCTAAGGGTTTTTTTTTGTCTTATTTATGAGTCGAAATCTTGCTCTGTCGCCCAGGCTGGTATGCAATGGTGTGATCTCAGCTCACTGCAACCTCTGCCTCCTGGATTCAAACATTCAAGGAATTCTCCTGTCTCAGCTCCCCAGTAGCTGGGATTACAGACGTGCACCACCACTCCCAGCTAATTTTTGTATTTTTAGTAGAGATGGGGTTTCACCATGTGGCCCAGGATGCTCTCAAATTCCTGCCCTCATGATTTTTCCACCTTAGCTTCCCAAAGTGCTGGGATTACAGATGTGAGCTGTCGTGCCTGGTTCTATATCCTGGTATTTTGATTTTTGAGTTTAATGCTAAATTTTATGTGATGAAACTTGATACCTCCTAGAAGTGTTCCCATGTGACTATTTTTTTTTCTTTTTTTTTTTTTTTTTGAGATGGAGTTTCACTCTTGTCACCCAGGCTGGAGTGCAGTAGTGCAATCTCAACTCACTGCAACCTCTGCCTTTTGGGTTCAGGTGATTCTCCTGCCTCAGCCTCCCAAATAGCTGGGATTACAGGCGCTTGCCACAACGCCCGGCTAATTTGTGTATTTTTAGTAGAGGCGGGGTTTCACCATGTTGGCCAGGCTGGTCTCGAACTCCTGACCTCAGGTGATCCACCCACCTCAGCCTCCCAACGTGCTGGAATTACAGGCATGAGCCACTGTGCCCGGCAGACTAATTGTTTGCTACGTGATTTTTGATACAAATAATAACATAATATATTTATTGTCTGAAAGGAATAAATACTTTTGCTTTTCTTACTGAGGTATAAGATGTAAACACCTTAAACTTTTCTTCCCTTGTATGAACACTGTGTTTGCATAATTTTGCTGAATTATTCTACCACCTAGTTATAGTTTCAAAAGCCAAGTTAATAACTCTGACATAGAAATTAAAGCTTAAACCCAGTGACTCCAAGCTAAGCCTTTTGCAGGCTTGAGCCTGCAAAAGGAGGTTTTTAAAGACCCACTTAGTTCCTTCTGGGGAGCCTCCCCTGCAGATGTCCCAGCTTGCTCACCTCAGCTATGGAAGAAGCCCCTATACTGAGACAATCTACAGAGCCCTGGAAAGCTGGCAACCCACACGCAGATGCAGTTAAGATTAATATAAAAGGGTATTGGGAGGGTCTTACTGAAGATGAAGTTATTGTTTTGAGGCAGTTTCTAGACTTTTTAAAATAAAAGTTAGATGTATGTAAAAACTTGAATTTCAAAGGAGTATTGCAACAGGAGGAAGTAGTGACTATAAGATTTTTAAAGATTGCAAAGATGAGGCAGACAGTGGCTTTTTTTCCTAGGGAAAAGCAAACAAGATTAGTAAGGAGGTAGGAGGGGAATGTTTAAACAGAGGGTAATAAAATCAGATTTTGAGAATGTTTTACCCTGAAGTCAGCATGTTCTTAGGATAAACATAAAATGGGGTTGTATGGTGGCTCAGACTGAGGGTAGCTCAAAGTTCAGGAGCCTGTGGGAAGAAAATAAACTTAAGTTCAGTTAGATTAAGAAGTATTTTATGTTTACCACTGAAGACAAAGTCAGCTGATTTTTAATGAGGAAGAGGAGAAAATGCACAAAGCGTTTTTCTGGCTGTGTGATAGGTAAGAAAAGAGAGCAAAAAAATAGATACTGTCAAGGTTTCAGAGAAAAGGGAATACTTATACATTGCTGTTAACAGTGTACATTAATTCAACCATTGTAAAAAGCAGTGTGGCAATTTCTCACAGAACTAAAAACAATTACCATTTCACCAAGCAACCCCATCACTGGGTATATACCCAAAGAAATACAAATTATTCTCTCATAAAGACACATGCACAAGGGTGTTCACTGCAGCACTATTCACAATAGCAAAGACATGGAATCAACTTGAATGCCTATCAATGGTAGACTGAATAAAGAAAATATGGTATGATCAGGCACAATGGCTCATGCCTGTAATCCCAGCACTTTGAGAGGCCAAGGCAGGTGGATTGCCTGAGCTCAGGAGTTTGAGACCAGCCTGAGCAATATGGGAAAATCCCATCTATAAAAATGCATCTCTAAAAAAAAATACAATAAGAAAAATTAGGCATGGTGGCACACGCCTGTGGTCAGAGCTACTTGGACAGCTGAGGAACAAGAGTATTGCTTGGCCCACCACGATGGCTCATGCCTGTAATCCCAGAACTTTGGGAGGCCAAGGTGGGTGGATCCCTTGAGGTCAGGAGTTCAAGACCAGCCTGGCCAACATGGTGAAACCCCGTCTCTACTAAAAATACAAAAATTAGTCGGGCGTGGTGGTGGTGGGCATCATAATGAAAAGGGTTTTTCCGCCCCCCCACCATAAAGTGTTCTTGGAGAACACAAAAGATAGAGAATTTTATTAATCACAGCTGTTTATCATCTATGTGCTTCATCTTTTTCCACCTTTATTCTTGGTCTTATACATTTTTTTCACATGACTTTGTTGGGGTTGTACCTTTTTCTTTTCTGAGACGGAGTTTTACTCTAATTGCCCAGGCTGGAGTGTAATGGCACAATCTCGGCTCACCACAACCTCCGTCTCCCGGGTTCAAGCAATTCTCCTGCCTCCACCTCCCAAGTAGCTGAGATTACAGGCATGTGCTACCATGCCTGGCTAATTTTGCATTTTTACTAGAGACAGAGTTTCTCCATGTTGGTCAGGCTGGTCTTGAACTCCTGATCTCAGGTGATTCGCCTGTCTCAGCCTCCCGAAGTGGTGGAATTACAGAAGTGAGCTGGCGCGCCTGTCCCGGGTTGTATCTTTTATGTGAAAATGGTAAATATGACTACAGTGTTCCGCTGAGTTCTGTGAGTAGCTCTAACAAATTAGTAAATTTCAGTAACATTATGGGAGTCCCCAGTTTCTAAACAGTATCTCAGAAGCATAGATGGGCTTATAGAGTTTGTGACTGGCATCTGCAGTGAGGACAATGTTGTGAGACTGAGCCCTGAATCAAGGTCTGTGCTGACTCTGGGTGGTGTCAGAATTGAAGTTTTAGATAATAAGTTGGTGTTGGAGAATTGCTTGGTGTTTAGCAAACTCTACAGATTTGGTGCCAGAAGAAAGATACCACAGACTCCTGGATTAGTATAAACCTCTGGGTGTCCAGGAATGAGAGGCTGTGCACTCTACACAGGCTGTCACACTGTCCCTTGTTCTGTGATTCCAGCTCCCCTTCCAGGGTGACAGAGGACCTAAAACTTAGAGGAAAGGAGCTCTGATGGCAGATCCCCTTTTGCCACAGCCACCACCACAAGATTTTCACCCACTCACTAACATACCCACTAGACATTAATGTGTCCACACCTCTCCCAGGACAGGGAACCACACTCAGGAATTTTACTACAGCATTTTTGATCCTAGTGTTTTTTTTTTTTTTTTGCCAAAAACTTACAGAAGTATCTCCAAGTCTTCTGGCATATTCCCACCTCCAGACACTGAATCTGCAGCAGCAGGCTGTTTTGTCCACCAGCCTGGGGTTCTGGACCACCTGTTTATAAACTCATCTGCCTGCATGGACCCAGAAATAAATCAGAGTACAGCCCCACCTGGGCCACTATCTGTAGCACAAACCAGTCTTTCTACCTGGAGTGTACTCTTCCCTACCCAGGGAGTTTTTTTTTTTAAACTTCTATTTTTGGTTTAGGGGTACACATGCAGGTTTGTTATACAGCTAAAATTGTGTCATGGTGGTTTTGTGTATAGATTATTTTGTAACTAAGGTACTAAGTATAGCACCAAAGAGGTATTTTTTCTGACCCTGTTTCTCCTGCCACCCTCCACCCTCAACTAGGCGTCAGTGTCTGTTGTTCCCCTCTGTGTTCATGTTTTTATTATTTAGCTCTTACTTATAAATAACATGCATTTGGTTTTCCATTTACGCATTTGTTTTCTTTCTTTCTTTTTTTTTAAAAGATGGTTTCACTCTTGTCACCAGGCTGGAGTGCAATGGCGTGATCTTTGGTCACTGCAACCTCCACCTCCTGGGTTCAAGCAATTCTCCATCCCCAGCCTCCCAAGTAGCTTGGGATTACAGGTGCCCACCACCATGCCTGGCTAATTTTTGTATTTTTTAGTAGAGATGGCGTTTCACCATAATGGCCAGGCTGGTCTCCAACTCCTGACCTCAGGTGATTTGCCTGCCTTGGCCTCCCAAAGTGCTGGGATTACAGGCGTGAGCCACTGCATTTGGCCTCCGCATTGGTTTTCCAAGAATAATGGTCTCCAGCTTCATGTTGCTATAAAGGGCATAATCTTGTTTTTTTCTGTACCAGTTCCATGTTACTTTGTTTACTGTAGCTCTGTAGTATAATTTGAAAACAGGTAATGTAATGCCTTCAGTTTTGTTGTTTTGCTTATGTTTACTTTGGCTATTCAGCCTCTGTTGTGGTTTTATATGAATTTTACAATTTGGTTTTATATGAATTATACAAAAACAATGTTTTTGGTTATTGTTTTCTGTTTGTTTTTTATGACCACACGGTATTCCATGATGTTTATGTATCATATTTTTTTATTATATATTTTATTTTATTTTAGAGACAGGGTCTCACTCTGTTGCCCAGGCTGAAGTACGGTGACATAATCTTGGCTCACTGCAACCTCCGCCTCTCGGGTTCCAGCAATTCTCCTGCCTCAGCCTCCTGAGTAGCTGTGATTACAGGTGTGCGCCACCACGCCCTGCTAATTTTTGTAGTTTTAGTAGAGACGGGGTTTCACCATGTTGACCAGGCTGGTCTGGAACTCCTGACCTTAAGTGATCTGCCCACCTCTGCCTCCCAAAGTGCTGGGATTACAGGCATGAGCCACTGTGCCTGGCCTTTTTTTTTTTTTTTTTTTTTTGAGACAGTCTCACTCTTGTTGTCTAGAATGAAGTGCAATAGTGCCATCTCAGCTCACTGCAACCTCTGCCTCCCGGGTTTAAGCAATTATCCTGTCTCAGCCTCCTGAGTAGCTGGGAGTACAGATGCCCACCACCACCATGCCCGACTAATTTTTGTATTTTTAGAAGAGATGGGGTTTTACCATGTTGGCCAGGCTAGTCTTGAACTCCTGACCTCAGGTGATCCACCCACCTTGGCCTCCCAAAGTTCTGGGATTACAGGCATGAGCCATCGTGGTGGGCCAAGCAATACTCTTGTTCCTCAGCCTTCCAAGTAGCTGGGGCCACAGGTGTGTGCCACCATGCCTAACTAATTTTTCTTATTGTATTTTTTTTAGAGATGCATTTTTATAGATGGGATTTTCCCATATTGCTCAGGCTGGTCTCAAACTCCTGAGCTCAGGCAGTCCACCTGCCTTGGCCTCTCAAAGTGCTGGGATTACAGGCATGAGCCATTGTGCCTGATCATACCATATTTTCTTTATTCAGTCTACCATTGATAGGCATTCAAGTTGATTCCATGTCTTTGCTATTGTGAATAGTGCTGCAGTGAAACACCCTTGTGCATGTGTCTTTATGAGAGAATAATTTGTATTTCTTTGGGTATATACCCAGTGATGAGGTTGCTTGGTGAAATGGTAATTCTGTTTTTAGTTCTGTGAGGAATTGCCACACCGCTTTTTACAATGGTTGAATTAATGTACACTGTTAACAGCAATGTATAAGTATTCCCTTTTCTCTGAAACCTTGACAGTATCTATTTTTTGACATTTTAATAGCTGTTCTCACTGGTGTGGATGGTATCTCATGGTTTTTCTTGGCATTTCTCTAATGATTATTGATGAACATTTTATTGCATGCTTGTTAGCCAAATGTTTGTCTTCTTTCGAAAAGCATCTTTTTCATGTTTCTTGTCTACTTTTTAATGAGGTATTTTTTCCTTGTAAACTTGTTTAAGTTCCTTATGGATTCTGGATATTAGACGTTTGTCAGAAGCATAGTTTGCAAATATTTTCTATTATTCCGTAGGTTGTCTGTTTACTGTGTTGATAGTTTCCTTTTCTTTGAAGGAGATTTTTAGTTTAATTAGGTCCAATTTGTCAATTTTTACTTTTGTTGTAATTGCTTTTGGTATTTTCATCATGAAATCTCTGCCAGTTTCTGTGTCTAGAATGGTATTTCTTTGGTTATCTTCCAGGGTTTTTTATCATTTTAAAATTAACATTTCAGTCTTTAATTAATCTTGAGTTGATTTTTGTGTATGGTGTAATAAAGGGGTCCAGTTTTAGTCTTCTCCATAGTGCTAGCTGGTTATTCCACAACCATTTATTAAATAGGGAATTCTTTCCACATTTCTATTGTTACTTTTGGTGAAGATCAGATGGTTGTAGGTGTGTGGCATTATTTCTGGGCTCCCTATTCTGTTACATTCATCTATGAGTTTGTTTCTGTACCAGTTCCATGTTGCTTTGTTTACTGTAGCTTTGCAGTATAATTTGAAAACAGGTAATGTAATGCCTTCAGCTTTGTTGTTTTGCTTATGTTTACTTTGGCTATTCAGACTCTTTTTTGGTTTTATATGAATTTTACAACAGTTTTTTTTTCATTCTGTTAAAAATATTTTGGTCATTTGATATCGAACAGCATTAAATCTGTAAATTTTGGAGGACAGTATGATCACTTTTAGGATATTGATTTTTTCTATTTATGAGCATAAAGTTGTTTTCCATTTGTGCCATTTCTGACTTCTTTAAGCATTGTTTTGTAATTCTTATAGAGATCTTTCACCTTCCTGGTTAGCTGTATTCTTAGATATTTTATTATTTTTGCAGCAATTGTGAATGGGATTATGTTTATGATCACATTTGGCTTGGATGTTGTTGATTCACAGGGATGCTACTAATTTTTGTCCATTTATTTTGTATCCTAAAATTATTTTTTTCCAAAGGCATGTAAAAATATATTTTTACTTTAAAAATAACTTAGTTACAGTAGTACTTTGCCTGTATCTTACCAACATGTAGCTGACAGTTAAAATTTTGCAATGTAGATATAATATATAGGGATATATAAGAACTACAAGAAAATCTCCAAAACCCGTAAAATTCAAATGTGAAAACAGAAAAGTTTTAACACTGGAGAATTCTCTACGGTGAGCCCAAGCAATATATAGAAAAGAGTCTAGAAAAAAGGCTGAGGTGTTAAATATGTTTTTACTTCCTCTTGCTCAGAAAATGTTGGAGTGCTGTAAAGTTCTGTAAATTTCTAATGTGACACGTCCAGCCCTTTGTAGCTAGTGCCAATCCTGGCCAAGCTAGATTTCTTGTGTGTCTGCAAACAATATCTGAGCCAAACATCACCAATGCCTGCTGAAAATGGATTCTGACTGACAGATTTCCTCGTTTTGCCAAGACAGGATTTTTTTTTTCTAAATTGTTTTTGCAAACAAGCTATAACAGGTAAAAAATAAAAATGCTTTATAAGAATATTATTTTAGAAAACCCATCACAAAACTGCAAATACAGCTTCAGAAGCCCTTCTGTTCAACTGCAGTTAGTTTAGTTTGTTTTTGTACCTTCTACCCCAAAGGAAATAAGTTCGCATCCTGTTACTTATTTTTTTCCGTGACATTCAGCCCCTCATCCAAAAGTGAGGGCCCAATATCAAGCTGCAGGGGGAGGAGGGAACCTGTAAGATCAGAGAGGGACTCCTCTGACTTAGTCTTTCCCTTGATGAGCTTGCATGACGCGGGATGGTGAAACATGTCTTCGGCTGGCCATTCGGGGTACTGTTCGGACAGGTTGGAGGAGTGGCTGTCCCTGCCCTGTCTGGACTGAGATGCGGAACCGCTGGAGCCCCATGAGGTGTCTCCCTGGTGGACTGTCCCGTTCTCCAACAGACTGCTTTTCTCCTGACCTTTTTCCTCCATGACGGGCTCGCAGCTAAGCCTTGGCAACTTTGCTGGCCGAAAGGACTCCTGTTTGGAATTAAAGTTCACCGGTGACAATAAGAGCAACATGAGAGCTTGGGACCCTCCAGTGATCGTGAGGGAGATGGTATTTTTGACCACTGAGGAGGGTGTTTCTGTGAACACAGAGTCTGAGGTGCTGTTGGCCCGGAAGAACTTACTATGCCCGGGGAGCTGACCCAGGTGTGCTTTCTCCTAGTTTCCAGGTAAAAGCTCATTGTTCCCTTGAAGAAAGGAAATATCTCCAAAGACGTCATGCTTGGCCCTCTTTGCCGATTTGGATGGTATGGCAAAAGCCTCCAAGAGGGGGACTGATGATATCGGGAGACAGAATGTCTCAGTTTAAATTTCTTTCCTTTCTTGTTATTGGCTGCTTTCAGGTAAATTGGGGCCTTGGCTGGCATTTTGGAATTTGAGAATGTCTGTTTTGCAAGCGGAAGAAAGGGCAACTTTTTTCACAGATGGTATATGTTTCTGAAGAATCTTTTTCGTTAGGAACTGTCAAATTTTTCTCAAGTGGCTTCAGAAGTGGCTCTAGCTGTGCGCGGTTCCGGCGTGGTGGGCGGTGACCTGCAGGGAAGCGAGGCCACCTGAGTGCACTGCCCTGGCCAGGCTGCAGCTCCCCAGGTCCCTTGCAGCCCGGGATTGGTTGGGCGCGGAGGGCTGTATCCTGAAATTATACTGAAGTTATTTGTAAGTTTAAAGAGCTATTCTGCCAAGTCTCTACGGTTTTCCTGATGTGGAAACCTGTTGTCTGCAAACAGGGATAGTTTGACCTCCTCTGTTCCTGTTTAAACGCCTTTAATTTTAATTTTAATTTTTTTTTAGATGGAGTTTTGCTTTGTCGCCCAGGCTGGAGGGTAGTGGCACGATCTCGCTAACTGCAACCTCTGCCTCCTAGGTTCAAGCGATTATCCTGTCTCAGCCTCGTGAGTAGCTGAAATTACAGGCACGTGACACCACGCTTGGCTAATTTTTGTATTTTTAGTAGAGACAGGGTTTCACCATGTTGGTCAGGCTAGTCTCGAACTCCTGACCTCGTGATCCACCCGCCTTGGCCTCCCAGAGTGCTGGGATTACAGGTGTGAGCCACTGCATCCAGCCAAATGCCTTTTATTTTTATCTTTTGCCTGATTGCTCTGACCAGGACTTCCAATTTTATGTTGAATAGTAGTGTTAAGAGAAGGCATCTTTTGCCTTTTGCCAGTTTTCAAGGAGGAATATTTCAAGCTTTTTTTTTTTCTTTTTGAGGTAGTCTCCCTTTGTCTCTCATGCTGGAGTGCAGGGGCACAATCTTGGCCAACTGCAGCCTCTGCCTTCTGGGTTCAAGCGATTCTCCTTCCTCGGCCTCTTGAGTAGCTGGGATTACAGGCACCCGCCACCACACCTGGCTAATTTTTGCATTTTTAGTAGAGATGGGGTTTTGCTATGTCAGCCAGGTTGATCTCAAACTCCTGACCTCAGGCGATCCACCTGCCTTGGCCTGCCAAATTGCTGAAATTACAGGACTGAACCACTGTACCCATCCGCTTCCAGGTTTTGTTTATTCAGTATATTGGGGCTGAGGGTTTGTCATAGATAACTTATTTTAAAGCATGTACCTTCAATGCCTAGGTTGTTGAGGATTTTTAACATGAAAGATGTTAAAATTTACCAAAAGCTTTTTCTGCATCTACTGAGGTAATCTTGTGGTTTCTGTCTTTAGTAGTTCTTTTTATGTGATGAATCACATTTATTAATTTGTGTATGTTGAACCAACCTTGCATTCCCAAAATAAATTCTACTTGCTCATAGTGGGTTAGCTTTTGGATATGCTGCTGGATTTTGTCATGATTTTGTTGAAGATTTTTGTATCAGTGTTCAAAGATACTGGCCTGAATTTTATTGGTTTGTTTTATCTCTGCCAGGTTTTGGTATCAGAATAATGCTGTTCTTATATAATGAGTTGGAGAGAAGTTACTTTTTCTTAATTTCTTAAAATAGTTTTAGTAGAAATAATACCAGCACTTTTTTGTACGTCTGGTCCACCTGTGAATGTCTGGTCCTTGGCTTTATTTGGTTGGTAGGCTATTTATTACAGTTCAGTTTTTGAGCTTCTTGTTCATCTGTTTAGGGCTTTGATTTCTTTTTTGTTCATTCTTGGAAGGATGTATTCCTTAATACTTTTTTTCATTTTTTCTAGATTTTCTTGTTTGTGTGCACAGAGGTGTTCATAATAGACTTCAAGATGTTTTTGTGGGGTCAGTGGTAATATCTCTGTGTGTTTGGTTTGTATAATTTTGAGATTTTTGAATTTCCTGAGGATTTTTTTATTTCTGATTGTGTGGTCAGTATGTGCCACGTGGCGATGAGAAGAATGTATGTTATGTTATTTTTAGATGAAGAGTTCTGTAGATACCTATTAGGAATATTTGGTCAAGTGTTGAGTTTAGGTTCTCATATTTTGTTAATTTTCTTCTTCAATTATCTGTCTATTAGTGCCTGTGGGATGTTGTAGTCTCCCACTATTATTGTGTCTGAATCTAAATCTCTTCATAGGTCTCTGAGAACATGCTTTATTCATCTGAACCTATGAATTTTATGTAACACCTTTCTCTCTTCTGTTTTTTCTTCCATAAACATTCTTTCATGTGCACACAGTGTGCAAAATTTAGATGTCCAGGAGTTCAAGAACATGTTTAGAGACCTGGCTGTTGTAAAAGAAAATATAAATTAGAAATAAGAGGCTTAATTAGTCTACATAAAAGTAAGAAAATATCTTACTAAAATCTCTTTTCTTATAACATTTAGATTACGTATATATTTTATCTCCCTTTTTTTGAAATATATATAAATCAAATAACAGCTGAATAAACCTTTTGTCATTTTTTTTTTTTTTTTTTTTGTCTCAGGATTGTCTTTATCTGGGACCCGAGATTAATTGCTTCGTTTTTGCTTTGGCAAAAGATTGTTCTTACAATTTTTAGTCTTTTAAAGTTGACACAGATTTGTTCAGTCTTGCTCATTCTAAAAGCACACAAAAGTTGAGCATAAAAATAGGATTAAATTTAGCAATAAAGAATTATAAAGACTAAAAGATACTGAGTAAGTTGTTTGACAGAAACCTGATTATCCATGATGATTATTTGCAGGCTAAAGTATTTATACTACAAAAGAAAAAAGAGTTCAGTTTATGGCTGGGCGCGGTGGCTCATGCTGGTAATCCCAGCACTTTGGGAGGCCAAGTCGGGCGGATCACCTGAGGTTGGGAGTTATAGACCAGCCTGACCAACATGGAGTAATCTTGTCTCTACTAAAAATACAAAATTAGCTGAGCATGGTGGCGCACGCCTGTAATCCAGCTACTCGGGAGATTGAGGCAGGAGAATCACTTGAATCCAGGAGGTGGAGGTTGAGGTGAGCCGAGATCATGCCGTTGCACTCCAGCCTGGGCAATGAGAGCAAAACTCAGTCTCAAAAAAAAAAAAAAAAGAGAAAGAAAAAAAGAGTTCAGTTTATAAACTGAAAAGTGGAGTGTGTTGTCATACCTTTGTTTCTATTTATTCAGTACAATTAGCATAGTAATGTATAATGTTTGTAGACAACCTGCATTCATATACATTCAATAGTATTTTCTGCAAGAGTATGAATATAAAGCCACAATATTTACTTTGAATGAATTCCTTAAATAGTTGTTTTAATATTGTGATTCATAGTTTTGAAATGTAGTTTTTCAACTGAATTATAGTTGCAGAAAATTTTTTAAAATCCTACATACATTATGAGTAGTATATTAAAATTATTCATAATTACATATTTATATCTAATATCCAAAGAAAATGTATTACCAAATTGTTACAGTAGAGATTAGTCTGATATACTTATTAATTTAACCAATAGGGATAGTTATAGGTAAGTATAATTTTAGTGGCTTTCATTTCAGAAATTGGAATGCTGCTATTACAGGACAAATAAAGGCAGGTGATTTGGCCACCCCAAAACTGTATAGCTGTTTAGTTAGTTATGTTGCAGGCTCACATATATTCCATTATATTAACACAGGTTTTAATTTTTTTAATCAAAAAGTGCTGGTGGTAGTTGTCAGATATATTTCTATATAGATTCCACATTTAATGGGCAGCAGATTAGAGAGCAGCAGAGATAGAAAAAAATCTTCTAAAATTCTGCTGATAATGTGCCCTTTCTTCATAACACTCATGTTTCTCATGCTGTGAGTAGCTATGCACTTTGGATATTTAGAGAGAAATTATTTTTAGAGGAATATTTTCTGGCTGACTTGATCAATCTTATATGTAATCTCAGTTTTTTCTTAAGACGCTTTTAACTTGTTTTTTTCTCTCAATATAATCTTTCTCGGAATGAGAGCTGTTTTTCTTTCTAATGCTTTGTGTATCTGTTTTAGAAACCCTATTAGTATCCCATAATGTCTGTGAAAGACATGGGCTGTCACAGTGAGAACTCTTAGAGCTATCTCTATCTGGATGCATGCTGGAAACCCAGCAGTATATTTTCCATGTCACCATTATAAATAGAAACTGTGGCTTAGATAATGCTCGCATTCCCATTATTGTGAAGGTGCGATTCTACCCGGGAGGCCTGCAAGCTCTCCTTCTGCAGCTCAAGCTTCACTCTTTTTTTTTTTTTTTTTTTTTTTTTTTTTTTTTTTTGAGACGGATTTTCCCCCCATTGCCCAGGCCAGAGTGCAATGGTGCAATCTCGCAATCTCGGCTCACTGCAACCTCCGCCTTCTGGGCTCAAGGGATTCTCCTTCCTCAGCCTCCTGAGTGCTTGGATTACAGGTGCCCACCACCATGCCCAGCAAATTTTTTATTTTTATTTTTAGTGGAGATGGGGCTTCACTATGTTGACCAGGCTGCTCTTGAACTCTTGACCTCATGATCTGCCCACCTCAACCTCCTAAAGTGCTGGGATTACAGGCATGAGCCACCGCACCCGGCCAGACTTCACTCTTTGATGTGACACTAAAGTGCTGCTGTGGCAATTGTCGTTCATCTAAGATGTGAGCTGCCAGCTGTGAGCCGTGTGCTGTGGGCTGTACCACAGTGGCAGATGGTAGGAAACAAAAGAGGACACTGGCCACCAGAAGAGGGGAAGCAGGAGTGCACTAGTCAAGTCCTCAGGGAGTAGAGAGCCAGTGCTTTAAAATGCAAGTAGCCAAAAAGATAGCACCCTATTCAACCACTTTTGTAGAAGAGTGAAAGTCTACCTTAAGCAGGCACCTGGCTTCAAGTTGCAAAACTACCTTCTGCCATGAAGATGTGAAAAGCTTATTTTGTCATTGAATATAACCAATTAGCATACATGGATGACCTCCCCAATGACCAGGTGAATTTAGGATGAACTACCTATGACATGGCGCTGTAAATTCTTCTACTTGTGAACTAATTACGGTAACCGTCTTTATTTCTTTTCAATCTCTTAAGCAGATGGATTGTAATGCATGTGACATTCAGACTTAATTGTGTAATGAGACAGTTTTCTTTCTGTTCTATTACTGTGGTTTCTCTGGTGCTGAAGAGAATTAATAAAAATTATATTTCCCAAACACTGTGTAGAATTACCAGACATAATATAAACACATAAGGTGCCAACCAAGCTCTACTCTAGAGGGGACTTTCCCTCTCAGGCTTCCAGTCAACTCACAGTTACGCTGTAAAATGTGTGCTGTCACCTAAATATGCAGGCAGAATTGTGTCTCTGCCTATTTGGTAGTTTCATTTTCTATTTAGAATCAGCCTGAGTCTCTCTTGCTGGCTTATTATTGGACCATCAGCCCAGGGTCACTGGAAATGCTCTCACAGTCACCTAGGTATCTTTGAGACATTTGAGAATCTCCAGAACAGAATTGTGTCAGGCTGACTAGAGTGGTTAATTTTGCTTCTAACTTAGTGTAAAAGAAATGAGTCATCCTGTGTTTGCTCCTCCCCTCATACAAGAGATGTCTTTGGTTGGTACCCAGGTGAGAGTTTCTCTAGTTCCCTGGTACTTGAGTGAAAAATGATGAGGAGGTCTGGAGACTCAAACAAATAAACTAATTGCTTCCAATTCATATAGTCATTAGAAAAATAGATGAAGCAGTCATGGTCCCTACCATGCAAGAACTTTTAGTCTAGACTAGCAACTGGATAAGTGGTTTAATTATGCATCAAAAGGTTGGGTACAATAAATAGATGTGTGCAAAAATATGGGCTTTATTTGGGCCGTTTTCTTTATATTTTTGTGACTTGTGATGTCTACACCTGAACATATATTAATAAACAAAAAAGTTATTATTTGTATTTTTTATGCCCTGCTAAGAATACTTATTTATCATCTAAAAAATTATTCTAGAAAACCTTAAGGGATTTGTTTAAATTGCTTATTAGTATGTGATATAAAATTGAAAGGGCAGTGGGGCTAAAAAAGATTAAAATTACACAAACTCTGAGATTTAAGTTTCTGTTTTCGTTTTTGTTTTTTAGCTAAGTTTAAAAAAAGAAACGGAACTAAAAATACTCCCCAGTGGCATAAAGAACAGAATTTTACATCAACTCTACACCCTGCTTCAGCCCTGTTTAGATTCACCCTTTTTGAAGGCCTTATTTAAGTCTTGCCCTACCCTGGAGTTTTGCCTCGCAGAACTAACTAGTAGAGATCAGAGTTTTGGGTAATGAATCCTGTTGCCTTTTTAGAGTTGGTGCTCACACTTTTCTGAAACCCAATAGCAGATAAATGGAAAAATAACATGTATTATAGGGTCTTAATTTAATAATTTTATATTAAAACCAGTGTTTACAGAGACATTCCATTTAGCAACTTGTTTTCTGTTCCTGCAGATACAGTAGTTGATTCACAAGTCACAAAATAGTAAATATAAACATAATAATTCATCTAAATTACATTACACTCTATCTGTATCCCTCTCATCTGTCTATATTTAGATTTTATTCTATGCATTTTTTTAAAAAAATGAGTGACAAAAACAGAAGAAGAAATAAAAATGCTGGATCCTTATTCTAAATCCTTGGGATTATTCAACACTTAGTATCAACTCACAGGGTGTTATTAGAATTAAATCAAATAATGAATTATCACAGTGCTCTGTAACATCCTGTTGATTACATAGTACCTGCTTAATAAACATTGCATTAGTACATGTGCACATGTTGTTTTCCAAATGCAGACTTACTCAGAAATTGCTGTTTTCTGTTTTCTTTGTGAACTTTAAAGAGCCAGCAAGTAGTATACTTTAAGATAGAGAATGGTTGTCTTCATTTGTATCAGAAGTATTTGTGTTGTGACAGGAGTGCTGAGTGTAAGGGACTCTGTGCTGTGCCTCATTTTTCTAACAAATGCTAATAATGAGACCAGAGAGAGTGACATCAGCACTGACAGGGGACTTGTTTAGAACACCCATTTATGGACCATTTCCAAACCTGCAGAATCACATTACATAGAGTGGGGCCAAGTTTACCAAGTGATTTATAAGCTAATTAAAGCTTGAGTGGCAATGCTTAGGTAAGTGGTTATAAGCTCAGGATTCTAATTAGAAGCACATGGCCAATTCACAGAACTCTCTTGTGCCCTTTTCACAGTTTCTGTTTAATGTTCTGAAGATAGCATCTATTTGTTTTAATTAAGTGTCTCCTGTGACTCTAAGGTGCCAGAATCAAGTATGAGAAGTTTAAGATACATTCATGAGAGTTAAGTTCCACCTTTGCACTAAAGGGTGGTCCAGGAACCTGTTCTATTTGGATTTGGTAAGGACAGGACAGTGTGGCCAATATTTGTATTACTGTAGCAGAAATTGCTGATGTCCGTAGCAGGGGAGGGCACCTGAGGACAAAAAAAAAAGAGAAACTTATATTTTTATCTCTGTGGAGCAGCTCATTGTTCTGAATCTTTTCTGTTATTCAGGACAGAAATGGGTAGAGTTTTTGTGTCTTGGGCCTTCTGCCTTTGGGTGTGGTGGTAATAGGTAAACATGTGCTCAAATTATTAAAGGCAAATTCTCAAAATGCAGACATAATTAGTCCAGAAAAACTCATCTGAGAAAGAATTTGAGAGGAGGAGGAGAAAGAGAAAAAATGGCTTTTTTTCAGCTAAACATGTCTCAGATCAAGAGCTGTGTCCACTCTGCCTCGTGGAATGCCACGCGTTTAGTACTTGCAAATTTTTACTTCTGTACCTGTATTTTTTCTCCCTAATGAGTTTGTCTTAACTACTTTTAAAAATGCTTATGATAGGCCAGGCGTGGTGGCTCACGTCTGTAATCCCAGCACTTTGGGAGGCCGAGGCGGGCAGATCACCTGAGGTTGGCAGTTTGAGACCAGTGTGACCAACATGGAGAAACCCTGTCTCTACAAAAAATACAAAATTAGCTGGGTGTGGTGATGCATGCCTGTAATCACAGCTACTCGGCAGGCTGAGGCAGGAGAATTGCTTGAACCCGGGAGGCAGAGCTTGTGGTGAGCCGAGATCGTGCCATTCCACTCCAGTCTGGGCAACAACAAGAGCAAAACTCCGTCTCAAAAAAAAAGAGAAAAAAAAAAAAGCTTATGATAGTCAAGGATCTCTGAAAATATTTCTTTTCTATCTACCAGAGCCTTCTCTGCATGATGGCT
The DNA here is from genome assembly GCF_000001405.40 of Homo sapiens. Taxonomy (NCBI): domain Eukaryota; kingdom Metazoa; phylum Chordata; class Mammalia; order Primates; family Hominidae; genus Homo; species Homo sapiens. Next base: position 23,376,309 of record NC_000019.10, on the reverse strand, counting down.
TCTTATATGCCATGCAGAATTCTCACCATGAATTTGTGATCTGCAATATTAAAAATGTTCTCTTTGTGGCTGTTGAACATGGAAAGGTGTGGATAATCTATTTCTATGGAGAAAACCTGGGATTCTTAGTGAAGATGGAGAACATATAATGTTGAGGTTCTGTTTTTTTATTATCTCTGTGCATTACAGGATTAAGAAAGTGCTCATTTAAACAGGATGGCATTTATTACCCAGAAAGTTTGGAAAAAATTATCAGGATATAGCTGCTTATTAGGGTGTTAAAGAAAGTACTTAAAATCACTATTAAAAATTGTAGAACACGGAAGATACCTGTACCTTGAACTTTCCATGCAACTGATATTTTCTTATGGTTAAATTGAGACTGTAATTTACTTTAGTGGGGGCAATATGGTGCATCAGCATACTATAGAAACTTGTCCTAGTGCAATTGGTATTAATAACTCACTTGCTTAATAAGCTCTCTTACAGATTTTTTCACTACAGAGTTATTTTTCTCTTCATCATTAAGTATCTTTATGCAGGTGATGTGCATAAAACATCACATTTAATCTGGCAGCTGCCCTTTTTTTTTTAGGTTTTCTTTGCATTGATCTTTTTTTGGTAAATGAAAGCTCTCATCTTTGTTTACAGGCCAGAAAAACTGAAAAAAACACAGGCTGTTCCACTTACTGGATGTTTGACAGAATAGTCTTTTGGGGTCAAAACATTGGCATTACTAGTGAACTTTTTAGAAATTCAGTAATTCAGACTTTATTTCAGATCTCCTGAAAAAATAATCTGCATTAACAAGATGTCTAGTTTATCATACACATTAAAATTTGAGTGGTACTGGCCAGGCATGGTGGCTCATGCCTGTAATCCCAGCACTTTGGGAGGCCGAGGCGGGAGGATCACGAGGTCAGGAGATCGAGACCATCCTGGCTAACACAGTGAAACCCTGTCTCTACTAAAAATACAAAAAATTAGCCGGGCGTGGTGGTGGGCACCTGTAGTCCCTGCTACTCGGGAGGCTGAGGCAGGAGAATCACGGAACCCGGGAGGCGGAGCTTGCAGTGAGCTGAGATTGCGCCACTGTGCTCCAGCCTGGGCAACAGAGTGAGACTCTGTCTCAAAAAAAAAAAAAAATTTTGAGTGGTACCTTCTAACTCAACGTGTCTATTGTGTCTGAAATATATAACAACTATGCCTTTTTCACCTGAAAAAAATACACAAGTCATTCTGTATTATGTAAATATAACACTCAAAAATGTACTTGTTAATATTTATGCCCTCAATTTTACACTTTATCATCTAGACAAGTATCATATATACACTGATATTGTGGGTATTATGCCACTCTCTTTTCTCAGAGTTAGAGAATACATTACAAAACGTTTGTGTGTTGACAATTATTTTATTGGATAATTTCAGCCACTCTTATAAGTCAGAACCAGTTCTAGTCACTTTCTGATTTTACCTTGAGTCAAATGAAAAATTCTGCCCATAGCCACTTTGTAAATATGTGTGTTTGTGTGTGTTTTTCAGGGACTGTTGACATTTAGGGATGTGGCCATAGAATTCTCTCCGGAGGAGTGGCAATGTCTGGACACTGCACAGCAGAATTTATATAGGAATGTGATGTTAGAGAACTACAGAAACCTGGCCTTCCTGGGTAAGGAAAACTTTAATACTAAGTTTCTAATATAAACTAATGGTTTTACTTCTTTTCTTTTTTTTTTTTTTTTTTTTTGAGACAGAGTCTTGCTCTGTTGCCCAGACTGGAGTGCAGTGGCGAGATCTTGGCTCATTGCAAGCTCTGCCTCCCAGGTTCACACCATTCTCCTGACTCAGCCTCCGGAGTAACTGGGACTACAGGCGCCCACCACCATGCCCGGCTAATTTTTTTTTTTTTTTTTTTTTTGGTATTTTTAGTAGAGACGGGGTTTCACTGTGTTAGACAGGATGGTCTCGATCTCCTGACCTCATGATCTGCCCGCCTTGGCCTCCCAGAGTGCTGGGATTACAGGCTTCATTTCTGTTTTGTAGAATGTTTTCTGGAAATTTATGCTTTCAGATTTCTGTTTTCAAGAAAATCCTGGGGATTTGTTTGTTTAGAAAAGAATTTCCTCAAGATGTTTCATCTTGACCTGAACTTTCCACATTCCTGAGCTGATCTGTGTCCTTCACTTTAGATTAGTGGTAATTTCAGAAGTTTTGTGGCATAAAATACTGTTACTCACACCTTAAAATCTAATTGCCATCACCAGTTTTTGATACAGTAGTACCAAGCAGTAAAATTAAGAACCTATAAAATTAAAATATCTTCTAAATATTTAAACATTTCTGTTACAAATTAGTATATTGGGACAATTTATTAGAATATTCTATTATATGCTCTTTACTGAGCACATTACTAAGTTGGCAGGTGGAGAATATGAGCAAGACTCATGTTAGTTATTTTTAATAAAACAGGTATTGCTCTCTCTAAGCCAGACCTGATTACTTATCTGGAGCAAGGAAAAGAGCCCTGGAATATGAAGCAACATGAGATGGTGGATGAACCCACAGGTAGGTGAGAGTGAATACAACAGACGACAAGGATGAGAGGCCCAAAGTCAAGAAGAAAGCAGGTCTTTAAAGTGATCTGAGAAGCTGTGTTCCAAAGGAAATAGTTTCTGGGAAGCCTGAATTTTTTTTTTAAATTATGCTATCACTTCTGTTAATGCTTATAAAATCTCTAAGAATTCTACTTTCCCTTCAATGATCTTTCTTCAAGTTTACAGTGACAGCCAGAGTACTGTTCATGGCATAGAAAAGAGTGCATTTTGCTAATTTTACATTTTGCTAATTTTTTGCATTTTACATTTTGCTAATTAACTGAGTGTATTCATTAGTTTAAACAGGTTTTAAAGTACTGTTTATTTATATATATATATATATATATATATATATATATATATATAAGATTACATGATCTACAAAAAGCAACATTTTACTTACTGGTCTTCAATTTCAATGACTTTAAATTTTTCTTTTGACTGTTTTGTCTTCCACATACTTTGAGTGCTATGTTAAAATAGAAGCATTGACAATAAGAAACAATAGTTTTGCATCGGTGACTGTAAAGAAGGAGCAAACACTTGTTCAAGTATTTATAGACTGGTTTCAGAAAGTAAAAATCTATTTTTATTGGGTCCTCAGAGTGATAGAATGTCATCTGGGTTTGTAGTGAAGAAGGGTTGTAGCTTGGTCTTAAGTCTGCTGGGTTTGCACAAGGGTCCACCTTTAGTTGTGTTGTTAAAAGGGGCTTGGATAGTTATAATTCTCATTTAATTTTTGGACAGAGTGAATATCCTTCAGGACTTTGCTCTGCAGGGCAGACCCAAGGGCAGGTTTCTGCAGTCAGGTCTGCATATGGTGGGCTTTATATGAGGATGTGGATGAGCATGGCTTTCATCTAGTACAAGAGAGGATTTTCCCACGTTACTTTGGGTTTCTACATAGGCAGAACCGGCCATGAACTGTGGCTCAGAGAGCTGGAACTGAATCATGGACCTGCTTCAGGGACCACAGTAAAGGCCAAAGTCTGCAGGCCTGCTGCATGGCTATAAATGGGTGTCTTCCTCCAGGCCTCTGGAAGGGCAGAACCTCCCCAAGTCTGTAGCTGGGAAGAGTTTGGGATGGTTACAGAGTACAGTTCAAAATTCTCAGTGGAACCAAGTTAAGTGGAATATTTTCTTGTCTGTAGCCAAAAACAGTAGTCCTGTAGTTTGCTGCCTGAATGAGGCTTGCCTTCTAAAAAGGATTACCTTCGATCTTGGGCTTCAGCAGAGTTTCATAACTCCCATCCTGGATCTCAGAGCTCTCTTAAAGGCACTTATTTTTGAGATGGGGTCTTGCAACATAACCCAGGCAGGTCTTAATATTTTGACCGGAAGCAGTTCTCCAACTTTAATGTGCCATGTAGCTGTCATTACAGGTGTGAACCATGATGCCTGGTTCTCTCACAAACGCATTTTTGTCAGGAATGGCTGCCAAATTTTCTTGCTGTCAGGAGATAAGCAAATAGGGCATCTTTTTTTTTTTATCTTATTAATGTCACTCTCCATATAAATTTTTATTTTTATTTTCTACTTCAAATTTGTCTGTAGTTTTGGATTCAGACATTTAGGACAATATACTAGAATGTACATGTTGTGTGTGAGTTAGGTAATTAGTATACAGGCAGGCAAATAGGAATTACAGAATTTTCAGCCACTTTTGTCAGCCTGTAACTAAATAATAACATAATGTATTCCTCAAATATTTGTTTTATACATGAAGCTCTAACCATATTTTGCTAAATATATACATAATTTAGCAATTTAAGGCTATAGTTGGTTCTAAACTTGAATTACAGTAATTTTATTTTGTGTAAAAATAGCACATATTTAAAACATAAAAATTGACACTAGTTTCTTTTAAATGCTTATCTATTAAGTTTCTCATTAGCATCTCCTATTTATGATTGTACTACATTTTCTCTGGGATTTTATTGCCATACAATAGATACCAGTAATTTAAAGTGCCTGCCTTCCATGACTGCACAGTTAGTCAAACATTGCCGTTTTCTAGACAAATTATTTGTTAACGTACATTAATGTTGCCAACTAGATTTTATGAGTAAACATTTCTTTCATTATTTTCTTGCAGTTCTACATTAGTGTGTTTTTTAGTGTAAGTTCCTTAATATGAGTTTATTGTTTTTTGGTTTTACTTATGTATTATAATTTTAGACAATTTGCAATTCTGTTTGTATACTTTAAGTCAGTGTGGGATTTAATTAAAAGATAAATGAGCCATATGTCTATCACAATCAGATTATATATGTGTGTTTTTATGTCTACAAATATGACCCCAGTTTTGGTTATAGCTTATCTTGTATATATTCTTTCTTATCTCATTTTTTTTTCTTTTTTGTTTTTGAGATGGAGTTTTGCTCTTGTTGCTGAGGCTGGAGTGCAATGCATGATCTTGGCTCACTGCAACCTCCACCTCCCAGATTCAAGCGATTCTCTTGCCTCAGCCTCTAATGTACCTGGGATATCAGGCATGTACCACCATGCCCGGCTAATTTTGTATTTTTCTTTTAGTAGAGACAGGGTTTCTCTCATGTTGGTTAGGCTGGTCTTGAGCTCCTGACCTCAGGTGATCTGCCTGCCGTGGCCTCCCAAAGTGCTGGGATTACAGGTGTCAGCCACCTTGCCCAGCCTCTTAGTTCACTTTCAATGTTGGTTTTGTCTTGTGTAAGTGAGTAGCCTTTGAAATAGCATTATTTTCACCATGTGTTTAATGATGAATATGTATTTCCTTTGTGTGAAAAAAAGTTTTTGTGATTTGAAGGTAATTTTCAAGAAAATTTATAATTCTTTATTTTTTCTGTCTTTTTTCCTAAAATAATTGTTGTAAAAACACATAACATATAATTTACCTTCTTAAATCTATTTCAATGTACATGTCAGGGCCAGGCATGGTGGTGGCTCACTTCTGTAAGACCAGGATTTTGAGAGGCCAGGACAGGAGGATTGCTTGAGCCCAAAAGTTTGAGACCAGCCTGGGCAAAATATGGAGACACCCTCTCTACAAACATTTTTATGTAAGAAATATCCAGGCATGATGGTGTGTACCTGTGGTCCCAGCTACTTGAGAGATTGAGGGGCAGGATTATTTGAGCCTGGGAGTGTAAGGCTGCAGTGAGCCATAATGTGCCACTCTACTCAAGCTTGTGTGACAGATTGAGACCCTGTCTCAAAAAACTAAACAAAACTGTATATTTCAGGCCTGTTAATATTAACATTGTTATGCAAAAGACTTCTAGAAATTTTACATCTTGCAAAATTAAAATGAAATGCCCATTAAATAACATTTGACCATTTTATGCTCTCTCTAGCCCTTGACAAACACCCTTCCACTTTCTGTTTTTATGAGTGTGACTATTTTATATATCTTAGTGAAATCATAACATTTATCGTTTCGTTACTAGTTTATTTCAGTTGACATAATCTCAAAGTGTATCTTTAAATGTGACAAGTTTTTTGTGTTTTTTTTTAAGGTTGAATAATACTCCGTTGTATCAAATATGTCTTCAGGGTCTTATGATGCATATTTTAGATATAGATTCATAAATGGAATTGCTGTATTTGATAATAATTTTATTTAAAGTACATTTATAACATTATAAAATAATGGGTGCATCCTGCTTTCCACCAACAATCAATATAAGTTTTGTTTGTTTGTTTGTTTGTTTTTTGCTTTTTTTTTTTTTTTTTATTGATCATTCTTGGGTGTTTCTCGGAGAGGGGGATTTGGCAGGGTCATAGGACAATAGTGGAGGGAAGGTCAGCAGATAAACAAGTGAACAAAGGTCTCTGGTTTTCCTAGGCAGAGGACCCTGCGGCCTTCCGCAGTGTTTGTGTCCCTGGGTACTTGAGATTAGGGAGTGGTGATGACTCTTAACGAGCATGCTGCCTTCAAGCATCTGTTTAACAAAGCACATCTTGCACCGCCCTTAATCCATTTAACCCTGAGTGGACACAGCACATGTTTCAGAGAGCACAGGGTTGGGGGTAAGGTCATAGATCAACAGCATCCCAAGGCAGAAGAATTTTTCTTAGTACAGAACAAAATGGAGTCTCCTGTGTGTACTTCTTTCTACACAGACACAGCAACAATCTGATTTCTCTATCTTTTCCCCACATTTCCCCCTTTTCTATTCGACAAAACTGCCATCGTCATCATGGCCCCTTCTCAATGAGCTGTTGGTTACACCTCCCAGACGGGGTGGTGGCCGGGCAGAGGGGCTCCTCACTTCCCAGAAGGGGCGGCCGGGCAGAGGCGCCCTCCACCTCCCGGACGGGGCAGCGGCCGGGCGGAGGCGCACCCCACCTCCCTCCCGGACGGGGCGGCTGGCCGGGTGGGGGCTGCCCCCCACCTCCCTCCCGGGCGTTGTTTTTTTTTTTCTGAGACAAATTCTTGCTCTGTCGCCCAGGGTGGAGTGCAATGGCACGATCCTATCACACTCCAACCTCTGCCTCCTGGGTTCAAGCGATTCTCCTGCCTCAGCCTCCTGACTAGCTGGGATTACAGGCACACGTCACCACACCTGGGTAATTTTTGTATTTTTAGTAGAGACAGGGTTTCACCACGTTTAGCAGGCTGGTCTTGAACTCCTGACCTTGTGATCTGCCTGCCACGGCCTCCCAAAGTGCTGGGATTAAAGGTGTGAACCACTGTGCCCAGCCAAGGGTTTCATTTTGATTGCATTATCAAGAGATTTGGTGCTTTTAAAAAATGGATAGTGACCATTTAAGTGGGTGTGAGGGGATTTTGTTTCTCATTGTGATTTTAATGCATTTCTCTACAAATTAGTAATTTTGTGTGTCCTTTCAAATGTTTTTTTATTTGTGTTTTTTTATGAAAATTTATTTTAATTATTTATTTCTAAATAAAGTTATTTAACTTTATTGTTCCGTTTTAAAAGTTGTTTATATTTTTTGGATATTCACACTTATCACATGTAATTTGTAAATATTTTCATCCATTTTATAGGAGGCATTATTTCTCTATTAAATGTTTACTTAAGTATGCAGAAATTTTGAAGTGTAGTGTAGTTAAATTATTCTGGTTTTTTTCTTTGTTGCTCATGCATTTAATGTTGTATCTAAGAATTTGGCACCAAGACTAATGTCATGTGTTTCATATATATATAGAGAGAGAGAGAGAGAGAGAGAGAGAGAGAGAGAGAGAGAGAGAGAGAGAGATGGAGTTTCGCTCTGTCACCCAGGCTGGAGTGTAATGGTGTGATCTTGGCTCACTGCAACCCCCACCTCCTGGGTTCAAGCAATTCTTCTGCCTCAGCCTCCTGAGTAGCTGAGACTACAGGCACGTGCCGCCCCGCCTGGCTAATTTTTGTATTTTTAGTAGAGACAGGTTTTCACCATCTTGTTCAGGCTGGTCTGGTCTTGAACTCCTCACCTTGTGATCCACCTATCTCAGCCTCCCAAAGTGCTGGGATTACAGGCATGAGCCACAGTGCCCTGCCTCCCCTCTATGTGTTTAAGAGATTAAAAATTTATGCGGCTGGGCCTCGTCGCCCAGCGCTTTGGGAGGCTGAGGTGGGTGGATCACGAGGTCAAGATTTCGAGACCAGCCTGGCCAACATGGTGAAACCCTGTCTCTACTAAAAATACATAAATTAGCCAGACGCTGTGCCCGGTGCCTGTAATCCCAGCTACTCGGGTGGCTGAGGCAGGGTAATCGCTTGAACCCGGGAGGCAGAGGTTGCAGTGAGCCGAGACTGCGCCACTGCACTCCAGCCTGGGTAACAGTGAGACTCCATCTCAAAAAACAACAATAACAAAACAGCAACAACAACAAAGTTACCTTCTTATGTCTAATTAAAAGATTTTCACATATGGTTTAAGGAAATAATCTTTATTTTATCAGAATGGATATTCAGTTTCTAACAGAATTTTTTGAAAAGGTTATCTTCCATTGTGTGCTCATGTCAATTTTGTGGGAGATTATTTGGCCATATACAGAAGGGTTCATTTCTGGCCTCTCTACTCTGTTCTTTCATCTGTTTATCTGTGTGAGTACCTCATTGTTTTTGTTATTGTTGCTTTTAGTACGTTTCAAAATCAGAAGTTATAATGCCTTTGTTTTTTTTCCATGGGTGTTTGGCTATAGTTCGTAACAAAATTTTAACATCTCAAACAGTATTTCTTTAAAAAACTACTGTTGGGATTTTTATAAAGATTCTATTGAATTTGTGTACCACTGTTGGTTGTATTGACATCTTTGAAAAATTAATTTTTTTATTCCTGTGCAAAAATATGTTGAAGAGTTTTTTATTTTCATGTATTTTTGGATTTTTCAGTTTTAATCTCCAGTTTGAGTTTTGGTCAGAAAACACAAAGTGGATAATATTGATATTCTTAAATTTATTTGTTGTTTTTTTGTGTTTGTTGTTTTTGTTTGAAGACAGGATCTTACTCTGTCACCCAGGCTGGAGTGTATTGGCATAATCTTGACTCACTGCAGCCTCAACCTACTGGGCTCAAGTTATCTTTCCACCTAAGTCTCTCAAGTAGTTGGGACTACAAACAAAGTACCATGTCTGAATAATTATTTGATTATTTTGTAGGGATAGGGTCTCACTATGTTGCCCAGGCTGGCCTGAAACTTTTAGCTGTAAGTGATCCTCACACCTTGGTCTCTCTATGTGTTGGGATTATAGGCATGAGCTACACCACCCACCTGGCATTCTTAAATTTAATAAAACTTAGTATGTGTCGTAACAGAATACACCAGGTGCAAATAAAAATATTGCATATTCCCTTGCTTTTGACTGAAAAGTTTTGTACATGTCTGTTAAACCTAGTTGGTCTATAATATGGTATTGATGTTGATGTTACTCAAACCTTATGCTGCAATGTAATTCTTGATGTTAGATGTCGGACCTGGTAGGAGGTGTTTGGGTCATGGGGCAGAGTCCTTATGAATAGTTTGGCACCATCCTCTTGGTAATCAAAATGTGTGCACTTTATTAATTCAAATGAAAGCTGGTTTGTTAGAAGAACCTGGCTCCTTCACCTCGTACTTGCTCTGTCTGTTATCTTGTGGTGTGTACAGTTAATCTTCGCCTTCAACCGTGATTGTAAGCTTGCTGACACTCTCACCAGAAGCAGATGCTGGCACAGACTTTTTATACAGTCTGCTGAATTGTGAGCCAAATAAACTTGGTTTTTTAATAAATTATCCATTCTCAGGTATTCCTCTATATGCAGAATGATAAATCAGTGTATAATGTTGTCTAGGTTTTCTGTTTTCTTATTCATTTTTATATGAATCTTCTATTTATCGAAAATGGGATTTTGGTGTCTACAATTACCATTTTTATTCTGTTTTAAATATTCTATAGAAGATCTTTAAGGATTTTAAGCATCATCATTATGATAGTAAAGACTTCTGGTCAGCCCCCCGCCAGGCCAGCCGCCCCGTCTGGGAGGGAGGTATGGGGGTCAGCCCCCCGCCCGGCCAGCCGCCCCATCTGGGAGGGAGGTGGGGGGGTCAGCCCCCGCCGGGCCAGCCACCCCATCCGGGAGGTGAGGGGCGCCTCTGCCCGGCCGCCCCTACTGGGAAGCGAGGAGCCCCTCTGCCCGGCCACCACCCCGTCTGGGAGGTGTACCCAACGGCTCATTGAGAACGGGCCATGATGACAGTGGTGGTTTTGTGGAATAGAGGAGGGGGAAAGGTGGGGAAAAGATTGAGAAATCGGATGGTTGCTGTGTCTGTGTAGAAAGAAGTAGACATGGGAGACTTTTCACTTTGTTCTGTACTAAGAAAAATTCTTCTGCCTTGGGATGCTGTTGATCTATGACCTTACCCCCAACCCTGTGCTCTCTGAAACATGTGCTGTGTCCACTCAGGGTTAAATGGATTAAGGGCGGTGCAAGATGTGCTTTGTTAAACAGATGCTTGCAGGCAGCATGCTCGTTAAGAGTCATCACTACTCCCTAATCTCAAGTACCCAGGGACACAAACACTGCGGAAGGCCGCAGGGTCCTCTGCCTAGGAAAACCAGAGACCTTTGTTCACTTGTTTATCTGCTGACCTTCCCTTCACTATTGTCCTATGACCCTGCCAAATCCCTCTCTGCGAGAAACACCCAAGAATGATCAATTAAAAAAAAAAAAAAGACTTCTATATTTGTCTGTGTATTTACATTTAATAGAGAGCTTTATTTTATATATGGTTTTATGATACTGTCCAGTATTTTTTTAAAACAAAACTGACTCATTTTACTGACTCATTTCAGCATTTCTTATTGTTATTTACAGAGTCTCACATTACTCAGGCTGATCTGAAACTCCTGGTTTCTAGTGTTCTGACAGGCTTGCCTCCTAAAACTGTAGGATTACAGGCATCAGCCCACGGTGCCTGGACACCATGTAGCATTTTTTTTTTTTTTTGTAGAACTGTGCTAGTGGTGATGAACACGCTCACTTTTTATTTTGGAAATTTTTTATTTTCATCTTCTTTTTAAAGTGAAATAAATTTAAATCAAGTATTCTTAGTTAGAATTTTTTTTCTTTTATTACATCAAAATTTGGGAATTTCTCACCTTTTTTTATTTTCAAGTAATCTCTGTATTATTTTTTCCCATATTCTTCTTCTAAGATTTTTTAATGAATATGTTAATCTAGTTGATGGTGCCTAATAAAGTTTACATTCCATGTTTTAATTTGGTTTTGCAATTGTATATTTTTGTGTTATATATTTTAGGGTATGCCACTACACATCTGTTAATTGTGCTTTGATATTTTAGTATAATAATTGTGCATGTCAATATTTAACTTTATGCAATTTAAGACAGTCTGGAGCAACATCAAATATGATTGAGCCATATGTCTTTTTCCAATAGAATTATCTCTATGTTTGTTTGCCTGTATAAATATTATCGTTGTATTTTTTATAACTTGTATATTTGTTGTGTGGGTTTGTTGTGAGTGATTTTCTAATCCTGTGTAGCTGAGTAGTCATAAAATTCTTATAATTTCAACATCCTATTTATTTCTGAATCTATATTTTTTTATGGGAGAAACACTTTTAAATGTGAATATAATTTAAAACTATCATAACTCTGTACTTTTAGTTATTATTATTTTTACTTGTCAAAAAAAAAACAAAATTTACCAGAAAATAAATATTTAATTTAGTCATATTAATCATCTTGAAATTTTCATGCAACATATTGCTAAAATGTTTTTACCTTGCAAGCTAAATCTTAATACATATTAAACAACTACCATTTTTTTTTTCTTGAGATGGAATTTTGCTCTTGTTGCCCAGGCTGGAGTGCAATGGCGCGATCTCGGCTCACCACAACCACTGCCTCCGGGTTCAAGTGATTCTCCTGCCTCAGTCTTTGAGTAGCTGGGATTACAGGCATGTGCCACCACGCACAGCTAATTTTGTATTTTTAGTAGAGAGGGGTTTTCTCCATGTTGGTCAGGCTGATCTCAAACTCCTGACCTCATAATCTGCCTTAGCCTCCCAAGTAGCTGGGATTACAGGCATGTGTCACCACACCTGGCTGATTTTTGTAGTTTTAGTAGAGACGGGGTTTCACCATGTTGGCCAGGCTGGCCTTGAACTCCTGACCTTAGGTGATCTGTCCTCCTTGGCCTCCCAAAGTGCCTAAAATACAGGTGTGAGCCACCATGCCTGGCCTGGCCTGGCACATCACTTTTATTTTGCAGCTTCAAAGATTTTTTTTTTGTCTGTGACTTTTGAAATTGTGCTTATATATGTGTTTGTTATAAATATCTTTCTGTGATCCTAGTTTGTTGAGCTTCTTTATTTTTACATCATTTTTTCTTACTTTTAGGATCTATCAGTTTTTATATTTTTACCTCCACAATTTCTGCTTTTTTGAAATCTTAAATATTTTTGTTCTCATCCTCATTTTTCCGATTTTCCATAGTTGTCTCTGTTCCTATTTTAATCAGTGAGTATTATTCATTACCAATTCATAAAATTAATGTATACATCTCTTTTATGGTTTCTTTCAGAAAATTTTATAATATTTTGGTGGCATCATATTGCCCTATTTTGTATACATTATAATCTTTGATTGAGATTTGGACATTTAAAAAAGCTAACTGTCAAAGTCTTTATAATGTAGTTTTGTCCTGGCATAGTTTGAAAACAACTGTCTTGTCTAATGATTATGGGAATTTCTCAAATATGTTCTTAGGATATGTGTTGTCTGAAATTTTGTGTTTATGTCTTAATTAAGAGTGTTTACTTATGTTACTTTGTAGGAGTCAGTAATCACTTGCTATGCCTGTTTCCTTTCTGTGGTACTGCAGTCTCTCTGCTGCTGTAACATTTTTCTTTGGTCTCAGCAGACTCAAACTTTCATTCCAAATTATGCCACGGTTTCTTTCAACACTTATGTCATGAGAGAGGGAAATCAGTGTCAGGAAAAGCCCCTAAAAGCTGTAAATAAAAATGAATGGGCTACTATTTTACCTTTCTTTTAAAACATAAACCAGGAGTTGGCAATTTACTTCTAAAGGCACTCTGTTATAATGGGAAGCAGGAAAAGCTGTGTCAAGTAAATTTAACAGACTTTTCTTTTTTTTCTGTGTGGTTTTTTGCATTGTGCTCCCCTGAGACACTGCACACACTTAACTCATTCATAAATTTTCCATAGATGTAATTTGATCTGTATGTTTTTGTTACATATATATGTCTATGAAAGAATTAGGGCCTGTGCAGGGTAATGGCGTGAACCCAGGAGGCAGGGCTTGCTGTGAGCCAAGATTGCACCACTGCACTCCAGCCTGGGTGACAGAGCGAGACTCCGTCTCAAAAACAAACAAACAAAAAAACAAAAATAGAATTAGGGCCTGTGGTATTTTGCAGTGCCATATTGTTTATGTAGTTTGTATAATTTTGTAGGTAAGATTTTTAAACTATATTCATGTGAGTCTAGGTGAGTGGAGTAATTTATTATTTTTAGTTTTTTTTTTTCAGGTATATGTCCTCATTTTCCTCAAGACTTTTGGCCAGAGCAGAGCATGGAAGATTCTTTTCAAAAAGTATTACTGAGAAAATATGAAAAATGTGGACATGAGAATTTACAGTTAAGAAAAGGTTGTAAAAGTGTGGATGAGTGTAAGGTGCACAAAGAAGGTTATAATAAACTTAACCAGTGTCTCACAACTGCCCAGAGCAAAGTATTTCAATGTGGGAAATATTTGAAAGTCTTCTATAAATTTTTAAATTCAAACAGACATACGATAAGACATACTGGAAAGAAATGCTTCAAATGTAAAAAATGTGTCAAGTCATTTTGCATCCGTTTACACAAAACCCAACATAAATGCGTTTATATTACAGAGAAGTCCTGTAAATGTAAAGAATGTGAAAAAACCTTTCATTGGTCCTCAACCCTTACTAATCATAAGGAAATTCATACTGAAGATAAACCCTACAAATGTGAAGAATGTGGCAAAGCTTTTAAGCAGCTCTCAACCCTTACTACACATAAAATAATCTGTGCTAAAGAGAAAATCTACAAGTGTGAAGAATGTGGCAAAGCATTTCTATGGTCCTCAACCCTAACTAGACATAAGAGGATACACACTGGAGAGAAACCCTACAAATGTGAAGAATGTGGCAAAGCTTTTAGCCATTCTTCAACCCTTGCTAAACATAAGAGAATTCATACTGGAGAGAAACCCTACAAATGTGAAGAATGTGGCAAAGCTTTTAGCCGTTCTTCAACCCTTGCTAAACATAAGAGAATTCATACTGGAGAGAAACCCTACAAATGTAAAGAATGTGGCAAAGCTTTTAGCAATTCCTCAACCCTTGCTAATCATAAGATAACTCATACTGAAGAGAAACCCTACAAATGTAAAGAATGTGACAAAGCTTTTAAGCGACTCTCAACCCTTACTAAACATAAAATAATACATGCTGGAGAGAAACTCTACAAATGTGAAGAATGTGGCAAAGCTTTTAATCGATCTTCAAATCTTACTATACATAAGTTTATTCATACTGGAGAGAAACCTTACAAGTGTGAAGAATGTGGCAAAGCATTTAACTGGTCCTCAAGCCTTACTAAACATAAAAGATTTCATACTAGAGAGAAACCCTTCAAATGTAAAGAATGTGGCAAAGCATTTATATGGTCTTCAACCCTAACTAGACATAAGAGGATACACACTGGAGAGAAGCCCTACAAATGTGAAGAATGTGGCAAAGCTTTTAGGCAATCCTCAACCCTTACTAAACATAAGATAATTCATACTGGAGAGAAACCCTACAAATTTGAAGAATGTGGCAAAGCTTTTAGACAATCCTTAACCCTTAATAAACATAAGATAATTCATAGTAGAGAGAAACCCTACAAATGTAAAGAATGTGGCAAAGCTTTTAAGCAATTCTCAACCCTTACTACACATAAAATAATTCATGCTGGAAAGAAACTCTACAAATGTGAAGAATGTGGCAAAGCTTTTAATCATTCCTCAAGTCTTTCTACACATAAGATAATTCATACTGGAGAGAAGTCTTACAAGTGTGAAGAATGTGGCAAAGCATTTCTATGGTCCTCAACCCTAAGAAGACATAAGAGGATACACACTGGAGAGAAACCCTACAAATGTGAAGAATGTGGCAAAGCTTTTAGCCATTCTTCAGCCCTTGCTAAACATAAGAGAATTCATACTGGAGAGAAACCCTACAAATGTAAAGAATGTGGCAAAGCTTTTAGCAATTCCTCAACCCTTGCTAATCATAAGATAACTCATACTGAAGAGAAACCCTACAAATGTAAAGAATGTGACAAAACTTTTAAGCGACTCTCAACCCTTACTAAACATAAAATAATACATGCTGGAGAGAAACTCTACAAATGTGAAGAATGTGGCAAAGCTTTTAATCGATCTTCAAATCTTACTATACATAAGTTTATTCATACTGGAGAGAAACCTTACAAGTGTGAAGAATGTGGCAAAGCATTTAACTGGTCCTCAAGCCTTACTAAACATAAAAGAATTCATACTAGAGAGAAACCCTTCAAATGTAAAGAATGTGGCAAAGCATTTATATGGTCTTCAACCCTAACTAGACATAAGAGGATACACACTGGAGAGAAGCCCTACAAATGTGAAGAATGTGGCAAAGCTTTTAGCCGTTCCTCAACCCTTACTAAGCATAAGACAATTCATACTGGAGAGAAACCCTACAAATGTAAAGAATGTGGCAAAGCTTTTAAGCACTCCTCAGCCCTTGCTAAACATAAAATAATACATGCTGGAGAGAAACTCTACAAATGTGAGGAATGTGGCAAAGCTTTTAATCAATCTTCAAATCTTACGACACATAAGATAATTCATACTAAAGAGAAACCTTCCAAGAGTGAAGAATGTGACAAAGCATTTATCTGGTCCTCAACCCTTACTGAACATAAGAGAATTCATACCAGAGAGAAAACCTACAAATGTGAAGAATGTGGCAAAGCATTTAGCCAGCCTTCACACCTTACTACACATAAGAGGATGCACACTGGAGAGAAACCCTACAAATGTGAAGAATGTGGCAAAGCTTTTAGCCAATCCTCAACCCTTACTACACATAAGATAATTCATACTGGAGAGAAACCCTACAAATGTGAAGAATGTGGCAAAGCTTTTAGGAAATCTTCAACTCTTACTGAACATAAGATAATTCATACTGGAGAGAAACCCTACAAATGTGAAGAATGTGGCAAAGCATTTAGCCAATCCTCAACCCTAACTAGACATACGAGGATGCACACTGGAGAGAAACCATACAAATGTGAAGAATGTGGCAAAGCTTTTAATCGATCCTCAAAGCTTACTACACATAAGATAATTCATACTGGAGAGAAACCTTACAAGTGTGAAGAATGTGGCAAAGCATTTATATCATCCTCAACCCTAAATGGACATAAGAGAATTCATACTAGAGAGAAACCCTACAAATGTGAAGAATGTGGCAAAGCATTTAGCCAATCTTCAACCCTAACTAGACATAAGAGGTTGCACACCGGAGAGAAACCCTACAAATGTGGAGAATGTGGCAAAGCCTTTAAAGAGTCCTCAGCTCTTACTAAACATAAGATAATTCACACTGGAGAGAAACCCTACAAATGTGAAAAATGTGGCAAAGCCTTTAACCAGTCTTCAATCCTTACTAACCATAAGAAAATTCATACTATCACACCTGTAATCCCACTACTTTGGGAGGCCGAGGCGGGCGGATCACGAGGTCAGGAGATGGAGACCATCCTGGCTAACACAGTGAAACCCCTTCTCTACTAAAAAATACAAAAAATTAGCCGGGCGTGGTGGCGGGCGCCTGTAGTCCCAGCTATGCGAGAGGCTGAGGCAGGAGAATGGCGTGAACCCGGGAGGCGGAGCTTGCAGTGAGCCGAGATCACGCCACTGCACTCAAGCCTGGGCGACAGAGCGAGACTCCGTCTCAAAAAAAAAAAAAAGAAAATTCATACTAGAGAGAAACCCTACAAATATAAAGAATGTGGCAAATCTTTTAACCGGTCTTCAACCTTTACTAAACATAAGGTAATTCATACTGGAGTAAAACTCTACAAATGTGAAGAATGTGGCAAATCCTTTTTCTGGTCCTCAGCCCTAACCAGACATAAGAAAATTCATACTGGACAGCAACCCTACAAACAGGAAAAATTTGGCAAAGCCTTTAACCAGTTTTCACACCTTACTACAGATAAGATAACTCATATTGGAGAGAAATCTTACAAGTGTGAATAATGTGGTAAAGTCTATAAAAAGTCCTGAATTCTTAACAGACATAATATTATTCATACTGGAGAGAAACTCTACAAACCTGAAAGATGTGCCAACGCTTTTGACAAGTCAAACTTTTCTAAACATCAAGAAAATCATGCTGCTGAGAAATCCTAGAAATGTGAAGAATGTGACAAAGCCTCTAAATGATTGTCACACTTGATCGTAGGTAAGATAATTCATACTGGAGAAAACTACCAGTGTGAACAATGTGGCCAAGCTTTGAACTAATGCTCACACCTTAATGCATAGGAAAGCATTTATGCTTGAGAAAAAGTGAACAAATATAGACAAAAAGCCATTAATACCTGCTCACATCGTACTCAAATTCAGAGCGTTCATACTAAATAAGAAGTGTAATTACTGTCAAACGACTGATCAGAAAATATGTCTTTAAAGTACAGAAGAGTATTTTGAAAAAGCATTACAAATATGAAGAGGCATTATTTATGACCTTTTCTATGGAAAGGTAAGGACATTAAAAATGTAAGATGCATGATGAAAATTTAAGTAGAGAGGATCTTTATGGTTAACTTATAATATCGAGTGATGCATGAGGTAGATGTTCAGATTAATATTCTGCATTATTATGAAAGAAAAACATTCTTAATTTTAGTTAAAGTTTAGTATGATTTATTGTATTTTTATGAAATATATGTAGCATATTTTTAAATTATAAATTGCATGTGAACTTTTCAACCAAACAGTTTTAACATGTTAAATACTATCATGAATTCAATGAAGTGTTATTATGCCAGTAACTTTAACCTATTCCACCTTACTCAAGGGTGTAGGTAAAAGATGGTAAAAATACACTATTTGGTAAGATAATGGACTGACATCTCTAGTGATTTTTTTTGCCAGTGAGTTTTAATTGCCATTAAGTTAAAGAATATTGTTCCCATAGGCTAAATTTTTATTTTTATTTTCTCATTTAAATGTATTTGACTTAATTTTTGTGGATACCTAATATGTGTACATATTATGCCATATGTGGCATATTTTGATACGGACACACAATATATAACAATCGCATTAGACTAAATGCGGTCTCCATTACCTCTAGCATTTATTCTTTGTATTACAAATAATTCAATTCTACAGTTTTAGTTATTTTTAAATGTACAATTAAATTGTTGTTGACTACAGGATTATTTTTATGGTCATAATAAAACTTATATACAAACATAAGTAAAATCCATATATTTCTGAGTCCCGAATAAATCTTTTTTAATTTTTTCATATATTTTTCTTCGAACATGTGGCCTCTGCCTGCAAGCACATATGGACTGTTAGTATTGATTTACATAGAGTTAAATATACACATCTGTTAGTCTAAGATGAATCTTAGGTGTAAATAAATTATGGAGTGTGTTTAAGTTCGAAACTATTTTTAGCAGAAAAAAGCAATATTGGAACAAAATCATTTTAAGGAGGTGTCTAATTTACTACAAAACAAAAATTCTCAAAAATGCTGAAAGCAAATTTATACTCTGCTTTGTATTGAATTTCTTGCTGTACAATCTTTTGGCTTATGGTTCAGAGTCTCCCCATGCAAATTCTGTTTTAACTTGACTGGTACTCATGCTAGACCCATAATTTTTTGTTGTTGTTGTTTAATAGGTTTTTTGTTTGCTTAATTGTTTGTTGTTGTTGTTGTTTGTTTGTTTTTGAGACAGAGTCTTAATCTTTCTCCCGGGCTGGAGTGCAATGGTGCAATCTGGGCTCACTGCAACCTCCGCCTTTCAGGTTCAAGCAGTTCTCCTGCCTCAGCCTCCTGAGTAGCTGAGATTACAGGCATGCATCACCACGCCCGGCTCATTTTTGTATTTTTAGTAGAGACGGGGTTTCACCGTTTTGGTCAGGCTGGTCTCAAATTCCTGACCTCGTGATCCACCCGTCTCTGCCTCCCAAAGTGCTGGATTACAGGCGTGAGCCGCCTCGCCTGGACTAATTTTTGTATTTTTAGTAGAGACAGGGTTTCACCATGTTGGTCAAACTGGTCTCCAACTCTTGACCTCAGGTGATCCACTCACCTCGGCCTCCCAAAGTGCTGGGATTACAGGCATGAGGTACCAGGCCCGGCTGGCCTGTGTAATAGTTTATGAAGAATTCATTATGTGAGCCTGTCTGTAATTATAAAAATACTTTTTTAAAATTTTATTGTTCCATAAGTTACTTATGTACAGGTGGTATTTGGTTAGTTGAGTAAGTTCTTTAGTGGTGATTTGTGAGATCCTGGTGCATCCATCACCCAAGCAGTATACACTGCACCATATATGCTGTATTTTATCCCTTCCCCTTTCACTCTTCCCCGCAAGTACCCAAAGTCCATTGTATTATTCTTATGTCTTTGCATCCTCATAGCATACCTCCCACATATCAGTGAGAACATACGATATTTGGTTTACCATTCTTAGAATAATAGTCTCCAATCTCATCCAGGACATTGCAAATGCTGTTAATTCATTCCTTTTTGTTACTGAGTAGTATTCCAACATATATATATGTATGTGTGTGTGCATGTGTGTGTATATATACATTTTAAGTGTTTATATATTTATATATATATACACACACATATATATATTTCACAGATTCTTTACCCACGCGTTAATTCCTGGGCATTTCAGTTGGTTCCACGATTTTACAATTGTGAATTGTGCTGCTAGAAACATGCATCTGCAAGTACGTTTTTCAAATAATCATTTCTTTTTCTCTGGGTAGATACTCAGTAGTGGGATTGCTGGATCAAATGCTAGTTCTACTTTTAGTTCTTTACAGACTCTCCACACTGTTTTCCATATGCATTTATATGTTTTCCATGGTGGCTCTATCAGTTTACATTCTCACCAGCAGTATAGATGTGTTCCCTGATTGCCACATCCATGCCAACATCTAGTTGTTTGATCTTTTGATTATGGCTATTCTTGCAGGAATAAGGTGGTATCGCATTGTGGGTTTGATTTGCATTTCTTTGATCATTAGTGATGGTAACCATTTTTTATATGTTTGTTGGCCATTTGTATATCTTCTTTTGAGAATTTTCTATTCATGTCCTTAGCCCACTTTTTGATGCGATTGTTTTTTTCCTTACTGATTTGCTTGAGTTTGTTGTAGATTCTGGATATTAATCTTTTGTCGGAGGTATAGATTGAGTTTGTTGTAGATTCTGGATACTAATCCATTGTCAGATGTATAGATTGTGAAGATTTTCTCCCACTGTGTGAGTTGTCTGTTTACTCTGCTGACTGTTCCTTTTGCCATGCAAAAACTCTTTAGTTTAACTAGGTCCCAGCTATTTATCTTTGTTTTTATTGCATTTGCTTTTGGGTTTTTGGTCATGAAATTTTTGCCTAGCCAATGCCTAGAAGGGTTTTTTTCCAATTTTATCTTCCAGAATTTTTATAGTTTCTGATCTTAGGTTTAAGTCCTTAATCCATCTTGAGTTGGTTTCTTTTATAAGGTGAGAGATGAGGATCCAGTTTCATTCTACATGTGGCTAGCCAATTATCCCAGAACCATTTGTTGAAAGGGTATACTTCCCCACTTTATGTTTTTGTTTGCTTTTTTGAAGATTGCTTGGCTGTAATTATTTGGGTTTATTTCTGGGTTCTCTGTTCCATTGGTCTATGTGCCTATTTTTATACCAGCACCATGCTGTTTTGGTGACCATGGCCTTACAGTATAGTTTGAAATCAGGTAGTATGGTGCCTCCAGATTTGTTCTTTTTGCTTAGTCTTGCTTTGGCTGTGCAGGCTCTTTTTTGGTTCTATATGAATTTTAGAATTGTTTTTTCTAACTCTGTGAAGAATGACGGTGGTTTTTTGATGGGGATTGTGTTGAATTTATAGATTGCTTTTGGCAGTATGGTCATTTTCACAAATTATTCTACCCATGCTTGTGCATGGGATGTGTTTCCATGTCTTTGTGTTGTCTATGATTTGTTTCAGCAGTGTTTTGTAGTTTTCCTTGTACAGGTCTTTCGACTCCTTCGTTAGGTATATTCATATAATTTTTTTCCCGCTATTGTAAAAGAGGTTGAGTTCTTGATTTAATTCTCCATTTGGTTGCTGTTGGTTATTAGAAGAGCTACTGAGTTGTGTACATTAATCTCGTATCCTGAAACTTTGCTGAATTGTTTTATCAGTTCTAGGAGCTTTCTGGAGGAGTCCTGAGGGTTTTCAAGGTAAATGATCACATCATCAGCAAGCGGACAGTATGACTTCCTGTTTACTGATTTGGATGCCCTTCATTTCTTTCTCTTGTCTGATTGCTCTGGCTAGGACTTCCAGGGCTATGTTGAAGAGGAGTAGTGAGAGTGGGCATCCTTGTCTTGTTCCCGTTCTCAAAGGAAATGCTTTCAACTTTTTTCTATTCAGTATTATGTTGGCTGTGGGCTTGTCATAGATAGCTTTTATTTATTACATTAAGCTGTGTCCCTTGTATGCCAACTTTGCTGAGAGGTTTAATCATAAAGGGATGCTAAATATTGTCAATTTTTTTTTCTGCATCTATTCAGATGATCATGTGATTTTTGTTTTCAATTCTATTTATGTGGTGTATCACATTTCTTGACTTGTGTGTGTTAAACCATCCCTGCATACCTGGTATGAAATCAGCTTGATCATGGTGGATTATCTTTTCGACATGTTGTTGGATATTCTTTTCGACATGTTTTTGGATATTGTTAGCTAGTATTTTGTTAAGGATATTAGCATCAATGTTTATCAAGGATATTGGTCTGTAGTTTTCTTCTTTGGTCGTGTCTTTTCCTGGTTTTGGTATTAGGGTGATGCTGACCTCATAGAATGAATTAGGGAGGGTTCCTCCTTTCTCTGTCTTGTGGAATAGTGTCAAAAGAATTGGTAGTAATTCTTTGAATATCTGGTAGAATTCTGCTGTGAATCCATCTGGTCCTGGACTTTTTTTGTTGGTAATTTTTAAATTACCATTTTAATCTCACTGCTTGTTTTTGGTCTGTTCAGGGTATCTAATGCCTCCTGATTTAAGCTAGGAGGGTTGTATCTTTCCAGGAATTTATTCATCTCTTCTAGGTTTTCTAGTTTATGTGTGTAAAGGTGTTCATAGTAGTCTTGAATGATTCTTTGTATTTCAGTGGTGTCAGTTATTATATCTCCTGTTTCATTTCTCAGTGAGGTTATTTGGATTTTCTCTCTTCTTGGTTAATCTTGCTAATGGTCTATCAGTTTTATTTATCTTTTCAAATAAGCACTTTTTGTTTCATTTACTTTTGTATTTTTTTGTTTGAATTTTATTTAGTTCTGCTCTGATCTTGGTTATTTCCTTTTTTTCTGTTGGGTTTCGGTTTGGTTTGTTCTTGTTTCTCTAGTTCCTTGAGTTGTGACCTTAGATTTTCCGTTTTTGCTTTCAGACCTTTTGATGTAGGCATTTAGGGCTGTGAAGTTTCCTCTTCATCACCTTAGCTGTATCCCAGAGGTTTTGATAGGTTGTGTCATTATTGTCACTCAGTTTGAAGAATTTTTTTATTTCTATATTGATTTTGTTTTTGCCCCAGTGCTCATTCAGGAGCAGATTATTTAATTTCCATGAATTTGCATGGTTTTGAACGTTCCTTTGGGAGTTGATTTCCAGTTTTATTCCACTGTGGTCTGAGAGAGTGCTTGATATAATTTCAATTTTCTTAAATTTATTGAGGCTTATTTTATGGCCTATCATATGATCTATCTTGGAGAAAGTTCCATGCACTGTTGAGTAGAATGTGTGTTCTGCGGTTGTTGGATGAAATGTTTTCTAATATCTGTTAAGTCCATTTGTTCCAGGGTATAGTTTAAATCCATTGTTTCTTTGTTGTCTTTCTGTCTTGATGACCTGTCTAGTGCTGTCAGTGGAGTATTGAAGTTTGCCACTATTACAGTGTTGCTGTCTATCTTGTTTCTTAGGTCTATTAGTAACTGTTTTATAAATTTGGGAGCTCCAGTGTTAGGTGCATATATGTTTAGGATTGTGATGTTTTTCTGTTGGACCAGGCCATTT
This sequence comes from Homo sapiens, assembly GCF_000001405.40. Taxonomy (NCBI): domain Eukaryota; kingdom Metazoa; phylum Chordata; class Mammalia; order Primates; family Hominidae; genus Homo; species Homo sapiens. Next base: position 23,352,880 of record NC_000019.10, on the reverse strand, counting down.
ACCATTACATAATGTCCCTTTTTGTCTCTTTTAATCACTGTTGCTTTAAAGTTGGTTTTGTCTGGTATAAGAATAGCTACCCCTGCTTGCTTTGGGTGTCCATTTGCATGAAATGCCTTTTTCCACCCCTTTAAGTTTATTTGGGTCCTTATGTATTAGCTGAGTCTCCTGAAGACAGCAGATAGTTGATTGGTGAGTTCTTATTCATTCTGCAGTTCTGTGTCCTTTAATTGGAGTATTTAGGCCATTTACATTCAATGTTAATATTGAAATGTGTGGTACCATTGCATTCATCATGCTCTTTGTTGCCTGCATAGTTTGGTGTTTTGTGTGGTTTCTTGAGACAGAGTCTTGCTCTGTCTCCAAGACTGGAGTGCAGTGGTGTGACTCCCAAGATTATATGTTCTTTGTCTACCACTACCAGGTTGGGTAGGGAAGAATCATTGGGTGCGGGAGGTGCTAGATGTGTCTGAGTTCAGACTCTTCTTGGGCAGGTCTTGCTGCGGCTGCTATGGGGGATGGGGGTGAGATTCCCAGGTCACTAAAGTTTTGTACCTAGGAAGATTATGGCTGTCTCTGCTGAGTCATACAGGATGTCAGGGAAGTGGGGGAAAGCCGGCAGTCATAAGCCTCACTCAGCTCCCATGCAAACCAAAGAGCGGGTCTCACTTTCACTTTGCCCCCACAACAGCCCCGAGTCTGTTTCCAGGTGGAGGGCAAGTTGGGCTTGAAAATTTCTTAAGGCTTCCTGCCTCCCAGCTGGGAAAGAACAGGGCTTTAGTTTTTCCCTGCCTGTGAAGTCTGCAAGCCAGGTTCTCGCCTTCCCCTGGGTTCTGGCCAGGAGGCTTCTTGCCTCATTCAAATTCTTGCAAAGTTGAGCTAGGGAAGTCCTTCTCCCTTCAGTGTTTTACACCCTGCTCCTCTGTCCTCCCTCCTGATGGATTCCTGTGGTATCCAGCAGGAATGGGCTGCTTCGGGATTCAGCGAGCTCCCAGGGCCTCCCTACTGCCTCCTCCACCCTGTATGGGGGTGTGTGTTCAGGAGAGGAGGGTCTCCCTTTCCCATTTCTGCAGTTGGGGCACTCACAGTATTTAGGGTGTCTCCCGGGTCCTGCAGGAGCGGTCTATTTCCTTCAGAGGGTCTATCCTAATGCCTTTGAAGATACATTCTCAAGATGAAGGTGGTGATTTGTTCAGATAATCTCACCTGAGAAAGAATTAGAGAAGAGAGAAAAAATGGTTGATTCTTAGATAAGTGTGTCCCAGGTCAAAACTGTTCACATTTTCTTCTACAATGTCATGTATTTAGAATTGCAATCATTTACATTTCTACTTCTGATGCTTTTGCCTAACAAGATTATTTTAACTACCTTTTCCCTTTTCTTCTCATGACAGTGAAAGGATCTCTTTAAAATAATTCTCCCCGATTTATCAGAGCCTTAACTCTCTCCATCCAGCCTTCTTACATATCACAAATAATACTCACTTGAATTTATACCCTGAAGTATTGAAAGCATTTTTCTTTTCTTTTCTTTCTTTTTTTTTTTTTTCTTTTTCTGTGGTTGAGTCTTGCTCTGTCTCCCCAGCTGGAGTGCAGTGGTGTGATCTTGGCTCACTGTAACCTCTTCCTCTAGGGTTCAAGCAATTCTCCTGCCTCAGCCTCCAAGTAGCTGGGATTACAGGCATGCGCCATCATGCCCAGCTAATTTTTGTGTTTTTGTAGAGATGAGGTTTCACCATGTTGGCCAGGCTGGTCTCAAACTCCTGACCTCAGGTGATCCGTCCACCTCGGCCTCCCAAAGGGCTGGGATTACAGGCATGAGCCACCGTGCCCGGCATGAAAGTATTTTCTTTGTTGACAGATCAGCTTGGGCAGGTGCGGATTGCAAGGCTCTTATATTGGTTCGAACCCTGAGAGCGTGCCAACAGACAAGATGAGGCAATGTGGAGCAACACACTGTTTTAATGAGCATCTCGGTGCAGGCGGGCTGAGGCCTGAAATGGCATCAGCCCCAAGTAAGGACAGGGCAGGGGTTTTATAGTCCTCTGTAAAAAGGAAGTGTCCCAGTCTGACGCAACTGTTACATGGTACCGGACAGCCTCCCTCTCAGTCTTCAGGTGGAATGTGTCTCCTGGCCATATCTCTTCCTGCTTCTGCTATCTTGCTGATGCACGCTACTTGGACAAGTGGCCTTGCACCTTGGAACTGGGCCTGAGGAGGGAGAAGTTATTCATTCCCTTAAGCGTTCAGACCCCAGGGAGAATCTTTCATTCCTGTCTATTTGGTTATAGAAAAAAGGGACAACTTTCTCAATAACTACTTCAGGCATGACATAGGGGTGGCATGGGCACCTTCGCAAAATAAAAACTTAATTTTTGGGGTATTCTTGAGAGACGGGTTGGTATCCATCGTGTCATTGTAGCAGGAGCATGGTCTGGATTGTCTGGCAGCTAACTTTAGTTTCAATAAGAGTTTTAATGGCTTTTATTATTAGTGGGATAACACAGGAGAGAAACAGGAGGAACCCAGTGATGAAGATTACTGGTCCTACCAGCATTTTAAATCCCCCTAAATTAGAGAACCACCCTCCTTAAAGATTTGTTGGGCCCCACCCCTTCCAGGTTTGGACTGGCACATGGGCTTCTCTTCTGATGTTTGAAGTGATTTCTAGTACTGCTTTTCTGTTATCGTCTATGTTAAGACAACAATTGGAGATATTAAACTGACCACAGACCCCACCTTTTTCTGCTAATAAGTAGTCTAGTGCTAGCCTGTTTTGATAAATTGCTGCACGCATTTGGTTTTCTTGTTGCGTGAGCATTTCCAAGGCTGAGGCGGTTTGGTTAGTGATTATCTCTAGAACCCCCTGTAGTCTAATTATTATATTTAGAGTATATATGGGAGTGCAATAACCCCATGAACTATCCTCAGTCCAAGTGGCAGGACTGTTAATATTCGATGATCCGTTGCGGAGGCCATTCATCCTGTTGCCATCTTTGGCTTCCTCCTGCCTTTATGGATCATGGTTGTTTTTGTTTGTTTGTTTGTTTTAAATTATTATTACATACAGGTACTCCGAGAGTGTTGCCCACGTTAATGTTTTGGAGGAAGGAGTAGCCTTGGGGGTGAGCTTGACCCTAGTGCGATGAATCCAGTTGAGGAGTCCTTGGACTCTCACTGCAGTTGGCATGCTGCGTATCACAGTGTAGGGGCCTGTCCACTTCAGTTGTAGGTTTTTGTGAGGCTCGGGTTGGCAGATAAACACATCTGTGCCTGCAAGACAGTTATGTTGAGAGGACAAGGAGGTGTTGACAGGAAGGGGCATGGCCTCATTTGCCGCTTCACGAATGAAAGACCATGTCTGGATTAAGGAGGGGAGGTAATTCCTGAATGGCTCAGAATCTGGGAAGGGTAGAGGCCCCAAGACAAAAGTTTGGCTATCGGGGGAACCAGCCCCCAATATTTCAATGTAGGTTATTTTCTGTTTTCCCTAAGTGTCGGCTGGTCTGAGAAATAAAGGGAAAGAGTATAAAGAGAGAAATTTTACAGCTGGGCCTCCAGGGATGCCATCACATATTGGTAGGACCATGATGGCGACCCCAAGCCACAAAACCAACAAGTTTTTATTAGGGATTTCAAAAGGGGAGGGGCGTACGAATTGGGAGTGAGTCACAGAGGTCACATGCTTCAAAGGGCAATAAAAGATCACAAGGCAAAAGGGTAGAGCAGGATCACAAGGCAAGGGCAAAATTAGAATTACCAATGAGTGTCCATGTCCCGCTAGGCACACATTGTCTTGATAAACATTTTAACAGGAAACAGGGTTCAAGAGCAGAGAACTGGTCTGACTAGAATTCACTAGGCTGGAATTTCCCAATCCTAGCAAGCCTGAAGACACTGCAGGAGACCAGGGTGTATTTCATCCCTTCTCTCAACCGCATAAGACAGACACTCCCAGAACAGTCATCTGTAGGCCTACCCCTGGGAATGCATTCCTTCCCCAGGGTTATTAATTATTAATATTCCTTGCTGGGAAAAGAATTCAGTGATATTTATCCTACTCACACGTCCATCCATAGGCTGTCTGTGAGAAGAAAAATATGGCTGTATTCTGCAGTCAGACTGCAGAATAGAGATAACCATAAGGCAGTCAGACCTTATGGTTATCTTTCCTTGTTCCCTGAAAATCGCTTATTCTGTTCTTTTTCAGGGTGCCCTGATTTCATATTGCTCAAACACCTACGTTTTACAATCAGATTTCATACTGTTCAAACACACATGTTTTACAAACAATTTGTACAGTTAACTCAATCATCACAGGGTCCTGAGGCAACATACATCCTCAGCTTACAAAGATGATGGGATTAAGAGATTAAAGTAAAGACAGGCATAGGAAATTATAAGAGTATTGATTGGGGAAGTGATAAATGTCCATGAAATCTTCACAATTTATGTTCAGAGATTGCAGTAAAGACAGGTGTAAGAAATTATAAAAGTATTAATTTTGGGAACTAATAAATGTCCATGAAATCTTCACAATTAATGTTCTTCTGCCACGGCTTCAGCTGGTCCCTCCGTTCAGGGTCCCTGACTTCCCGCAACATTCAGCCATACATGATTTCAAAGGGACTATAAAAAGAGTGTGCCTTTGGTGTTGCACAGAATCTCATGAGGGAAAAAGGGAGATTTTTTTGTCCACCACTGGAGGGTTACTAGAGCCAACTTGGTGAGTTTAACAAGAGAGGTAATTTTTTTCAACTTTGCCTGAAGATTGAGGCCTGTAGGGTGTGTGGAGAACCCATTTTATACCTAAGGATATAGAGATGCCTTGGGTAATTTGTCTGAGGAAGGCAGGCCCATTATTGGACTGGATGGATGTTGGCAGTCCAAAATTGGGAATTATATGCATGTTGAGAGTTTGTGTGATGACATTTGCACTTTCTGAAGTTGTTGGGAATGCTTCTGCTCACCCAGAGAAAGTACGGACAAAGACTAGAAGATAGCAGAGCCATTATTGGGTGGCATGTGAGTGAAGTCTACTTGAAAATCTTGCCTGGGTACCTGGCCCTGGGCTTAGTGGGTAGGAAAAGGCAGTGGCCAAAGGGAACTGTGGGGTGATACTGAGTGGCAGATAGAGCAGGACTGGGTAATCTCTCAAACACGGCTGGAAAGGTGAAGACAAGTGAGGATAGGGTGGAGAAGTTGCAGGAGAGGTTTGTAATTGACATGGAAAGAGTTGTGGAGGCTTTGGAGGATAGAGATTGTTTGAGAGTGAGGAAGAAGGAAGCACCCTTCCTTGACATACCATGGTCCTTGTTTTTGAAGGTTTTGGGCTTGGTAGTCCTCCTTTTCTTCTGGAGAGTAAAGAGGAGAGAACGAGGACAGGCACAGAAACTGGCCTTGTACAGGTTGTAGGGCTACTTGTTTGGCTTCTCTATCTGCTAGATTTCCCACCAAAATAGGATTGTCTGGGGTTTGATGGTCCCTGCAATGAATGACGGTAGCTTTCTGCAGGAGTCTGGCAGCTTGAAGGAGCTTGCTGATAGAGTCATTTATGACAGGAGTGTTTTTTTGCAGTTAGGAAACTCCATTCTTTCCAGATGGACGAGTGTGAATGCACTATGTGGAACGCATAATGAGAATTTAAATATATGTTGATCTGTTGACTGGCTGCTAGAGTGAGAGCTCGAATGAGGGTGATGAGTTCAGCTTTTTGGGAGGTGGTGCCTAGGAAGAGCATATTGGCTTGAACAGTGTGTAGGGGGGGTGACACTATAGCATAGCCAGCATGCCGGCATCCTTGATGTAGGAAGGAGCTGCCATCTACAAACCAAGTAAAGAGGCATCTGGAAGGGGTTGGTCTGTTAGGTTTGGAAAAGGTATAAGAAAGGTTTGAACAGTGTTGATACAGAAGTATGTAGGATCTTTGGCGTGGCCAAGTTTAGATGGGAGCTGGTTACCATGGTGATGTGCGGAGCTTCTATGAATAGAGCATACAGTTGGAGGAGCCGTGGGGGAGAGAGGAAACTGCGGTGAGCTAGCATGTCTTTCTTTGACGTTATGGATTGAATAAACTGTTAAGTTGGCATGGAGAGATAGTTTAGGCTTTCAAGGGCAAGGACAGCAGCTGCCGTCAATGTTCAGAGGCAGACAGGCCATCTGAGAACTGTGGCTTCAAGCAGTTTAGAGAGGTAGGCAAAAACCTGGAGGGTGGGTCCCTTATACTAGGTTAGAACACCTACTGCAACTCCACACCATTCATCGGTATAGAGGGAGAAAGGTTTAGTGGTTCCTTCTGGGATAGCTGGGTCTACGTTGGTATACTTTCTCATGGCGTCAGTTAAACAAGAGAGAAAAAGGGCTGGGTTTTTGTTATGACCTTGGGTGATTTCTGAAAGTTTTTCATAGTTTACCGCTTTATGGGCACCCTTTTTGAGTCCTGCAAGGAGACACACAATCATGTTGTCTCGATGGTGGCATCCAGGGACCACATCTTGATAATCTCAGTGGGGTCCTGGTTGGGAACTGCCTGTGCACCAGTAGGCTGGGCAGGAGCCTGGTGATGAATTGTATTGGCATGCACCTGAGCTGGGGTCTAGATACGGTCCTCGTCTTCTGGGGAGAGGGTGGCAGAGAGGATAATGTAGAGGTCATGCCAAGTTAGTTCATAACACTGGGTGAGGTACTGAAACTCTAATATAAGAGGTAGGGTCTTCTGGAAATGAACTGAGTCTTTTTGTTAATTTGAGAGATATCAGTGAGGGAGAAGGGAATGTGAACTCTAACAACATGTTCAGTTTCTGCCACTTCCTGAAGGGGGCACTGTAGCACAGCCGCTGAAGTAAGAGTGGGGCATGGGCTAAAGGTGGCGCCTGAGCAAGTGTGGATGGGAGAGAAGGAGGAACCTGGAAGTGGTTCCTGCTGAGGGTTTGAACAGGGGAGGGGGGTTGAGTTAACAGGCAGTGGAGGATAGATAGGAGTGTAAAGTGGCGGGATGGGTTTACAAGCCTCAGGAGAGGGCGGTGGGGGAGGTCAGTGGGTACAGGCAATACTAGAATTGTCCTGAGGAGGGGACGATATAGGAAAAGAAGTGGATACTGCTGACTGGGAAGATGGTGGCTGGGAATATTGCTGCTGAGAAGATGGTGACTGAGAAGATTGTGGCTGAGAAGATAAAGAAAAGGCTTGGGGGTGAAAGAAGATGGTTGAGAGGGAGAGGTAGGGGCTGGGAGGGTGGACAGCAGTCTGCTGGATCCAAAGAGGAAAAAGAGGTAGGGTCGGGAAGAGGAAGGCAATCTGGGTGGTGAGAACAGAGGAGGAGGATTTGAACACATGAGCAAGAATTGCAGAGGTTGGGTTGTGATCTGAGTGCAAAAAAGGCCTGGATATAAGTAATTTCTCCTCATTTTTCCAGTCATCAGCAATAATTGATTAAGTCAGTTAAAATTGTAAAGTCCAATGTTCCGTTTGTGGGCCATTTGGACCCATTATCCAATTCGTATTGTGGCCAGATTGAATTGTAAAACAAGACAAGGCACGGATATCTTGACTGAGGCCTGAGGTTTGTAGGTTTTTTTATGAGGCAGCCTAGAAGGATGTCCTTTGGAATGGAAAACTTGAGATTTCCCATAACCGAGGTTAGGCTAGAGAGAACAGGGAAAAGGGGACCATCCTGGGAAGCTGGAGGGAGATGATAAAAGGAGCGATTGTCACCACTGCCTTTTTTGTTCCTAGAACGGGATCAAATGGCTTAGAGGCATCCCCCTAAGACCAAAAGATCAGCAAGTGCCTGGCACATGCCAGAGCCTTCTTGGGCCAACATTGGATTTTTGGACTGGAGAGAGCAAGAGAGGCTGTGTGGATTTTTCCCTGTTAACTGGGCTCCCAGGATACTTACTGGTAGGTGAGATCAGTGACCGAGGGGCATGCACAGACAGGCGACTGGAGGCTGAGGAGCTTCTTTTGTCCAGCTGCTGTACCCAGATGGCCTCCCTCTGGATCTTCAGGGGGTATGTGTCTTCCTGCCAACTGTTCCTGCTTCCGCTCTCTTGCTGACGCACGCTGCTGGTGCAAGGGGCTTTGTGCCTTTGGACTAGGCCTGTGGAAGGAGGAGTTATTCATTCCCTTAAGTTTTCGGGAGAATCTTTCAGGGATATAAAACATTCTTATTGGGGTTGCTGCTGGGTCCTCAGATATCAGTGAGGGAGAAAAGTGCACCGTTTAGGTTCCATCTGAATGCTTCATCAGCTCTCTGAAGAACATAATTTTAAAATCCCCACTGAAAAAGGATGGAATTAATAGCCTGGAATAATTTAGAAAGATGTGTATGTAAAGGAATTAATTCAAAGAAATGTGTCTTCTAGAATGCTAAAGAGACAGTATTTAAATAGACTGCTAGAAATTACAAAACATGGGCATCATATGTGGCTTGAACTTTGCATAAAACATGTTTTTCATGATTAGATTCAGATTATAATTTATGTTTTTTGCCGGGCGCGGTGGCTCACCTCTGTAATCCCAGCAATTTGGGAGGCCGAGGCGGGCGGATCATGAGGTCAGGAGATCGAGACCATCCTGGCTAACACGGTGAAACCTCGTCTCTAATAAAAATATAAAAAATTAGCCAGGCATGGTGACGGGCGCCAGTAGTCCCAGCTACTCGGGAGGCTGAGGTAGAACAATGGCGTGAACCCGAGAGGTGGAGCTTGCAGTAAGCCAAGATCACGCCACTGCACTCCAGCCTGGGTGACAGAACGAGACTCCATCTCAAAACAAATAAATAAATAATAATAATTTATGATTTTTGGCCAGTAATCTCACAGAAGTCATGTTGCATCCTCATATATGCATCCGCACCTGATGCCAATCTGTCCATTTTATTCACTTGGTTAGCATGTTTCCTGAAGGAATTCTTCACTTTAAAATTACTTTCTAAAAACTGTATTATTAACAGGTATTTTCGAGAGACTTTCTGACTAATGTGCAGAAACAATCACATTTAATCTGAAAGCTCCCCTGTCATGCTAAGTGTCAGGTTCCAGCCCAAGCTGAGGTCTGATAGAAGTCAGTGGGCGAGTGGTGGGTTGCTGGAAAAACACTCGAGGAATTGTGGGCAGTTTTGATATGGCTTTATTATCTCTCTGGGCAGAAGCCTGGGCATGAGCCATGTGTGCAGGGTCAGCGGCTTTACTCTCTCTCTTCCCCTCCTGTCTACCTGTCTGTGTACTCCTTACACACGATAGTGGCTCAAAGCCAAGTATGAGCTTACAGAACTAGGTTACATAATGAGCAGAATTGTGCACCTGCACTCAAACTCACTGAGTCATGCTGAACCAGATGTTTACCTCAGCTTATTATTGACCACAGCACATCCATTTTTCTTACATCCCTTATCTTAATAGTTTCTCTTGTTTATATCTTGCTTTGGAAAATGAAGGCTGTCATCTTTGTTCACTGGTCATATACATGGGGACAAAACCCAGGTTCTATCACTAGATGTTTTACAAACTATTTTCCTTAAGTTAGAATCATTTATGTCATTGGTGAGTTTGTTAGCAATGCAGTAACTCAGGTCTCATCTCAGATCTCTTGAATTGGAATCCATATTTTAACAAAATCTGCAGCTCATTGATATATACGTTAAAATTGGAGAGGTACCTTCTAACTTACTGTGACTTCTCCATATGAGAACTGGACAGAACTTACTGTGTATAATGTAAATATGGCACTCAAAACTGTATATGCTTGTGTTTATGCCATAAATTTTATGCTGTATTATTCAGAAAACTACAGTACCTACAGTGGTTTTGTGGATCTTTTTTCATTTTCTTTCCTCAGAATGCAAAAATATATTACAGAATCTTTCTCTATTTAACAATATTTTATTGGATAATTCCAGTCTCTGTAACTCTCAAACACCTAGAGTAAAATTAACAATTCTGCCCATGGCCATTTGCTAAATATGTGTGGGTGTTTGGGTTTGTTTAGGAAATGTTAACATTCAAGGCTTTGGCCATAGAATTCTCTCAAGAGGAGTGGGAATGTCTGAATCCTGCTCAGTGAAATTTGTGTAGAGATGCAATGTTAGAGAACTATAGAAACCTGGTCTCTCGGTGAGAATAAATATACCCCAGATTTTCTAATATACCATCAGGCTTCTATTTTCTCCCTTTGTAGAATGATTTTGGGAGGTTTTGCTCTGCATAAATTATTTTTAGATCAGTACTTTTAAGAAAAACTTGAAGGTTTATTGGAATAGATAAGAAAATCTTCAAGATGTTTTATCTTAATAGGAACCTTCCCCTCTCTTGAGCTAATCTGTATCCTTCACTCTAGATTAATGATAATTCTAGAAATTCAGTGGCATTAAATACTGTTGCACAAATATTAAAATCCAATATCCAGCACTAATTTTATATTCAGTATTGGATAGTAGAGCTAAGGACCCAGAAATGTCACGTATGTTTTAAATATTCAAAAGTTTCTGTCAGAAAACAGTATTTTGGAATTAAATTTCTAGAATCTTTCATAATATTCTCTCCTCTCTACTGAACATAGTACTAGGTTGGTAACTGGAGGATCCCAGAAAGTCATGCTAATTTTTCTAACAAAACAGGCCTTGCTGTCTCTAACTCTGATCTGATATCCTGCTTTGAGCAAATAAAAGAGCCCTGGAATGTGAAGAGACATGAGACAGTAGTCAGCTTCTCAGGTAGGTAAGCATGAATGAAGCAGATAACAGAGACGAGGGATACGAAGGTCAGAAAGAATTTCAGACCTTAAAATGTGGTATAGAATGCTCTGCTTCCATGGAAAGGTTTCCTAAAAAGCCATTTATTTCTCTAGCTCCCAAATAGGAGCATCTTTTGTCCCATACCCTTAAATTCTTTAAGGATCCTACTTCCTATTTAGTGATTTTCCTTAGAGGGTACCGTGAGAGCTAAAGTCCTCTTTATGGCTTATAAGGTGCTGCATGATATGCCTGCTCTTCCATTGTTTTGGGGGAGTATAAGAATATTTCTGAGTATTTTAGAGGAACTGCATGTTAGATCATTTAACGTTTCTTTTCCCATCATGTCTGAAATGTGTAAGAGGAGTGGTGATATTAAGATTTGTTTCAGAAATCACAGGAACATGAATGACAGATGTTACTTCTCTATTTTTTTTTAATATTAGCAATCCTAACAGATTTCGAGTGATAGCTCATCATTGTTTTCATTTGCAGTTGCCTTTTGGTAGGTGATATTGAGCACTTTTTTATATATCTATTGGTCATTTGTATATATTTGTTGGCAAAATATTTTTTTCACTCTTTCAACCATTTTTTAGTTGGATTATTATTGTTATTATTATACTTGCTTTTGCTTTGAATTTTCTATATATTTTGAATATTAAGCTTTTCTGATATATACAGTTTGCTGTTGTGAGCATGCTGCAATAAATGTGCAAGTATACGTATCATTTTCATATAATAAACTATTTTTCTTTGGGTAGATACCCAATGATGAGATTTCTGAATCAAATGATAGTTCTGGCCAGGCGTGGTAGCTCACGCCTGTAATCCCAACACTTTGGGAGGTAGAGGCGGGCAGGTCATGAGGTCAGAAGTTTGAGACCAGCCTGAGCGATATGGTGAAACCCCGTCTCTACTAAAAATACAAAAGTTAGCCAGGCGTGGTGGCACTTGCCTGCAGCCCCAACTCCTCAGGAGGCTGACACAGAAGAATTGCTTGAACCTGGGAGTCAGTGGTTGCAGTGAGCTGAGATCGTACCACTGCACTCCAGCCTGGACAACTAAGACTCCGTCTCAAAAAAAAAAAAAAAAATGGCAGTTTTATTTTTAGTTGAGATTGAGCATTTTTTTCATATGCGTGTTGGCTATTTGTATGTCTTTATTGAAAAATGATTAGTAATGTTATTTGCTCAATTGTCAATAGAATTCTTTATTATTACTATTATTATATTTTTGAGTTGTTTGAGTTATTTGTAAGTACTGAATATTAGTTCCATGTTGGCACGTAGTTTGCAAATATTTTCTTTTATTCTGTAGCTTGCATATTTACCCTGCTGATTTTTTTTTCTGTGCCAAAACTTTTAGTTTGATTTCCATTTGTCTATTTTTTATAATAATAATATAATAAATAATAATTTAATAATAGTTTTCTTTGTTGTGTCCTTGGCTAGTTTTGGTATCAGGGTGATACTGACCTCTGAGTGACTTAGGAAGAGTTTTATTATCCTCAATTTTTGGTAAGAGTTTCAGGAGGATTATTATTGTTTGTACACTTGGTAGAATTTTGCTGTGCATTTAGTCCTGAGCTTTTCTTTGTCAAGACATTTTTTTTTATTGCTGACTCAATCATGCTACTCAGTATTGGTTTGTTCAGGTACTCTATTTCTTCCCGACTCTATCTTGGGAGGTTGTTTGTTTCCATGGATTTATTCATTCTTTCTAGGTTTTCAGGTTTGTGAGTGTCTAGTTGTTTATAATCGTTTCTAGTGATCTTCTGTATTACTGTTGTATCCATTGTAATGTCTGTTCTTTTATATCTGATTTGTTTATTTAGATTTCTATTCTATTTGTGGTTAATCTAGCTAGCAATTTACCAATTTTGTCTTTTTGAAAAACCAACTCTTTATTCTGTTGGTCATTTTTATTGTTTTTGGACTTCATGTCATTTGGTTGTGTTCTGATTTTTATTTATTTCCTCTTCTAACTTGGGATTTGATTTGTTATTAATTTTCTAGTTCTTTGAAATGTGATGTCAGGTCCTTAATATGTAAGCTTTCTATTTTTTTGATGCAGGCCTTTAGGCTATTAACTTCCCTTTTAGTACTACATTTGATGTATCTCACAGGTTTTATTATATTGTGTTTCTATTTCCATCTTTTTTCCCACAAATTTTTAATTTTCATCTTAATTTTTTTTTTTTTTTTTTGAGATAGGTTTTACACTGTCACCCAGGCTGGAGTGTAGTGGCACAGTGTTGGCTCACTGCAACTTCTGCCTTCCAGGCTCAAACGATCGTTTTATATTAGCCTCCCGAGTAGCTAGGACCATAGGTGCACACCACCACACCTAGCTATTTTTTCATATTTTTTTTTGTAGGGACAGGGTTTTGCCATGTTGCCCAGGCTAGTGTTAAACTTCTTACCTCAGGTGGTCCACCTGTCTCAGCCTCCCAAAGTGCTGGGATTACAGGTGGGAGCCACCACCCCTGGTCAACCATCATAATTACTTCATTTACATAGTCACTGTTGAGGAGTATGTTATTTAAATTCTTTGTAAATTTATAGTTTCTGAAATTTCTCTTGATACTGATTTGTAGTTTTATTCTACTGTGGTCTAAGTAGGTAGTTCGTATAATTTTGATTTGGGGGGATACTTTGTTGATTTGCCAGATTTCCTATCTCAATGGTCTCTCTAATGCTGTGAGTAGAATGTTGAATTTCTCCACTATTATTGTATTACTGTCTATCTCGTTCTATAGATTTAATAATATTTCTTTGTAAATCAGGGTGCTGTGATGTTGGGTTCATATATATTTAGAATTGTTATATCTTTTGGCTGAAATGATTTCTTTATTATTGGATGATGATCTTTATCCTTTTTTGTTACAGCTTTTTAATTTAAAGTCTGTTTTATTTGATGTAAGTATAGATACTCCTATTTACTTTTGGTTTCTGTTTGTGTTAATATATTCCCCCCCATTTGCCTTTAATCTATATGTGTCTTACAAGTAAGGTGAGATTTTTGTAGGCAACATAGATTTGCGTTATTTTTTCTCATTCATTTCATAAATCTATACTTTTTTTTTTTTTTTGAGACGGAGTCTTGCTCCATCGCCAGGCTGGAGTGCAGTGGCGCGATCTCGTCCCACTGCTCACTGCAACCTCTGCCTCCCCTATTGAAGTGATTCTCCTGTCTCAGCCTCCTGAGTAGCTGGGACTACAGGCACACACCACCACGCTCAGCTAATTTTTGTATTTTCAGAAGAGACGGGGTTTCATCATATTCACCAGGCTGGTCTTGATCTCTTGACCTCGTGATACCCTCACCTCACCCTCCCAAAGTGCTGGGACTACAGGCGTGAGCCACCGCACCCAACCAAATCTATACATTTCAATGAAGGATTTAATTTATTTATATTCAAGGTAAATATTAATATGTAAGGTTTTGTTACTATCATAATGTTAATTATTTTCTTGTCTTATTTTTTTATCTGTCTTTGTAGTTTAATAAAATTCTGTCATGTTGTGATTTGATTTATTTCACTTTGTTTTGTTTTGTAAGACCTGTTAGTTTTATACTTTTATATATTTTAATAATGGTGAATATCAATCTCTTGTTTTTATATTAGAATTTTTTTTAACATCTTTCATAGGCCCAGTCTAGTGGTAATTAGTTTCCCCAGCATTTATTTGTCAGGGTAAGACTTTATATTCTTCATTTGTGAAGGTTATTCTAGCTTGATATAAAATTTTTGGCTGGCAGTTTTCTTTTTTTTCAACACTCTAAAAGTGCCATCCCATTCTCTTCTGGTCAGTAAAGTTTCTGCTGAGAAGTCTGCTTTTAATCTAATGTGGTTTTCTTTATAAATTACTAGATGCTTTTCTTTTGCTTATTTTAGAATTACTTCCTTCACTTTGACTTTAGATATTCTGATTATCATGTGCCATTATGATGTCTGTTTTGCAATATATTTTGTTTATATTTTGTTGTATTTTGTTTGCTGAGCTTCCTGTGTATGTATGTCTAATTCTATTGCTAGAGTTGGAAAGTTTTCATCAATTGTTTTCTTAAATAGGTTTTCTAAACTTTTTGATGTTTTTTCTTCCTCAGAAACACTGATAATTTTAAAGTTTAGTTACTTCATGTAGTTGGAAACAAAGTCTTCATTCTTTTTTATTCTTTTCTCCTTATTTTTGTCTGAGTGTATTATTTTAAAAGACCTGTTTAAAGGTTTGAAAATTATTTTTATGTTTCTTCCAGTCTATTATTGAATCTTTGAATGTATTTTCTTTTGCCTGCAATAAATCTTCAGTTCCATAATTTTTGTTTCAGTTTCTATTAAAAGATATCTATCTCCTTGGAACATTTCCCATTTGGACTCTAAATTTATTTATTTATTTTTGTACTGGTTTTCAGATTTCTCTTGCCTCTCTTTGAGTTTCTTTAAAATCTATATTTTGAAGTCTTTTTAAAGTATTTTAAAGCCATTTCAATGAATTTTTTTTTCTTAGAGTACTGGAGAATTATTGTGTTCCTTTGAAAGTGTCATAAGCCTTGCTTTTCTGTGTTTCCTGTGTCTTTATGTGTCTTTATATTGATTTCTGCACATCTGGAGAAATAGTTGTTTCATTTTATTTTCGAATTTACATTCATTGGAGGAAGTTTTTTTTTTTTTTTGAAGTTATTACCATAATGTTTATTGCATAGGGCCATGTGGCTTTACTTTTGGGTTTGTGCAGTGGGAAAGACTCTGTATGAGTTTCTTCAGTATAAACAAATATATATATATACACACACACATACACACACACATATATATACATGTCTGTGTATGTGTGTGTTTATAAATACATATATATATAAAACAAATGTTTTATTGGCTCGGGGTCATCTTTTCTCTTAGGTTGATTTTGAATTCTAAGTCTAAGTCTAAGTCTCAGAAAACAATAAATTTATCTTTGTTGTGTTGGTCATTGAGGGCCAGCACACCTGACATGAAAGAGTAAGAAGGTAGGGTGGGGTAGATGGTGAGAAATTACTTAATAGTTATAATGTACATTATTCGAGTGATGGATACCATAAAAGCCCTGACTTCACCACTATGCAATCTATGCATGTAACTAAATTATACTTGCACCCAACACATTTGTATAAATAAATTAAACACAACCACTAGTTAAAACTTGCTATCTTGCTTATTCATACATACAAATACGTTATAAATGTTTCCCATGACATTAACTATTATTGATACAGGAGTTAAAAGCAGGAGAACGGCATGAACCTGGGGGGCGGAGCCTGCAGTGGGCGGAGATCACGCCACTGCACTCCAGCCTGGGCGACAGCGAGAATCCATCTCAACAAAAACAAAAATGAATAAATAAATAAATAATTTAGGCAGATAGTGAGTGAGGGCAAAAACAGTCCTTGGTAAAGTTTTCCTTTTAATAAAAACCCCCAAATTATTTCTTTTTAACAAAGAGCAGCCTGTAAGATTGAGCTGCAGACATAGATAAGCGAGCTGGAAGCTTGCATGAATAAATGCCTGCAGCTCTGCTAATAGGAAAAGGAGCTACCTGGAAAGGACACATGTTCAAAATGGTGGCTCCATCTTCCCTTTTCTTTGTAAACCACGTGTAGAGTAACGAACAGGCAACATGGTGCTGGCAAGTGCTCCATTTGCATAATTGAAGATTAGCTAGCTTCCTCCTAAGCTGTGTAAACATCCATACCTGATCCAGCCAATCTTTGGCCCCTATGTAAATCAGACACTGCCTCCTGAAGGCAGTCTGTAAAATCCAGTGCACTTCTCTGCAAGCTAAAAGTCCCACTCTTTCTCAGGAGAGAGAGCTATTCTCCTTTCTCTTTCTTTTGCCTATTAAACCTCTGCTCCTAAACCAAGTTTTTCTGTGTCCATGTACTCGATTTCCTTGGTATGAGATGATGAACCTCAGGCATTCACCCCAAACAAGTGATTCCACTTCATTATGTTAAAATTAATATATTAGTTAAAATTACTATATTAAGAAATGTAGCACATTTTAAAGGCTGCTGATGCACAGTGTAAAACCTGCCATATACAAATATGACATCAAATTGTACTTCCGGTAACAGTGTTAGAAAGCTCTTGTTTCCCTACAATTATCATTTATGAAGAGTTTAATGGAACATGTTATTTTAAAAAGTATTTTCCGGGGTTCCAAGATGGCCGAATAGGAACAGCTCCAGTCTACGGCTCCCAGCATGAGTGACGCAGAAGACAGGTGATTTCTGCATTTCCAACTGAGGTACTGGGTTCATCTCACTGTGACTTGTTAGACAGTGGGTGCAGCCCATGGAGTGTGAGCTGAAGCAGGGTAGGGCATCACCTCACCCAGAAAGCGCAAGGGGTCGGGGAATTCCCTTTCCTAGGCAAGGGAAGCCGTGACAGATGGTACTTGGAAAATTGGGACACTCCCACCCTAATGCTACACTTTTCCAACGGTCTTAGCAAACGGCACACCAGGAGATTATATCCTGTGCCTGGCACGGAGGGTCCCATGCCCATGGAGCCTTGCTCACTGCTAGCACAGCAGTCCGAGATCAAACTGCAAGGTGGCAGCGAGGTTGGGGGAGGGGCGTCCACCATCGCTGAGGCTTGACTAGGTAAACAAAGCAGCCGGGAAGTTTGAATTGGTTGGAGCCCACTGCAGCTCAAGGAGGCCTGCCTGCCTCTGTAGACTGTGCCTCTGGGGGCAGGGCATAGCTGAAGAAAAGGTAGCAGAAACTTCTGCAGACTTAAACATCCCTGTCTGACAGCTTTGAAGAGAGTAGTGGTTCTCCCAGCACAGAGTTTGAGATCTGAGAATAGACAGACTGCCTCTTCAAGTGGCTCCCTGACCCCCGAGTAGCCTAACTGGGAGACAACTCCCTGTAGGGGCCAACTGACATCTCATACAGCCGGGTGCCCCTCTGAGACGAAGCTTCCAGAGGAAGGATCAGGCAGCAACATTTGCTGTTCTGCAATATCTGTTGCTCTGCAGCCTCTACTGGTACCCAGGCAAACAGAGTCTGGAGTGGACCTCCAGCAAACTCCAACAGACCTGAAGCCTGAGGTTCCTGACTATAACAAACCTCCACGCTATGCACATGTACCCTAGAACTTAAAGAATAATAAATAAAAAGTTTAAAAAATTCCAGTTAAAAAAATTCTTTTTTGGTATGTGAAAAACTGGCGTCTCATTATTTTAATATGCATTTTAGTAACTATTTAGGTAACTTGGTTTTATATATGTTTAGTGTACTACTTTTGAATTACCTAGTAAGGTCTTCTGCTTATTTTGCTACTGAATTATTTAACTTTTTACTGATTTGTATAAGCTTTTGGTAACCCCATTATAATAATCATTTGTTCAAAATTATTTTACATATATCTCCATTCAGCTCCTAGTGTTCATATTCAATGTTTTTGAGAGAAAAGAAGTCCGTCCCTTCTAAAATTGTCTACTCTCTAAGGAGTTTAAATAAGTACCAATTAGTAAATACAATTAGGGAAGTTTAAACATTGTCTAATTGAATTTGATTTGTGGAAAATAAATGTTTCTCACCTTCTATTATTATTTAACCATGTATAGGAAGGCAGCCAATACATTCTGGGCTGAAAAGTCTCTTTTTAAAAAGGGAAAATGTATTCTATCAAAAAGGGTACCAAATTACAAGTTTGCACTGCACGTTGCTGAACACATTGTCTTTTTTCAAGCTTAAACTTTCTAAAACGTTAGCAGTGTTCCCTCTGAAACACAGAGCTGCTCACATTACAGCCCTGCTCCAAAACATTTGATGGCTCATAACAGCCTACACAGCTGAGCCCCTCATCCATTTTCCTAAGGCCAGTATCTCTCATCATGCCAACTCTACACAACACTTCCAAACTATATTCTCTTGTCACACTCTACTTCTTGTCCTACCCTGTCCTCAAATAAGCCTTATATTTTAATACTTCAAGTCCTGTACTTAAACTACTTTTTTGCCTAAATTTACATTTCTTCTTTCCCACACTCTTCCTCTACACATGGAAAACATGTACATTTGAGGGTATCACCTTTTCTTTGCACTGCAACTTTTCACTTGCCAGTTCTCCACTTGTTCTTGCTGTTTGTGAGTCACTGGTGAATTTTAGAACTAGAACCATATTATATCAATCTTTATAGTTCCGCAGCCTGGTACCAGGTGTGGGCATCAAAAAATGGTTCCCAATCCAAGCTTGCTGAAAGTGATATTCAACAGATGACAAAAGAAAGGAGCCAGAATGCTGGTCTGCTAATCCACATTGCTTTCCACTATTGCTTTGCTGAAACTCTCCCAATGTCATGAGAAATATAACAATGATAATAATAATACTAGCAGTAAATAGAGAAGACAAGTCAGTTAAAATTGAGCTGGTAGCATGCATGACTTCATTTCTCTATTTATTCCTAGTTTCAAAATAGTCCTTATCCACAGATAGGAAGAAACAGGAAACAGACCCTCAAGTGCTTATCACAATGCAAGATTTCCCAATTTCATAACTTGTTCAGGCACCCTCATAAAAGAATCTAGGCACACTGGTGACCCCATCTCAAACATACTCAAAACACAGAAGGTCTTCCTCTCACTGTCCTCCAGTACATGTGGCTCCTCCTGCTTAAAAAGCAAAACAACAAAGAAATAATACCTCCCAGAGGCTATCACAGTTGAGCTTGGACAAATCTTTAGATTAGATGAGTAGTCAAGCCAATTCAATTGTTGCCTTTACTTGGCTCATATCACGTTATGAACTTTTTAGGATCACCCCAATGCAAATTCTGAGGCAAAACCTTGAGTTTCTATAATATGTAAAGTAACAATAACCTATTATAACAAACCAATAGACCTGTTCTCAAGGCGTTGGGCCTACCCAAAGCAAAACTAAATTTCCCAAACACTTATGAGTGTACAGTTTGAAATCTCTTCAAAAGGAGGTTTCATATGGGTCCTTGAATAGGGCTCAGCACTTCCAGTGAGGTTAAAAGTGGGTGTCCACAAAAAAGGTTTCAAAAGATAAGAGAGTCCCCCATGATCCACCACACAGAGGACCAGCAGAATCGCAGAGTCCATGCCCACCCTTTTTCACTTCTGGAATATTTCCCACCATGTGAAAGACCACCTCTTTTTCACACATTATCCTTTGCAATGAGAACATGGTAAAAATTTGATCCTTGACAGGCTTTGTTCAGGGTTTCACTCTTCTTTCCCACTGGGTCTCAGCCTGCTAGTATTCTGCTTTAGTGTCTTGTTGAACCTCCCCTCTTTAAGGGCACACAAATCCAAGTCAGTCAGTTCATGTAGTAACACGACCTATGCAAGCCCCTCAGTCCACAGAATACCAATCTCCATTCCTGATCATCACAGAAGGGAAGGTCCCACTTATGTCGTCAAATATTAGGTAAAATGAGGTGTTGACTAGGTAAGCTGTGATTTATTTCTGGAAATCAGGACCCTGTCCTGGCACACTTATACTTTTTCCTTGGGGTGCCCATCTTTTCGCTTGATGTGCCTAACAGGGAGAACTCTGCACACAGGAGATTTTCAGTTAGTATTTGTTTGGTGAACGAATCGTGTCTCTATGGTAGGTAGTCCGGCAGGGGTCAGAAGCACAGCCCTGGAGACAAACTTAACAGTTTGAGTTCTAATAGCTGGCTGCCTCCCTGGGTCTCTGTTTTCTCACGTGAATCCTGAGGATAATAATTACATCTACATCCCTCTGTCATGTAATGAATGAAAAAGATGATGTGTTAAAAAAAAAATTAGGATGCTGGTAGCTAGTGGTCAGTAATTGTTAGATCTTATGACTTCTGCTCTTACTGCCATCATGGTGAGTGTGTTTCTATGTAAAAAAGCTAACAACCAACAAAGGGTGAAAATTAAAGTTCAACTTTTGATTATTGACTTACAGACTGGATTCCTATCGATTAATAATAGGTCTAGCACAGGTAGAAGAGAAACAGAAAGATTTAACTTCTGGTTTATATGATTTAATGCAAATACAAACAAACCTGGCTAAGAAATGGTTTTCACCAAAGTTTGTCTGCAACTTGAATATTGTAGGTTAAACTTATTTAAAAGTACTCTAGACAGATTTGTTTGTAATAGAAGCATGTCATAGTTTCTGGTTAGGACTGGATTTCTGTTTATTTAATTTTCTGAAGAGACACCAGAGACAGCCCTAGCTACTATCAGACTTCTTAGAGACAAGCTGGGCAAATGAGCCCTTACAAAACTCCATTTACTGTAAAGATAATAATGAAATAAATAATAATCTCTAAACATAAGAATTTGACCAGTGTTAACCACTCCACTTCTCCAATACACTGATACTTCTCCCTTTCTCTTAGCATAACACAAAACAAACACATGACCACACACTATCCACTCTCCAGTGCAGAACAGAGTAACAAAGGCGCACAGCAAGCTTCAGAACACACAGACCACCATGTTCACCACATCTACATCTAGAGCTGCTTAAAAAAAGCCAAATCCATGAGAAACGGAGAAGATGAGTGACTACCCTGTTTTCAGCACTTACTGTCACAAGAAGACCAAACATACACACACACTCTCATTCTGAGGCACAGCATCCGCTTTCCTGAAGAAAGAGTAATTTTACAGCATATATCCTGATCTCACATTCTTAGCAACATGACACTGGCTTTGGGCATGCAAAGAATAGGCATATTACAGACAACCCTAAGACACATCGCATGGCCTGTATTACCAGATATAATTTTTAATTTCTCTGAAGTAAACTCAAATTACTTCTCTGAAGTAAACTCAAATTTCAAACTTGTATTTCTTTATTAACTTAATTAATTTCCTCAGGGACTTCACAGAAAATATATTCAACTTTCATTCACTTAGTCTTACCACAATAGAAGGTCTAACATATACAGAAGACAGCCATATGTAAGACATGCCCATACCCCAAAGCATAGAAAATGTAACACACCAGGGCCTTGAGGAAGCAGCACTATAACAGTGCAAATACACAAATATTTAGGAAAACTTACATCACCCAACAGACAGCATGTATGGTCACCATTATCCAGCACTCTCCAAAATAAGTAGCTATGAGTGGCTTATCTAAAAGTTGCCTTATATATACTTGTCACCACAAATTGTTTCTGAACATACTATTGATTCCAATTTTGGATATTCACAACATGGTAATTATCTGGTAAGATATATTTATGACTAACTTGTAATTAGACTTCTAAATGCATGCATACGCTTGGGTCACAGTGAGGCAAAAACTCTGAGTTATTTGTAGAGTACCTTAAGATTTAACTTTTCAAAAACCATATTTAAGCTTAGCTTTAGAAGTATTCTTCCCAGCATCCCTTCACCAAGCTATTTCAATTTTTTAAAGTGAGGAGTAGGGAGGGCTTTTTAAAGTATTATTCCTTTATATTCAGTTTCTCTTATCCCATATAGAAATGGAATAAAGCATGGTGTCCATCCTAATGATATTTATGGTGTGGTGATGCAGAATTATCCATGGGCTCAAGCAAGAGATGAAAAATCATATTCTCCCCAAAATGGGAAAATCAGTGCTACCAGGGGCCCAAAGGGATGTTCAGGTTACATCTGTCAGGATTAATACCATAACAGAGGACCATCTTTGGAGCACAGTGGGGCTCACCTCCGATTCTGGTGAGTCATGTGGATGACATCAGAGACAAGCATTACCCAAAATGAGCATCCCAATAAGACTTTCATGTGAGATGGTATTAGAAGACTTTCTTTCTTTTTTTTTTTTTCTTTTGAGACGAAGTCTGGCTCTGCTGCCAAGGCTGGAGTGCAGTGGCACAATCTCGGCTCACTGCAACCTCCACCTCCCAGGTTCCAGTGATTCTCCCACCTCGGCCTCCCGAGTAGCTGGGATTACAGGCGCCCGCCCCAACACCCGGCTGATTTTTATATATTTAGTAGAGGCGAGCTTTCACCATGTTGACAAAGCTGGTCTCGAACTCCTGACATCAGGTGATCCGCCTCAGCCTCCAGAAGTGCTGGGATTACAGGCATGAGCCACCATGCCTGGCCGCGAGTCCCAGTAAAACTTTTATGTGAGATGGTCTTAGAAGATGGTGGCCTAATTCACACGGAAGAGGATGGCTGTGCAGCCAAGTGAGACAGATATTTTTTCTCAGGAGCAGAAATCTTAAGGTAGAAGATGGTCACTCGCTGAGTAGTTGAGGCATGCCTTGATGGAACTCTCTGGGGGTCAGATTGCATGCTGTCTCCCTGAGTTGCATAAAGCACAGGACAGCCTGCCTGCACTCCAGCTTCTAGCATGTACCAACTCAGCAGACAACATCACTATTTTGTTTGCCATTAAAATACACAGTACTTTGTTTGCCATTAAAAAATATAGTACAATCTCAAGGACTGCTTAGGGGTAGGTAGAAAGTCTGTCATCACCAGAAGTATTTAAATGCTGGCTAGACAAATACTCTGTGGAAATAAGTTTCACTCTTTGTGAAAGGGGTAAAATGAATCATTTTCTTTGGCACTGACAGAGCTAGTGAAGATCTTAGCATCCAGTAGATAAACAGCAACTTCCGTTTACTACATAAACTTTATTTTCACAGATTACTGCTGAAGCAAAATATTGATACATCTCTAAGACATTAAGCATATCACAAGACCACTTATGTTCTTCATGGGCTTTCAATTAAGAAATGACTTGAAAAATCAGGCCTTGAAAGGAGTTCTGATGCTCCTAATTAGCATCAGAACTGCTCTGATGGGCTTAAGCCATCCTGAGAGTCCTAGCTTGCTTCCTACCCGAAGTCTCTTCTCATGAATCCTATGCTTCCAAGTCAAACAGATAAAGCATCACTAAATCAAATACAAACTTCAACACTCTTAACATTTAGGTGTACATCTCATCTGAAAATCATTCAAAAGCTCAGGTCATCTACAAGAAATCTTTTCTTTGCATTTTAGTATCAAAAAATTGAAAGAAGGAAAAGAATAGGAGAAAGCCATTTATTTTCATAGAATGTAATTTATTTTCAAGAATGTAACATTGGTTTATCAGTTACATAAGTACATTTAATGCGTCATCCATGCCAGGTACATAATTTTTAACCAACTAAAACACATTACAAGTGGAGAAATAGCTAAAAACATGGAAAACATATACATAACTCTTTAAAGGGTAGGGAACATGCCCTGTTCATATACATTGCTTAATCCAGCATTCCAGTCTCAATGAGGCACCACCATCCACCCAGCTATAAAATCCAAGATCAGGAAGTTATCTATCCCTTCCCCACACCATCCAATCAGCAAGCCTCTCTTACCTCTTAAACCTTTATCAAATCCATTTGAGCTCCCATCTTTACTGTCACGATGCTGCAGGCCATCACTGCTTTTCAAAGTTTTCATAAACTAGCCTTCTAACTGATCTTCCAAACAGAAGGCCAATCATTATTTCCTTCTACCTGGTCTATTTACTACTTGGGTAAAAATAGTCCTTAGCATGCAAATTTCATCATACTACTTTTTGGCCCAACAGTTTTCAAAGCTTTCCAGAGTTCTTACAATCTGCTCTAGCCCCTATCTACTTCATCATTCCTGTCATTCACCTCATTCAGTGTCTTTTCTTCTTCCAGACACTGTACTTCCCCCATTTCCCTGACACATCCACCTTTTCAACCTCAGGGCTTTTGTACCAGCTGTTCTCTGAAGCATTCTTTTTCCTTCTATCACACATCCTTCAGATATTAGCTCAAATGTTACTTCCACAGGATGCCTTCCTTGACCTGCATCCTGGCATCCTCCATTCCTCTCCCATACACAAAGGCCAAACTTTACTTCATAGCTTCTTGTCATACTTAACTTTGAGCAGTTAACACTGATAGAAGTGACCTGTTCATGGCTAGATGAGTCTCTCTCATTGTGATCTATCTTTAATGAGATTAGCAACTGTATGTCTTTGCCATACCGGTAGGCTTGGTGGTAAAGACAGAACCTTCACAAGCAGATATTTGGATATTTATGGACTAAATACAGATCTGTAAAAGTAAAAAAAAAAATGGGAATGGTAAATTTGGTAGTAAAAAACTGTCTTCTAAAAGGAGGCTAAGTCCGATAGAAAAAAATTGTACTTAGGAAAATTAAGTTGTGAAACCTTAAGCTTTTGAACACAAAAATCGTTCTTTGAAAACTTAATTTCATAATTTAAACACAAATCAAATTCAGAGAAACACAAGTTAAGACTCCTTTAAGTTACTCTTGGTTTAAAACTTTGACGTAGAATATTTTAACCAAATACATATAGATTTAACCAACCAAATCACAGAAAACCTGTTCGGGTTGTTAATTAAACCATTATAAACCACTTAACAAACAATTAAAACTCTAAAGTAAAAGATAAAATGGCTTAAAAAAATCTATTTTCTGTATCACAGAGGAAAATACACAAGCCTCCTCAGAAATGAAACTAAGTTAGAATCTTATGTCTAAATGTATCTGCCAGGTATGAGTCTAAATACTAGTTAGCATGTAAGCACTTATTAAAAGACATTTAAAGTTAGTAACGTATCTTTAATCAATCAGGATTTCATCTTGTATAAAGATACTAAGGATACTTCACCCATAATGCAAACTTTTTCTTTGTTAAAAATTTATTGTTTGACAAAAAAAACCCATTCAAATGTTTCACCTCGTGTTTCAGAACACCTACCTTATCTTCTGGGTATCCCTTTTATTTCTGAAGATACATGTACCTCTTTTAAAAGAAAGTTAAATTTTTGATTTTTAGTAGTTAGAACAATGCTTTGTTGTTTTTAACAATAAAGTATCAGGGTAAAGTATGTTCTCCTAAAACAGTACACATGATTCTTTTTATAAATATGATATATAATCAATTATTATCAAGTATGTACATTGCACACACATCAAGCAAGATTTATACCCTGTAGGTTTCTGGTATTGCATTCAATTTTTAAAACCAAGAATTATGGAATAAAGAGAATTTATGTACAAAGCAACACTCCTATTAACTCATGCCACTAGTGAAACAAAACTCTAAATAAGTAGAGAAAACGGGTTCACACATTGGAGCTCTGAAATGATCTGGGTCCTTTATCTGTGCATTTATTTTTCCTATTGAATTTGAAGTTCAAACCAAAATCCATTAAAAATGTTTAGAATTATTAAAGGCCACAGTGTGACAGCTTTTAGTGCAAGCAGGCATTAGCAAGCATTTTCTTTTCTCTTTAAGCTGAGCCAGCTTTTGTTTTAGAATTTCTGTAATTCAACAGTATTTCCCACCAAAGCACCAAAATCTTTTCCACCTTGCAGCAAACTACTGCATGACAGATGTGCCAAAGTTGTTAGTTTATACCCACTTCCTTTGCTGAATGTGTAGTAATAGTTAGGCCTTAGCTTCCAATTTACATGATGGTATTCTCCAAAATCTTCAAAAATTTCATTTTTATATCGGAAATCAGCATGCAAGTCCAGGCATGGTGTCTTATGCCTGTAATCCCAGCATTTTGCCAGGCCAAGGCAGGCGGCTCACCTGAGGTCAGGAGTTCAAAACCAGCCTGACCAATGTGGTGAAACCTGTCTCTACTGAAAATACAAAAATTAGCTGGACGTGGTGGTGGGTGCCTGTAATCGGAGCTACTTGGGAGGCTGAGGCAGGAGAATTGCTTGAAACCGGGAGGCAGAGCCTGCAGTGAGCCAAGATTGTATCACTGCACACCAGCCTGGATAACAGAGCAAGACTCCACCTCTCAAACAAGTAAAATAAATAAATCAACATGTAGTAGTCAGTGAGCACCAACCATGCAATTGTGCTAGGTACAGAAGATGGAAAAAATATTCTTGAGGTGGGAGAAACATGTTAACAGATAAATTACAGCAGACAGACTTGATAGATGGGGGTAAAAGTTATTAGGAACAGAAGGCCTAATTTTCCCTAGAAAAGGTAGTATTTGAGATGGGTCTCAACAGAAGAGTAAAGAGTAAATATTCTTTGCTGGGGGAAGGGGATGGAGACAAAACAAAAAGAACAACCCGTGCAACAACAGAGGCAGTAAAGAATTATTCAGTGTGGCAGTGATGTGGAAGACAGAGACAAGAGCCAAGACTAGCAATTTGGTTTGGAAGCAGATGAGGGTCTTTGTAAAACAAGTGAAGGAGTTTGGATTTTTCTTTTTGTAGACAACAGGGAGGGAAGAGATGTTATTAGGCAGGCAAACAATGAGAGCAGCTTTCATTTTTGAGGATGATGACTCTGGCAGCAGGGTGGAAGATAAACAGCAGTAGAGAGAAACTGGAGGCAGAAAATTAACTCAAGAGGTACTTATGACTCAATGAGGACCTTAGGTCAGAAGTGATTAAACAGCCAAAGTCAGTGACCGGAGCATGGTTTTGGGGAGAGCCTGGTGACTGATTGGACATGGGGGTGAGAGAGACATGCATCAGGACAGCCATCAGTAATGTTCCTGGCCTAGTAGGTTGTGTACATGGCAATCACCTTCCAGAAGGAATGGAGATTACTTTCATTTTTACAAGTACTTGCAGGGTGAGCGACTTGTAGTGTGATCAAGATGACAAAAGATCACTGCTTCAGAAAAATTGTAAGTGAAAATATAGAGTTAGAGTTGTCAGTTTATAGGTTAGAGGAGAGGGCACAAAAGCACCAGAATGCACAGGGCACTCTGCAGGAACAGAACTCACGCCCAGGTATGGGACCACAAAGGTTGCTGCAGAGAACAGGCATTGGGCACCTGGCAACTGACACCAATGGGATGCTTACAGTCTGTCCACTGATTTAAGAATTGTAAAACAACTATTCACAAGTGTTGCACATGTCTCTAAGGTAAGTGGGAGCCCAGACCACTTTGGGGGCAACTGTCTGCTTACTGCACGCAGCCCTTTCTTTTCTGGAATTTAGTCTCCTCATCATCCTGCCTTCTCCCTTGCCTATCTCCTGCTTGTGTAATAAAGTGGAAAGTGGAAGGGCAGAACAAGGCTCAGATCAGTGGCACTTGTTTGCTAAAAGTATACTAGACAGTTCTGGTGTGAGGCCTGGGGTCCCAGATCATATAAATTATCACTGTCTCCTTTATTGCATCCCTGTATTATCCCCATCCCTCTCAGCCAGGGTAGCTGGCTGACATCCACTCTCTCAAGAGGACATGCATGGACAGAAGACCTGGCTCAAGAAACAGCGCTCTATGAAAAGGGCGGATAGTTATGTAACAATTTTGCAAAAACTTGAGAAATTAAAATAAGGGAGACTATGAATGCAAAAACATTAGAGAGCTTGCGCCCAGAAGTTTCAGACCAGACTAGGCAACGTGTTGAGACCCCGTCACTAAAAAAGAATTTAGTCAGGTGTGATGGGCCACGCCTGTAGTCCCAGCTACTCGGGAGGGTGAGGTGAGAGGATCTCTTGAGGCTACAGTGAGTCATAATCTTGTGCCACTGCACTGCAGCCTAGGTGACAGAGCAAGATTATTTCTCATAGAATATATCTATAAATATATATGTGTATATATATATGTATACATACGTATATACATACATATGTATATACGTATATATATATATATACTTGGCCGCCTGAGTTAGGCCGGATTAGTACTATCCTCCAAAAGCTAATATAAATGCACATCAGTTCTTTCTAGCGCAGCGCTGAAGAGGGTGCCACTACTTGTGCTGGGTGCTGTTTGGCATGGCCAGTGGCACAGTAAGAGAAGGAGTAGGAGTGGAGGAGTGAAGAAAGAGGAGGAGGAGAAGAGAAGAAAAGGAGGAGGAAAGAGAAGAACTAGAAGAGAAAATGAGAAGAAGATAGTAAGAAGAGAGGAAGTGGAGAAAAAAAGGAGAGGGGGACAACAGGACCAGGAGAGGAGAGGAGAAAAGGGAAGCTAGGAGGAAGTAGGGAGAAAAAAGGAGGAGAAGAAGAAAAGAATGAGGAAAAGAGAAGAGGACGAGAGGAGGAGGAGAGGATGAGAAAAAGAGGAAAGGAGGAAAGGAAGAGAAGGAGGAGGAGGAGAAGGAGGAGTAGAGGAGATGGACAAGGAGGAGGAGGGGACAAGGAAGAGGAGAAGACGAAGAGAAAGGAGAGGAGGAGAATCGGGAGCAGAAGAAGGAGGAGGAGATGAAGAGGTGAAGGAGAGGAGGAGGAAAGGAGAAGAGAAGGAGGAGGAGAAAAGAAAGGAGTGGAGAAAGAGGAGAGGAGGAGAAAAAATAGGAAACGAAGAGGAGAAGAATAGGAGGAGGAAAAGGATGGGAGAAAAGAAAAAGGAAAAGTAGGAGGAGTAGAAAAAGAGGAGAAGGAGGAAGAAGAAAGAGAAGGAGGAGACGAAAAGAATGAGAAAAAGAGGAGAGGAGAATGAGGAGAAGGCGTAGAAGAAAAGAAGGAGGAGAGGATAAAGAAGGAGAAGTAGAGGAGGAGGAGAGAAGAGGAAAGGAGGAGGAGAGGAGAAGAGAAGGAGGAGGAGAAAGGAGAAGAGAAAAGGAGGAGGAAAAGAAGGAAAAGGAGGATGGGAGGAAGAGAAGAGGAAAAGGAAAAAGGAAGAGGAGAGAAAAAGGAAAAGGAGGAGAAGAGTAGAGGAGAAGAAAGGAAAAGGAGGATGATAGGAAGAAGACGGAGGAGAAGAGGACAGAGAAGTAGAGGAGAAAAAAGGAAAAGAATGGGGAGAAGGAGGAAAGTAGGAACAAAGAAAAGGAGGGGGAAGAGAGTAGGAGGAAGAGGAAGGGAAGAGGAGGAAAGGAGGGGGAGAGGAGGAGGAGGACGAGGAGAAGATGGAGAAAAGGAAGATGAGGAAGAGAAGGAGGGGAGGAGGAGAGAAGAAAGAAGAAAAGGAACAGGAGGAGAGGAGAAAGGAGAGGAGAAGAAGGAGAGAAAGGAAAAGTAAGAGGAAGAGGAGAATGTGGATAGGAGAAGGAGGAAGAGAAAAAGGTGGAGAGGAGGAGAGGCGAAGGAAAAGGAGGAAGAACTGAAAAGGAGGAGAGGAAAAGGAGACAAGGGGAGGGGAGGAGGAAGAAAAGAAAAAAACGGGAGGATGAGGAAAGGAGGAGGAAACAAAAAGGAGAAAGGACGAGGAGAAAAAGAGGAAAAGGAGGAGGAGAGATGGAAGAGGAGAGGTGGTGGAGGGGAGTAAAAAGGAGAGGAGGAGGAAGGGAAGAAAGATGAGAGGAAGAAAAGGAGAGGAGGAGGAAGAAAGGGGAGAAGTGGAGGAGGAGGTGGGGGAGAAGTGGAGGAGGAGGTGGGGGAGAAGTGGAGGAGGAGGTGGGGGAGAAGTGGAGGAGGAGGTGGGGGAGAAATGGAGGAGGAGGTGAGGAAGAAGAGGGGAGAAAGAAAAAGGAGCAGGAGAACATGAATGGGGAGGAAGAAGAGATGAGGAGAGGAGGAGAAAAGTGAGGAGGAGAAGACGAAAAGGAATGGAGGAGATGGAAAGGAGGAAAAAGGAGGAGGAGGAGAAAAAAGTTATCACTTTGTGACAGTAATTATGACTCTTTTCATGGCTTTTGGATTAAAGTTCAAACTCAACAGGAGAGACACACAGATAAAAAATCCAGATTATTTCAGAGCTCAATTTCAGAGCTAAAGGAAAAGATATGTGGTAATACACCTGTGGACGTTGCCAATGCAAAACAGTTGCATTGTTTTGGTTTTGGATCCAGACATATGTCACCATAGGCAATGTATGCAGTGCCTAGGAGAAAGTAGAGAGCCACAACAGTTAGGTGCTGGGCCTAGTGATACATCACAATCCCTTTTTGGTCAGAGACCAAACAGTAGAGGAGAGCCATATCACCTAGGTTCTAGGTCCAGCAATACATCACAATACTTTCTGAGAGGAAGACCAAAGCAGGAGCGCCACATCACCTAGGTTTGAGAGCCCCAGAGATATGGCACAATGCCTTCTGTGGGTAGGGCTCAGGAAGAAGAGGAAAGTTACGTAACCTAGGGGCTACAGCCAGCTATATGTCACAATCACCCCCAAGGGGCAGGGACGATGCATGAGAGGAGAGTCACATCAAGTAGGTGGTGAGCAAAGCAATATGTAACAATCAGAGGAGAGTGTCATCTCCTACATGCTGGGCCATATGTTACAACATCCCCTATGGGCAAAGCCCAGGTAAGAGAAGAGATACACATCAAATAGTTGATGGGCTAAGAGATACTTCTCAATGCCCCCTGTAGAAAGAGATGAGGAGAAATAAATCAGATTGCCTGTGTTCTGGGCCCAGGGATAAGCCACTATTTCATCTATGGACGTGGCCCAGGCGGGTGAGGAGAGTTACATCACTTAGATGCTGGGAACAGAGATATGTAACAATCTCTTCTATAAGCAAGACCCTGGTAAGAAAAGAAAGATACATCAAATATTTATGGACCCACAGATGCCCCCTTTTTGACAGAGTCAAGGCAAGAAAGTCACATCACCTTGGTCCTGGGCCCAGCAATAGGTCACAATACCTTCTGAAGACAGGGCCAAGGCAAATGAGTAACATCTTGGAGCTGGGCCCAGGATATATGTAACAATCTCCCCTGTGGGCAGAACCTAGGAAGAAGAGAAGTGTCACATGAGCTAGGTGCTGAGCCCAGGGATATGTCACCATCCCTCCAAGCAAGAGATGAGAGTACATTACCTGGGTGAGGAGTGCAGGGAGATATCACAATCCCCTTTTTAGGCTGGGCCCAGGCAGAAGAGTCACATCGCCTAAGTGTTAGAATGAGTGATGTGTCACAATGTCCCTTCTGTGCAGCACCAAGGTAGGAGAGAAAACTTACGTCACCTGAGTGCAAGTCCCAGCGATATGCCACAATGCCTCCTGTAAGAGGCACCAAGGCTTGAGAATAGAGTCATCTCGCCTAGGTTCTGGGTCCAGCAGTATATCACCATTCTACTTGTGAACGAAGCCCAGGCAGGAGAGTCAAATCAGGTGTTTGGCTGAGGCGTATGTCACAATCACACCTTCAAAAAATCCACAGATGAGATTATCAATCCCTCACATGTTCTGGTTCTAGGTATGAGAGTCAACATGTCTTGTATGTTGTGTGAAGTACATGAGTCACAATCTCAACTGTGAACTGGATCTGTGCAGCAGCTTCTCAATGTTTTCTGGGCATTGTGTCCCCTTAGATAAGTCGCAGCCTGACACGTGTGCTAAATTATGGTTTGAAGGTCAACAAATCCATGCATAACAAAAATCCATGTATGAGAGTCAACATTGCAACTTTTGACTGCCTCTAGATATAAGATTCAAATCCTCAACAGTGGGCCATGCTCATGTGAGAGGACAACAATCTTTACTCTTGACTGTGTCTGCTTACTAGTATTACAATCTCACCTTTGAGCTGGGCTCTGTTAGTACACTCTCTGTACCACCCAAAGAATTTATGAGATACATGGTTTGGCTCTATGTCCTCACCCAAATCTCATCTACAATTGTAATCTCCATGTGTCAAAGCAGGCAGGTCATTGGATCATGGGACAGTTTCCCCCATACTGTTTTTGTGATAGTGAGTGAGTTCTCAGAGATCTGATGGTTTTATAAGTGTTGGAAGTTCCTTCTTTATTCACTTTCTCCCTCCTGCCACCTTGTGAAGAAGGTTCCTGATTCTCCTTCTGCCATGATTATAAATTTCCTGAGGTCTCCCCAGCTATGTGGAACTGTGAGTCAATTAAATCCCTTTTCTACCTAAATTACCTGGTCTTGGGCAGTTCTTTATAGCAGTGTGAAAATGAACTAATACAATATGATATGCATGAGAATTGCAATCTGCATTAAGACCTTCATGCTGATATGAGCCCATGATTGTACGTGTCAGTCTAAGCTCAGGTATGAGAGTCAACACCTCCCCAATTGGCTGTGTCTAAATAGAAGAGTACTCATGTGCCTATGAGCTGGGTTTAGAAATGGGTCACTATCCCATAAGTGTCCAGATGTTCACATATGACTGACACAATTCCATCTGTAGACTGTGTCTACGTGTGAGATTCAGGATCTCACCAGTGGGTTGTGTCCATGTGTGAGGATGACTATTTTAAGGATTGGCAGGGTGTGCATACCAGAAATACAGTATTTCTTGTGTCCTTGGACCTGTGATGACACTCTCTGTACCACTTGTGGGCTTTATACAACATGCAAGAGAGTGGTAAACCTCTGTGACCTTTGTACAAAGAGGACACCCAGGATCTTACCTTTTTCCCTGAGCCTTGCTATAAGAGACAGTATCTCTCTCATTGGCTAGTTCAAGGTATGAGAGTCATCATCACCTGTGAGCTGGGCCAAGATATATGTCACAATCACTCATGGATTGGGAGTAAGCAGGAGAGTAACATTACCTTGGTTTGGGGCCAGATATATGTCACAATCTTCTGTGAGGGCTCAGCAATATGTCACAATGATCTACGTATTCAAGACTCAGTCAAAAGAGCCTCACCACCTTGTCGCGGGGTCCAGTGATGTGTCATAATCTTTTCTGTTAGGAGGGTGCAGGCAGAAAAGAAGAGTCACATGTCCTAGGTAGTGTATGCAGATATATGTCACAAGGCCCACTGGGCAGGGCCCAGGCAGGAGCCTCTTATTTTCTAGGTGTTGGACCCAGTGTTATTTCACAATACACCAAATATTTGGGGCCTGGGAGAAAGGACAGTCACATCACATAGGTGCTGGGCCAAAAGATATGTTATAATAACCCTCTTTAGCAGAGCCCAGGCAGAAAAATAAATGTGTCACATCACCCAGGTGATAAACAAAAAGGTATGGCATAATACCCCTATGGGCAGGGCTCATGCAGAAGAGTTGCACCACATAGTTGTTAAGATAGGCCATATGTCACAATACACAATTTATGCTGAGCTCAGGCAGGAGAAAAGAGTAACATTACCTATGTGCTGGGCTCAGCGATACGTCACAATACCTCCTTGGTCAGAGCCCAAGAAGTAGAAGAGAGTTACCTCACCTAGGTGCTGAGTCCATCAATATGTCACAGTACTCACTGAGTGAAGGGCCCAAGAATGAGGATTGCATCATTTAGGTGAGGGGCCCAGAGCTATGTACCCATGCTCCCTGTAGGTAGGGCTTAGGAAGAAAGAAGAGAGTCACATAACCTGTCACATAACCTAGACAGATGAGCCCAGCCCTATGTCAAAATTACAACAGTGATCAGAGTCCAGACATGAGAGGAGAATCACATCACATAAATGTTGGGTGAAGGAATATGTCACCATCCCTACTGGGGACAGAAGCAGAAAAATAAGGAGAATTACACCATCTAGGTAATGGGCCCAGAGATACATTGCAGTGACCCCTGTGGGCAATGACCAGGCAGTAGAATCACATCACCTGTGTGTTGGGCTTAGGGATAATTCACTCTACCTTCTGTGGGCATAGCGCAGGCAAACAAGGAGAGTCACAACACCTAGGTACTGGAATCAGAGACGTGATAATCTCTTCTAATGGCAAAGACCAAGTAAGCAAGAAGAGTCACATCAAATAGTTCATGAACTTAGAGATATGTCACAATGCCCCCTGTGGGCAGGGTCCAGGCAAGAGACTCACATCATCTTGGTGCTGAGCCCAGCAATATGTCAGAAAGCTTTCTGAGGTCAGAACCAAGGCAAAAGTGTAACATCACCTTACCGTTGGGTCCAGAGACACATCACAACCTTTCCTGCAGGCAGAACCTAAAAAGAATAGAAGAGTCACATCAACTCAATGCTGGGCCCAGTGATGAGTCACAATATCCCCTGTGAGCAGAGATCAGGCAGAAGTGAGTCACATCACCTAGGTAATGGATGCAGAGATGTCACAATGCCTCCTGTAGGCAGGGACCAGGCAGGAGAGTTATATCATCTGAGTTTTGGACCCAGTAATATATCACAATGGGCCATGTGGGCAGGGTACAGACAGGAGAATCACATAACTTGGGTGTCACAATGCCTTCTGTGCACAGTGACAAAACAGAAGGGTAGACTCATATTAACTGAATATAAGGCCTAGTGACAGTGATATGTCACAGTGCTGTCTGTGGGCGGTGCCAAGGCAGTGGACTAGAGTCCCATCATGAAGGTACTGGGTTTAGCAAGATGTCAAAATTCCATCTGTGGGATGGGCTCAGGCAGAAGGGTCAAATCACTTAGTTGCTGGACAGAGGTGTATGTCACACAATCTCACATGCAGAAAGATATAGGGATAAAATTAAAATTCTTGCACATGACCCAATTCTAAGTATGGGAGTCAACATCTCCTCTATGTTGGGTCTAAATACATGAGTCACAATCTTAATGGTGGACTAGGTCTGTGCGTGGGAACCTCGCTTTCTTCTGTGCACTATGCCTCCTTAGTAGAGTCACAGCCTCACAGGTGTGCTGAATCTTGGACGGAGAGTCACCAGCCTACCTGTGGACTGGATCCACATATAAGAGTCACTTTTTCAAGTTTCGACTGCCTCCAAATGTGACGTTCAGAACCTCAAAAGTTGGCCGTGTTCACGTGGCAGTATGACAATCTTTATTGTCAACTGGATGTGCATACAAGAGTCAAAATCTCACCTGTGCTGTGCCTTGTCAGGAAACTCATTGTAGCACCAGAGGGCTTTATGCATGAGAGTCTCAATATGCTCTGAGATCTCCCTGCTGGTGTGGACCCATGTTTATAATTTTTACCCTAAGCTCTTGTCTGGGTCAACTTCTCTCCAATTGGCTAGGTCCAAATAGGAGCATCCTCACCTACCTATGAACTAGGTTTAGAAATGAGTCACCTGGCCGGGCGCGGTGGCTCACACCTGTAATCTCAGCACTTTGGGAGGCCGAGGCGGGCAGATCATGAGGTCAGGAGATCGAGACCATCCTAGCTAAGACGGTGAAACCCCGTCTCTACTAAAAATACAAAAAATAGTTAGCCAGGCATGGTGGCGGGTGCCTGTAGTCCCAGCTACATGGGAGGCTGAGGCAGGAGAATGGCATGAACCCGGGAGGCGGAGCTTGCAGTGAGCCAAGATCGCGCCACTGCACTCCAGCCTGGGCGACAGAGCGAGACTCCGCCTCAAAAAAAAAAAAGAAAAGAAAAGAAATGAGTCACCATCCCAACTGTAGCATATGACGGAAACAATTCCAGCTGTGGTCTGTGTTGACGGAAACAATTCCAGCTGTGGTCTGTGTCGACCTGTGAGATTCAGGACCTCACCTGTGGGCTCTGTCCACGTGTAAGGGTGAAAATCCCAATGGATGGTAGTGTAAGAATATGAGAAACCCAATCTCATTTGGATGCTGGGCTCTGTGATGGCATTCTGTTCCACACTAGGGATTTACACCATGTATGAGAAAGTGGTAATTTTCTATAACCTTCATACAAAGAGGAGACATGGGATCTTACCCTTTTCTCTAATCCCAGCTAAAACTGACAGTATCCTTTCTATTGGCTGATGTGTGGCATGAGAGTCGTTATTGCAACTGTTAGTTGGACCAAGATATATGTCACAGTCTTACCTGTGGGTAGGGAGCAAACAGGAGAGTCACATCACCTGTATTCTGGGCCAGGAATATGTCACAATCTTCCCTGACACAAGGGACCAGGCAGAAGAGTCACATCACCTGGGTACTCAGCCAGGAATACGTTACAACCCCTGCAGGGTGCAGGCTGCAGAGTCACCTCACCTCAGTAATAAGCCCAGCAATATGTCAAAATGCTTTCTGTGGGCAAGGCCCAATTACGAGAGACACATCGTCTGTTTGCTGATGCCAGCAATATGTCACAATCTTCCCTGTAAGCAGGGTTCAGGGAGAAGAAGACAGCCACATCTCTTAGGTGATTAATGCAGAGATATGTCACCAGATCCACTGTGGACAGGCCCCAGGCGGAGCCTTCCATTTTCTAGGTATTGGGCCCAGCAATATGTCACAAAACCCAAAACATGTGGGGACCAGGCAAAAAAAAAAAAAAAATCACCTCACCTAGATGCTGGGTCA
The DNA here is from genome assembly GCF_000001405.40 of Homo sapiens. NCBI lineage: Eukaryota > Metazoa > Chordata > Mammalia > Primates > Hominidae > Homo > Homo sapiens. Next base: position 23,316,142 of record NC_000019.10, on the reverse strand, counting down.
AGTGATATGTCACAATCTTCTTATTTGGCAGGTCCCAGGCAACAAAAATGTGTCACATCTCCTAGGTGATGAATAAATTGTATCATATAATACCCCTGTCTTCAGGGCTCATGCAGAAGAGTCGCATCACCTACTTGTTGAGTCCAGCCATTTATTACAATACACAATGTATGTTGGGCAAAGGCAGGAGAGGAGAGTAACATCCCCTAGGTGCTGCATCCAGGGATACACACAATGCCTCCTTGAGCAGAGCCCAAGAAGTAGAGAAGAGTCACATTACTTAGGTTCTGGGTACAAAAATTTCCTACAATACTTCCTGAGAGAAAGGCCTAGACAGAAGTGTCACATGACCTTGGTGAGGGGACAAGAAATATGTAGCAATGTCTCTGGTAGGTAGGGCTAGAAAAAAAGAGAGGCCTCATATAACATAGAGTCAGTGCTCACTTATCTGCCACAATCACACCCATGGGCAGGGCTCAGACAAAAGTGGAGAGTAATATTATGTAGGTGCTGCACCAGGCAATATGTCACAATTTCCACTGTGGACAGGTCCAAGAAAGAAAACGAGAATCACATCACCTAGGTCAGGTCATGGGCCCAAAGATATGTTGCAGTGGCCCTTGTGGACAATAACCAGGCAGAGGAATGACATTGCTTGTGTGCTGGGCCTAGTGGTAATTCATTATCCCTTCTGTGGGCCTGACACAAGCAAAAGAGAAGAGTCACAACACCTAGCTGCTTGGCCCAGAGATACGTCACTATCTCTTCTATGGGCAGAGTCCAGGTAAAACAGCAGAGTCACATCAAATAATTGGTGTGCCCAGAGATATGTCATAATGCCTTCTGTTGGCAGGGCCCATGCAAGAGAGTCACATCACCTAGGTGTTGGACCCAGCCATATGTCACAATACCTCAGGCAAGAGATGATAGTCACACCATTTAGGTCTTGAATCCATTGAAACATTACAATTTTTCCTTGAACAAAGGCTAAGCAGTCAAAGAGAGTTACACCACCTGCTTTAGGTCCAGCAATACCTGACCCCTGAGAGGAGGGCCCATGTAAAACGATAACATCATCTAGGTGAGAGGCCTAGAAATATGTCACAATTTTCTGTGTGGGTAAAGATCAGAATGAAGAGGGAAGTTGCATAACCTAATAGGTGGGCTGACGTATATGTCACAATCACTCCAGTGAAAAGAGTTCAAACATGAGAGAAGAGTCACACCACATAGGTGCTGCATATTTTGCAATACAGAATATATGCAGAGCCCAGAAAGGAGAGGACAGTCACATCACCTAGGTGCTGTGCCCAGCAATAAATTGCAATCTCTTTTAGGGCAAAGCCCAAGCAGTAGAGGTAATCCTTGCTGCTGGACCCAAAAATATGGCACAATACACCCTGAAAAAAGAGCCCAGGAAGAAGAGTTACGTCATCTGGGGAGGGTTCCAAAAATATGTAAACATGCCTTCTGTGGGTAAGCCTCAGGATGAAGAAAAGAGAAAAATAACCTAGGGGCTGGGGCCAGCTGCAGTTACAACCTCAGTGAGCAGGGCCCAGGCATGAGAGGAGAGTCACATAACACAGATGCTGTGCCAAGTGATATGTCACAACTCGCACTGTGGACAGGTCTCTGGAAATAAAGGAGAGTCACATAATCTAGTTTATGGTCGCAGAGATACATCACAATGTGTGTATCTCTTGTCTTTATGGACAGGAACCAGCAAGAACAATCACATCTCCTGTGGGCTGCATCCAGGGACAAGTTACCCTCCCTTCTGTGATCAGAGCCCAGGAAGAAAAGAAGAGTCACATTACCTAGGTGGGCCCAGAGATGTGTCACAATGTCACCTGTTGGCAAATACCAAGTAAGAGAGGAGAATAACATCAAATAGATAATGGGTCCAGAAATATGTCACAATTCCCCCTGTTCGCAGAATCTAGGCAGGAGACTCACATCACCTGGGTTTTAGACCTAGGAATATGTCACAAGATGCAATGTGGGCAATGCCAAGACAAAAGAATAAAAAACATACACCCTAGGTGCTAGGGGCAGGAATATATGTCACAATTCCATGTGACATTCATGGACCTACACCTAGGGTATTTGCCTGTATTGTGACATTCTCACTCAGGTACTTGGCAGAAGTGTATGTGATAATCAGAGCTGCAGGTAGGTTCAAGGATAAGATTAAAGATCCTACACGTGTCCCTGTTCTGGCTATGAGAGCAAACACCTCTTGTATGTTGGGTCTAAGTACAAAATTCACAATATTAACAGTGGACTGAATTTGTGCATGAGAACTTCAATCCCTTCTGTGGACTGTGTCTTATTCATGGAATCATAGTCTGAGATTCACCAACCCACCTGTGAATTACATCCATGTATGAGAGTCAATTATCCAACTTTTAACTTCCTCCTAATGTGAGATTCAGAACCTAAGCAGTAAACTGAATTCATGGGCAAGAATGAAAATCTTTACTATGAGTTTTGTGTGCATAAGAGTGTCACAATCTCACCTGGGCCAGAGATAAATGTTACAATCCCCTCCTGAAAGCAGGACACGGGCAGCAAAGTCACCTCACCTGGATGCCAAGCCCAGCAGTAAATTACAATGTTCTCTGTTAGCAAGGAACATGAAGGAGAGACACATCACCTGGCTTCCGGGCCCACTGATACATCACAGTCTCCCCTGAGGGAAGAACATAAAAAGAAGAGGAGTCACATCAGCTAGGTGCTGGGTTAGTCACAGGTCACAATCCCCCCTGTGAGCAGGAACCAGGCAGGAGAAGTGAGTTCCAACAATGTGCCCTGTGGGCAGCACCAAGGCAGGATAATAGAGTCACATCACCTAGGTGCTGGGTCCAAAAATAAGTCACAATCCTGTATGTGGGCTGGTCCCAGACTGTAGGTCAAATCACTCAGGTGCTGGCCAGAGGCATATATCACATTTACACCTGTAGGAAAGTCATAGAATGATATTTACAATCCAGCCATGTCCTGTTTCTAAGTATGTGAGTTAACACCTCATATATGTTGGGTCTAAGTACATGAGTTCATCTCAACAATAAACTGGATCTGTGCATGAGAGGCACAATCTTTCCTGTGTGCTGTTTTATCTGGGTGAAGTTACAGCTTCACAGGTGTGCTGAATATTGGTCTTAGAATCACCTGCCTACCTGTGGACCAGATTCACATATAAGAGTCAATTTTCCAACATTTGACTGCTTTTGGTTGTGAAATCCAGAGCCTTAACAATGGGCTGTGTTCATGTGGGAAGATGACAATCTTTTCTGTCGACTTGGTGAGTCTCACAATCTCACCTATGTATCACCCTAGGGCTTTATACCTGATGCATGAGATTCTCAATCTGCTCTGAGACATTTGTGCTGGTATGAATCATGATTGTACCTGTGGCCTTAAGCCCAAGTATGAGAGTCAACATCTCTCCAATTAGCTGAGTCCAGAATGAAGAATGTTCACCTTCCTATGAGCTGACCTTAAAATGAGTCATCATCCCAACTGTGCTTACATGTTTATGTATGATAGTCACAATCTCAACTCTAGACTGTGTCCACCTATAAGATTCAGGACCTCAATAATGGGCTTTGTTCAAGTGAGAAAATGATGAGAAACAAAACCTCACCTGTGTCTTGGACTCTGTGTTGACACTCTCTGTATCACCCAAGGACTTTCTATGAAATGCGAGACAGTGGTTAATTCTCTATGACCTTCATACAAAAATGAGACCTAGATTTGACCCATTTTCCTAAGCCCAGCTAAGAGAGATAGTATCTTTCATATTGGCTGGCTCAAGTTATGAGAGTCATTGTGACACCTGTAAACTGAACTAAGATATATATGACAGTCCCACAATTGGGTAAGGAGGGAGTGAGCAGGAGAATCACACCATCTGGGTGCTGTGCCAGAGATATTTGCAACCGTCTCTGAGGGCAGTGACCAGGCAGGAGAGTCATATCACGTTGTTGCTGGGCTAGGGTTATGTCATAATTTTTCCTGAGAGTAGGGACCAGCAAGAGAGTCACAGTACCTGTGTTTTCAGCCAGGGATATGGTATAATCCCCTCCTGAAAGCAGGACTAAGGCAGCAGAGTGTCTTCACCTGGTTGCTGGGCCTAACGATATGTCACAAAGTCTTCTGTGGCTAGACCCAATCAGCAAAGGCACATTACCTACTGCTGGCTCCAGTGATGTGTCACAGTACTTTTTTTTTTTTTTTTTGGCATGGCCTAGGCAGAAGACAAAATTTGAAATACCTAGTGATGAACAAAAGACACACCATAATAACCTTGTGGGCAGGACCCATGCAGGAGAGTCACGTCACCTAGGTGTTGGACCCAGCCACATTTCACAATACACAATATACGTGGGGGCCAGGCAGGAAAAGAGAGTTATATCACCTGCTGAGCAGGCTCAGTGATGTGTCACCATCTCCCCTGTGCACAGGGTGCAGGCCAAAGAGGAGAGTCACATTTCCTAAATGATAGATGTAGAGATATGTCACAGGCCTCCTGTGGGCAAGGCCCAGGCAGGAGCCTTTTATTTTCTAGATGTTTAGTGCAAAAATACGTCACAATACCCTAAATATCCAGGGCCCAGACAAAAGAGGAGTGTCATGTTACCTAGAATCTGTGTCCAGTAATATGTCACAATCCCCACTTTTGGCAAGACCGGCAGAAGAGGAGAGACACATCACGTAGGAAATAGACATAAAAAATATATCGTAATGCCTCTGTGAGCAGGACTTATGCGAGAAAGTAGCATCACCTAGGTGTGATAACATGCAACATGTCACAACACACAATATGTGCAGGGCCCAGGCAGGAGAGGAGAGTCACATCACCTGGATGCAGCGCACATCAACACATACAAATTCCTTATTGGTCAGAGTCCAAGATGTTGAGAAAGTCACATCACCTAAATGCTTGGTCCAGCAATATGTCACAATACCCTCTGAGTGAAGGCCCCAGGCAAGAGAGTGAGTCACATCACCTAGGTAAGAGACCCACAGATAAGTCACAATATTTTCTATGACCCAGGTCCTGGCAAAAGAAACACATCATCTGGTTTCTGGATCCAGTGATATGTCAAAATTCTTTCTGTGGTCAGGGTGTAGGCAGAGGTGAAGAGTCACATTTTCCAGGTGATATGTCACAATGCCTACTGTGGGGACGGTCCAAGCAAGAAACTCAACTCACCTTGGTAATAGTCCAAGTAATTTGTAATAGTGCCTTTTGAAGGCAGAGCTAAGGCAAAAAAGTGACATCACCTTGGTGTTGAGTCCAGCGATATGTCACAATGCTTCCTGTAGACATCACCAAGGCAGAACATGAGACTCACATCACCTGGGGGGCAAGGCCTACCAGTATGTCACAATGCCCCTGTGGACATTGTCAAGGAAAGAGTAGAGTCACATCACCTAGCTACTGGGTTCAGTGATATGTCATAATCCCTTCTGTGGGCTGGGCCCACATAAGGAGAGTCAAATCACTTGGGTGCTGGGAAGAGGCACATGTCACACGTGCAAGAAGGTCCAAGGATGAGATTAAAAATTCCACAAAGGTCCAAATTCTAGGTATGAGAGTCAATGCTTCCTGTATGTTGCTTCTATATACATGAGCCACAATCTCTACAATGGACTGAATCCACTCATGAGAGCCTCAATTTTTTCTGTGTACTGTGTTCCCTTATTAGAATCACAGTCTCACAGGTGTGCTAGATTTTGATCTGAGAGACAGCAGTCAACCTGTGGACCAGATCCACTCATGAGAGTCAATTTTCCAACTTTTGACTGTCTCCAGGTATGAGATTCAGAAGCTCAACAGTGGGCTGTGAAAGGATGATCATCTTTACTCTTTGCTGTGTGTGTGTAAGAGTGTCACAATCTTACCTTTGTTCAGGGCCATGTTAAGACATGTTCTGTTATCACCCAAGGGCTTTATATGGTATGCATGGGAGTCACAACTTCCTCTAAATCCTTTGTGCTGTTATGGACTCATGATAGTGTCTGTAGCTTTAAGCCCAGGTATGACAGTCGACATCTTTCTGATTGGCTGGGTCCAGATAGGAGAGTCCTCACCTGCCAGAGCTGGGTTTAGAAATGAGTCACCATCACAACTCTGGACAGAAATTCACAAATGAATGTCACAATTTTAACTGTGGACTGCATCCATGTGTGAGATTAAGTACCTCACCAGTGGGCTTCATCCATGTGTGAGGGTGACAATCCTAATGGTTGTCAGGATGAGCACACAAGAAACACAATCTCATCTGCACGCTGGGCCTTGTGATGACACTCTCTCTACCACCCAAGGGCTTTATACAATATGCGAGAGAGTGGTAACCTTTTATAACCTCCATACAGAAAGGAAACCCAGGATCTTACCCATTTTTCTACACCTAGCTATGACAGACAGTATTTGTCCTCTTAGCCAGTTCAAAATATTAGAGTCATTATTGCACCTGTGCACTGAGCCAATATATATGTCAAAATCCTACCTGTGTGTAGGGAGCAAACAGAAGAGTCACATCACCTAAGTTCTGGGCCAGAGATATGTGACAAACTTTTCTGAAAGAAGGGACCAGAAAAAAGAGACACATCACCTGGGTTCTCAGCCAGGGATATGTTACAATTCCACACTAAAAGCAGGGCACAGACAACAGCAGCACATCACCCTGATTCAGGGCTCAATGATATGTCACACTGTTACCTTTGGGTAATACCCAGGCATGAAAGACACATCACCTGGTTCGTGGGTTCCACCATATGTAGCAATCTTTTCTATAAGCAGCATGAACGCAGAGGAAGAGAGTCACATCTATTAGGTGATGGGTGCAAAGATATGTCACAAGGCCTCTGGTGGTCATCGCCCAGGCAGGAGTCTCTCATACAGTATAAGTTGGGACCAGCATTAGGTCATGATATTCAACATATGCAGGGCCCAGGGAAATGAGAAGAGTTACATTACCTAGGTGCTCAATCCATTGATATGTTACAATAACCTTTTTTTTTTTTTTTTTGGCAGGGCCCAGACAGAAGAGAAGAGTCACATCATCTAGATGATGAATGAAAAGATATGTCATTATTCTCCTTTGGGCAGTGCTTCTGCAGAAAAGTTGCACCTTCTAGGTGTTGGACTCAGCAATATATCACAATGTCTGCAGTATTTTGGAAGGAGAGGAGAGTCACCATTACTTAGGTGCTAGGCCCAGCAATACATCTCAAGCACTTCTTGGGCAAAGCCCAAGCAGTAAAAAAGAGTCACATTACCTAGGTTCTGGGTATAGCAATATGTCACAAATGCCCCTAAGAAGAGGGCCCAGGAAAAGAGAGTCACCTTGGTGAGAATGTCAGAGATATTCCATTTTTGGGTATTCACAAAAAAGAATAAAGTCCCATAACCTAGAAGGTGGGCTCTGCTCCATGACACAAATCACCCTAGTGGGCAGGTCCATTAAAGAGAAGGCTGTCAAAGCACATAGATGCTGGGCAAAGTGATATGTCATAATCCCCATGATGATAGGCCCAGAGACATGTCACAATGACCTCTTTAGGCAGAGACCAGGCAGAAGAATCACATCACTTGTGTGCTGGCCCTAGTGATAAGTCACTCTCATTTCTGTGGACATGGCCCAGGCAGAAGAGCAGAGTCACATTACCTAAGCGCTGGGTCAAGAGATATGTCACAATCTTTTACATGGGCAAAACCCAGGTAAAAAAGAGGAGTAATATCAGATAGTAGGTGTTGCCAGAGATATGTCAAAATGCCCCCTGTATGAAAGACTCAGGCAGTCAAAACACATTAGTTGGTTTCTTAACCTAGTGATATGTTATAATCTTTCCTGTGGGTATGATGCAGGCAGAAGACGAGAGTCATGTGATGGATGCAGAGACATGTCACAAGGTCTTCTGTGGGCAGGGTCCAGACTGAAGCCTTCCACCTGCTAGGGGTTGAGCCCAATGATATGTCACAATACCCAAATTATGCAGGGCCCAGGCAAAAAAAACGAGAGGCACATCACCTGGGTTCTGGATCCAATGATATATCACAATTTTCTATTTTGGCAAGACCCAGGCAGAAAGAAAAGTTACATCACCTAGGTGATGAATGAAAATACATATTATAATAGTTTTGTGGGCAGGACCCATGCGGGAGAGTCACATCACCTAGGTGTTGGACCCAGAAATATGTCACAATATACAGTGTATACAGAGCTGAGGCATGAGACAATAGTAACTTCACTCATTTGTTGAGCCCAGCTATACAATCCTTTTTTGGGCACAGCCGAAGTAGTAGAGGAGAGTTACATCACCTTGGTGCTGGGTCCAGCAATGTGTCACCATACCTGCTGAGGGGAGGGTACAGGCAAGAGAGCCACATCACTTAGGTGAGGGGCCCAGAGATATCTCACAGTACCCCCTGTGGGTAGAACTCAGGAAAAAGGAGAGAGTCACATAATCTAGAAGCTGAGCTCAGCTGTATGTTACAATCACCCAGTGGACAGGTCCCAGGCATGAGAGTAGAGTCACATCACATAGGTGCTGGACCAAGCAATTTGTCACAACCTTCACTGTGGACAGGTCCCCAGAAAAAGAGAATCACATCATTTAGGTAACAAAACCTGAGTTAGTCACTGTTACTTGTTTGGGCAGAGGTCAGGAAGAAGTGTCACACAACATGTATGCTGGACTAAGCAATACGTCACTCTCTCTGTTTTAGGTATGGCCCAGGCAGGAGAGAAGGGTCATATCACCTAAGCTCTGGATTCGCAGATAGGCCCCAATCTCTTTTTTGGGCAATGCTCGGGTAAGAGAGCAGAGTCACATCAAGTGGTTGATGGGCCCAGAGATATATCACATTGCCCCTTGTGGACAGGGACCAGGCAGGGGACTCACATCACAATAGAGGTAGGACAAGGAATACATCACAATACGTTTTGAGAGCAGAACCAAAAAAGAGTAACATAATCTTTGTGTTGAGTGCAGCAATATGTTACACTTTTCTTTGTGGGCAGAACGTGTAAAGAAGGAAAAAGTTGGCCGGACACGGTGGCCTGTAATCCCAACACTTTGGGAGGTCAAGGTGGGCAGATCACCTGAGGTCAGGAGTTCAAGACCAGCCTGGCCAACATGGCAAAACGCTGTCTCTACTAAAAATACAAAAATTGGCTGGGTGTGGTGGCAGGCACCTGTAATTCTAGCTACTCAGGAGGCTGAGGCAGGAGAGTCACCTGAACCTTTGAGGCAGAGGCTGCAGTAAGCAAAGATCACGCCACTGCACTCCAGTGTGGGTGACACAGCAAGACTCCATCTCAAAAGAAAAAAAAATAAAGAAAGGAAAAGTCACATAAGCTAGGCACTTGGCCCGTGATATGTCATAGTCACCCATTTGAGAAGGGAACAGCGAAGAGAAGAGAGTCACATCACCTCTCTGGTGGACACAGAGATATCTCACAATGCTCTCTGTAGGCAGGGCCAGGGCACAAGAGTTATATAACTCGGGTGTTAGACCAAGCAACATGTCACAATGGCTGATATGGGCCAGACACAGACAAGGGAGTCACATATTTGGGTGTAGGGCTCAGTTATATGTTGAAATGCCCCCTGTGGGCAGCGACAAAGCAGAAGATTCACATCACCTGGATATAAGGCCCGGTGATACGTTACAATTCCCCTGTGAGCAGCGCTAAAGCAGAAGAATAGGGTAATATCACCTAGGGGCTGAGTCCAGTGATATGTCACAATTCCATCTGGGCTGGGCCCAGGCAGATGTGTCAAATCATGAAGGTTCTGTGAAGGTGCATATATCACAATCACACCTGCAGGAAGGTCCAATAATGAGATTAACAATCTCACACAGGTCCGGGTTCTAGGTATGAGAGTCAACACCTGTGTGTTGGATCCAAATAGATGAGTCGTAGTCTCAACAATTGACTTGATCCATGTGTGAGATCCTAGTTTCTATTTGCATTACTATTGGTACCAGTACCTATTAATTCTTCCACCTTCTACATCTTTGTTCTGTATGAATGTATATACAAAGATTGATACATATACAAGATTATATGAGTATTTCTATGTAAATATGTACACAAAAATTGTTCCTCCAAAGACATTTTTCAGTATCTTAGCATATTCTAAGGGTGCAGATGTAGAATTATTTCTCTTCTCTGGCTCAGTAGCATGTCAGAATGGAACATAGGTATAGAATGTTTTTTGTATAGACAAAGCTTCACTTTCAGGGGCAAGGTTTGGGAAATAAGCTGATAGTAAAGTCATGTAACACTTTCTGTGCAGGTTAACATTTCTGGACCTTGCTTTCCTTCTCAGTGTATGCATGAGCTATTCTCATGCACCACTGGGGGCCAGTCTTGATTAATCTACAGTTGAAATTTAGAGAACTGGCTGATTGAATCCACCTGGGCTGAGCTAACTGACATTGAAATCAGCTGGGCTGAGCTTATTGGCCAGTTAAAATCATCTGGGCTCAAATATCGGCTGACTGGAGTCACCTGGGCTAAACTAATTGGCTGATTTTAATCTCCTGGGATTGGTTAATTGACTGTAATGACCTGATTTGAGTTAATTGACTGATTGAAATCAAAAGTGCTGACCTAATTGGCTGATTGAAATCACCTAGAATGAGGTAACTGACTGATTGGATTTACCTGATCTGAGCTAATTGGCTGATCAGAATTACCTAGACCAAATTAATTGGCTAATTGGAATACACTGGGCTGAGCTAATTGGCTGATTGAAATAATCAGGGCTGAGTAAGTGGGTTGCTTGTATTCACCTCCCCTGAGAAGAATAAGTAGGGAAATGATCTCTGACTTACCTTTTTTTTTATAAGACATACTCATAAATGGACATTACATAGATATATTTATATATTGTATGTGTTTGTATGTGTTTATCTACATATATTATATCTGTTAACCTTCAAGTTAAAGTGTGCAAAGGAATCTGAAATTTGCTTTCAATATTGCAGTCTATCTTCAATTTACAGACCTTGGCTTTTCTACCCCAATTCAAGAAGTCACTTCTTCAGTCAACCAAACCAATTACAAAATTGTGTTCCAATGTCACATGTTCAAAAATAAACAGTTCCTGAAAAGATGTAAGCTTTAAATGGAATTAGTCAGCATTTTCAATTTTGGTTAGTGCCTTTAAAGCTAGTTTATCTCTGTTTCTATATTAATCGGAATGAAAAGAAACATTTTTGACTTGGCATTGAATGACAGTTGTGATTTTAGTAAATTTCTTGCTCACACATAGGAGCAACAAAAAAATACTTTTTTTTTTTTGAGACAGAGTCTCACTCTGTTGCCCAGGCTGGACTGCAATGGCACAATCTCAGCTCACCACAACCTCCATCCACCAAGTTCAACTGATTCTCTTGCCTTAGCCTCCCAAGTAGCTAGGATTACAGGCATGTATCACCAAGCCTGGCTAACTTTGTATTTTTAGTAGAGACAGAGTTTCTCCATTGTTGGTCAGGCTGGTCTCGAACTCTCAACCTCAGGTAATCCACCCACCTTGGCCTCCCAAAGTGCTGGGATTACAGGCATGAGCCTCCGCACCCCGCCAGTTTCACAATACTTTTGAGCATGGGCATCAAAGTATCCTCAAGGTTAAAAATGTTGGGGTCCAAGCATTCTACCTCTTTGATTTGTATGGTTTGAATTATGACTCAGCATTTTAGGAACATGTTGGCTCCATAATCTTTCACCCACACCCCACTTGAAAAAGAAGATAATTTTTCAGATACACTTGCAGATACAACTACATATTATCCACATCATTTTTCTTGGAACTGAAAACTGGTTTTATACTCAAACATCCTATTGGGCAACTGTCAAATAAATTAATTCTGACATTTGTTAAAAATTGGAAAGAAAGACTTTAATACTATTGCAGTAGATGTTATGGCCATTTTAATAGGATTCAAAAATTGATCACAACTCTGAACACAGACAACTCAGGATTTATAGTCAATAGAAAGAATAGATCAGTGGATAAAAAATTACTGAGAGAAATTTGATAAAATACCAAAAGAAGAGAGATTGTTTTCCAACAGGATTATGGCTACAGGCAGGCTAACGACTTAAATATCAAGGAAGGGGAATTAAGTTTTCAGAAGCTGTAAAGAATATGTGGATTCTTACTAAGCAATCTTAGCAGGATTTCTGAAAATGAGCTTCTCAAACCAGGAGTAGGGTAGTAAGTCAAGGTTGGCTTAGTCAAAAAGAAGGTTCAGTTAAGCTTGACTAACCTTTGGTCATAAAGGGAGTGCTTGTCAGAATGAAGACTTTTTCCCATCTAATCTGAAAATAAATAAACAGTAAAAGAGGCTTTGTTTGGAAAATAAGTGCCCACTTCACCTGAGAATAACTCCATCTTCTTCTCTTTATCTTTGAATTTAGTGTAGCAAAAGAGCACTGGTCATTGCCACAGTTTTTATTTTTCTTTCATTCTTAAAAAGAGAGATTCTGTTTCATTCAAACAGCAAGTTACCAGACACAAAAACTATAGTTCTTGACCCCTATTGAAGCTGACAATGACTAGAGGACGTTCAGGACATTTGGGTGTAAGCAGAAGTATTGATGGAACTTTGGGGAGACTCCTTAGTTGAAGCTAACACAGCTGTGTGAGTCACTTTGACTTTGCACCTTTTCTCCTCCTTTGCTCTTTGAAATGCACATGGTGGTTGGTGCAGGCTGGTGCTCCTACAGCCATCTTGGGCCATGAGACAGCCTACAGCATAAAAACCATCTACCAAAATATTGTAGCAGAGAAGGATGCTGAGATACCTGATTAGAAGCAGCTACGATGTGTGGCTCTCATGGAAAGGAACAAGAAGAGAGTAAATGCAGCATCTTCAACTGAAACACCCAAGTATTTGCCTTGGGACTCATGAAGGAAACAGCTCAACCCATGGAGAATGGAGGAAAGCAGGACAGGGCCACTGACCACTCATGAATGACACAGAGCCAAGGGAAACTACCCTGCCCAGGGAAGTGATGAGTGACTGTGTGATCCTGGAAAACCACACTTCTTCCATGGATCTTTGCCATCCTTGGGTCAGGAGATTTTCTCTTGAACCCATTCCACCAGGGCTTTTGGTCTGACACACAGAGCTGCATGGTCTTGGCAGAGCAACTACTCAGGCACAAACAGAATCTCAGGAGCCTTAGATACTCTGGCTCCGGGATCTCTGGCAAAGGTGAAAGCTACTCAGAAAATGCAAGAATTTGGACCTCTGTAAACACCCCTAGGAAGAAAGCTGAATCCATGGGGCTGAGCAGCATCAGTCTGTGGACCCCACTTTCATAGAGCTTCACAGGATAAGACCCACTGGCTTTGAATTCCAGCCACTCCCCAGCAATGGCATTGCATCTACCTGGGATGGGTCAGAGTTCCTGGAGGCAGGGGCAGGCTGCCATATTTGCTGTTTGGATGACTCAGTCATTCCAGCCTGTGGGTTTAGGAAAGTCCAAACAAAACTGACAGCCTATGGAAAGAAACCTCCAGCAAAGCACAGTGGCTCTACCAAAATGTGGCCAGACTGCTTCTTTAAGTGGAACCCTGACACATTTTTTGTCTCAGGGTGGGGCCTCCTATCAGGGACTCCAGCCGGCCCCTCCCATATTCTCTGGCAGACAGGGATTTGATTTCTCTCTGGGATGCAGTGCCTAGTGGAAGGAGTGGGACACCGTATTTGGTGTTTGGACAACTCAGCCATTCTAGCCTGTGGGCTTAGGAGAGACCAAATCATCAAGGGACAGAAGGAATCTCCCAGCATAGCACAGTGGCTCTACCATAATGTGACTAGACTGCTTCTTTAAGCGGGACTATGATATGCTCCTCATCTCTGAGAGATAATTCCCAACCAGAGCCTCCAGCTACTCCCACTGATGTTCTCTGGGCAACAGAGGTTTGAAAACATTTTGGGGCATAGTTCCTAGAGAGAGGGTTGGGCCAACATCTTTGCTGTTTTGCAATGTAGCTGTTTCAGCCTCCAGGCTTGGGAGAGCCCACCCTGATGAGGGGCAAAAATGGTACCCCAGCACAGCATGGCTGCTCTATTAAAGTGGGGCTAAACTGCTTCTTTAAGTGGGTCCCCAATTCTGTTCCTCCTAGCTGGGCGAGACCTTCTAACTGGGATCTCCAGTCGCCTCCTCCAGATGTGTTTGGGCCAGCAACATGTCTGCACCTCCCCTGGGGATGGAGCTCCCAAGGGAAAGAGTGGGCTGCTATATTTGCTGTTTCACAGCCTTCAGTGGTGATACCTCCAGATACTGAAAAATCCAAGAACTAGGAACTGGGGCAGATGCCCAACTAACTGCAGCAGCTCTACAAAGAATGGCCAAATAGTTAAAAACAAACAAACAAACAAACAAACAAAAACTCCCATTCATAGGTCAGCAACCTCAAAGATTAAAGGTAGATAGGCACACAAAGGTAAGAAAGAATCAGCACAAGAATACTAAAAACTCAAGAAGCCAGAGTGCCCTCCCTTCTCCAAATAACCATATTACTTCTTCAGCAAGGGTTCAGAATGGGGCTGAGGCTGACATGGCTGAAATAACAGAAGTAGACCGCAGAATGTGGATATAAATGAACTTCACTGAGCTAAAGGAGGATGTTCTAACTCAATGCAAGAAAGCTAAAAATTATAATAAAACATTGCAGGAGCTGACAAACAAAGTAGCTAGGATAGAGAAGTACCTAATCAACCTGGTAGAGCTGAAAAACACAATAAAATAATTTCATAATGCAATCACAAGTATTAATAGCAGAATAGACCAAGCAGAGGTCTGAGAAAAATGGGATTATGTAAAGAGACCAAATCTATAACTGATTGGTGTACCTGAAAGAGCTGGGGAGACTGGAACTAATTTGGAAAACATATTTCAGAATATCATCCATGAGAATGTCCCCAATCTTGCTTTCCAGGCCAACATTCAAATTCAGAAAATGCAGAGAACCCCAGTGAGATACTCCATAGACAGATCATACCCAAGACATATAAAAATCAGATTCTCCAAAGTTGAAATTGAAATGAAAAGAAAAAATGTTAAGGTCAGCCAGAGAGAAAGGTCAGGTCACCTACAAAAGGAAGCCCATCAGACTAATAGCAGACGTCTCAGTTAAAACCCTGCAAGCCAAAAGATGTTGTGGGTCAATATTTAACATTCTTAAAGAAAAGAAATTTTAACTCAGAATTGTATGTCTTGCCAAACTAAGCCTAAGCTGGGGTGAAATAACATTCCCTTTAGACAAGCAAATGCTGAGGTAATTCATTACCACCAGATCTGCCTTTCAATAGCTCCTGAAGGAAGCACTAATTTGGAAAGAAAAAATTATTACCAGCCACCACAAAAACACACTGAAGTACACAGACCAGTGACTCTATAAATCAACCACATAAACAAGTCTGCAAAATAACCAGCTAGCATCAAGATGACAGGATTGAATCTACATATTACAATACTAACCTTAAATGTAAATGGACTAAATGCCCCAGTTAAAAGACACAGAGTGGCAAGTGGATAAAGAACCAAGACCCACTGGTATGCTGTCTTCAAGACACCCATCTCACATGCAATAACATACATAGCCTCAAAATAAAGAAATGGACGAAATTTTACCAAGCAAATGGAAAACAGAAAAAAGCAGGGGTTGCAATCCTAGTTTCCAACAAAACAGACTTTAAACCAACAAAGATCAAAAAAGACAAATAGAGGCATTACATAATGGCAAAGGGTTCAATTAAACAAGAAGAACTAACTATACTAAATATATATGCACTGAACACAGGACCAACCAGATTTCTATAACAAGTTTCTAGAGGTCTTCAAAGAGACCTATACCCCCACACAATAATAGTGGGAGACTTTAACACCCCACTGATAATATTAGACAGATTATTGAGACAGAAAATTAACAAAGATATTCAGGACCTGAACTTAGCTCTGAATCAAATGGATGTGAAAGATATTTACAGAACTTTCCACCCCAAAACAACAGAATATATATTCTTCTCTTCACCACATGGCACTTTGTCTAAAATTGGTCACATAGTCACATAGTAAAACACTCCTCAGCAAATGCAAAAGAACTGAAATCATAATAAACAATGTCTCAGACCACAGTACAATCAAATTAGAACTCAAGACTAAGAAACTTACTAAAAACCATACAATTCCATGGAAATTGAATAACCTGCTCCTGAATGACTTTTGGGTAAATAATGAAATTAAGGCAGATATCAAGAAGTTCTTTGAAACTAATGAGAACAAAGACAAAATATACCAGAATCTCTGGGACACAGCTAAGGCAATGTTAAGAAGAAAATTTATAGCACTAAATGCCCATATCAAAAATCTAGAAAGATCTTGGGTTGACAACCTAACATCACAACTAAAATAACTAGAGAAACAAGAGCAAAGAAATCCTGGAGCTAGGAGAAGACAAGAAATAACCAAAATCACTGGGCATGGTGGCTCACGCCTGTAATCCCAGCACTTTGGGAGGCTGAGGTGGGCAGATCACGAGGTCAGGAGATCAAGACCATCTTGGCTAACATGGTGACACCCTGTCTCTACTAAAAATACAAAAAATTAGCTGGGCATAGTGGCAGGTGCCTGTAGTCCCAGCTACTCGGGAGGCTGAGGCAGGCGAATGGTGTGAACCCGGGAGGCGGAGCTTGCAGCAAGCTGAGATCGTGCCACTGCACTCCAGCCTGGGCAACAGAGCAAGACTCCATCTCAAAAAAAAAAAAAAAAAAAAGAACCAAAATCAGAGCTGAACTAAAGGAGATAGAGACATGAGAAACCATTCAAAAGATCAACAAATTCAGGAGCTGTTTGTTTGTTTGTTTTAAAAAATCTAATAATATAGATATACCACTAGATAGACTAATAAGGAAGAAAAGATCAAAAATTCAAATAAACACAATCAGAAATAATAAGGGGGATATTATCACTGACTCCACAGAAATAAAAATAACCATCAGAGAATATTATAAACACCTCTATGCACATAAGATAGAAAATCTAGTTGAAATGGATAAATTCCTGGACACATATGCCCTCCCGAGACTAAACTAGGAAGAAATTGAATCCCTGAAAAGACAAATAACAGGCTCTGAAACTGAGGCAATAATAAAGAGCCGGCCAACCAAAAACACCCCAGGACCAAAAAGATTAACAGCTGAATGCTACGAAATTTACAAAGAAGAGCTGGTAAAATTCCCACTGAAACTGTTTCAAAGAATTGAAACAGAGGGTCTCCTTCCTAACTCTTTCTATGAGGCCAGCATCATCATGGTACCAAAACCTGGCAGAGACATACACACAAAAAGAAAACTTCAGGCCAATATTCTTGGTGAACATTGATGCAAAAATTCTCAACAAAATACTGGCAAACAAAATCCAGCAGTATGTAAAAAAGCTTATCCACCACAATCAAGTAGGCTTCATCCATGGGATGCAAGGTTGGTTCAACATACACAAATCAATATGTGATTGATCACATAAACAGAATTAAAGACAAAAACCACATGATTATCTCAATAAATGCAGAAAAAGCTTTCAATAAAATTCAACATCCATTCATGTTAAAAACTCTCAATACACTAGGTATTGAAAAAACATACCTCAAAATAATAAAAGCCATATATAACAAACCCACAGACAACATCATACTGAAAGGGCAAAAGCTGAAAGCATTCCCCATTAAAACCGGCACAAGACAAGGATGCCCTCTCTCACCACTCCTATTTAAGATAGTATTGAAAGTCCTGGTCAGAGCAATCAGGCAAGAGAAAGAAATAAAAGGCATTCAAATAGAAAGAGAGGGAGTTAAACTATGCCTGATGGCAGACAACATGATCCTACATGTAGAAAACCCCATCGTCTCAGCCCCAAAGCTTCTTAAGCTGATAAACATCTTTAGCAAAGTCTCAAGATGAAAAATTAAGGTGCAAAAATTACTAGCATTCTTTTTTTTTTTTTTTTTTTTTTTTTTTTGAGACGGAGTCTCGCTCTGTTTCCCAGGCTGGAGTACAGTGGCGCGATCTTTGCTCACTGCAAGCTCCGCCTCCCGGGTTCACGTCATTCTCCTGCCTCAGCCTCCTGGGTAGCTGGGACTACAGGTGCCCGCCACCATGCCGGCTAATTTTTTGTATTTTTAGTAGAGATGGGGTTTCACTGCCTTAGCCAGGATGGTCTCGATCTCCTGACCTCATGATCCGCCCACCTCGGCCTCCCAAAGTGCTGGGATTACAGGTGTGAGCCACTGCACCCGGCCTACTAGCATTCTTATACACCAACAACAATCAAGCCAAGAGCAAAATCCTGAATAAACTCCCATTCACAATCACCATGAATAGAATAAAACACCTAGGAATGCATCTAACAAAGGAAGTGAAAGGCCTCTACAAGGAGAACTATAAAACACTACTCAAAGAAATCAGAGCAGGGCATGGTGGCTCATGCCTGTAATCCCAGCACTTTGGGAGGCTGAGGTGGGCAGATCACAAGGTCAGGAGTTCGAGACCAGCGTGAGCAACATGGTGAAACCACATCTGTACTAAAAATACAAAAATGAGCCAAGCACGGTGGTGCACACCTGTAATCTCAGCTACTCAGGAGGCTGAGGTAGGAGAATCGCTTGAACCTGGGAGGCAAAGGCTGCAGTGAGCCAAGATCACACCACTGCACTTCAGCCTAGGTGACAGAGCAAGACTCCAACTCAAAAAAAAAAAAAAACAAAGATGATATAAGACTTAATATTGTTAAAATGGCCACACTGCCCAAGTAAATGTGTAGAGTTAATAGAATTCCCATTAAACTACCACTGACATTTTTCACAAAACAAGAAAAATGTATTTTAAAATTGATATGGAACCAAACGAGAACCTGAATAGTCAACACAATCCTAAGCAAAAAGAACAAAGCAGAAGACATCACACTACCCAACTTCAAACTATGCTAAGGTGCTACAGTAACCAAAAAAGCATGGTACTAGTACAAGAACAGACATAGACCAATGAAACACAATACAGAACTCAGAAATAAGACCGCATATCTACAACTATCTCATTTTTGATAAACCTGACAAAGACAAGCAATGGGAAAAGGACTCCCTATTCAATAAATGGTGTTGGGATAACTGGCTAGCCATATGCAGAAAATTGAAACTGACCCCCTTCCTCCATCATCCTCAGCAAACTAACACAGGAACAGAAAACCAAACACCACATGTTCTCACTCATAAGTGGAAGTTGAACAATGATAACACATGGACATAGGGAGGGGAACAACATACATCAGGGCTAGTCAGGGGATGGGGGGCGAGAAGAGGGAGAGCATAAGGACAAATAGCTAATGCATGCAGGGCTTAAAACCTAGATGATGTGTTGATTGCTGCGGTAAGCCACATGGCACATGTATACCTATGTAACAAACCTGCATGTTCTGCACTTGCATCCTGGAACTTAAAGTAAAATTTAAAAAAAGAACTGAACTCCTTCCTTACACTATATACAATAATTAAGTCAAGATGGTTTAAAACTTAAATATAAAACCCAAAACTATAAAAACTTTGGAAGACAACCTAGGCAATACGATTCAGGACGTAGGCATGGGCTAATATTTTATGATGAAGATGCCAAAAACAATTGGAACAAAGGAAATATTGACAAATGGGATCTAATTAAACTGAAGAGCTTGTGCACAGCAAAAAAAAAAAAAAAAAAAAAATGCCTACAGAGTAAGCAGACAACATACAGAATGGGAGAAAATTTTTGTGAACTATGCATTTGACAAAGATTTAATTTCCAGCATCTACAAGGAACTTAAATTTACAAGAAAAAAGCAAACAACCCCATTAAAAAGTGGGCAAAGGACAGGAAGAGACACTTCTCAAAAGACATACACACAGCTAATAAAGCATGTGAAAAAACCTCAACATCACCAATAATTAGAGAAATGCAAATCCAAACCACAATGAGATACTGTTTTATACCAGTCAAAATGGCTATTATTAAAAACTCAGAAAATAACAGATGTTGGCAAAGTTGTGGAGAAAAAGGAACATTTTTACCCTGTTGGTGGGAGTGTAAATGAGTTCAACCATTGTGGAAGACAGTGTGATGATTCCTCAAAGACCTAAAGACAGAAATATTATTCACCCCAGCAATCTCATCACTGAGTATATACCCAAAGGAATATAAGTCTTTCTATTATAAAGACACATGCACGCACACGTTCATTGCAGATCTAGTCACAATAGCAAATACCTTAAATCAATCCATGTGTTCATCAGTGATAGACTGGATAAAGAAAATATAGTACATATACACCATGGAATACTGTGCAGCCATAAAAAAAGAAGAAGATCATGTCCTTTGTAGAGACATGGATGAAGCTGGAGGTCATTGTCTTTAGCAAACTAACAAAGGTACAGAAAACCAAATACTGCAAGTCCTCACTTATAAATGGGAGCTAGATGATGAGAACACACAGACACATACAGGGGAACAACATGCACTAAGGCATATTGTGAGGTGAAGAGTGGGAGGAGGGAGAGAAGCAGAAAAAATAACTAATGGATAGTAAGCTTAATACCTGGGTGATAAAACAATCTGTACAACCAATCTTTATGACACATCTTTACCTATGTAACAAACCTGCACATCCGGCACATGTACCCCTGAACTTAAAAGTTAGAAAAAGAAAAAAAAAGTAGCAAAAAGATAATTTTTGACTGCCTTGGTGCACAGTCCAGAGTCATGGACTGTCCAGCTCTAAGATTCTTATTTATGAGAAAGAAAGCATTCTGTATCTTGTCTGCACTACTGTTATATTGGGCATCCTTCTACTTATAGGCAAATGTAATCCTAACCAAAGTGCTAGCTTTGACATGGAATCCCTGGTAATCTTCGGTAAGACATATCACTTTCCAAGGACCATTTTTTTATCTGCATAGTGGTGGAGGCAGGAGTGGGGAAGATTTAATTCTGAAGTTCTAGTGCCTTCATATGGCCCACATCCATAGTTCCTTGTACAGTTAATAGCATCTCAGATTCTCTTTGTGGGACTACTCCACCACAAAGGGTCCATCAGTCCATGTGTTAAGTGAGGATGTCACCACTTTCTAGATGCAGAGGACAGGGGACATATTGGGTATGCTCCAGTGGGAGCTGCTGGGGGATAAAGGTGGGTCTCATATGCGCACATTGTCTGTGGTCCTTGAAGGATCCTGTGCGCGTGACCTTTTTTGGACAGAAGGTCCAGCTGCCCAGTGCAGAACTCATCTATTTCTGTCCAACTGAGGAAGATCTGGGTACACCCTGATCACAGCCCTGCTACACCCATCCTAGTTGGTAGGGAGCTTGCACCGTGTGCATGCTGAGCTGTGGCTTAAACACTTTGACATCTAACATCTCACTGGATAACTGGGAAACTGAGGTCTGGAGAGAAGCAGAGACTGGCCCAGAGAACATAAAGTTGGCAGAGTCCAGAGGATAAAAGAGCATTCTGACCTCATAGGCCAGGGCTCATCGCTATCACGGGGTTTGCTTTGAGAATGAGAGTCCCTGAGATCTTGAGAATTTCTGCCAATTTTCTCGTATGGAGCACACTCATATCTGCACCATTAAACTTGCACAGGTTTCCGTGCATGAGCGTGCACACACACACACACACAGACTTCTCAGGTTAAAGGTCAGAAGAGCAGTTAACACTGATGGAGTGACAAGAAGACAGAGGATGAGGGCAGCTCTGCCACGGGGTAGGGGCACCCAGTCTCCTGGGTAACATGCCCAGGACCTATAACATGGGGAGGAGAAAAGATAACAGGCTGATGACTTGGGAACCTCAAGGTTCCCATGGATCTGCCTGTTCTGTGGCCATCCCCAGGAAAGCTTTTAGAGGACAAAAACTTAGTTTCTGCATTCATTGCTCTGTGTAATTAAAATTGGGAGTAATCCCCCTACACACAGTATGAAGGGGAATACAGTAGTGAAAAACCTCAAATTTTTCTCTGTAAATTGAAGTAATTGACCTGGGTGGCATCTAAATTTCGAACGCTCAAAAAGGTGAGTTGACCTTGCTGTCTATCAATTACCCACTGTACTCTCAGATCCTTGGAAATTTCTCCATATCCTCTGGAGGCCTTTCAGAGCAGAAATTTGCTTGGGGGTTTGTGGGACTGAGCACTCAGGCTAGTGTAGAATGTGGCAGAGCATCAGATCACTGCTCTGAAGACCATCCCTGTCATAGCTCTGGGGTTCTTTTTTGGAAGTGGAACCAGAGTCATTTTCCAGGCTGGGATGATGAACTTGTGAGTTAACTGGATACCTCAGAACAGTGGAGGCAAACAAGGAAGCACAGGAGGCTTCTGAGGTCTCTTACATTGCCCTGGAGCCTGTAGGCCTCACTCATTTGCCCTCTTGTATCATAGTTTATTTGTTTGTTAAATTATTTTACGTTTGGATTTAAAATTTTTTTTAGTTTGTTGAAGGTTTGTCAATTTTTAACTTTTCAAAAAAGCCAATTTTTTCATTGATCTTTTGTATTTTTTGTTCAATTTTTTTTCTGCTCTAATCTTTATGATTTTTTTCTTCTAATAACTGTAGATTTGGTTTGCTCTTGCTTTTCTAGTTCTCTAAGATACAGTATTAGGTTGTGTATTTGAGATTTTTTTGGGGGGGGGATGTAGGCACTTATACCTATAAACTTTCCTGTTAGTACTGCTTTTGTGTATCCCATAGATATTGATACGTAGTGTTTTTATTATCATTTGTTTCAAGAAAATGTTTAATTTTCTTCTTAATTTCTTCATTGACCCACTGATCATTCAGGAGCATATTGTTGATTTTTCATGTATTTGTATAGTTTTTATAATTCCTCTTTTTATTAATTTCTAATTTTATTCCATTGTGGACAAATAAGATATTTGATATTATTTCAAGTTTTTGAATGTTTTAGGACTTGTTTTGTGGCCTAACATATAGTCTATCCTTGAAAATAATCCATGTGCTAAAGAAAAGAATGTATATTCTGCAACCATTACATGAAATGTTCTCTAAATCCCTATTAGATACATTTGATCTATAGCACAGATTAAGTCCAACATTTCTTTGTTGATATTCTGTCTGGAATACCAATTCAATGCTGAAAGTGGAGTGTTGGAGTCTCCAGCTATTATTGTATTGGAGTCTATCTGTCTCTTTGGCTCTAATAATATTTGCTTTACATATTTCAGTGCTCAAGAGTTGGGTGTATTTATATGTAAAATTGTTATAGTCTCGTTAACTTTACCCCTTTATCATTATATAGTAACCTCTTTGTCTTTTCTTATAATTTTTGTCTTAAAATCTATTTTTCTAATGTTTAAGTATAGCTACTACCGCATTTTTTTTGTTTCCATTGACATTGAATATCTTTTTCCACTTCTAAAACTTTCAGTCTATGTGTGTCTTCATAGATGAGGTGAATTTCTTACAGGCAAAGGATAAATATGTCTTGTTTTTATATACATTCATCCCCTCTGTCTTGACTGGAGAGTTTAGTCTATTTACATTCAATGTTATTATTGATAAGCAAGAACTTACTTCTGCCATTTTATTTGATTTATGGTTGCTTTGTGGTCTTCTCTTTTATCTTTCTTTGCTTTTTGTCTTCCTTTTAGTGAAGGTAGTTTTCTCTGGTGATATGATTTAGTTTTGTGCTTTTTATTTTTTGCGTATTCCTTGTATGTTTTTTGGTTTGAGCTTACCATGAGGCTTGCAAATGCTATCTTATAACCTATTATTTTAATCTAATAACAACTTAACACTGTTTGAATAAACAAAGAAGCAAAAAGAATAATAAAATCTCTATGCTTTAATTCTTTTCCCTTACTTTTTGTTGTTTCTATTTATATGTAATTTTACTGTCTATGTCTTGAAAAGTTGTTGTAGTTGTTATTTTTGATTGGTTTATTGTTTAGTCTTTCTACCTTGCATAAGAGTAGTTCATACATCACAGTTACAGTGTTATAATATTATTTGATTTTCTGTGTACTTACTATTACCAGCAACTGTATTTAACTATGTGGTTTAAATAATTCCTCCATCAGCAGGTGTAAGCTGAGTTTTGTTTGGTTTTTCTTTCTGTTATAACATGAAAGCACTGAATTCAATGCCTCACAATTGCTGAACTCTCCCTTTCTGCACCATGCCACCATTGTTGGGGGATGTGGGAGAAATAGTGTAAGAGATTCAAGACTGTTTTTCCTACCCGTTCAGTG
The DNA here is from genome assembly GCF_000001405.40 of Homo sapiens. Lineage (NCBI taxonomy): Eukaryota > Metazoa > Chordata > Mammalia > Primates > Hominidae > Homo > Homo sapiens. Next base: position 23,291,818 of record NC_000019.10, on the reverse strand, counting down.
CCTCTTTCAGCAATATGAAGTTAAAACCAGGTACCATGAGTGCTCACCTGATTTTTGTTTCTTATGAAGGTGATTTTAAATGTAGGTTGTTGTTAAATTGGTGTCCTTACAGGGGGGAAGGTTGGTGAAGCCTTCTATTCTACCATCTTGATGTACCTATGAACCGGTTATGGCTTTTTTTTTTTTTTTTTGAGACAGAGCCTTGCTCTGTCACCCAGGCTGGAGTGCAGTGGCACTATCTTGGCTCACTGCAACCTCCACCTCCCGGGATCAAACAATTCTTCTGCCTCAGCCTCCAGAGTAGCTGGGATTAGAAGCACACACCACTACACCTAATTTTTATATTTTTAGTAGAGACAGGGTTTCGCCATGTTGGCCAGGCTGGTCTCAAACTCCTGACCCCAGGTGATCCACCTGCCTCAGACTCCCAAAGTGTTGAGATAACAGGCATGAGCCACAGCTCCCAGTGGACGTTTTAAATTAATTAGTTTAAAGCTACATACCCATATAAGTTTTCCAATGTCTCCAAATTACTAGAGGCCCCATTTTAAAATAAAATTTTGGCCTCTAAATTTCTTTATTATAACATTTAGTAAATAGAAAATTATCAAAGAACTATTCAAAACATTTAGTCTGTAACTGTCATTGCTACCATATAATAAATTCTATGAGGGCAGGGACTCAGTCGGTGACTCATGGGTTCTCTGATATGTGACTGCTCTTTGTGGTAATTAAACCTCTGCATAAAATAATGAATGAAGGTCTGCACATTAAAAAAATAATTCCACATAAAATGTAGATCTATGTGATCATCTTAGGAAACTGTATATTCCTTCCATAGCAGGAAGAGGTTATCCTGGATATTCTGGGGTCATGGCTTATGAGAACAATGGACCTGACTATAGAAAAAACAAGCAGTGATCAGTTTAGAGTTTTTCATAAGCCAACAACTTGGATTATAAAAAAGAACCCTCCCCTTCCCCCTCCCCCTCCCCCTCCCCCTCTCCCGTCTCCCACTTTCCATGGTCTCCCTCTGATGCCGAGTGGAGGCTGGACTGTACTGCCGCCATCTCGGCTCACTGCAACCTCCCTGCCTCATTCTCCTGCCTCAGCCTGCCAGTGCCTGGGATTGCAGGCGCGCACCGCCACGCCTGACTGGTTTTTGTATTTTTTGGTGGAGATGGGGTTTCACCATGTTGGCCGGGCTGGTCTCCAGCTCCTGACCGCGAGTGATCTGCCCGCCTGGGCCTCCCCGGGTGCCGGGATTGCAGACGGAGTCTCGCTCACTCAGTGCTCAATCTTGACCAGGCTGGAGTGCAGTGGCGTGATCTCCGCTCGCTACAACCTCCACCTCCCAGCCGCCTGCCTTGGCCTCCCAAAGTGCTGAGATTGCAGCCTCTGCCCGGTCGCCACCCCGTCTGGGAAGTGAGGACCGTCTCTGCCTGGCCACCCATCGTCTGGAATGTGAGGAGCCCCTCTGCCCGGCTGCCCAGTCTGGGAAGTGAGGAGCGCCTCTTCCCGGCTGCCATCCTGTCTAGGAAGTGAGGAGCGTCTCTGCCCGGCCGCCCCGTCTGGGATGTGAGGAGCACCTCTGCCCGACCGCCACCCCATCTGGGAGGTGAGGAGTGTCCCTGCCCGACCGCCACCCCGTCTGGGAGGTGAGGAGCGTCTCTGCCCGGCCACCCCGTCTGAGAAGTGAGGAGCCCCTCCACCCGGCAGCCGCCCCGTCGGGGAAGTGAGGAGCCCCTCCATCCGGCAGCCGCCCCATCTGGGAAGTGAGGAGCGTCTCCGCCCAGCAGCTGCCCAGTCCGGGAGGGAGGTGGGGGCAGCCCCCGCCTGGCTGCCACCCTGTCCCGGAGATGGGGGGCGCCTCTGCCCAGCCGCCCCGTCTGGGAGGTGAGGAGCCCCTCTGCCCGGCCGCCACCCCGTCTGGGAGGTGTACCCAACAGCTCATTGAGAAAGGGCCATGATGACGATGGCGGTTTTGTCTAATAGAAAAGGGGGAAATGTGGGGAAAAGAAAGAGATCAGATTGTTACTGTGCCTGTATAGAAAGAAGTACACATAGGAGACTCCATTTTGTTCTGTACTAAGAAAAATTCTTCTGCCTTGGGATGCTGTTAATCTATAACCTTACCCCCAACCCCGTGCTCTGAAACATGTGCTATGTCCACTCAGGGTTAAATGGATTAAGGGCGGTGCAAGATGTGCTTTGTGAAACAGATGCTTGAAGGCAGCATGCTTGTTAAGAGTCATCACCACTCCCTAATCTCAAGTACCCAGGGACACAAACACTGCGGAAGGCAGCAGGGCCCTCTGCCTAGGAAAACCAGAGACCCTTGTTCACATGTTTATCTGCTGACCTTCCCTCCACTATTGTCCTATGACCCTGCCAAATCCCCCTCTCTGAGAAACACCCAAGAATGATCAATAAATACTAAAAAATAAAAAAATAAAAAAATTAAAAAAAACGTATATACTGAAAAGATGTAGAAGAGAGTGTAAAATAATACAAAGGTGCTCCTTAGGACAAAGATGTTTTGGGTGACTGTGGACTCAGGTGAGAATTTAGGAGTGGTGTTGGACCTATGAATGTGTTGGACCCCACTACTTGTGTTGAACAGGATAAAAGTCATGGAGCTGCTGGCCCAGGTTAAAAGTTCCAAACACAAAACATTAAAAAATAATAAAAGCACAACATGTGATAAATGTGGAATTCTGTTATTAACTACTCCAGAACAGTGTTTTAAATAATTTTTGTGTTGTTTATTGTGTTCCATTTGCCAGTAACATACATAGGAAAAATGACATTTATAAGCCTATTCAGAATTCAGCACATAATTTGGATATTAGAGATTCAAATATATTTGGAATCATGTAGTTTAAGCTATGCCCACATGAGGTTTTTGGGGCTGATGGTGATGGCCTGGGAGATACTCAAGAGGCAGATGGTGTCAATGCACATGCTCTGGCCACTCTCTGAACATAGAAAACACTTTCTATTTAATATTACTGAGAAAATATTTCAACTCCAAATCAGTCATCATCTAAAGGACTTTTTTTAGAGAGTACCAAGGAGTTGGCCATAGTCAGGTGCTTGAGAATCAAATCTGTGGATCATAATGTGCATGTGGTAAATAAAGAAAACTCTGATGCCAAGAAACAAAAAATCCCAGCTATTTAACTATGGTCTGAGATAAGATCATTCCTACTGCTATATTACTGGAGACAATCTGTTATTTTCAAGTGACTTATAATTTCATTCCAAGTGAGGAGATCTTTCATGGACAGATGACGTCTGCTTTATGGAGGAAACCAAAACATTCTGCCGTATACTTGCCATTGTTTCCAACTCAGAAATATTTTATTGAACCCCTTTTTTTGTAACAGTTTTGTTCTAAAAAGAAAAACATATATTCCCACTATATTATAGTACTACTCTAGAATACTATAACAAGTTTTACATGTATTTTTATCATAAATCTACAACGTGCTTTATTGTTCCCTTTTTACAGGTGAGGAGATATTAAACAAAAGAAGGCTGAATGACATTTCTAAAGTCACCTCATTATAAAAAGAAAGTTTCAGGAGTAGACAATGTGCTTATCCACTATGTTTCTCAATCTTACAGACACAGATACACTTTAATATGTCACAAATTTATTTTTAATTTTTGCATATTTTGTACATTTTATAACTATAAAATACAGTTGTACTTTTAAAAAGTTTTGATTGTGGCAATTTCTCATTTAAATCTAATTAAATTAAATCTAACCATTAATTATACAGAAAATTAGTATTTTTGATGAATAAAAACTAAATAAAGTTATTTCAATATTAGAATTATTAAATATATTAAAACATAAATCCATTTTGGAGAGGGAAACTGGAGGCAGGACCAGAAGGTTCTTGCCCTGACATGTCTGAGGTCAACAAGATGGCTCCTCCATTGCCATGTCTAAGATTCACCACATGGCTCTTGCCAAGTGGCAATACCATTCAGGTCCAGCAGAAGGATGTGATCATGATTCTCTGCAGCCTCAGTCTTCCTGGTCCCACCTGCGTGGTCTTCCCATCTCAGCCTCCTGAGTACCTGGGACTACTCGGAACTTCTTTCTCTTTTTTTCTAAAGCCACTTTCGGTTTGTTTCCACAGTATTTCTAGTGACTTGCTGTTGTTTTTCTTCTTTGTTCTTTCTCTATCTATTTTCCTACACTCCTTCCTATAAGCTGAAGTTAACTATTTTTTTTTGTCACACTCCAGCGTGGGTGTGACAAATGGAGAAAGAGAGAAAAAAAGAGGGGATAATATTGATTGTGATATTTATTATCCTCTTTACCTTTTTCACTCATTTATTTTCCTTAATATTGTTTGTTATTATTTCTTTGTTATTGTTAAATATTTATTGTTGGGTTTTTTGTTTATTTATTTTGAGACAGCTGTCGGCTGTGAGCATTGGGCTTAGCCACCAGATTGCCATGTCTATGGCCAACCAGATGGCTCTTGCCTTGCCATGTCTAAGGTCCTCCAGATGCCTCATGTTTCACCATGTCTAAGGTCAACCAGATGGCTCTTGCAAGCAGCAGTCCCACTTAGATCCAGCAGACGGATGCCATCCTGATTCACTGCAGCCTTGATCTTTCCAGTCTCACCCAGGTGGTTTTCCCATCTCAGCCTCCTGAGTACCTTGGACTACTCAGACCTTCTTCCTTTTTTTTTTCCTAACCCCACTTTCAGTTTGTCCCACAGTACTTAGAGTGACTTGCTGTTGTTTTTCTTGTTTGTTCTTTTCTCTATTTTCCTATAGTCCTTTGCGCACATTGCAGTTGAATTTTTAGGTTATTTTTTATTTGTCACACTCCAGCCTGGGTGTGACAAAAGGAGAGAGAGAGAGAGAGAGGAAATCTTAACTGTGATATTAATTACCTTTTATTTTTTTCACTCCCACTTATTTATTTATTGGTCCTTAATATTGTTATTTCTTTGTTATTGTTAAATGTGTAATGTTGGTATTTTTGTTTATTAATTTTGAGACAGATGCCAGCCATGACCCTTGGTCTTAGCCACCAGCTTGCCATGTCTAAGGTTGACCAGATGGTTCTCACCTGTGGCAGTACCCTTCAGGTCCAGTAGAGGGATGTGATCGAGATCTCCCCAGTCTTGCCTGGGTGGTCTTCCCATCTCGGCCTCATGAGTACCTGGGACTACTCAGACCTTCTTCCTTTTTTTTTTTCTAACCCCACTTTCAGTTTGTTTCCAGAGTACTTAGAATGACTTGCTGTTATTTTACTTGTTTTCTTTCTCTCTCTATTCTACATACCTTTCTACATGCTTAAGTTTACCTTTTAGATTTTTTTGTCACACTCCAGCTGGGTGTGACAAATGAAGAGAGAGAGAGAGAGAGAGTGAAGAAGATCTTACTTGTAATATTAATTACTTTTTATCTTTGTTGACTCCTGCTTATTGATTTACTGGTGTTTAGTATTGTTTGTTATTATTTCTTTGATATTGTTAAATATTTACTGTTGGTTTTTTTGCTTATATATTTTCTGATGGATATCAGCCATGAGCATTGGGCTTAGCTGCCAGCTTGCCATGTCTAAGGTTGACCAGATGGTTCTCGCTGGTGGCCATACTGTTTCAGGTCCAGCAGAGTGATGTGATTATGACTCTCTGTAGCCTCAGTCTTGTTCTCACATGGGTGATCTTTCCATCTCAGCCTCTAGAGTCCCTGCAACTACTAGGACCTACTTCCTCTGTTTTTGTTCTAACCCCACTTTCAGTTTGTTCCACAGTAGTTAGAGTGACTTGCTGTTGTTTTAAATCTTTGTTGTTTTCTCTATTTTTCTATGTTCCTTTCTGCATGCTGAAGTTGACCTCTTAGATTTTTTTTATTTTTGTCACACTCCAGCTTGAGTGTGATAATCAGAGAGAGAGAGAGAAGAATATCTTAATTGTGATATTAATTATTTTTTACCCTTGTTCACTCTCATTTATTTATTGGTCTTTTACCGAGACCAGCTCAGTCGTGGAGACCCTAACCCAGTGGCGCTAGAGGAATTAAAGACACAGACACAGATACAGAGTGCAGAGTGGGAATCAGGGGGCTGATAGCCTTCAGAGCTGACCGCCACAAACAGAGTGCTACCCACATATTTATTGACAGCAAGCCAGTGATAAGCATTGTTTCTATAGATTATAGATTAACTAAAAGCATTCCTTATGGGAAACAAAGGGATGGGCTCTGGCTAGTTATCTGCTGCAGGAACATGTCCTTAAGGCACAGATTGCTCATGCTATTGTTCATGGTTTAGGAATGCCTTAAGCGGCTTTCCACCCTGGGTTGGCCAGGTGTTCCTTGCCCTCATTCTGGTAAACCAAAAACCTTCAGCATGGGCATCATAGCCATCACAAGCATGTCACAGTGCTGCAGAGATTTTGTTTATGGCCAGTTTTGGGGCCTGTTTATGGCCAGATTTGGGAGCCTGTTCCCAACAGTCTTTAATATTGTTTGTTATTATTTCTTAGTTATTGTTAAATATTTACTGTTGTTTTTTTTTGTATATTTATTTTGTGACATATGTCGGCTGCGAGTGTTGGACTTAGTCGCCAGCTCACCATGTCTAAGGTCAAACTGATGGCTCTTGCTGGTGTCAAGGTTGACCACATGGCTCTCATTGGCAGCACTATTGTTCAGGCCCAGCAGAGGGATACAATCATGATTCAATGCAGCAACGATCTTCGTGGTCTCATCCGGAAGGTTTTCCCATCTCAGCCTCCCATTTACCTGGGACTACACAGTCCATCTTCCTACTTTTTTTTTTCTACCCCCACTTTCATTTTGCTTCCACAGTATTTAGGGGGAGTTGCTGTGGCCTTTATTCTTTGTTCTTTGCTCTGTTTCTTTTTTTCTTTTATTTTTTGCTACCTTCTTTCCTCCACACTGACATGGATGTTTAATTTAATTTTATTTTTTGTAGGTCTTCTAACTCTGTCACACCCTGGCTGGAGTGTAGGTGTTCAATCAGCAGTGAGTCATTACCGTGACCTTGCCCTCCAGCCTGTGTGTGACAGTGTGACACACAGAGATTGATGGAGAGAGGGATAGACAGAGAGACAGAGACACAGACAGTGGCAGAGAGACCAAAACAGAGACAGACAGAAAGACAACAATTAGTTGTGATATTAATTCCATTTTACCTTTGTTCACTCCCACTTACTTATTTATTGGTCTTGTTATTGTTATTTCTTTGTTATTTTTAAATATTTATGGGCTGAGCGAGGTGGCTCATGCCTGTAATCTCAGCACTTTGGGAGGCCGAGGCAGGTGGATGAACTGAGGTCGGGAGTTCGAGACCAGCCAGACCAACATGGAGAAACCCCATCTCTACTAAAACTACAAAATTAGCCAGGCGTGGTGGCGCATGCCTGTAATCCCAGCTACTTGGGAGGCTGAGACAGGAGAATCGCTTGAACCCAGGAGGCAGAGGTTGCGGAAAGACAAAATTGCACTATTGCACTCCAGCCTGGGCAATGAGGGCAAGACTCTGTCTCAAAAAATATATATATTGTTGGTTTTCTTGTTTATACATTTTATGACAGATGTCAGCCACGAGTGTTGGACTTGGTCGCCAGCTTGCCATGTCTAAGGTCGACCATTTGGCTCTTGCTGGCAGCAGTACCATTCAGGTCCAGCAGAGGGATGCGATCATGATTCACTGCAGCCTGCATCTCCCCAGTCTCACGGGGCTGATCTTCCCATCTTGGCCTCCCGAGTACCTGGGACTACTCAGACCTTCTTCCTCTGCTTTATTTCTAACCCCACTTTCAGTTTGCTTCCACAGTACTTTGAGAGAGTTGCTGTAGTTTTTCTTTTTGTTCTTTGCTGTCTCTCTTTTTTTTTTAATTTTTTTTACGCTCTTTCCTGCATGCAGAAGTTGATGTTTTATACACATATATAATTTTTTAGCTAGGTCTTCTCACTCTGTCACACCCTGGCTGGAGTGCAGGTGCATGACCAGCAGTGAGCTGTGACTGCACACCTTCACCTCAGCCTGGGTTTGACAGTGTGACATACAGAGATCAAAGAGAGAGACAGAAAGACAGACAGAGACACAGACAGACAGAAACAGACAGAGAAATAGAGACAGAGAGAGACAACAATAAATTGTGATATTAATTACCTTTTACCTTTGTTCACTCCCATTTATTTATTTATTGATTGGTCATATTATTGTTCATTATCATTTCTCTGTTATTATTATTTACTGTTGGTCATTTGTTTATTAATTTTGAGGCAGTTGTCAGCTGCGAGCATTGGACCTGGCCGCCAGCTTGCCTTGTCTAAGGTCAGCCAGATAGCTCTCACCGGCAGCAGTATTGCTCATATTACTCAGGTAAGGCAGAGGGATGCAATTTTTTTTTTTTTTAGATGGAGTTTTGCTCTTGTTGCCCAGGCTAGAGTGCAGTGGCGCAATCTCGGCTCACTGCAACCTCCCCCTTCCAGTTTCAAATGATTCTCCTGCTTCAGCCTCCCAAGTAGCTGAGATTACAGGCACCCGCCACCACGCCCAGCTAATTTTTTTTTTATTTTTAGTAGAGATGGGGTTTCACCATGTTGGTCAGGCTGGTCTTGATCTCCTGATCTCGTGATCCACCCGCCTCGGCCTCCCAAAGTACCAGGATTACAAGCGTGAGCCACTGAGCATGGCTGGAAAGAGATGCAACTGTGATTCATTGTGGCATTGATCTCCCTGGTCTTGCCCAGGTGGTCTTCCCATCCATCTCGGCCTCCTAAGTACCTGAAACTGCTTGGATCTTCCTCTGTTCTTTTTCCAACTCCACTTTCAGTTTGCTTCCACAGAACTTAGAGGGAGTTGCTGTGGTTTTTCTCCTTTGTTCTTTGCTCTCTTTGTTTCATTTCCTTACACTCCTTTCTGCACGCTGAAACTGATGTTTTAGATTTCTTTTTTTTTTTTTTAGCTGGGTCTTCTCACTCTGTCACGCCCTGGCTGGAGTGCAGGTGAGTGATCAGCAATGAGCTGTGACCACACATGTGCACTCCAGCCTGGGTGTGAAACTGTGACACATGGAGATCAAGGGAGAGAGAGACAGAAAGAGAGACAATTAATTGTGATATTAATTACCTTTTATCTTTGTTCCCTCCCACTTATTTGTCTTATTATTGTTTTTTATTATTTCTTTATTGTTGAATATTTACTGTTGTTAGTTTATTTATTTTGAGACAGACTTCAGCCATGAGCATTGGACTTGGCCGCCAGCTTGCCATGTCTCAGGTGGACCAGATAGCTATAACCAGTGGCAGTACTTTTCAGGTCCAAAGGAAGGATGTGATTGTGATTCCCTATAGCCTTGATCTCCCCAGTCTCACCCTGGTGGTCTTTCCATTCAGCCTCCTAAGTATGTAAAACTACTCAAACCTTCTTCCTCTGTTTTTTTTCTAGCCCCACTTTCAGTTGGCTTCAACAGTACTTAGAGAGAGTTGCCGTAGTTTTTCTTTTGTGTCCTTTGTTCTCTCTCTCTCTTTTTAAAATCTTTTATGCTCCTTCCTAGATGCTGAAGTTGATGTTATATATATTTCTATTTAGCTAGGTCTTCTCACTCTGTCACATCATGGCTTGAGTGCAGGTGTGCAATCAACAGTGAGCTGTAACCATACACCTGCACTCTAGCCTGGGTGTGATAGTGTGACACACAGAGATCAAGGGAGAGAGAGACAGAGAAACAGAAAGACAGAAACTGAGAAACAGAGAGAGAACAACTAATTGTGATATTAATTACCTTTTACGTTTGTTTACTTCTACTTATTTATTGGTCTTATTGCTTGTTATTATTTCTTTGTTATTGTTAAAATTTACTGTTGGTTTTTTGTTTATTTATTTTGAGAGAGATGTTGGCCATGAGCTTTGGACCTGGCTGTCAGCTTGCCATGTCTAAGGTCGACCAGATGGCTCTCACTGGCGCCTGTACCATTCAGGTCCATGCAGACTGTGATTCACTGGTCACGTCCAGTTGGTCTTCCCATCTCAGCCTCCCAAGTACCTGGAACTACTTGGACCTTCTTCTTTCTTTTTTTCTCTAACCCCACTTTCAGTTTATTTCCACAGTACTTAGAGTAACTTGGTGTTGTTTTTCTTCTTTTTTCTTTTCTCTCTCTATTTTCCTGTGCTTCTTCCTGCATGCTGAATTTGACCTATTAGTTTTGTTTTTGTCACACTCCAGCCTGGGTGTGACAATCAAAGAGAGAGAGAGGGTTTTTTTTTTTTTTTTTTTTGAGATGGAGTCTCACTCTTTTGCTCAGGCTGGAGTGCAGTGGCACAATCTCAGCCACTGCTACCACCGCTTCCTGGGTTCAAACAATTCTCCCGCCTCAGCCTCCCGAGTAGCTGGGATTACAGGTACCTTCCACCATGCCTGGCTGTTTTGTATTTTTAGTAGGGACGGGGTTTCACCATGTTGGCCAGGCTGATCTTGAACTCCTGACCTCAGGTGATCCGCCTGCCTCAGCCTCTCAAAGTGCTGAGATTACAGGCATGAGCCACCATGCCCAGCCACTCACTTGGTTTTTGAAAATCTTTGAAAAATCTAGCAAAATTACTCAAACACTATTTTCATGTAAAAAAAGGAATTTTTTTTTTTTTTTTTTTGAGATGGAGTCATGCTCTGTCACCCAGGCTGGAGTGCAGTGGCACGATCTTGGCTTACTGCAACCTCTGCCTCCCGGGTTCAAGTGATTCTCCTGCCTCAGCCTCCTGAGTAGCTGAGACTACAGGCACGTGCCACCACACCCGGCTAATATTTTTTGTATTTTTATTACAGGGTTTCACCATGTTAGCCAGGATGATCTCAATCTCCTGTCCTCGTGATCCGCCCGCCTCGGCCTCCCAAAGTGCTGGGATTACAGGCGTGAGCCACCATGCCCCACCGAAAGGAAATTTTAAGGTGCTTATATTTCATACCTCAACAAGGAAAGCAAAAGCATCTATTCCCTTCAGATAATAAATGTATTATTGCATTATTTTCATGAAAAATCATGTAGTAAACAATTAGTCATATGTGAACATTTCTAGGAGGTACCAAGTTTTTGTTTGTTTGTTTGTTTTTTGGAGACGGAGTCTCGCTCTGTCACCCAGGCTGGAGTGTAGTGGTGCAATCTCAGCTCACTGCAACTTCCGCCTCCCAGGTTCAAGCAATTCTCCTGCCTCAGCCTCCCCAGTAGATGCGACTACAGGCACATGATGCCACACCCGCCTAATTCTTTTATACTTTAGTAGAGACGGGGTTTCACCATGTTGCCCAGGCTGGTCTCGAACTCCTGAGCTCAGGCGATCTGCCGGCCTCGGACTCCCAAAGTGCTAGGATTGCAGGCGTAAGCCACTGTGCCTGGCCTCAAGTTTTATCTCATAAAATTTAGCATGAAGCTCAGAAATAAAAATCACAGGATATACAACAAAAATATTCACTGTCACGAATTTACCTTGTAAAAAGAGAAACTGATGTTTTAATGAATCTATGTGACTCACTAATTACCTACCACATTTTCTTGTGGAAATGTATTTATTTTCTGCAGCCAAAATAGAAGAGAGATTTCCCTTATTTTATCCTTGGTAGCTAGCATTCTAATAGCTATGCCTTGGAATTCTGTTGGAAATCACCCAGCCATAAAAAAAACACATCTGAGAAAATTTCTAAATTCACCCAGGGAAAGCAAAAATGAGAATTTTTAGTCTGGGCACCATGGCTCATGCCTGTAATCCCAGCACTCTGGGAGATTGAGGCAAATGGATTACCTGAGGTCAGGAGTCTGGGATCAGCCTGACCCACATGGCAAAACCCCGTCTCTATTAAAAATTAAAAAATTATCCAGGCAAGGCCGGGTGCCATGGCTCACACCTGTAATCCCAGCACTTTGGGAGGCCGAGGTGGGCAGATCACTGAGGTCAGGAGTTCAAGACCAGCCTGGCCAACATGGTGAAAGCCCATCTCTACTAAAAATACAAAAATTACCCAGGCGTGGTGATGTGCACCAGCAATCCCAGCTACTCAGGGGGCTGAGGCAGGAGAATCGCTTGAACCTGGGAGGTAGAGATTACAGTGAACCGAGATTGCCCCACTGCACTCCAGCCTGGGCGACAGAGTGAGCCTTTGTCTCAAAAAAAAAAAAAAAAAAAGAAAGAAAGAAAAAAAGTAGGCCAGGTGTGGTGGCTCATGCCTGTAATCCCAGCACTTTGGGAGGCCGAAGTGGGGGGATCACCTGAAGTCAGGAGTTCGAGACCAGCCTGGCCAACATGGTGAAACCCATCTCTACTAAAAAAAAACAAAAACAAAAACAAAAACAAAAATTAGCCGGGCATGGTGGCAGGTGCCTGTAATCCCAGCTACTGCAGAGGCTGAGGCAGGAGAATTGCTTGAACTCGGGAGGCGGAGGCAGCCATGAGCCGAGATCACGCCACTGCACTCCAGCCTGGGTGACAGAGTGAGACTTTGTCTCAAAAAAAAAAAAGAAAGAAAGAAAGAAATAGGTAAATGAGAATTTTTAACCAAAGAAATATATTATTAGATTTTTCTGAAACTCACCGCCTTTATGTCCTTGTAAATACTTTACCTTTCAAACTCTACTAATAAAATGCAATTTACAGTTAAAAAACTGATGTTAATATAAGTGAACAAATCTTTTCAAGGTGACAAACCCAGGGAGTGGCAGTACTGATTAGAAAACAGATGTAGCCAGGTGCGGTGGCTCACGCCAGCACTCTTGGGCCAAGGCGGGCAAATCACCAGGTCAGGAGATGGAGACCATCCTGGCTAACACGGTGAAACCCCATCTTTAATAAAAATACAAAACATTAGCCGGGCATGGTGGCACGTGCCTGTAGTCCCAGCTACTCAGAAGGCTGAGGCAGGAGAATGGCTTGAACCTGGGAGGTGGAGGTTGCAGTGAGCCAAGATTGCACCACTGCAGTCCAGCCTGGGCGACAGAGTGAGACTGTCTCAAAAAAAAAAAAAAAAAAAAAAAATTGCAGAAGCATTATGAAAGGACAAAATAATTTGGGAAAATAGCTGAGGGATGAATTTAGAAAATCAAAGCCCAAGAGCACATTATTCATTTTAATGATAGAAAAAATTTGAGGAAAATGTTTAAAATAAAACAAAAACTTTGGAGAAATTAAATTCAACAGAGTTTAATTGAACAAAGAGTGATTTGCAAATCGAGTAGCCTGTGAAGCCAGAGTAGGCTCAGAGAGATTTCAGCATTGTGGGGGAAAGAAAGATAGATCAGATTGTTATTGTGTCTATGTAGAAAAAGGAAGACATAAAAACTCCATTTTGATCTGTACTAAGAAAAATTCTTCTGCCTTGAGATGCTGTTAATCTGTAACCCTAGCCCCAACCCTGTGCTTGCAGAAACATGTGCTGTATTGACTCAAGGTTTAATGGATTTAGGGCTGTGCAGGATGTGCTTTGTTAAAAATATGTTTGCAGGCAGTATGCTTGGTAAAAGTCATCACCATTCTCCAGTCTCGAGTACCCAGGGACACAATGCACTGCAGAAGGCCACAGGGACCTCTTCCTAAGAAAGCCTGTGCATTGTCCAAGGTTTCCCCCAACTGAGACAGCCTGAGATATGGCCTCATGGGAAGGGAAAGACCTGACCGTCCCCTAGCCCAACACCTGTAAACGGTCTGTGCTTAGGAGGATTAGTGAGAGAGGAAGGCCTCTTTGCAGTTGAGATAAGAGGAAGGCATCTGTCTCCTGCTCGTCCCTAGGATTCGAATGTCTCGGTGTAAAACCCAATCGTACATTCTATTTACTAAGATAGTGTGATACCCTACCTTGTTTTAACCGGATTGACTCTCTTTTAGCTGAGAGAGCCAGACAGACTCCATTTTTGTTTCTTCACTTGCAGCCCCCCTTATCCCCCTCCCTTAAGGACATAACTAGTGCAAGCTGACTCCAAGCACGTCCAGGAATGCACTTACTGATAAGATATAGAGGCAAGCTGAACCAGCAGCTCCTGGGGATGCGCTCGGTGGATGGTACCCAAAGCCCCTGCATTATCTCTTTGTGATAGTTTAAGCCCCTGCACCTGGAACTGTTTATTTTTCTGTAACTATCTCTGTAACCATCAATTTTTTAACTTTTTGCCTGTTTTGCTTCTGTAAAAATTGCTTCAGCTAGACTCCCCCTCCCCTTTTAGACCAAGGTATAAAAAGAAATCTAGCCCCTTCTTCGGGGTTGAGAGAATTTTGAGCGCTAGCCGTCTCTCAGTTGCTGGCAATAAAGGACTCCTGAATTAGTCTCAGAGTGTGGCATTTCTCTATAACTCGCTCGGTTACAACAATAGGAGAAAAACGCCATAAGGCTGGAGGTGAGACATGCTAGTGGCAATATTGCTCTTTACTGCACTGAGATGTTTGTGTAAAGTCAAACATAAATCTGGCCTATGTGCACATCAAGGCACAGCACCTTTCCTTAAACTTATTTATGACACAGAGTCCTTTGCTCACATGTTTTCCTGCTGACCCTCTCCCCACCATTACCCTATAGTCCTGCCACATCCCCTTCACCGAGATGGTAGAGACAGTGATCAATAAATACTGAGGGAACTCAGAGACTGGTGCCGGTGCAGGTCCTCCATATGCTGAGCGCTGGTCCCCCGGGCCCACTTTTCTTCCTCTATACTTTGTCTCTGTGTCTTATTTTTTTTTCTCAGTCTCTCATTTCCACCTTTCGAGAAATACCCACAGGTGTGGAGGGGCAGGCCCCCTTCAAGCACAGCCACAAGGTGGAAAAAGACTTATGGATAGAAAAAGCAAAATGACATACAGAAAATGGCAGTGAGGTACAGAAACAGCCAGATTGATTACAGCTTGGGGTTTGCCTTATTTGAACATGGTTTGAACAGTTGACATCCTTTTATTGGCCAAACCACAGTGGTTGGTACAAGAATGGGTACAGTCTATTTACATGTCCAGTTAGTTTTCAGTTTACTATGTAAAACAAAAAACAACTATTGACTAAAATTAAACAGGAAAGGGAGCAGCTTTAGGGTATAATTAATTTAACAATTTCTCCCTATTGGTCATCTTCTCAATTTTGAGAGATAGAACAATTTTTTTTTTCTTTTTGAGACAGAGTTTCGCTCTGTCACCCAGTGGCATGATCTCGGCTCACTGCAACCTCTGCCTTCCGGGTTCAAGCAATTCTCCTGCCTCAGCCACTTGAGTAGCTGGGACGATAGGTGTGCGCCACCATGCCCGGCTAATTTTTGTATTTTTAGTAGAGACCGGGTTTCACCATGTTGCCCAGGCTGGTCTTGAACTCCTGACCTCAGGTGATCTGCCTGCCTCGGCCTCCCAAAGTGCCGGGATTACAGGCGTGAGCCACTGAGCCCAGCCCACTGCTGTATCTTTAACTTTTCCCAAGGATTTGTGATTCCACTCTGGTTCTCCCCAGGTCCCTCACCCTGCCTATCTTCACTCCCTCACTGTGTGTTAGGCAGGTCTGGTTAGAATGGGGAGAATAATACATTCAGAGTCTGGCCTCCAAGGTATTCCCATCTGGGGTGCAGGGAGTAGGCAGGCAAGTCAGAGTCTGTGGTGGTACTTTTTGCTGGGTCTGAGGGCAGGAAGGCCAGGGCTGGACACATGAATATCTGGGGAACAACCAATGCTGATTCCTTCCCCCCGCCCAGAGTTACAACCAGGCCAGGCCAATCATCACGATTAATAAAACCACTGCAGCTCTCATTCTGCACAAAACTAAAGTGTACCCCAACCCCCAGCCCTACCACAGATCTCCAACTTCCCATCCCAGAACACAGGAAGCCCTCCATTGTTTTGACCTAAAGCCTGGACTTTAAGCCAGGTTGGGCCTGGGGATGGTGGCAGCAAAAGCAGCAGCCACAATGTCAAACATACAAATGATCTGAGAAATCTCATCTGCACGTCATTGAGTCAGAACTGACCTAGAGTTGTATACAAGTTAAGAATGACAGATCTATACCCTCATGGGCATGGACACCTTCCACACTTGCTGGGGAGAATGAGAGGCACCTGTTTCCCAGCTGCAATCTGATGTCCACATACACCCATTCACGTGTCTTCATTTAGGTCTCTGCATTGTATATTCATTGAACCAATGCAAATACATCTTCTGTGGGAGGGCATCATTTAGTGCAGCACCACCCCCCACTTGTTCTGCGGGGCAGTCAGGAGGGATCTGGTCAGCTCTTAATTCCCTCCCCCTTTCCAGCACTCATATCCAGCAGCACCATCTCAGGATTTTTGTTTTGTTTTCTTTTCTTTTCTTTTCTTTTTTTTGAGACGCAGTCTCGCCCTATAGCCAGGCTGGAGTGCAATGGCACGATCTCAGCTCACTGCAACCTCTGACTCCCTGGTTCAAGTGATTCTCCTGCCTCAGCCTCCCCAGTAGCTGGGATTACAGGCGCACACCACCACACCCAGCTAATTTTTGTGTTTTTAATAGAGATGGGGTTTCACCATGTTGGCCAGAATGGTCTGGATCTCCTGACCTCGTGATCCGCCCGCCTCAGCCTCCCAAAGTGCTGGGTTTTTTCTGCATTATCAAAATGATTAAAAAGTTGTTTTAAAATGTCCAAATGGGGCTGGGCGCGGTGGCTCACGCCTGTAATCCCAGCACTTTGAGAGGCCGAGGCGGGCGGATCACGAGGTCAAGAGATCGAGATCATCCTGGCTAACACAGTGAAACCCTGTCTCTACTAAAAATACAAAAAAAAAAAAAAAAAAAAAAAAAAAAAAAAAAAAAAAAAAAAAAAAAAAATTAGCCAAGCGTGGTGGCGGGCGCCTGTAGTCCCAGGTACTTGGAAGGCTGAGGCAGGGGAATGGCCTGAACCCGGGAGGCGGAGCTTGCAGTGAGCCGAGATCGTGCCACTGCACTCCAGCCTGGGAGACAGAGCGATACTCCGTCTCAAAAAAAAAGTCCAAATGGGCCGGGAACGGTGGCTCACGCCTGTAATCTCAGCACTTTGGGAGGCTGAGGGGGGCAAATCACCTGAGGTCAGGAGTTCGAGATCAGCCTGGCCAACACGGCAAAACCCTGTCTCTACTAAAAATGCAAAAAGTAGCCGGGCGTGGTGGCATGCGCCTGTAATCCCAGTTACTCGGAAGGCTGAGGCAGGAGAATCGCTTGAACCCGGGAGGCGGAGGTTGCAGTGAGCCAAGATTGCACCATTGCACTCCAGCCTGGGCAATAAGAGCGAAACTAGGTACAAAAAAAAAAAAAAGTCCAAATGTTTTTTTCTTACCCTTAAGTAGTAAATAAGATGCATTATACAAGCAAACCCAGGTAAGGGAAAGAGCAAGTGCATTTCAAGTCTCAGCTCACTTCTTTATTAGCTGTAATTCCCTGTGCACCTTACCCTACCTACTTTAGCCTGTTTTCCTGTCAGTAAAATGCACTAATGCTGAGAGGAGGGGGTTGGTATGGAGAGAGAGTGCTGGTGCTTTATCCAATCAGTGGCGCTAGCGCAGGAACCGCCCAGTTGGAGAGGAGGGCGTGGCTTCCGGCATTTGGTGGGGCCTTTGTATCTCACTCCCGCCACAGCTTGGGATCGGTCTCTGCTGTTTTACGTCCTCCACCTCGGGAGCCCCCGGTGACTGTCACAGCCTCTTGCCCTGTGATCTGCAGGTTCTGGGAGACGCACAGCTAAGATGCCAGGACATCCTGGAAGCTGGGAAAAGGTGAGTGTGCGGGGCTGGGCATCCCGAGAGGGGAGAGCGAGCTGTGAAACCGGCGGGACCGGCCTCCCCACAGTCCGCTCCCGGGTCGCCAACCTGAGTCTCCGCTGGCGGAGCTCCGCCCCAGACCCCTCTCGCCGTAAGATGGCGGCTGGGCCCGCAGCCGGGACCCCGGCGTCCCGCCCGGACCCTGCGGCGCCGTGTCTGGAGCTCCCTGGGCAGCTCTGCACGCAGCGCCGAGTATTTCCCGGATTGTTCAGGGATGCCAGGCGGGTCATTAGGGCAGAATTCCGACTCGTGTGTGCGTAGAAGGAGCTGTGGCAGGTGAGACTCCCAGTCTCTTGTTAAACATGTTTGTTTGTTTGAGACGGAGTCTTGCTTTGTTGCCCAGGCTGGAGTGCAGTGGCGTGATCACTGCAACCTCTGCCTCTCAGGCTCAAGCGATTCCCGTGCCTCAGCGCCCCCCCCCCCGGCCCCCGAGAAGCTGGGATTACAGACCTGCGCCACTACGCCTGGCAAATTTTTGTATTTCTAGTAGAGAAGTGGTTTCACCATGGTGGAAGGTGGTCTGGAACTCCTGGCCTCAAGTGATACGCCCGCCATGGCCTCCCAAAGTGCTAAGATTACAAGCATGAGCCACCGCGCCCAGCCGCTTCTATTAAATATTAAAGGGAGTCAATGTTAAAACGTTAACGAGTTTATTTGAGCAGTGATTGGTGAAATGGAAAACACCCAGCCATAATATGTGGCCCACCTGAGAGACATAAAGGAAAGGGTTTTATAAAGGGCGTGTGAGAAGGCAAACCAAATTGGAGAATTGGTTACAGTTATGTAGTCACCTTATTTGTATGATTCAGGTGGAAATTTCCTGGTTATGTAATCAGAGGTTAATTGCAGGTTTATGATTGGTTAAGCCTGAATTTTGTTTCTGCCTAAAATAGTAATTTATAAGAAGTGAATTTGAGTTAGGTTTTTCATTTTTTACTTATGAACACAGGGCACTAGAGCCACTTCAGTCTAATTTCCTGCTTTTTAGTTATCTCAACACTCCACAGGACTGGTTTACCTCTGTGACTTCCTAATGTATGGCAAGCAGGACTTCAAATCCACCTTTTCTCCTA
The DNA here is from genome assembly GCF_000001405.40 of Homo sapiens. Classification (NCBI taxonomy): domain Eukaryota; kingdom Metazoa; phylum Chordata; class Mammalia; order Primates; family Hominidae; genus Homo; species Homo sapiens. The sequence continues at coordinate 23,272,957 of NC_000019.10, read as the reverse complement.
GCTTAACTCAGGCTTGCAGTAAAATTATAAATGTCCGCTTTCATTCCTACATTCTCAAATGTAGGAAATGAGGACAGCTTCCTCTCTCCAATTTACAACACTATCAACTATTTGTCCTTTATTGTACATTTCAAACACAGTGTTTTAATTGTTAATCATGTTTTTACACAGCAGTGAATGGCAGGTTTTTAAAGATTTGTTTTCTGTCTGTAAACATTTTTTTTTTTTTTTGAGGCAGTTTCACTCTCGTTGCCCAGGCTGGAGTGCAATGGCGTGATCTCAGCTCACTACAACCTCCACCTCCCAGGTTCAAGGGATTCTCCTGCCTCAGCCTCCCAAGTAGGTGGGATTACAGGCTTCTGCCACCATGACTGGCTAATTTTTGTATTTTTAGTAGAGACAGGCTTTTGTCTTGTTTGCCAGGCAGGTCTCGAACTCCTGACCTCAGGTGATCCACCCGCCTCAGCCTCCCAAGTCTGTAAACATTTTACGTGAGAAAAAAGTAGAAAATAATCCTCTGAAATTCCACTGGGAAAAAAAAAAATCTGTGCCTCTCTTCCTTTTATCTTTTCTAGGCACACACACCTTAGTAAATCTTTGGGTTGAAGCTTTGCTTTGGAGAAATTACAGAGCCCTTTACAGCAGCCCTCCAGTCTTTTTTTGGTCATGAGTTTCAGAATGGTCTGGGATAATCCAAGATACCCACAGTGGCCATATCTCTTGGAGTGTCTAATGAATATCATCCCCTGGGTCATCTCTTGGAGAACAGCCTGAGGAGTAAGAGTGTAGCCTCTCAGAAGAGCAGCTGGATGGCCTAGGCCTGTGGAAAATTTTCTTGTATACTATTTGTCTAAAAAGCTAACCTCTTAGAAAATTAAAATTATTTTTTCACAAAGGAACCCTTATGAACTGTTGGTGGGAGTGTAAATTAGTTCAACCATTATGGAAGACAGTGTGACAACTCCTCAAAGACCTAAAGACAGAAATACCATTTGACCCAGCAATCCATTATTGGGTATTTACCCAAAGCAATGTGAATCATTCTATTATAAAGACTCATGCATGCGTATGTGCACTGCAGCACAATTCACAATAGCAAAGACATGGAATCAACCTAAATGCCTATCAGTGATAGACTGGATAAAGAAAATGTTGTACATATACACCATGCCACTGTGCACCCATACAAAAAATGAGATCATATCTTTTGCAGGAACGTGGACAGAGCTGTAAGCCATTATTCTTAGGAAACTAACACAGGAATAGAAAACTACCGCATGTTCTCACTTACAAGTGGGAGTTAAGTGATGGGAACACATGGACCCATAGAGGGGAACAACACATACTGGGGCCTATCGGACGTGGGAGAGGATCAGGAAAAATAACTAATGGGTAGTAGGCTTAATACTTGGGTGGTGAAATAATCTGCACAAAAAATCGCCATGACACACATTTATCTATGTAAAAAATTTGCACATGTACCCTTGAACTTAAAAGAATTTGGTAGCTTTTCCAATAATTCCCTGACAGGGATTTTGCTTGTATATGATACCTATTATGTATAAGACATTTTGATTACACAGATGAACAGGGTTCAACATACCTGCCCTGTAGGAGTTTATAGTTCATTAGCATGGATAGATGTGTAAATGATTAATTTATTCTGGAGAATAATACTTGCACATAAAAAGACATAAGGTATTGAGCTGAATGGTAATAGTGATCAATTGTGCCACTGACATAGAGGGAAAATCAGAGCTTTATAAAGGAGGTGACATTTGAGTGGGTGTCAGGGTTTAATAGAACTTTTTGTGTTAATGCTGCTGGTGCAGAGTATACCTTTTTTTTTTTTTTTGAGACAGAATCCCGCTCTGTTGCCCAGGCTGGAGTGCAGTGGTGCGATCTCGGCTCACTGCAACCTCAGCCTCCCAGATTCAAGTGATGCTCCCACCTCAGCTTCCCAAGTAGCTGGGATTACAGGCATGAGCCACTGCACCCAGTCCCAGAGTAAAAAATTATTTCCAGCCTGGCCAACATGGTGAAACCCTGTCTCTACTAAAAATACAAAAAATTAGCTGGGCGTTGTGGCATGTGCCTGTAATCCCAGATACTCAGGAGGCTGAGGCAGGAGAATTGCTTGAACCCGGGAGGCAGAGGTTGCAGTGAGCCAAGATCACCACTGCACTCCTGCCTGGGCAATAGAACAAGACTCCATCTCAAAAAATAAAACAAAACAAAAAAAAGCCTGGGCGTGGTGGCTCATGCCTGTAATCCCAGCACTTTGGGAGGTTGGAGGTGGACGGATCACAAAGTCAGGAGTTTAAGAGCAGCCTAGCCAATATGGTGAAACCCTGTGTCTACTAAAAATACAAAAATTCGCTGGGCGTGGTGGCGGGCACCTGTAGTTCCAGCTACCCGGGAGGCTGAGGCAGGAGAATCGCTTGAACCTGGGAGGCGGAGGTTGCAGTGAGCTGAGATCATGCCACTGCACTCCAGCCTGGGTGACAGAGCGAGACTCTGTCTCAAAAAAAATTATTAAAAATAAAATGTTACCCGTTGACTCTGAAATATATTGAGGGGTCTTCCCTGATGACATAAAAATGAACAAGTGTGTAAACAGTTAAAAAGTTTCTTCTCAACCTATTTTTTTTTTTTTTTTTTTTAGATGGAGTTTCACTCTTGTTGCCCAGGCTGGAGTGCATTATCCCAATCTCGGCTTACTACAACCTCCGCCTCCCAGGTTCAAGTGATTCTCCTACCTCAGCCTCCTGAGTAGCTGGGATTACAAGCACCTGCCACCACACCCGGCTAATTTTTTGTATTTTTAGTAGAGATGGGGTTTCATCATGTTGGCCAGGCTGGTCTCGAACTCCTGACCTCAGGCGATCCACCCACTTCCCAAAGTGCAGGGATTACAGGTGTGAGCCACCACGCCCGGCCTCTCAACCTATCAACCTAATTTTTATTCTTAGTAGACACGTTGGTGGTGAGCCAATCAGATGTTGTTATTGATGAGAAAAAGCAGAAATGATTTCTGTTGATTCTTGAAATAAAATTTTTTCCAAAGGACAAGAAGCTCCCATCCCAGTAAGGCAATGCAAGAACCTGAAGCAAAATGCACCTGAGGCTTACAGTGGGGTACAGTACAGTGTCTCCTGGGAAGGTGGTCACTAATTTAATGGGCAGGGTGGGGATGGGAGAATGTTTTGAGTGATATTATGGTCTGACTTGACAGTGGAGTCAGACATGTTTGTGTTCCAATCAGCACTGCCACTTCCTGAGTTTGTCACCTTGGAAAGATTTTTTCACTTATTTTGATTTCAGTTTTTTAATAACTGTAAGTTACATTTCATCAAAAGAGCTTAAATGATGTTTAAAAAGTCAAAGACTTTGAAAGGTATATTTCAGAAAAATCTAGTCATATATGTTATTTGTTACAGATTCTTATTTACCTTTATCTTCCCCAGAGTGAATGTAGTAAGTTTCTCATGTCTGTTTTTTCTGGTTGCATGATTTTTTTTTTTTTTTTTTTTTTGAGATGGAGTCTCGCTCTGTCACCCAGGCTGGAGTGTAGTGGTGCAATCTCGGTTCACTGCAAGCTCTGCCTCCCGGGTTCATGCCATTCTCCTGCCTCAGCCTCCCGAGCAGCTGGGACTACAGGCGCCCGCCACCATGCCCGGCTAATTTTTTGTATTTTTAGTAGAGACGGGGTCTCACCATGTTGGCCAGGATGGTCTTGATCTCCTGACCTCGTGATCCACCCGCCTCAGCCTCCCAAAGTGTTGGGATTACAGGCATGAGCCACTGTGCCCGGCCGGTTGCAAGATTTTAAATAGAACCCCAGGGCTTTGCTTTGGGGAATGCTGTCAGAGAAGAGAAATGGAAAAATCTTTTTTCCATTAAAGCTATAGAAAGTGAATACATTTCTACAAGCAAATGTGATAGATTAATTGGTGCATTGTATATATTTCTCAAACCATCAACTCCTCTTTTTTGCAGGGTCTAGAATTTGTAACGATGGGTATCTCTGTTCTGTATTCTGTTGTCTGAATGTCCAAGTTTAATGCTAAATTTTATGAGATGGAACTTGACACCTTCTAGAAATGTTCACATATAGTTGTTTATTAAATTGTCTATCAGGGAAATATTTAAATAACATGTTATTGTCTGAAAAGGACAGATACTTATGCTTTTCTTTTTTTTTTTTTTTTTGAGATGGAGCCTCACTGTGTTACCCAGGCTTGAGTGCAGTGGCATGATCTCGGCTCACTACAACCTCCACCTCCCGGGTTCAAGCGATCCTCCTGCCTCAGCCTCCCAAGTAGCTGGGACTATAGGCAAGCACCACCACGCCCAGCTAATTTTTGTATTTTTAGTAGAGACGGGTTTCACCATGTTGGCCAGGCTGGTCTTGAACTCCTGACCTTAGGTGATCCACCCACCTCAGCCTCCCAAATTGCTGGGATTACAGGTGTGAGCCACTGTGCCCAAACCTACTTAAGCTTTTTATATTGTAGTAGAAAATTTAAGTCTTACAATTTCCTTACAATATTCTATAAACAATGTGTTGGAGTGATTTTACTCTTTTCTTGAAACGTTGGTCATTTTCGTTTTTTGACTTTTTTTGTTGTTTTTTTTTTGAGACTGAGTCTTGCTCTATCGCCCAGGCTGGAGTGCAGTGGTGCGATCTTGGCTTATTGCAACCTGCGCCTCCCGGGTTCAAGGGATTCTCATGCCTCAGCCTTATGGATAGCTGGGATTACAGGTGCATGCCACTACGCCCGGCTAATTTTTGTATTTCTAGTAGAGATGGGGTTCACCAAATTGGTCAGGATGGTCTCGAACTCCTGACCTTAAGTGATCCTCCTGCCTCAGCCTCCCAAAGTGCTGGGATTACAGGCATTGAACCACCGCACCTGGCCTTACATTGGTCATTTTCTTATTTAAAACTAAGTGAGTAACCCTGACTGGTAAGTAGAAGCCTGAACTCAGTGACTGCAAGCTAAGGACAGCTTTGCCTGTAAAGTGAGATCATTGAAGGAGCAGCCAGTTCTGCCTGAGGAGCCTCCCCTGCAGATGTTCTGGCCTGCTCACAATAGCCATGGACAGAGCATTTATACTTAGAGAAGCCACGGAGCCCTGAAAACCTCGAAATCCACAGGCAGATGCAGTTGGGATTGGCACAAAAGTGGGGTTGGGAAGCTCTTTCTGGGAATAGAGTTGTTATTATTCTGAGGTTGTTTCTAGATTTTGTAAAATATGACAAATTTAGATTTAGGTAAGAAGTTACTTAATTTTTTGAGTCTCATTCTCTCACCCAGGATGTAGTACAGTGGTGCAATCTCGGCTCACTGCAACCTCTGTCTCCTAGATTCAAGCGATCTTCTTGCCACAGCCTCCCTAGTAGCTAGGACTACAAACAGGCGCCCTGATGCCTGGCTAATTTTTGTATTTTTAGTAGAGATGGGGTTTCACCATGTTGGTCAGGCTGTTCTCAAACTCTGGACCTCAGGTGATCCACCCACCTCAGCCTCCCAAAGTGCTGAAATTACAGGTGTGAGCCACTGTGCTTGGTAAGAAGTTACTTAATTTTTTGTTTTTTTTTTTTTGAGATGGCATTTCGCTCAGTTCCCTAGGCTCGAGTCCAATGGGGTGATCTTGGCTCATTGCAACCTCCGCCTCCCGGGTTCAAGCAATTCTCCTGCCTCAGTCTCCCAAGTAGCTGGGATTACAGGCACCCGCCATCATGCCCAGCTAATGAAGTTACTTAATTTTAAAGGAGTATTGCAACAAGGGGAAAGCACCAATTATAAGATGTTGGAGAATTTTAAAGGTTAGAGAGAAAAGGACTTTCTTTCATAAGGAAGAGAAAACAAAGTCAGAAAAAAAGTGGGAAGGGGAGGGATAGAACATGGTGAAAGTAGATGCTAGATCAGGGAATATTTTACGCAGAAGTCAGCCTGGTTTGTTTGTTGGTTTGTTGGTTTGTTTGAGACGAGGTCTTTGCCCTGTTGCCTAGGCTGGAGTGCAGTGGCACAGTCTCAGCTCACTGCAGCCTCCACCTCCCAGGTTCAGGCAATTCTCTTACCTCAGCCTCCCGAGTATCTGGGATTACATGTGCAACAGCACACCTGGCTAATTTTTTATATTTTTAAATTTATTTTTACGTTTTTTTTTTGAGACAGAGTCTCGCTCTGTCACCAGGCTGGAGTGCAGTGGCGTGATCTCGGCTCACTGCAACATAGCCTCCCGGGTTCAAGCCATTCTCCTGCCTCAGCCTCCCAGGTAGCTGGGACTACAGGCGCAGGCCACCACACCCAGCTAATTTTTGTATTTTTAGTAGAGACAGGGTTTCACCATGTTGGCCGGGATGGTCTTGATCTCTTGACCTTGTGATCTGCCCACCACGGCCTCCCAAAGTGCTGGGATTACAGGTGTGAGCCACCGCACCTGGCCTGAGTGCTATTTTAAATCATCCAGAATCAGCTGTGTATAATTATCAGGTAGAAAAGTCAGTGATTTAGAAGCACACTTTGCAAATTGTATCATGTGCAACAATAAACTGGAGATCATCTTGAGATGCAGATTCTCATTCAAGAGATCCGGGGTTGGGCTTATGTTTCTGTGTTTTTTTTTTTTTTTTTTTTTTTTTGGGAAAGAGTCTTGCCTATTCCCCACGCTGGAGTGCAGTGGCACAATTTCGGCTCACTGCAAACCTCTGTCTTCAGGGTTCAAGCAATACTTCTGTCTCAGCTTTTCAAGTAGCTGGGATTACAGGTGTGTGCCTGTAAGAATTCATGGAGAATATGAAATTGAGAGTTTTATAGAATTTACAGGTTTATAGCATTATAGCAAGAATGGCAACAATTTTTTTTTTTTTTTTTTGAGACAGTCATCTTCTGTCACCCAAGATGGGGTGCAGTGGCGCGATCTTGGCTCACTGCAACTGCTGTCTCCCAGGTTTTAGTGATTCTTCTGCCTCAGCATTTTGAGTAGCTGGGATTACAGGTACGCGCCACAAAGCCTGGCTAATGTTTTTTCTGTTTGTTTTTGTTTCTGTTTTTGTTTTTTTGAGACGGAGTCTCGCTCTGTCGCCCAGGCTGCAGTGCGGTGGCACCATCTCGGCTCACTGCAAGCTCTGCCTCCCAGGTTCATGCCATTCTCCTGCCTCAGCCTCCTGAGTAGCTGGGACTACAGGCGCCACCACGCCCGGCTAATTTTTTGTATTTTTAGTAGAGACGGGGTTTCACCTTGTTAGCCAGGATGGTCTCGATCTCCTGACCTTGTGATCCACCCGCCTCGGCCTCCCAAAGTGCTGGTATTATAGGCGTGAGCCACTGCGCCTGGCTGATTTTTTTTTTTTTTTTTTTTTTTTTTTTTTTTTTTTTTAAATAGAGACGTTTCACCATGTTGGCCAGGCTGGTCTGGAACTCCTCACTTTAAGTGATCCTTTGGGATCATTTGGAGTCCCAAATTGCTGAGATTACAGGCATGAGCCACCATGCCTGGCAACAATCTTTCTTGGGCTATATTGACTACTAAATTTTATCCTAGCAATTTTTTATATATTAATGCACAATACAACAATAATTTATGAGAAGTAATAATATTTGCCCCTGTTTATGAAAATTTTCTGGGCCAGATGCAGTGGCTCATGCCTGTAATCCCAGCACTTTGGGAGGCTGAGGTGGGTGGATCACAAGGTCAGGAGTTCAAGACCAGCCTGGCCAACATTGTGAAACCCTGTCTCTACTAAAAATATAAAAATTAGCTGGGCATGGTGGTGGGTGCCTCTAGTCCCAGCTACTCGGGAGGCTGAGTCAGGAGAATCGCTTGAACCTGAGAGGCAGAGGTTGTAGTGAGCCGAGATCACACTATTGCACTCCAGCCTGGGCAACGAGTAAAACTCCATCTCAAAAAAAAACAAAAAAAAAAAAAAAGAAAAAATATTTTGTGAAATATTTAGTACACAGTAGAGCTTTGTTGTTTTTTTTTCCTTTGTGTTTTTTTGGGGTTTTTTGTTTTGTTTGTTTTTTTTTAATTGAGACAGAGTCTTGCACTGTCGCCTGGGCTGCAGTGCAGTGGCATGATCTTGGCTCACCACAACCTCCGCCTCCCGGGTTCAATCAATTCTCTTGCTTCAGCCTCCCAAGTAGCTGGGATTACAGGTGCCTGCCACCATGCCCAGCTAATTTTTTGTATTTTTAGTAGAGAAGGATTCCTCCATGTTGGTCAGGCTGGTCTCAAACTTCTGACCTCAGGTGATCTGCCTGCCTCGGCCTCCCAAAGTGCTGGGATTACAGGCATCAGCCACTGTGCCCGGCGACTCTTTTCTTACGTGGGCTTTGCTAATAGTAGAGATTGTGACCTATCTCTGGGCCCAGCACCTAGATATTATGACTGTCCTACCCTGCCTGGTCCATGCCCACAGAAAAGAGTGACTTATCACTAGGCTTAACACACAAGTGATTCGATTCTTCTGCATGATCCCAGCCCACATGGCTTATTGTGACATATCTAGACCCATCACCTAGATGATGTAACTCTCCTTTTCTTTCTGGGAACTGTCCATAATGAGGATTGTGACACATCACTTGGCCCAGCACTTATGTGATATGACTCTCTTCTTTTGCCTGGGCTTATCAAATTGGGTGATTATGTCATATAGCTGTACTCAGCTCCTAGGTTATGTGTCTCTCCTGTTTCTCCTGAGTCCAACCCACAGAGGTCATTGCAACATATCTCTGAGCCCCTAATTTACGTAGTTTGACTCCTGCCTGGGCCCTCCCTTCAGTGATTTTTGTGACATATTTTTTGACTCAGCACCTAGGTAATGTGACTCTTCTCCACTGCTTGGACTCTGTCACAGAAGGTATTGTGATGTATCACTGGGCCTGACACCTAGGTGAAGGTACTGTCTTCTCCTGCCTGGGCCCTGCATAAATTGTATATTTTGACATGTCACTGGGTTCAACACATGGGTGATTCAACTCTCTCACATGGACCTTGAGCATGGGGTTATTAGGACATTTATTTTTGTTCATCTCAGTGATATGACTCCTTTCCTCCCTGAACCCTGTCAAAAAGAAAGATTGTGACATATCACTTAAACCAGAACTTAGGTGATGAGACTCTTCTGTCTAGCAACCACTTATTTTGGGTATTGTGACATTTCACTGGGCCAAACACCTAAAAAATGGGAGGCTCCTGCCTCAGCCCTGTCCACATATATCTGGACATATATCTGCATCCATTACATAAAACATGTGATACCTTTTCTGCCTGTACCCTGCCCACAGGAAAGATTGTGACACTGCAGGGCCTGGCCGCCAGCTGTTGTGTCTCACCTGAATGTACATAACTTTCAGGAGAAAGTTGTAACATGTCACTGGTTGAAAACCCAGATGATGTGACTCTCCTGGCTTTTCACAGCCCTCAGGGAAAAAATTTACATATCAGTGGCCCAGCATCCAGGTGATGCGACTCTCCTGGGTGCTTTCTGCCAACAAGTTGATTGGTAACATATATCTCATCCCAGCTCACAGGTTTGATGATGACTCTAATACTTCATACCAGTCAATAGAAGAGATAGTGTCTCTCACAGCTAGGCTTAGAAAAAGGAGTAAAATCTCAGGTCTCCTCTCTGCATGAAGGTTATAGCGAATCACCACTCTCATATATTGTATAAAGCACTCAGATGATACAGAGCATGTCATCATAGGACCCAGCAAACAGGTTAGATCATGTTTCATGTAAGCGCTCCCTGACAATTTTTAGAATTGTCATCGTCACACATGGTGAAAGTCCACTGATGAGGTCATAATTCTCATGCACAGATGCAGTCCACAGTTAAAATTGTAACTATCATATGTAAACGTGGCCACAGTTGAGATGGTGACTCATTTCTAAACCCAGCTCATAGGTGAGTGAGGACTCTCCTCTCTGGACCCAGCCAATTGAAGAGATGTTGACCCATACCTAGACTTAGGACCACATAAGATCATGGGTCCAAAGCAGCGCAAAGTTCTCAGAGTAGGTTGCAACTCATACAGTCCTCAAGAGAGTGCCCTTACAGGGCCAAGCACACAGGTGAGATTGTCAAACTTACATTCACACCCAGTCAATAGCAAAGATTGTCATTTACTTAAACACACCCTACTTTTGAGGTTCTGAATCTCACTTTTGGAGGCAGTTGAATGTTGGAAAATTGACTCTCATTTGTGTGGATTTTGTCCACATTTGGGTGACTCTTTAATCAAAATTCAGCACACCTTTGTGACTGTAACTTCACTAAGGAGCTTTATTTATTTAGAGATGAAGTTTCATTCTTGTAACCCAGGCTGGAGTGCGGTGGCGTGATCTCCGCTCACTGCAACCTCTGCCTACTGGGTTCAAGCGATTCTCCTGCCTGATTCTCCCAAGTAGCTGGGATTACAGGTGCTCACTACCATGTTGGCTAATTTTTTGTATTTTTAGTAGAGATGGGGCTTTACCATGTTGGTCAGGCTGGTCTTGAACTCCTGACCTCAAGTGATCCGCCCACCTCGGCCTCCCAAAATGCTGAGATTACAGGTGTGAGCCACCGTGCCCAGTCTAAGGCACACAATTTGCAAAGGAAATTGAGGCTCTCGCACAAATCCAGTCCACCCTGTACTTACACCCAACATGCAGGAGGTGTTGACTCTCATCCCTTGACTCAGGACATGTGTGTAATTGTTAATGTCATCGCAAGGCCTTTTGACAAGTGTAATTGTGACATATACCTTGGCCTAGCATCTGAGTTATTTGTTGTTTCCTGGGTCCAGCTCACAGTGCCATATCACTGGATCCAGACCCTTGGTAATGTGATTCTATTCTGCCTTGATACAGCCCACAGGGGTCATTGTGACATCGCTGGGCATTGCACCTAGGTGATTTGAGTCTCCTCTTCTGCCTTGGTGCTGCCCACAGGTGTATTGTGACATATTGCTGGGCGTATGTTATGTGACTCTTGCTTGTGCCCTAAACACATAGGCCATTGTAACATTGCTGAGTGCAACACCCAGGTGATGTAACGCTTCACCCTGGACCTGTCTACAGAGGGCATTGTAATATATGTCTTCACCAATCACCCAGGAAATGTGACTTTTTATTCCTCCCTGTTCTGTACTCACAGGGGGTATTGGGACATATTGGGCCCAGCACCTAGCTGATGTGACTTTTCTTTATTCTAGGTTCTGACAACAAAGGAGATTGTGACATATTGCTGGGCCTAACACTAAGGTGATGTTAGTTATTTGCTTTGGCTGTGCCCTTGGAAGGCATTGAGACATACTGCTGTGCCCAGCACCAAGATGATGTGAGTTCCCTGCCTGAACCCTGATCACAGGAAGCATTGTGACCTATCTGTTGACCCACTGCAATCTCTCCTGTGGGAAAAGCACAGATAAATGCCCTCTTTTACCTACGTGATTTGACACTCCTCTACTGCCTGGGCCGTGCCCACAGAATAGAGAGTGACTTATCACTGGACCAAGCACACCAGTGATGTAATTATTCTGCTTGGTCCTTGCACACACAAGTCACTGTGATATATGTTTGGGCCCATCACCTAGATGATGTGACTCCTCTTCTGGGGTCCACAGTGGGAATTGTGATACATCGCTTGACGTAGCTCTTATGTGATGTGACTTTTCTTTCATGCTTGGGCCCTTCCTACTGGGATGATTGTAACATAAAGCTGAGCCCAGCACCTACGTTATGTGACTCTCCTCTTGTTTATGAGCCCTACCCGCAGGAGGCATTGTGACATATCTTTAGGCCTCTCACTTAGGTAATGTGACTTCTTTGCCTAGGCCCTCCCCTCCAGAAATATCATGAAATATTTCTGGACCAAGAACCTAGGTGATATGACTCTCCTCTTCTGCTTGGGACCTGCATACATTGTGTGTTGCAACATGTCTCTGGGTCCAACACCAAGGTGATGTGACTGTCCTGCATGGATGCTCCCACGGAAATAACACATCTCTTTATTCATTATCTAGGTAACGTGACTCTTCTGCTTCAGGCCTGCCAAAAGAAAAGATTGTGACAGATCACTGGACCCAGCACCTAGGTGATATGACTCTCCTCATTTGCCTGAGACCTGCATATTTTAGACATTGTGATATACAACTGGAACAAACACCTAGGGGTTGGAAGGCTCCTGCCTGAGTCCCTCCCACAGGAGGCCTTGTGATGTTTTTTTGTTTGTTTTTTGTTTTCTTTGAGATGGAGTTTTGTTATTGTTGCCCAGACTGGCATGCGGTGGCGCAACCTTGGCTCACCGCAACCTCCGCCTCCCGGGTTCAAGCAGTTCTCCTGCCTCAACCTCCCGAGTAGCTGGGATTACAGGCATCTGCCACCATGCCCGGCTAATTTTCTATTTTTAATAGAGACGGGGTTTCTCCATGTTGGTCAGGCTGGTCTCAAACTCCTGAAATCAGGTGATCCACCTGCCTTGGCCTCCCAAAATGCTGGGATTACAGTTGTGAGCCACTGCACCCAGCTTTGTGATGTATTTCTGCATCCATCATGCAGGAGATAAAACTCTGTATTTTTGCCTGCATTCTGCCCACAGGGAAGATTTTGACATATTGTTGGGCCCAGCAACCAGTCGTTTTGTCTGTCATATCTGGGCCCAGCACCCAAGGGATCTCACTCTTCTACCTGTGCCCTGCTTTCAGGAGGGATTGTAACATCCCTGGTCAAGCCCCCAGTGATGTGATTCTCCTGTTTGATGCCTGCCCTCAGGGAGGATTGTGACATAGCCCTGGCCCAACACACAGTTCATGTAACTCTTGAATTTGCTCTTTACATACAGGTAGGATTGTGACATATATCTGGCCAAGCGTACAGATGTAATGATGACTGTCATACCTTGAAGAAGCCAATAGCAGAGAGAATGTTGCTCTCAGGCTTAGGAAAATGAGGAAGTCTTTCTGTACAAAAGTCATAAAGAATTACTACTCTCTCACATATATTACGCCCTAGTGTGTTACAGAGAATGTCATAACAGGGCCCAGCACACAAGTGAGATTGTGTTTGTCCTATGCACACTACACCAACCTTTACAGTTGTCACCCTGACCCATTGACAGAGTCTGCTAGTGAGGTTCTGAATTACATGTGAACACAGTCCGCAGTTGGAATTGTGACTGTCATATGTGAACATCTGGCTACAGTTGGGATGGTGACTCATTTCTAAATCCAGCTCATAGGAAGGTGAAGACTCTCCTATCTGGACTCAGTTGGTGAGAGAGATGTTGACTCTCATATCTGGGCTTAGAACCACAGGAAAGATTCTGGAGCTCCTTGTGCAAAGGTCATAGAGGATTATCAATCTTGCATATTGTATAAAGTCCTCAGGTGACACAGAGTGTCTCTCGAATGCACACCCAGGCAACAGTAAAGATTGTCATTCTCCCACATAAACACATCCCACTGTTGAAGTTCTGAATTTCACAGAGGCTGTCAAAAGTTGGATAATTGCCTCTCATGTGTGGATCTGGTCCACAGGTGGGTTAGTGACTTCCAGACCAAGGTTCAGCGCACATGTAAGGCTGTGACTACACTAAGAAGATACAGTCTGCAGAAGAAACTGTGGCTCTTTTGCACACATTCTGTCAATCATTGTGATTGCGACTCATGTACTTAGACCCAACATACAGGAGGTGTTGACTTTCATACCTTTAGAACCTGGACATGTTTGGAATTTCTAATCTAATCCCTGGACTTTCCTGCAGGTGTGATTGTGTGCATTGCAAAGCACCTTAGTGATTTGACTCTCCTGCCTTGGCCAAGCACACAAATGAGATTGTGACATATGGCTTGACTCTGAACCTCCAAGATGTGACTCTTTTTTCCAGCCTTGGAGCTGCCCACATGTTGCATTGTGACATATTCCTAAGCCCTGCACTCAGGTTATGTGACTCTCCTTTTTTGCTTAGGCCCTGAATATTTTTCATGTTAAGACATATTACTAGGTCCAACACCTATAAAATGGGAGACTACCACCTGGGCTCTTTCTACAGAGGGCCTTGTGACATACCTCTGCATCAATAACCTAGGAGATGTGATGCTCCATTTTTGCCTGTACGTGCCCCACAGAAAAAATTGTGGCTGGCCCAGGTACCAGGTGATGTGTCTCTGCTGCCTGGGCCTGGACCACAGAGAGCATTGTTACTGATTGCTGGGCTCAGCACCCAGGTGATGTGACTCTGCTGCCTGTGTGCTGCTTTCAGGAGAAGGTTGTAACTTATTCCTGGCTGAGTATGCAGTCACACTCCTGACTGATCTCTGCCCTCAGAAAAGGTTGTGTCAAGCCGGGCCCGGTGGCTCATGCCAGTAATCCCCAGCACTTAGGGAGACCGAGGTGGGTGGATCGCCTGAGGAGTTTGAGACCAGATGGCCAACATGGTGAAACCCCGTCTCTACTAAAAATACAAAAATTAATCGGGTGTGGTGGCGGGCACCTGTAAACTCAGCTATTCGGGAGCCTGAGGCAGGAGAATTGCTTGAACCCGGGAGGTGGAGGTTGCAGTGAGCCAAGATCATGCCACTGCACTCCAGCCTGGGCAGCAGAGCAAGATTCCATCTTGGGAAAAAAATTACAAAAATTAGCCAGGCGTGGTGGTATGCACCTGTAGTCCCAGCTACTTGAGAGGCTGAGGCACAGCAGTCACTTGAACTTAGGAGGCGGAGGTTGCAGTGAGCCAAGACTGTGCCATTGCACTCCAGCCTGGGCAACAAGAGCAAAACTCCATCTCAAAAAAAAAAAAAAAAAAAAAAAGGTTGTGTCATATTCCTGGCTAAAAACCCAGATGATGTGACTCTCCTCTCTCCCTATTCATAGGCAGGATTGTAAAATATATCTTTTTTTTTTTGAGACAGTTTCATTTTGTCACCCAGGCTGGAGTGCAGTGGCATGATCTTGGCTCACTGCAACCTCCGCTTCCTGGGTTCAAGCAATTCTCTTGCCTCAGCCTCCTTAGTAGCTAGCCACCACACCTGGCTAATTTTTGTATTTCTATTAGAGATAGGGTTTCCCAATGTTGGTGAGGCTGATCTCAAACTCTTGACCTCAGGTGATGCACCTGCCTCAGCCTCCCAAAGTGCTGGGATTACAGGTGTGAGTGACTGCGCCTGGCCTGTAAAATATATCTTGACCTAGATCACAGATGCAATGATTACTCTCATACCTCACAGTATTTAATAGGAGAGATGCTCTCTCTTGCTCTCGCTCTCTTTTTTCTTTTTTTTTTTTTTTGAGACAGTTTTGTTCTTGTTACCCAGGCTGCAGTGCAATGGCGTGATCTCTGCCCACCACAACCTCTGCCTCCCAGGTTCAAGCGATTCTCCTGCCTCAGCCTCCCACGTAGCTGAGATTACAGGCATGTGCCACCACGCCCAGCTAATTTTGTATTTTTAGTAGAGATGGGGTTTCTCTATGTTGGTTAGGCTGGTCTCGAACTCCCAACCTCAGGTGATCTGCCCACCTCGGCCTTCCAAAGTGCTGGGGTTACAGGCATGAACCACTGTGCCCAGCCCAAGATGCTGTCTCTTAACAGCTAGGCCTAGAGTCATGAATATGATTCTGGGTCTCCTTGTACAAAGGTCATGAAGAATTGCCACTTTCTTGCATACTGTATAAATCTCTTGTGGTACAGAGAGTGTCATTACAGGGTTCAGCATACAGATGAGATTGTTTCTCATATACACTCCCCACCAACTGTTAGAATTGTCACCCTCACACATGGACAGAGCCCACTGGTGAGGCCCTGAATCTCACACACACACACAGTCTACAGTTAAAATTGTGACTGTCATATGTGAACATCTGGCTAGAGTTGAAATAATGACTTATTTCTAAATCCAGTTCATAGGTGAGAATTCTACCTGTCTAAGCCTAGGTAGGATAGTCAACATGTCCCTAATTGGCTGGGGGACATGTTGACTCTCCTACCTGGGCTTAGGGCCAAACAGTTCATGGAAGGGATGAAGGCTCTCAGCTCTCATGCACAGATCCAGTTGGTGAGATTGTCACTAGCATACTTAGACCCAACATACTCTGATACCTAGAACTGGGACATGTGCAGGATTTTTAATTACTGGACCTTCCTGCAGGTGTGATTGTGACATATGTCTTTGTTACACACCTGAGTGGTTTGATGTTCCTGCCTTGGTTCAACCCAAAGTGAAGATTGTGATGTGTCACTGGACCCAGCATCTCAGTGATGTGACTCTTCTTTTTGGACACCACAAATTTTGGGTATTGTCAAATATTGCTGGATCCTGTACCCATGTTATGTGACTCTCCAACCTATGTCCTGCATGTTGTGCCATATTGCAGCACAATGTGTCACATTAGACATCATTACATATTGCTGGGCTCAACACCCAAGTGATGTAACATTTTCCTGGGCCTTGACTACAGGGGGCTTTGTGACATAACTGAATGCCCATAACCATGGTAATGTTACTCTTCTCCTGCCTGGTCTCTGCTCACAGGGAAATTGTGACATACCATTGGCCTAGCATCTTGGTGATGTGACTCTCCTCTTTTTCTCAGGCCCCACATATTTGGGTATTGTGACATACCCAAATGTGACACTGGGCTCAACACCTAAGGGACGGGAGTTCTCTACCTGGCCCCTTCCTGAAGGGGGCATTGTGACATACTTCTGCACAGGTATGTCACAGTTATTACCTAGGAGATGTGACTCTCCTCTTTTGCCAGCACCCTGCTTACAGGGAAAATTGTGGCACATTTCTGTGGCCAGCAACCAGGTGATGTGTTTCTCCTGCTTGGGTCTTTATTACAGAAAAGATGGTTGACATATCACTAGGCCCAGCATCTAGGCGATGTGACTGTCTTCTTCTGCCTGGTCCCTGCTTACAGGAACATTGTAGCATATTGCTATGCCCAGCACTTTTCTCTTCTTTTAGGTTTTGCCTGCAGGAGACTTTGTGACATTGCTGGGCCCTGCACTGACATTATCTGACTCTTCTGTCTCTGCCTACTTGGGCCATTGTGACATATTGCTGGGTCCAACATCCAGGTGATGTAACTTTTATGCCTGGGTCCTGGCACCAGAGGACATTGTCTTTGCACCACTCACACAGGTGATGTGATTTTCTTCTGTTACCTGGTCTCTGCTCACAGGAAGAATTGTGACCTTGGCCAGGCTCGGTGGCTCACACCTGTAATCATAGCACTTTGGGAGGCCGAGGCGAGTGGATACCTGAGGTCAGGAGTTCGAGACCAGCCTGGCCAACATGGTGAAACCCCCATCTTACTTAAAACACAAAAATTAGCTGGGCGTGGTGGCAGGCGCCTGTAGTTCCAGCCACCCACGAGGCTGAGGCAGGAGAATCGCTTGAACCAGGTAGGCGGAGATTGCAGTGAGCCGAGATTGCGCCACTGCACTCCAGCCTGGGTGACAGGGAGACTCCATCTCAAAGAAAAAAAAAGTGACCTTTTGCAGCACATAGCTGATTTGACTGCTTTGTGGAGTACACCAAGCAGGTTGTCAAACTGGTGGTCCCTTTACTGAAATTTTATTTCCACAATGGTGTTGGAGGGGCAGCAGCAGAATCCGTGCCTTTTCTTCTGGAGTGTGTGAGAGTCCGTGGTCCTGAGTATCTCACACAGATGTGGCAATTTATGTGATGTTCTGATTAAGACCATTGGTACAGAAACAGATTCAGATGTCCTCAGAAATAATGCATTGTTTAGCAAAGTGCATTGAAGTTATGGGAGATGGATGCCTTAATAATGAACACTTTGAAGAACACCTTTGCCACATGTCCTCAGGACCTTCTGAGGGCTGTGTCATGGGGCATGGTCACTCATATTTGACTCAATAAATTTCTTCAAATATTTTAAAGAGTTTGACCCTTAGTCGACACAGTTGATGTGTGGAGCACTCTTGCTGTGCCAGCCAGTGTTTCAAAGCCATTTAGATATTTTTGCTCATTAAATCTTCATCAGCAGAAACTCTGTAGGTAAGTTTAATGATTCCTCGTGTCACAGACAAGGTGACTGAAAGAAGAAAAAATTCAGGAACTTGCCCAAAGTCAGCCAGATAGGAAGTGGCTGAGCTAAACTGTGCTCTAACCTACTCCTTGCTTCCCTTTTACAGACAATGCCATTGTGCATTGATTAAACAACTATTCATTGAGCACCTGCCATGGGCTGAGGCCTGTGATTGGCACTGGGAATATAGTGTAAACAAGACATAGCTCCCCGGAACAAAAGTATAAGGAAGTAAACAACAAACACCAAGATTATATCAAAGATGTGAAATGCCAGAACATGCCGCTGCTATAAAGAATGTCCACAGGGTTATTGGGGGTAGGTTCTAATTAAAAGGAGGTGAGTAAAGCAAAGCTTTCCAGAGACTGCCAGAGCTGAGCCAGGTCTGGAGGCTCTTATCAATGTCAGTATTTAGTTTGTCTCAGTTTCTTTGTATGCAGCCCCTAAAATCTTTAGAATGTCTGAAAAGAGAAGCATCTTTTGTATGTTAATGAGATGATTTCTGGCTGGAGGCTTCTGGACAGCCTCAGGACCAGGATTGATTGCCAGAGAAACCAATTGTGTAATAGAGGATTAAAACTCTCAGCTGGCTGGGCGTGGTGGCTCATCCCTGTAATCCCAGCACTTTGGGAGGCAGATCGCCTAAGGTCAGGAGTTCAAGACCAGCCCAGCCAAAATGGTGAAACCCCGTCCCTACTAAAAATACACAAATTAGCTGGGTGTGGAGGTGAGCATCTGTAATCCCAGCTACTCAGGAGGCTGAAGCAAGAGAATCGCTGGAACCTGGGAGGCAGAGGCTGCAGTAAGGCGAGATCAAGCAACTGCACTCCAGCCTGGGTGACAGAGCAAGATTCCATCTCAAAAAACAAAAACAATCAAAACTCTCAGTTTAACTTCTTACCTCCTTGGATGGTAGAGAAGCCATCCGGGCTTTGTAAAAGTAAAAGGAGTACCTTATTTGATTCAACTAAATAAATTGTTAAATAAAGGGGAATGTCAATGAAAAGCTCTTCCACCCCAGCCTCACTAGTTAAAGTGCCAATTAGGGGAAGTTTTTTTGGTATCCTGAAATTGCTTTTGGCCTTTCCATGCATATCATCCTTAAGAAAGGGCACACTCTTAAACCAACCTGTGACCTCATACCATTCTAAAAAAAAAAAAAAGTTTATACCAAAAGTGTACAATTTAGCTGTTTTCATTAAGCCAACAATATTTTATAAGCATATGCAAGCAAAGGTTATTCTGTCATGTGCTGGGCTTTATCATTTGTAACCCTTAGGGCAAATCTTATAGTATTGTTGGAGGAATCATAAAACCACTTGATTTTTTTTTGAGACAGAATCTCACTCTGTCAGTGAGGGTAGAGTACAGTGGTGCAATCTCGGCTCACTGCAACCTCTGCTTCCTGGGTTAAAGCCATTCTCCTCCCTCAGCTTCCTGAGTAGCTGGGATTACAGTCATGCACAATGGTACCTGGCCAACTTTTGGTATTTTTAGTAGAGACAGGGTTTCATCATGTTGTCCAGTCTGGTTTCGAACTCCTGACTTCAAGTGATCCACCCACCTTGGCCTCCCAAAGTGCTGGGATTATAGACATGAGCCACTGAGCCTGGCCAAAAACCCCTTGATTAAAAAAATGTTCCAGACGCAGTGGCTCACACCTGTAATCCCAGCACTTTGGGATGCCGAGGCGGGTGGGTCCCAAGGTCGGGAGTTCAAGACCAGCCTGGCCAAGATGGTGAAACTCCGTCTCTACTAAAAATACAAAAATTAGCCAGGCATGGTGGCAGGCGTCTGTAATACCAGCTACTCGGGAGGCTGAGGCAGAGAACTGCTTGAACCCGGGAGGGGGAGCTTGCAGTGAGCCAAGATCGCGCCACTGCACTCCAGCCTGAGCGGCAGAGTGAGACTACATCTCAAAAAAGTTAACAAAATGCTAACAATATTTAAGACATTGCTGATACTACTTTACCAATAATTTTAAAGTCGCCTTATTAAAGATTATACATAAGTCACAAACTTTTTTTTTTTTTTTTTTTTTGAGATGGAGTCTCACAGTCTCGCCCAGGCTGGAGTGCAGTGGCACCATCTCGGCTCACTGCAAGCTCCGCCTCCTGGGTTCACGCCATTCTCCTGCTTCAGCCTCCTGAGTAGCTGGGACTACAGGCGCCCACCACCTCGCCCAGCTAATTTTTTGTATTTTTAGTAGAGACGGGGTTTCGTCGTGTTAGTCAGGATGGTCTTGATCTTCTGACCTCGTGATCCACCTGCCTTGCCTCCCAAAGTGCTGGGATTACAGGCCTGAACCACCGTGCCCAGCCTCTAATTTTTTATTTCTGATTTAAAGTTGGATGTCTTGGCCGGGCACGGTGGCTCACTTTGGGAGGCCGAGGTGGGCAGATCACGAGGTCCGGAGATGAAGACCATCCTGGTTAACATGGTGAAACACTGTCTCTACTAAAAATACAAAAAAAATCAGCTGGGCGTGGTGGCACGCACCCATAATCCCAGCTACTGGGGAGGCAGAAGTAGGAGAATAGCTTGAACCCGGGAGGTGGAGGTTGCAGTGAGCCAAGGTCGCATTGCGCTGCTGCACTCCAGCCTGGGTAACAGAGTGAGACTCTGTCTCAAAATAAATAAATAAAAAGAAAGTTGGATGTCTTGTAAGATAATGCTGAGTAATGCAGAAATACACGTAGACATTTATGCATGTGATTTGTACTTACACAGACCCCCCCACACCACAAAATAAAACAGATAACCACAGCCTGACCATTAGGGCCAAGGTCAAATAGCAAAATAAGTTTGCCTTTAATCTGTTTTCTTCATATATAAACATTGGAGGTCAAGACTGTGGACAAGGCTGGGCTCATGCCTGTAATCCCAGCACTTTGGGAGGCTGAGGCGGGTGGATCATGAGGTCGGTAGTTCAAGACCAGCCTGGCCAAGATGGAGAAATTCTGTCTCTACTAAAAATACAAAAATTAGCTCGGCGTGGTGGTGGGCGCCTGTAATGTCAGCTACTCAGGAGACTGAGGCAGGGAATTGCTTGAACCCAAGAGGTGGAAGTTGCAGTGAGCCAAGATCGTGCCACTGCACTCCAGCCTGGGTGACAGAGCAAGTCTGTCTCAAAAAAAAAAAAAAAAGGCCGGGCGTGGTGGGTCACGTCTGTAATTCCAGCACTTTGGGAGGTGGGAGCCGGCAGATCACCGGAAGTCGGGAGTTCAAGACCAGCCTGACCAACATGGAGAAACCCTGTCTCTAATAAAAATACAAAAGATTAGCTGGGTGTGGTGGCACGTGCCTGTAATCCCAGCTACTTGGGAGGCTGAGGTAGGAGAATTGCTTGGACCTGGGAGGTGGAGGTTGTGGTGAGCCGCGATCCTGCCATTGCACTTCACTGCACTCCAGCCTGGGCAATAAGAGTGAAAGTCTGTCTCAAAAAAGACTGGACAGATATGAAGACATAGAGTTTACTTCTCCTGTCACCCCATCACTTGTTGTTCACTGTTTAATCTGGAAGGAAGGTGGTCAACAGGTGGCCAGCAGTGGTCTATGTGTGGTTATTTTATTCTTGCTGCCTTCTGCTCTTTTATGGCCACTATCTGTTCCACCCTGGGAACTGAAGAGATGTTGGTAGGAAGAGGCTTTCCCCCACCTCTGATGTCCAGGCCCTTCACTCAGCTGACATCGCAGCTGCACTTCAATATGGCAGCTATTGGCCACGTGTGGCTCCTGGGTGCCTGGAATGTCGCTGGTCTAAACTGCGATGTGCTGGAATGGTAAAATACAGAGTGAGTTTCAAAGATTTAGTGATATATATATATATATATATATATATATATATATATATGTATATATATATACACACACACATATATATACATATATACACACATACATATATACATATATACACACATATATACATATATACATACATATACATGTATATACATATATAATTATTGCTCACATATTAAACTGATAATATTTTGGATATATTGGGTAAGTTAAATTGTTACAATCAACTCCACCTTTTTCTTGTTTCTTTTTAAAGTTGGCTACTAGAAAATTCAAAATTCACATGTGGCTTATATTTTATTTCAGAGGATTGCCTTTTTAAAAAAGTCTCAGGCTGCTTGCTCAAATGCCAGAAGCCAGGAAGATCATAAAAACTGAAATTTTAAAATTATTGTTATTATATATTTTTCATTTGTGAATAGCCGTATAGTATGTTATTTATAAATACATGAAACCTCATACACGAGGTCAAATGCAAATACCCTCCGGGGTGGGCTAAGCTCAGGGAGGAAGCCCTGCCTGAAAACGCTGCAGCTTAGGCTGTCACTCTTTCTTCATTCAGTCCAGCGTTTGGTCAGGTCTTCTGTCACTTAAGGCCTGAAGGGGCTGGGCCTTAGACGTTTTCCAATCAGGGACCCTGAGCTGGGGACCGTCCAATCAGGCACGCAACTGGAGCGGACAGGGCGGCTTCCGGGATTTGGCGGGGCCTTTGTCTCTCGCTGCAGCTGGAGCGCTTGGTCTCGTCTTCCCTGCTTTGTGTCCCCTGCTCTTAGAGGCCCAGCCTCTGTGGCCCTCTGACCTGCAAGCATTGGGAGATCCACAGCTAAGACGCCAGGGCCTCCCCTGGAAGCCTAGAAATGGTGAGAGTGGCGGCTCCGACATCCGGAGAGAGAGGGAGGGGCTGGTTGAAACCTGTGGGAAGTGGCTGTGGCGGACTCGGGCCTCCCCGCAGTCATCTCCACAAACTGCGCCCTGAGTTCTCCTTGCCCAGCTGGGCCTCAGTCCCCTTCAGCCATAAGATGGCGGCTTCGCTGACAGCCGGCCCCCGGGCGTCTTGTCTCTTCCCCGCCCAGTGACTGTGCCCTGACCTGGAGCCCTCTCTGGGCAGCTCTGCTCCCGCAGCGCAGCGTCTCTCCCAGATTGTGCAGGGACCAAGGGAGGGTAGTCAGGGGAGAATCCTGACTCGGGGAGCGGGTTCATGAATGGGAAGGGCTTTAGTCCGCTGCGTTTCCAGTTCATCTTTCCCCCTATTAAAAATTTATGGCAGGCCGGGCGCTTTGGTTCACGCCTGTAATCCCAGCACTTCGAGAGGCCGAGGCGGGCGGATCACCCGAGGCCAGGAGTTCGAGACCAGCCTGGCCAACATGGCGAAACCCCATCTCTACTAAAAATATAAAAATTAGTCTGGCACAGTGGCCTGCGCCTATAATGCTAGCACTTTGGGAGGCCGAGGTGGGCGGATTACGAGGTCAGGAGTTCGAGACCAGCCTGACCAACATGGTGAAACCCCCGTTTCTACTAGAAATACAAAAAATTAGCCGGGCGTGGTGGCGCGGTCCTGTAATCCCAGCTACTCAGGAGGCTGACGCAGAAAAATCGCTTGAACCCGGGAGGCGGAGGTTGCAGTGAGGCGAGCTGACGCCATTTGCTGTCCAGCTTGGGTGACAGAGCTTGACTCTGTCTCAAAAAAAAAAAGCCGGGCATAGTGGCGCATGCTTGTAATCCCAGCCACTCGGGAGGCTGAGGCGGGACAATCGCTTGAACCTGGGAGGAGGTTGCAGTGAGCCAAGATCGCGCCACTGCACTCCAGCCTGGGCGACAGAGTAAGAAGACTCTGTCTAGAAAAAAAAAAAAAAAAGGCAGTCTCTGCAAAAATATTAAATAATTTAATCAAAGAGTGGTTCAAAAATTTTAGAGCACCCCTATGGGTTGTAGTTTTTGGTTTATAAGAGGGGCTTGAAGGACTTTGATAAGGTGCATGATGCAAAAATCCCAAATTCAATAATTGGTTAGGTACAGTTATATTCTTTCTGTCTTCCTGTCTTTGTTTGTTTGTTTCTCTCCTCTTTTCTTCTTCTTAGTTTTTTTTGTTTGTTTGTTTGTTTTGTTTTTTTGAGACGGAGTCCTGCACTGACGCCCAAGCTGGAGTGCAGTGGCACGATCTGCAACCTCCACCTCCCGGGTTCAAGTGATTCTCCTGCCTCAGCCTCCCAAGTAGCTGGAATTACAGGCGCCCACCACCATGCCCGGCTAATTTTTGTATTTTTAGTAGAGACAGAGTTTCAGTATGTTGGCCAGGCTGGTCTCGACCTTTTGACCTCAGGTGATCCACCGGCCTCAGCCTCCCTAAGTGGTAGGATTACAGGCATGAGTCAGTGCTCCCTGCCTCAGTTTCTTATTTTCCACCTTGAACGTACAAATTTCCTGGTTGTGTAATTGGAGCTTAATTGACAGTTTATAGTCGGTTAAGCCTGAATTTTGTTTCCTCTAATGTAGTAATTTACAAAAAAAAAAAAAATGCATTTGAGTTAGATTTTTTTTCAAAGCAAGAATCCAGGGCCTAGATTTCCACCTCAGACTAATTGCCTGGCACTTAACTATTTTCACACTCCACAGAGGACTGATTTTCCCCGCATTTTTTACGTGTGTTCCAAGCAGGGTCTCCCGTGTATCCCCCAGTTCTCCTTACCTCCAGCCTAACTCTGGCTTGAAGTAAAAATACATACTAAATTTCCAGTTCTGACAATCTCGAGAACTGAAAATTTAGTACTTTACTTCAAGGAACTGTCAACTTTCTTTCCCTAATTCACATTATGAACTATTTGTCCTTTAGTGTATATTTTTCATACTGTATTTTAATTATTTACTGACAACACATTGAAAACATTTTAAAAATTTGTTTTCTGTTTTTAAATATTTTCCATGAGAAGAAAGCAAAGAGTAATCCCCTGACACTGTATTTTAAAAAATATCTGTGCCTCTTTTTCTTTTATCTTCCCTAAGCACAGAGATCATAATGCTTTGGGGGTCAGTGTTTTTTGTAAACTTTATGGGGTGATGTGTCCTCAGCTACCCTTTAGTTTTTTCCTGGTCCTGTACTATCTGAATAAACCAAGATACCCACCATGTCTATCTGCTAGAGTTAATATCAGCTCTTGGGTCATTTTCTCTTATAGAACAAGCTGAGGTATGGAGTGTAGCCTCTCAAGAAGAAGGTGAATGCCCTGGGGCTTAGAGGGATCTCCTGGTGTATTCTTCCTTTGAAAAGCTAACCCTTTGAGACATTAAGATTGTTTTTATCCAAGCCATTTTCCATTTCTTGGAGACATATTGCTGGTCAGCGATCAGACGCTGGTATTGAGGGGAAAACAGAAATAATTTCTGCCAGCTGGATTCTCCAAGATTTGTGAAAAAAAATTGTATCCCCAAAGACAGATAAAAACCTCATCTCAGTGAGCTAGTACAAGAACTTGCCAAGTAAAATGCACTTGGGGCACTCATTGGGGCGTAATGCAGTGTCTCCTGAGAAGGTGGTCATTGGACACTTAAGTGAGCAGGATGGGGTGGGAAAATCTCTCCAGGGATTGGATGGCCTGACTTGACGAATGAGTCAGACACATCTGTTTTCTAATCAGCACTGCCACTCCTTTGTTTTGTCACCTTGAAAAGATTTGTTCACTTATATTGACTCTTTTAAACTGTAAATTGTATTTTATTAGTAGAGCTTGAAAGGTGAGAAAATATTTACAAAAACATAAAATAGACAGGTTTCAAAAAATACCTACTCATATATTCCATTGTTAAAAATTCTCATTTACTTTTTTTTCCCCACTGTGAGTTTAGAAATTTTCTCAGGTACATTTTTTATTTTTTGAAATGGAGTCTCACTCATTTTGTTGCCAAGGCTGGAGTGCAGTGGCATGTTCTCAGCTCACTGCAGCCTCTGACTACCAGGTTCAAGCGATTCTCCTTCCTCAGCCTCCTGAGTAGCTGGGATTACAGGTGCACACCACCATGCCCAGCTAATTTTTGTATTTTTAGTAGACACGGGGTTTCGCCATGTTGGCCAGGCTGGTCTTGAACTCCTGACCTCAGGTGATCCGCCCACCTCGGCCTCCCAAAGTGCTGGGATTACAGGCGTGAGTCACCGTGCCCAGCCTTCTCAGGTGTGTTTTTTTGCCTGAGTGTTTTCAAACACAATTTCAAGCATTAGCTTTTAGAGAGCTATCAAGGAAAAGAATAAGGAAAATTTCTCTTCCATTTTGGCTGTAGAAAATGAATACATGTTCACAAGAAAATGTGGTAGATAATTGCTGAGTTACATAGATTGATAAAAACATCAGTTCCTCTTATTGCAGGGTAAATTTCTGAGAGTGAATATCTCTGTTCTATATCCTGTAATCTTGATGTATGAGTTTAATGCTAATTCTTTTTTTTTTTTCCCCTGAGACAGAGTCTTGCTCTGTCGCCCAGGCTGGAGTGCAATGGTGCGATCTTGGCTCACTGCAACCTCCGACTCCGGGTTTAAGCAATTCTCCTCTCTCAGCCTCCAGCGTACCTGGGATTACAGGTGCATGCCACCACGCCCAGCTAATTTTTGTATTTTTAGTAGAGACAGTGTTTCACCAGGTTGGCCAGGCTGTTCTTGAACTCCTGACCTCGTGATCTGCCCGCCTCGGCCTCCCAAAGTGCTGAGATTACAGGTGTGATCCACTGCGCCCGGCCGATGCTAAATTTTATAAGACAAAACTTGGTACCTCCTAGAGGTGTCCCCATATGACTAATTGTTTACTACATGATTTATAATGGAGATAATAAAGTATTTATTGTCTGAAAGAAAGTTTAGATTCTTTTGCTTTTCTTATTGAGGTATAAAACTTAAGCACCTTAAATTTTTTTTCTTTTATATGAGCACTGTGTTTGAGTAATTTTACTTGATTTTTCAAACACTGAGTTTCAAAACCTGAGTGAATAACTCTTACTGGAAAAGTAAAGCTTGAGCCCAGTGACTCCAAGCTAAAGGCTCATATTGATCCTGCAAAAGAAGGTTATTAAAGGCCCAGTTAGTTCTTCCTGGGGAGCCTCCCCTGCAGATTTCCTAGCCTGCTCACTCCAGCCATGGAAGAAGCCTTTTATCTGAAGAGAAGCTATAGAGCCATGGAAAGCTGAGGACCCACAGACAGATGCAGTTAAGATGGAATGGGACTGAAAGGATCTTACTGAAGATAAAGTTGTTCTTGCTTTGAGGCGTTTCTAGACTTTTAAATATAAAGTTAGATTTATATTTAAAAAATTAAGTTCCAAAGGAGTATTGGAACAGGAGGAAGTACCAATTATAAGGTCTTTAAGGATCTCAAAGGTTAGGCAGACAAGGGTGGGTTTTTTTCATATTAAGGAGCAACCAAGATGAGAAACAAGGTGGGAGGGGAATGGCAAATGAAGGGTGAAAAAATCAGATTCTAAATCAGATAATTTTTTTTTTTTTTGAGATGGAGTCTTGCTCTGCTGCCCAGGTCTGGAGTGCAGTGGCGCGATCTCTGCTCACTGCAAGCCCCGCCTCCTGGGTTCACGCCATTCTCTTGCCTCAGCCTCCTGAGTAGCTGGGACTACTGGCGCCCGCCACCACGCCTGGCTAATTTTTTGTATTTTTAATAGAGATGGGGTTTCCCCATATTAGCCAGGATGGTCTCGATCTCCTGACCTCGTGATCCACCTGCCTTGGCCTCCCAAAGTGCTGGGATTACAGGCGTGAGCCACCGCACCTGGCTAAATCAGAGAATGTTCTTAGGAGGAGCATATAATGGGGTTGTATGTTGGCTTAGACTGAGGGTAGCTCAAAAGTTCAGGAGCTGTGGGAAGGAGATAAACTTGTTTGATTAAGTAGTATTTTATTTTGACCACTGAAGACAAATTCAGCTGGGTTTTCTAAGAGAATAAGAAGAAAATGGGCAGAATCTATGTCTGGCTATGTGATAGGTAAGAAAAGAGTGCATCATCTAAGTCATAATGGGATGTGTGTTTCTTTCCATAAACTGTTTCTGGAGCACACAAAAGATGGAGAATTTTATTAATTATAGCCATTTACCAGGATTACCTACGTGCTTCATCTCTCCCCACCTCTTTTCTTTGTCTTACACATTTCTTTCATTTGACTTTTCCTGGGTTGTATCTTTTATAATAATCCGGTCAACATAACTACAGTGTTTTTCTAAGTACTGTGTATAGCACTATTAAGTTATTGAACTTGAGCAAGTTTATGGGAGTCCTGAATTTTTAAACAGTAGCTCATAATGGGCTCATAATTTAGAAGCATAAATGGGCCCATGGGGTTTGTTACTGGCAACTGTAGTAAGAACAATATTTTGAGACCAAGCCCTGAATCAGCATCTGTGCTGACTCTGGGTGGTGTCAGAATTTAAATGTTAGATAAAGAATTGGTGTTGGAGAGTTGCTTGGTGTTCAGCAAACTCTATAGATTTTGTGCCAGAATAAAAATACCATAAAAGGTCTAGCCTGGAATAAAACTGAGTGTCTGGGAATGGGAGGCTCTGCTCCTATGTACTGGCTGTCACACTGCCCATTGTTTTCTGATTCCAGGTCTTCTCTTAGAGTGAGAGAGGACTGAAAACTTAGAGGAAAGAATCTCTGATGACAGACCTTCTCTTTCCACAGTTGCCACCACAGGATTCCCACCGACTCACAATCATGCCCACTAGACACTGATGCATCCACACCCCTCTCAGGACAAGGCACCACCCTCAGGAACTTCACCACAGCATTTTTGATTTAGCATTTCTTGCAAAAATCCTTCAAAAGTGTCTACGAGTCTCCCGGCATATTCCTGTTCCCCAGACACCGAATCTGCAGCAGCAACCTGTTCTCCCCACCAACTTAGGGTTCTGGGCCACTTGTTCATAATCTCACGTGCCTGCATGGACCCAGAAATAAATAGCACAAACCAATCTTTCAGTTTACATATTGCACTTACCCCCACCCGTCGAGTTTTTTCCTTTCAACTTTTAATTTTAGTTCAGAGGTACACATGCAGGTTTATTACATAGGTAAGATTGTGTCATGAAAGTTTGATGTAGATTATTTTTTCACCAAGATACTAAGCATAGCACCAAACAGGTATTTTTTTTTTTTTATTTATTTAATTTAATTTTTTTTTTTTTTGAGATGGAGTTTCACTCTTGTTGTCCAGGCTGGAGTGCAATGGTATGATCTCGGCTCACTGCAGCCTCCGCTTCCTGGGTTCAAGTGATTCTCCTGCATCAGCCTCCCAAGTAGTTGGGATTACAGGTGCCTGCCACCATGCCCGGCTAATTTTTATATTTTTAGTAGAGACGAGGTTTCATCATGTGGACCAGGCTGGTCTCGAACTCCTGACCTCAGGTGATCTGCCCAACTCAGCCTCCAAAAGTGCTGGTATTACAGGAATGAGCCACCGCGCCCGGCCCAAACAGGTCTTTGTCCTGCCAACCTCAACTAGGCCTGTGTCTGTTTTTCCCCTCTTTGCATCCATGGGTTCTTATTATTTAGCTCTTACTTATAAATGAGATAGTGCATTTGTTTTTCTCTTTCTGCATCAGTTTACCTTTTTTTTTTTTTTTTTTTTTTTTTTGAGATGGACTCTCGCTCTGTCACTCAGGCTGGAGTGCAGTGGCGCGATCTCAGCTCACTGCAACCTCTGCCTCCCAGGTTCAAGTGATTCTCCTGCCTCAGCCTCCTGAATAGCTGGGATTACAGGCAAGCCACCACGCCTGGCTAGTTTTTGTATTTTTGGTAGAGACGGCGTTTCACCATGTTGGCCAGGCTGGTCTGGAGCTCCTGACCTCAAGGAAGCTGCCCTCCTTGCCTCCAAAAGTACTTGGATTACAGGTGTGGGCCACCATGGCTGGCCTTTCTGCATTAGTTGTCTAAGAATAATGGGCTTCAATTTCATCCATGTGACTGCAAATGAAATGATCTTGTTCCTTTTTTATGGTCATACAGTATTCCATGATATTTACATATTATATTTTCTTTCTTTCTTTCTTTCTTTTTTTTTTTTTTTTTTTGAGATGGAGTTTTGCTCTTGTTGCCCAGGCTGGAGTGCAATGGCACGATCTTGGCTCACTGCAACTTCCGCCTTCCGAGTTCAAGCTATTCTCCTGCCTCAGCCTCCCTAGTAGCTGAGATTACAGGCATGTGCCACCACACCTGGCTAATTTTGTATTTTTAGTAGAGCTGGAGTTTCATCATGTTGGTCAGGCTGGTCTCAAACTCCTGACCTCAGATGATCCACCCGCTTCAGCCTCCCAAAGTGCTGGGATTACAGGTGTGAGCCACCACGCCCGGCCTGTATTATTATTATTATTATTATTATTATTACTTTTTCTTTTTTCAGACGGAGTCTCGCTCTGTCACCCAGGCTGGAGTGCAATGGCGTGATCTTGGCTCACTGCAACCTCTGCCTTCTGGGTTCAAGTGATTCTCCTGCCTCAGCCTCCCAAGTAGCTGGGATTACAGGTACGTGCCACCAAGCCCAGCTAATTTTTGTGTTTTTAGTAGAGAGGGGGTTTCACCATGTTGGCCAGGCTGGTCTCAAACTCCTGACCTCGTGATCCACCCGACTCAGCCTCCCAAAGTGCTGGGATTACACGCCACCGTGCCCAGCTAATTTTTCTTTTAGTATTTTTTTTGTAGAAATTGGGTTTCTTTATGTTGTCCTGACTGGTCTCAAACTCCTGAGCTCAGGCAATCTGCCTGCCTCAGCCTCCCAAAGTTCTGGGATTATAGGCGTGAGTCATCATGCCTGGTCAGTATGGCCATTTTAATGATATTGATCTTCTCTGTCCATGACCATCAAATAGTTTGCATTTGTTTGTGTCATCTCTGACTTCTTTGAGCAGTGTTTTGTAATTGTTGTCGTAGAGATCTTTCACTTCCCTGGTTAGCTGTATTCCTAGATACCTTATTCTTTTTGTGGCATTTTTGAATGTGATTGTGTTTTTGATTTGGCTTTTGGCTTGTATGTTGATGTATAGAGGTGCTACTTATTTCTGCACCTTTGTTTTGTATTTTGAAACTTTGCAGAAGTTGTCAGTTTATAGAGCATTTCTGCCAAAACTAGGGTTTTCTAGATACTGAATCATGTCATCTGAAAACAGGGATAGTTTGATTTCCTCCCTTCCTGTTTGGGTGCATTTTCTTTCTTTCTCTTGCCTGATTTCTCTAGCCAGGACTTCCAATTCTCTGTTGAATAAGAGCGGTAAGAAAAGGCATCCTTATCTTGTGCCAGTTTTCAGAAGGAATGCTTCCAGCTTGTGTCCATTTAGTATGTTGGCTTTGGATTTGTCATAGATAACTCATTATTTTGAAGTATGTATCTTCAATGCTTAGTTTGTTGAGGGTTTTATGCATGAACAATGTTACATTTTATTGGAAGTTTTTTCTGCATCTATTGAGATAATTTTGTGGTTCTTTAGTTCTGTTTATGTGAATCAGATTTATTGATATTTTTGTATGTTGAACCAACCTTGCATTCCAGCGATAAAGCCTACTTGGTTATAGTAGATTAGCTTTTTGATGTGCTGCTGGATTTGGTTTGCCCATATTTTGTTGAGGATTTTTGCAGCAATGTTCATCAAGGATATTAGCCTGAGGTTTTCTTCTGGGTTGTTTTGTCTCTGCCAGGTTTTGGTATCAGAATGATGCTATTATATAATGAGCTGGGGAGAAGTCCCTTCTTAATTTTTTGTAATAGTTTTAAAAGGCATTATATCAGCTTTTCTTTTTATACTTGGTAGAATTCAGCTGTGAACCTTCTGGTCTTGGGTTTTTTTAGTTGGTAGCCTATTTACTACTAACTTAATTTTGGAGCTTGTTATTGATCTATTTAGGGCTTCAACTTGTTTGGTCTTGAGAGAATTTGTTTGTCTAGAAATTTATCCACTTCCTTTAGATTTTCTAGTTTTTGTGTACAGAGGTGTCTATAGTAAACTTCAATAGCTATTTGTATTTTTGTGGGGTCAGAGGTAATGTCTCTGTAGTCTTTTTTTTTTGTTGTTGTTGTTGTTGTTGTTGAGATGGAGTCTTGCTCTGTTGCCCAGGTTGGAGTGCACTGGCGTGATCTTGGCTCACTGCAACCTCTGCCTCCGGGGTTTAAGCAATTTTCCTACCTCAGCCTTTCAAGTAGCTGGGATTACAGGCATATGCCGCCACACCTGGCCTAATTTTTGTATTTTTAGTAGATACAGGGTTTCACCATGTTGGTCAGGCTGGTTTTGAACTCCTGACCTCAGGTGATCCACCTGCCTCGGCCTCCCAAAGTGCTGGGATTACAGGCATGAACCACTGTGCTTGGCCTCTGTTGCCATTTTTTTTTTTTTTTTTTTTTTAGGTGGAATCCACTCTGTCACCTAGGCTGGAGTGCGGTGGAATGATCTCAGATTACCGCAACCTTCGCCTTCCTGGTTTAAGCAATTATGTGCTTAAATCTGCTGTTTACAAAAGACAGACAAAACCTGGCCTGTTTTAGCATCTACCACTTTCCTTAAATGTTCAGTTCCATTATGTCACATTTAAGCATCAGTGACTCCATTTTGGTTAGGTTTGTCTGTTTGGACCTAGTGCACAAGCTCAGTCCAGAATAATGTCGTCCAATAATTTTGTTTAAAACTGTCTCCTTTTTTGGTCAGAGTGCGACCAAAACTCTGGGCCTTAGTGCCATTCTCATTTTTTGGTCAGAGTGCGACCAAAACTCTGGGCCTTAGTGCCATTCTCAGTTTTCATCCTTTTTGGGTTTTGTCCTTATCTTTTTTTTTTTTTTTTTTTGACAGAGTCTCGCTCTGTTGCCCAGGCAGCCTCCACCTCCTGCGTTCAAGTAATTGGCTTGCCTCAGCCTCCCAGGTAGGTGGGACTACAGGCATGCACCACCTCGCCTGGGTAATTTTTGTATTTTTAGTACAGAGGGGGTTTCACCATGTTGACCAGGCTGGTTGGTCTCAAACTCCTGACCTCAGGTGATCCACCTTCCTTGGCCTTCCAAAGTGCTAGGATTACAGGCATGAGTCACGGCACCTGGCCCCCTGTTGTCATTTTTAATTGTGCTTATTTGGATCTTCTTTCTTTGCTAATCTTGCTAGCGGTTTATCTTCTTAATTTTTTTCAAATATTTAACTCCTGGATTACTTGATATTTTCTATGACTTTTCATTTCTAAATCTCCTTCAGTTCAGATCTAATTTTGGTTATTTCTTGTCTTCTGCTAGCTTGGGAATTGGTTTTCTCTTGCTTTATTGATTGATTGAAACAGTCTCGCTGCGTTGCCTAGCCTGGAGTACAATGGAACAATCTTGGCTCGCTGCAACCTCTGTCTCCTGGGTTCAAGGGATTCTCCTGCCTCAGCCTCCCGAGTAGCTGAGATTACAGGCGAGTGCCCCCATGACTGGCTAATTTTTGTATTTTTAGTAGAGTTAGGTATTTAAATTGATTTCTAAGTTTTTGATGTGAGTAGTTAGTGCTATAAATTTCCTTCTTAACACTGCCTTGGCTGTGTTGTAGCGATTCTGGTTTGTGTATCTTTGTTCTTCTTATTTGTTTCAAAGAACTTATTGATTTCTGCTTAATTTTATTATTTACCCAAAAGTCATTCAGGTGAAGGTTTTTAAATTTCCATGTAATTGGATAATTTGAAGTGGTTTTCTTTGTATTGAATTATATCGTTACAAAGCTGTGGCCTAAGTGTGTGTTTGGTATGACTTTGGGAAAATTGAATTTGCTGAGGATTGTTTTATTTCTGATTGTGTGGTCAATTTTAGAGTATGTGACGTGGTGATGAGAAGAATGTATACTATGTTGATTTCAGTTGGACAGTTCTATAGATGCCAGTTAGGACTATTTGGTCAAATGTTGAGTTTAGGTCCTGATATCTTTGTTAATTTTTTTGCTTCAATGATGTAATAGTGTCTGTGGGGTGTTGTAGTCTCCCACTATTATTGTGTCAGAATCCAACTCTCTTCATAGCTCTCCGTAAGAACTTGCTTTATTCATATGCACTCATGGATTTTTTTAGAACACCTTTCTCTCTTCTGCTTTTTTCTTTAGTGTGCCCAAGGCTACTCCTTAGATGCCTGAACCTACAGTCTGCTGAAATTCAGATGTCCAAGAGATCAAGAACTTGTCCAGAGATTTAGCTGTTTTTGTTTTTTGAGATGGAGTCTCACTCTGACGCCCAGGCTGGAGTGCAGTGGCACGATCTCAGCTCACTGCAACCTCTGCCTCCTGGGTTCAAGTGATTCTTCTGCCTCAGCCTCCTGAGTAGTGGGATTACAGGTGCATGCCACCACGCCCGGCTAATTTTTTATTTTTAGTAGAGACAGGGTTTCGCCATGATGGCCAGGCTGGTCTTCTGACCTCAAGTGATCTAACCACCTCGGCCTCGTAGAGTGCAGAGATTACAGGCATGAGCTACCATGCCTGGTCGAGATTTGGCTTTTATAGGAGAAAATATAAATTAGAAATAAGAGTCTTTATTTTCTTACCTTATAAAAAGGGAGGATATTTTGTTCATCTCTCTTTATTGAAGCATTTTGCTTATATGTAGATATTCTCTGCTTTTCTGAAATATATGTAAATCATATTTACAGCTAAAGAAACCTTTTGTCATTCTTTCTGACTCAGGATTGTCTTTATCTAGGACCTCAGAACCATTGCAGTGTTTTTGCTTTGGCAAAGGTTTTTTTGTTTTTTGTTTTTTGAGGTGGAGTCTCGCTTCCAGGCTGGAGTGCATTGGCGTGATCTGGGCTCATTGCAAGCTCTGCCTCCCGGGTTCACGCCATTCTCCTGCCTCAGCCTCCCAAGCAGCTGGTACTACAGGCGCCCACCACCACATGCGGCTAATTTTTTGTATTTTTAGTAGAGATGGGGTTTCACCGTGTTAGCCAGGATGGTCTCCATCTCCTGACCTCGTGATCCGCCCACCTCGGCCTCCCAAAGTGCTGGGATTACAAGGTTTTGTTGTTGTTGTTGTTGTTGTTTTCAGTCTCTTAAAGTAGATACAGATTTGTCTAGATTAAAGCTCATTTTAAGAGCACACAAAAAGTGGAGCACAAAGATAGGATTAAACTTAGCAATACAGAATGATAAAGACTAAAAGATGCAGAGGAAGTTTCTTTGACAAAAAACTGATTATCCAGTGTAATTATCCAATATTTGCAGGCTGAAGTACTTACACTGCAAAAGAAAGAACAGTTCAGTGTATAAACTCAACAGTGGAGTCTTTGGTTATGCTTTGGTTCCTATTTACTGCTTCAAAACAATTAGCATGGTTATGTGTAGTGTTTGTAGACAACTTGCATTTGTGTGAATTATACAGTATTTTCTTTTTTTTTTTTTTTTAAGACGGGTTCTTGCTCTGTTGCCCATGCTGGAGTGCAGTGGCGTGATCTCGGCTGAGTAGCTGGGATTACGGGCATGAGCCACTGCGCCCGACCTAAATTATACGGTATTTTCTACAATATTATGAATATAAGACCACAATATTTATTTTGGATGAATGTCTTAGTCATTTTAATATTCGTCATACTTTTGAAATATAAAGTATTATAACTAAATTATGGTTACAGAAAATTTTTTAAAATTCTACATTATTACTAGTACATTAAAATTATTTATGCTTAGATATTTATATCTAATATCCAAAAAAATTCACTACAAAATTGTTACAGTAGATATTAGCCTGACATGCATATTAATTTACCCAATAGATATAGGTAAGCATGATTTCAGTATCTTTTATTTTACTAAACTCGAATACTGCTATTACAGTACAAATAAATGTGATGGGTGATGTGACCATGCAAGAAATATAATAGCTTTTAAGTTAGCTGTGTTGTAAGCTCAAATATATTTTACTATATAAACAAAGTCAGATTCTGATTCTTCATCAAAAAACGTTGGTGAAGGCTGGGTGCTGTGGCTCACCTCTGTAATCCCAGCACTTTGGGAGGCCAAGGTGGACAGATCACTTGAGGTCAGGAGTTTGAGACCAGCCTGGCTAATATGGTGAAACCCTGTCTCTACTAAAAATACAAAAATTAGCGGGGGGTGGTGGTGGGTGCCTGTAATTCTAGCTACTCAGGAGACTGAGGAAGGAGAATCGCTTAAACTTGGAAGGTGGAGATTGCAGTGAGCTAAGGTCATGCCACTGCACTCCAGCATATGTGAGAAAGCAAGACTCTGTCTCAAAAAAAAAATAAAAATAAAAAGGAGCTGTTGGAAATTGTCAGATGTATTCCAATATAAATCCTCCATTTAATGGCTAGGAGACGAGAGAGCAACAGAGATAAAAGAGAAACTTTATAAAATTTTGCTGAGAATATGTCCCCTTTCTTCATAATGCTCATGCTTCTCATGCTGAGAGTAGCTGTGCAGTTTGGGTGTTTAGAGAGACGTTTATTTTAGGGGAACATTTTCTGGCCAACATGATCAATCTTATATCTAATCTGAGTGTTTTTTTAAGATGTTCTTCTTTTTTACTGAGTATAATTTTACTAAGATGAAGAGCGATTTTTCTCTCCAATGCTTTGGGTGTCTGTTTCAGAAGCTCTATTACTATCCCATGGTGTCATGAATGAGTTGGGCTGTCACAGGGAGAACTCTTAGAGGTATCTCTATGCGGACTGATGCTGAAAATCCAGCAGTATTTTTTTCATGTCACTATTATAAATAGAAACTGAAGCTGAAACACTGCTCCCATTCCCATTATCGTGAAGGTGCAATTTCAGCCAGGAGGGCTGGCTCAGGCTTCATTACCTGATGTGGGACTGGAGTGCTGCTCTGGCAGTTGGGGTTCGTGTAAGATGTGAGCTGCCAGCTGTGAGCCCTGTGGTAGGAGTCAAGAAAGGACACTGGCTATCAGGAAAGGGCAAGCAGAGTATAGTGCTCAGGGAGTACAGAGCCATTGATTGCTTAAAATGTAAATAGCCAAAAAGATAACTCCCTAAGTTGCAAAATTACCTCCTGTCATGAGGATGTGAAAAGTTAATTTTGTCATTGATTATAACCAATTAGCATACATGGATCACCTCCCCCATTACCAGGTGAATTTAGGATGAACCATGTATTACATGGTGCTATAAATTCTTTTACTTGTGGACTAATTATGGGAGTGTCTTTTTGTCTTTGCAATCTCTTAAGAAGATTGACTGTGATGCATGTCACATTCTGGTTTAATTGTGTAATGAAACAGTTTACTTTCTGTTCTATCATTTTGGAGTTTCTCTAGGGCTGGAGAAATTTTTTCTTTTAATTATATTTTCCAAACACTGTCTAGAATTACTAGAGGTGATATGAACACATATGGTTCCAGCCAAACTTTACTCTAGAGGGGCCTTTTCCTCTCAGGCTTCCAGTCACTTCAGATTTCTACAAACTTCACAGGGTAGCAATCAGCTATTTTACTTCTTATTTCGGTCTGGCCCCACCTTGAAGTCTGGCCTCACAGAACTGATTGGAAGTTTTGACTAGTGAGTCTGTTAAATTTTTAGAGCTGGTGCTCACAATTTTCTGAAACCCAAAAGCAGATAAAATTGGAAAAATAAAGTATGTATTTTAGCATCTTAATTTTTAAATTTTCTATTAAACCAGTGCTTGCAGGGACATTTAGCAACTTGTTTTCTATTCTGCAGATCCAGTAGTTGCTCCACAAGTCACAAACAAGTAAATATGAACACAATAAAAATTTCTTTAAACTACATTAAATTCTTCCTTTCTGTATCCCTGTCATCTGTCTATATTTAGTGTTCTATACATTTTTTAAAAAAACCAAGGACAGAGAAACAGAAGATGAAATAAAAATGCTAAGCCTTAATCTAAATCCTGGGAATTATTAAACAGCTGTGCTGACTCCCAGTTTGTTATGAGAATTAAATCACATAATGTGTTATTCCAAGCACAGTGCTCTGTAACATACTCTTGAGCACATAGTACCTGCTTTATAAACATTTCAATAGTACATGTTGTTTTCGAAGTGCAGACTTATTCAGGCATTGCTACTTTCTGTTGCCTCTGTAAACTTTAAAGAACCAGCAAAGAATATGATACTTAAAGATGGAGATTTGTTGTCTTCATTTGTGCCGGAAGTATTTGTGTTGTGACAAGAGTGCTGAGTGTAAGGGACTCTGTACTGTGCCTGCTTCTCTAACCAATTCTAATGATGAGCCTAGAAGAAGCAACATCAGCATTGACAGGGGACTTATTTAAAACGCACATTCATGAACCCTTTGAAAACCTGCAGAATCAAAATACATAGGGAAGGTCCAAAGTTACCAAGTGATTTATAAGCTTATTAAATATTACAAGGCAGCTGGGCGTGGTGGCTTATGCCTGTAATCCCAGCACTTTGGGAGACCGAGGTGGGTGGATCACCTGATGTCAGGAGTTCCAGAGCAGCCTGTCCAACATGGTAAAATCCCGTCTCTACTAAAAGTACAAAAATTAGCTGGGCATGGTGGCAGATGCCTGTAATCTCAGCTACTTGGGAGGCTGAGGCTGGAGAATCTCTTTAACCCAGGAGGTGGAGGTTGTGGTGAGCAGAGATTGTGCCATTGCACTCCAGCCTGGATGACAAGAGCAAAACACCGTCTAAAAAAAAAAAAAATTGCAAGGCAATGCTTAGCTAAATGGTTATCAGCTGGACTTCTATTAGGTTGGTGGAAAAGTTAATTGACGTTTTTGCCATTCTAAGTAACTTGGATTACTTAGGTGTAGGCACTCAAATTACATGGCTAATTATTAGAAATCCCTTTACTTGTGCCTTCTTCACAGGTTCTGTTTATTGTTTTGTGTGGACACATTTATGTTGTTTTAATTAAGTGCCTCATGTGACTCTAAGGTAAGGCCAGAATCAACTATGAGGGGTTCAAGATACATTCATGAGAGTTAAGTTTTACTTTTCCACTGAAGGATGGTCACAGGGCCTGTTCTGTTTGGGTTTGGTAAAGACAGGGCAGCGTGGCCCATATTTCCATTATTGTAGCAGAAATTGCTGGTGTCTTTGGTGGGGAGGGTACCTAAGGACAGGAAAGGAGAAACTTCTATTTTTCTCTTCATTGTTTCTGAATCTTTTCTGAAGATTCACCCAGAAATGGGTGGACTTTTTCTGAGGGTCTTGGTCCTTCTGCCTGTGGGTGTGGTCGTAGCATGTAAACAGGTGGCATTTTCTCAAGATGCAGGTGTAATTTGTCCAGAAAATCTCATCTGAAAATAAATCCAAGAGAAGGAGGAGATAGAGGAAAAAGTGGCATTTTTTTTTTTTTCAGCTAAACATGTCTCGGATCAAGAGCTGTATCCGCCCTGCCTCCGGAATGCTGTGTGTTTAGTACTTGCAAACCTTGACTTCTATACTTGTGTTTTTTTCTCCCTAATGAGTTTGTTTTAACTACTTTTTAAAATTCTTATGATAATCAAGAAAAATATTTCTTTCCTATATACCAGAGCCTTCTCTAAATTTTTTACATTTTGGCTTTTTATATGCCTTGCAAAATTATCACCATTAATTTATGATCTGCAGTATTAAAAGTGTTCTTTTTGTGGCTGTTGAACTTAGAAAAGTGTGGATACTCAAGATTACTATTGGG
Organism: Homo sapiens; assembly: GCF_000001405.40. NCBI lineage: Eukaryota > Metazoa > Chordata > Mammalia > Primates > Hominidae > Homo > Homo sapiens. Next base: position 23,233,476 of record NC_000019.10, on the reverse strand, counting down.
GAAAAGCTGGGATCCTTAGTAAAGATGGAGAACATGTAATGTTGAAGTTCCATTTGTGTTTGCTATTAGCCCTATGCAGAACCGAATTAAGAAAATGCTTATTTAAACAGGATGGCATTTATTACTCAGAAAGTTCTGAAAAAAATTATCAGGAGATACCTGTTCTCTAGGGTGCTAAAGAAAGACTACTTAAAATCACTATTAAAAATTACAGAACATAGAAGATACAGGTATCTTGAATAGAAGATTCCTGTATCTTAAGATATCCTGTATCAAGATAGAAGATACCTGTATCTTGAACTTTGCATAAAACTGATGTTTCCATATGGTTGAATTTAGACTATAATTTACTTATTGGGAACAATATTCCAGCAGTGATGCTGTGTGTCCTTCTGTGTGTTTTAGCACACCGTAAAAATTTGTCCTAGTGCAGTTGAGGCTAATGATTCACTTGGTTAAAGAGCTGTCTGACAGATTTTTTCACTATACAGTTAATTATTTTTTCTTCATTATTAAGTATCTTTGTGCAGCTGATTTGTATAAATTATCAAATGTAATCTGACAGCTGCTCTTCTTTCTTAGGGTTTCTTTGCATATATCTGTTTTTGGAAAATGAAGGCTGTCATCTCTCTCTTATAGGCCATAAAAACTGGGGGGAAAAACAGGTTATTTCACTTGTTGGATGTTTGATAAAATATTTTTCTTTGGGGCAAAATCATTGGCATTACTTGTGAGCTTATTAAAAATTCAGCAACTCAGACTTTATTCCAGATCTTCTGCAAAAAAAAAAAAAGCATAACAAGATTTCCAGTTTATTGTACACATTAAAATTTGAGATGTACCTTGTAACTCGACATGTCTTTCATCTCAACAGAACTCATTCTTTATAGTGTGAATATAGCACTCCAGAATGTACATGCCTGTGTTCATGTCCTTAATTTTATATTTTATTATCCAGAAAAGTATCATATATAAATTGATGTTGTGGATCTTATTCTAGTCTTTTCTCAGAGTTAGAGAGTACATCAGAGAATATTTCTGTCTTTAAAATTACTTCATTTGGATAATTTCATTCACTTTTATAAGTCAGAATGAGTACTCCTTAGTCTTTCATTTCAACTTGAATCAAATTAAAAATTTTGCCCATGGCCACTTCGTAAATATGTGTGTGTGTACTTTTCAGGGACCATTGACATTTATGGATGTGGCCATAGAATTCTCTGTGGAGGAGTGGCAATGCCTGGACACTGCACAGCAGAATTTATATAGGAACGTGATGTTAGAGAACTACAGAAACCTGGTCTTCCTGGGTGAGAATAACTTCAATACACAATTCCTAATCTACCCTAAATATTTCGTTTGTTTTTTTGTAGGATGTTTTTTGGTAATTGATCTTTGCATAAATGAGTATCAGATCTCTATTTCTAAGAAAATCTTGGGGGCCAAGCGTGGTGGCTTATGCCTGTAATCCTAGCACTTTGGGTGGCCAAGGCGGGTGGATCACCTGAGGTCAGGAGTTCAAGACCAGCCTGGCCAACATGGTGAAACCCCACCTCTACTTAAAAAAATAAAAAAATTAGCCAGGTGTAGTGGTGCACGCCTGTAGTCCCAGCTACTTGGGAGGCTGAGGCAGGAGAATCACTTGAACCCGGGAGATGGAGGTTGCAGTGAGCCGAGATCGTACCACTGTACTCCAGCCTGGGTGGCAGAGTGAGACTCCATCTCAAAAAAAAAGGGAGAGAAAGAAAATCTTGGGGATTTGTCAATGTAGAAAAAAAAAAATTCAAGATGTTTCATTGTGATCTGGACTTTTTATATTCCTGAGCTGATCTGTATCCTTCACTCTAAATTAGTGGTAATTCCAGAAATTTAGTGGCATAAAATATTGTTTTCTATACCTTAAAATCTAATTGTCATCTCCAGTTTTTGATTCAGTACTACTAAGTAGTAAAATTAAGGACCTACAAATTTAAAATAGTGTCTAAATATTTAGAAATTTGTTTTAAATTTGTATTTTGTAATTAATTTAGTATTCTATTAATTACACCCTTTTTACTGAGCACATTATTTAAAGAATATGAGCAACATTCATGTTATTTATTTTTAATAAAACAGGTATTGCTGTCTCTAAGCCAGACCTGATCACCTGTCTGGAGCAAGGCAAAGAGCCCTGGAATATGGAGAGACATGAGATGGTGGCCAAACCCCCAGGTAGGTGAGAGTGAATATGACAGATGACACAGATGAGAGGTCCAAATGTCAAGGAGAAAGTCAGTTTTTGAAATACGATTTGGGGCCAGGTGTGGTGGCTCATGCCTGTAATCCCAGCACTTGGAGAGGCTAAGGCGGGCAGATGACCTAAGGTCGGGTGTTCGAGACCAGCCTGACCAACATGGAGAAACCCCGTCTTTACTAAAAATACAAAATTAGCTGGGTGTGGTGGCGCATGCCTGTAGTCCCAGCTACTTGGGAGGCTGAGGCAGGAGAATCGCTTGAACCTGGGAGGCAGAGGTTGTGGTGAGCTGAGATCGCGCCATTGCACTGCAGCCTGGGCAACAAGAGCGAAACTCCGTCTCAGATAAATAAATAAATAAACGAATAAAAATAAGAAATACAATTTGGGAGTTGTGCTCCAAGGAAAATAGTTTCTGGGAAAATAAAATAGTTTATTTTATTTTTTCTCTTACATAGGGGTATCTTTTGTCTTATCCTTCTAACTTTTCTAAGGAATATACTTTCCCTTCCGTTATCTTTCTTCAAGTTTTCAGTGAGAACCAAAGTCCCCTTTTTGGCATATACAAGACTACAAAATCTGCTTTTTTAATGTTTTGGTGGACACATAAATATCTGTGAAATTTTAAGAAACTCTGTGTTAAACTATTAAGTTTTCTTTCTACATCATGTCTGAAATATGTGAGAGTAGTGGTTTCTGTTTCATTTTTTTTGTTCATTTTTTCTGCACATTCCTTCCTGTTTTTATACTATAGTCTTGAAATATAGTTTGAAATTATAAAGTACGTTGTCCTCATCCTTTGTTCTTTTTCCTCAAGATTGCTTTCATTATTCAGAGTTTATTGAAGTTTCAAGTAAATTTTATGATTGTGTTTTTCATTACTATGAAAACAAATACCACTGGAATTTTGATAGGGAGTTTATTAAATCTGTAGATCACTTTGGATAATATGGCACTTTAACAATATTTATTCTTTCAATCCATACACACAAAATATTTTAAAATTTGTGTCTTTTCTAATTTCCTCCATTGATACATCATTTATTGTAAAGGCTTTTTAGATCCTTGGTTAAATTTGTTCTAAGAAATTTATTATTTTAATGCTATTATCAATAAGATTGTTTTCCTCCTTTATTTTATCAGATAGTTTAAGTTTATGGAACCGTATCTTATAAATGTATGTTAATTTTATATTTTGCTAATTTACTGAGTATATTAATTAGTTTAGACCTGTTTAAATGTACTGTGTATGATTTTTTATATATGAGATTATATGATCTACAAACAGCAACTTTTTACCTATTTGTCTTCAATTTTAATGGCTTTTTAAAAGTTGTTCTAATTATTCTGCTACATACTTCCAGTGCTATTTTAAAATAGAAGCATTGACACTGGGCACAATATAGTTTTGCACTGGTGTCTGTGAATTTCAAGAAACAAACACCTCTTCAAGTTTTTATAAACTGGTTACAGGAGGTAAAAGATCTTTTGTTGGGCACCCAGGATAATGGGATGCCCTATGGGTTTGTAATGAAGAGGGGTTGTAGGTTGCTCACAAGGCTGCTATGTCTGCACAAGGGTTTACCTTTAGTTGCCTTGTTACAAGGGGATTGTGTAGTTGTAATTTGCATTTTATTTTTGGACAGGCTGAATATCCTTCAGGACTTTGATCTGTAGGGCAGACACTAGGCAGGTTTCTGTAGTCAGGTCTGCATATGGTGAGCCTTACATCAGGATGTGAATGAGTATGGCTTTCACTTAGTATCAAAGAGGATTTTGCCAGGTCACTGTGTAGGTTTCTGTGTAGGCAGAACTGGCCTTGAACTGAGTCATGGAACTGCTTCAGGGACCACAGTAAAGGCTAAGGTCTTGCAAACCTGCCTGCATGGCTATAAATGGGTGTCTTCCTCCAGGCCTCTGGAAGGGCAGGACCTCTCCCAGACTGTGACTGGGAGGAGTTTGAGATGGTTACGGGGTAAGTTCAGTATTCTCAGTGGGACCAAGTTGGGTAGGCTATTTTTCAGTCTGTAGCCAAGAACAGAGGTCCTGTAGTTTACCACCTGAATGAATGCCTGCCTTCTGAAAAGGATGCTCCTCAGTCTTGGGCATTATCAGAGTTTCACAACTCCCTCCCTGGATCTCAAAGCTCTCTCTCTCAATCTCTCTTTTTTTTTTTCTTTTGAGACGGAGTCTCACTCTGTTCCTCAGACTGGAGTGCAGTGGCACCATCTCAACTCACTGTAACCTCCGCCTCCCAGGTTCAGGTGATCCTCCTACCTCAGCCCCCCAGTAGCTGGGATTATAAGCACGCGCCACCATGCCCGGAAAATTTTTTTTTTTTTTTTTGGAAGTGGGGCTTGGAGTCTCGCTCTGTCGCCCAGGCTGGAGTGCAGTGGCTCAATCGCAGCTCACTGCAACGTCCTCCTCCCAGGTTCAAGCGATTCTCCTGCCTCAGCCTCCCAAGCAGCTGGTACATGCTACCACACCTGGCTAATTTTTGTATTTTTAGTAGAGACGGGGTTTCACGATGTTGGCCAGCTGGTCTCAAACTCCTGACCTCAGGTGATCCTCCCGCCTTAGCCTCCCAAAGTGCTGGGATTACAGGTGTGAGCCATCGTGCCCGGCCATGCCTGGATAATTTTTGTATTTTTAGTAGAGACAGGGTTTCGCCATGTTGGCCAGGCTGGTCTCGAATTCCTTGACCTCAGATGATCGACACCCGCCTCAGTCCCCCAAAGTGCTGAGATTACAGGCATAAGCCACTGCGCCCAGCCTTTTTTTTTTTTTTTGAGACGAAGTCTCATCTCTGTCACCCAGGCTGGAGTGCAGTGGCCCGATCTTGGCTCACTGCAACCTCTGCCTCCCGGCTGGGTTCGATCAATTCTGCTGTCTCAGCCTCCCGAGTAGCTGGGATTACAGGCATGCGCCACCACGCCTGGCTAATTTTTGTATTTTTAGTAGGGAAAGTGTTTCACCATGTTGGCCAGGCTGGTCTCGAACTCCTGACCTCAGGTGACCCACCTGTCTCAGCCTCCCAAAGTGCTGGAATTACAGGCGTGAGCCACCACACTCGGCCTTTAAAGCTCTCTTAAAGGCACTTATTTTGGAGATGAGGACTTGCTATATACCCCAAGCTGGTCTTGAAATTTTGGCCTGAAGAAATTCTCCAACCTCAGTGTACCATATAGCTGTCATTACAGGTGTGAGACATGATGCTTGGCTCTCTCATAAAGGCATTTTTGTCAGGAATTCCTGACAAATTTTCTTGCTGTCGGGTTAAGAAAATAGGTCACCTTTTATTTTTCCGTCAAACTAATGTCACTCTATTCATTTTTCTATTTTCTATTTCAAATTTGTCTGTAATTTTAGATTGACACATATGTCAGAATTAATTTTAGATTGACACATATGTCAGAATTTAAATGTTATGCCTGAAGTAAATTAGATACTTAGTAGGCACTCCATATTTACTAAAATAGTTACTTATACATTTGTTTGCTGCAGGCAAATAGGAATTACAGGATTTGCACCCACTTTCTTCAGACTATATCTAAATAAAAACATAATTTATTCCCAAATATTTGTTTTATATATCAGAGGCTTTAATTATATTCTGCAAAAATATATTTATTTCTTTTTAATTTAGCAATATAATTTAACTTGTTTTTTTTTGTTTTTTTTTTTTTTTGAGATGGAGCCTCACTCTGTTGCCCAGGCTGGAGTGCAATGGCATGATCTCGGCTCACTGCAACCTCCACCTCCTGGGTTCAAGTGATTCTTCTGCCTCAGCCTCCCAAGTAGCTGGGATTACAGACATGCACCACCACGCCTGGCTAGTTTTTTGTATTTTTAGTAGAGATGGGGTTTCATCATGTTGGCCAGGCTGGTCTCGAACTCCTGACCTCAAGTGATCCACCTGCCTTGGCCTCCCAAAGTGCTGGGATTACAGGCGTGAGCCACCACGCCTGGCCTGCTTCTAAATTTGAATTACAGCAGTTTCATTTTGTATAAGAATAACATACATTTAAAACATGAAAACTACCTCTAGTTTTTATAATGCTTATTTATTAAAAGTTTCTCATTAGAGTCTTCTATTTATGGTTATACTGCATTTTCTCTGAAATTTTAACTACCATATAGTTAATGCCAGTGATTCATAATACCTGCCTTCCATGAGTACACAGTTACAGTCAAATATTGTAGTTATCTAGACAAATTCTTTTTTAATGGTCCATTAATGTTGCTTACCAGAGTTTGAGTAAACATTTCCCTTATTATTTTGCAGTTCTTTATGTGTTTTTTTTAGTGTTGGTTTCTTAAAATGAATCTATTGTGTTTTTGGTTTTACTTACATATTAAAATTTTAGACAATTTGTAACTCTGTACACTTTAAGTCAACATAGGGCTTAATTAAGAAATAAATGAGCTATATGTCTATCACAATCAGATTATATATGTGTGTGTTTTTTATTTATAAATATGACCCTAATTATGGTTATGGCCTATCTTGTATATATTTTTTCTTAGCTGTTTTCAGTGGTTGTTTTGTCTTATATAAGTGAGTAGTTGTGAAAATAATCTTATTTCTACACTGTGTTTAATAATGAATGTACATTTCCTTTGTGTTCCTTTCAGATCACTTTTGTTATTTGAAGTTAATTTTTGAAAAGATTCATAATTCTTTACTTTTTTCGGTTCTTCTTCTACAAAATTGTTGTAAAAACAGATGACATAAAATTTACCATCTTAAATCTATTTAAGTGTACATATTAGGACTATGCATGGTGGTGGCTCACATCTGTAATTCCAGGATTTTGAGAGGCCAAGACAAGAGAATCACTTTAGCCCAAAAGTTTGAGACAAGCCTGGCCCACCCGTAAAGACCCTCTCTCGGGCTGGGCGTGGTGGCTCACGCCTGTAATCCCAGCACTTTGGGAGGCCGAGGTGGGCAGATCACGAGGTCAGGAGGTCGAGACCATTGTGGCTAACACAGTGAAACCTTGTCTCTACTAAAAATACAAAAAACTAGCCTGGCATGGTGGAGGGCGCCTGTAGTCCCAGCTTTTTGGGAGGCTGAGGCAGGAGAATGGCGTGAACCCAGGAGGTAGAGCTTGCAGTGAGCCGAGATTCAGCCACTGCACTCCAGCCTGGGGGACAGAGCGAGACTCCATCTCAAAAAAAAAAAAAAAAAAAGACCCTCTCTCTAGAAAATTTTTTTCAAAAATAACCAGGCATGGGGTGGGGTGCGCCTGTGGTCCTAGCAGCTTGGGGAATTGAAGGGGTAGGATTACTTGAGGCTGGGAGTTTGAGGCTACAGTAAGCCATAATCTTGCCACTGTATTTCAGCTTGGGTGACAGTATATTCACCTGGTTATGCAAAACACTTCTAGAAATTTTTCATCTGTAAAATGAAAACTCAATATCCATTAAGTAACAACTGCCCATTTTCCCCTCTCCTCAGCCCTTGACAAACACTCTTCTACTTTGTTTTTATGAGTGTGACTCTTTATAACATATCTCATATAAGTGGAATCATATAGTATGCATCATTCTGTTACTGTCTTATTTTAGGTGATAAAATATTCTCAAAGTTTATCTTAGAATTTTACAAGTGGTTTTTGTTTGTTTTTTGTTTTTTGAGACGGAGTCTTGCTTTGTTGCCCAGGCTGGAGTGCAATGGTGCTATCTCGGCTCATTGGAACCTCCGCCTCCCAGGTTCAGGCAATTCTGCCACCTCAGCCTCCTGAGTAGTGGGGAATACAGGCACCCACCATCATGCCCGGATAAATTTTTTTGTATCCTATAGAAATGGGGTTTCACCATGTTGCCCGGGCTGGTCTGGAACTCCTGACCTCAGGTGATCCACCCGCTTCTGCCTCCCAAAGTGCTAGGATTACAAATGTGAGCCACTATGCACGGCCACGATTTTTTTAAGGCTGAATAAAATTCCATTGTATGTATATGTCACATTTTTTGATACGTTTATGAATCAAAAGACATCTGGGTTACTTCAGCCTTTTGGCTTTTGTGAATGCTGGTACAATAAAGATAGATGTTTACATATCTCTTCTAGGTCCTGTGTTGCATACTTTGGATATAGATTAATAAATGGGATTGCTGTATTTAATTATAATTCTATTTTTAATTATGTGTGAAACATAACATTTTAAAATAATGGCTGCATCCTTGGTTTCCATCAACAATCAACATAAGTTTCATTTTCATAGCATTGTCAACAGATTTGGTGGGGTTTTTTTTTTGTTGTTGTTGTTTGTTTGTTTTTTTGTTTGAGACGGAGTCTTGCTCTGTTGCCCAGGCTGGAGTGCAGTGGTGTGATCTCGGCTCACTGCAACATCTGCCTCCCAGGTTCAAGCGATTCTCCTGCCTTAGCCTCCCAAGTAGCTGGGACTACAGGTGCCCACCACCACACCTGGCTAATTTTTGTGTTTTTAGTAGAGACGGGGTTTCGCCATATTGGCCGGGGTGGTTCCAAACTCCTGACCTCAGGTGATCGGCCCACCCGGCACGCCAAAGTGTTGGGATTACAGGCCTGAGCCACCCTGCCTGGCTGGGTGTTCACTTCTAAAGGCACTATATTATATTGGGGAGAGGGATGAGCTGTGTTAGGTAAATATAACAGACTTTTCTCTTTTTCTTTGTGGCTCTTTGCATTGTACTCACCTCCTGGGGCACTGTACACACTTAACTCATTTATAAATTTTTCACAAATGTATTTTGGTCTGTGTATTTTTCTTATATTTATATGTCTATAAGGAAATTAGGGTCTTTGGTATTTTGTTATGCAGTTTTTTGTTTGTTTGTTTGTTTTTTGAGTCAAAGTCTTGCTCTGTTCTCCAGCGTGGAGTGCCTTGGTGTGATATCAGCTCACTGCAACTTCTGCCGCTCAGGTTCAAGCGATTCTTCTGCCTCAGCCTCCTGAGTAGCTGGGATTACAGGTGCATGCTATCATGCCCGGCTAATTTTTTTGTATTTTTTAGTAAAGATGGGTCTCACCAGTTGGCCAGACTGGTCTCAAACTCCTGACTTCAGGTGATCTGCCCATCTCAGCCTTTCAACGTGCTGGGAGTACAGGCATTAGCTACCATGCCTGGCCTTCTTATGCAATCTTGTTTATGTAGTTTGTATAGTTTTGTAGGTTAGATGTGTAAAGAATATGTATCTGAGTCTAGTATGTGGAGTAAGTTGTTATTTTTATTTCTTTCAGGTATGTGTTGTTATTTTGCCCAAGACCTTCGGCCAGAGCAGAGCATAAAAGCTTCTTTGCAAAGAATAATACTGAGAAAATATGAAAAATGTGGACATCACAATTTACAGTTAAAAAAAGGCTATAAAAGTGTGGATGAGTACAAGGTGCACAAAGGAAGTTATAATGGATTTAACCAGTGTTTGACAACTACCCAGAGCAAAATATTTCAGTGTGATAAATATGTGAAAGACTTTCATAAATTTTCAAATTCAAATAGACATAAGACTGAAAAGAATCCTTTCAAATGTAAAGAATGTGGCAAGTCATTTTGTGTTCTTTCACACCTAACTCAACATAAAAGAATTCACACTACTGTCAATTCCTACAAACTTGAAGAATGTGGCAAGGCCTTTAATGTGTCCTCAACCCTTTCTCAACATAAGAGAATTCATACAGGACAAAAACACTACAAATGTGAAGAATGTGGCATAGCCTTTAACAAGTCCTCACACCTTAACACACATAAGATAATTCATACTGGAGAGAAATCCTACAAACGTGAAGAATGTGGAAAAGCTTTTAACATATCCTCACACCTTACTACACATAAGATAATTCATACTGGAGAGAATGCCTACAAATGTAAAGAATGTGGCAAAGCTTTTAACCAATCATCAACCCTTACTAGACATAAGATAATTCATGCTGGAGAGAAGCCCTACATATGTGAACATTGTGGCAGAGCTTTTAACCAATCCTCGAACCTTACTAAACATAAGAGAATTCATACTGGTGATAAACCTTATAAATGTGAAGAATGTGGCAAAGCCTTTAATGTGTCCTCAACCCTTACTCAACATAAGAGAATTCATACTGGAGAGAAACCTTACAAATGTGAAGAGTGTGGCAAAGCCTTTAACGTGTCCTCAACTCTTACTCAACATAAGAGAATTCATACTGGAGAAAAACCATACAAATGTGAAGAATGTGGCAAAGCCTTTAACACATCCTCACACCTCACCACACATAAAAGAATTCATACCGGAGAGAAACCCTACAAATGTGAAGAATGTGGCAAAGCCTTTAACCAGTTCTCACAACTTACTACACATAAGATAATTCATACTGGAGAGAAACCCTACAAATGTAAAGAATGTGGCAAAGCTTTTAAGCGGTCCTCAAACCTTACTGAACATAGGATAATTCATACTGGAGAGAAACCCTACAAATGTGAAGAATGTGGCAAAGCTTTTAACCTATCCTCACACCTTACAACACATAAGAAAATTCATACTGGAGAGAAACCCTACAAATGTAAAGAATGTGGCAAAGCTTTTAACCAATCCTCGACACTTGCTAGACATAAGATAATTCATGCTGGAGAGAAACCCTACAAATGTGAAGAATGTGGCAAAGCTTTTTACCAATACTCAAACCTTACTCAACATAAGATAATTCATACTGGAGAGAAACCCTACAAATGTGAAGAATGTGGCAAAGCCTTTAATTGGTCCTCAACTCTGACTAAACATAAGGTAATTCATACTGGAGAGAAACCCTACAAATGTAAAGAATGTGGCAAAGCTTTTAACCAATGCTCAAACCTTACTACACACAAGAAAATTCATGCTGTAGAAAAATCTGACAAATAAGAAAAATGGACCAGGCGTGGTGGCTCACACCTGTAATCCCAGCACTTTGGGAGGCCAAGGCGGGTGGATCACAAGATCAAGAGATTGAGACCATCCTGGCCAACGAAGAGAATTACTGGAGAGAAACCGTACAAACCTGAAAGATATAACAGTGCAGTTGACAACACCTCAATATTTCTAAACACCTTTAAATGGTTGTCATACTTGATTGTAGGTAAAATATAGTAGAGGAAACCTCTACAAGTGTGAAGAATGTGGCAAAACTTTTAACCAATGCTGACACTTTATTGGACAGGAAATGATGTATACTTGAGAAAAATTATGCAAATGTAAAGAATGTGAAGAAGCCATTAATATCTGTTCACATCTTATTCAATATCAGAGAGTTCATACTTAATAGAAGCATTAAAGATGAAATTACTGTCAATAGATTTTTCAGAAAATATAAGCCTTTAAAGTGAAGAAGAGTATTTATTTTGAAGACAAGCATTAAAATATCAAGAGTGTAAGCTGGGCATGGTGGCTCAGGCCTGTAATTTCAGCACTTTGGAGGCCAAGGCAGGTGGTTTACTTGAGGTCAGAAGTTCAAGACCAGCCTGGCCAACATGGTGAAACTCCATCTCTACCCAAAATACAAAAATTAGGTGGGTGTGGTAGTGCATGACTAATCCCAGCTACTCGGTGGTTGAGACAGGAGAATCGCTTGAACCTGGGAGGCAGAGGTTGCAGTGAGCTGAGTTTGTGCCACCACACTCCAGCCTGGGCACTCCAGCTGCACTCCATCTCAAAGAAAAAAAAAAACTAATATGAAGAGTGTTGTGGTACCATTACTTGTATTACAGATCTTATTTTACACATTTTGTTCTAGAGGAAAACCCTGAAGTAGTTGCTCCAGCTTTCTTCAACATCAGATAATTTATCTTGAAGAAAATCTCTGCAAAGGTAGTAAATTTGGAAAAACATTTTTTTACAAACTACAGCCTAGGAAACACCAGAGAGTTCATACTAAAATATGTTTTTGCAGATGCAGTAATATAAAAAATTATTTGAAAAAATTAAGTCTGTAAATGTCAATTCAGAGTAGGTATATCTAAGGAACTGACACTTCAGACAGTACACTAAATCAGAGGGCTGAGTTTAGAAAATAATTGAGAACTGAAGTTTGTACATAAATATTTTGTATATAACTTTAAAAAGTGTATAAGATATTTTGGAGAGTTATTACATTCAAATTACATTTTTTTTTTTTTTTGAGATGGAGTCTTGTTCCCATCGTGCAGGATGGAGTGCAGTGGTGCTATCTCGGCTCACTGCAACCTCCACCTCCCAGGTTCAGGTGATTCTCCTGCCTCAGCCTTCTGAGTAGCTGGGATTACAGGCGTGCACCACCATGCCTTGCTAATTTTTAGTATTTTTAGTAGAGACGGTTTCACCATGTTGGTCAGGCTTTACTTTTGTTTTTTTTTTTTTTTTTTTTTTTTTTAGACAAAGTCTTGCTCTGTCACCCAGGTTGGAGTGCAGCCTCCGCCTCCCAGTTCAAGTGACTCTCCTGCTTCAGCCTCCCAAGTAGCTGGGATGACAGGCATGAGCTACCATGCCTGGCTAATTTTTGTATTTTTAGTAGAGATGGGGTCTTGGCCATTGGGCAGGTTGTCTTGAACCCCTGACCTCAGGTGATCCACCTGGCTCAGCCTCCCAAAGTGCTGGGATTACAGGCGTGAGCCACTGTGTCCACCAAAGTATACTTTTTTCTTGAAAAAATTTTATAGACTTTTTAAATACGTGAATAATGATGTAATTCAACTCTCAAATTCATGCTGTTTCTTTATTCCTATTGTATTCACATGTGAAAGTATGTGATGAATTGTTCCTGCATGAAAGATATGAGAGATTCTTTTTTATTAGGTGGGCGTTATATATTCTCTCTTCTATGAAAGAGTAAAGACATTAAAATGTAAGATGTATGATGAAAATCTAAGTAGGGATGCTCTTTGTGATTAACTTATAATATTGAGCAATGCATGAAGTAGGTGTTCAGTTTAATACTCTACATTATGAGAGAAAAATATTTTTAATTTTAGTTAAAATTTAATAGTGTATTATTTTACTAATTGTACTTTTATGTGATACAATCCAGTACATTTTAAAACTTTGAAATTATGTGTAGACTTAACTTTTTAATTTAACGTTTTTAACACGTTAAATACTATTGTGCATTCAATGAAGCATTATTTTGCCGCTAACCTTAACCCATTCCACCTTAGAGTGTAGGTAAAAGATGGTAACAATATATTATTTGTTAACATAATAAAGTAGTATTTGTAGTAATCTTTTTTGCTAGTGGCTTTAAACTGCAAAGAAGTTAAAGAATGTTGTTCCTGTATGTTAAGTTTTTATTTTTTCTTTCTCATTTAAATTTACTTAATATTTTTGGGTACATAGTATGTGTATATATTTAAACCACATATGGCATATTTTGATACATACATACAATATATAATAATCACCTCATGGTAAATTAGGTATCTATCACCTCTAGCATTTATCCTTTGTATTACAGAAAATTTAATTTTACACTTTTTGTTACTTTAAAATGTACGACTAAACTGTTACTGACTGCCTCACCTCTAGCATTTATCCTTTGTATTACAGAAAATTTAATTTTACACTTTTTGTTAGTTTAAAATGTACAACTAAACTGTTACTGACGGCCGGACACCGTGGCTCATGTCAGTAATCCTAGCACTTTGGGAGGCTGAGACAGGTGGATCACCTGAGGTCAGGAGTTCAAGACCAGCGTTGCCAACATGTTGAAACAGTGTCTGTACTATAAATAGAAAAGTTAGCCAGGCACGGTGGTGAGTGCCTGTAATCCCAGTTACTCAGGAGTCTGAGGCAGGAGAATCTCTTGAACTTGGGAGGTGGAGGTTGTGGTGAGCTGAGATCGTGCCACTGCACTCCAGCCTGGGTGGCAGAGCGAGACTTTGTCTCAAAATGAATAAATAAATAGACATTGACTACAGGGTAATTTCTATGATTATATTATTTAGAAGTATGAATAAAATGCATACATTTGTGAGTCTTGAATACGTATTTTAATAAATTTCTTATATATTTTTATTTGAACATGTGGCCTCTCTGCCTGCAAACACACAGACTTTTAATTTTGATTTACATAAAGTTAAAAATATGCATGTATTACTCTAAACCTTAGGAAAGAAAATTATGGAGTGAGTGTGTTTGTATGAGCATGAGTTTGTACCTATTTTCAGAAGAATAGAGCAATATCGGAACAAATCATTTTAATAAGGTGATTAATTTGCTAGCTAGTAAAAACCTCAAAAATGCTGAAAGCAAATTTATGCTCTCAGCTTTGTATTAAATTCATTACTGTAAAACCTTATGGCTTAAGGTTCAGAATCTCGCCATACAAACTCTTTGCCTGGCACTCATGCCAGACCTATAATTTTCTTGTTATAATTTTTTGTTTTATAGTTTATGAAGTATCCATTACATGAGTTGGTCGTGATTATAAGAATGTTTTTTATAAAATTCAGTAGTGCACATAATTTTTAGAAGTAATTCCATAATTAATGTATTTTATTTAGAACATTCCATTTTGTTCTTTTAGTTGCAGATGCCTATATAAGCCTACTTTTCTTTAGTTATTGTCCTTTTACTTTTTATAGATGACATAAGTGAATTTACTTATTTATTGAGTCTTTTTTTTTTTTTAGGTAAGTACTAGGGAAGTTTCATAAGTCATGAGAATGTTTATATATATAAATGTATCAAAAGAAACATGGCAGTGAGGCCAGGTATGGTGGCTCATGCTTGTAATCCCTGCACTTTGGGAGGCCAAGGTGGGCAGATCACCTGAGGTCAGGAGTTCAAGACCAGCCTGGCAAACATGGCACAACCCCATCTCTACTAAAAATACAAAAATTAGCTGTGTGGTGACACGTGCCTGAAATCTCAGCTATTCGGGAGGCTGCAGCAGGAGAATTGCTTAATCCCAGGAGGCGGAGGTTGCAGTGAGCTGAGATGGCTCCACCGCATTCCAGCCTGGGTGACAAAGCGAGACTCCTTCTCAAAAAAAAAAAAAAGAAACATGAGAGTGTTTGCTGCGTAACTGATGCTCCGTAATAAGCCATAAATATTACTGCTGGGCTTAGTTGTAACTTCAAATCAGCCGTTTCTTGTCTTTTTTTTGGTTCCTGCTCCATTGGAGTATGTGTCTGTTTTTCTTCAATTACCATACTGTTTTAGCTAATATAGCTTTTTTAGTATATTTCAAAGTCAGGTAGGGTGATATCTTCACCCTTTTTTGTTTTGTTCTTTGTTTTTTTGTTTTAAGACGAAGTTTCGCACTTTCTCCCAGGCTGGAGTGCAGTGGCACAATCGGCTCCGCCTCCCAGGTTCACGCCATTCTGCCTCAGCCGCCCGAGTAGCTGGGACTACAGGCGCCCGACACCACGCCCAGATAAATTTTTGTATTTTTAGTAGAGACGGGGTTTCACCGTGTTAGTCAGGATGGTTTCAATCTCCTGACCTCGTGATCCACCCGCCTTGGCCTCCCAAAGCACACTTTTTTTTTTTCTTTATTGCTTTGGCTACTTTGGGTCTTCTGTGGTACAATATAAATTTTAGATGTATGTTTTAAAATTTATACCAGTGTGTCACTGGTATTTTCATAGAGGTTGCATTATGTCTGTAGATTATTTTGTGTAATACAGATATTTAACAATAATAATGCTAATTCATTTATAGGTAATATTTTTCCATTTGTGTATTATTTAATTTTGTACTTCAATATTGTTTAGATTATAATGCACAGGTTTTTCCACTTTTTGGTTAAATTTATTTCAAAGTATAATTACTACAGTTATTGTAGATTCAATTTTCTTTTTTTTTTTTTTTTTTTTTGAGATGGAGTCTCTCTGCTGCTCAGGCTGGAGTGCAGTGGCACAATTGCACTCTGCCTCAGCCTCCTAAGTAGCTGGGACTACAGGCACGTGCCACCACATCCGGCTAATTTTTGTATTTTTAGTAGAGACTAGGTTTCACCATGTTGGTCAGGCTGGTCTCAAACTCCTGACCTCATGATCCACCTGTGAAATTTTGCTAAATTTCTGAATTAGAAAAAGGAAACATTTTTTTCTAATAAAATCATAAATGTCTTATGGCCATATCTCAAAAATGATGAAGCAGAGAGTGTAGGTTATTTAAGACTGTGCTGCAGGCCGGGCACCGTGGCTCACACCTGTAATCCCAGCACTTTGGGAGGCCGAGGCGGGCAGATCACGAGGTCAGGAGTTTGAGACCAGCCTGACCAACATGGTGAAACCTCATCTCTACTAAAAATAACAAAAATTAGCAGGGTGTGGTGGCACGTGCCTGTAATCCAGCTACTCAGGAGGCTGAGGCAGAAGAATCACTTGAACCCGGGAGGCAGAGGTTGCAGTGAGCTGAGATCATGCCATTGCACTCCAGTCTGGTCGACAGAGCAAGATTCTATCTCAAAAAAAAAAAAAAAAAGCTGCTGCAAATGCTCATTCCGTCACAACCATGCTAGTGAAAAAAGAAATAATGGGTTAGAAGGTAATTTTAGAGTATATCTCTTACTCTTTTGCCCTGTAAAATTTTTGTATTTATTACTTGCCATATAGAAGCCTGTACTTCAACAAAAGATGTCATTAATTTCAAGTAAATATGCTCCCACATATATTCTCCCTAGAAAGGTACTGGTGTATTTCCAGTCAAGTTGTAGCATTTCTGGCCTTTTTTGTGCTGCTGTGTTTGTGTGAAATAAGGCAGGAAGTAAAGTGGAGTCAACCATGACATTTCTTGTTTCTAAAGCCACAGCCTCTAAAATTGAATGTTAAGTCAACTAGAAATAATGACAATATTTAAGAAATAAAATTCTTTTTATTTTTTATAGTTTATAAAAAATTATTTTTGAATTATAAGTTAAACAACTTGAACATGCAGATACCTAAAAGTGTCATCTAGGTGATAGTATTAATATTTTAATAGCTTATAATTGTGAGTCACAGTTGCCCCATTGGGTTTACTGAAAAGCAGTTATTTATCTTATATGTGTGAATGGAGAATAGGCTTTTTATAATCCTAAGCATACAGATCTTTTAAGATTAGCGCTATATTTAGATCTGAATAAAATTGATAGGCTTGTAATAACAAATTTTAATACTTTTTTCTAATAGAAGTGAAAAACAGAAGTCATTTGTTAAAATGAGTTTAAGAGAAACTTCACATGTATTTATTAAATAACACTTAAACCACATGGTAAGTTACTAATCAGTAATTTCAATCTATTTTATTTTAGTCACTGAAAAAGCATAACATTCTTTAATTATTCAATCAGAAACAGTATTCTTATTAGTGTTTCTGAAAGCAACTGTAGACCACTCAGTGGATGACAAGGTTCATGCTGACAACAAATTTTCTATATAATAATAGGCTCATTTTAACTTTAAATATAAACACTCATTATTTCAAAAGTAAAATTAATGGTTCTTTTAAGTCATAAGAGGAATAATGTTATAATTCACTTACTGAAGTGTTTGTCTCAGACTTTGTAATGAATACTTTAAACCAAAAATTAAGTTCTACATACTATCTATGGATAAAAAGAAGTGGTTTGTAAATTTATCTTTATTTTTACTAAATTAAAAAATTTAAAGCCAAAATGTTAGGTCAGGATTTAAAACAAGCATTGGGTGACAGGGTGTTGGGCGTAATGGTTAGATTGAAACTCGGTGTCAGCTGGTTACTGATTGCATCCCCAACTTTAGGATTTTGGTAAAATTAAAGCAATTAATGCAAATAAAGGTGCCCGAAGAGCACCCAGCATATAGCTCTCATTTGTTGATTCTGTTAGATCATGATCAATGTTAAGCCTAAAAACAAGGTGGCCACATCAGTGGTTTGTAACCCATGTTTATTCTAATCAGTCAATCTGGGGCTATATATAATAGTAGTTGAATGTTTATAGTACTACCCTTGGAAAATTCCCATATATTCACACCCAGCATGGATATAAATACGGAAAGATTTCCCATTGAGTACTTCTCTTTAGCACTCCAGTAACACTAGACAAATAAGCACCTAAATGCCGAGTGTTTGTCAGTTTTAAAATTAGAAAAGAAGGCAAGTTGTTTTCTTGTCTACCTGTTTAATAAATTTTTTATTGCCAAGTACGTATGTTCATTTGATTTAATACGTTGAAATGTAGTTTAAAATATATATTCAAATAACTAACAAGTGAAGGAATAATTTATTTAGAAACGTAGAAATAATGGTACTGTAAGCAGTTGCTTTAGAGTCTTTTATAGTATTGTATTTTGAACATTAAAAATAAACATTTTATTTCTGAGTGTTGGGTTTAGACTATTCATTATATTAAAAGTTTACTTACGGCTGGGCACGGTGGCTCATGCCTGTAAACCCAGCACTTTGGGAGGCCGAGGCAGGTGGATCACCTGAGGTCAGGAGCTCAAGAACAGCCTGGCCAACATGGTGAAACCCAGTTTCTACTAAAATTACAAAAATTAGCTGGGCATGATGGCGGGCGCCTGTAATCACAGCTACTCGGGAGGCTGAGGCAGGAGAATCACTTGAACCTGGGAGGCGGAGGTTGCAGTGAGAGACCATGCCACTGAACTCTAGCCTGGGTGACAGTGAGACTCCGTCTCAAAAAAAAAAAAAAAAGTTTACTTACATCATTAAAGGAGCAAGCCATTTGAAATATATATATATGCAAAAGTATGTATTCTAAGATTTTAAAATGAACACTTTTCTCATCAAATTTCTTAAAGTTTATTTCTCTTTAAAGAACACTTTTCTCATCAAATTTCTTAAAGTTTATTTCTCTTTAAAGTATGGATAGTATTTTTGATTGGCAAATCAAAGTTGAATGAATTTATGGGGTAAAATGTGACATTTGAATATATGTATGTAATATGGAATGATTGAGTTGAGTTAAATAACATCTATCAACTCGCTTACCTATCATTCTTTGTGGTAAGACATTTGAAATTTACTTAGTCATTTTAAAATACAATTACATTGTGGTTTACTATAGTCACGCTGCTGTAAAATAGATCTCAAAAACTACTTACCTTGTCTATTTGAAACTTTGTACCCTTCAATCAAAAACTCTAATTTCTTCCCACCACATCAAGCCTCTGGTAACCATTATTTCACTTTCTATTTTTTTTGAGTTAAACTTTATTAGATTCTACATATAAATGAGATTATGCAGTATTTGTCTTTCTGTGTCAGGCTTATTCCATCTAGCATAATGTCTTCAAATGTATATTTCAAATGACAGGATTTACCCCTTTCTAAGGCTGAATAGTACTCCATTGTGTATTTGTACCACATTTTAAGAGATAATTTAAATATTTATTGGTTGAAAGACTTGTATGTTATAAAAATAGTTCTGTGTTGCTGGGCGCAGTGGCTCACGCCTATAATCCCAGCACTTTGGGAGGGCGAGGTGGGTGGATCACCTGAGATCAGGAGGTTGAGACCAGCCTGGCCAACATGGTGTAACCCTGTCTCTACTAAAAACCCAAAAGTCAGCCGGGTGTGGTGGCAGGCGCCTGTAATCCCAGCTACCCAGGAGGCTGAGGCAGGAGAATCGCTTGAACTCAGGAGGTGGACGTTGCAGTGAGCCGAGATCCCGCCACTGCATTCCAGCCTGGGGAACAGGGCGAGACTCTGTCTCAAAAAAAAAAAAACAATAACAAACAAACCCTTCAAACAAAAAAGAATTATTTTAATACTCATTTATAATACAAATTAACAAAAATAGAATAATTGGATACATTTTCATTGTTATATATGTGTGTGTGTGAATCTATAAAATGGTACATGAAGAAATTAAGCCAGAAAAAAGATATTTGTAATGAATTAAATTGGGAAGTAGTTAATATTATTTGCAGATATCTTTGTTTACTTAGATAACAAAAGCAACTGAAAGAATTTGAAAAGTCTATTCAGGTCTGGGTGTGGTGGCTCACACCTGTAATCCCAGCAGTTTGGGAGGCCCAGGCGGGTGGATCACCTGAGGTCAGGAGTTCGAGACCAGCCTGGCCAACGTGGCAAAACCGCCGGGTGTGGTCGTGGGCGCCTGTAATCCCAGCTACTCAGGAGGCTGACGCAGGAGAATCGCTTGAACCCGAGAGGTGGAGGTTGCAGTGAGCCAATATCACACTATTGCACTCCAACCTGGGCGACAAGAGTGAAACTCCATCTCAAAAAAAAGAAAAGTCTGTTCAGGTGGATAAGCAAAATTCGAAGATGATCCCCAGGATTCCCAACTGTTGCATACCTGCGGTGTTATCTTTTTAGTGTAAAAAAGTGTGACTGGCTGGGCGCGGTGGCTCACGCCTGTAATCCCAACACTTTGGGAGGCAGAGACAGGTGGATCACCTGAGGTCAGGAGTTCGAGACCAGCCTGGCCAACACGGTGAAACCCCATCTGTACTGAAAATACAAAATTAGCCAAGCATGGTGGAAGGCACCTGCAATCCCAGCTACTCTGGAGGCTGAGGCAGGAGAATCACTTGAACCTGTGAGGTGAAGGTTGCAGTGAGCCGAGATCATGCCACTGCACTCCAGCCTGGACCACAGAGTGAGACTCCATCTCAAAAAAAAAAAAGTGATTTACTGTGGTAGGAAATTAATTGCTCATGAAATTAGGTTATTTTGACTTTGTGTTTACCAAAAGGGAGATTATCCTGACTGGACTAAACTTAATTAGAGATGCTTTTAAGAGAAAAAGACACATCATAGAAAAACACCCCTGCTGGCCTGGAAGTAAGTGACTTCTAGATGGGTCATGTTGTAAGCTTCTTATAGTGGTCCCCTGGCAGGAAATATGTTTGTATATTGTCATAATTCCTGCCTCTCACATGTTGCTTCCAGTAGGGAGGGCAGGAGGATCCCAAGGAAGAGGAAAAAAAGGGGGTCTCATTCATGCAATAAATAATCACCTCTCATCAGGGATAGCTGAAGATAAACAGAGGAGACCACAACATGACCACATCAATGAGAGAAAAAAGGAAACGTGGTTGAAAGAATTTGCTGGGATTATGGAGCAATATTTACTAAGTTGTAGTGAATGATCAGCTCCTGAGATACCAATACAGCACAAAGGCTGAACTCATTCTGATTAAATGAGCATGTCTGCATAATTCTGGTGACCCAGTTTTATACTATCCATTACAGAAATAACATGGAGACCAGTGGGTACCCTCCTAAAATTGAACTTATCGTGAAAAGCATACCTGATTCTTTAACAATTGAAAAACTTTGAAAAAATAATTTTATCGATTGATTTATTTTATGTATTTTGAGACAGAGCCTCACTCTGTTGCCCAGGCTGGAGTGCAGTGGTGCAATCTCAGCTTACTGCAGCCTCCACCTACCAGGCTCAAGTGATTCTTCTGCTTCAGCCTCCTGAGTAGCTGGGATTACAGGTGTGCCACCACACCTAGCTAATTTTTGTATTTTTAGTAAAGACAGGGTTTCGCCATGTTGGCCAGGCTGGTCTTGAACTCCTGACCTTGTGATCCACCCGCTTCGGCCTCCCAAAGTGCTGGGATTACAGACTTGAGCCACTGCACCTGGCCTAATAAATTTATTAATAATAAACTTATGCTCATTTTTGAGGATTCCACTATACTGTCATACAATATTGAATATTAAATACCTTAATATGAAAATTTATTTGAGACAGAGTCTTGCTCTGTTGCTCAGGCTAGAGTGCAGTGGTGCAATCTTGGCTCACTGCAACCTCTGCCTCAGGTTCAAGAGAATCTCATGCCTCAGCCTCCTGAGTAGCTGGGATTAAAGAGGTGCATCATTATGCCCAGATAATTTTTGTCGTTTTAGTAGATACGGAGCTTTTCCATGTCAGCCAGGCTGGTCTCGAACTCCTGACCTCATGATCCTACCTCCTCGGCCCCCAAAGTGCTGGGATTACAGGTGTGAGCTACTGCATCCAGCAAATATATATATTCCTTGAATGCATGTAAAGTTATGTAGATAGTTCCTCTTAAATTAACATAAAAGTAACAATTTTTGAAATGGGATAAAGTTAACTGCATGCTTTCAATGGCTTGGCATAATTGCTGTGCTTTTTGAAATGGCTAGATTGCTAACAAGAAGCAAAGACAATATTTTGGCTTCACTCAATTATTAAGTTCTTGACCTTTTGAAATCTAAAATCCTGGCTAAATAGTTTGAATGGAATATATTCTATGTAAAGAAGAAGTATGTTGGGCAGGAAAATGCGTTCTATCACCCCTGTAATCCCAGCACTTTGGGAGGCCTAGGCGGGCAGATCACGAGGTCAGGAGTCCAAGACCAGCCTGGCCAACATAGTGAAACCCTGTCTCTACAAAAAATTAAAAAATTAGGCGTGGTGGCAGGCACCTGTAATCCCAGCTACTCGGGAGGCTGAGGCAGGAGAATCCCTTGAACCCGGGAGGCAAAGGTTGCAGTGAGCCGAGATCGCGCCATTGCACAGCGCGAGAGTCCGTCTCAACAACAACAACAACAACAACAAAAGGAAAAGGAAGAGAAGGAGCATTCTATGTGCATTGCGCTTCTCTGATTTGCTTTAACACTGAAAGATTGAAGATCGCAAATCTAGTCTCTCAATTTAAAGTAAATTAACAAAATATTTTTCAGCCAGTCAAATAGTTGTACAGGACTAATGGGTAACACATGTCATTAGCTGCTAAAAAATAGTATGATTAGGTTGAGTAGGTATCTAGCCATATAAATGACAGTCCAATTAAATTAAGAGCCTAAGAGGTGCATGTAGAAAGCATTATGTGCAGTGTGGTTCACCTCCACTCAACAGCACCTTATTCTGCCTGTTTACAAATACCAATTTCCCCTGAGTGACTCAGGGTGAATACTGGAAATTGAGAATGCTGTGGTCAGAGTGATTACTGGAAGCATGGTTAACATATTCCTTTTATATTATAAAGAAATTTTATTAATCTTACTCTGCAAAGGCTTTTAGTAAAAGATTATTTATAGTACTCAATTTGAATTCATAAAAAAGTCAATATTCAAGATAAGTCAGAGACTCTTAAATGTCAGCCATATTCCATAAACCATATTTGAATGAGATCAAGTCTTCTTAGCTAAGAATTTTATTTTATTACTAAATGTAGAGAAAAATAGAAAACCAGTACCTTGGGCCAAATAACGGTGTTTGGCACAGGAGTATCACCCAAACAAGTGCTCTTTATCATTCCTGGGACCAGCTGGCCTGTTTTCCACTAACATAGAGTGAAGAAGACATTGAAATGGTAAAAAAAAAAGGTGATATAACTTGCATATTTATATGAAATACAATTTTTAATAAAAAGAATTTGATGTACAAATATAGGTGAGACTATTAGGATAAGGTTATGGTTTTCTATTGACAGAATAATGTCATTCACAGTATTCTTATTTGAAATAATACTCTTTTCTGCTTATATTTGGTAGCTTTTGATCTATAACCTGAGCTCCATAGAAATCAACAAAATGATTATTTTACCACAAGCACTTTATTCATGTATATGCCTATTTTGCTTACCCACTTTGCCTAATAGTAAAAGTGATGTGTGGGTAAGATGCAAATGTGTCTTCTCTGCATCGTTTTTTTTTCATCCATTCGCTGAAGAAAGGAGAATGCAGATAGAAGATGAAAGAAAATATTATTCGTGAAAGATCATGAAGACGTCCTCTTAACCAGAAAAAGAAAACCATCAGGGCATGGTGATCTAAGCAGAGAATATATTATTTTGCTAAGCCTCTGAAATTTCGGTATACAACCATCATTGCTATAACAAATGTGTTATTTCTTCAGTATTGATTCTTCAGTGTATGATTGAATTCCCTGGTTAATCCAATTTGAGAGGAGAATAACTTATTTGTTAACTTAAGAGATGTAGACAAGACCTATTATTTTTGATCAACATCTCCTCCAGCCCCAGGCAATTATCATTCTACTTTCTGCTTCTATGAATTTAAACTTTTTTACACTCTACATAGAAATGAGATCATGTGATATACTTTTATTCTGTGCTGCCTTATTTTCCTTAGCATAATGTTCTCTAGGTTTATCAATGTTGTTGCAAATAACAAGGCTTTCTATTTTAAAGAAATGGATATCATTCCATTCGGTAAATATACTATAATTTCTTTATTCATTCACTGGTTGATGGACACAGGTTGATTCTATACCTTAGCTATTGTGAGTAATCCACTTTCTTCCTTCTATTTCATTTGTTTTTATACCTCTTTTTTCCTTCCGTTTTTATTTCTAGGAATAAAACAATGGACACATTTAAACATTTTTTGAAAATTAAAAATCCTTAAAAAACATGGACACTGAAACTAAAATTAATTTTAGATTCTTAGAGAACATCTCTCAAATACTTCAAGTTACCTCACTCTGACAGTAGATACATTTCTATATTGCTATATACAGATTTGGCTGTCCTTTGTGGCCAACTCCATCATTTCTATTTTGTTGTGCAGTATTTTTATGCATTTTACATTTTAAAAGTTGTAGGCCATGCGATGTAATTTTCAAACAATTGACAAGCTTTTTTAATGTAAAACTTTCTTTTTTTTTTTTTTTTTTTTTTTTTTTTGAGACGGAGTCTCGCTCTGTCGCCCAGGCCGGACTGCGGACTGCAGTGGCGCAATCTCGGCTCACTGCAAGCTCCGCTTCCCGGGTTCACGCCATTCTCCTGCCTCAGCCTCCCGAGTAGCTGGGACTACAAGCGCCCGCCACCGCGCCCGGCTAATTTTTTGTATTTTTAGTAGAGACGGGGTTTCACCTTGTTAGCCAGGATGGTCTCGATCTCCTGACCTCATGATCCACCCGCCTCGGCCTCCCAAAGTGCTGGGATTACAGGCGTGAGCCACCGCGCCCGGCCTAATGTAAAACTTTCTGCATAATCAGCAGTCAGTATATTTTCACTCTTCAAAGGCATTTTAACTGCCTGAAAAGCAAGACAGTTCAAGTGAGTGTGCTGAGCTGGTCCTATCCAGTGTCAGTCTATTCAAATTCACACAGGTAATCTTCTGGTGAAAGAGTGTACTTCAACAGCATCATTACAGCAATGTGAAACAGACATAATAAAAGATGAAACACTGCCTTCCAGGAAAAAAAAGTTAATTATTCTGTGTATGTGAGTATGTGATATTTGTAAGATTGAGAATAAAGACTAAAGTTAGGGACAAAACACTTTACATTAATCATGCAGTGCAGCTCCTATGTAACCGTGTTTGTCAAACACACCCTGAATGGTTTTGTCAAGTATTATGTTGCTGTATCCATCACTTATTAGACTCCGATGATCACTTTCTATTTTATCCATTTAAGTATTCCCTCAACATCATCCAGAGTCGTGTTCTTGATGCTTAAGTGCTCAGACATAAAACTATTAAAATATTATTGATAAAAAGATGAGGCTTTATTTATTTTACTACAGAGCATTTGTGTCTCTAAGCTTAAGTCCCTTGAACCTTTAAAAACATGGTTTAGCAGGGCGCGGTGGCTCACACTTGTAATCCCAGCACTTTGGGAGGCCAAGGCGGGTGAAACACGAGGTCAGGAGTTCGAGACCAGCCTGGCCATCATGGTGAAACCCCGTCTCTACTAAAAACACAAAAATCAGCCAGGCGTGGTGGCGTCTGCCTGTAATTCCAGCTACTCAGGAGGCTGAGGCAGGAGAATTGCTTGAACCTGGGAGGCGGAGGTTGCAGTGAGCAGAGATTACCCCACTGCACTCCAGCCTGGGCAACAAGAGTGAGTCTCCGTCTCAAAAAAAAAAAAAAAAAAAAAAATAAGAACATGCTTTAGTTTTTTCTTAGTTTTCAAATCCACCTTTGTCAAAAGTACATATAACAATAAACGAATGTAAATTATTTTGGAATTGAATCCAAATCATTAAATATTTGATTATTTGTGTCAGAAATTGTTTTAAGAAATTGAATAGTGTGATAAAGCTGAAACTTGTAAAATATACATGCTTTTATGACAAATCATTTTGTGATCATTTAAATTTTCTTTTCTTTTTTTTTGAAACGGAGTCTCGCTCTGTTGCCCAGGCTGGAGTGCAGTGGCGCAATCTCGACTCACTGCAAGCTCCGCCTCCCGGGTTCGCGCCATTCTCCTGCCTCAGCCACCGGAGTAGCTGGGACTATAGGCACCCACCACCACGCCCGGCTAATTTTTTCTATCTTTAGTAGAGACGGGGTTTCACTATGTTAGCCAGGATGGTCTCGATCTCCTGACCTCGTGATCCGCCCGCCTCGGCCTCCCAAAGTGCTGGGATTACAGGCCTGAGCCACCGCGCCCTACCTGATCATTTAAATTTTCAATTTAGCATTGTTATATAGTAGACTTCAATATAAGTTGGCTGTTTGAAATGTGAATGTTGACATATCAGAGAATAAAATGTTTATAATAAAAAATACAAAACAAAGTGCGATAGTGTTAATGGCTGTTGTGAGACCTCAGTTTTTGTCTTCTAAGTTAAAAAACAAAAAAACATGAGACACACAACAAAGGAGATGCAGCATAGGGTAATTTATTGCGAAACAAAGACTTTTAAAAGTTAGGTGCAGGCTAGGTGTGGTGGCTCACACCTGTAACCCCAGCACTTTGGGAGGGCGAGGCAGGCAGATTGCTTGAGGTCAGGAGTTCAGGACCAGCCTGGCTAACATGGTGAAATACCTTCTCTACTAAAAAAAAAAAAAAAAAAAAAAAAAAATTAGCCTGACGTGGTGGCACACGCCTGTAGTCCCAACTACTCAGGAGGCGGAGGCAGGAGAATCACTTGAACCCGGGAGGCGGAGGTTGCAGTGAGCCGAGTTCATGCCACTGCACTCCAGCCTGGGCGACAGAGCATGACTCCACCTCAAAAAAAAAAAAAAAAGTTAGATGCAGAATAGCCAGTACACCCTGAAAGAAAGGGATTCAAGACAGGCTGTAAGAATGAGACAGGAAAGAAAGGAACTAGGGAGACTCCACTTACGGGAGCCTTACACAATTATTTATAAGGGGAGAGGTGTTACTAGTAAGCATGTTCTGGGTGTTCCTCTTGGAGCACATACACAGTGGCTGTACATGCTTCTTCATATGTCACATGTCTCGATGACATTCTAAATCTCTACCCATGGGCATGGTTTTTTACTATTAATAATGAGTAAGAGGTCAGGTCAGTCTGAGGACAAGTAAAATAAAAATGTGCATGCTCTTTACAGGAAAATTTTCCTATTGGAGAGAGCTTTGCTTGATTGAGCTGGAATACGAAGCAAATGCTGGGACTTATTGTGTTGACAATATACAGTCACCATGCAATCGCCGTGGTTGCTGCATCCCAAGGACATGATCACTTTCTTGACTACCCATCCTCCCTCAGTAGTACTTGTGATTTATTCCCAAGCACCAACACTGAAACTATGATTGAAAAGTTTTGCCAACATTGTCAACAGTGAGAGCATTAAAAATTTTAAAATCAAACATATATGAGCTTGATTTGGGTCATTAGCTGTGTGCCTAGTAGAAATTATTTTACATCCTTGGAGCTTCAGTCTTCATCATTAATAAAAAATACTATTTCCCCCAGGGCTGTTTTAATTCATACATGGTAGCTATAAGTACTTTTTATTGAAAGTCTTGTCTAAATATAGTAGATATTTAAGAATAACAATGCAATAACAGACTAAAGTTTTCTACATTGTGATTTGCTAATTTTTACATATGGCTGTGACTGCTATTGTTGAATTTAGGTTGAATTTTAAACCCACTGTTGTTTAGCTTGTGGGGGTTTTTGGTTCATGTGGGAAGCCAAATGTATTAGACGTGGACTGTTTGCGGTAACTTGGCTTCATTTCTGCTGTTTTTCTGTTCTTACATCTGAGGCTTTAGAAATGACTGGGATTCAAGTAAGATTGATTTGGAATCAAGTAAGGTTGATTTGGAATCAAGAAACAGAAAAATTCCAGAAAAACTGAGAGAAATAGCTACTAGACAGTGCCTTTTAGTGAAATTTATACATGAAACAGTTCAATTGAATTCATAAAATCATTGTAAGTTTGTTAAATTTTGAAACTAACTGCCTACAACATATTAGGCACTTGCCTTAGTCTCTCTATGGCATCTTTAGCTTGGGGAAACTGTCATTACGGAAAATAATATTACCACTGTAATAAGATTTGGGAACAAATTTTTGTGTGCTTGTAAACATTCCCCTTAATAATCCTTAGATGCATGTCATTCTTGCTCAATTATTTTGGCACAACTGCTACAATTCCAGAGACTGTTTTTTTACCAAATTCAAGCCATTGTGTTTTCAGCTTTTTATGTTTATTTCTACCCAGTAAGCTTTATAGCTGCAATCATTATGTTGGCATCCCCCAGGCACTCCCTAAGCCTTAGAGCTGACCATCCTACCTCATCCTTTTTGTTTTGCATGCTCTGTTGTTGAGTCCTTCTCACTCCATATTTGAGCCTTCGTGAGGCCTCAGTTTGGAGGAACCAAAGAAGTGAGTTGCCCTGTATGTTGGCCTGGCCAACATAGTGAAACCCTGTCTCTACTAAAAATACAAAAATTAGCCGGGTGTGTTGGCACGCGCCTGTAGTCCCAGCTACTCGGGATGCTGAGGCGGGAGAATCGCTTGAACCCCGGAGGCGGAGGTTGCAGTGAGCCGAGACCACGCCATTGCACTCCAGCCTGGGTGACAGAGTGAGACTCTGTCTCAAAAAAAAAAAGATTCGTTTCCCAGACTCCTTCATCAACTCGGTTTCCATCGTGGCGTGAACGGTTTCTCACTGCTTTAGCAACTGCCTTTGATTTCTGCTAATTTTCTTTGACTTTTCATTTTTCTTGTCCATCTCTGGTGGTTGCTTTGCTGCTCCACTTTGAGGAGTTTGGGCACCTTCGCCCTCAGCAGCGCCAACAGTCCGTCCATTTGGCTCAAGCTCTAGGGCTGTTTCTGCCGGTTCTTCTGTTCCTGGCGCCTGAAAATTGTTTACAGGGCCCAGTTTTCAGAGACCATGGCTACCGACTCCTCCCGCCTGCGAGGCGGCTCCTGCACTTCTGGCCTCCAGCCTCGATCCAACCTTCCTCCACAGCCGAGCCGAGCACAGCACGAACCGCAGCAGCGGGCGCGCCAACGCCCGGGGTCGTCCAGCCCGGGTACGTCTCGACTCCAACCCTGGGTCCGGGCCCAGCTGCGTGCGCAGGAAGCCGAGGCCAACAGAGCATTTCCTGGGCGAGACCTCCCTGCCTGCGGAGCCAGTTCCTTCCACCAGCTTCCTGCTACCACCTCGGCTTCCATGTGAGGGACGCTCAGGATTGTGCAGGGGCCCGGAGACACCGTGAAGAGTCCAAGGGAGTGAGGAGGGGCTGGGCCGGGCAGACTCCGGCCTAGCGCAGGGCGGCGCCTCTCACGCCGGAGCAGAGATCAGCCACTGCCACCGCGGGAAGGACAGAGGGACCCAGGCTCCCCAGCCAGCCTCACTCTGGGTCAGGAGAGAAGGAAACAATTTTTTTTTTAAGTATAAAGTAGAACTTGCAGATTTGACTCAATCAAGTTTTTATTCTTTTTAAATTTTTTTCCTTTTTGCCTTTTCATCTCAAATTATGCTCGCCTGAAGTAAGATTTCATGTTCCATCTACACGTGGCAAATTAAATGTAATTATAATGGTCGCAAATTTAGAAACTAAAAATTTTAATTTATTTTACCTAAGAATGCTGGGGTAACATTGAACTTTCAATAGTGCTTTCTGAATCCCACAGTTCATTACCTTTCATTTGATTCTATAAACTAATCTATAGTAACTAATAATAATAAAGTCTTGGTTTGCATAGCTTGACAGCTTACAAAGGGGATGTATTCATTCATTTAACCTAGAAATGTGTGTGGAGCACACACTTTGTGCCATACTTTTTGCTAGCCTTAGGAAATAAAATGAAAAAAATAAAAGTATTGGTCTTTACTCTTTTAAAACTTTCAGTCTTGCTGCATAAAATCGTCACACACTCCTGTAAAGTCAATACCTCTATAGTCTTCTATTAACCTCCTACCCCAAAGTGACCACTACCTGAATTTTGTGTTATTTCCCTTTTTTTTTTTTTTTTTTTTTTTTTGAGACAGAGTCTCGCTTTGAAATCGCCCAGGCGGGAGTGCAGTGGCGGGATCTCGGCTCACTGCAACCTCCGCCTCCCGGGTTCAAGCAATTCTCCTGCCTCAGCCTCCGGAGTAGCTGGGATTACAGGCGCGTGCCACCACGCCCGGCTAATGTTTTTTGTATTTTTAGTAGAGATGGGGTTTCATCATATTAGCCAGGATGGTACTGATCTCCTGACCTGGTGATCCGCCTGCCTCGGCCTCCCATAGTGCTGGGATTACAGGCATGAGCCACCGCGCCCGGCCTCTGTTACCATTTACTTTATGCAATTTTAAGTATAAACAATATACATTTCAGTGTTGCCTATTTTTTGCCTGTATGTATATTCTAGCATAACTTTTCATCTGTGACTTGCTTATTTATGTTGTTTTTCTATTTTTTCATGTTGCTTTGCATAGCTATAGGTCTCTTTTTTTTTTTTTTTTTTTTTTGAGACAGAGTCTGGCTCTGTTGCCCAGACTGGAGTGCAGTGGCAATCTCCGCTCCCTGCAACCTTCGCTTCCCGGGTTTAAGCGATTCTCCTACCTCAGCCTCCCGAGTAGCTGGGATTACAGGTGCGTGCCACCACGCCCAGCTAAGTTTTGTATTTTTAGTAGAGACGGGGTTTCACCATGTTGGCCAGGATGGTCTCGATCTCTTGACCTCGTGATCTGCCTGCCTTGGTCTCCCAAAGTGCTGGGATTACAGGAGTGAGCCACCGTGCCCGGCCTTTAGTTCTGTATTTTTACTGTTGCATAATGCAAACATACATCAATTTATAAACCACGTCTATTGCCAGTGGATATTTGAATTACTTCACATTTTTATCAACTCTTAAAACTACTAGACATAATTATTTGACAAAATGGTAAATTAGAAAGGTGTATCTGCCGGGCGCGGTGGCTCAAGCCTGTAATCTCAGCACTTTGGGAGGCCGAGGTGGGCGGATCACGAGGTCAGGAGATCGAGACCATCCTGGCTAACATGGTGAAACCCCCGTCTCTACTAAAAATATAAAAAATTTGGCCGGGCGCAGTGGCTCACGCCTGTAATCCCAGTACTTTGGGAGGCCGAGGGGGGCAGATCACGAGGTCAGGAAATCGAGACCATCCTAGCTAACACGGTGAAACCCCATCTCTACTAAAAATACAAAAAATTAGCCGGGCGTGGTGGCGGGCGCCTGTAGTCCCAGCTACTCGGGAGGCTGAGGCAGGAGAATGGCGTGAACCCGGGAGGCGGAGCTTGCAGTGAGCCGAGATTGCGCCATTGCACTCCAGCCTGGGTGACAGAGCGAGACTCCGTCTCAAAAAAAAAAAAAAAAAAAAAAAAAAAAAATTAGCCAGACATGGTGGCCGGCGCCTGTAGTCCAGCTACTCGGGAGGCTGAGGCAGGAGAAAGGCATGAACCCAGGAGGCAGAGGTTGTAGTGAGCCGAGATCACGCCACTGCACTCCAGCCTGGGAGACAGAACAAGACTCCGTCTCAAAAAAAAAAAAAAAAAAAGAAAGTGTATCATTTGTAGTTTCAATTAGCATTTCCATGCTTACTAATAGAGTTAGCAATTTTTATAAGTTCTTGTTTTAAGATTTGCCATCTGTCCTATTTTAAATGTTTGTCATTTCCTTGTTTATGCACACATATTCTGTAATATATATTTTCTAAATGCTGATATTTTTAACATGTTTGTTTTGTTTTTTTTTTAGATGGAGGCTCGCTCTGTCGCTCAGGCTGGAGTGCAGTGGCACGATCTTGGCTCACTGCAACCTCCGCTTCCTGGGTTCAAGCGATTCTCCTGCCTCAACCTCCCGAGTAGCTGGGACTACAGACTCCCACTACCACGCCTGCTAAGTTTTTGTATTTTTAGTAGAGATGGGGTTTCACTATATTGGCCAGGCTGGTCTTGAACTCCTGACCTCAGGTGATCCACCCGCCTCGGCCTCCCAAAGTGCTGGGATTACAGGTGTGAGCCACTGGGCCCAGCCTGTAATAGGTGTTTTTAAAACATTTTCCACTATGTGCTTTTTCCACTATTTTTACTAAAACATGTTTTTATAAGATTTTGATAATTAAACATTCTTAAAATTGATATAGTCTAATTTATACATATTTTCATGCTTTTTTTTTTTTTGAGACGAAGTCTCACTCTGTCGCTCAGGGTGGAGTGCAATGGCACAATCTCAGCTCACTGCAACCTCTGCTTTCCTGCTTCAAGTGATGCTCATGCCTCAGCCTTCTGAGTAGTAACTGAGACTACAGACATGTGCCACCACACTTCGCTAATTTTTGTGTTTTTAGTAGAGATGGGGTTTCACCATTTTGGCCTGGCTGGTCTTGAACTTCTGACCAGAAGTAATCCACCCACCTGGAGCTCACAAAGTGCTGATATTACAGGCATCAGCAACTGTGCCCAGCCTATGCACTATTTCTATATGTTTAATAAGTCTTTTTACCCCACAGTTATAATGTAGCAGGACAAGCCGCAGACAAAACCCCTCAGACACCGAGTTAAAGAAGGAAGGGCTTTATTTGGCCAGGAGCTTCAGCAAGACTCACGTCTCCAAAAACCGAGCTCCCTGAGTGAGCAATTCCTGTCGCTTTTAAGGGCTTACAACTCTAAGGGGGTCCACGTGAGGGGGTCCTGATCGATTGAGCAAGCAGGGGGTACATGACTGGGGGCTGCATGCACCGGTAATCAGAACGGAACAGAACAGGACAGGGATTTTCACAATGCTTTTCCATACAATGTCTGGAATCTATAGATAACATAACCGGTTAGGTCAGGGGTCAATCTTTAACCAGGCCCAGGGCATGGCGCCGGGCTGTCTGCCTGTGGATTTCATTTCTGCCTTTTAGTTTTTACTTCTTCTTTCTTTGGAGGCAGAAATTGGGCATAAGACAATATGAGGGGTGGTCTCCTCCTTTAATAAAAACAATGTTATCCTCTATTTTCTCCCAAAAGTTTTAAATCCTCGATCTATGTGAACAATTTTTGTGTGAGTTGCTTTGCAGAGATGCAATCTACCTAGGTAGAACAGTTGTTTAGGTACTAGTTTATTGACTAGTTCTGCTTTGCCAATATAATTGTAATACTAATTTCTCATTTTATTTTGTTGGCTGGAGCCATACATGCAATGTTTAATAAAAACGTCGACAGCAGCATCATTATCATGTTTATGACATCAAAAGACAAGCTTTCAATAGTTGTACATTTACATTTGCTGTAGTTTATTTTAGATACCTTGTATATTTAGAAAATAAAATGAAATTTTCTTTTATTTCTAGTTTGCTAAAAAGTTTTTACCAAACTCTTTTTCTGTGCCTATTATATATAGACATGTAGATTTTACAATTTCAACTTATACTGTACCAAACTTACTTATGGTTTTATTTATTTTTTACAGAGCAAAATTTAGTTTGTTAGCAATTGCTTTAACATTTTTTTCTATTTGTCTTAATGAGATTGTCTATAGTTGCTCTCATTTTGTTTCTGTCAAGCTTTGGTATTAACTCAGGAATTAAGTTATGCAGGGTTTTTTACTTACTCTATTTTTTGGAAGAGGCTAAATAATATCAACATTATGCTTTTCAGTTTTAAATTTTGAATGTCTGGAAAACTTACCAGAAAAGTTTTCTGAGACTGACATTTGTTGCCTATGTGTTAATTTCTTCTGATCTAGCATCTAGTTTACTGGTTCTGTCTTGTGCACATAAGTTCAAATGTGACTAGCGAGTTTTTCATTTTAGTTATTGTATTATTCATTCTACAACTTGGTCATTTTATTTTATTTGAGATGGAGTTTCACACTTGTTCCCCAGGCTGGAGTGCAGTGGCGCAATCTTGGCTCACTGCAACCTCTGCCTCCCAGGTTCAAGCAATTCTCCTGCTTCAGTTTCCCAAATAGCTGGGACTACAGGCACCCGCCACCACGCCCGGCTAATTTTTTTTTGTATTTTTAGTAGAGACGGGGTTTCACCGTGTTAGCTAGGATGGTCTCGATCTCCTGACCTCGTGATCCGCCTGCCTTGGCCTCCCAAAGTGCTGGGATTACAGGCGTGAGCCACCATGCCCGGCCTGAGATGAGGTTTTATCATGTTGGCCAGGCTGGTTTTGAACCCCTGATCTCAGGTGATCCACCTCAGCCTACCGAAGTGCTGGAATTACAGATGTGAGCCACCGCGCCCAGCCACAACTTAGTTATTTTTAAAACTTTTAATATTTTTTTTCCTGCCAATACTTTATCTTCTTGTAATATGGTAGGCGTAGTTGTTTTTAATATTTTCGTATCTGATAATTCTAATATTAGATGTCTTTGCAAATTTGCTTCAGTTATTTTTTTTCTGGTGTATTTCACACTGTCTTATTTATTGTGAGCTTTGTCATCTTTGATTTCTTGCTAGTCACTGCACATGAAAAATTATTTTTAAGGTTCGTTAAGGTCTGGAAGAGATGTGACCTCTTGGAGACAGCCTTGTATGCCATTCCTCGGTGTTGTGAAGAAAAGAACTGTTTGGACCATACATGTCTTTTGGAGTCCCAGGTTAATTTTGAGAGGGTTTTTATAATATTTTCCAAGTGCTAAACATCTAAAAGTACTTAATAATTTTTTAAAAAATTATTATACTAATAATTCTCAATACAAATTTTAATTCAGGTGTACTACTTGGTTCCATGAAGAGAATGCATTTGTTTTGAATATTTTCCAATAGATTGATTATGCATTATAAATTGTGAATACGTTTGTAATATGGATAAGGCAAAAAATGAGATGTTTGGATTCAAAGATGCATGAGATCACTTAGGATATTTTCTATGTAGTTGGGGAGAAAAAATATGTTAAAAAAGCTGATGCACCATGGATTGCAAGTATCTGCTTTCTGCCCTCACCTTACTTGGCTGTGCCTGGTTGCCAGCAGCCAAGATTTTGTGTGTTTGTTTGTTTGTGTGTTTGTTTGTGAAACAGAGTCTCACTCTTGTCACCTAGTCTGGAGCACAATGGTGCGATCTGGGCTCACTGCAACCTCCTCCTCCCGGGTTCAACCAATTCTCCTGCCAAGTAGCTGGGATTACAGGTGCCGGCCACCAACCACGCCTGGCTAATTTTTGTATTTTTAGTAGAGACGGGGTTTTACCATGTTGGCAAGGCTGGTCTTGACCTCCTGATCTCGGGTGATCCACTCACCTCGGCCTCCCAAAGTACCGGGATTACAGCCGTGAGCCACTGCGTCTGGCCCAGGATTTGTTTTTTTTTTTGTTTTTTTATTTTATTTTATTTTTATTTTTTTTGAGACGGAGTCTCGTTCTGTCACCCAGGCTGGAGTGCAGTGGCGTGATCTTGGCTCACTGCAAGCTCCGCCTCCCGGGTTCACGCCATTCTCCTGCCTCAGCCTCCCGAGTAGCTGGGACTACAGGCGCCCGCCACCACGCCCGGCTAATTTTTTGTATTTTTAGTAGAGACGGGGTTTCACCGTGGTCTCGATCTCCTGACCTCGTGATCCGCCTGCCTCGGCCTCCCAAAGTGCTGGGATTACAAGCGTGAGCCACCGCGCCCGGCCCCAGGATTTGTTTTTAATCATTGAAAAAGAAGTAGTAAGAAAGCCAACCTTATAGTCTCTTACATACACAAATATAAAGCAAAATTCTTCTCTGAGAGATATGCTCAGAAAAGCTAATGTGGTATCAGAGTAAGAATGTAAACAGTTGGCAGCATGGCAACATCTAGCCCTACAGGCTGGGTTGCTTTGGGAGTGAGGAGCTAACATGAAAGGCAAAAGAAAGACTAGAAAGGGATGATTCCGCCTTTGACTGTATTATATTTTTTGTTTATAAGTTAATCCAATACAGTGAATAACAAAATTATATAAATGCATTCTGTCTATAAGTATTTTTGAGATAGAGTCTCACTCTGTTGCCCAGGCTGGAGTGCAGTGGTGTGATTATAGCTCACTGCAACCTCGATCTCCAGGGCTCAAGGGGTCTTTCCACATAAGCCTCTCAAGTAGCTAGTACTGTAGTATGTATCACCATGTCCACTTACTATTTTTTTATTTGTAGTCGAGATGAGGTTTCACGATGTTGCCAAGACTCGTCTTAATCTCCTGAACTCAAACTATTTTTTCCCCTCAGCCTCCAAAGTGTTGAGATTACAGGCATGAGCCAGCACACTTGACTCATATAAGTATTATTAAATATTACAGCGAGCATTTTGGGAGGCTGAGGCAGGAGCCTCATTGCTTGAGCCAATGACTTTGAGAACAGCCTAGGCAATGTAGCAAACCCTCATCTGTAAAAAAGAAAACCGTTGGCCAGGCGTGGTGGCTCACGCCTGTAATCCCAGCACTTTGGGAGGCCGAGGTGGGTGGATCACAAGGTCAGAAGTTCGAGGCCAGCCTGGCCAACATGGTGAAACCCTGTCTCTACTAAAAATACAAAAATTAGCCAGGTGTCGTGGCACATGGCTGTAATCCCAGCTACTCGGGAGGCCGAGGCAGGAGAATTGCTTGAACCCGGGAGGTGGAGGTTGCAGTGAGCTGAGATTGTGCCACTGCACTCCAGCCTGAGTAACAGAGAGAGATTCTGTCTCAAAACAAACAAACAAACCCAAAAAACGAACCAAAAAAAAAGAGCAGAGAATGGTAATTTTCTTTTTTTGAGATGGTGTTTTGCTCTTTATTATTTATTTATTTATTTATTTATTTATTTATTTATTTTTTGAGATGGAGTCTCTCTCTGTTGCCCAGGCTGGAGTGCAGTGGTACGACCTTGGATCACTGCAACCTCCACCTCCTGGGTTCAAGCAACTCTGCTGCCTCAGCCTCCCGAGTAGTTGCAATTACAGGCACATGCTACAGCGCCTGGCTAATTTTTCTATTTTTAGTAGAGACAGGGCTTCACCATGTTGGCCAGGCCGGTCTTGAACTCCTGACCTCAGGTGATCGGCTCATCTCGGCCTCTAAAAGTGCTGAGATTACAGGTGCGAGGTACCACGCCCGGCCCAAACTTTTTAAAATCATATATTATTTTTCAAAAAAATCATTTTTTATGGCCATTTGAATAGTTGGGCTTTTGCTCATGACTCGTGCAAAAAAATTATATATTTTGCAAAATCTAATACAGAACACTTAATATTCGTATCAGACAACCATCAATATGATGTATATATTTGATATAAAAAAGTTGTTTTAGCATATTGAATTCTACATTTTTCTTTTTCTTTTTTTTTTTTTTTTTTTTTAGTTTGAGATGGAGTTTCACTCTTGCTGCCCAGGCTGGAGTGCAATGGCGACATCTCAGCTCACTGAAACCTCCACTGCCCGGGTTCAAGAAATTATCCTTCCTCAGCCTCCTGAGTAGCTGGGACTACCAATGCAAGCTGTCATGTTTACAATATTTTTTTTGAAGTTTTTTAAACAAATAAAAAACTGTGGGGCAAGTTTAAGTAAAATGGTAGTATTTCAGCAAAACTTAGCAACAGACACAAAGAAAATACAACTAAAATAGAGAAATAATTATTTAATTCAAGAAATAAATTTGTATTAAAGGGTAATAAAATCATAGTAGACTGCTTGGGTCTGTAGTAAATAATATTTAATTATTCACCTTATAGCATTTGCTGAACTACAGCTTTAGATAAAAATGATGCTGTTGGGCTAGGCACGGTGGCTCACATGTGATCCCAGCACTTTGGGAGGCCGAGGCAGGCGGATCACGAGGTCAAGTGATCGAGACCATCCCGGCCATCATGGTGAAACCCCGTCTCTACTAAAAATACAAAAAAAAAGTATCTGTGCGTGGCGTTGCGCACCTGTAATCCCAACTACTCGGGAGGCTGAGGCAGGAGAATCGCTTGAACGCAGGAGGCGCAGGTTGCAGTGAGCTGAGATCGCGCCACTGCACTCCAGCCAACCAGGCGCGGTGGCTCACGCCAGCCGAGGCAGGCGGATCATGAGGTCAGGTGATCAAGACAATCCTGGACAACATGGTGAAACCCCGTCTCCACTAAAAATACAAAAAATTAGCCAGGCGCCTGTAGTCCCAGCTACTTAGGAGGCTGAGGCAGGAGAATCGCTTGAACGCGGGATAACTGTGGTTTGTTTGGTAGTAGCCAATAGACTTCTGACAGACCAAATCAAATTATTTATTACTTCAGAAGACTATTAAGACATATCATTGCCCTCTCTTACATCTACTCATTCATCCTCAAAGTCAAATAAACAGAATAAAAACGTTAGCAGTAATCATATTTGTTCTTTTCAGTTTTAAAAAGTCACACCTTAAATGTCATAGGTGGTTCTCCATTATTAGAAGCCACAGTTTTAGTTGTCCTGGAGCCCTGGATGGTTTATAAGTATGGTCAGTAGAGTTTGAACCCATGGTTCTGCTGAGCTCACTAAAAGTGGCTGCTTCATTGTTTTCATGTTTGTTCTCAGATGTGCTGCTCTCTTGTGGGCTCTAGATGGATATTTTATTCATGGCAGCTCCAAGGATAATCCAAATTAGTAAAGAAAAATATCAGTAGCTTTGGGTACAACTTCATGCGCATTTATAAACTGACACATTGTTACTATTAGTGTGCGTATGGCAATTTACTAAGGATTAGAGGCAGCTCTACTTCATTATTTATGCAACTCAAAACTTCACTACATTTTACTAGCTTCATCTTTAAAATAGG
Source organism: Homo sapiens (assembly GCF_000001405.40). NCBI lineage: Eukaryota > Metazoa > Chordata > Mammalia > Primates > Hominidae > Homo > Homo sapiens. The sequence continues at coordinate 23,194,490 of NC_000019.10, read as the reverse complement.
GATAATTATATACCAGCCTCTTACATTTAAATGAAATAGCACATATAAAATACTTATGATGGGCCAGGTGTAGTGGCTCATGCCTGTAATCCCAGCACTTTGGGAGGCCGAGGCAGGCAGATCACTGGAGGTCAGGAGTTCGAGACCAGCCTGGCCAATATGGTGAAACCTGGTCTCTACTAAAAATACAAAAATTAGCCAGGTGTGGTGACGGGCACCTGTAGTCCCAGCTACTCGGGAGTCTGAGGCAGAAGAATCACTTGAACCCGGGAGGCAGAGGTTGCAGTGAGCCAAGATCATGCCACTGCACTCCAGCCTGGGCCACAGAGCGAGACTCCGTCTCAAAACAACACAAAACAAAACAAAAACAAACAAAAAAAAACCCACTTATCATTGGCTGGGCACAGCAGCCTATGCCAGCACTGATAGGCCAAGACAGGTAGACTGCTGGAGCAAAGGAGTTGGATAGCATCCTGGGCAACATAGCTACACCCCATCTGTCCAAAAAAAAAAAATGAAACAAATTAGCCAGGTGCAGTGGTGCATGCCTGTAATCTCAGCTACCTAGGAAGCTGAGGTGGGAGGATCATTTCAGCAAGAGATTGAGACTGCCATGAGCTGTGATTACACCACTGCCCTCCAGCCTGGATAAAAGAGTGAGACCCTATCTAAAAAAATTAAAAAAATAAAATGCATATCATTGATTCTAGCAGAAAATAAGCAAACAATAGATATTAAATATTATTACTAATAAATAGTATTAAATGCAAAGTTCCTTTGTTTATGAATGACTATATTATAATTTAATATTCAGCTGAGTAGGAAGGTTTTGTGGTAAGTTGTATTATTGTTTCCTGATATTTGATGACCCTCCCAAGAGAATTATATTTTCTTACCCCATAGACATCAGACTTGGCTATTTAACTTTATTTGGCCAGTGAAAATAGACTAAAGTAAGGTGTGTCCCTTCTGAGCATAAATTTTAAGAGTCAATGTGTGGTTGACCGCTTCTTTTTATTTATTTATTTATTTTTTTGAGATGGAGTCTCACCCTGTCACCCAGGCTGGAGTGCAGTGGTGCCATCTCACCTCACTGCAACCTCCACCTCCCAGGTTCAAGCAATTCTCATGCCTCAGCCTTCCAAGTAGCTGGGACTACAGGCACACGCCACCATGCTCGGCTAATTTTTTGTATCTTTACTAGAGATGGTGTTTCACCATGTTGGCCAGGCTGGTCTTGAACTCCTGACCTCGGGATCTGCCCTCCTCAGCCTCCCAAAATGCTGGGATTGCAGGCGTGAGCGTCTGCGCCCGGCCAACTGCTTCTTTTCTCTAAGCCATGAAAATCAGTAAAATGTAGAGAGAAGCCGCTTCACCAGCCTGGATTTTGGAATAAAGACAAAAACTAGTAAAAATGCAGTTAATCTGTGTAACAATTCTATGAACAAGAAACAAATCTTAGCTGGGCGCCGTGGCTCACACCTGTAATCCCAGCACTTTGGGAGGCCAAGGCGGGTGGATCACGAGGTCAGGAGATCGAGACCATCCTGGCTAACATGGAAACCCCATCTCTACTAAAAATACAAAAAATTAGCCGGGCGTGGTGGCGGGCACCTGTGGTCCCAGCTACTCGGGAGGCTGAGGCAGGAGAATGGCGTGAACCCGGGAGGCGGAGCTTGCAGTGAGCCGAGATTGCACCACTGCACTCCAGCCTGGGCGACAGAGCGAGACTCCGTCTCAAGAAAAAAAAAAAGTAAAAGTAAAAATTTCATTGTTACAATAAATCTCAGAGAAATGCATTGAATTTATTAATTATGCAAGAATAGAAAAGAGTTAAGAAAATCTCAGTAGGATTAGAAAGAGAAGGTAGAATGGCCGGGATTGGTGGCACTTTGGGAGGCCTAGGAGGATGGATCACAAGGTCAGGAGCTCGAGACCAGCCTGGCCAATATGGTGAAACCCCGTCTTTACTAAAAATACAAAAATTAGCCGGGCATGGTGGCACGTGCCTGTAGTCCCAACTACTTGGAGGCTGAGGCAGGAGAATTGCTTGAACCCGGGAGGCAAAGTTTCCAGTGAGCTGAGATCATGCCTCTGCACTTCAGCCTGGGGGACAGAGTGAGACTCCATCTCAAAAAAACAAAAAAAAAAAAAGAAAGAGAAGGTAGAAAATTGGCATGATAATGGAAGTAAAACTTTTACATAATCATAAAGCAAAGAAGATGCAAAGTCAATCCTATTTAATTAAAAATTGTATACTTTTAATAATTATGCTTTTTAAAATGTTATTACATATATTTGACCATGAAGTTTATAGTTTAGTAGTATTAAGTGTATTAAAATTGTTATGCAATAAAAAAATTAGCCAGGCATGGTGGCAGGTGCCTGTAATTTCCGCTACTCAGGAGGCTGAGGCAGGAGAATTGCTTGAACCCGGGAGGTGGAGGTTGCAGTGAGCCGATATCATGCTACTGCACTCCAGCCTGGGCGACATAGCAAGACTCAGTATCAAAAAAAAAAAAAAGTTATGCAAAAGACCTTTAGAACTTTTACATTTTGCAAAAGTAAAACTCAAAATTCAAACCCATTAAGCAAGAACTTCCCCTTTTACCCCCTACCCCAGTTGTTGACAAGCACCATTCTACTTTCAATTTTTATTAATTTGACTACTGAAGATATCTCATGTAAATCAAATTATATGCTCTTTGTTATTTTGTTCCTGGCATAATTCACTTAACATAATGTCCTAAAGGTTTATCCTTTGTGTGTGTGTGTGTGTGTGTGTGTGTGTGTGCGTGCGTGTGTGTGTGTTGCCCGGCTAGTCATAAACTCCTGTGCTCAAAACATTTTTTTGCCTCACCCTCTCAAACTGAATTACACGAGTGAGCCACCACACTGGCCCTAAAGGTTTATCTTCATTGTAGCATGTGACGTAATTTCCTTTTATAAGGTATAATTATATTCCATCGCATGTATATGCCATTTTAAAAATCCATTTATACGGCTCGGTGTGAGAGCTCAAGCCTGTAATCCCCAGCACTTTGGAAGGCAGAGGTGGGCAGATCACCTGAGGTCGGGAGTTCCAGACCAGCCTGGCCAACATGGTGAAACCCCGTCTCTACTAAAATTACAAAAATTATCCGGGTGTGGCGGCACACGCCTGTAATCCCAGCTACTCCAGAGGCTGAGGCAGGAGAATCACTTGAACCCCGGAGGCGGAGGTTGCAGTGAGCCGAGATGGCGCCGCTGCACTTCAACTTGGACGACAGAGTGAGACCCTGTTTCAATTTAAAAAAAAAAAATTATACATCAAAAATCATTTAAGAAGCTTCCAAGTTTTGGTTTTGTGAATAATATGATTATCAACATGAGTATGCAAATGTTACTTCCAGTTTCTGCTTTGCATACATAGACATTTTTTGTATAATATGCAAAAAAAAAAGGGTCCAAGGTTTTTGTTTTTTTGTTTTGAGACAGAGTCTTGCTCTGTTACCCAGGCTGCAGTGCAGTGGCACGATCTCGGCTCACTGCAACTTCTGCCTCCTGGGTTCAAGCGATTCGCCTGACTCAGCCTCCCGAGTAGCTGGGATTACAGGTACTTGCCACCACGCCCAGCTAATGTTGTATTTTTAGTAGAGACAGGGTTTTCGTCATGTTGGTCAGGTTGGTCTCGAACTCCTGATCTCCAGTGTTCCGCCCGCCTCGGCCTCCCAAAGTGCTAGGATCACAGGCGTGAGCCACCGCGCCCAGACCCAAGTTTTGTTTTTTTTTTTTTTAATTTAAACATGAAGTTCTCTGGTGCCATTTGTTGGAGAGTCAGTCCTTTTCCCATTGTTTGGTCGTGGTAATGGCCATGCAACTAAAAGCTGGAGCTTCTGCTCTTTTCGTTGCTGGAACATCCTGTCCGTGAGTACCCTCAGATCCACCTCATGCTACCTGACCCAGGCAGCCGCCAGCCCTGCCCGCCTCCCTGCCCGAAGCACCCTGCGCCTGGAGGTCCTGTCACCCCTCTTTCTGTAGCTCGCTTCCTCTTCTGGCTCCCTCAGCTTTCTTTCTCCTGGTTCTCATGGTTAAGCACCTGGCTTCTTAGAGCAACAAGAGCAGAGCAGATTCTTGGGTCCTGCACAGGTGAAGCGACCAGGACAAAACCTGTGAGTAATTACTATTTTGTAATATGTTAGTTGATTTTTTAAATATTAAGTCAACACTAAATTTGTGAAAAAATATTACCTGTTCATGGTATGAACTCATTTTCATATGTTGCTGGATTTAATTTGCTAGTGTTTCTGAAAATTTCTGCATCTATATTTATATGGGACGTTGTTCCATAGTCTTCATTATTTCTGATTCTTTTGTCTGGTTTCGGGGTCATGGTAATCCTGGCTAATAGATGAATTGGGAAATGTTACCTCTTCTATTGCTCACAGTTTTTGTGGGAAATTGGTATCAACTTTTCATTAAGTGTTGGTAAAATTTAAAATTTAAGCAACTTGACACTGAGCTTTTTATGTAAAAACATTTTAAGTAACCTTTTTACTTTACTTGTTATATGGCTATTTATATACTCCATTTTATTATAGATATAATAAATCACCTCTTAATATAATCTATTTCTTCACTGTACTTCCATAATCTGTGACTATCACATTTTCTAATTTCATAGTATATTATTAAAATTCATATTCTAGTCACTTGACATGAAATAATCTGTAATAAAAATATAAAATAAGATTTTAGCCCTATCAAAAAATAACTCAAATATTTCTCCATTGTTAGCATGAGGATATAACTATAATTGAATTATTTAATTCTCATGTTTATTGTGTGAAACAAATGAGTTACTGACTAAAAAGAAAAAAGCAAAACTGCTATTTGACTTTGGAATAAATCAGGCAAACCCATCCTCTTTATTTTTATCAAGATTTAGGCATGACAGAAAAATAAATTTTAATAAGAAAAACAAAATATTATATTTAAAAAATGCTATGAACAAAAGAGAATCTGATAGTCACAGTGATTAGCATGTAGGATATGCAGTATAAGACATTACCTAAGCCATTGAACATTTATAGGCTTAACACCTAAGAATTTAAAGTGACTGTATCAAAGATTCATTGAATAAAAAATAATTGCTCCTTTTAAAAGATTATGTTTTTAATCAAAATATAATCATTGCATGTATTTGTTGGCTACAATGTCTTTTTTTTTTAATATTTTTTTAGATGGAGTCTCTCTCTGTCGCCTAGGCTGGAGTGCAGTGGCATGATCTCGGCTCACTGCAAGCTCCGCCTCCCAGGTTCACGCCATTTTTTTTGCATTTTTAGTAGAGATGGGGTTTCACCATGTTAGTCAGGATGGTCTCGATCTCCTGATCTCATGATCTGCCCGCCTTAGCCTCCCAAAGTGCTGGGATTACAGGCATGAGCCACCATGCCTGGCCACGAATAAAAAAGAGCAATTGAAATTGCTATCCTCAAGGAAATCACTTCTCAGTGTTCCATCTGCTATTCTACTACTCTCAGGGATTGTTCAGGCCCTCTCCCTTCCCTACACATCAAGCTTGGGATTTGCCCCTGCCCAGGACTGGCAAATTGACTTTACTCACATGCCCTGAGTCAGGAAACTAAAATACCTTATGGTCTGGGTAGACACTTTCACTGGATGGGTAGAGGCCTTTCCCACAGGGTCTGAGAAGGCCACTGCCGTCATTTCTTCCCTTCTGTCAGACATAGTTCCTTGGTTTGGCCTTCCCACCTCTATACAGTCTGAAAAGGGACAGGCCTTTATTAGTCAAATCACCCCAGTAGTTTCTCAGGCTCTTGATATTCAGTGGAACCTTCATACCTCTTACCGTCCTCAATCCTCTGGAAAGGTAGAACGGACTAATGGTCTTTTAAAGACACACCTCACCAAGCTCAGCCACCAACTTAAAACAGAATGGACAGTACTTTTACCTCTTGCCCTTCTCAGAATTAGAGCCTGTCCTTGAGATGCTAAAGGGTACAGTCCATTTGAACTTTTATATGGATGCACTTTCTTGCTTGGCCCCGACCTCATCCCAGACACCAGCCCTCTAGGCGTCTATGTTCCAATCCTCTAGCAAGCTAGACAGGAAATTTGCCAGGCTGCTAATCTTCTCTTGCCTACTTCAGATTCCCAGCCATATGAAGACACCATAGCTGAACAATCAGTTCTTGTTAAGAATCTGACCCCTCAAACTCTACAACCTGTGGTGCATGCCTGTAATCCCAGCTACTTGAGAGGCTCAGGCAGGAGAATCACTTAGCCAGGCATGGTGGCAGGCACCTGTAGTCCCAGCTACTTGGGAGGCTGAGGCAGGAGAATGGCATGAACCCCGGAGGTGGAGCTTGCAATGAGCTGAGATCGTGCCACTGAACTCCAGCCTAGGTGACAGAGCGAGACTCCATCTCAAAAAAAAAAAAAAAAAAAAAAAGAAAGAAATGATGACAGACAGAATAGAATGGGCCTGTGATGCTGGAAGGAGATATTTTCCTTGGTCCAAGAACCATTTGCCTTGAGTGGGGAGGGATTGATAGGTGGAAACTTCAGTGGGAGAGTAAGTAGGAATGACAGATGAGAAGGAGAAAAACTGGCCATGAGGGACAGAAGTAGGAATACTGGCTGCTTCCTTAGCTGTCTTATCAGCATAATTGTTGCCTTGAGCAATGGGGTCTGAGGCCCTTTGATGGCCTTTGCAGTGAAGGACTCCATCTTCCTTTGGAAGTGTTATTATGAAAGATGCATTAATGATGTAGGACCTTCGCATAGTGAGGAAACCTCTTCCAACCCATATAACAGCATGGTGGTGCAGGATATGAAAGGCATATTTAGAATCAATATAAATATTCACATGCAGTCCTTTTGCAAGAGTGAGGGCTTGAATTAAGGTAATGAGTTTGGCTTGCTGAGAGGTAGTGGAGGTGGGGCAGAGCAGTAGCTTCAATGATAAATGTGGAAGATACTATAGCATAGCCTGCTTTTGCTGGTGAGTGGTGATTAGGCCTGGTGGAACTGCCATTAATAAACAAAATGTGATCAGGGTGAGGAACAGGAAAGAAGGAAATATGGGGAAATGGAGTTAATGCCAGGTGGATCAGAGAGAGACAGTCATGGGGGTCAGGTGTGGTATCAGGAATAATGTGGGAGGCCGGATTGAAGTCTGGGCCAGGAACAATGGTAATTGTAGGACTCAACAAAGAGTGAGTACAGCTGAAGGAGCTGGGGTAGGGGGTGGGGGGGGGGCAGAAAGTATATGCAATAAGTGTAAGAAAATAGATTTTGGAAGTTATGAGAACTGTAGAGAGTGAGTTGAGCATAGTTTGTGATTTTGAGGGCCTCTAAAAGTATTAGAGTGGCAACAGCCACTGCATGCAGACATGAAAGACAGCCTAAAACAGTAAGGTCAAGTTGTTTCGACAAAAAGCCTACAGGATGCAGTCCTGGTCCTTGTGTAAGAATTCTGACTGCACAGCTCTGCACTTTGGCTGTGTGTAATAAAAAATGTTGGGATGAGTCAGGGAGAGCTAGTGTGGGAGCAATCTCTAGAGCTGTTTTCAAGGAACGGAAAGAGGAGTGGGGAAAGGATTTGGGATCTTTGAGGTCAGCTAGGTTTCCATTTGTGAGTTTATATAATGGTTTTGTAATGCCTAACTTTGTTTTTACTAACCTTGTTTTTAGATTCTCCTTTTTCCTTTAATCACTTAGCCTTGTTTATACCTGAATTGACTCTACTTTAGCTAAGAGAGCCAGACAGACTCCATCTTGGCTCTTTCACTGGCAGCCCCTTCCTCAAGGACTTAACTTGTGCAGGCTGACTCCCAGCACATCCAATAATGCAATTAACTGATAAGATACTGTGGCAAGCTATGTCCGCAATTCCCAGGAATTCATCTGATTGATAACGCCCAAAGCCCCGAGTCTATCACTTTGTAATAGTCTTAAAGCCCCTGCACCTGGAACTGCTTACTTTCCTGTAACCATTTATCCTTTTAACTTTTTGCCTACTTTATTTCTGTAAAATTGTTTTAACTAGAACCCCCTCCCCTTTCTAAACCAAAGTATAAAAGAAAATCTAGCCCCTTCTTCAGGGCCAAGAGAATTTTGAGCGTTAGCTGTCTCTTGGCCGCTGGCTAAATAAACGGACTCTTAATTCTTCTCAAAGTGTGGTGTTTTCTCTAACTTACTCAGGTACAAGATTTGGAGGCCCCAGTGAGATATTAACGCCACTGGGCGAGAGCCTTTCTCGCTCTGGGCTCCCCAGGACAGATGGCTGGCTTATAGGGGGAGGTGCCACCTGAAAAATTTTTTTCAGGTCCCTGAAGGGTGACTGTCTTCCGGAGGAGAGCGGATCAACTACCGTGTGGGTGCCCTAAAATTCAACATCTGAGTCCTCAGCTTCTGACCCCAGGTTCAGGTAGGTCAGATTTGACTTCGATTCTGGTAAGAAGGAAGCAGCCCTGACAAAGGCGTCCCTCTTTTGACTCAGCCCGTTACTCCAGGATGCTAAAAGGTTGAGCCTTGGTTTTCTCGTAGGTGCCTTTGTGTCTTGGTTTAGGTAGGAAGTGGTCCTGATGGGGGCCCTCCCTTGACTGAGTTCACGTCCCAGGATGCTGGGGAACTGAACCTTAGTTTCTGGCAGACCAGTCTCTCTCTCTCTTTTTTCATCTCTCGTCTTTCTCTTGTTCAAGTTTCTTGGAGAATCTCCAAGAAGGAAAAAAAGAAAAGAGAAAAAAATTGTTATAAACTCTGTGTGAATGGTGAGTGAGTGGGGAAGACAAGGGCTTGCGTTTGTCTTCCAGTTTGTAGCTCCACAGCAAAAGCTATGGAGTTTGAGTGGGTCCTCACCTGCAGTTCCGTGGTGACCTCATAAGGCTTAAGGCAGCATCAGGCATAGCTCGATCCGAGCCAGAGGTTTACACCGGCCTGCCAATTATAACAGGAGCCCAAGTCCCCTCAGCAAGAGAGGCCAGGCAGACATCTGAATGATCCCATCACAGGACCCCCTCCCCTTGTCTGTCTAATAAAAAATAAATAGGAAAACTGTTATAACTGTTTACATGCCCTAAAGTCAATTGTTTGTTTTATGTTTATTGTTTTGTTCAGTGTCTATTGTCTTGTTTAGTAGTCGTCAAGGTTTTGCATGTCAAGATGTAAGTATTGCCCAAGACGTCTAGGTAAAAACTTCTTCAAGGTCCTTAGTGCTGATTTTTTGTCACAAGAGGTTAAGTTTCTCATCAATCATTTAGGCTGGCCACCACAGTCCTGTCTTTTCTGCCAGAGGCAAGTCAAGTGTTGTTACAGGAACAAGTGTGAAGAACATTCATCAGATTAAGATTTCTGGCACCATGGAGGTTGTAGGCATTTAGATTGTCATACCCCACATCCAAGTGATTAGACCTCCTCTAGATTAAATTTGTAGTAGGTTCAAAATAGCCACCCTGCAGATTTCCTTGCTAACCTCTTTTGTCATTCTGTAACTTTTCCTGTGCTCTTAAATAGAACACTGTCTAAGGAAACCTATGCCCGTACTGCTTTACTTCGTTTAGATTCCTACTCTGTTCCTCTGTGGCTACTCTCTCATCTTAAGGATGATCTGAGTGGTCCTTTTCCTCCTCATCCCTGCCCCCTATGCTGCACATCTCATTTTCTGGTGTGACAACAAGTTCAGCATTTCCAGGACTTGGCTCTGCTCTCACTCCTTGAACCCTTAAAAGAAAGAGCTGAATTTGAGCTATTTGCCTTTGAGTTGTGGAGACATCAAAGGTATTTAAGGTACAGGTCTAGAAGAAAAAGGAGGAGAACGCCTAGATCCAACCAACCCAGGAGACCTCAGACTAGCCTCTAGTCCCCTTCCCTCAATCTTAAAGCTACAGCAATGTGACAAGTAGTATTAGCTGTTGTAGTTTTTCTGTTCTTTCTAGTTATGTTAATTCTGTTTTTCCGATACTCCAGCCCCCCAGGGAGTGAGTGTCTCTGTCCATGTTAGATCTGATATCTCTGCTCAAATTCTGTTAAATTGCCTTTTTAAAAAAAAAAAAAAAAGAAAAGAAAAAAAAGAAACACTTCCTCCCGGCCTTGTAAAAGTTAGAGCCCTCTCCAATGTATGCTACAGAATTTTTCTCAGTTTTTCCAAAGATTATGCAGTCTGCCTTAAAAAAGGCAAGCTCTGGACACTCTGCAAGATAGAATAGCCAAAGTTTAGAGTTAGGTGGCCCCCTGAAAGGTCACTGAATCCTACAATTGTTCAAGCTGTGTGGCAGGTTGTTACCGAAACTCCCAGCCACCCTGATCACATTGATCAATGGCTGAGTTTGGTCAGGAGCCCTCTTCCATGGCTCCATTCATGCGCCATTAATAATTCTACCTCCAAAGTCCTCCTGAGCCAGACCACGTTTTTGCCTCGACCCTCGGCTGGTTGGCTCCCCCTGTACTGCCTCCCTCTGAAGAAGAGGAGAGTCTCCCTCACCAAGTCGCACCGCCTTACAACCAGCCTGCTCCCTTAAGGTCATCCCATGTCTTCTCGACGACACCTCCTGTAGGCTCACCACCCATTGCCCCTCAACTGAAGCCACAGCAGGAGGAAGTAGCCCCTCTACTACCACTAAGAGAGGCACAAGTCCCTCCAGGTGACAAGCGCTCAGCCCCCTTCTTAGTTTATGTCCCTTCTTTCTAATTCTGACTTGTATAATTAGAAAACCCATAATCCTCCCTTCTCTGAAAAGCCCCAGGCTTTGACCTCACTGATGGAGTCCATACTCCAGACACATCGGCCCACCTAGGATGATTGTCAACCTCACATCAGCCAATAGCCAGAGGAGGAAGCTAGAGACCTCCTGGAGGAGGGTTTCCCCTCTACCCGGCCTAATTAAGACCCAAATTCCTCAAGTGGAGGGAAAGCTTTAGACAATTTCCACTGGTATCCCCTAGCGGGTATTAAAGGAGCTGCTCAGAAACCCATAAACTTATCTAAGGTGACTGAAGTCGTCCAGAGGCCCGATGAGTCACCAGGAGCGTTTTTAGAGCGCCTCCAGGAGGCTTATCGGATTTACACAGCTTTTGACCCAACGGCCCCCGAAAATAGCCGTCCTCCTAATTTAGCATTTGTGGCTCAGGCAGCCCCAGATATTAAAAAGAAAACTCCAAAAACTGGAAGGATTTGCTGGAATGAATATCAGTCAGCTTTTAGAAATAGCCCAAAAGGTTTTTGACAATCGAGAGTTTGAAAAACAGAAATAAGCAACACAGGCAGCTGAAAAGGCCACTGATAAAGCATTCAAAAGACAAACAAAAATCTTAATAGTGGCTATCCAAGAAGTACAGGATGAAATGGCCCATTAATTTGGACAGACACAAAAGAACAGACTTTTCAAAACCTGAAAAAGACATTAACTGAAGCCCCTGCTTTAGCCCTCCCTAATATCTCAAAGCCGTTTCACCTGTTTGTCCATGAAAGCCAGGAAGTTGCTAAAAAAGCTTAAGACTACAGACTTTAAGACTCTGGAGATGCCCAGTGGCCTATTTATCTAAGAGACTGGATCCTGTGGCCTCCGGATAGCCAAGTCATCTGCGAGCTGTAGCGGCTACAGCAAGCCTAGTCCAAGCGGCTGATAAGTTGATTCTAGGCCAAAATTTAACTCTTACGGCTCCTCATGCTGTAGAGACTTTACTTTAAAGTGCTTCTGGTGAATAGATGTCAAATGCTCGCATCCTGCAGTATCAGAGTTTACTGTTAGATCAGCCTCGTTTGACTTTCTCTCCCACAAGGTGTTTAAATCCAGCTACTATTCATGACTGTCAGGAACTGTTAGAAACTACTGAAACTGGCCGACTTGACCTTCAAGATGTGGCCCTAGAGAAGGCGGACGCCACTGTGTTCACAGACGGTAGCAGCTTTCTCGAGCAGGGAGTACGAAAGGCCGGTGCAGCTGTTACCACGGAGACAAATGTGTCGTAGGCTCAGGCTTTACCAGCAAACACGTCAGCGCAAAAAGCTGAATTGATCGCCCTCACTCAGGTTCTCCGATGGGGTAAGGATATTAACGTTTACACTGACAGCAGGTACGCCTTTGCTACTGTGCATGTTCATGGAGCCATCTACCAGGAGTGCAGGCTACTCACCTCAGCAGGAAAGGCTATCAAAAACAAAGAAGAATGCCCTGTCTTCAAAGCCTAACAGATCAAGCAGCTCTCCGGTGCACAACCTACGCCCAGGTAAATGCCAAGCAAGGTCCTAATCCCAGCCCAGGCCACCATCTCTGAGAAAACTCACCAGAAGAAAAGTATGAAATCGGCTTTACAGAAGTAAAACCACGCCAGGATAAGTACAGATACCTTCTAGTACTAGCAGACACCTTCTCCGGATGCACTGAGGCATTTGCTACCAAAAACGAAACTGCCAGCGCAATAGTTTTTACTCAATGAAATCATCCCTTGACATAGGCTGCCTGCTGCCATAAGGTCTGATAATGGACCGGCCTTCACCTCGTCCATAGCTCAGTCGGTCAGTAAGGTGTTTAACATTCAATGGAAGCTCCATGGTGCCTATCGACCCCAGAGCTCTAGGTAAGTAGAACGCATGAACCACACCCTAAAAAACACTCTTACAAAATTAATCTTAAAAACCGGTGAAAATTAGGTAAGTCTCCTTCTTTTAGCCCTACTTAAAGTAAGATGCACCCCTTACTAGGCTAGGTTCTCACTTTTTGAAGTCATGTATAGGAAGGCACTGACTATGTTGCCTAAGCTAAGAGATGCCCAATTGGCAGAAATATCACAAGCTAATTTATTACAGTACCTACAGTCTCTCCAACAAGTACAAGATATCATCCTGCCACTTGTTCGAGGAGCCCATCCCAATCCAATTCCTGACCAGACAGGTTCCTGCCATTTGTTCCAGCCAGGAGACCTAGTGTTTGTTAAAAAGTTCCAAAAAGAAGGACTCACTCCTGCTTAGAAAAGACCTCACACCACTATCCTCACGATGCCAATGGCTCTGAAGGTGGATGGTACTCCTGCTTAGATTCATCACTCCTGCATCAAAAAGACCAACACAGCCCAACTAGAAACATAGGTCTCCAGGCCTAGGTCAGGCCCCTTAAAACTGTGCCTAAGTCAAGTGAAGCCATTAGGTTAATTCTTTTTATCTACCTCACTTGTTTGTTTTTGCCCTTTAAATCCTCTGTATCTTCCTACTCCTTTCTCCTCACCTCTTTCACAACAGGACGTGTATTTGCAAACACCACTTAGAAGGCTGGTACCTCCAAAGAAGTCTCCTTTGCAGTTGATTTATGTGTACTCTTCCCAGAGCCAGCCGGTACCCATGAAGAGCAACACAATCTGCCAGTCCCAGGAGCAGGAAGTGTTGACCTTGCAGCAAGATTTAAGCGCTCCAAGAGCCAAACTAGATGTAGAAGCTCCAAAAGTGCAGAAAAAAAGACTCCAAAATGTTGACTTTTACCTCTGTCCTAGAAATCACCCTGACGCTAGCTGTCAATATACTTATCAGTTTTTCTGCCCTGATTAGACATGTGTAACTTTAGCCACCTACTCTAGAGGATCAACCAGATCTTCATTCCATAACTAAAGCTTCTTGTCCTAAATCATGTACTAAAAAAATTGTAATCCTCTTACTATAACAGTTCATGACCCTAATTCAGTTCAATAGTATTATGGCATGTCATAAAGATTAAGACTTTATATCCCAGGATTCGATGTTAGAACTATGTTCACCATCCAAAAGAAAATTTTAGTCTCATAGAGCCCACCTAAGTCAATTAGGCCTTTAACTGATCTAAGTAACCTTATGTTCCAGAAACACCCTGACAAAGTTGATTTAACTGTTCCTCCACCATTCTTAGTCATAAAAGATACACTCCAAAAGGTGTGAGAAAATCTAGATAGGCACCAACAAAAATGAGAAAATAACATCCCCTAGTATCAAAGCATGTTCAACTAGAACCCAGGGATAACTACTCTAATCACTAAGTTAGCCGGACCCCTCCCCATCCTATTATTAAGTCTAATTTTTGGGCCTTGCATATTAAATTAGTTTCTTCATTTTGTAAAACAATGCATAGCTTCTGTCAAACTTATGTATCTTAAGACTCAGTATAACCCCCTTGCTATAACTGAGGAATCAACGATTTGATTCCCCAAAAACACAAGTGAGGAATGTAATGCCCAACCTTGTTTTTACTAACACTGTTTTTAGACTCTCCCTTTTCCTTTAATCACCTAGCCTTTTTCCACCTGAATTGACTCTCCCTTTGCTAAGAGAGCCAGACATACTCCATCTTGGCTCTTTCACTGGCACCCCCTTCCTCAAGGACTTAACTTGTGCAAGCTGACTCCCAGCACATCCAAGAATGCAATTAACTGATAAGATACTGTGGCAAGCTATATCCACAATTCCCAGGAATTCGTCCCATTGATAACGCCCAAAGCCCTGGGTCTATCACCTTGTAATAGTCTTAAAGCCCCTGCACCTGGAACTGCTTACTTTCCTGTAACCATTTATCCTTTTAACTTTTTGCCTACTTTATTTCTGTAAAATTGTTTTAACTAGAGCCCCCTCCCCTTTCTAAACCAAAGTATAAAAGAAAATCTAGCCCCTTCTTCAGGGCTGAGAGAATTTTGAGCATTAGCCATCTGTTGGCCGCTGGCTAAATAAATGGACTCTTAATTCATCTCAAAGTGTGACATTTTCTCTAACTCGCTCAGGTACAACAGCTTTGTTAGGATGGCAAAACCAGGTATCCAAAGGTGAAAGTATACAACTATGCCCAGGAAGGAAAGGAGTTGTTGCTTTGTAGAAGGGGCTGGGGTTTGAGAGATCAGCTGGACACAATTGGCAGGGAGAGCACACGTGTTCTCATGAAGAATTATGCTGAGGTAGGTAACAGATGGAGAAGAAATTTGAGCTTTGGAGGGGAATACCCAATATCCCTTGGAGAATAAATGTTGAAGGAGCAGGAGGGTGTCTTGTTGAGACCATTCGCAGGAGGGGCTATAAAGTAGAAGGTCATCAAAATATTGAATAAGGTGAGAAGCAGATGGATGGAAAGAAAGTAAATCATGAAGAAAGGCTTGACTGAAGTAATGGGGGCTGTGCCTGAAGCCTTGCAGCGGTACAGCCCAGGTAAGTTGCTGAGACCGATGGGTGTCAGGGCCAGTCCAAGTGAAAGTGAAAAGAGGCTGGGATGAAGGGTGTAAAGGAGTAATAAAGAAAGCATCTTTGAGATCCAGAACAGAATAATGGGTTGTGGAGGGAGGTATTGAGGATAGGAGAGTATATGGGTTTGGCACCACCAGGTGGATAGGAAAGACAATTTTGTTGATAAGGTGAAGATTCTGGACAGGCTTTAGTCCCTTCAAAGTCTGTTGTGGGATGGGATACTGGCATTGAGTGGGGTAAGTGTGATTAGGTTTTAATGGGATAGTAATGGGTGTGTGATTTGTTGCCAGAGAGGGAGTAGAGGTGTCCCACACTTGTGGGTTAAGGTGGGGGTGATACAAGAGGAAGACATGAAGGAGGCTTTGAGTTGGGGAGAAGAGCAGCAATGAGATGGGCTGCAGTACAGGAATAGTCAGTGTAGCAGATAATTTTGTTAAAACGTCTCAACCTCATAAGGCAACTGGGAAGGTGGGGATAACTGAAAAGGACTGCATAAAAGAATGTTGTCCCTAGCAAGACTAATAAAGAAGAAAAGAGAGAAGAATCAAATAGACACAATAAAAAATGACAAAGGGGATAACACCACCCATCCCACAGAAATACAAACTACCATCAGAGAATACTATAAACACCTGTATGTAAATAAACTAAAAAATCTAGAAGAAATGGATAAATTCCTGGACACATACACCCTCCCAAGACTAAACGAGGAAGAAGTTGAATCCCTGAATAGACCAATAACAGGCTCTGAAATTGAGGCAATAATTAATAGCTTACCAACCAAAAAAAGTCCAGGACTAGATGGATTCACAGCTGAATTCTACCTGAGGTACAAGGAGTTGCTGGTACCATTCCTTCTGAAACTATTCCCATCAATAGAAAAAGAGGGAATCCTCCCTAACTCATTTTATGAGGCCGGCATCATCCTGATACCAAAGCCTGACAGAAGCACAACAAAAAAAGACAATTTTAGACCAATATCCCTGATGAACATCGATGCAAAAATCCTCAATAAAATACTGGCAAACCCAATCCAGCAGCACATCAAAAAGCTTATCCACCATGATCAAGTGGGCTTCATCCCTGGGATGCAAGGCTGGTTCAACATATGCAAATCAATAAACGTAATCCAGCATATAAGCAGAACCAAAGACAAAAACCACATGATTATCTCAATAGATGCAGAAAAGGCCTTTGACAAAATTCAACAGCCCTTCATGCTAAAAACTCTCAATAAATTAGGTATTGATGGGATGTATCTCAAAGTAATAAGAGCTATTTATGACAAACCCACAGCCAATATCATACTGAATGGGCAAAAACCGGAAGCATTCCCTTTGAAAACTGGCACAAGACAGGGATGCCCTGTCTCACCACTCTTATTCAACATAGTGTTGGAAGTTCTGGCCAGGGCAATTAGGCAGGAGAAGGAAATAAAGTGTATTCAATTAGGAAAAGAGGAAGTCAAATTGTAAGGGAGGTGGTACTTGCCACCAAGGTGAAGGATCAAGGCAGGAGTCCCTGAGGTGATCAGACACCTCTGGAATGTGGGTGAATAATCAGGCAAGCGCCCCCTCAGTAATTAGACACCAAGGGAAGACTATCTTTCCGACTCCATGACGGGCGCCAGTGTTTTGAGTTCGCAGATAAAACATGTCTCCTCTGTCTCTACCAGAAAGGGAAAGGAACCGAAATTAAGGAAGGGAGGGGTTGAAGGGTGGAGGGATAGTGAGAGAGGTTGGAGAAGAGAATAAAAAGAGGCCGCTTACCCGATTTAAAATTGGTGAGATGTTCCCTGGGTTGGTCTGAGGACTTGAGGTAATAGGTGGAACTCCTCATGGAGTGAGGGTGAGGACAGGGGACCAGTCTCCCAAAGGAGTCCCCCTGTCCCAGGTCTTCAACACCAAATGTCACATGAGTTCGTGTGAACAGAGTCCACCAACAGGCTTTGTGTGAGCAACAAGGCTGTTTATTTCACTTGGGTACAAGTGGGCTGAGTCCAAAAAGAGAGTCAGCAAAGGGAGATAGGCGTGGGGCAGTTTTATAGGATTTGGGTAGGTAGTGGAAAATTACAGTTAAAGGTGGTTATATCTTGTGAGCAGGGGCGGGGGTCACAGGGTGCAGGGTTGGGAGATCATGAGACTCATTGTCCAGGGGAGAATGTCACAAGGTCAGTTGATTAGTTGGGGTGGAACAGGCACAAATCACAATGGTGGAATGTCATCTTTTGTGGTTCTTCAGTTACTCCAGGACATCTGGATGTATACGTGCAGGTCACAGGGGTTATGATGGCTTAGCTTGGGCTCAGAGGCCTGACAGGTACAAGAATGGGTTACAGTCTACTTACATATACGGTGTGGTTTTAGTATACTGTGTACAAAATGACCTATTGACCAAAATTAAACATGAAAGGGGGCAGCATTAGGCTATAATTAACATTTTCTCTTTTTTAGTTATTTTCTCAATTTTGAGAAACAGATCCAAACTTTAGACATTGATATTTCTCTGTCACCATCAAAAATGTACTTATTTAGTCTCAAATTCCACTGTGAAATACCAGAACTGTGGGTTTTTTAAGTGGAAACAACGACTTCAGGTTATTATTTTTTTAAATAATTACAATAGAGGGGACCTCCTTGTGTTTACATCTGCTGTTTACAGAAAACAAAACTTGGCCTGTTTTAGAATCTATTTTCTTAAATTTTAAGTTTGATTACATCACATTTAGCATAAGTGACTCCATTTTGGTTTGCTCTGTGCCTAGTGCACAAGCTTAGTTCAGAATGAAGGCCTCCAGTAATTTTATTTTAGATATCCCCTCCTCCCATTTTGGTTAAGTTCTCATGTAGGTAAGAGTGTGACCAAAATTCAGGGCCGTAGTGCCACTCTCAGTTTTCATTATTTTGAGTTTTTTTTTTTTTTTATACCATGTCATTCATAGGTTATGGTGTCCTCATGGTCGTATGTGCCTTTGAGGTTTTTTCATTCCAGTTAAACATAGACCATCTGATATTGTACAGATGACTGCATTCAAACATTTATAACTTTTGAGAGAATAGAGTGTGGCAGAGAAACTACCATTTTTACTATAAAGAGGATAACACCAAGAGTTTGAAGTATGTTTTTAGCCAGGGTCCCCATGAACAAACCAACTAAAATTAAATAGATCAAATAATTAGTTAGATAAATGTTCTATTCATTTAAACAAAGCAGCCTCTTTATTAATCCCCTGCAATTTAATCTATGTAGTACCTAATGTATTTCTCCATGTGCAACTACAAATATTAGCAACTGCACAGATACTTTTCTGTTTATTCAGTAATTTAGAGAAATTCTATTATTTAGCAAAACTTTAGTAAGAAAATTTAAAGTCTATTGTATAACCATAGCCTTTGCAGTAAAATCTGTTATAGAGCCTATTATGGAAAATACATTTCTAATCATTGCCTCATTTACTCTACTCCATGCGGGGTGTGGGGAGAACCTAACAAACAATGCCCATTCAGAAGTCGAATGGCCCTTGGCAATGCTCTTTAACCTATTCTGAAGAAGTTCCCTTTAAGTTATGAAGTAGGTTAAGAGCAGTAGACCAATATTTTGTTTCTGATATTATGAGGCAGCAAATGTCTCATTAAAATTTCTTTCTTAATGTGGGTAAGAAACCTCATATGTAAAGCTGGCTGCAAAATTCTCTACATATAAAAGAATACCCCCATGAGTGCACATGAGAGATTTCTTTTTGATTTCTGTTGTTTGTGGAGCCATGAGAAAAAAATTTGTCAACTAAGAGTGTCATAATAGCAGACATGTCTTCATTTTTGATCTTGTAAAAAAAGCTATCTATATCAAAGTTGCCATTTGTTTTTAAAGATAAACTTCTCTGGTTAGCTTTCCCTTAAGATCTCCAAAGGGTATACAATCGCAAGAGTTTAGAGGGGTTCTTCTGAGTTGTGACATTATAAACCCAAATTTCAAGGGTCCAAGTCTTGCTGCAGTGTAGATGGCAAGCAGACTCAATGTCTTGATTTTAGATTATAAAAGGTTTTACTACCCTGAGTAAGTAGTGGCCAGGTGTAGTGGCTCATGACTATAATCCCTGCACTTTTGGTGGCCAAGGTGGGTGGATCCCTGGAGGCCAGGAGTTTGAAACCAGCCTAGCCTGGCCAACATGGAGAAACCCTGTCTCTACTAAAAATACAAAAAATAGACAGGAGTGGTGGTGCATGTATGTAATCCCAGCTACTCTGGAGGCTGAGGAATGAGAATCACTGAACCTGGGAGGTGGAAGATGCAGTTAGTCGAGATCATGCCACTGCACCCTGGGTGCCAGAGTGAGACTGTAAAAAAAAAAGCAAAGCTTTATTTACCTTGTGAAAATATGCTTTGTCATAATGGATTAAGGACTTGCTGCATTTAGTAATAATAGACTTCAGTAGCAGAAGATACATGAGGTTCTATTATTACATGCATAGGCTTTCCAGTAACTATTTTAGAAGGGTCAACACATTTTTTCCACTCTTAATAGATCTGATTGTCATCAATCTGCAACTACAAAGGCAATCCAGTCAATTTAGTTTTGCTCAATAATATTGTATCTTTAATGCCTTATTTAACAGTTTTACGACTTGTCTAGTGAAATGAGTATCTTTATCCTATGAGACTTTTTCAGAAATGTTCCATGAGGAAAACATATTTTCTAATATTCTTTTAGCTATTGTTGTAACATCAAACTTCTTGCATGAGAAAGCTTTTATACTAACAGAAGACATGCATTAAAAGTAACAATTGGCCAGGCATGGTGGCTCACGCCTGTAATCCCAGCATTTTGGGAGGCTGAGGTGGGTGGAGTTTGGCCTGGCAGAACTTGAGTCGAGACCAGCCTGGCAAAGATGGTGAAACTCTGTCTCTACTAAAAATACAAAAACTAGCTGGGAATGGTAGCATGCACTAGTAATCTCAGCTACTCAGGAAGCTGAGACAGGAGAATCACTTGAACTGGAGATGCAGAGGTTGCAGTGAGCTGAGATTGCACCACTGCACTCTAGCCTGGGTGACAAAGTGAGACTCCATCTCAAACAAGAAACAAAAAACACAGTGACAGTTAAATAAATGTTTCTGTATAAATGTTTAGATGGCCCTTCAGGTAGCCAAAATGTACATAAAGTTTTGATTGTCTTCTCAGGATTATATGTTGTACAAAAAAAGTTCTTTTTTTTATTTTTTATTTATTTATTTATTTATTTTTTATAGTTGGAAAGTTCTTTTTTTCTTTTTTTTCTTTTTATTGATCATTCTTGGGTGTTTCTCACAGAGGGGGATTTGGCAGGGTCACAGGACAATAGTGGAGGGAAAGTCAGCAGATAAACAAGTGAACAAAGGTCTCTGGTTTTCCTAGGCAGAGGACCCTGCGGCCTTCCGCAGTGTTTGTGTCCCTGGGTACTTGAGATTAGGGAGTGGTGATGACTCTTAACGAGCATGCTGCCTTCAAGCATCTGTTTAACAAAGCACATCTTGCACCGCCCTTAATCCATTTAACCCTGAGTGGACACAGCACATGTTTCAGAGAGCACAGGGTTGGGGGTAAGGTCATAGATCAACAGCATCCCAAGGCAGAAGAATTTTTCTTAGTACAGAACAAAATGAAAAGTCTCCCATGTCTACCTCTTTCTACACAGACACGGCAACCATCCGATTTCTCAATCTTTTCCCCACCTTTCCCGCCTTTCTATTCCACAAAACCGCCATTGTCATCATGGCCCGTTCTCAATGAGCTGTTGGGTACACCTCCCAGATGGGGTGGTGGCCGGGCAGAGGGGCTCCCCACTTCCCAGTAGGGGCGGCCGGGCAGAGGCGCCCCTCACCTCCCAGATGGGGCGGCTGGCCGGGCGGGGGGCTGACCCCCCCACCTCCCTCCCGGACGGGGTGGCTGCCGGGTGGAGACGCTCCTCACTTCCCAGACGGGGTGGCTGCCGGGTGGAGGGGCTCCTCACTTCTCAGACGGGGCAGCTGCTGGGCGGAGGGGCTCCTCACTTCTCAGACAGGGCGGTTGCCAGGCAGAGGGTCTCCTCACTTCTCACACAGGGCAGCCGGGCAGAGATGCTCCTCACATCCCAGACGGGGCGGCAGGGCAGAGGCGCTCCCCACATCTCAGACGATGGGCAGCCGGGCAGAGACGCTCCTCACTTCCTAGATGGGATGGCAGCCGGGAAGAGGTGCTCCTCACTTTCCAGACTGGGCAGCCAGGCAGAGGGGCTCCTCACATCCCAGACCATGGGCGGCCAGGCAGAGACGCTCCTCACTTCCCAGACGGGGTGGCGGCCAGGCAGAGGCTGCAATCTCGGCACTTTGGGAGGCCAAGGCAGGCGGCTGGGAGGTGGAGGTTGTAGCCAGCCGAGATCACGCCACTGCACTCTAGCCTGGGCACCATTGAGCACTGAGTGAACAAGACTCCGTCTGCAATCCCGGCACCTCAGGAGGCCGAGGCTGGCAGATCACTCGTGGTTAGGAGCAGGAAACCAGCCCGGCCAACACACGAAACCCCGTCTCCACCAAAAAATACGAAAACCAGTCAGGCGTGGCGGCACGCGCCTGCAATCGCAGGCACTCGGCAGGCTGAGGCAGGAGAATCAGGCAGGGAGGTTGCAGTGAGCCGAGATGGCAGCAGTACAGTCCAGCTTCAGCTTGGCATCAGAGGGAGACCGTGGAAAGAGAGGGAGAGGGAGACCGTCGGGAGAAGGAGAGGGAGAGGGAGAGGGAGAGCCAAAAAAATGTTCCTAACCTATTTTAATAATTTATATTAGTCACTGTAAGAGTTAAAGAAAGAGGAAAGAAACATGAAAAGCAGCTCAACAGTCAAAGACAGGTCTGAGAGGGGCTTCTGGCTGGTTTTGTTCAGGAGCACTTTCTCTTACAGACTAAGATTATTTAAGCGTTCAAGGTGAGACAGCTTATCACAGGTTTGAAATGTTTCTGTGTGGGGGAGAAGTTTATGGCGGGGTTAGAATGTCTCTGGTCAGAGGGGAGGTTATTTTGGGGCTGACATCTCTCCAGCCAGGGGGGAGGTTATCTCAGGGCTGGCTTGTTTCTGGTTATAGAGGGGTTTGGAGAGTATCTGGTCAGAGATGTTATTTGTGGTTTATGGTCATGCTGACCTTAGTCATTAGACTGATGCCCTTTGGATTTAGGCAGTTATTGATTGAGGTGAAAAATGGCAGTACTTGTCCAAGATGGTGAAGCTCCTGCTCTATTAATCCAGACCCTGTAGTTATAAAAAGGATGAGGGGTGGCATGTTCTTTCTGGCTACTTCTTGCTGACAAGGGGACCAAGAGTTTTCAGGTCTCAGATAGACTGCAGGAGTAATGCCATCTGTAGATGTTTTGGGGTAATTGTCTGTGAAATGGCCATGATCCTGTCAGTTACAAATCTTTGAAAAATTTTAACTAGGCAGGATAAGAACATTAGTCCTAGGCATATTATTAGGAGAGGGCCCAGGAATGGGATGACCCATGCTATGATTTTGTTTCCAAACCAAGAATCTATTTGGTTGTTTTGGTATTACCTTAGCTTTTTAGTCCTTTAAGTTTTCAGCAGTGTCTCTTACTAGGCCAGATTAGTTGAGATAGAAACAACATTGCATACCTAATGAGAGGCAGAGGTGCATGTTTGGTAAGGCCCATGTGTTATTTTTTATTGGTAACCATTATTCCTGCCGTGAGGATAATAACTAAGCAAAATGCTACAGTAATTGATATTCTCTGTCCAATATTCCACCCTCAAGGCGCTACAGCATATAGTCCTACTGCAAATAGTAGAGTAAGTAAAGCAATTCCCACAAGGTGGCATAGTAAATAATTTTCATGGCCAGGTGCAATGACTCATGTCTGTAATCCCAGCACTTTGGGAGGCTGAGGTGGGTGGCTCACCTGAGGTCGGGAGTTCGAGACCAGCCTGACCAACATGGAGAAACTCCGTCTCTATTAAAAATACAAAATCAGCCGGGTGGGTGGCCCACACCTATAATCCCAGTTACTCAGGAGGCTGAGGCAGGAGAATCGCTGGAACCCGGTAGGTGGAGGTTGTGATAAGCTGAGATCATGCTATTGCACTCCAGCCTGGGCAACAAGAATGAAACTCCGTCTCAAAAAAATAATAATAATAATTTTAATTAAAAAGTTTTATTGTTGTGGTAAACTGAGGAACAGAGAGACCAATATGGAGTACAGGAGGATTGTTGTTTATTTTAGGTACGCACTGGCTCAGTGGACTCACATCCAAAAAGCTGAGCATTGAACAAAGACAGAGTGGGGTTTTTATAAGTGGCCTTACAGAAGCAAAACAAAAGCAGTTAGTCATACAGTGACAGGTCATGTAACCTATAGCATAACATAACTTGTGACCTTGCATAGCTGGTGGCCTTGTAGCTGCATTGAAAGAAAAACAAGACCTGGCTAAATATAGACATTTGTAAAACATAATAATGCTTAAGAAGCCTGGGAAAAGAGTAACAGTAAAAGAATCCGTCTTTCTTTTTCTTCCTTCAACCTTGCTCTGGAAGGGCATGGGGGGGTGTCTGGAGCCCATTCCTTTGGCCTTGGCTATTCAGACAGCATTAACTTACAACTGTCCTTGAAGTGAGCTTGCTAGGCAGAGGAAAATTTGTTCTTTTCTTTTTCCTTTTAACCCTTGCCTTGCCACATTCTGAGACTTAGCTTTTACTTTTCTAGTAGTGAATAAATGCAGTACTTATTCTTATTATTATTTTTAAATTTCTGCCTCATTAATATTTGAGGTAGGAATGACAAAAAGTATTTGGTAAGGTAGGGGTGAGACTGAGTAAGATGAGTAGTTCTCACTCAGTTACTTATTTTTTACTATTTTCAGCTTAAGATTTCCTATTTCTTTATATTGATATTTAGGACATTCCTTTGGGCTATCAGGGGTTGCTTCCTCATCTTTCCAGGCTTTGACTTATGTGTGATGTATCCAGGAGTTGATTCCTATAACAGATACTCTCTGAATTACCCTGGGTTCCATGGACTCACTAGATGTGGTGGAGAAGGATTCTGGGCACACTCAGTTATTAGTTGTCAGTACTAACAGTGAAGAGATTTCCTCCTGTGATGATATGGGGGCTCAGAGGCAGCGCCTGCTGAAACATTTAGTTTTCCATTCATAGGGCTTTAAGAAAACACAGCTTATTTTGGAAATTGTAGTCAGAAAAATTAGAATTTAATTTAAACGGTAGAAAATAATAAAAATAAAATAAATAAAATAATAAAAATAAAAAACGTTAGGCAAGACTAGAATATAACAACAGGCATGCTGTAGTTTTTGAAACAATTTTCTCTCTCCAGTTTCCCATTTTTATTAGAAGACTAATCATGGTAGGATGGGTTTGCTTTATTATAGTTATCTTAATTATTTGCATACGGTGCAGCAAGAATAATTATTTGTTACATAGGTCTTCTAAATTGGCTTTGATGGAACTTTGTTTTGTAGAAGGAATCTGAGATAAGACCTTTTTACAGCCAAGCCTAGCCACGGATTTGTACCATCAAATACTTATGAGTTGAGTGAATTTCTCTCTTCTTGAGGTTCCAAGATAACTTGGACTTCCCAGCCTGCTAGAAAGTGACATTCTTTACTTACCACAGATCAGAAACCCTGCACTGGGACTGTGTACACAAAATATGAGGCCAGTTTCCAAGGGATTTATTGGTTTCCTAAGTCAAGTTTGATTCCTTAAAAGAAAGCACAACATTCCAGTTAAAGCCTTGGTAAAATAACCAAGTTTTCCAGTTGTGTAATGTCACAAAAGAAAACAGATTCTTAGGCCAGGTGTGGTGGCTCATGCCTGTAATCCCAGCACTTTGGGAGGCTGAGGCTTGTGGATTATGAGGTCAGGAGTTTGAGAACAGCCTGGCCAAGATGGTGAAACCCCATCTGCACTAAAAATAATAAAAAAAGCCAGGCATGGTGGCAGGCACCTGTAATCCCAGCTACTTTGGAGGCTGAGGCAGGAGAATCACTTGAACCCAGGAGGCGGAGGTTGCAGTGAGCCAAGATCATGCCACTGCACTCCAGCCTGGGTGACAGAGTGAGATTCCATCTCAAAAAAGCAAAACAAAACAGATTCTTATTGCACTTATGCAAATAACTATACTGGCATAACAAGATTTTAGATTTTAAATGGTCAAGAATTTAATCATTTGGCAAAGCCATGATTTTGTCTTTGCTTCTTGTTAGTAATCTAGCCATTTCCAAAAGCATGACAATTATGCCAAGCCATTGAAAAAATGTGGTTTTGATAAATTTTATCCCATTCTAAATGTTTTCTCTAATTGTTACTTTTATCATGTTAATCTAAGAGAAACTACCTGCATAGCTGTTCATGCATTCAAGACATATTCATATTAAGGTGTTTAAAGTTCAATATTGTATGACAATATAGTAGAATCTTCTAAAATTAGCAGTTTATTATTATAAACTATCGGGAGACCTGCCCCAATAATCACGTAGGTTCTTTTCTATTTTCCTAAGCATCGGCCGGCTTGAGAAATAAAGGGACAGAGTACAAAAGAGAGAAATATTAAAGCTGGGTGTCCGGGGGAGACATCATACGTTGGTAGGATCCCTGATGCCCCACAAGCCACAAAGCCAGCAAGTTTTTATTAGGGATTTTCAAAAGGGGAGGGAGTGTGCGAAATAGGTGTGGGTGACAGACATCAAGTACTTAACAGGGTAATAGAACACAAGGCAAGTGGAGGCAGGGCGAGATCACAGGACCACAGGACCGAGGCGAAATTAAAATTGCTAATGAAGCTTTGGGCACCATTGTCATTGACAACATCTTCTCAGGAGGCAAGGTTTTGAGATCAACCGGCCTGACCAAAATTTATTAGGTGGGAATTTCCTCTTCCTAATAAGCCTGGGAGCGCTAAGGGAGACTGGAGTTTATTTCACCCCTGCAATCTCGACCATAAGAGACAGGTTCGCCCTGGGGGGCCCAGTTCAGAGACCTACCCCTGGGTGTGCATTCTCTTTCTCAGGGACGTTCCATGCTGAGAAAAAGAATTCAGCAATATTTCTCCCATTTGCTTTTGAAAGAAGAGAAATATGGCTCTGTTCTGCCCGGCTCACCGGCGTCAGAGTTTAAGGTTATCTCTCTTATTCCCTGAATAATTGCTGTTATCCTGTTCTTTTTTCAGGGTGCCCACATTTCATATTCCTCAAACACACATGCTGTACAATTTGTGTAGTTAACGCAATTATTACAGGGTCCTGAGACTATATACATCCTTCTCGGCTGACAGGATTAAGAGATTAAAGTAAAGACAGGCATAGGAAATCACAAGGGTATTGATTGGGGAAGTGATAAGTGTCCATGAAATCTTTACAATTTATGTTTAGAGATTGCAGTAAAGACAGGCATAAGAAATTACAAAAGTATTAATTTGGGGAACTAATAAATGTCCATAAAATCTTCACAATCCACGTTCTTCTGTCATGGCTTCAGCCGGTCCCTCCATTTGGCGTCCCTGACTTCCCGCAACAATAAACATCTGTATTACTACATTTATTATATAAATTCATTATGTTTTCAAGGTTTTTCAATTGTGAAAACAATAAGATATGCTTTTTCACAAGAAGTTTAATTCTAGGAGGTTACCCACTGGTCTCTATGTTATTTCTGTAATATGTAGTGTAAAACTGGGCCTCCAGAATGGCACGGATATGCTCATTTAATCAGTATAAGAATGAGTGTAGACTTCTTGGCGGACTATTGCTATCCCAGAGGCTAATCATTCACTGTGACTTAGTAAATGCTGCTCCATCATGTCAGTGAGCCCTTTCAACCAGGTTGCCTTTTTCCTCTCATCGATGTGCTCATGTTGTGGTCTCCTCTGTTTATATTAAGCTATCCCAGATGAGAGGTGATTATTTCTTGAAAAAAGAGAGCCCCCTCCCTTTTTTTTTTTAACTTGTCATGGTATCCTTTTTCTCTTCCTACTGGAAGCATCATGTGGAAGGCAGGAATTCTGACAATATACAAATAGATTTCCTGCCATGGGGTCACCATAAGCAGTTTACAAATTGGTTGACCTAGAAGTCACTTACTTCCAGGTCAGCAGGGGTATTTTTCTATGATGTGTCTTTTTCTCTTAAAAGTACCTCTCATTAAGTTTAGCCCAATCAGG
Organism: Homo sapiens; assembly: GCF_000001405.40. Lineage (NCBI taxonomy): Eukaryota > Metazoa > Chordata > Mammalia > Primates > Hominidae > Homo > Homo sapiens. Next base: position 23,167,099 of record NC_000019.10, on the reverse strand, counting down.
GTAATCTCCCTTTTGATGAACACAGAGTCAACACATTAGTAACCTAATTTCATAAGTAATTTTCCACCACAGTGAGACACTTGTTTTTTACACTTCAGAGGTGAAGATTACACAGCAGGTGTGCAACAGACTGAAAATCCAGGTGATCGTCTTAAAATTTTGCCTACCCACCTGAATAGACATTTAAAGTAGTCTTGTAGTTTTTTTGTTATCTAAGTAAACAAAGATATCATCTACAAATAATAATTGACTACCTCACCATTTTATTCATAATAATTATTAACATCTTTTTTCTAGCTTAAATTATTTCTATTTTATGTACCATTTTATACATTTACACACACGTATAACAATGACAATTTATCCAATTATTCAATTTATGTTAGTTTTTCTGAAAAATAATTGTTAAAAGTAATTTTGTCTTATCTGTTTGAAAGATTTTTATGGTTGTACTCAAGAGTTATCTTTAAGACAAAGTTGCCTGTATTTTAATATGGGCTCTGCTATTGTGAGTGAGTCATTTCTCTCAGTGGCTCTCTTTCTTCCACTGTGAAATAATGATAATTAGTATACTTATGTTATTAAATTACTGTCAGAATTAAATTTATTAACACATATAGTGTTATGGTTAGTGCTTGGTACAAATGAGCTATTATTAACAAAATATTTATATGCTAAATTACAATGATACATGCTTTAACAAAGAAATATTTTCTCATAACACACTAGTTTTTCAACCAAGAGATAAATATATATTTATGTAAATAACAAATTAATATTAGTTATTAACTAATATACATATATTTAAATTATTTTTTAAAATTTTGGTATAGATACACGATGGAACACTAGTCAACCATAACAATGGATAAATCCCATCATTTAAAACAATATAGATAAATTTTGAAGACATCATGCTAGATGAAATAAGCCTGACACAAAAAGACAAATACTGCATGATCTTATTTATATGTAGAATCTAATAAAGTTTAACTCAAAAAAGTAGAAAATGAAATAATGGTTATGAGAGGTTAGGTGTGGTGGGAAGTAAATAGGAAGTTGTTGATCAAAGGGTACAAAATTTCAAAAAGACAGGGTAAGTAGGTTTTGAGATCTATTGCACAGCAGCATGATGATAGTAAACTATAAAGTACTATATTTTTAAAAAACTGAGTAAATTTCAAATGTATCATAAGAAATGATTGATAAGTGAGTTGACAGATATGTTATAAAACTTGACTTAATCATATTATATAATATGCATATATTAAAACCACATTTTAACCCATAAATTTATACAACTCTTATTTGCCAATCAAAAATACTATTAATACTATAAAAAATATATAAGAGAAGGCTGGGTGTGGTGGCTCACGTTTATAATCCCAGCACTTTGGGAGCCCAAGGCAGGTGGATTACCTGAGGTCAGGAGTTGGAGACCAGCCTGGCCAACATGGCAAAACCCCATCTCTTCTAAAAATGCAAAAATTAGCCTAGTGTGGTGGCAGGTGCCTATAATCCCAGCTGCTTGGGAGGCTGAGTCAGGACAATCACTTGAATCCAGGAGACAGAGGTTGCAGTGAACTGAGATTGTGCCATTGCACTTCAGCCTGGGTGATAGAGTGAAATTCCATCTCAAAAAAAAAAAAAAGAGAGAGAGGCTGGGTGCGGTGGCTCATATCTGTAATCCCAGCAGTTTGGGAGGCCAAAGTGGGCAGATCACCTGAGGTCAGGAGTTCAAGACCAGCCTAGCCAACATGGTGAAACCCTATCTCTACTAAAAATACAAAAATTAGCTGGAAGTGGTAGTGGGCGCCTGTAATCCCAGCTACTCAGGAGGCTGAGGCAGGGAGAATTGCTTGAATCTGGGAGGTGGAGGTTGCAGTGAGCTGAGGTCATGCCACTGCACTCCAGCCTGGGTGACAGAGCAAGACTATGTCTCAAAAAAAAAAAAAAAAAGAGAGAAATTTTAAGAAATTGGGCCAGAGAATAAAGTGTTTGTTCATTTTAAAATTTCAGGAGACATATACATATTTTTTTATTTCATGTGGCTTGCTCATGTAGTGATGTAAGTAAACTTTTAATATCATGAATAGTCTGAACCCACACTCAGAAATAAAGTATGCTGATTTTTAATGATCTAATACCTTAAAAAAAATCTAAAGCAACAGTTTAGAGTAAAATTCTGTCTAAATTTATAAATAAATGATTTTCTTCATTTGTTAGAGAAAAAAGTTATTTAAATATATATTTTCAAACTACATTTAAATGTATCAAATGAAAATAAATAAGAAATATATTAAACAAGTAGATAAAGAAACAATTTGCCTCATTCTCTAATGAATAAAACTGACAAACACTCACCATTTAAGTTCCTCTTTATCCATTTACTGGAGTGCTAAAGAGCAGTACTCAATGATAAATCTTTTAAAGATATTTATATCCATGCTGTATGTGAATATATGGGAATTTGCCAAGGTTAGTATTAAAAACATTCAACTACTATTATAGCCCCAGACGGACAAATTAGAAGGAACATGGGTTACAAACCAGTGGTATGGCCATCTTGTTTTCAGGCTTAACATTTGTCATGATCTAACAGAATCAACAAATAAGAGCTAATAAACTTCCTGTACACTTGTTATGTGCTGGGCATTTTTCTGACACCTTTATTTGCATTAATTGCTTTAATTTAAACAAAACGTTAGGATGTAGGCACTATTATTCTCACAGAACCACTATAGGGCCAAGCACAGACAGGCAAGAAACTATACTTAGGTCATACAGCCCATAAGTGGGAGAACTGAGATACAATCAGGCACCAAGGGAGGAGACCACCCCTCATAATGTCTTATGCCCAATTTCTGCCTCCAAAGAAAGAAGAAGTAAAAACTAAAAGGCAGAAATGAAATCTACAGGCAGACAGCCCGGCGCCAGTGGGCCTGGTTAAAGGTTGACCCCTGACCTAACCGGTTATGTTATCTATAGATTCCAGACATTGTATGGAAAAGCATTGTGAAAATCCCTGTCCTGTTCTGTTCCATTCTGATTACCAGTGGATGCAGCCCCCAGTCATGTACCCCCTGCTTGCTCAATGGATCATGACCCTCTCACGCAGACCCCCTTAGAGTTGTAAGACCTTAAAAGGGACAGGAATTGCTCACTTGGGGAGCTCGGTTGTTGGAGACTTGAGTCTTGCCAAAGCTCCTGGCTGAATAAAGCCCTTCCTTCTTCAACTCAGTGTCTGAGGGGTTTTGTCTGTGGCTCATCCTGCTACATTTCTTGGTTCCCCAACCAGGAAGCAAAGTGATTAACAGATGGTCGAGGCAGCCCTTTAGGTGGCTTAGGCCTGCCCTGTGGAGCATCCCTGTTGGAGACTGCAGCCAGCTTGAGCGACGCGGATCCTGAGAGCACTCCCAGGTAGGCAATTACTCCAGTGGAACGCCTCACCAGAGCAGTGTGTGGCATGCCCCTGTGGAGGATCAGCGCAGTGGCTGAACACCGGGAAGGAACTGGCACTTGGAGTCTGGACACCTGAAACTTGGTAAGACTAGTTTTTGGAACTTGCCCACTCCATTTGAGTGGAAGTGTGGTCTGATCACCCACAGTGTGCCTGTACCAGCACTTTGGTTTTTGTTTTTGAGTTGACTTGGATTGCTTGATACTTTGGTTTTGGTTTCGACCTGGCTTGGATTTCTGGATACTCTGATTTTGGTTTTGATTCTGGTTTTGTGTAAACTGTAAAAGTGTATGTGTGCCCTTTTTACACATTCTTTGTTTTGTGGTGTGTGTGTGGTGTGAGCGTGGTGTTTTGTCTCAAAAAAGCATGGGTCAGGCACAAAGTAAGCCCACCCCACTAGGAACTATGTTGAAAAATTTAAAGAAAGGATTTAAGGGAGATTAGAGTGTTACTATGAGAGCAGGAAAACTTAGAACTTTGTGTGAAATAGACTGGTCAGCATTAGAAGTGGGTTGGCCATCAGAAGGAAGCCTGGACAGGTCCCTTGTTTCAAAGGTATGGCACAAGGTAACCTGTAAGCCAGGGCACCCAGACCAGTTGCCGTACATAGACACTTGCTCACGGCTGGTTTTAGACCCCCACCCTACCCCCACAGTGGTTGAGAGAACAGCAGCATAAGCAGCTGGCAGAGGCAGGGAAAGACCAGGAGAGAGAAAGAGGAAGAGACAGAGAGACAAAGAGGGAGTCAAGGAAAGAGAGAGAGAGAGAAAGAGAGAGACAGAGAGAGAGAAAGAGACAGAGGCAAAAGGAAAGTCAAAGAGAAAAAGAGACAGAAAATCAAAGACAGAAAGAAAGAAAGATATACAAGTTGTTAAGAAAAACAAACAGTGTACCCTATTCCTTTAAAAGCCAAGGTAAATTTAAAACCTATAATTGATAATTAAAGGTATTCTCCATAACCCTACAACACTCCAATATCACTTTGTTGTCAGTGTAAACAAGGGCATAGCCTGAAAGCACTGAGGCCACTGACAACCTGTGTAGCCTTCCTATCAAAAATCCTTAACCTAGTAATCTGTGGATGGCCCAAATGCATTCAATCTGTAGTGGCAACTGCTTTGCTAACAGAAGAAAGTAGAAAAATAACTTTTAGAGGAAACCTCATTTTGAGCACATCTCACCAGTTCAGAAGTATCCTAAAAAAAGAAAAAAAGATGATTTAACATTAACCACTGAAAATTCCCTTAACCCAGCAGGTTCCCTAACAGGGGATCTAAATCTTAATTACCATACAAAATTCCGACCAGACCTAGGAGGAACTCCCTTCATGACAGGACGATAGATGATTCCTCCAAGGTAATTAAAAAAAAAAAAACCTATCTATACCAATTCTAAGTTCATTTGGACTAAACAAGGTCTTATTGATAGCAAAGGATAATTGAAATCCCAAACTTACAAGGTTTTCAACAAAAGTAAAATTTGCTAAAAGTTAACAGTGTAACATGTATTATAGTAACTTCTAATCTTGTGGCCTTAGATGGTCTAGTCCACAGACATAAAAGAAGTTCGCTTTGGAAAAGAATGGTTATCATCTTCGAAAAAAAAAAGTGGGGGGCAGAATTTCTGTAAAAAGAATGTTATATGGTAAATTATTGTCCTGAAATAAATTAACTGGTTGTTTAAAGAAAGAAATATTTGTAATAAGTCAGAAAGTTGAGGCATGTCAAAGAATTGTCTGCAAAAGTTGTGAAAGAGAAAAATGTTAAAAAAAATTTATGCACTCTCCCTCTCCCTCTCCTTCTCCCTCTCCCTCTCCCTTTTTCATGGTCCTCATCTCCCCTTTGCACGGTCTCCCTCTGATGCCAAGCCGAGGCTGGACTGTACTGCCGCCATCTTGGCTCACTGCAGCCTCCCTGCCTGATTCTCCTGCCTCAGCCTGCCGAGTGCCTGGGATTGCAGGCGCGCACTGCCACACCTGACTGGTCTTCATATTTTTTGGTGGAGACGGGGTTTCGCCGTGTTGACCGGGCTGGTCTCCAGCTCCTGGCTGCGAGTGGTCTGCCAGCCTCGGCCTCCCGAGGTGCCGGGATTGCAGACGGAGTCTCGCTGACTCAGTGCTGAATGGTGCCCAGGCTGGAGTGCAGTGGCGTGATCTCAGATCGCTACAACCTACACCTCCCAGCTGCCTGGCTTGGCCTCCCAAAGTGCTGAGATTGCAGCCTCTGCCCGGCCGCCACCCTGTATAGGAAGTGAGGAGCGTCTCTGCCTGGCCGCCCATGGTCTGGGATGTGAGGAGCCCCTCTGCCTGGCCGCCCAATCCGGGAAGTGAGGAGCGCTTCTTCCCGGCCACCACCCCGTTTAGGAAGTGAGGAGTGCCTCTTCCCGGCCACCACCCCGTCTAGGAAGTGAGGAGTGTCTCTGCCTGGCCACCCATCATCTGGGATGTGGGGAGCGCCTCTGCCCCGCCGCCCCGTCTGAGATGTGAAGAGAGCCTCTGCCCGGCCATGACCCTGTCTGGGAACTGAGGAGTGTCTCTGCCCTGCCGCCACCCCATCTTGAAGGTGAGGAGCGTTTCTGACCGGCCGCCCCTTCTGAGAAGTGAGGAGCCCCTCCGACCAGCAGCTGCCCCGTCTGGGAAGTGAGGAGTGACTCCGACCGGCAGCCGCCCCGTCCGGGAGGTGGGGGGCAGTCCCCGCCCGGCCAGCCACCCCACCCAGGAGGTGGGGGGCGCCTGTGCCCAGCCGCCCGGTCTGGGAAGTGGGGAGCCCCTCTGCCCGGCCGCCACCCCGTCTGGGAGGTGGGGGGCCCCTCTGCCCGGCAGCCCCATCTGGGAAGTGAGGAGCCCCTCTGCCCGGCTGCCCCGGGAGGTGGGGGGCCCCTCTGCCTGGCCGCCACCCCATCTGGGAGGTGTGCCCAACAGCTCATTGAGAAGGGCCATGATGACAATGGCGGTTTGGTTGAATGGAGAAGGGGGAAGTGTGGGGAAAAGAGGGAGAGATCGGATTGTTGTTGTGTCTGTGTAGAGGGAGGCAGACGTGGGAGACTCCATTTTGTTCTGTACTAGGAAAAATCTATAACCTTACCCCCAACCCCCTGCTCTCTGAAACATGCGCTGTGTCCACTAAGGGTTAAATGGATTAAGGGCGATGCAAGTTGTGCTTTGTTAAACAGATGCTTGAAGGCAGCATACTGGTTAAACGAGTCATCACCACTCCCTAATCTCAACTACCCAGGGACACAAACACTGTGGAAGGCGGAAGGTGGCAGGGCCCTCTGCCTAGGAAAACCAGAGACCTTTGTTCACATGTTTATCTGCTGACCTTCCCTCCACTATTGTCCTATGACCCTGCCAAATCCCCCTCTCCGAGAAACACCCAAGAATGATCAATATATACCAAAAAAAAAAAAAAAATTATGCAAGAAATGTTGTATAATTTAAAAATAATAAGGCCTCCTGAGTACTATTGAAGAAACAGTTTATGTGCAAGGTCCATAAGAAAGGTAAAATATACCTTTGGTAAAAGGATTATAAGGAGGCATAAGAATGTGGATTTTTACCTACATTAAAAGGTTAAAATTTGTTTTGAAGGTTTAAGCAAGTTTTGAAACGTTAATTGTAAAGAAAATTCTGTGTGTAAACATCAGCTAAAGTTAAAGGGGTGTCATCCAGTTTTTCTGTGAACAGGAAATTAAAGTATAAACACAATGAGTTTTTCTTAAAGCACTAACCTACTCTTCAACAAAAATTATAAAAGGTTAAAAAGAGTCTATAAAAATCTTACTTTATGGTCTGACATTAAAAATTGAATAAATATGTCTACAAAGTTTTATTAAAACTAAGTTTAACATTAATGGCACACTAATATAAAGGTGACATTTAGCTTATCTGGTATAAAAATCATGCAGGAAGCATTGTCAAATATAAAATGGTGTTTGGCTTCTTTGGTCTAAAAACTAATTAAAAAAATGGGTGCTAAAGGAAATTTCTCAGTAGAAAGGCACCAAGGACTATAAAGTCCACTGCTGATGTCCCCACATTTAAAACAAAAGGTCAATTTCTTAAAAATTATATACTTGATTTATCTTCCACTTTCCCTCAAAACTAAAACTCTTTTAGCACATGTACCACCCCTAGAATTTCTGGTAAACTAGCACCAGCCTGAAGATCACATTCTCATCAAAAGGTGAAAAAAAAAAAAAAAAGGAAACTCGAGCCAGCCTAGGAAGGACCCTACCTTGTGTTGCTAACCACCAAGACTGCTGTTCATACAGTGTAAAAATGATGGACTCATCACACCCAAGTCAAGAAAGCACCACCCCCTCCAGAGTCATGGGCCATAGTCCCAGGGGAATACCCTACCAAACTAAAGCTTAGAAAAATTTAACTCTTTCATCTGTTCTATTACTCTTTCTTCTTTCCTCACTCTATTGCTGACCATCTAGTTATTAACATAACCAAGTCAATTTTGCCTCAAACTATTGCATTTAATGTTTACCTTGTTATACCCTGTGGGGACTTGCCAAGTCAAAGACAGGTCTGTACTTCAGAAAAGTACCTCTGTCCCTCCTGACTCTCCTCAGTCTGGGCATTAGTAAATTAGGACAATTTAATCTGGGGAAATTTTGATAAAGACTCCATTGTCAACCAGGAGTCTTGCCCTCCAATGTAGAACTTTTATGCCATAGTTGGTCCAACGTTCTTTGGACCACTAAAGAGCAAGGATGGACTGCCCTAACTGATTTTTATAACTTCCTAAAATCATAGATTCATTTTACTATGTTCCTTATAGAGGATCATTTTACCAGAGGATCATCTTGTTTTAAAGACTTAAAACAAACTTTGGCAATTAAGACAGGATACCAAGATGCAAATGTCTGGTTGGAATAGATCAAATATTCCATCCGCACGTTAAACAAAAGCAATTGTTATGCTTGTGTGCATGGCAGGCCAGAGGCCCAGATTGTCCCCTTTCCACTAGGGTGGTCCTCCAGTCGACTAGGCGTGGGCTCCATTGTAGCTGTTTTCCAGGATTCTACAGCCTGAAGTAACAAGTCATGCCAAGCTCTCTCTCTGCTATATCCTGAAGTCCAGTACCCTTCGGGTCACACCCAAGGGCCATCCAGCTTCTGTCTCCCAACATTAAGTTCACTTTGTGTCTCTCATGACAGGGAGGAAACTTAGCATTCCTTGGAGACCCGAAGAGATGCAGTGAGCTTAAGAATTTTCAAGAGCTTATCAATCAGTCAGCCCTTGTTCATCCCTGAGTGGATGTGTGGTGGTATTGTGGTAGACCTTTACCGGGCATTCTGCCGAATAACTGGAGTGGCACTTATACTTTAGTCCAGTTGGCTATCCCTTTCACCCTGGCATTTCATCAACCAGAAGGAGGAAAAATAAGACATTGTAAAGCGAGAGAAGCCCCTTATGGATCTATCGACTCTCACGTTCATTAAATGCAATTGGAGTCCCACGGGGAATATCAGATCAATTTAAAGCTTAAAAACAAATAGCTGCAGCATATGAGTCAATATTTTGGTGGGTGGCAGTTAATAAAAATGTAGATTGAATAAACTACATCTATTACAGCCAATAGCAACAAGCTTTTCATGAGTTAAAAGAAAAACTCATGTTGGCCCCAGCCCTGGGGCAACCTGACATGACAAAACCCTTTATACCTTATGTGTCAGAAAGAGAAAAAAATGGCAGTTGGAGTTTTAACCCAGACTGTGGGGCCCTGGCCAAGGCCAGTGGCCTATCTCTCAAAACAACTAGATGGGGTTTCCAAAGGCTGGTCCCCATGTCTAAGGGCTCTGGCAGCAACGGCCCTGTTAGCACAAGAAGCAGATTAACTAACCCTTGGGCAAAACCTAAATATAAAGGCCCCCCCAAGCTGTGGTAACTTTAATGACTGCCAAAGGACATCATTGGTTAACAAATGTTAGATTAACCAAGTACCAAAGCTTGCTCTGTGAAAATTCCCGCATAACCATTGAAGTTTGCAACACCCTAAACCCCGCCACCTTGCTCCCGGTATCAGAGAGTGCAGTTGAACATAACTGTGTAGAGGTGTTGGACTCAGTTTATTCTAGCAGGCCCAACCTCTGAGACTATCCTTGAACATTAGTTGACTGGGAGCTGTACGTGGACGGGAGCAGCTTCTCCAACCCCTGCAAAGTGACTCTGAAGAAGACGACAAGACCTGCTCCAGTCACACCTGGAAGCTGACTGGTCCACGCATGGCCGAAGCATGAGAAAACTCATTGTAGGACTCATTTTCCTTAAAATTTGGACTTTTACAGTAAGGACTTCAACTGACCTTCCTCATACTGAGGACTGTTCCCAGTGTATACTTCAAGTCACTGAGGTAGGACAAAAGATTGCTACGGTCCTATTATTTTGTGGTTATTATAAGTGTACTGGAACTCTAAAAAGAACTTATTTGTATAATGTTATTCTATACAAGGTATGTAGCCCAGGAAATGACTAACCTGATGTGTGTTATGACCCATCTGAGACTTCCATGACCAGTTTTTTTGTTTTTTGTTTGTTTTGTTTTTGTTTTTGTTTTTGAGATGGAGTCTCGCTCTGCTGCCCAGGCTGGAGTGCAGTGGCATGATCTCGGCTCTCTGCAAGCTCCACCTCCTGGGTTCACACCATTCTCCTGCCTCAGCCTCCCGAGTAGCTGGGACTACAGGCACCCACCACCACGCCCGGCTAATTATTTCGTATTTTTAGTAGAAATGGGGTTTTACCCTGTTAGCAGGATGGTCTAGATCTCCTGACCTTGTGATCCGCCCTCCTTGGCCTCTCAAAGTGCTGGGATTACAAGTGTGAGCCACTGCACCCAGCCGACCACAGTTTTTAAAATAAGATTAAGGACTGAGGACTGGTGGGGGCTCATAAACGATACAAGTAAAGTGTTAGCCAAAACAGAAGAAAAAGGGGTGCCCAAACAAGTCACCTTGAAATATGATGCCTGTGCTGTCACTAATAGTTATGTTAGGAAGAGGATATGGTTCTCTTAATTTAAAGAAGAGGCTATATGGCAGAAAATAAGTACATTTGCCATGAATTAGGACTGTGTGGAAATGAATGTGGATACTGATCTTGTGTCATTTAGGCTACTTGGATAAAAAATGAAAAGAATCCTGTCCAGCTTCAGAAAGGATAAAGTGCCCTTCCTCTACCAGTGGTCACTGTAACCCCTTAGAACTAGTAATAACCAACCCCCTTAATCCTCACTGGAAAAAAGGGGAATGTGTAACCCTAGAAATCGACGAAGCTGAATTGGATCCTCAAATAAATATCATGGTTTGAGGAGTTTATAAATGCTCTCCTGAGCCAGTATTTCAAACCTTCTATGACGAACTGAATGTGCCAGTACCAGAAATTCCAGGAAAAACAAGAAATTTGTTTTTGCAATTAGCCAAGCATGTAGCCCAGTCTCTCAATGTCACTTCATGTTATGTATGTGGAGGAACTATAACAGGAGATCAATGGCCATGGGAAGCCCGAGAATTAGTACCCACAGACCCAGTTCCTGATAAATTCCTGGCTCAAAAGAATCACCCTGGTAACTTCTGGGTCCTAAAAGCCTCAATCATTAGACAATACTGTATAGCAAGAGTTGGGAAGGACTTCACCCATCCTGTGGGAAGACTCAGCTGCCTTGGGCAAAAACTGTATAATAGTACTACAAAAACAGCCACCTAATATAGTTCAAACCATATTAAGAAAAATCCATTTAGTAAATTCCCAAAGTTGCAAACTGTGTAGACCCACCCGGAGTCCCACCAGGACTGGACCCACTGGATTATACTGGATATGTGGGCATAGACCTTATGCCAAATTACCTGACCAGTGGGCAGGTAGTTGTGTTATTGGCACTATTAAACCATCTTTCTTCCTACTGCCCATAAAGACAGGTGAACTCCTGGGCTTCCCTGTCTATGCTTCCCGCGAAAAGAGAATCATAGCTATAGAAAATAGGAAAGATAATGAATGGCCCCCTGAGAGAATCATACAATATTATGGGCCTGCTACTTGGCCACAAGACGGCTCGTGGGGATACCAGACCTCCATTTACATGCTCAACCAAATCATATGGTTAAAAGCTGTCTTAAAAATAATCACTAATAAGACCAGCAAAGCCTTGACTATTCTGGCCTGGCAAGAAACTCGATGAGAAATGCTATCTATCAAAATAGATTGGCTCTCAACTACTTGCTAGCAGCTGAAGGAGGGGGTCAGTAGAAAATTTAACCTTACTAATTGCTGTCTTCACATAGATGATCAAGGGCAAGTAGTTGAAGACATAGAAATATGACAAAACTGGCACATGTGCCTGTGCAAGTGTGGCATGGATTTAATCCTGGGGCCATGTTTGGAAAGTGGTTGCCAGTGCTAAAAAGATTTAAAACTGTTATAATAGGAGTTATAATAGTAATGGAAACCTGCTTACTGCTCCTTTGTTTGCTACCTGTACTTCTTCAAATGATAGAAAGCTTTATCACTACCTTAGTTCATCAAAATGCTTCAGCACAAGTGTACTATATGAATCACTATCAATCTGTCTTGCAAGAAGACATGGGTAATAAGAATAAAACTGAGAACCCCCACTATTGAGTGAGATTCTCAAAGGGGGGGAATAAGGGAGGAGACCACCCCTCATATTGTTTTATGCCCAATTTCTGCCTCCAAAGAAAGAAGAAGTAAAAACTAAAAGGCAGAAATGAAATCCACAGGCAGACAGCCCAGCGCCGCACCCTGGGCCTGGTTAAAGATTGACCCATGACCTAACCAGTTATGTTAGCTATAGATTCCAGACATTGTATGGAAAAGCATTGTGAAAATCCCTGTCCTGTTCTATTCCGTTCTGATTACCAGTGCATGCAGCCCCTAGTCATGTACCCCCTGCTTGCTCAATTGATCATGACCCTCTCATGCGGATCCCCTTAGAGTTGTAAGCCCTTAAAAGGGGCACGAATTGCTCACTCAGGGAGCCCTGTTGTTGGAGATGTGAGTCTTGCCAAAGCTCCCAGACGAATAAAGCCCTTCCTTCTTTAACTCAGTGTCAGAGGGGTTTGTCTACAGCTTGTCCTGCTACAGCACCACCTAATATTGAGTTTCAGTTTTAATCTTTATGCTTAACACCATTTCATGCAATGCTTTTTATTCCTAACATTTTGGCTTTTAATTTTTTAGGGTAGTAGAAATACATAGGAATTTTAAAACTACTTCTCTTTACCCTTAGATAGTAGGTAGAACTTGATTTTTGGCGTAAAGCACTTATTACTAAGCCTAATGCACTTTGGTAAATAGATTCTAACAATGGTGTTCCTCTCATGGCTTAAAAGAGCAGACACCAATTTTACTTTTGAAATATATTTTTTATATTAAAATCTAGAATGGGCCGGGCGTGGTGGCTAACGCCTGTAATCCCAGCACTTTGGGAGGCCAAGGGGGGCAGATCACGAAGTCAGGAGTTCAAGATCAGCCTGATCAACATGGTGAAACCCCATCCTTATTAAAAATACAAAAAAAAAAAAAACTAGCTGGGTGTGGTGGCATGCGCCTGTAGTTCCAGCTACTTGGGAGGCTGAGGCAGGAGAATCACCTGAACCCAGGAGGCGGAGGTTGCAGTGAGCCGAGATTGTGCCACTGCACAACAGCCTGGGCAAAGAAAGAGAGCAAGAATGAGCCTATTATTATATAGAATATTTGTGGTCTCTATGTACATTATCATCCATTGAGTTAGTTTCTGAAAGTTCTAGAAAGAGTAATATAAGAATACTTATTTTGCTTAAATAATTTGGCTTCTCAGTTAATAAAATGAAATAGATTGAAATTACTGATCAGTCACTTAAAATGTTGGTTTTAGAAAAAAACTATTAACATTTACCTTACTTACAAACCTATGAATTTTATTCAAATCTAAACATAGTGCTAATCTTAAAAGAACTGTATGATTAGGATTATAGAAAGCCTTTTCTCCATTTACATTTAGAAACTAAATAACTGCTTTCCAGGAAGCCCAAAGCAGCAAATGTGATACACAATTATAAGCTATTAAATATTAATACTATCATCTAAATGAATCTTTTAGGTATCTGCATGTTCAAGTTATTTAACATATAATTTAGAAACTATAAATTTTTATAAACTAAATGATAAACTAAAAATATAAAGTTATCAATTTCTTTTTCTCAGTTTTGAAATGCTGTCATTATTCATAGTTGACATTATACTAAATTTCAGAGGCTGTGGCTGTTGAAACTAGAAAAGTCAGGGTTGACTCTGCTTTACTTGCAAAGTCAGACTTGAAGTCTTTTTTTATACAAACATAGCAGCACAAGGAAGATAATCAATGCTCCACATTTATTGTAAACACAGCAGTACCTTTCTAGGGAGAATATGTGTGAGCACATTAACTAGAAATTCATGGCATCTTTTGCTGAAGTACAGACTTCTATATAGCAAATAATAAAGACAAATAAAAATTTAACACTGTGATAGAATCAAAAAAGTATTCTAAAAATTCCTTCTGACCCATTATTTTGTTTTTACCAGAATGATTGTGATAGAATTGTTGCAGCAGTGTGGTCTTAATCCACACTCTCTGTTTCATCATTCTTGGGGTTTGGCCATAAGACTTTTATGCTTAAGAAAAATGTTTCATTTTCCTTATTCAGTAATTTAACATGATTTTCCACAACCTCACATTAAAAAAAAATGATTCATTCTAAAAATAAAAGTGATTAAACCACATACCACTTATCCCCAAAAAGAGTAACTAACTATATATTCTTGTCTACAGTTAATACATTAAAAAAGGATACAGTCATTTATTTCAGCTGCACACTTGGGAATAAAACACTTCTTGGGCTATAGACCAAGAGCTTTCAGAGAGGATAGCTTACAACATGTAGGAGACCTGGTATAAAAACATTTACCCCTATGCCTTAAGAGGTAAATACTTCTGTCTTACACTGCTAATTCCAACCATTAACTTGGAGCTAAAGATACATAATATGTCATTATACCACAAAACATCTTATTTCTATTTTAGATTCAGGGAGAACATGTGCAGATTTGTAGCATAGGTATACTGCATGGTGTTGAGGTTTGGATACTTAATAATCCCATCGCCCAAGTAGTGTACAACACACTGGAAAGTAGTTTGTCAATGCTTGTCTCCATTTCTTCTTCCATCTTTTTAGAATTCCCAGTGTTTATTGATTTTATCTGTGTTTCCACACGCATCCAATGTTCACCTTCCACATGTAAGTGAGAACATGTGGTATTTGTTTTACTGATCTGTGTTAATTTGCTTAATGGCCATCTGCTGCATTCATGTTGCTGCAAAGGACATTACTTCATTTCTGTGGCTGCATAGTATCGCATGGTATATAAGGACCTCATTTTCCTCATCCAATCTAAGGTTTATAGGTACCTGGTTTAATTCTATGTCTTTGCTATTGTGAATCATGCTAGAATAAACAAGTGAGTGCAGGTGGCTTTTTGGCAAAGAAAATTTATTCTTTTTGGGAATAATGGGGCTGATGGGTCAAATGGCAATTCTATTTATAGTTCTTTGAGAAATCTCCAAACTACTTTCCACAGTGGCTAAATTTTATTGCATTCCCACCAACAATTTATGAAGATAAATTTTCTTCATAATACATTTCTCCACAACTTCAAATCTGTTATTTTCTGACTTTTAATAACAGCTATTCTAACTGGTGTGAAATGGTATCACATTTTCGTTTTGATTTACATCTCTAAGATGATTAGGAGTGTTGAACATTTTTGGCATGTTTACTGGAAACACGTCTTCCTTTGAGAAGTATCTAGTCATATCATTTGTCTGTTTTTAAATTAATTTTAAAATAAATTCTATATATTTTTTGTTGTATGCAGTTTGCAAGTATTTTACTTCATAACGTAGGGTGTCTGCTTACTTTGTTTAGTTACTTTTGCTGTGCCGAAGTTCTTTAATTAGATGCCATTTTTTATTTTTATTTTAATTTTTTGAGACGGAGTCTTGCTCTGTCGCCCAGGCTGGAGTGCAGTGGTGCAATCTCAGCTCACCACAACCTCTGCCTCCCTGGTTCAAGTGATTCTCCTGCCTCAGCCTCCTGAGTAGCTGGGATTACAGGCACGAGCCACCATGCCTGGCTAATTTTTTGTATTTTTAGTAGAGACAGGATTTCACTGTGTGAGCCAGGCTGGTCTCAAACTCCTGACCTCAGGTGATCCACCTGCCTTGGCCTCCCAAAGCACTAGGATTACAAGCATGCGCCACCATACACAGCCTTTTGATTTTTATTTGCACTCACTTTTAAGGTGTTATTCACAAATTTTTACCAGAGGCCAGTGTCTAAATGAGTACTTTCTACGTGTTCTTCTAGAATTTTTGTAGCTCGAAGACTCACAGGTAAGTCTTTAATCCATCTTGAGTTATATTTTTTATGTGGGAAGAGACAGGGGTCTACTTTTTTTCTGCACGACTAACTAGTTTTCCCAGTACTACCATTTATTGAATAGGAGTTATTTCTCCTGTATTTCTGTTGACTTTGTAAAAAATAAGTTGGTTGTAAAAGTATTGCTTTATTTCAGGGCTCTCTCTTTTCCATTGGTCTATATGTGTATTTTTGTACCAGAATCATGTTACACTCGTTACAGTAGCTTGTAGTACAGTTTAAAGTCAGGTAATGGGAAGCCTTCAGGGTTTCTTTCTCTCTTTTTTTAATGTCTAAAGTTGCCTTGGCTATTTGGGTTTTCTTATTCTTCCCTATGAATTTTACTTGCTTTGTCACCCCGACTGGAGTGCAGTTGGGTGATGTCCGCTCACTGCAACCTCCACCTCCCAGGTTCAAGCATTTCCCCTTCTCAGTCTCGAATACCTGGGACTACAGGCATGCACCAACACACCCGGCTAATTTTTGTATTTTTAATAGAGACAGGGTTTCACCACGTTGGCCAGCCTGGTATTGAACTCCTGACCTCAGGTGATCTGCCCACCTTGGCCTCCCAAAGTGCTGGGATTACAGGCAAAGGCCACCATGCCCAGCCTAGAGCTTTCAGAATTATGTTTAATAGAACTACTTAGAGTGGAAATTCTTGTCTTATGTTTATTTTTATGGAGAATACATCCAGATTTTGCTTGTTCAGTATGATGTGTGCTGAAGATTTGTGATGGATGGCTTTTATTATTTTGAGGTATGTTTCATCAATGTTTAGTTTGTTGAGAATATTTTCATGAATCAATATTAAATTTTCTTGAATGTTTTTTCTGCATCTATTGTGTTAATCATATAATTTTTGGCTTATCTTTACATGGTGAAGAACACTTAATGACTTACATGTGAAAAAACATCCTTACATGGAATGAAGCTCACATGATTGTGGCAAAATAACTTTTGGATTTACTTATAAACTCAGTTGACTATTATTTCATGAATAACTTTGTTTCAATGTTTATAAAAATACTGGCTTGTAGTTTTCTTTTTTATGTCTTCACTATATTTTGGTATCAAGACGATACTGATTTTATATAACAAGTTAGGGCAGAATCCCATCTTGATATTTTGGAATACATTTAGTAGGCTTAGTACCAACTCATCATTGTATATATGGTAAAATCTGGCTGTGAGTTTATATCACACAAGGCTTTTTATTATTGATACTTTTTTATTACTTATTCAATATCATTATATATTTTATACATTTTTGCTCTGGTTAAGACTTCTGGTTCTTACTGGTTCAATCTTAGAAAGTTGTGTATAGTTAAAACTTTATCAGTTTTCTCTAAATTTTTTAGTTTGCATACATAGAGATGTTCATAATAGTCTTTGAAAACTTTTCAATTTATGTAGAATTCATTGTGATTTTACATTTTTAACATTAAATAGATGCAGAATAAAAGCTTGACAAAATTCAACATTTCCTCATGATAAATCTCTGAAAAATTTAGGTATAGGAAAAAGGCACCTCAAGCCAATAAATGTCACATATAACAAAAAATGCAGAGCTAATTACATACTAAACAAGGAAATGTAAGATTTTACTCTAAGATCTAAAACAAGTCAACAATGTGCCATTTCTTCAGTCTTACTAAACATAGTACTAAATGTCCAAGAAAGACATATTGAAGAATACAATCAAAAGCATCCAGTTGAGAAGAAAAAGTTAAATTATTCCTATATAATATTTTATCTCTATGCATAATCATAAGAAAAGCCTAAGACTTTACTAAAACCTATTAGAATAAACAAATTTATTAAACTTGCAGAATACAAAAGCAACATCCAAAAGTCAGAATTTCTATTCACTGACAACTATCTCAGAATGAATTAAAAAACAATTCCATCTCAATAACTATAACTATACTTTGAAATAAATTTAACCAAAAATTTGAAACACCTTACATTATACTCTAAAGAACATTAAAGTAAGAAATTAATACATGAATAGCCGGGCGCGGTGGCTCACGCCTGTAATCCCAGCACTTTGGGAGGCCGAGGTGGGCGGATCACGAGGTCAGGAGATCGAGACCATCCTGGCTAACACGGTGAAACCCCGTCTCTACTAAAAATACAAAAAATTAGCCGGGCGTGGTGGCGGGCGCCTGTAGTCCCAGCTACTCGGGAGGCTGAGGCAGGAGAATGGCGTGAACCCAGGAGGCGGAGCTTGCAGTGAGCCGAGATCGCGCCACTGCACTCCAGCCTGGGCGACAGAGCGAGACTCTGTCTCAAAAAAAAAAAAAAAAAAAGAAAGAAATTAATACATGAATAAAAAACATTTCTTATTCCTGAATTGGCATTAATACTGTTAAATATTTGTATTACAGAAAAAGATCTACAGATATAATTCAATCTCAATGAAAATCCCAGTGACATAATAAATATTTTTAAAAATACATCTACAATTTATATGGTAATACAAAAGACCCTGAATAGCCAAATAAAGCAAAAAAAAAAAAAAAAAAAAAAAAAAAAAAAAGTAAAGATATCATGCAACCTGACTTTGAAATATACTATAAAGCTATAGTAACAAAAACAGTATGGTACTTGAATAAAAACAGACACATAGGGCAATGGAGCAGGAAAAAAAAAAAAAGACCAGAAATATATCCATCTACTTACAGCTAACTGATTTTAAATAAAGGTGACTATTTCTTAGAGACAGGACAGTATCTTCAATAAATGGTGTTGAGAAAATGTTATAGCCACAAGTAGAGTAATAAAATCAGACTATCATCTCACGTCATATATAAAAACCAACTCATAATAAATTATTATTATTATTATTTGAGACAGAGTCTCACTCTGTCGCCCAGGCTGGACTGCAGTGGTGCCTTCTCAGCTAACTCCAACCTCTGCCTCCCAGGTTCATGTGATTCTCCTGCCTCAACCTCCTGAGTAGCTGGGATTACAGGTGGGTGTCACCATGCCCAGTTAATTTTTGTATTTTTAGCAGAGACGGGGTTTCGTCATGTTGGCAAGGCTGGTCTTGAGCTCCTGACCTAAGGTAATCTGCCTGCCTTGGCCTCCCAAAGTGCTGGGATTACAGTCTTTACAGGCTGAGGCACCGTGCCTGGCCACTCAAAATAAATCACTTAAATGTAAGGCCTGAAAACTGGAAACTACTACAAAAAATAGAGTAAAAGCCCCATAACATTGGTTGGGCAGTGACTTTTTAAATTTAACCTCGAAATCCCAGGGAAGAAAAGGAAAAACAAATGAGTCAGATTACTACAAATTAAAATGCTGTTGCACAGAATCTGACACAATCAACAAGTCAACTAAAAATTGGAACAAAATATTTGTAAATCATACATGTGTCAAGGGGTTAATATCAAAAATACATCAGAAACTTAAATGACTACACAACAAACAACAAATAACTGTTACAAATGAGCAAGAGGCATAAATATTTTTCAAGAAAATACATACATATGACCAACAGATACATTAAGAAATTATCAATGTCAATTATTATTACAGAAATGCAAGCCTTGGCATCCCAAGGTACTGGGATTACAGGTGTGAGCCACTGTGCCTGGCCTTACCTAAACTTAATTTTGGATTAAATTTTTTTTTCTATTTATTGCATCCACAAAAATATATTTTAGTATAAACTCTCTGAAGTTTCCTAAGCTGTAGTTTTTGAAAAAAATGTTTTCTCCAAATCTATTTTATTTGGAGAGTTTTTCATTAATACAAATTATCTGTCTGATGTCGAACAAAATTTGAGCAATGGCTTCAGGGTTTGCCTCTAGTACAAAATGAGTAGAATAAGATTGTGATACAAGTAAAGTTACTATAACTCTCTACATTTCAATGTTTGTCTTCAAAATAAATCATCTTCTGAAGTTTAAAGGCTTATATTTTCTGAAAAAATCTTTGGACAGTAATTGCACTTTTAATGATTTTATTAAGTATGAACTCTGATGTTGAGTTGATGTGAGCAGATATTAATAGGGTTTTCACTTTCTTTACACTTGTATATTTATTCTCAAGTATAAATGTCCTGTGCAATAAAGTGTGAGCATTGGTTAAAAGTTTTGCCACTTTGTTTACACTTGTAGAAGTTTTCTCCAGTATGAATCACCTTACCTACAATTAAATGTGACAACAATTTAATGGCTTTGTCACATTCTTCATATTTCTAGAATTTCTCACCAGCATTTCTTTGACATCTGGAAAAGTTTGAGGTGTTGTCAAAAGCACTGTTAAAACTTTCAGGTTTGTAGAGTTTCTCTCTGGTATGAATCATGTCTGTTAAGAATTAAGGATTTGTTAAAGGCTTTGTCACATTCTTCACACTTGTAGGGTTTCTCTCCAGTATGAATTATCTTATGTGTAGTAAGGTGTGAAGATTGGTTGAAGACTTTGCCACATTCTTCACATTTGTAGGTTTTTCTCCAGTATGAATTACCTTATGTTTAGTAAGATTTGAGGACTGGTTAAAAGCTTTGCCACATTCTTCACATTTGTAGGGTTTCTCTTCAGTATGAATTATCTTATGTGTAGTAAGGTATAAAGATTGTTTAAAAGCTTTGCCACAGTCTTTACAATTTTATGTATGAATTGTCTTATGCCTAGTAAGGTGTGAGAACCGCCTAAAGGCTTTACCACATTCTTTACATTTGTAGATTTTTTCCCCAGAATGAATTATCTTATGTGTAGTGAGGGTTGAGGACCGGTTAAAAGCTTTGCCACATTCTTCACATTCATAGGGTTTCTCTCCAGTATGAATTCTTTTATGTGTAGTAAGGGTTGAGGACTGGTTGAAAGCTCTGCCACATTCTTCACATTTGTAGGGTTTCTCTCCAGTATGAATTCTCTTATGTGTAGTAAGGTGTGAGATACGGCTAAAGGCTTTGCCACATTCTTCACATTTGTAAAATTTCTCTACAGTATGAATTATCTTATGTATAGTAAGAGTTGAGGATTGGTTAAAAGCTTTACCACATTCTTTATATTTGTAGGGTTTCCCTCCAGTATGAGTTATCTTATGTCTATTAAGGGTTGAGGATCGGTTAAAAGCTTTGCCACATTCTTCACATTTGTAGGGTTTTTCTCCATTATGAATTCTTTTATGTTTTGTAAGGGTTGAGGACCACTTAAAAGCTTTGCCACATTTTTCGCATTTGTATGGTTGCTCTTTAGTATGAATTTTCTTATGTTCAGTAAGGTTTGAGGACTGGTTAAAGGCTTTGCCACATTCTTCACATTTATAGGGTTTCTCTCCAGTATGAATTCTTTTATGTGTAGTAAGGTTTGTGGATTGGTTAAAAAATTTGCCACATTTCTCACATTGGTAGGGTTTTTCTCCAGTATGAATTCTCTTATGTGTAGTAAAATGTGAAAACCAGTTAAAGGCTTTGCCACATTCTTTACATTTGTAAGGTTTTTTCTCAGTAATTCTTTTATGTGTAGTACAGTTTGAGGACTCATTAAAGGCTTTGCCATATTCTTCACATTTGTAGGATTTCTCTCCAGTATGAATTTTTTTATGTTGAGCTAAGTGTGAAAGAATGCAAAATAATTTTCCACATTCTTTACATTTGAAAGGTTTCTTCGAAGTATGTCTTATCTTATGTCTGTTTGAATTTGAAAATTTATGAAAGACTTTCACATATTTGTCACACTGAAATATTTTGCTATGGGAAGTTGTCAAACACTGGTTATGTCTATTATAACCTTTTTTGTGCATCTTAAACTCATCCACATTTTTACAGCCTTTTCTTAACAGTAAATTCTCATGTCTACATTTTTTATATTGTCTCAGTATGACTTCTTGGAAATAATCTTTTATGCCTTGCTCTGGCCAAAGGTCTTGGGCAATATGAGAACATATAACTGAAAGAAATAAAAATAACAAATTACTGCATGTACTAGACTGAGTATAGTTTATAAACCTAACCTATAAAGTTATACAAACTACATAACAAGATAGCATAGCAAAATACCACAGGCCCTAATTTCTTCATAAACATATAAATGTAACAAAAATCCAAAGTACATTTGTAAAAAAGTAAGTTGAGTGTGTACAGTGCCCCAGGTGAACACAATGCAAAGAGCTATATAGAGGAAAAAAGAAAGTCTGTTACATTTTACCCAACACAGCTCTTCCTCCCCTCCATTGTAACATAGTGACTTTACAAGTAAATTACCAACTCTTGGTTTCCTTTTTAAAAGACAAGTTAAAATACTGGCACATACATCTTTATTTCTGGTTTATAGGGGCTTTTCTAGACACTGGTTTCTATCTCTTATGACAAAAAGTTCTGAAAGAAATGGTGGCATACTTTAAAATGACAATTTGAGCCTGCTGAGACAAAAAAATAAGTTTTACAGCATCAGAGAGACTGTGGTATCACAGACAGAGAACAAATGTAGCAAGTGATTACTAATTTTTTTTTTTTTTTTGAGACAAGAGTCTTGCTCTGTCACCCAGGCTGGAGTGCGGTGGTGCAATCTCAGCTCACTGAAACCTCTGCCTCCCAGGTTCAGGCGATTCTCCTGACTCAGCCTCCCAAGTAGGTGGGACTACAGGCACATGCCACCACGCCCAGCTAATTTTTTGTATTTTTAGTAGAGATGGGATTTCACCATGTTGACTAGGATGGTCTCGATCTCTTGACCTTGTGATATGTCCACCTCAGCCTCTCAAAGTGCTGGGATTACAGACATGAGCCACCACAACTGGCCTACTGATTTTTAAGAAGAAACACAAACTCCTTTAACTAAAAGCAAACACAAAATTTTAGACAAGACACATTTTAAGAACATGTGTGAGAGACTCCCAGAATGTCTAGCCAAAACGATTGCTTTTAGACTATGTCAGGACAGAACTACATTATAAAGATTGTGACAGGTAGATTTTTTTAATGTCCAAATCTCAATTAAAGATTACAATATATACAAAACAGGGCAATATAATTCCATCAAAAATATTATAAAATTTTCAGAAGGAAACCATAGAAAAGATGTACACATTAATTTTAAAAATTGATAAAAAATTGAATATTCAATGAGTGAAACAGGAACACAGACTACAGAAAATCAGAAATGAAGATAAGAACAAAAATATTGAAAAAATTAAAAAATAGAAATTATGGGGGTAAAAAATACAAGAAGAAATAATACCTGAAAAATCCCTCAGTAAGAAAAATAATGTAAACATGAAGAAGCTTAACAAACAAACTAGAATACATACAAAATATTTATAACAAATACATATATAAGCACAATTTCAAAAGTCACAGAGCATCTTGGGAGCTACAAGATAAAAGTGATGTGTCATATACAAACATAGTCTTACGATATAACCAGTGAATTGTCAACAAAAATTTTGTAGGCCGGAAAGAAACTGTGTGATGCAGTCAAAGTCCTGGGAAAAAAAATAGCTTTCAAGTGAGAGTAACACCATCAGCAAATCTGTCCTGAAAAATGAAAAAATGATGTTCCAAAATAGCCAAATTCTGAAAAAGTATATTGGCACTGCATATACTTATAAAACTTCACAAACATATAAAAGATGCTGAAAGCAGTTCCTGAAACGGAAAATAAAAGGATTCAAGAAAATACCATATAATCAAACAAAAACAAATTATGTTCTGAGAAAAATATGCACATACATAAAAAAAGGATTTTTGTAGCATTATCATAATGGTGCAGAAAACATTTTAAATTATTCTCTAAAATTTGAAAGATAAAAGCATAGCAATTATTATAAACATTTGTTAATAAATATACAACATAAAAAGATGGTAGCAACATCAATGACAAATTTCAAGGCAGATGTAATAAGGAAGAATTTTTTATTCAGTTGAAGTTAATTTTTTACCAAACCAAAAATATATTGTTTTTTTTTTTCTTTTTTGAGACGGAGTCTCGCTCTGTCCCCCAGGCTGGAGTGCAGTGGCACTATTTCGGCTCACTGCAAGCTCCGCCTCCCGGGGTTCACACCATTCTCCTGCCTCAGACTCCTGAGTAGCTGGGGCTACAGGTGCCTGCCACCACGCCCGGCTAATTTTTTGTGTTTTTAGTAGAGACAGGGTTTCACCGTGTTAGCCAGGATGGCCTCGATCTCCTGACCTCATGATCCATCTGCCTCGGCCTCCCAAAGTGCTAGGATTATAGGCGTGAGCCACCACGCCTGGCTACTCTTGTTTTTTTTAAGAGGTTTTATGTAATCCCCAAGGTACCACAAAGAAAATATCTGTATAGATACACAAAGAGAATAAGAAATTAGTAAAACCATATCAATACAAAAATCAAAAAGACACAAAGAAAGACAAAAAGAGAAAATGAGGGACAAAAATGCAAGAATCAAAATAATAAAATAACAGTAAGTCTTTCTCTTTCATAAAATTATTTAAAAATATATATAATTAACTTTCAAATTGAGAGATAAACTTTTTTTTTTTTTTTTTTTTTGAGACAGAGTCTCACTCTGTCACCCAGGCTGGAGTGCAGCGGCGCGATCTTGGCTCACTGCAAGCTCCACCTCCCAGGTTCACGCCATTCTCCCACCTCAGCCTCCCAAGTAGCTGGGACTACAGGCGCCCGCCACCATACCCGGCTAATTTTTGTTTTTGTATTTTTAGTAGAGATGGGATTTCTCCGTGTTAGCCAGGATGGTCTCAATCTCCTGACCTTGTGATCTGCCTGCCTCAGCCTCCCAAAGTACTGGGATTACAGGAGTGAGCCACCGCGCCTGGCCAAGAGACATACTTTCAATAAATAGATTTATTAAACATTTTAAAAACCAAGATCCAACTTGCCTTTCTACAAGTCACTTGAGATCTAATGATAAAAACAGACTGAAAGTGGGAAGATGGAAGTAGATGCTTCATGCAAATATTAATCAAATGAGAGCAGAAGAGGTCAAAATAATATTATGCAACTACATCTTAAGTTAAAAACTATCATGTTTTATAAAATGTACTTGAAGTCAAAACTCTAAAGAGACAAAATAGGACCTCAAAAAATTATAGATTTATTCACTGGGAACCTATGAAACATTTGTATATACACGTGTGTTTCTGTGTATGTGTGTGTGTTTGTTTCTGTGTGTGTATGTGTGAGTATATATATCTCTCACATTAGGGCTCTAAACATATAAAGCAAATATCGACAGAATAAAAGAAACACATAGAGAGCAATATAATTATTGTATACTTTAATATTGCACTTTCTGTAATAAAAATAAAACAAGACAGAATATTAGTAAGAAAACAGACAACTTGAAGGCAGTATAAAACAATTATTCCTAACAAAGGTATAGAGGGCACCCATCAATAACCTTAGGATACACACTTTTATCAATAGCTCATAGAACATTTTCCTTCATAGACAACGTCCTAGGCCAAAAAAAAAGTCTTACCAAATTTTTTAAAACTAAAATTGTATAAATTACTTTATATGACCAAAATGGAATGAGACTATAAATAATGAGAAAAAAACTAAAAAAATTCACAAATATATAAAAATTAACACACTCTTGATTGTGCTCTTGTAGAAAGGTTGAAATAGTTAATATTGTAAATGTGTCTATCCTGCTCAATGCAATCTACAGATTACAAGGTGGAGTGCAGTGGCACAATTACAGCTCATTGCAACGTCAAACTTTTAGGCTCAATTAATCCTTACCCCTTAATCTCCCAAGTAGCTGGGATAACAGGTGCACAACACCATGTCTGTTTATTTTAAAATTGTTTTTTTTTTTTTGAGACGGAGTCTCATTCTGTCACCCACGTTGGAGTGCAGTGGCGTGATCTCACCTCCCTACAACCTCTGCCTCCTGGGTTCAAGTGATTCCCCTGCCTCAGCCTCCCAAGTAGCTGGGAGTACAGGTGCCCGCCACCACACCCGGCTAATTTTTTTGTATTTTTAGTATAGACGGGGTTTCACCGTGTTAGCCAGGATGGTCTCGATTTCCTAACCTCATGATCCACCCACCTCGGCGTCCCAAAGTGTTGGGATTACAGGCGTGAGCCACCACATCTAGCCTAAATTTTTTTTTGGAAAGATGGGGTCTCCATATATTGCTTGGGCTGGTCTCAAATTTTGGGGCTCAAGCGATCCTTTTGCCTTAGCCTCCTAATATCCAGGGATTACAGATGTGAAACACCACCATGACTGGCCATGAAATGAATACTTAGTTTTTTTTTGAGACAGAATCTCGCTCTGTCACCCAGGCTAGAGTGTAGTGGCAAAATCTAGGCTCACTGCAACCTCTGCCTCCTGGGTTGAAGCGATTCTCCTGCCTCAGCCTCCCCTGTAGGTGGAACTACAGGCACTGGCCACCATGCCTGGCCAATTTTTGTATTTTTAGTAGAGATGGGGTTTCACCATATTGGTGAGGCTGGTCTTGAACTCCTGACCTTGTGATCAGCCTGCCTCGGCCTCCCAAAGTGCTGGGATTACAGACGTGAGCCACCACGCCCGGCCTTAAATAGTTTTAAGATGGTAAATTTTAGGTTATATGTTTTTACATCTTTTTTTTTTTTTTTTTAAGACCGAGTCTTGCTTTGCCCAGGCTGGAGTGCAGTGGCGCTACTTTGGCTCACTGCAACCTCTGCCTCCTGGGTTAAAGCAATTCTCCTGTCTCAGCCTCCCAAGTAGCTGGGATTACAGGTGCACGCCACTACACTCGGCTAATTTTTTGTGTTTTCAGTAGAGATGGGGTCTCACCATGTTGGCCAGGCTGGTCTCATACTCCTGACCTCAAGTGATCTGCCCACCTTGGCCTCCCAAAGTGCTGGGATTACAGTCACGAGCCACCACAACCAATCTATTTTTTAAAAAGAATAAATTAAAAGATACAAAATTATAAATTTTTTCAAATATGACCTTCAAGTCACAAAAGTGTTTTTCTCAAAGGAAATATTTATTATTAAACACAAGGTGAAAATAAAACTACTTTCATGACTACTCACTTACACAAGAAAAAAACACCATGGAAAATCTGCTGAGAAAAAAAAATATATAAGATGTGCCATAACCAAAGTAGGGGTCATATTTATAGATACACACATACACACACACACACACACATAATCTGATTGTGATAAACATATGGCTGATTTATCTCTTAATTATATCCCACATTGACTTATATGTACAAACAGAGTTGCAAACCGCCTAAAACTGTAAAACCAGCAAACACAATAAACTGATATTAGGAAACCCACACCGAAAAAACACACTGATATGGAACTGCAAAACAATAATAACAGAAATGCTTACTCATAAAATCTGGTATGCAACGTTGATGTAGCATTAAAAAGAATTTGTCAGCTGAGCACAGTGGCTCACGTCTGTAATCCCAGCACTTTGGGAGGCTGAGGTGTGTGGAGCACCTGAGGTCAGGAGTTCGAGACCAGCCTGACCAACAAGGTGAAACCCTGTCTCTACTAAAAATACAAAAATTAGCCAGGCATGGTGGCAGGTGCCTGTAGTCCCAGTTACTCGGGAGGCTGAGACAGGAGAATTGCTTGAATTCAGGAGGTGGATGTTGCAGGGAGCCGAGATCGTGCCACTGCACTCCAGCCTGGGAAACAGAGCAAGACTCCATCTCAGAAAAAAACAAAAAATAAAAACAAAAAAAGAGTTTGTCTAGATAATGCAATATTAGACTGAAACTGTACTCATGGAGGAAAGGTATTTTGAATCACTGGCATCCACTATATGGTAGTAAAATTTCAGATAAAATGCAGTATAATTATAAATAGAAGATTCTATGAAAAACTTTTGATAAACATTTAAAAGAAACTAAAAATAATTTTTAAGTTTTAAATATATGCTATTTATACACAAAATGAAACTGCTGTAATCCAAGCTTAGAAGCAAAGAATAGCTTTACAATGCTAAATAAAGAAAAAAAAATATATTTTTTGCAGAATATAGTTAGGATCTCTGATATATAAACCAAATATTTGAGAATAAATCATGTTATTTTTTAGACATAGGCTGACAAACATGGGTGAAAATCCTATAATTCCATTTTGCCTGTCTATTTCTTTTTGCCTGCCTGCCTACTAATTATCTAATTTACTTCAGACATAACATGTCAATTCTAGTATATTTCCCTAAATGTTTCAATCTAAAATTACACACAAAATTGAAATAGAAAGTAAAAATGTACAGGGAGAGTGACATCAGTAAGATGGAAAAATAAAAGGTGCCCTATTTGCTTATTTTCCTACAGCAAGAAAATCTGTCAGCAATCCCTGAAAAAAAATGCCTTTATGAGAGAAACAGGCATCATGGCTCAAACCTGTAATGACAGCTACATGGTACATTAAGGCTGAAGAATTGCTTCAGGCAAAGATTTCAAGACTAGTCTGGGTTATGTAACAAGACCCCATCTCCAAAATAAGTGCCTTTAAGAGAGCTCTGAGATTCAGGAAGGAAGTTGTGAAACTCTGCTAATGCCCAAGATTGAGGAGCATCCTTTTTAGAAGGCAGGCTTTCATTCAGGTGGCAAACAACAGGACCCCTGTTCTTGGCTACAGACCAGAAAATTATCCACCCAACTTGGTCCCACTGAGAATTTTGAACTTACTCTGAAACCATCCAAAACTCTTCCCAGCCAAAGTCTGGAAGAGGTCCTGCCTTTTCAGAGGCCTGGAGAAAGACACTCATTTATAGCCACACAGACAAGACTGCAGACCTTGGTCCTTATTGTCTTCCCCGAAGCACTTGCATGACTCAGTTCCAGCTCTTTGAGCCACAGTTCATGGTCAGCTCTACCTACATGGAAACCCACACAGAGACCTGGGGAAATCCTTTCTGGTACCCAGTGAAAGCCATTTTCTTTTTTTTTTTTTTTTTTTTTGAGACGGAGTCTCGCTCTGTCGCCCAGGCTGGAGTGCAGTGGCGGGATCTCGGCTCACTGCAAGCTCCGCCTCCCGGGTTCACGCCATTCTCCTGCCTCAGCCTCCCAAGTAGCTGGGACTACAGGCGCCCGCCACCACGCCCGGCTAATTTTTTGTATTTTTAGTAGAGACGGGGTTTCACCGTTTTAGCCGGGATGGTCTCGATCTCCTGACCTCGTGATCCGCCCGCCTCGGCCTCCCAAAGTGCTGGGATTACAGGCGTGAGCCACCGCGCCCGGCCGTGAAAGCCATTTTCATCTACATTTTGATATAAAGCCCACCATATATGCACAACCAATTGCAGAAACCTGCCCTAGTGTCTACCCTACAGAGCAAAGTCCTAAAGGATATTCACTCTGCCCAAAAATATAATGGGAATTATAACTACCCAAGCCCCTTGTAACAAGTCAACTAAAGTTGGACCCCAGTGAAGACCCAGCAGCCTTGTTACCAAGCTACAACCCCTCTCCACTATAAGCCCAGAGGGCATTCTATCACCCTGGGCACCCAACAAAAGAATATCTTTACATCTTGAAGCCAGTTTATAAAAACCTGAAGAGGTGTTTGCTTCTTAAAATTCACAGAGAACAAAGCAAAACTATATTGTGCCCATTCTCAATGCTTCTACTTAAACATAGCACTGAAGGTACGTGGCAGAAAAATTAGTCAAAATAAATTTTTAAAGTCACTGACATTGAAGACAAGTAAGAAGCTGCTGGTTCTGGAGCATTTGACTTTATATATAAAAAACCATAAACAGTACATTAAAACCTGATTAAAGTAATAATTATACTCAATACATTAGCAAATAGAAAATTAACATACAACTATACGTTATGGTTCCATACACTTAAACTATCTGATAAAATATAGAAAGAAAGTAACCTTATTTACAATAGCACTAAAATAAATTTCTGAGAACAAATTTAACCAAGGAACTAAAAAATATTTTAAATGAAAGATATATCAATTAAAAAAATTAGAGAAGACACAAATAAATTTAAAAATATTTTATGTCTATTAATGGAAAGAATAAATATTGTTGCAGTGCCTTATTTTTAATTTTTATTTTTTTGACAGAGTCTCACTCTCTTGCCCTGGATGGAGTGCAGTGGCACAGTCTTGGCTCACTGCAACCTCCATTTCCCAGATTCAAGCAATTCTCCTGTCTCAGCCTCCCAAGTAGCTGGGATTACAGGTGCCTGCCACCACGTCCGGCTAATTTTTTGTATTTTTAGTAGAGACAGGGTTTCACTATGTTGGCCAGGCTGGTCTGGAATTCCTGACCTCATGATCCACCTGCCTCAGCCTCCCAAAGTGCTGGGATTACAGGTGTGAGCCACCATGCCCAGGCTAAAATGCCTTGTTATCTAAGGTGTCTCTAGATTCAATAAACTCCCATCAGAATTCCAGTTATTTAAGGTAATAGAAAATACAATTCCAAAATTTACATGAAACTACAATAAACTTTGAATAGCCAAAGCAATCCTGAAAGAAAAAAAAAAAAGCAGGAGGACATCATACTGTATAATTTCAAACTATATTTCAAAACTATAGTAATAAAACGGCATGGAATATGCAGAAAAATTAGCAATAAATAAATGAAACAGAAACCACTATTCTCACACATTTCAGACATAATGCAAAAAGATAACTTAAAAAATAGTTTAATTTGCTGGGTGTGGTGATGCACGCCTGTAATCCTAGCTACTCAGGAGGCTGAGGCAGGAGAATCACATGAATCCGAGAGACAGAGGTTGCAGTGAGCCGAGATCGCACCACTGCACTCCAGCCCTGGTGATAGTGCAAGACTCCGTCTCAAAAAAAATAAATAAATAAAATAAAAATAGTTCAACATAGAGTTTCTCAAAATTATTCAAATATCTGTGTGTTTCCAGAAACAATGGAAAAGCAGTGAGATTGTGCAGTCTATTATATGCCATGAAATGGACTTTGGCTCTCACTGTAAAGTAAGATTACCAAAGGGAAAGAATTTTTAGAGATTTTAAAAAAGATAAAACAAAAGATGCTTCTATGTGAGAGGAAAAAAAATAAATAAAAAGCAAAATAAATAAAAAGAAACAGAAACTATTTCCTTTGTAAAACAGCTTCCCAAATTATTTTAAAAACTGGTTTTTTTTCTTTTTTTAAACTATAGATCTCTTATCAGTTTTGTGTATTGTATTTACTGTCACCTACCTGGGGGTTTGGCTACCATATCATGTGTCTTCAAATTCCAAGGCTCTTTTTCTTGCTCCAGACAGGTGATCAGGTCTGGCTTTGAGACAGCAATACCTGTTTTATGAAAAATAACATGAATCTTGCTCATATTCTCCAATTACCAACTTAGTAATGCTCTCAGTAAAGAGAATGTAATGGAATATTCTAGTAAATTAACCCCAAAATAATAATTTATAAAAATTTTCTAAATAGACCAGGCACGGTGGCTCATGCCTTTAATACCAGCACTTTGGGAGGCTGAGGCAGGCAGATCACAAGGTCAGGAGTTCAAGACCAGCCTGGCCAACATAGTGAAACCCTGTCTCTACTAAAAATACGAAAAAATTAGCTAGGTGTGGTGGCACACGCCTGTAGTCCCAGCTACTCAAGAGGCCGAGGCAGGAGAATCGCTTGAACCCAGGAGGCAGAGGTTGCAGTGAGCCGACATTGTGCCACTGCACTCCAGCCTGGGTGACAGAATGAGACTCTGTCTCCAAAAAAATAAAAAAAATAAAGAAAAGAAATTTCTAAATATTTAAAAATATTTTAATTTTATAGGTTCTTAATTTAACTACTTTGTACTAATTCAAAAATTGGTGATGGTGATTAAATTTTAAGATGTGAGCAACAATATGTTGCAACTAAATTTCTAAAATTAATCCTAATCTAGAGTGAAGGAAACAAATCAGCTCAGGAAAGTGGAAAGTTCAGGTCAAAATAAAACATCTTGAAATTCTTTTCTACATGGACAAATCCTGAGGACTTTTTTTTTTTTTTTTTTTTTTTTTTTTTTTTTTTTTTATTGATCATTCTTGGGTGTTTCTCGCAGAGGGGGATTTGGCAGGGTCATAGGACAATAGTGGAGGGAAGGTCAGTAGATAAACAAGTGAACAAAGGTCTCTGGTTTTCCTAGGCAGAGGACCCTGCGGCCTTCCACAGTGTTTGTGTCCCTGGGTACTTAAGATTAGGGAGTGGTGATGACTCTTAACGAGCATGCTGCCTTCAAGCATCTGTTTAACAAAGCACATCTTGCACCGCCCTTAATCCATTTAACCCTGAGTGGACACAGCACATGTTTCAGAGAGCACAGGGTTGGGGATAAGGTCACAGATCAACAGGATCCCAAGGCAGAAGAATTTTTCTTAGTACAGAACAAAATGAAAAGTCTCCCATGTCTACTTCTATCCACACAGACCCGGCAACCATCCGATTTCTCAATTTTTTCCCCACTCTTCCCGCCTTTCTATTCCACAAAACCGCCATTGTCATCATGGCCCATCCCCAATGAGCCGCTGGGCACACCTCCCAGACGGGGTCGTGGCCGGGCAGAGGGGCTCCTCACTTCCCAGTAGGGGCGGCCGGGCAGAAGCGCCCCTCACCTCCTGGATGGGGCGGCTGGCCGGGCGGGGGGCTGACCCCCCCCCCCACCCTCCAGGACGGGGCGGCTGGCCAGGCAGAGGGGTCCTCACTTCCCAGTAGGGGCGGCCGGGCAGAGGCGCCCCTCACCTCCCGGACGGGGCGGCCGGCCGGGCGGGGGGCTGGCCCCCCCACCTCCCTCCCGGACAGGGCGGCTGGCCGACCCCCCTCCGCCTCCCTCCCGGACTGGGCGGCTGGCCGGGCGGGGGGCTGACCCCCCCACCTCCCTCCCGGACGGGGCGGCTGGCCGGGCAGAGGGGCAGGGGACAAATCCTGAGGACTTAAAAAAAAAAAGAAAAAGAAAAAGAAAAAAACCCGGGATCTGAAAGCACAGAATTTTTACAAAAATAAATGAAATCTATAGGGTATATTAGGAATTGTATATTAAAGTTATCCTCACCCAGGAAGACCAGGTTTCTGTAGTTATCTAACATTACATTTCTATATAAATTCTGTTGTTCGGTGTCCAGACATTGCCACTCCTCCAGAGAGAATTCTATGGCCACATCTCTAAATGTCAACGCTCCCTGAAAAACACAAACAAACACACATATTTACCAAGTGCCCCTGGGCAGAATTTTAAGTTTCACTCAAGGTGAAATAAGAGTAAATATAATTGGGTCTTACTTATAGGGGTGACTGAAATTATCTAATAACCTTCAACACAGAAATATTCTCTACTCTGTGAAAATATACTCTAACTCTGAGAAAAGAGATTGGCATAAGATCCAAAATATCAGTATTTATATGATACTTTTCCAGATGATGAAGTAAGACATGAACACTAACATGTACATTTTTGAGTGGTATATTTACATCATACAGAAAGAGTTGTGTAAACTTTTCAGATGGAAAAGTCACATTGAGTTAGAAGGTACTGCTCAAATTGTAATGTCTACAATAAACTGAAGATCTTGTTAATGCAGTCTGTGTCAGAAGGTCTGGAATAAAGCCTGAGTTTCTGGATCTTGGTGCGGTGGCTCATGCCTGTAATCCCAGCAC
Source organism: Homo sapiens (assembly GCF_000001405.40). Classification (NCBI taxonomy): domain Eukaryota; kingdom Metazoa; phylum Chordata; class Mammalia; order Primates; family Hominidae; genus Homo; species Homo sapiens. The sequence goes on along the minus strand of NC_000019.10, from coordinate 23,133,604 downwards.
TTTGGGAGGCCGAGGCAGGCGGATCACCTGAGGTCAGGATTTCGGGACCAGCCTGACCAACACAGAGAAATCCCATCTCTACTAAAAACACAAAATTAGCTGGCCATGGTGGCGCATGCCTGTAATTCCAGCTACTCGGGAAGGCTGAGGCAGGCGAATTGCTTGAACCTGGGAAACAGAGGTTGCAGTGAGCCAAGATTGTGCCATTGTAATCCAGCCTGGGCAATAAGAGTGAAACTGTCTCAAAAAAACAAAAACAAAAAAAAAACAAAAAAAACACAAGATGACCAGTGATGCCAATATTTATGGCCCAAGAAGGCTATTTTGTCAAATATGGAGTAACTGGAAGAGCCTGTAGTCTTTTTTTTCCAGTTTTTCTGGCCTGTAACAAACATTAGAGCTTTCATTTTCCATAGGCAGATAAAGGCAAAGAAAACATAAGAAGGGCAGCTGCCAGATTAAATGTGATGGTTTCTGCACATCAGCTGCATAAAGAAACTACTAATGAAGAGAAAAATAATTAACTCCATATTGAAGAAATCTGTCAGCTTCATTAATCAAGTGAGTTACTAATATCAACTGGACTAAGGCAAATTTTTATGATGTGCTGATGCACACAGGACACAGCATCACTGTTGTAATAGTGGCCCTCCAAAAGTAAATTACAGCCTGAATTTAACTACAAAGAAACATCAGTTTTATGCAAAGTTCAAAATACAGATATTTCCCATGTTCTATAATTGTTAATAGTTAATAGTTATTTTAAATAGTCTTTCTTTAGCACCATGGAGAACAAGTATCTCCTAATAATTTTTTTCAGAACTTACTGGGTAATAAATGCCACCCTGTTTAAATAAGCATTTTCTTAATCCTTCTCTACATAGAGCTGATGGAGAACACAGACAGAACCTCAACATTACATGGTCTTTATTTTTACTAAGAACCCTGGCGTTTCCCCAATAGGAATCTTGAGCATCCACACCTTCCCATGTTCAACAGCCACAAAGGGAACATTTTTAATATTGCAGATTATAAATTCATGGTGAGAATCATGGCATATAAGAAGCCATGATGTAGAGAATGTAGAGAAGGCTCTGGTACATAGGAAAGAAATATTTCTCTGAGATCCTTGACTATTATAAGAATTTTAAAACGTAGTTACAACAAACTCATTTAAGAGGAAAAGCACAAGTAGAGAATTAAAGTTTGGCAAGTACTAAAGGCATGGCATTCTAGCAGGCAGAGTGGACACAACCCTTACTCCAAGGCATGTTTAGCTGAAAAAAAGCCATTTTTTCTCTTCTCGTCTTTCTCTGGAATTTCTTCTCAGATGAGATTTTTGAAACAAATTACATCTGCATCTGGAGAATATGCCTTAACAATGTAAGCACCACATCTTTACCTGCTACCACCACACTCATAGGTAGAAGGACCAATACAGAAAAACTCTACCCATTTCTGTCCTTTATAACAGAAGAGATTGAGGAACAATAAGCTGCTCCACAGATGTAAAAATATGTTTCTCCTTTCCTGTCCTCAGGTGCCCTCCCCTGCCACAGACACCAGCAATTTCTGCTACAGTTAAGAAAAACGTGGGCCACACTGCCCTGTTCCTATGCAACCCAAACAGAACAGGTTCTGGGACCACCCTTTAGTGCAAAGATGAGACTTAACTATCATAAATGTATCTTGAACCCTCATACTTGATTCTGGCCTCAACTTAGAGTCACATGATTCTAATTAGAAGCCTGGGCTTATAACCATTTAACTAAGCATTGCCTCTCCAGCTTTAACAGCTTATAAATCACTTGGTAATTTTGGCCCTACTCTATGAAATGTGATTCTGCAGGTTTTGAAAGGATACAGGAATGGGTGTTATAAACAAGTTTCCTATCAATGCTGATGTTTCTCCACCTGGGGTCATTATTAGCATTAGTTAGAGCAAGCAGGCACAGCACAGAGTTCATTACACTCAGCACTCTTGTGACAATACAAACACTTTTGGTACAAATAAAGACAATCAATCTCCACCTTAAAGTATTATAATCTTTGCTGGCTTTTTTAAAGTTTACAGAAGAAACAGAAAGCAACAATGTTTTTTGTTTGTTTTTTGTTTTTGTATTTAGAAAGCAACGTTTAAGTCTGCATTTAGAAAACAACATATACACATGCAGTAATGCAATGTTTATTATTCAGGTACTACAAGCTCAATAAGATGCTACAGGGCACTGTGATAGCACATTACAGGATTTAATCTTAATAACACCCTGTGTGTTGATACTAAGTGTTCAATAATTCCCAGTATTTAGAAAAATGATCCATATTTTTTTCTGTTTCTCTGTCATTGACCTTTTAAAAAAATGTGTAGAATAAAAACTAAACATAAACAGATGAGAGGAATAGAGAAATGAAGAGTTTAATATAATTTACAGAAATTTTTATTGTTTTTATATTTACTTCTTGTGGCTTGGGGAGCAACGAGTAGATCTGCAGGAATGGAAAACAAGTTGCTAAATAAAATGTCTCTGCAAGCACTGGTTTTAATAATTTTAAAAAGACCCTAAAATTCATACTTTATATTTCTCATTTATCTGCTTTTCTGTTTCAGAAAATTGTGAGCACCAGCTCTAAAAATGGAACAGGATTCATCACCCAAAACTGATCTTTTCTAATCAGTTCTGTGAGATGAGACTCCAGGGTAGGGCCAGACTTAAATAAGGCCTTCAAAAGGGGTAAATCTGAACAGAACTGGGGCAGGGAGTGGACCCTAGCTAGAATTTGGTTCTGTATGCCAATGGGGATATTTCCAGTTTTGTTTTTCCTAAGCTTACCTAAGAGAAATTTAAATCTCAGAGTTTGTGTAATTTAAACCTTTTATAGTCACTTCCCTGTCAATTTTATATCATATACTAATAAGCCATTTAAACAAATCATTTAAGGTTTCCGCGGATAATTTTATTAAAAGATGAATATGTATTTTTAGTAAGGTAAAAGAAATACAAATAATCATAACAACCCTTCTGTTCATAAATATTCCTTCAGGTGAAAACACCAAAAGTCACAACAATATAAAGAACATGGCCGAAATAAAGCCCAAGTTTTTTTTGCACACATTTATTTACCTACCATATGATGCATAATTCAACCTTTATTCAGTTGCTAGTTTTATTAGTCTGTTCTCATGCTGCTGATAAAGACATACCTGAGACTGGGAAGAGAAAGAGATTTAATGGACTTACAGTTCTACGTGGCTGAGGAGGCCTCACAATCATGGCAAAAGACAAGGAGAAGCAAGTCACATTTTACATAGATAGTGGCAGGCAAAGAGAGAGCTTGTGCAGGAAACCTCCCGTTGTTACAACCATTATATATTCTGAAGTTCATTCACTATCACGAGAACAGCGCAGGGAAGACCCACTCCCATAACTGAATCATCTCCCACCGTGTTTTTCCCATGACTTGTGAGAATTACAATTCAAGATGAGATTTGGGTGGGGACACAGCAAAACCATATCATTCCACCCCTGGCCCCTCCAAATCTAATGTCTTTACATTGCAAAACCAATCATACCTTCCCAACAGTCCCCCAAAGTCTTTTTTTTTTTTTTTTTGAGGCGGAGTCTCGCTCCAGCACCCAGGCTGGAGTGCAGTGGCACGATCTTGGCTCACTGCAAGCTCTGCCTTCCGGGTTCACGCCATTCTCCTGCCGCAGCCTCCTGAGTAGCTGGGACTACAGGTGCCCGCCACCACATCCGGCTAATTTTTTTGTATTTTTAGTAGAGATGGGGTTTCACTGTGTTAGCCAGGATGGTCTCAATCTCCTGGCCTCGTGATCCACCCGTCTCGGCCTCCCAAAGTGCTGGGATTACTAGCATGAGCCACCACGCCCGGCCCAAAGTCTTAACTCATTTCAGCATCAACTCAAAAGTCCACAATTCAATGTCTTATCTGAAACAAGGCAAGTCCCTTCTGCCTATGAGCCTGTACAATTAAAAGCAAGTTAGTTACTTCCCTGATATAATGGGGGGGGGGATACAAGCATTGGGTAAATACAGTCATTCCATAAGGGAGAAATTGGCCAAAACAAAGGGGCTACTGGCCCCATGCGAGTCCAAAATCAAGCAGGGCAGTCAAATCTTAAAGCTCCAAAATGATCTCCTTTGACTCCATGTCCCGCATTGGGTCATGCTGATGCAAAAAGTGGGTTCCCATCGTCTTGAGCAGCTCCACCCCTGTGGCTCTGCAGGGTACAGCCTCCCTCCTGGCCACCTTCATGGGCTGGTGTTGAGTGCCTGTGGCTTCTCCGGGCACATGGTGCAAGCTGTCAGTGGATCTACCATTCTGGAATCTGGAGGACAATGGCCCTCTTCTCACAGCTCCACTAGGCGGTGCCCCAGTAAGGACTCTGTGTGGGGTCTCCAACCCAACATTTTTTTCTGTACTGCCCTAGCAGATATTCTTCATGAGGCCTTCACCCCTGCTGCAAACTTCTGCCTGGCCATCCAGGGGTTCCCATATAGCTCTGAAATCTAGGTGGAGGGTGCCAAACCTCAATTCTTGACTTCCGTGAACCCACAGGCTCAACACAATATGGAAGCTGCCAAGGCTTGGGGCTTCCACCCTCTGAAACAACAGCCTGAGCTCTACCTTGGCCCCTTTTAGCCATGACTGTAGTGGCTGGAATACAGGATACCAAGTCCCTAGGCTTCACAGAGCAGGGGAGCCCTGGGCCTGACCCACAAAGCCGTCTTTTTCTTTTAGGCCTCTGGGCCTGTGATGGAAGGGGCTGCAGAGAAGACCTCTGTCATGAACTGGAAACATTTTTCCCACAGCTGGCTTAAATTTCTCCTCAAAAAATGAGGTTTTCTATTCTATTGCATTGTCAGGCTGCAAATTTTCCAAACTTTTATGCTCTGTTTCCATTTTAAAACTGAATGCCCTTAACAGAACCCAAGTAATCTCTTGAATGCTTTGCTGCTTATAAATTTAATTTTTTTAAAATTTTGCTGTCAATAAGTTTATTTTCTTCATCTAAAAAATCCTCATTGAAAATTGTTTGGATTAGCTCTCAGAAGCCCACTCCTGAGCTCTGAGGAAGCTTGCCTTCTTTTGAGCTACTCGATCTTTTGAGCAAGGGACATTTTGGGATGGTTCCACTTCTTTTTCTTGGGCTTCTTCTCATAGACTGGATTCTCTCACATAGCAGCATGAGCTTTCTTATGCATCTCCTTCAAGTCTGGAGTTACGCTTTTGTTTATGTATTGAGAGAACTGTTTCCTGTAACCATCTTCATCATCCTTCATTAAGTAGTGCATGTAATCTGCAACATTCTGGCCTATGATGTACTTCTGGTGTACTGCTGCATTAAAGTCCTTGCTTTCAGAATCATAACCAGGGAACTGTTTGGTACTGTGAGGGATAGACAAGCCTCCATCTACTGCTCTCTTCAGGGAACCAAAAACTTTATTGCCAGTGGTAGTTCTGGCAAGGCCTACATCCAAATAGCAGGTGAAGGCACTTGGCTGACCATCAGTGCTTTCCACATTGTATTCATTGCCAGTCACCTCCACTTGGCCTTCACAGATCTTGTCCATGCCATAGGTCACAGATCTTGACCTACTGAGGAGCCTGCAGGCCAGCAGCAGGCCAGTACAATACATTGCAGTGTAATTGGTTAGGCCAACCTTCACATCATATTTTGGCAGTTTACGAGCATATGCTGTGTGTAATATCACATCCTCTTCTATACGGGTATAAGCAATCTGACAATATTTGTTTGTTACACAAACTATCATCCTGTGGAGCAGCCAGGATGGAAGACCTGGACGATGGCCCTAACTTCCTCTCAGGAAGAGAACTGTGGACTTAAAGCAATAAATGTAGATCTTCAAAGTGATCCTGCTCTGCTGGTGGACATTTCTGATGCTCTTAGTGAGCGGAATAAAGTAAAATTCACCATTCACACAAAGAGTTTATTGCCAAATTTTAAACAAAATGAGTTTTCTGTTGTTCAGCAACATGAGCAATTTATCTGGCTTCATGATTCCTTTGTTAAAAATGAAGACTATGCAGGTTACATCATTCCACCAGCACCACCAAGAGCTGATTTTGATGCTTCAAGGGAAAAAGTACAGAAGCTTGGAGAAGGAGAAGGGTCAATGACAAAGGAAGAATTCACAAAGATGAAACAGGAACTGGAAGCTGAATATTTGGGAATATCCAAGAACACAGTTGTGATGCATGAAGTGTTCCTATGTCATGTGACAGCACATCCTATTTTGAGAAAATATTTAAATTTCCATGTCTTCTTGGAATATAATCAAGATTTGAGTGTGCAAGGAAAAATAAAAAGAGAAACTTGAAGATTTCTTTAAAAACATGGTTAAATCAGCAGATGGAGTAATTATTTCCGGAGTAAAGGATGTAGATAATTTCTTTGAGCATGAACAAACATTTCTTTTAGAATATCATAACCGAGATAAGGATGCATCTGCTAACTCATAGAAGGACAAGATCCCACAAAAGTGCTGCAGATTATTACAATAGAATTGGTTCTTCATTATATGCTTTAGGAACTCGGGATTCTACAGATATACGCAAGTTTTTTCTCAAAGTTTCAGAAATGTTTGATAAAACAAGAAAAATAGAAGCATGAGTGTCTGCTGATGAGGACCTCAAACTTTCTGACCCTTAAAAATATTACTTAAGAGAAACTCAAGCTGCTAAGGATCTCCTGTATTGAAGGTCTAGGTCACTACTGGATTATGAAAATGCTAATATAGCACTGGATAAAGCAAGAGCAAAAAATAAAGATGTTCTGCTGGCTAAAACTTCCCAACAATTATGTAGTCAGAAATTTGAAAAAAAAAAATCTCAGTCTGCAAAACAAGAACTTATAGATTTTAAGACAAGAAGCATTGCTGCATTCAGAAAAAAAAAAAAACTAGTGGAACTGGCAGAGTTAGAACTGAAGCATGCAAAGGGTAACCTACAGTTGCTGCCAAACTGCCTGGCAGTGCTAAACGGAGACACATAAGCCACATTCTGCCTTCCTGTTGAAAAGGGCTGCCTTCCTTCAAATTTTATTTTTGTTTTCTTAATGATGTTACGCATTTATGCTCACTGGAAACAAATAAAAAACAGCTGACAAAATGGATCTACTCTTTTTCTGAGAAGCATGGAGCAGCACCATGTACAGGCGATGCCAGTCTGTGTGGTGTAATGCCGCACTGTGTTCCCCAAGATAGTGGCCCATTATTGTGCACTCATCATACTCAGAAGTCCAAGTTTTATTCTTCTTTAAAGTAGCCTCTATAACTGCATTTATTTTATAAATAGTATTCCTTATGGATGCCAATCTTATTTACCTTTAAATAATTTCTGAAGTTTAACCTTTTCAGAATGCATTGTTCAAACAAGATAAAGATTGCCTTTATTGCCTTTAAAACAGAATTTTTTAAAATTTTGTTTTAAAAAAGCATTATATACCACCTTAGTTCATTCATGTATCCTGGTAAAGCATCTTAATCAGACTTATTTTTAACTACTGAATATTTCTTAGAAGTTTTGGTACAGATTTTATGTAATCTTTATGATTTCTGAAGAAAAGCAAATGCATTAGTATGTTTGCCTTAAACTTGTAGACTAAACCAATTATTGTAAAATAAACAGCAATAACAGTGAGAGTTTTTAACTCTGTGGTCACTGTATCACTCTTCAACATTTGGAGTAGCTATAATAAATCTACTCCTGCATTATGCTTTAAAAAACCCAACTAACAAAAAAACTATCATCCTGTATTTGGGTGTGTTGTATTTATTTTTATCCTGTATCATCAAGCATTTCCAAGAATAGTAATTAGCTTTATCCTCTTGTCCTCTAAATTTCATTTGTTATCTCTTAAAATAGGCATTATTTTTAACAACTTTAACAAAACCTATCCTGCAGAACAGAGACTGGCATCCATGGCTCAACAGAGACCTGCCTTGCTTAGAAATTTCTTCTGCCAGATAACCTAAATCATCTCTCTCAAGTTCAAAGTTTCACAAATCTCTAGGGAAGGGGCAAAATAACACCAGTCTCTTTGCTAAAACATAAGAAAAGTCACCTTTGCTCCAGTTCTCAGCAAGTTCCTCATGTCCATCTGAGACCATTTCAGCCTGGATTTTATTTTCTATATCATTATCAGCATCTTGGTCACAGCCATTCAACAAGTTTCTAGGGAGTTCCACACTTTCCCACATTTTCCTGTCTTCTGAGACCTCCAAACTGCTCCAACCTCTGCCTGTTGCCCAGTTCCAAAGTCACATGCACATTTTCAGGTATCTTTTCATCAATGCCCGGCTCTACTGGTAACAATTTTTTGTATTAGTCTGTTCTCACACTGCTGATAAAAACACACCAGAGACTGGGAAGAAAAAGAGATTTAATGGACTTACAATACCACATGGCTGGGGAGGCCTCGCAATCATGGCAGAAGGCAAGGAGAAGCAAGTCATATCTTACGTGGATGGTGGCAAGCAAAACGAGAGCTTGTGCAGGGAAACTCCCATTTTTAAAATCATCAGATCTTGTGAAACTCATTCACTATCATGAGAACAGTGCAGGAAACACCTCCCCTCATAATTTAATCACCTCCATCTGGGTTCCTACCACAACATGTAGAAACTGTGGGAGTTACAATTTAAGATGAGATTTGGGTGGTGACATAGCCAAGCCATATCACTAGTCTAGACTAAAAGTTTCTGTATGATAAGAACCATAACTGCTCTACCTATTTTTCTAATGATAATATGAAATGAAAGCAATCAGTTTATCTGTTTTAGTTTCTAGACCTCTTCCTTGTTTTTCACCCAAGTACAAGAAAACTGGGGAAACTATCATCTGAGTACCAACCAAAATTATCTCTTGTATGAGGGAGGAACAAACACAGAATGACTCATTTCTTTTACACTGAGAAAGAAGTAGCATTAACCACTCTTGTCAGCCTGATAAAATTCTGCTCTGGATATTCTCAAATGTTTCAAAGATGGCTAGGTAATTGTGAGAGGGTTCCCAGTTACCCTGGGTTGATTGCCCAATGATAAGCCAGGCAGGAGAGACTCAGGCTGATTCTAAATAAAAAATGGAACTGCTCTGGTCGAGCTCCAGAACCTGGATCACCTGTCCTGATTCTAGCTCTTCAGTAAGAGGAAGGACAACAATACTGTATTCCAGTCTTGCATTTTACTGGTAGGTATAGTTGTGGTTATGGCTCTGGATACTTTGTAGCCTTGATCTTTCACTCCTAAGATGCTTGTTTACATTTACAGATTTGGCCATCAGATTCTATTTACTCTCGGAACCTCTCACAGAATGTAGAACATGCAGCACCCTGCTTGCGTTCTCCTAGTGGCCAGTGTCCTCTCTTTACGCCTACCAACTTCCACTGAAACACAGCCCACAACACACAGCTCAAAGCTGCTGGTTCACATCTTACATGAACCCCAATGCCACAGCAGTACTCTAGTGTCACATCAGAGAGTGGAGCCTGCGCTGCAGGGAGAGGAGACTGCAGGCCTCCTGGGTAGAACTGCACCTTCACAGTAATGGGAATGGGAGCAGTATTTCACCCTCAGTTTCTATTTATAAGGGTGACATAAAAAAAAAAGTACTGCTAGATTTCCAGCATGAATCCAGATAGAGATAACTCCAAGAATATTCTCCCTGTGACAACCCACCTCATTCACAGAGACCATGGGATACTAATAGGGTTTCTGAAACAGACACCCAAAGCATTGGAGAGAAAAACAGCTCTCAATCTGAGCAAGATTATATTGAAAGAAAAAATAAGCTAAAAGCATCTTAAGAAAAAACTCAGATTAGATGTAAGACTGATCAACTTGGCCAGAAGATAGTCCCCCAAAAGGAATTTTTCTTGAAACACTCAAAATGCATGGCTACTCTCAGCATGAGAAACATGAGCATTATGAAAAAAAAAGGCATGTTCTCAGCAGAATTTTATAAGGTTTCTTTTTTTTTTTTTTTTGAGATGGAGTCTTGGAGTCTCGCTGTGTTGCCTAGGCTGGAATGCAGTGGCACGATCTCGGCTCACTGAAAGCTCCACCTCTTGGGTTCAGGCCATTCTCCTGCCTCAGCCTCCCAAGTAGCTGGGACTACAGGTGCCCGCCACCACTCCTGGCTAATTTTTTGTAGTTTTTAGTAGAGACGGGGTTTCACCATGTTAGCCAGGATGGTCTTGATCTCCCGACCTCGTGATCCACCTGCCTTGGCCTCCCAAAGTGCTGGGATTACAGGCGTGAGCCACCGTGTCTGGCCTATAAGGTTTCTTTTTCATGTCTGCTGCTCTCCCATCTCCTAACCAGTGAATTGGGGATCTATATTGGAATACATCTGACAATTTTCACCAGCACTTTTTGATGAAAAACTGGAATCTGACTTTGTTATACAGTGGAATATATTTGAGCTTGCAACATAGCTAACTGAAGAGCTATTATGGTTTTGGGTGGTCACATAGCCCATTATGTTTATTTGTCCTGTAAAAGCAGCATTCAAATTCAGTGAAATGAAAGACACTAAAACAATGCTTACCTATAATTATCCTATTGGATAAATTAATAAGCATGTCAAACTAATAACAACTGTAACAATTTTGTAGTGAATTTTCTTTGGATATTAGATATAAATATCTAAGTATAAATAATTTTAATGTACTTGTCATAATGTATGTAGAACTTTAAAAATATCTATAACCATAATTCAGTTAAAACACTTTATATTTCAAGAGTATAAATAACAATATTAAAATGACTAAAGGGATTTATTCAAATATTGTAGCCTTATATTCATACTATTATACAAAATGTTAATTTGTGTGAATGCAAGTTGTCTACAAACACTACACCTAACTATACTAATTGTTCTGAAGTAACAGAAACCAAAGTCCACCTACAGATTCCACTATTTAGTGAATAAACTGAACTGTTCTTGCCTTTGCAGTGTAAGTACTTTAGCCTGCAAATATGAGATAATTACCTTGGATAATCAGTTTTCTGTCAAAAAAGTTTACTCAGTATCTTTTTTATTCTTTATCATTCTGTGTTGCTAAATTTAATCTTATCTTTGTGCTCAACTTTTGTGTGCTCTTAAAATAAGCTTTAAACGGCCCGATGTGGTGGCTCACGCTTGTAATCCCAGCACTTTGGGAGGCCAAGGCAGGAGGATCACCTGAGGTCAGGAGTTTGAGACTAGCCTGGCCAGTATGGCAAAACTCAGTCTCTACTAAAAATATAAAAAAATTAGTCAAGGGTGGTGGCAGGAGCCTGTAATCCCAGCTACTTGAATGGCTGAGGCAGGAAAATCATTTGAACTGGGAGGTGGAGGTTGCAAGGAGCCAAGATCGTGCCATTGTATTCCAGCCTGGGCGACAAGAGTGAAACTCTGTCTAAAAAAAAAAAAAAAAAAAAAAAAAAAGCTTTAAACAAATTTGTGTCTACTTTAAAAGACTAAAAATGAAAATAAACAAAAACAAAAAAAAACCTTTGCCAAAGCAAAAACAAAGCAATGGTTCTGAGGTCCTAGATGAAGACAATTCTGAGTCAGAAAGAATAACAAAAGGTTTATATAGCTGTTACTATGATTTACATATATTTCTAAAAAGCAGAGAAAACTATCTACGTGTAATCTAAATGTTTTAAAAAAAGAGAGATGAACAAAATATCCTCCCTTACTTTCACGTAAGAGAATAAAGCCTCTTATCTTTAATTTATACTTTTTTCTACAACAGCCAAGTCTCTGGACATGTTCTTGAACACTGGACATCTGAACTTCAGTAGACACTGGATGCAGACATCTAAGCTGTAGCCTTGGGCATACGGTATGCACTTGAAAGAATGTTTATGAAAAAAAGCAGACAGAAAAAATATGTTATTAAAAATCCATGCACGCACATGAATAAAACAAGTTCTGCTGGGCATGGCAGCTCACGCCTGTAATCTCAGCACTTTGGGAGGCTGAGGCAGGTGGATCACGAGGTCAGGAGTTCAAGACCAGCCTGACCAACATGGTGAAACCTGGTCTCTACTGAAAATACAAAAATTAGCCAGGCATGGTGGCACACTCCTGTAATCCCAGCTACTCAGGAGGCTGAAGCAGCAGGAGAATCTCTTGAACCTGGGAGGCGGAGGTTGCAGTGAGCCGAGATCGTGCCACTACACTCTAGCCTGGGCAACAGAGCAAGACTCTGTCATACACACACACACACACACAAAGTTCTTAGAGAACTATGAAGAGATTTAGATTCTGACTCCTACAACACCCCATGGACACTATTAGACAGATCACTGAGGCAGAAAATTAACAAAGATATCAGAACTAAATGCTTGACCAAATAGTCCTAATAGACATCTACAACACTCTCCATCTGAAATCTACACAGTATACACTCTTCTCACCACCACGTGTCAAATACTCTAAAACTGACCACACAATCAGAAATAAAACAATTATCAGCAAATTTAATAATACCCAAATCATACCAAACACATTCTTAGGCCACAGCTTGATAAATATATAATTCAACACAAAGAAAACTACTTGAAATTATACAATTACATGGAAATTAAAGAATCTGCATGTGAATGACTTTTGAATAAATAATGAAATTAAGGTAGAAATTAAGCAGTTTTTTGAAACAAATGGGAACAAAGATACAACATACTAGAATCTCTGCAACATGGCTAAGACAGTGGTAAGAGGGAAATGTATAGCACTTTTTGATGCTCACATCAGAAAGTTAGAAAGAGGTCAATATAACAACCTAACATCATAAATAAAAGAATGAAAGAAGCAAGAGAAAACCAACTCCTAAGCTAGCAGAAGACAAGAAGATCTGAACTGATGGAGATTTAGACATGAAAAGTCATACAAATAAGAAATCTATTGAGTTAAATCTTTTGAAAAATTTAATAAGATAATAACCACTTATCTTATTATCTTATAACAAAGTTAATAAGATTAATAAACCACTAATAAGATTAGTGAAAAAAGAAGAACCAAATAAACACAATTAGAAATGACAAAAGCGACATTACCACTGACCCCACAAAAATATGAATAAGTACTGAAGTCTACTACAAACTTCTCTGTGAAAACTAGAAAATCTAAAAAAAAAAAATGGATAAATTTCTGGAAAAATCCATCTTCCCATAACTGAACAAAAACAACAAAATGAATCAGTGAATAGACCAATAACAAGCTCCAAAATTGAAATAGTAGTAAACAGCCTACCAACCAAAAGAAAGCCCAGGACCAGCCAGTTGTGCTGGCTCATGCCTGTAATCCCAGCACTTTGGGAAGCCGAGGTGGGAGGATCACCTGAGGTTAGGAGTTCGAGACCAGCCTGGCCAACATGGTGAAATACTGTCTCTACTACAAATACAAAAATTAGCCGGTCATGGTGGCACCCGCCTGTAGTCCTGGCTACTTGGGAGGCTGAGGCAGGAGAACTGCTTGAACCTGGGAGGTGGAGGTTGCAGTGAGCCGAAATCCCACCACTGCATTTCAGCCTGGGCAACAGAGCGAGGCTCTGCCTGAGAAAAAAAAAAAAAAAAAAGAAAGAAAGTGAGTCCAGGACCAGACAGATTCACAGCTGAATTCTAACAAATGTACAAAGAAAAACAAGTATTATATCTTACAAAACTATTTTAAAAAATTGAGAAGAAGGGACTCCTCCCCAACTCATTATATAAAAGCAGCATCATTCTTTTTATTTATTTATTTATTTATTTTTGAGACGGAGTCTCATTCTGTCGCCAGGCTGGAGTGCAGTGGCGCGATCTTGGCTCACTGCAACCTCTGCCTCCTAGGTTCAAGTGATTCTCCTACCTCAGCCTCCCGAGCAGCTGGGATTACAGGTGTGCACCACCACACCCAGCTACTTTTTGTATTTTTAGTAGAGACAGGGTTTCACCATGTTGGCCAAGATCATCTCCATCTCTTGACCTCCTGATCCACCCACCTCAGCCTCCCAAAGTGCTGAGATGGCGTGAGCCACTGCTCCTGGCAACAGCATCATTCTAATACCAAAATCTGGCAGAGATAAAACAAAAAAAGGAAACTTCAGGCTAATATCCTTGATGAACACTGATGTAAAAATCTTCAACAAAATACTAGCAAACCAAATCCAGCAGCACATTAAAAAGCTAATCCACTATGATCAAGTAGGTTGTATCCCTGGGATGCAAGGTTTGTTCAACATACACAAATCAATATGTTTGATTAATCAGATAAACAAACTACAGATAAAAACCACAAAATTATTTCGATACAGAAAAAGTTTTCAATAAAAGTTAATATCCTTCATGTTTAACACCCTCAACAAACTTGGCATTGAAGGCAAATAGTTCAAAATAATGAGTTATCTATGACAAACCCACAGCCAACATACTGAATGGACACAAGCTGGAAACATTCCTTCTTGAAAACTGGAGCAAGAATGCCTTCTCTCACCCCCACTATTCAACATAAAATTGGAAGTCCTGGCCAGAGCATTCAGGCAAGAGAAAGAAATAAAACACATCCAAACAGGAAGAGAGGAAATTAAAACAATCTCTGTTTGCAGATGATTCTTTTTCTTTTTATAAAATTTAGCATTAAACTCAGAAATTAAGATAACAGGATAGAGAACAGAGATATTCACTGTCACAAATTTACCCTGCAAAAATAACAACCGATGATTTCATAAATCTTGTAACTCACCCATTATCTACAACATTTGGTTGTAGAATGCTACCAAATAAAAGAATAGGTAAAATCTGCCATTTGGATACTATTTTTTCCATGAATCTCAGAGAATCCGAGGGGCAGAAATCACTTCTGTTTTTCCCTCAATACCCGCATAAGATTGGCTGACCCGCAATGTGTCTCTAAGAAAGGGAAGCTAGGTTGGGTGAAGACAATGTTAATGTCTGAAGTGGTTAGCTTTTCAAAGACACCAGGAGATTCCTCTTAGCCCCAGGGCATCCACCTGCTCTCTTGAGAGACTACACTTCATACCTCTTGTTGTCCTGTGAGAGAAAATGACCCAGAAGCTAATAATCATCAAACACTCTAGCAGACATAGCCATGGTGTGTACCCTGGTTTATTCACAGCCAGTACTGAAAACCAGGACCAGGAAAAAACTAAAGGGTGGCTGAGAATACATCATCCCATAAAAATTAAAAAAACAAAAAAAAAAAACAAAAAACAAACTTGACCCCAAAACACTTTCACAAGATCTCTGTGCCTAGGGGAGACAAAAGAAAAAGAGGCACAGAGATTTTTTTACAATACAGTGTCAGGGAATTAGTTTTGGTTTATTTTCATGGGCGATATTTACAAACAGAAAACAAATCTTTTTAAATGTCCCACCCAATGGTTTGTAAAAAAATAATTAAAATACAGTATCAAAAATGTACCCTAAAGGACAAACAGATAATAATGTGAATTAGAGAGGGAAAGTTGGCATTTGGGATAATCAGAAGAAACTGGAAATTTAGTATTTTACTGCAAGACAGAGTTAGGCTGGAGGAATGGGGGTTGAGGGGTAGACTTGAGACCCCGTTTGAGAAACATGAAAAAAAAATGCAGAAGATCAGTCTCCTGTGGAGTGTGAAAATAGTTAAGTGACAGGCAATTCGAGGTACGTGGCTGCGATGCCTGGATTCCTACTTTAAAAAAAAATGTAACTCAAATGTATTTTTTTGTAAATTACTACATTAAGGAAAACAAAATTTAGGCGTAACAAACTATAAACTGCCTATTAAGCTCTGATTACATAACCAGAAAATTTGTACGCTCAAGGTGCAAATTTAGAAACTATGTAACTGTACCTAACCGATTACTGAATTTGGGTTTTTGCATCATGCATCTTATGAAAGTCTTTCCTTCAAGCCCGTCCCATGGATAACAAGCTACACCCCATAACTGGGTGCTCTACAATTTTAGAATCATTCTTTAATTAAATTCTTTAATATTTTGGTGATGACTCCCATAAATTTTTAACAGAAGGAAAGAGGAATTGGGAACGCCACAGACCAAAGCTCTTCCCATTCATGAACCCGCAGCCCGAGTCAGGATTCTCCTCTGACGATCCTCTCTGGTTCCTGCATAATCTGGGAGAGACGCAGCGCTGCGGGTGCAGAGCTGCCCAGAGAGGGCTCCAGGGCAGGGCACAGTCACAGTGCAGGGAAGAGACAGGACGCCGGGGCCCCGGCTGTCAGCGCGGCCGCCATCGTATGGCTGAAGGGGACTGAGGCCGAGCTGGGCAAGAACTCTGGGCGCAGATTGTGAAGCTGACTGCGGGGAGGCCTGGGTCCCGCCACAGCCGCTTCCCACCGGTTCCAACCAGCCCCGTTCCCTCTCTCGGGATGTCGGACCGGCACTCTCACCATTTCTAGGCTTCCAGGGGGCCCTGGCGTCTTAGCTGTGGATCTCCCAATACCCGCAGGTCGCAGGGCCACACAGGCTGGGCTTCTACGTGCAGAGGACACAAAGCAGACAGACGAAAATTGGAGCTTCGGCGGCAGCGAGAAACAAAGGCCGCGCCAAATCCCGGAAGCCGCCCTGTCTGCTCCAGCTGCGGGCCTGATTGGACGGCCCCCCGCCCAGTGTCCCCGATTGGATAACGTTTAAGGCCCCGCCCCCTCAGGCCCTGAGTGACAGATGTGATCAGATGCTGGACTGAATGAAGAGTGACAGCGTAGGCTGCAGCCTTTTCGGGCAGGACTTCCTCCCTGAACTGAGACAGGCCCACCCCAGAGGGTACTGACTTTAACCTTTTGTGTAAGATCATATGTATTTATAAATAATACGCTATATGAATATTCACAAATCAAAAGAACATAGACCGGGCGCGGTGGCTCACGCCTGTAATCCCAGCACTTTGGGGGGCCGAGGCGGGTGGATCATCTGAGGTCAGGAGTTTGAGACCAGCCTGGCCAACAAGTGAAACCCCGTCTCTACTAAAAATACAAAAAAAAAAAAAAAAAAAAGTAGCTGGGAGTAGTGGCGCGCGCCTGTAATCCCAGCTACTCGGGAGGCTAAGGCAGGGGAATCGCTTGAACCCAGGAGGTGGAGGTTGCAATGAGCCGAGATCGTACCACTGAACTCCAGCCTGGTGACAGAGTGAGATGAAAGGAAGGAAGGAAAGGAGGAAGGGAGGAGGAGAGAAAGAGAGAGAGAAAAAGAAAGAAAGAAAAGAGAGAAAGAAAAGAAATAAGGAAAGAAAGGAAAGAAAGAAAGAAAAGAAAAGAAAAGAAAAGAAAAAGCAGAATAACCACAGGTAGATCACTATCTGGTGACCACCTTTCTTCCAGAGATCAGACACTGAACAAAGGATGATGGGGCCACAGGGGAAGAAAACTCTATGTCTTCAGATCTGTCCACAGTCTGGACCTCCAATGTTAGATATGAAGAAAACAGATTAAAGGCAAAATTATTTTGCTATTTGGCCTTGGCCCTAAGTGTCAGGATGTAGTTTTACGTTTTCTCCTGTGCGTGCGGGGACTAAGGACCAATCACATGCATACATATCTACATGTATTGCAGCGTTACTCAACATTATCTTACAACACATCTAACTTTAAATCAGGGGAAAATATTAGTACCTTTATGGAGCCCACTGTTAGAAGGTAACTAGTAATCAACCTGTCATTAAATCATGGCACCTATCTGCACTGGGTGCATGTATTAGTTAGCTATTGCAGCATAACCAACCATCCAAAACTTATTAGGTAATAATTGAGATGGTCAGCCATTTAGGCTGGGCTCACTGGGGCCATTCTTCTGGTCCCAGCTGAGCTCCTTCAGACATGTATCAACAACTGCTTCTTGACTAGGAAGCTGTGCTTCTGGGGGTAAGCTTCTGCTTCTGGGGGTGAGCTTCTGCTTCTGTCAACAGAGGCACTTTGCTTCTCTTCCCCACCCACCATGTTATGTTATCCTCCAGCTGGCTAACATGTGCTTTGTTCATGGAGAGGGCAGCATTCTGAAAGAAAAGCAGAAGCATTCAAGACCATTTGAGCCTAGGCCCCAAACTGGCACACGGTCATGTTCACAGGTTTCTACTGACCTGAGGAAATAAGGTCAGCCGTATCTAGGGTCTGGAAAACAGATTCCATATCTCAATGGGAACGGCTGTAAAAAAGCACGTGGCAAAGGATATAGGAGGGATGAAAAATTGCTGCAATTTCTGCAATTAGTATCATTCTGCCTTTTTTGCATATGTGGTTTATACAACTCTTTCACATGAAGAAACTTGTCCAAAGACCCAAAGCTACTAATTGGCTGGGCTGAACCTCAGGATAAATTCTGACTCCAAAGCTCAGGCACCTCCATAGATCAAACTATATTACTAGAGTAACTGCCACAGACCCTTGAAATTCTGGAGAGTGACACTTCTGCAAAAGAAGACAGTTTTTTTTTTTTTTAGATTTGTGCCCACATAGTACTGTTTATTATTGGAAATAATCCTGTCAAGAAATTGCAGAAGCACATGGTGGTTCACACCTGTAATCTTAGCACTTTGTGAGGCTGAGATGGGAGAATAACTTGAGCTCAGCAGTTCAAACACAGCGTGGGCGACATAGTAAAATCCTGTCTTCATGAAAAAAAATTAGCCAAGCATGATGTTGCATGCCTGTAGTCCGAGGTACTCTGTGACTAGGGCAGGAGGATGGCTTGAGTATGGAAGGTAAAAGCCGCAGTAAGCCATAATTGATTACACCACTACACTCCAGCCTGGGTGATAGAATGAGACCCCATCTCAAAAAAATTGCAGAAACATTTTGAAAGGACATAGAATAATTTGGAAAAATAGCTGAGGGATGAGTTTAGAAAATCAAAGCCCAACAACAGATTATTCATTTTTGATCAGAGAATACATTTGAAAACTTCTAAAAGAAAAACAACTTTAGGGCCGGGCATGGTGGCTCACGCCTGTAATCCCAGCACTTGGGAGGCCGAGGCGGGCGGATCATGAAGTCAGGAGATCGAGACCATCCTGGCTAACACGGTGAAACTCCGTCTCTACTAAAAATAAAAATAAATAAAAATAAATAAAATAAAAATAAAAATAAATAAAAATAAAAAAATTAGCCGGGTGTGATGGCGGGCGCCTGTATTCCCAACTACTGGGGAGGCTGAGGCAGGAGAATGGCGAGAACCCGGGAGGCGGAGCTTGCAGTGAGCCGAGATCGCTCCACTGCACTCCAGCCTGGGTGACAAAGCGAGACTCCGTCTCAAAAAAAAAAAAAAAAAAAGAAAAGAAAAAGAAAAACAACTTTAGATAAACTAAATTTAACAGAGTTTTATTGGGCAAAGAGGGATTTGCAAATTGAGTAGCCTGTGGATCCAAAGTAGGCTCTGAAATACTCCAGCACAGCAACATGATGGTGAAAGATTTATGGACAGAAGAAGCAAGGTGACATCAGAAAATAGAAGTGAAATACAGGAACAGCTAGATTGATTACAGCTTGGGATTTTCCTTATTTAAACATGGTTTGAACATTTGACATCCTTTTATTGGCCAAAACACAGTTGTTGGTACAAAAATGAGTACAGTCTATTTACACATTCAGTTAGGTTTCAGTTTACTATGTAAACAAAACAAAACAACAAAAAAACTTATTGACCAAACTTAAACATGAAAGGGGGTAGATTTAGGGTATAATTAAACAATTTCTCCTTTTTTGGTCATCTTCTAAATTTTGATAGACCAAAACTTTAGACATTGATAACACTGTCACCATCAAAAATGTACTTAGTCTCAGATTCCACTGTGAAATAGCAGAACTATGGGTTTTGTAAAGTGGAATCAAGAAATTCAGGTTATTATTTTATTATTATTTTTAAAGGTTTGAGTAGAGGGAAACCCCTTGTGTTAAGATCTGCTGTTTACAGAAGAAAAACAAAACCTACAGAATCTACCTATTTCCTTAAATTTTCAGTTTGATTTTGTCTGTTTGGACCTAGTGCACAAGCTCAGTCCAGAATGATGGCCTCTAATAATTTTGTTCAAAAAATTTTCAACAGTGCACAGTGTAACCAAAACTCAGGGCCTTAGTACCACTGTTTCCATTATTTAGGGTCTTTGTTCTTATGTCATTCCTAGGTTATGGTTTCATCATAGTTACATATGTCTTTGAGTTTCTGTCATTCCAGTTAGTGAGAGACAATTTTATATTCTACAGGTGATTGCATGAAAACATTTCTAACTTTTGAGAATACAATGCAGCAGGGAGACTACTATTTTGACTACCAGGAGGATAATACGAAGAGTTTGAAGCGTGCTTTTTAACCAGGGTCCTCATGAACCACCAACTAACATTACATAGATCAAATAATTAGCTATAGTCTACTTATTTTAACCAAACAGCCTGTTCATTAATCCCCTACAACTGCATCTCTGTAATACCCAATGTATTTCTCCATGTGCAACTACAAGAATTAGCAACTGCAGACACTTCTGTTTATACAGTAAGTAATCCAAAGAAATTATATGATTCAGCACAACTTTAGCAAAAAATTTAAAGTCTATTGTGTAACCATAGCCTTTACAGTGCAATCTGCTATAAAGCCCTATGATAGGGGATACATTTCTAACCATTGCCTCATTTACTCTAAACCAGGGGGAAAAAAGACCTATCAAAGGATGCCCATTTAGAAAAGTAATGGCACCCTGGCAATGCTCTTTAACCTATTTTGAATAAGTTCTCTTTAACTTGTGAAATAGGTTAAGAGCAGTGGACACACATTCTGTTTCTGATGAGACAACAAATGTCCCATTAAAATTTCTCACCCATATTGGCCTTCCAGTTTTTTTTTTTTTTTCTTCTATTTTTTTGAGACGAAGTCTCGCTCTGTAGCCCAGCCTGGAGGGTAGTGGCGCGATTTCAGCTCACTGCAACTTCCACCTCCCGGGTTTAAGCGATTCTCGTGCCCCAGTCTCCCACGAGTAGCTGGGATTACAGGAGTGCACCACCACGCTGACTAATTTTTGTATTTTTAGTAGAGATGGGGTTTCACTATGTTGGTCAGGCTGGTCTCAAACTCCTGACCTCATGATCTGCCCACCTCAGCCTCCCAAAGTGTTGGGATTACAGGCATTAGCCACCGTGCCTGGCCTGCCTTTCATTTTTTACCTATAAAAGATGTTATGTTTTTTCACACGTTGGCTGCAAAATTCTCTACATATAAGTATACCCAATGAGTGCACACAAAAGATGCTTTTTAAATTTCTATTGTTTGTAGAGCCATAAACAAACTTAACTAAGAGTATCATGATAGCAAATGTGTCTTGATTTTTGATCTTATTAAAAAAGCTATCTACATAAAGATATCCATCTGCTTTTTAGGAGAAATCTTTCTGGTTAGCTTTAAGATCTCCTATGGGTTTACAATTAAAGAGTCTGGAGGGGCCCTTCTAAGTTGTGAGATTATCAACCCAGCTTTCAAAGTCTTGATGTCTTGCTTCAGTGTACATGGCAGGCAGACTCAATCTCTGGGTTCTAGATAATAAAGGGTTTTACTGTCCACAGTCAGTAGACTATTAAGGCTTTCTTCACCTTAAGGCTTTCTTCATATGCTTTGTCATAATGCATTAAAGCCTTTTTGAATTTAGTAATATTAGACTTCAGTAGCAGAAGATACATGAGGTTCTCTTAGGTGCATAGGCCTTCCAATGACTATTTTTAAATGGCCAACATATTTTTTCCACTCTAAATGGATCTGATATGTCATCAATCTGCAATTACAAAAGCAATCCAGTCAATTTAGTTAGTTTTGCTCAATACTACTGTATCTATCTTTTTTTTTTTTTGAGACGGAGTCTTGTTCTATCTCCAGACTGGAGTGCAGTGGTGTGATGTCGGCTCACTGAAACCTCCGCCTCCTGGGTTCAAGCAATTCTCCTGCCTCAGCCTCCCGAGTAGCTGGGACTACAGGCATGCACCACCATGCCCGGCTAATTTTTTGTAATTTTTAGTAGAGACGGGGTTTCACTATGTTGATCAGGCTGGTCTTGAACTCCTGACCTCAAGTGTTCCACCCACCTCAGCCTCCAAAACTGCTGGGATTACAGGCATAAGCCACCATGCCCAGCCTAATATCTTGTTTAACAGTTTTACAACTTGTCTAGAGAAATAAGTATCTTTATCACTGAAGATATGAGAAAACATGTATCCTAATATCCTTTTAGTTACTGTTATAACATCAACCCTCTTGCATGAGAAAACTTTTATACAAGAAAACATGCATTAAAATGACAATTAAATAAAATTTCTGTATAAATGTTTAAATGGCTCATCAGGTAGCAGAAATGTACAAGAAGTTTTGATTGTCTTATTGGGATTATATGCTTGACAAAAAAAATTGGTCTTAACCTATTTTAGTAATTTAGAAGAGTCACCACAAACTTAATTTATATTTAATTTAGATTATTTTATCTCTTCTGTGATGAGTAATGGAATGCAGAGCTGTTAATAATGGAAGCTTTAAGAACTCAGGAATGAACAAGTAGCTGTTGGCTGTCTAGGTTCTCCAAGAGTCCACACTTAACATTAAATTTGTCCTCTTAAATACCAGGTTTCTACAATTTAGGTGCACAGCACTGAAAACTGAGGGGTTATCATAGGTAATTTGACTTAGGCCACAGAGTTCATTCAAATGGCATGTCTAAAAAACTTCAGTACTGGCTGATTTAACACAATATGTGGCAGAATATTTTTCTAATATTTAATTAATCTTTGTTTTGCTTGGGTTAGCAGTTTTATAAGAATCAATCTCTTCATTAGGATTCTCAGAGTCCTTACCCAGTCCAAACAATTAATCCCAAACTGATCAGAAACCTATACTCGACTTTACCCATACTTTCATAAACCTCCTTAAAGACACTATATTTTACAATTTTGCAAGCTTTTGGAGTTTTGAGAAACTGCATTAGAATTAGACCATTAACTGTGGAAATGACTTAAAATGGTTATAAAGAGGCCAGACACGGTGGCTCATGCCTGTAATCCCAGCACTTTGGGAGGCCAAGGCGGGTGGATCACCCAAGGTCAGAAGTTCGAGACCATCCAGCCTGATCAACATGGTGAAACCCCTTCTCTACTAAAAATACAAAAATTAGCCAGGCATGGTGGTGCATGCCTGTAATCTCAGCTACTTGGGAGGCTGAGGCAGGAGAATCGCTTGAACCTGGGAGGTGGAGGTTGCTGTGAGCCAAGATCACACCACTGCACCCTAGCCTGGGCAACAAAAGTGAAACTCCGTCTTAAAAAAAAAAATGGTTATAAAGAGGCCAGACACGGTGGCTCATGCCTGTAATCCCAGCACTTTGGGAGGCCAAGGCGGGTGGATCACCCAAGGTCAGAAGTTCGAGACCATCCAGCCTGATCAACATGGTGAAACCCCTTCTCTACTAAAAATACAAAAATTAGCCAGGCATGGTGGTGCATGCCTGTAATCTCAGCTACTTGGGAGGCTGAGGCAGGAGAATCGCTTGAACCTGGGAGGTGCAGGTTGCTGTGAGCCAAGATCACACCACTGCACCCTAGCCTGGGCAACAAAAGTGAAACTCCGTCTTAAAAAAAAAAATGGTTATAAAGAAACAAATAAAAGAAATCGATTATGTCTTCAGCCTACAATAATTTGTCATAATAACCATAATTATGACAATTAGATATACTCAGATAAATTAGATTTTTAGAAATTTCATACATTGGCTGGGCACGGTGGCTCACGCCTGTAATCTCAGCACTTTGGGAGGCCAAGGCGGGTGGATCACAAGGTCAAAATATCAAGACCATACTGGCCAACATGGTGAAACCTTGTCTTTACTAAAAATACAAAAATTAGGCTAGGCGCAGTGGCTCACACCTGTAATCCCAGCACTTGGGGAGCCTGAGGCGGGCTCAGGAATTCAAAACCAGGTCAGGTCAGGAGTTCAAAACCAGCCTGACCAACCTGGTGAAACCCCATCTCTACTAAAAATACAAAAATTAGCTGGGTGTGGCGCCTGTAATCCCAGCTACTCGGGAGGCTGAGGCAGGAGAATCACTTGAACCCTGGAGGCAGAGGCTGCAGTGAGTCGACATCTCACAACTGCACTCCAGCCTGGGTGACAGATGGAGACTCCGCCTCAAAAAAAAAAGAAAAAAAAGGAAAAAAAAAATTAGCTGGGCGTGGTGGTGTGTGCCTGTAGTCCCAGCTACTTGAGAGACTGAGGCAGGAGAATCACTTGAACCTGGGAGGCGGGGTTGCAGTGAGCCAAGATTGCACCACTGCACTCCAGCCTGGTGACAGAGCAAGACTCCGTCTCAAAAAAAAGGAAATTTCATACATTTTGAAATAAACATTAATAACATTTATTAAAATATTAAGTTGAAGATCAAACATTTTTGACAATGCTTTCCATGTAATTCAACAAAAAAAAAATTCTGTTTCTTATTCTTTTATATGCTGCATTGGCACTCTATAGCATCCAAAAGTTAGAGGTCAAAAAAGACACAATTTTTTGGCTGGGTGCTGTGGCTCATGCCTGTAATCCCATCACTTAATGAGAGGCCGAGGCAGGTAGATCACCTGAAGTTAGGAGTTCGAGACCAGCCTGGCCAACATAGCAAAACCCCGTCTCTACTAAAAATACAAAAATTAGCCGTGCATGGTGGCACACACCTGTAATCCCTGCTACTTGGAAGGCTGAGACAGGAGAATTGCTTGAACCTGGGAGGCAGAGGTTGCAGTGAGCCAAGATCGCACCACCGTGCTCCAGCCAGGGCAATAGAGTGAGACTCTGTCTCAAAAACAAAAACAAACAAACAAAAAAAAAAGACAATTTGTAAGCTAAAATTTGATTTGGAAAAGCCTGTCAAATATGTCAAAGGATTAAAATAGTTTCTTGGTATGTGTAGGCTATTTATGATTTTCAACACTTACTAAAACTACTGTACCTGAAACAATCTCTTACCTTGAATTAAAGTGACTATAGACCGAGCTGCTAAGAAGACATTTTATTCTGTTGCAGTTTAGCAAAGTATTTGAGTACATCTTGAAGCTGTCTTTTGATTTTTACAATGGCAGCGCTGCTTTTCAAAATCCCAAAGTCAGAAGCAGCCATGGGACAAATCTCAGCAGCACTCATGATAATCACACACAGTGAATCCATCCCTCATCCTAAACCAATTGTTTTCATCCCAGACTGCATGTAAAAATCACTTGGGGCAGCGTGGGGGTGGGAGGGGGTGGTGGTGTTAAAAATCCCCTAAACACAAATTGCAACACCCTAATTAAATCAGAATTGCTTGAGTTGAACCTGGGCAACAGTGTGATTTTAATCTGTATAGGTGATGACAGAGCAGCCAAGCTTAAATGCCACCGCTGTAAATTAACATTTTTAGGTGACCTAATTGTAAATTATTTCTCAAATGAATGTAAAAATGTTTGCTGCTAAGTCATGGCCTTTTAGTCTAACCAGTATTACTAAATTATTCTTCACTGAACCAACCTTGCTGTTGGTTTTGTGCCTTAATCAACCCAGTTCCATATATACTGAGTACCCACTGAGCAAGACACTGTGCTAGGTGCCTCGGCGTTGGCAATCATTGCTGTGAGGGGACATTTTCTGGAAAAAACAAACAACAACAACAAAAAAATTGCATTCTCTTAAAATAAAAAACATACCATGAACCAAACTGAGGTAAAAATAAAAAGACCTACAGTTTCACCCAAGGGGTGGGGCTTTAATACTCCTCTTGGAATATTACAATCTGTATGATCTTGTCCTGAGTGTGTTCCACCATAAACAAACCAAAAGATGCTGCCATTATTCTGAGATGAGTTAGCATTTTGTGCAAATATGTACTATGTAATTTTTTGTTGATATAAAACATTCATACAGAAATATACGTGGAAATCATTAATTCATGCAAAGCTTAATGAATTCTTACCAAGTAATACACTGCCTGTAATCCCAGCACTTTGGAAGGCCAAAAGGGACAAACTGCTTGAGCTCAAGAGTTCAAGACGAGCTTGGGCAACATGGTGAGACCCTGTCTCTACTTTAAAAAAATAACAAAAAACAGAGCTGTGGTGGTTTTTTTTTTTTTTTTTTTTTTTTTTGGTATTTTTTTTTTAAAGTAGAGACAGGATATCACCAGAGGGTCCAGGATACTTGGAAGTCTGAGGTGGGTGTCATAAGTCTTATTGAAAAAACAGGCCAGGTGTGGTGGCTCACACCTGTAATCCCAGCACTTTGGAAGGTCAAGGTGGGCAGATCAAGGGGGTTTGAGACCAGCCTGGCCAACATGGTGAAACCCCATCATTACTAAAAATACAAAAATTAGTCAGGTGAGTTGGTACACACCTGTAATTCTAGCTACTCAGGAGGCTCAAACATGAAAATCACTTGAACCTGGGAGGTGGAGGCTTCAGTGAGCCAGGAATGCACCACTGCACTACAGCCTGGGTGACAATGACTGTCTCAAAAAAAAAAAAACAAAAACATGCGCAACTCCGGTCCAGCATCACATCATTTATTCTAAAATTCTCCCTTTGATGCTAACATTTTTCAAGTTCAAAAAACAGGCAGTAATTACTATGCGTGTGTGTATATGCCAACATATAGTTTTAAAAATTGCTAATTCATATGCTTATGAAAAAACAACAAGAATACAGTTTGTGTATAGTTTTTGACTCTTGCAGTATTCAATCAAAACACTGTTTTTCAAAGTGATTTAAATTAAGACCTTTCATTCCAACCTTTTTTTTTTTTTTTTTTGAGACGCAGTTCTCGCTCTCGTGGCCCAGGCTGGAGTGCAATGGCACGATCTTGGCTCTTCATAACATACACCTCTGGGTTCAAGTGATTCTCCTGCCTCAACCTCCCGAGGAGCTGGGATTACAGGCATGTGCCACCATACCCAGCTAATTTTGTGTTTTTTGTAGAGATGGGGTTTCTCCATGTTGGTCAGGCTAGTCTCAAATTCTCGACCTCAGGTGATCCACCTGCCTCGGCCTCCCAAAATGCTGGGATTACAGGCATGAGCAACCATGCCTGGCCTCATTCCAACCCTCTTTAATAGGGTTAGGTAATACATTTCTATTAGGTTAAGCTCCTTTTAAAATTTTCTACATTGTATCTAAATATACTCCAAATCAATGTATTTTTTTTGTTTTGTGTTGTTTTGCAGAGGAAAATTTATTCTCTGTGATGTTCAGTTTCATAAGATTTGACAACTGTCTAGAGTCACATACCCATCTTCAGAGTACCACACAGAACTGTTTCATCGTCCTAACTACTACTACTTTTTGTTATTCTTTCTCCTCTTCCTCCTGCTTTTCCTTCCTCCTCCTCTTTTTTCTTCCCCTTCCTTTTCTCCTCCTCCTTCTATTTCTCCATCTCCCCTTCTCCTTCTCCTTCTGCTTTCTTCTTCTTTTTTTTAGGAAGGTCTTGTTATATTGCTCAGGCTGCTCTTAAAATCCCTGACTCAAACAACTCTCTCACCTCAGCCTCCCAACATGCTGAGATTATAGGTTTGAGCTATCAAGCCTAGCTTGATTATAATCAATCTCTATAACTTTCTTTTTCTACAATGCCATATAATTGGATCATGTAATATGTAGCCTTTTGGATCTTACTTCCTTCACTGAAGGAAATGCATGTCTGACTCATGCATACTGTGGCGTAGATCAATAATTTGTTTTTTGTTGTTGTTGACAACTAGGATGCTATTTTATGGATGCACCACAGTTTATTCAACTGCTATAAAGCAACTGGTTTATACCTAGCTTTTTGCAATTGAAAATAAAGTTAGCAATACACAGCCACAAAAAGGTTTGCATTTCAACATTAGTTTTCACTTTGCTTTAGTAATGACCTAGGAGTGGATATCCTGGTAATATGATAAATGTATATATAACATTACAATAAACCGTTAAATTGTTTTACTGTATCATTTTACATTTCTAGTTTTAGTTGCTGTAAATCCTCATCAGCACTAAGTCCTTGCAATTTTTCTTTACATGGTTGCCATTCTCATAATTGTGTGCTCTCATTGAGACATATGCTTTTTCTTTTCCTTTTTCTGCTGGAAAGCCCAATTTATATAATCCATGTAGAAAGAAATGTATAAAATATTGTAGAAAATATTGGGTTCTGGCCAGGCATGGTAGCTCACGCCTGTAATCCCAGCACTTTGGAGGCCGAAGTGGGTGGATCATGAGGTCAGGAGTTTAGGAGCAGCTGGCCAAGATGGCTAAATCCTGTCTGTACTAAAAATACAAAAATTAGCAGGGCATGGTGGCGGGCACCTGTAATCCCAGCTACCCAAGAGGCTGAGGCAGAGAATTGCTTGAACCTGGGAGGTGGAGGATGCAGTGAGCCGAGATTGTGCCACTGCACTCCAGCCTGGGTGACAGAGCGAGACTCCATCTAAAAAAAAAAAAAAAAAAGAAAAGAAAAAATCATAACAGGACTGAGTTGTTTGCAACATAGCCTTTAGTCCTATACTCGCCCTGATTATTTGCATAAGGTGAGCAAAAATGACTATCTCTACATAGGCCTTTTAGATTGGCTTCGATGGAAATCTTCCACAAGGAATAAGACCTTCTAAAGCTGAGCACAGCCATGTGTTTGTATCCTCAAATACCTGTGAGCTGGGTAATCCTTTCCTTTTAAGGTCCCAAGACAAACTTGGAGCTCCTAGGCCTGTTAAAAAGTGATATTTTTCACTGACCACAGGTCAGGAACGCTGTACAGAGACTGTGTAGACAAGGATATGAGGGCAGTTTTTTCAAGGGGCTTTTATCATCTCTGCAAGTCAAGCTTGACTCTTTAAAGGGAAGCATACCCTTTCAGTCAAAGCCTTGGTTAAAACAAACAAACAAACAGTTTCTCCAGTTGCATCCTGTTGCTAAAGAAAATGGATTCTTATTGCACTCATACAAACAACTATATTGCCATAAGTTGAGAATACTCACAGATAGTTTCCAAATTCTAGAGGAAAGAGGCAGAGAAAAACAAACATATTCCTAATTTTGTTCATAGGAGTATACTTTACTCAATTATTGAAGGCCATAAATAGTAGTTAAAAACAAGTTTCCTTGACTCTAAAAAATTAAACAAGGATCAGCAATATACCAAGCAAAAGTCAAAAAGGTTGCTTTAGTTTTCTGAGTGCAGTCCATTTACTTAACTCTTGTTTTGCTTGATATTTGTGAACATTTTAGCTCCTCATGAGTCCTGTGCATTTTTTTTTTTTTTTTTTTTGAGATGGAGTCTCTCTCTGTCGCCCAGGCTAAAGTGCAGTGGTGTGATCTCAGCTCACTGCAACCTCCGCCTCCCAGGTTCAAGCGATTCTCCTGCCTCAGCCTCCCGAGTAGCTGAGACTAGAGGTGCCAGCCACCATGCTAATTTTTTGTATTTTTAGTAGAGTCTGGGTTTCACCGTGTTAGCCAGGATGGTCTCGATCTGAACTCGTGATCCACCTGCCTTGGCCTCCCAAAGTGCTGGGATTACAGGTGTAAGCCACCACACCCGGCCCTGAATCCTGTCCTTTTTTCCTTTATTCCAATGTCACAATCTCCAAGGCTATCAGAAACCTGTATTTGAAAGCACCTGTGAAAGTTCTATAGTTTAATATAAACCATCTTTTAAAAATAATTAAGACAAGACAACACTTGTCTGTGAATAACAAAATGTCCAGGTTAGTTACAGTTAGAAACACAATTGACAAAGAAGTTTGGCTATCTCTGTGGTTTACAATAACTTAACATAACAACCTTAATTACCATTGATACCATATATTAGAATTTTAGAAATCCCAAACAATTTTGGAACATATATTAGTATTATTCACCAAAATATAACCTAAAGATGGAATAAACACCATTTTGCCAATCTCATGTACCTAAACATGTCAAATAATTCTGTTTACCTCTCTTTTAGATACTCCAGGGACCCTCTGAAGTATCCAAAAGCCAGGAATCAGGAAAGGCAATTTTGAAACTAAAGTATGATTTTGGGAAGCATGTTAAGTGTTAGAGATTTGAAACACTTGATGTTATAAAATAGAATTTCAGATTATCCTAAATTATTTATTTTGTTACAATGACTCCAAAATTTTAAAGAAGCAACAATCTGTTATAACCGTTAACAAAGTTTGCTAAAAAGCAGATTAGTGCATTACGAGTACCTTGTTGTGCTTTTATTTCAATTTTTTATTTACAGAAAAACCATGTAGTACCTTTTTGAATTTAGTCAATATAACCACACATGGAATTCTTTGCAAGATTTTTACAATCCTTCCACCATTTGTTTGAACTTTTAGCTCTATTTTGTCTAATTCAAAACCACCTTTTATTCTCTCAGGTTCAGATAGAAAAATTCTCACTTGCCTATAAACTGAATTTAGAAATGACTCATGATTTCAACTCTGGCCGGATGTTCATATATGACAGTCACAATTTCAACTGTGGATTTTTTCCATGTGTGAGATTCAGGACTTACCAGTGGACCCTGTCCATGTGTGAAGATGACAATTTTAATGTTTGCTGGGGTATGCATATGAGAAACACAATCTCACCTGTGTTCTGAACGCTGGAATGGCAATCTCTGTACAGTAAGAGATTTATATAGTATAAAAGAAAGTGGTATTTCTCTAGGACCTTCGTACAAGAAGACCCATGACCATACTCATGATTTTAAGCCTAGCTATAAGAAACAGGATCTCTCCTATTGGCTGGTTTGAGGTATGAGAGTCACCACCACACTTGTGGCCGGGCACGGTGGCTCATGCCTGTAATCCCAGAACTTTGCGAGGCTGAGGCAGGCAGATCACTTGAAGTACGGAGCTCGAGACCAGCCTGGCCAACATGCTGAAACCATGTCTCTACGGAAAATACAAAAATTAGCCGGGATTGGTGGTGTGCACCTGTAATCCCAGCTACTTGGGAGGCTGAGGCAGGAGAATCCCTAGAACCCAGGAGGTGGAGGTTGCAGTGAGCTGAGATCACACCACTGCACTCCAGCCTGGGCGACAGAGCAACTCCATCTCCAAAAATAAAAAAAATAAATAAAATAAAAAAAAAAAAAGGATCAACATCATCACACCTGTGAGCTAGACCAAGGCATTTTACAATCTTACCTGTGAATAGGGAGAGATAAGAGTCACATCACCTGGGTTTTTGGCCAGGAGTACATCACAATCTTTTCTGAAGGCAGGGACCAAACAGGAGTGTCACATCACCTGAATACTCAACCAGGAATATGTTACAGCCTTCTCCTGAAAGCAGGACACAGACAGTACAGTCACACCACATGGGGGCTGAGCCCAGCAATAGGTAACAATCCTCTCTGTGGTCAAGGCCCAGTTACCAGAGACACATCAACTAGTACCTGGGCCTAGTGATAAGTCACAATGTTTCCTGTGGACAGAGTGCAGGCAAAAACGGAGTCACATTTCCTAGGTGACTGATGCAGAGATATGTCACAAGGCCCTCTGTAGACAAGGCCCAGGGAGGAGCCTCTATTTTACAGGTGTTGGGCCTCATAATATGTCCTAACATGCAAAATAGTTAGGGCACAGGCAAAAAAGTAGTCACATAACCTGAGTGAAGGGCTTAGAAATATGTCACAATGCACCCTGTGAGCAGTACCAATGCAAGAAAAATAACTCACATCATCTGGGTGAAAGGCCCAGCGAGGCCGGGCATGGTGGCTCATACCTGTAATCCCAGGACTTTGGGAGGCTGAGGCGGGCAGAACACGAGGTCAGGAGTTCGAGACCAGCCTGACCAACATGGTGAAACCCCGTCTCTACTAAAAATACAAAAACTAGTTGGGTGTGGTGGTGCATGCCTGTACTCCCAGCTCCTCAGGAGGCTGAGGCAGAAGAATCACTTGAACCTGGGAGGCAGAGGTTGCAGTGAGCGGAGATTGCACCATCAAGGTGCAGAGTCAAGCGATATGTCACAATCTCATCTGTGGGCTGGGCCAAGGCAGCAAAGTCAAATCACTAAGGTGGGTAGCAGATGCATACAATCACACCTGCAGAAAAGTCCAGGAATTAGAGTAGAAATTCCATATATGTCCAGGTGCTAGGTATGAGTCAACACTTTCTGTACGTTGGGTCTAAGTATGTGAGTCACAATATCAATGGTTGACAGAATGTGGGCAGGAAAGCCACAATTTCTTCTGCAGGCTTGTCCTTTCAGTGAAGTCACAGACTCTTATGTGTGCTGAATCTTGCTCTGAGAGTCACCAGTCCACCTCTAGTCCAGATCCACGTGAGAGTCAATTATTCAACTTTTCACAGTCTCTGTGTCTGACATTCAGAACCTCAATATGGGAGAATGACAATCTTTACTGTTGCCTGGGTGTACATTCAAAAGACAAAATCTCACGCATGTGCTATGTTCTCTTATGATAGTTTCACTTGATGATTTATACAATATGCAAGAGTGGTAATCCTCTGTGACCTTTGTCCAAGAAGATCTTTCCTGTGGTTCCAAGCCCAGATATGAGCATCAACATCTATCCTAACTAAACTAAACTATTGGTTTAGTCCAGATAGGAGAGTCCTCACCTTTTAACAAGCTGGGTTTAGAAATGAATCACTGCCGGGCATGGTGGTTCACACCTGTAATCCCAGCACTTTGGGAGGCTGAGGTGGGCAGATCACGAGGTCAGGACTTCGAGACCAGCCTGGCCAACATGGTGAAACCCTGTCTCTACTTAAAATACAAAAATTAGCTGGGCTTGGTGGCGGGTGCCTGGAATCACAGCTACTCAGGGGGATGAGGCAGGAGAATCGCTTGAACCCAGGAGGCAGAGGTTGCAGTGAGCCAAGATTGCATCACTGCACTCCAGCCTGGGTGACAGAGCAAGATTCTGTCTCAAAAAAAAAAAAAAAAAAAAAAAAAAAAAAAAAAAAAAAAAAAGAATCACCATCCAAATTGTGGCTAGATGTTCAATGATGACAGTCACAATTCCAATTGTGAACTGCATTCATGTGTGATTCAGGACTTCACCAGTGGACTCTGTCCATGTGTGAGGGTGACAATTCTCAAGATTGGTGGGCTGTGTATAGAACACGATCTCACCTGTGTGAGGAGCCCTGTTATGACATTCTCTGTAACACACTAGGGCTTTATATATGTCAGAGAGTGAGATTTGAACAGAAAGACGACTTCCTCATTTTCCTAAGCCTACCTAGGAGCAACATTAACTCTATTGCTTTCTTCGAGGTATGACAGTCATTACATCTTTGTGCTTGGCCACGATATATGTCACAATCCTACCCATGGGTAGACAGCAAGCACAAGAGTGACATTAACTGTGTGCTGGGCCGGGGTATGTCACAATCTTCCCTGAGGGCATGGACCAGGAAGGAGAGTCACATCACTGGGCGTTCGACCTCAGTGATTGGTGAAGACATATATCGCAATGACTTCTGTAGACAGGGTCCAGGATGAAGACTTATATCATCTGGGTGTTAGCCTCAGGCATATGTCACAATAGCCTAAGTGGGAAGAACACAAGCAAGAGAGTCACATAACTTAGGCCCAACAATATGTCACAATACACCTATGCGGCAGCACCAAGAAGAGAAAACTCACATCACCTGAGTGCAAGGCCCAGTGATATGTCACAATGCCTCCTGTGGGCTATATCAAGGCAGAACAGAGTGACATTACCAAAGGTCTGGGTCCCCTAATATGTCACTGGGTACTGGGCCCAGGTGAGAGTCAAATAACTCAGACGTTGGGCAGAGGCACATGTCACAATCACACCTATAAGAAGGTCTTTTGGTGACATTAAAAATGACAAGGTCTTGAGTCAAGGAATGAGAGTCAACATCTCCTGCAAGTTGGGTCTAAGTACAAGAAGTCACAATCTCAATGGTGGAATGGATTTGTGTATGAGAGCCTCAATTTCTCTTGTAAACCCTGTGCCTTAGTGAAGTGACAGCCACAAAGGTGTGCTGAATTTTGGTTAAAGAGTCATCAACCCAACTGTGGACAGAATCCACAAACAGAGTCCATTTTCCAACATTCAACTGCCTCCCAATGTGAGATTCAGAACCTCAGAAGTGGGTTGTGTTTATTTAAGCAGATGACAATCTCTACTGTTGACTGGTTGTGAATATGAGGGTCACAATCTCACCTCTGTGCTTGGCCCTGTCAAGACACTCTCTGTACCATTTGAGGGCTTTATATGGTATGCATGAGTCACAATCTGCTCTGAGATTTTTGTGGTGCTATGGACCTATGATCTTATGCGGCTCTAAGTCTAGGTATGAGAGTCAACATTCTCCGAATGGCTGGGTCCACAGAGGACAGTCCTCACCTGCCTATGACCTGGGTTTAGAAATGAGTCACCATCTCAACTGTGGCCAGATGTTCACATATGATATCACAATTTTAACTATGGACTGCATCTGCACATGAGAATCATGAACTCCTCCGTGGGTTCTGTCCCTGTGTGATAGTGGTAATTCTAAAAATTGACAGTGTGCTTACAAGAAACATGATCTAATCTGTTTGCTTTTTCCTATGACGACACTCTCTGTACCATCTGAGGGCTTTATACAATATGCGAGAGTATTAATTCTCTATAACCTTCATACAGAGAGGAGACCCAGGATTTTACCCCTTTTTCTAAGCCTAGCTGTGAGAGACAGTATCTCTTCTATTGGCTGGTACAAAGTATTAGAGTCATCATCACACCTGTGAGCTGGGCTAAGCTATACGTTACCAACCTACTTGTTGACAGAAAGTACCCAGAACCGTCACATCACCTGGATGCTGGGCAAATGATATGTAAAATTTTCCCTGACGGCACTGATCAGGCAGGAGAGTCATATCACCTGAGTTCTCAACCAATGGTATGTTACCATTTCTTCCTAAAAATAATGCACACGTAGGAGAGACACATCACCTGGTGGCTGGACCCTGCACTATGTCACAATCTTTCCTGTAAGCAGGGGACAGGTAGAAATGGAGTCACATTTTTTATGTAATAGATGCAGATATATGTCACAAGAACCCCTGTGGACAGGGCTGAGGCAGGGCCTCCCATCGTTTAGGTGTTTGGCACAGTGAAATGTCACAATACCAAAAATGTGGTTCTCAGGCAGAGCAGAAAAGTCACATTACCTAAGTGCTGGTTCCAGTGATATGTCACAATCTTTCCTTTTGGCAGGATCTGGGAAGAAGAGGATTCACATAACCTAGGTGATGAAGAAAAATATATGTCCTAATATGCCCATGAGCAGGGCCTATGTGCTAGAGTTGCATCAGCTATATGTTGAATGCAGTGCTATGTCAAAATATACAATTTATGCAGGGCTCAGGCAGGAGAGAGTATCATAACCTAGGTGTCAGTCCCAGTGATACATTGCAATACCTTCTTTTTTTTTTTTTCTTGAGACAGAGTCTCACTCTGTCACCCAGGCTGAAGTGCAATGGAATGATCTTGGCTCACCACAACCTCCACTTCTTGGGTTCAAGTGATTCTCCTGTCTCAGCCTCCCAAGTAGCCAGGACTACAGGGGCACACTATCATACCCGGCTATTTTTTTCTTTGTATTTTTGGTAGAGACAGCGTTTTGCCATGTTGGCCAGGCTGGTCTTAGACTCCAGACCTCAGGTGACCCACCTGCCTTGACCTCCCAAAGTGCTGAAATTACAGGCATGAGCCACCACACCTGGCCCACAATACCTCCTTGACAGAGTCCAAGCGGTGGAGAAGAGTCATATCACCTATGTGCTGAGTCAAGCAATATGTCACAGAAACCATAACCTAGGGGCTGGGTAAAACTATATGACACAATCATCCCCGTGGAAAGGGCCCAGGCAAAAGAAGAGAGTCACATAATCTAGGTGCTGGTCCCAGAGATCTTTCACAATCTCTACTATGGGAAAAACCCAGGTAAGAAAGGAGAGCTTTATCAAATAGTTGATGGGCCAAGACATGTCACAATGCCCCAAGTAGGCAGGGTGTAGGCAGGAGACAAATTACATTGGTGCTGGGCACTGCAATATGTCACAATGCCTTTTGAAGGCGGGGCCAGGCCAAATAACCTTGGTGTTGGGCCCAGCAATATTTCAGTTTTCTTCCGGGCAGGATGTATGAAGACGAGAAGAGTTACATCAGCTCGGTATGAAATCAGCAATATATATCATTATCCCCCAGCAAGCAGACACCAGGCAGGTGAAAAGATTCACCTCACCTGGGTGATGGACACAGAGATATGTCACAATGTCCCCTGTGACAGCGTCCAGGCAGGAGAAGCACATGACCTTGATGTTGGCCAAGTAATGTGTCACAATGCCTTCTGAGGGCAAACAGTAGGCCAAAGAGTAACATCATTGTTACTGTTGCTGTTGGGCCCAGTGATATGTGACAATACTTTTTGTGTGAAGAAACTAGGCAGGAGAAGAAAGTCAGGAGAAGAGTTAAATCTCCTAGACTATGGATGCAGAGATATGTCAATGAGGCACTCTATGTGCTGGGCCCAGGGAGGAGCCACATATCCCATAGGCATTGGACTCAATGATATGTTACTATACCCAGAATATGCCAGAACCGGGAAAATAAAAGGGTCATATCACCTAGGTGATGAAAAAGATGTCATAACACTTTTGTGGACAGTTCCCATGCCATAAAGTCACATTTCCTAGGTGCTAAATCCAGGCATATGTCACAATACACACTGTACGCAGGGCTTAGGCAGAACAGAATAATCACAATACATAGGTGGTGAGTCCAGCAACACATCACAGCCCTGCTTGGCCAAAGCCCAATCCATAGAGCAGAGTCACATCACCTATGTACTGGGTTCAGCAATATGTCACAGTACCCCTTGTGGGGAGGGCCCATGCAAAAGGGTCACATCACCTAAATGATGGGCTCAAAATATGTCAAAATGCCTTCTGTGGGTAGGGCTCAGAAAAAAAAGAATCGCATGACCTAGGGGCTGCGCCCAGCTATATGTAACAAACACCCCAGTTGGCAGGGCCGATGCATGAGAGAAGAGTCACATCACCTAGGTGCTGGGCTCAGTGATGTGTAACAATACTTTTTTGGGAGGGCCCAGGCAGAAGAGGAGTGTCACACCACCTAGGTGATTAATAGAAAGATATCTTATAATACCCCTATGGGTGGGGGCCCATGTAGGAGAGTTGCATTACCTAGGTGCTGGAGCCAGTGATATGTGTCAATAAGCAATGTATGCAGGTCCCAGGCTGGAGAGGAGTCACCTCACCTAGGTTCTTGATAGAGTGGTATGTCACAATCCCTTTTTAGGCAGAAACCAAACAGTACAGTAGAGTTACATCACCTAGATGCTGGGCCCAGCAATGTCACGGTACCTTGAGAAGAGGGCCCAAACAAAGAGTCATTTCACCTAATTGAGGGTCTCACAGATATGACACAATGCTACCTGTAGGTAGGGCTCAGGAAGAAGTGTGGAGTCACATAATCTTGGAGCTGGGGCCAACTACATGTCAAAATCACCCCAGTGGCCCAGGTGTAAGAAGAGAGTCGTATCTTGTAGGTGCTTGGCCAAAAAGTGTCATACTCTCCACTGTGGACAGGTCCCAGGAAAAAGACAGTCACAATCTCAGTGATGGGCCAAGATATATGTCACAATGACTTCTGTGAGTGGAGGAAAATCACATCATGTGTATGCTAAACTCAGTAATAAGTCACTCTCTCTCCTGTAGGCAAAGCACAGGCAGAAGAGGACAGTCAAATCACCTCAGTGCTGGGTGCAAAGTATGTCACAATCTCTTTTTGGGCAACATCCAGGTAAGAGAGGAGAGTCACATAAAATAGTCAAAGGGCCCAGAGGTATGTCACAATGCACCTTGTAGGCAGGATCCAGGCAGGAGACTCACATCACATTGGCTCTGGGCCCAGCAATACACCACCACGGCTTCTGAGGGCAGTGCCAAAACTAAAGAATGATGTCATCTTAGTATTAGGCCCAGTGACATGTCACAATGTCCTCTGAGGGCAGAATCTAGAAAGAGGGGGAGAGTCATGTGAGCTAGGTGCTTAGCCCAGTGATATGTTACAATCTCTTCTGTGAGAAGGGGCCAGGTAGGAGAATAGAGTTGCATTACCTGTGTGATGGGTTCAGGGATACATCACAAAGTCCTCCATAGGCAGGACCTAGGCAGTAGAGCTACATCAACCAGTTGTTGGACCCAGCAATATGTCACAATGGCCCACATGGACAGGGCACACGCAGGAGAGTCACATAACGTACGTGTGAGGCCCAACGATATTACACAATGTCCCCTGTGGAAGAACCAAGGCAGAAGATTCACACCACCTGGGTACAAGACCCAGTGATATGTCACTATGTCCTCTGTGGGCAGTGTCAAGGCAGTAAGATAGTCACATTACCTCAGTGCTGGGTCCAGTGATATGTCACAATCCCTTCTGTGAGTTGGGCCCAGGCAGGAGCATCAAATCCCTCTGGTGCTGGGTAAAATCATATGTCATAATCGCACCAGCAGGATGTTCAGGGATGAGATTATGCATCTG
This sequence comes from Homo sapiens, assembly GCF_000001405.40. Lineage (NCBI taxonomy): Eukaryota > Metazoa > Chordata > Mammalia > Primates > Hominidae > Homo > Homo sapiens. The sequence continues at coordinate 23,095,013 of NC_000019.10, read as the reverse complement.
AACTGGAAAGAGTCAACACATCAAAAATATAACCAGATGAGGCACGGTGGCTCATGCCTGTAATCCCAGCACTTTGGGAGGCCAAATCGGGAGGATAGATGGAGCCAAGGAGTTTGATACGATACTGGGGGCAACATTGTGAGACATCTCTAATGAAAAATGACAAAGTTAAAAGAGTAATATATATAACCAAAGCCTGGACAACATAGTGAGACCACATCTCTACTAAAAAAATAGATAGGCCGGGCTCCTTGGCTCACGACTGTAATCCCAGCACTCTGGGAGGCCGAGGTGGGTGGATCACCTGAGGTCAGGAGTTCGAGATCAGCCTGGTCAACATGTTGAAACCCCATTTCTACTAAAAATACAAAAGTTAGCTGGGTGTGGTGGCACACGCCTGTAATCCCAGATACTTGGGAGGCTGAGGATGGAGAATTGCTTGAACCCAGGAAGCGGTGGTTGCAGTGACTGGAGATGGTGCCCAGCCTGGGTGACAAGAGTGAAATTCCATCTCAAAATAAATAAATAAATAAATGAAAACTTATTTATTTTCTACCTACCTACCTACCACCTACCTACCTACCTATCTATAGAGTGCCCACAGATAGATAGACAGATAGACAGATAGATAGATAGATAGATAGATAGATAGATAGAGCCAGGCATGGTGGCTCACACCTGTAATTCCAGCACTTTGGGAGCCAAAGCCTGATTTAAAAAAAAAAAAGAAAAGAAAAAATCTAAAATAACAGGAACTTCAGTATGCAGGAAGGAGCATAACAGAGAGAAAAGAAAGAAAAAAAAAACAGCAATTCAATGTACTGTGGAAACAAACTTGAAGTGGGCCTAGGGAAAAAAACAAAACAAAACAAAACAGAAAGATCCCCAGAGCCGCAGCCACTTGGGAGACCAAAATGGGAGGATCGCCTCGGTAAGCCTGGGAAGATGGAGGTAGCAGTGAGCCACAATCGCACCCTCTGCTGGATCTAAGCAGTTCTGACCCCGGCGAGAGCCCTCTGGTCCACCTGAAACACTTCAAGCTGGTGGCCAAGTCCTACACTCTTGGCAAACATCTGGTGGACCTGGCAGACAGAAGGAAAAGCCAACTGGCAGAGGCACAGCGGGTCCACCCTACAGGCCAAGGGAGGCGCTCGTGGCCTGAAGCTGTTCCTCTGGTATCTAAGTTGCCAACCTTCCTTCCCACCATGCCCCTGACCCCGTCTGTTGATCAACCGTAGGTGGTGGAAAGAGGAGGAAGGGCTCAAGTGCAGGGACTGCCCCTTAGTGACCACCCTACCCCTGGGGTGGGAGAGGGCTGGGACCAAGACGGCTACCTCTGGGCCCTCAGGGCCTTACCTGGGATGGAGCCTGCTGGGCCACATCCCCAGACACCAGTGCCTCAGCCATCCACACCAGGCTCCCCCAGCCCTGTCCCAGCCCGGGGATCAAGCTGCCACCACCCCCACCCCCAAGAATGAGGGGGGGAAGCAGGAACCAGAGGGGCGGGATGCCAAGCAGGGGTACCCCCTAACCCACAGCAGGGGCACCCACCATGCAGCATGCCGTCCCTTCCGGCAATTAGAAAGCCCACAGGCAAACCCCTTCCGGGCCCTCAGAAGATGACACAGGATGGTCCCTGAGTCCCCATGGGAAGAAAGATTCACAGTTGAATTCCACCAGATGTAAAAAGAAGAGCTGGTACAGTTTCTACTGAAATTCTTTCAAAAAATTAACGACAGGCTGGGCGCAGTGGCTCATGCCTGTAATCCTAGCACTTTGGGAGGCCAAGGCGAGTGGATCACCTGAGATCAGGAGTTCGAGAACAGCCTGGCTAACAGGGCGAAGTCCTGTATCTACTAAAAATACAAAATTAGCTGGGCCTAGTGGCGTGTGCCTGTAAGAGGCTGAGGCAGAAGAATCACTTGAACCCGGGAGGCGGAGGTTACAGTGAGCTGAAATCACACCATTCCACTCCAGCCTGGGTGACAAGAGTTTTGTTTTGTCTCAAAAAAACAAAAACAAAAACAAAAAAACAATTGAGGAGAAGGGACTTCTCCCTAACTCATTCTATGAGGCCAGGACAATCTTCACACCAAAACCCAACAGAGTACAACAAAAAAAGAAAGCTTCAGGTAAGTATCTTTGATGAACAGTGATGCAAAAAATTTCAACAAAATACTGGCAAACCAAATTCAGCAGCAAATGAAAAAACTTATCCACCAGAATCAGGTAGGCTTCATCTCTGAAATGCAAGGTTGGTTGAACATACTGAAATTAAGAAATATTATTCAGGCCAGCTGTGGTGGCTCACACATGCAATCCCAGCACTTTGGGAGGCCGAGGTGGGCGGATCATCTGAAGTCAGGAGTTTGAGACCAGCCTGGCCAACATGGTGAAACCCCATCTGTTTTTTATTTTTATTTTTTTGAGATGGAGTTTTGCTCTTGCCCAGGCTGGAGTGCAATGGTGCAATCTTGGCTCACCGCAACCTCTGCCTCCTGGGTTCAAGTGATTCTCCTGTTTCAGCCTCCCAAGTAGCTGGGATTATAGGCATGCACCACCATGCCCAGCTAATTTTTTTAAGAGAGATGGGGCTTCTCCATGTTCATCAGGCTGGTCTCGAACTCCCAACCTCAGGTGATTCGCCTGCCTCGGCCTCCCAAAGTGCTGGGATTACAGGCAAGAGCCACAGCACCTGGCCACCAACCCCATTTATATTAATCTGTTTTCATGCTGTTGATAAAGACATACCTGAGACTGAGAAGAAAAAGGTTTAATTGGACTTACAGTTCCACATGGCTAGGGAGGCATCAGAATCATGGTGGGAGGCAAAAGGCCCTTCTTATATCACAGCAGCAAGAGAAAATGAGAAAGAAGCAAAACTGGAAACCCCTGATAAGCCCATCAGATCTTGAGAGAGATATTCACTATCACGAGAATAGCATGGGAAAGAACAGCCCTCATGATTCAATTACATTCCCCTGGGTCACTCCCACAAAACACGGGACTTCTGGGATACACAACTCAAGTTGAGATTTGAATGGGGACACATCCAAAGAATATCATTCTGCCCCTGGCCCCTCCAAATCTCATGTCCTCACATTTCAAATCCAATCATGCTTCCCCAACAGATCCCCAAAGTCTTAACTCATTTCAGCATTAACCCAAAAGTCCACAGTCCAAAGTCTCATCTGAGACAAGGCAAGTCCCTTCTGCCTATGAGTCTGTAAAATCAAAAGCAAGCTAGTTACTTCCTAGATACAATAGGGGTACAGGCATTGGGTAAATATAGCCATTCCAAATGAGATAAATTGGACAAAATAAAGGGGTTACAGGGACCATGCAAGTCCAAAATCCAGCGAGGCAGTCAAATTTTAAAGCTCCAAAATGATCTCCTTTGACTCCAAGTCTCAGATCCAGGTCACGCTGATGCAAAAGGTGGGTTCCCATGATCCGGAACAGCTCCACCCCTGTGGCTTTGCAGGGAACAGCTTCCCTCCCAGTTGCTTTCACTGGCTGGCATTGAGTGTCTGCAGCTTTTCCAGGTGCACAGTGCAAGCTGTGGGTGAATCTACCATTCTGGGGTCTGGCGGATGGTGGCCTTCTTCTCACAGCTCCACTAGGCTGTACCCCAGTAGGGACTGTGTGGGGGCTCTGACCCCACATTTCCCTTCCACACTGCCCTAGCAGAGGTTCTCCATGAGGGCTCCACCCCTGCAGCAAACTTCTGCCCGGATATCCACGTGTTGCCATACATTTTCTGAAATCTAGGTGGAGGTTCCTAAACCTCAATTCTTGACTTCTGTGCACCCACAGCCTCAACACCACATGGAAGCTACCAAGGCTTGAGGCTTCCACCCTCTGAAGCCACAGCCAAAGCTGTACATTGGCCCCTTTCAGCCATGGCTAGAGTAGCTGGGACACAGGACACCAAGTCCTTAGGCTGCACACAGCATGGGGACCCTGGGCCCCGGGCCACAAAACCACTTTTTCTTTTTCTTTTTTTTTTTTTTGAGACGAAGTCTTGCTCTTGTCACCCAGGATGGAGTGCAATGGCATGATCTTGGCTCACTGCAACCTCCACCGCCTCCTGGGTTCAAGTAATTCTCCTGCCTCAGCCTCCTGAGTAGCTGAAATTACAGGCACCTGCCACCATGCCTGGCTAGTTTTTGTATTTTTAGTAGAGATGGGGTTTCACCATATTGGCCAGGCTGGTCTCAAACTCCTGACTTCAGGTGATCCACCCACCTCAGCCTCCCAAAGTGCTGGGATTACAGGCATGAGCCACCATGCCTAGCAAAACCACTTTTTCTTCCTGGGCCTCTGGGCCTGTGATGGGAGGAGCTGCTGTGAAAATCTCTGACATGGCCTAGAGATGTTTTCCCCATGGTCTTGGGGATTAACATTAGGCTCCTTGCTACTTATGCAAATTTCTGTAGCCAGCTTGAATTTCTCCTCAAAAAATGGGGTTTTCTTTTCTATTGCATCATCAGGCTGCAAATTTTCTGAACTTTTATGTTCTGTTTCCCTTTTAAAACAGAGTGCTTTTAAAAGTACCCAAGTCACCTCTTGAATGCTTTTCTGCTTAGAAATTTCTTCCACCAGATACCTTAAATCATCTCTCTCAAGCTCAAAGTTCCACAAATCTCTAGGGCAGGGCAAAATGCCACCAGTCACTTTGCTAAAACATAAGGCTCACCTTTGCTTCGGTTCCAAGTTTCTCATCTCCATCTGAGACCACCTCAGCTGGGATTTTTTTTTTTTTCTTTGAGATGGAGTCTCATTTTGTTGCCAGGCTAGAGTACAGTGGTACAATCTTGGCTCACAGCAACCTCCGCCTCTCGGGTTCAAACAATTCTCCTGCCTCGGCCTCCCAAGTGGCTGGGACTACAGGCATGCGCCACCACACCCAGCTGATTTTTGTATTTTTAGTAGAGACAGGGTTTCACCATGTTGGCCAGGATAGTCTTGATCTCTTGACCTCGTGGTCTGCCCTCCTCAGCCTCTCAAAGTGCTGGGATTACAGGCATGAGCCACTGTGCCCAGCCCTCTCAGCTGGAATCTTATTGTTCATATCACTATCAGCATTTTTTTCAAAGCCATTCAATACATTTTTAGGAGGTTCCAAACTTTCCCACATTTTCCTGTCTTCTTCTGAGCCCTCCAAACTGTTCCAACCTTTGCCTGTTACTCAGTTCCAAAATCGCTTCCACATTTTCGGTTATTTTTTTTCAGCAAGGCCCCAGTCTACTGGTACCAATTTACTGTATTAGTCTGTTTTCACACTGCTGATAAAGACATAACCAGGACGGGGAAGAAAAAGCGGTTTAATTGGACTTACAATTCCACATGGCTGGGGAGGCATCAGAAACATGGCAGTAGCCAAAAGGCACTTCTTACATCACAGCAGCAAGAGAAAATGAGAAAGAAGCAAAGCAGAAACCACTAATAAACCCATCATATCTTGTGAGACTTATTCAATATCACGAGAATACTACAGGAAAAAAACAGACCCCACGATTCAATAATCTCCCCCCGGTCCCTCCCATAACACATGGGAATTCTGGGAAACACAATTCAAATTGAGATCTGAATGGAGACTCAATCAAACAATATCACTGTCTCTACTAAAAATACAAAAATTAGCAGGGCATGGAGGCGCCCACCTGTAGTCCCAGCTACTTGGGACTGAGGCAGGAGAATTGCTTGAACCTAGGAGACAAAGGTTGCCAGAAGCCGAGATCACACCACTACACTCCAGCCTGGGAGACAGAAAAAAATAAATAGGAAAAAAGAAATACGATGCATCATATAACAGAACTAAAGACAAAAACCACATAATCAGCCAGGCGCGGTGGCTCACGCCTGTAAGCCCAACACTTGGGAGGTCGAGCCAGGTGGATCGCCTGAGGTCGAGAGTTCGAGACCAGCCTGACCAACATGGAGAAACCCCCTCTCTACTAAAAATACAAAATTAGCCAGGCAAGGTGGCACATGCCTGTAATCCCAGCTACTCGAGAGGCTGAGGAAGAAGAATCACTTGAACCCGGGAGGTGGAGGTTGTGGTGAGCCGAGATCGCACCACTGCACTCCAGCCTGGGCAACAAGAGAGAAACTCCATCTCAAAAACCAACCAACCCACCAACCAACCAACAAACAAAAAGGAACAAAACCACATGATCATTTCAATAGATGCATAAAAAACTTTCAATACACTTCAACATCCATTCATGTTAAAAACTCTCAATACGCTGGGCATGGTGGCTCACACCTGTAATCCCAGCACTTTGGGAAGCTGAGGTAGGCAGATCACTTGAGGTCAGGAGTTCAAGACCAGCCTGGCCAACATGGTGAAAACCCATCTCTACTAAAAATACAAAAAATTAGCCAGGCGTGGTAGCACACGCCTGTAGTCCCAGCTACTCGGGAGGCTGAGGTGGGAGAATCTCTTGAGCCCAGTAGGTGGAGGCTGCACTGAGATCATGCCATTGCACTCCAGCCTAGGTGCTGGAGAGACAGAGTGAGACACCATCTGGAGAAAAACAAAAAACAAACAAACAAAAAAACCCCTCTCAATAAACAAGGTATTGAAAAAATATATCTCAAAATACTAAAAGACATCTATGACAAACCCACAGCCAACATTATACTGAATGGGCAAAAACTGGAAACATTCTCGTTGAAAACTAAAACTAGGCTGGGTGCGTGGCTCACACCTGTAATCCCACCACTTTGGGAGGCCAAGGCGGGCAGATCACCTGAGGTCAGGTGTTCAAGACCAGCCTGGCCAACATGGTGAAACCACATCTCTACTAAAAATACAAAAATTAGCCAGGCGTGGTGGTGGGCACCTGTAATCCCAGCTGCTCGGGAGGCTGAGGCAGGGAGAATTGCTTGAACCCGGGAGGCGGAGGTTCCAGTGAGCCAAGATCGCACCACTGCACTCCAGCCTGGGTGATAGGGTGAGACTCCCTCTCAAAAAACCAAACAAACAAAAACTAAAACTAGACAAGGATGCCCTCTTTCATCACTCCTATTCAACATAATATTGGAACTTCTGGTCCGGGTAACAAGAAAAGAGAAAGAAATAAAGGGCATCTAGGCTGAGTGTGGTGGCTCACACCTGTAATCCCAGCACTTTGGGAGGCCGAGGTGGTGGATCACCTCAGGTTGGGAGTTCGAAACCAGCCTGACCAAGATGAAGAAACCTGTCTCTACTAAAAATACAAAATTAGCCAGGCGTGGTGGCGCATGCCTGTAATCCCAGCTACTTGGGAGGCTGAGGCAGGAGAATTGCTTGAGCCTCAGAGGTGGAGGCTGCAGTGAGCCAAGATCATGCCATTGCACTCCAGCCTGAGCAACAAGAGCAAACTCCGTCTCAAAAAAAAAAAAAAAGCAAGAAAAGACAAGAAAAATAAAGGGCATTCAAATAGAAAAAGAGGAAATCAAACTATTCCTGTTTGCAGATAACATAATCTTATATCGAGAATATGCCATAATCTCAGCCCATAAGCTCCTTAAGCTGATAAACAACTTTGGCAAACTCTCAGAATACAAAATCAATGTGCAAAAATTACTAGCATTTCTTTTTTTCTTTTTTTTCTTTGAGACGGAATCTTGCTCTGTCTCCCAGGCTGGAGTGCAGTGGTGCGATCTCGACTCACTGCAACCTCTGCCTCCCGGGTTCAAGCAATTCTCCTGCTTCAGCCTTCTGAGTACCTGGGATTACAGGCACCCGCCACCATGCCTGGCTAATTTTTGTAATTTTAGTAGAGACAAGATTTCACCATGTTGGCCAGGCTGGTCTCGAACACCTGATCTCAGGTGATCCAACTGCCTGGGCCTCCCAAAGTGCTGGGATTATAGGCATGAGCCACTGCACCCAGCCAAAAATTACTAGCATTTTTTTACATTAATGACAGTCAAGCTGAGAGCCAAATCACGAACAAACTCACATTCACAGTTGCCACAAAAAAGATAAAATGCCTAGGAATACAGCTAACAAGGGAGGTGAAAGATCTCTACAAGGAGAACTACAAACCACTGCTCAAAGGTATCAGAAATGACACAAATGGAAAAACTTTCCATGCTTATGAATAATAAGAATCCATATCACTAAAATGGCCATACTGCCCAAAGCAATTTATAGATTCGATGCTTTTCCCATTAAACAAGCATTGACATTCTCACAGAATTAGAAAAAAATTATTTTAAAATTCATATGAAACTTTCCAAAAAACACCCTGAATAGGCATGACAATCCTAAACACAAATAATAGCAAAGCTGGAGGCATCACACTACCCGACTTTCAACTATACTACAGGGCTCCAGAAACTAAAACAGCATGGTACTGGTACAAGAACAGAAACAGACCAATGGAACAGAATAGAGGGCCAGAAATTAAGCTGCACACCTACAACCATCTGACCTTTGACAAAGCTGACAAAAGCAATGAGCAAAGAATTTTCTCTTCAATAAATAAACTGGCTAGCCATTTGCAGAAAATTAAAACTTGATCCTTTCCTTACACCCTATACAAAAACTAACTCAAGATGGATTACAAACTTAAATGAAAAACCCAAAACTATAAAAACCCTGAAAGACAACCTAGGTAACATGATTCAGGACATAGGCACAGGCAAAGACTTCATTACAAAGATGCCAAAGCAATCACAATAAATAAATAAATAAGTAAAATCTAATTAAACTAAAGAGCTTCTGCAAAGCAAAAGAAACTATGAACAGAGTAAACAGAACCTACGGTATGGGAGAAAATTTTTGCAAACTATGCATCCGTCAAAGGTCTAATATCCAGCAGCTAGAAGAAACAAATTTACAAGACATAAACAACTCCATTAAAAATTGGGTGGGGCCGGGCAAGGCGGCTCACGCCTGTAATCACAGCACTTTGGGAGGCCAAGGCGGGTGGATCATGAGGTCAGGAATTCCAGACCAGCCTGGCCACGACGGTGAAACCCCGTCTCTATTAAAAATACAAAAATTAGCTGGACATGGTGGCAGGCGCCTGTAATCCCAACTACTCAGGAGGCTGAAGCAGAGAATTGCTTGAACCTGGGAGGCGGAGGCTGCAGTGAGCCGAGATCGTGCCACCGCACTCCAGCCTGGGTGACAGAGCGAGACTCCATCTCAAAAAAAAAAAAAAAAAAAAAAAAAAAGAAAAAAAAATTGGGTGAAATAGGTCTGGGTGCGGTGGCTCACATCAGTAATCATCACTTTTGGAGACAAAGGCGGGTGGACCACCTGAGGTCAGCAGTTCGAGACTAGCCTGGTCAACATGGTGAAACCCTATCTCTACTAAAAATACAAAAAAATAATTAGCCAAACTTGGTGGTGGGAGCCTGTAATCCCATCTACTAGAGAGGCAGAGGCAGGAGAATCGCTTCAATCTGGGAGGTGGAAGTTGCAGCCAAGATCATGCCACCGCACTCCAGCCTCGGTGACAGAGCAAGACTCTGTCTATATTTAAAAAAAAAAAAAAAAAAAAAAAAAAAAAAAGACGGGCATGGTGGCTCATGCCTGTAATCCCAGCACTTTGGGAGGCTGAGGAGGGCGGATCATTTGAGGTCAGGAGTTCGAGAACAGCCTGACCAACATGGTGAAACCCTGTCTCTACTTAAAAAAAAAGAAAAAAAGCAAAAAAAGATGGGTAAAGGACATGATCCTTTAAAAAGAAAAAAAACAAACAAAGGTGGGTAAAGGACACGAACCTTTAAAAGGACATGAGCCTTTAAAAAGAAGACTTATGTGTGATCAAAATCATCTGAAAGAAAGCTCAACATCACCGATTAGAGAAATGCAAATCAAAACCACAATGAGATACCATCTCACCTTAGTCAGAATGGCTATTTTAAAAAAGCAAAATAATAACAGATGCTGACGAGGTTGTGGAGGAAAAGAAATGCTTATACTCTGTTGGTGGGAGTGTAAATTTGTTCAGCTAAGGTTGAAGACAGTGTGGTGATTTTTTAAAGACCTAAAGACAGAAATAACATTTGACCAGTAATTTCATTACTGGGTATATAGCTAAAAGAATATAAATTCTTCTATTATAAACACACATTCACGTGTATGTTCACTGCAGCACTATTCACCATAGCAAAGACATGAAATCAACTGAAATGTCCATTAATGATAGACTGGATAAAGAAAAATGTGGTACATATACACCATGAAATACTATGCAGCCATAAAAAAGAATGAGATCATGTCCTTTGCAGGCATGTGGACAGAGCTGGAGGCCATTATCCCTAGCAAACTAACACAGGAATAGAAAACCAAATACTGCATGTTCTCATTTATAAGTGGGAGGTAAATAATGAGAACACATGGACACACAGAGGGGAACAGCACACACTGGGGCCTTTCAGAGGGTGGAAGGTTGGAGGAGGAAAAGGATCAGGAAAAATAACTAATGGGTACTTAGGCTTAATCTTTACAACAAACCCATATGACACATGTTTACCAGTGCAACAAACGTACACTTGTACCCCTGAACTTAAGTTTTTTTAAAAGACCTATTTGTACGTTTTAAAGAAGAATCGGCCAGTATTTTCAAAGATGGTTTTGTTTCTAAAATGTAATCTGCCACTTGTCTAGGAAATACTTTTTATACATTTTTTTTAAAAGCGCAAAGCTGAAGGCATCACAATATCTGACTTCAAAATTTGCTACATGGCTATTATAACCAAAACAGCATTGTACTCACATAAAAACAAACACATAGATCAATGTGCCCAATAAGCTCAGAAACAAATCTATGCACCTAAAGCCAACTAGTTTTTAACAATGGTATTGAGAACACACTTTGGGGAAAAGACAATCTCTTCAACAAATGGCAGGGAAAATCAAATATCCATACACAGAATAATATAACCAGATCCCTACCCCTCATTATATACAAAAATCAACTCAAGATGAATTAAAGACTCAAATGTAATACCACAAACTATGAAACTATTAAACAGAAACATAGAAAAAATGTTTTAAAACATTAGACTGGGAAATAATTTTTTAAAATAAGACTTCAAAAGCATAGGAAACAAAAGCAAAAATGAGCTAATGAGATTACATCAAGCTAAAATGCTTTTGCATATAAAAGGAAACAACTATGAGGGTGAAGAGGCAATCTAAAAAATGAAGGAAAATAATGTACAAACTATACATATGACAAGGAATTAATATTCAAAATTATTTTAAAAACTGTGAAATTCTAAAATAAAACACAATCTATTAAAAATATGTAGATCTTAACAGGTATTATCAAAAAAACATATGAATGGCTAACAGGTACATAAAAAGATGCTCAACATAAACTAATCACCAGGTAAATGCAAACCCAAACTACAATAATATACAACCTAACGCTATTAGAATGGCTATACTTAAAAAAAAAAAAACAAGCACTAATGAGGATGTAATAAAGAGGAAACACATACACACTGTTGGCGGGAGTGTAAATATTTATGTCCATTATAGAAAATAGTATGGAGGTTCCTCGAATAATTAAAAATAGAGCTACTATATGACCCAGTAATGTTACTACTGGGTATGTATCTTCTTTCTTTCTTTGAGATGGAGTCTCGCTGTGTCCCTCAGGCTGGAGTGAAGTGGCACAATCTCGGCTCACTGCAACCTCCCCCTCCCCGGTTCAAGCGGTTCTCCTGCCTCAGCCTCCCGAGTAGCTGGGACTACAGGCATGTGCCACCATGCCTGGCTAATTTTTGTATTTTCAGTAGAGGCAGGTTGTCACCGTATTGGCTGGGCTGGTCTCGAACTCCTGACCTCGTGATCAGCCGGCCTCAGCCTCCCAAAGTGCTGGAATTACAGATGTGAGCCACCGGGCTCAGCCACTACTGCCTATATATCTAAAAAAAAGAAAATCCATATTTCAAAAAGATATCTGCATTCCCGTGTTTATTGCAGCACTATTTATAAAAGCTAAGATACAGAATCAATTCAAATGTATAGCAACAGATAAATGAATAAAGAAAAAAGGCCGGGTCCGGTGGCTCACACCTGTAATCCCAGCACTTTCGAAGCCTGAGGTGGGCAGATGACCTGACGTCAGGAGTTCGAGACCAGCCTGACCAACGTGCAGAAACCCCGTCCCCTAAAAACACAAAATTAGTTGGGCATGGTGGCACATGCCTGTAATCCCGGCTACTTGGGAAGCTGATGCAGGAGAATCACCTGAACCCAAGAGGCAGAGATTGCGGTGAGCCGAGATCACGCCATTGCACTCCAGCCTGGGTAACAAGAGCGAGATTTTGTCTCAAAAAAAAAATGAAAAAAGAAAATGTGGTATACATACACAATACAATACTACTTAGCTATTAAAAAAAATTATGCCAGGCGCTGTGGCTCACGCCTGTAATCCCAACACTTTGGGAGGCTGAGGCGGGTGGACTGCCTGAGCTCAGAAGTTTGCAACCAGCCTGGGCAACATGGTGAAACCCTGTCTCTACTGAAATACAAAAAATTAGCTGGGCATGGAGGCGGGCGCCTGTAATCCTAGCTACTCGGGAGGCTGAGGCAGGAGAATTGCTTGAACCTGGGAGGCAGAGGTTGCAGTGAGCCAAGATCGTACCATTGCACTCCAGCCTGGGCAACAGAGCAAGACTCCATCTCAAAAAAAAAAAAAATTCTGCTATTTGCAACAACATGGGTGGACCAAGAGGATATCATGTTAAGTGAAATGTCATACACAGAAAGACAAATACTTCATGATCTCATAATTTTACTCATACGAGGACTCTGAAAAAAAGGGTTTATAGAAGCAAAGAATACAACAGGTGTCACCAGAGACTAAAGTGGGAGGATGGGAAGAGGTTACTTAACAAATATTAAGTTACAATTAAAGAAGAAGAGTAAGTTCTGGTTTTCTATTACACAGTAGGATGACAATGATGAATAAAAAAGTGTTGCATATTACAAAATAGTTAGCAAAGTCCAGGTGTGGTGGCACATGACTGTAATTCCTACAGTGTGAAAGACTGAGACAAGAGAATTACTTGAAGTCAGAAGTTCAAGACCAGCCTGAACAACATGAGACCTCATCTCTACAAAAAATAAATAGACATGGCATGGTGGCATATTTTTGTAGCCCCAGCTACTAGGGAAGCTGAGGTGGAAAGATAGTCTGCGAGTTTGGGGTTACAGTGAGCTATCATTGCTCCACTGCACTCCAGTCTGGGTGACAGAACAAGAGTCTGTCTATAAACAAATAAATAAAAGATAAGGCTGGGTGTGTTGGCTCAAGACTGAAATCCCAGCACTTTGGGAGGCCGAGGTGGGTGAATCACTTGAACCCAGAAATTCAAGTCCAGTCTGGCCAACATGGCAAAATCCCATCTCCACTGAAAATACAAAAATTAGCCAGGTGCAGTGGCTCACACCTGTAGTCCCAGCACTTTGAGAAGCCGAGGCGGGTGGATCACCTGGGGTCAGGAATTTGAGACCAGCCTGGCCAACATGGTGAAACCCCATCTCTACTAAAACTACAAAGATCAGGTGGGCGTGGTGGCTCACGCCTGTAATCCCAGCTACTCAGAAGGCTGAGGCAGGAGAATCGCTTGAACCCGGGAGGCGGAGGTTGCAGTAAGCTAAGATAGCACCATTGCACTCCAGCCTGGGCGACTGAGAGAGACTACATCTCAAAAAAAGAAAAACAAAAAACAAAAATTAGCTGGGAGTGGTGGCAAATGCCTGTAATCCAAGCTGCTCAGGAGGTTCAGGCACGAGAATCACTTGAACCCAGGAGGCAGAGTTTGCAGCAAGCCGAGATCACACTACTGCCCTCCAGCCTCTGCAACAAAGTGAGACCCTCAAAAAAAAAAAGAAAAAAAGAGGTCTAGTATGGTGGCTCACGCCTGTAATCCCAGCACTTTGGGAGGCAGAGGCGGCTGGATCACCTGAGGTCGGGAGTTCGAGAGCAGTCTGGCCAACATGGCGAAACACTGTATCTACGAAAAATTCAAAACTTAGCCAGGAGTGGTGGCGTGCACCTGTAATCCCAGCTACTTGGGAGGCAGAGGCAGGAGAATCGCTAGAACCTGGGAGGCAGAGATTGCAGTAAACCGAGATTGTGCCACTGCACTCTAGCCTGGGCGACAGAGCAAGACTCCATCTCAAAAAAAAAAAAAAAAGAAAAGAAAAAAGAAACAAAACAGAAAAAAAGAAATGAACTAAGGCTTTAACATAAAATCTATAACTGTAAAACTCCTAGAACAATACAGAAGGGGGAAGCTTCATGACAATGGGTTTGGCAATGATTTGGGGAACACAACATCAAGAGATCAGGCAATAAAAGTAAGAGCATAGCCAGGCACAGTGGTTCACGTCTGTAATCCCAGCACTTTGGGAGGCCGAGGCAGGTGGATCACTTGAGGCCAGGAATTTGAGACCAGCCTGGGCAACATGCTGAAACCCCGTCTCTACTAAAAATAAAAAACTTAGCCAGGCATGGTGGTGCGCACCTATAATCCCAGCTACTCAGAAGGCTGAGGTAGAGAATCACTTGAAGTCGGGAGGCAAAGGTTGCAGTGAGCCGAGATCACGCCACTGCACTCCAGCCTGGGTGGCAGAGTGAGACTCTGTCTCAAAATAAAAAAAAAAAAATAAGAGTATATACATGACACTAAATCAGTGGATTCAAAATATCCCATAGTCAAGGCAAAACATGGAACAGATATTTGTACATTCATGTACATTGCAGTATGACTCACAAAAGATAATACCTGGAAGCAAATGTCCCTTTACAAATGAGTAGATTAAACGAATGCGGCACATATATACAACAGGATATTATTCAGTCTTTTGAAATAGGGTCATCTCAGCCTGACCAACATGGTGAAACTCTGTCTCTACTAAAAATACAAAAATTAGCTGGGCATGGTGGCGCGTGCCTGTAATCCCAGCTACTCAGGAGGCTGAGGCAGGAGAATTGCTTGAACCCAGGAAGCAGAGGTTGCAGTTAGCCAAGATGGCGCCACTGCACTCCAGCCTGGGAGATACAGCAAGAGTTCGACTCCAAATAAATAAATAAATAAAATAGGGACATCTTGACAAATACTACAATAATGATAAATCTTTACGATACTATGTCAAGTAAAATAAAATAGTCAAAAAAAGAGACACTGTATAATCACACTTACATAGAATACTTAGTCAAAGTCATGAAAAAAGAAAGTAAAATGGGGTTCTTCAGGAGCTAGAGAGAGGTGGAAAGGACAATTTGTTGTTTAGTGAGTATTTGCTTTTACTTTTGTAAGACAAAAATCATCTCTAACCTCCTGGAAAACAACAGGACTGCACTTAATACTTCTAAACTGTACACCTAATAATGTCTGAAATGACTATTGCATGTTTTTAACCACAATTTAAAATTTAAGAATACCTAAAAAGTTACAAAATTTTTTAAAAATTACCTTCAAATAACAAGTGTTCTTCTCACAAAATTATATATATTCAAACTATAAGTAGATTGTGAATTTAAGATTATTTCCTTGACTACTCACCAAGACAAAATAAAGCAATAGGCCGGGCGCGGTGGCTATGGCTGTAATTCCAGCACTCTGGGAGGCCAAGGCGGGCGGATCACCTGAGGTCGGGAGTTGGAGACCAGCCTGACCAACGTGGAGAAACCCTCATCTTCACTAAAAATACAAAATAAGCTGGGCGTGGTGGCGCATGCCTGTAATCCTAGCTACTGAGGGGGCTGAGGCAGGAGAATCACTTGAACCTGGGAGGCAGAGGTTGCAGTGAGCCAAGGTCGCACCGCTGCGCTCTACCCTGGGCAACAAGAGCAAAACTCTGCCTTATTGAAAACCTAGAAAAAATTGTGTCATAAACAAAGCAGGGACAACATTGATTAAAAATACATAGATAGGGCCGGGTACAGTGGCTCACGCCTGTAATCCCAGCACTTTGGGAGGCTGAGGAGGGCAGATCACCTGAGGTCAGGAGTTCGAGATCAGCCTGGCCAACGTGGTGAAATCCCCATCTCTACTAAAAATACAGAAATTAGCCAGGCATGATGGCACATGCCTGTAATCCCAGCTACTCAGGAGGCTGAGGCAGGAGAATCGCTTGAACCCAGGAGATGGACGTTGCAGTGAGCCGAGATTGTGCCACTGCACTCCAGTCTGGGCACAAGAGCAAAACTCCATTTCAAAAAAAAAAAAGATAATTGTCTTAAATTGCACAGAGTGGAAAATTATTCTTCAGACTGAAGGGGTGGCCTGCCCCTCCACACCTGTGGGTGTTTCTCGTCGGGTGGGACGAGAGACTGAGAAAAGAAAGAGACACAGAGACAAAGTATAGAGAAAGAAAAGTGGGCCCAGGGGCGGCGCTCAGCATGTGGAGGACCCGTGCCAGCACCGGTCTCTGAGTTCCCTCAGTATTTATTGATCATTATCTCTACCATCTCAAGAGAGGGGGATGTTCCAGGACAATAGGGTAATAGTGGGGAGAGGGTCAGCAGGAAAACACGTGAACAAATATCTCTGTGTCATAAACAAGGTTAGAAAAGGTGCTGTACTTTGATGTGCACATACATAAACATCTCTGGTGCATTAAAGAGTAGTGCCGCCAGCATGTCTCACCTGCAGCCTTAAGGCAGTTTTCTCCTATCTCAGTATATGGAACATACAATCGGGTTTTACACCGAGACATTCCATTGCCCAGGGAATAATATAAATCACTCTCCGGGAATAATATAAATCATTCTACTATATTCTACTATAAAGACACATGCCTGGAGACAGATGCCTTCCTCTTATCTCAACTGCAAAGAGGTCTTCCTCTTTTACTAATCCTCCTCAGGACAGACCCTTTACCCATGTCAGGCTGGGGGACGGTCAGGTCTTTCCCTTCCCATGAGGCCATATCTCAGACTATCACATGGGGAAAAACCTTGGACAATACCTGGCTTTCCTAGGCAGAGGTCCCTGCGGCCTTCAGCAGTGTATTGTGTCCCTGGGTACTTGAGATTAGAGACTGGTGATGACTTTAACAAGCATACTGCCTTTAAGCACTTGTTTAACAAAGCACATCCTGCATAGCCCTAAATCCATTAAACCTTGAGTTAACACAGCACTTGTCTCTGTGAGCACAGGGTTGGGGGTAGGGTTACAGATTAATAGCATCTCAAGGCAGAAGAATTTTTCTTAGTACAGAGCAAAATGGAGTCTCTTATGCCTACTTCTTTCTACACAGACACAGTAACAGTCTGATCTCTCTTTTCCCCACACAGACTGGGCGTGGTGCCTCACGCCTGTAACCCCAGCACTTTGGGAGGCTGAGGCGGTCAGATCACTTGACATCAGGAGTTCAAGACCAGCCTGGCCAACATGATGAAGCCCTATCTCTACTAAAAATACAAAAATTAGCCGGGTGTGTTGGCTGGCACATGCCTATAATCCCAGCTACTCGGGAGGCTAAGGCAGGAGGATTGCTTTAACCCAGGAGTTGGAGGTTGCAGTGAGCCAAGACACTGCTACTGCACTCCAGCCTGGGTGACAGAGTGAAACGCCATCTCAAAAAAAAAAAAAAAAAAAAAAAAAAAAAAAGCTCTTAGGGAATTATGGGAAAAGCTACCTAAATTTTTAAAAAACCTACACCTGTAATCCCAGCACATTGGGAGGCCAAGGCGGGCAGATCACCTGAGGTCAGGAGTTTGAGACACATTTTTACCTATGCACATTTTTTACATAGGTGTGTTATGGGGGTTTGTTGTGAAGATTATTTCATCACCCAGGTATGAAACCTAGTACCCATTAATTACTTTTTTTGTTCCTCTCCCTCCTCCTTCCAATAGACCCCAGTATGGATTGTTCCCCTCTGTGTCCATGTGTTCCCATCATTCAACTTTCACTTTAAAGTGAGAATATGTGGTATTTAGTTTTCTGTTCCTGTGTTACTTTGCTAAGGATAACAGCCTACAGCTCCATCCACATTCCTCCGAAAGACATGATCTCATTTTTTTTATAGCTGCACAATATCCCATGGTGTATATGTACCACATTTTCTTTATTGAGTCTATCATTGATAGGCATTCAGCTTGACTCCATGTCTTTGCTATTGTGAATTGTGCTGCAATGAATATACACATGCACGTGTCTTTATAGTAGAATGATTTATATTATTTTGGGTATATACCCAATAACTGGATTGCTAGGTTGAATGGTATTGCTTTCTCTAGGTCTCTGAGGAATGGCCACACTGTCGACAATAGGTGAACTGATTTAAACTCCCACCAGTGGTGCCTAAGCATTCCTTTGACCAAAAAAATCTTAATGTTCTAAGAGGTAGCTTTTTAGACAAATGGTATACCAGGAGACTGTCCTCAGGCCCAGACCACCCAGTTGCTCCTCTGAGAGGCTATACTCCCATTCCTCAGGCTGCCCTCTAAGAAATGACCCAGGGGATGATATTCATTAGACACTCCAAGAGATATGGTCACTACGGGCATCCTGGGTTGGTTAAGACAGTTCTGAAACTCATGACCAAGAAAAGACCAGAGGGCTGCTGTAAAGGGCCCTGTAATTTCTCCAAAGCAAAACTTCAACCCGAAGACGTACTAATAAGGTGTGTGTACCTAGGGAAGATAAAAGTGGGAGAGGCAGAGATAATTTTTATTTTTATTTTTTACAGTGGAGTGACAGAGGATTATTTTCTACATTTTTCTCATGTGAAATGTTTATAGACAGAAAACAAATCTTTAAAAACCTGCCACCATCCACTGCTGTGTAAAATCATGATTAACAATTAAAATACCGTGTCTCTAATGTACAATAAAGGACAAATAGTTGATAGTGTCGTAAACTGGACAGGGGAAGTTGGTCTCATATCCCACATTTGAGAATGTAGGAACAAAAGTGGAAATTTATAATTTTACTGCAAGCCTGAGTTAGGCTAAGGGAAAAAAGTGGATTAGAGCCCTGCTTGCCACACATTAGGAAGGCACAGAGGAAAACGAGTCCTCTGTGGAGTGTTAAAATAATTAAACAGCAGGAAATTAGACTAAAGTGGCTCTAGTCCCCTGTGTTCATAAATTTAAAAAATCTAAAACCCAACTCGAATGCATTTCTTATAAATTAATATATTAGGCCAGGCGCGGTGGCTCAACCCTGTAATCCCGGCACTTTGGGAGGCTTGACCCTGGGAGACGGAGCTTACAGAAACCGAGGTCACACCACTGCACTTTACCTTAGCGACAGAGCGAGACTGTCTAAAAAGAAAAGAAAAAAAAAATAACAGGAAAGCTTGGGAACCCCACGGGTCGCAGCTCCTCCCACGCACACACCTAGTCGGGATTCTACCCTGATGACCCGCCTGGCATCCCTAAGCACTCTGGGAAATACTCGGGGCTGCGGGCGCAGAGCTGCCCAGGGAGGTCCAGACAGGGCGCCCAGCAGGGACGCGGCGAGACGCTGGGGGTCCCGGCCGCGGGCCCAGCCGCCATCTTGCGGCCAGAGACGCCTGGGGCCGAGCTGCGCCAGAGAGGACTGAGGTCGGCGGACCCGGGAGCGGACTGTGGGGAGGCCGGTCCTGCAGGTTTCACAGCCCGCTCTCGCCTCAAGGGATGCCCAACCCCGCATACGCACCACTTCACAGCTTCCAGGGTGCCCTGGCATCTTGGCTGTGCGTCTCCCAGGACCTGCAGATCACAGGGCAACAGAGTCTGTGACAAAGTCGCCGGGCGGGGGTCGGTGGTTCCCAGGTAGAGGACGCGGAACAGTGAAGACCGATCCCAAGCTCTGGCGGGAGCGAGAGACAAAGACCCCGCCAAATGCCGGAAGCCACGCCCTCCTCTCCAACTGCGCGCCTGATCGGGCGGTTCCTACACCAGTGCCACTGATTGGATGGAGCTCCAGGACCCACCTCCCAATCCCACCCACCCCAGTATTAGTGCATTTTATGGACAGGGAAAGAGGCTCAAGTAGGAGGTGTCACTGACCCGGGCAATTACTGCTAATTAACAAATGAGCTGAGGCGTCGGGGGGCGGTGGCTCACGCCTGTGATCCCAGCACTTTGAGAGGCAGAGGCGGGCGGATCACCTGAGGTCAGGAGTTCGACACCCTCCTGACCAACATGGCGAAACCCCGTCTCTAGTAAAAATACAAAAACTAGCCGGGCGTGGTGGTGGGCTCCTGTAATCCCAACTGCTCGGGAGGCTGAGGCAGGAGAATCGCTTGAACCCGGGAGGCAGAAGTTGCAGTGAGCCAAGATCGCACCATTGCACTCCAGCCTGGATGACAGAGGGAGACACTGTCTCAAAAATAAATAAATAAAACAAAAATTTTCACGTAAGAGAAGTGGAGAATAAAAGAAGGATTTCACATCTAAAGCATTTGTTTCCTTTATAAAACCACAGCCCCTTTTCATTTGAATTGTCCAAAGATGTCTGACAGCACTAATACACTTACAGAATGAACCAGGAACAATGGCCTCTCAGGTGATAAGGAGGCACAACGTTACCTAAACCCAGTTTATTCTCAGCTTTACATGGTAACCCCTCTCAAGAAGTACTGTTAGCTGTGTGAACCGTATTCATTGGACAAGGCCAGAGGAAAGCGTGTTTACTGCAACACAACCAGGAGCCTGCAAATCAAACTGGGGGCGGGAAGCACGTAGGAGGCTTCCATAACCAAGACACTGGTGGCTATCCTTGGTTGTCACTTAAAACTTCAAGGTGGCCAGGCCTGGTGGCTCACGCCTGTAATTCCAGCACTTTGGGAGGCTGTGGCGGGCGGGTCTTGAGGTCTAGAAATAGAGACCATACTGGCCAACATGGTGAAACCCCATCTCTACTAAAATTACAAAAATTAGCCGGGTGTGGTGGCGTGCGCATGTAGTCCCAGCTACTAGGGAGGCTGATGCTGATGCAGGAGAATCGCTTGAAGGAGGCAGAGGTTGCAGTGAGCTGAGATCAGGCCACTGCCCTCCAGTATAGTAACAGAGCGAGACTCTGTCTCAAAAAAACAAACAAGCAAAAACAAACTTCAAGGTGAAAGGCATCTATTTTCCAGTTGGCTCAGAGGAACTGACAGATACTAGAATTCAAATGTCTTTTTCTTTTCTTTCTTTCTTTCTTTTTTTTTCTTTTTTTTTGACAGAGCGAGACTCTGTCGCTCAGGCTGGACTGCAGTGGCGCCATTGCAGCTCACTGCAACTTCCCTCTCCCAGGTTCAAGGGATTCTCCTGCCTCAGCCTCCCAAGTAGCTGGGACTATAGGCGCGTGCCACAGCGCCTGGCTAATTTTTGTATTTTTAGTAGAGCTGGGGTTTCGCTGTCATGGCCAGGCTGGTGTCGAACTCCTGACCTCAAGTGATCCACCCGTCTCTGTCTCCCAAAGTACTGGGATTACAGGCGTGAGCCACAGTGCCCAGCCTGTAATAGTTTTAAACTCCCCTTCTCATAGGGACAGGCCACCTCCACACACCCCCTCTTACTTCACAGGCTCTGTCCCTAAGGTTTACCTGGGGGACTGTCTTCCTCCCATCTCATTGGCTCTCCAAGAGAGTCCAGCTCACACTAAAACCTACCCTAAGATGGCAATTTGTAGACACTCCTCCATCCTCACAGCACAGTGGGACTTATGGAGAATGCTGCCCAATCCCCTTTCCTCAACTGACGTGAAGGGGCAGGTGGCCAGCCAGATAGATGTTCAGTGACCTAACAGGTCCAGCATGCCCAGGGTCTAGCCCCACAGCCTACCACCTCTCCCCCACCTGGTCTTCCCTCCAGCCTTTTTTCTTCTGTCACCAATGACAGGTGATGTTTACCTGTGCCACACTCTCATGAGCCTAGAAACTGGCATTGGTTGGCCGGGTACGGTGGCTCATACCTGTAATGCCAGCACTTTGGGAGGCCAAGGCGGTCAGATCACTTGAAGTCAGGAGTTCAAGGCAAGGCTGGTCAATATGATGAAACCCTGTCTCTACTAAAAATACAAATATTAACCGGACATAGTAGCACGTGCCTTTAATTCCGGCTACTCCGGAGGCTGAGGCACAAGAACTGCTCTAACCCAGGAGGCGGAGGTTGCAATGAGCTGAAATCATGCCTCTGCACTCCAGCCTGAGTGACAGAGTGATACTCTGTCTCAAAAAAAAAAAAAAAGAGAAAGAACCAACCTGGTGTGGGTAAACCCCAGCTGGGTGCCTGTAACTCCACTCTCTTGCTTCCCACTCAAGTGGCATTATAAGCATAACCTTAAATGTGATCTAATTTATGCATATTCCTCTCTTAGTAACATTTCTGACAACAGCCCTCACAATCAAATGAGCCTGGATTACAGAAAACGTGTGTGTTTAAAGCCTGAGGCAGCAGGTTTTGTGTGTATGTGTGATTCTCCTGCCTCAGCCTCCCAAGTAGCTGGGACTGCAGGCACGCACCACGATGCCCAGCAAATTTTTGCATTTTTAGTAGAGATGAGGTTTCACCATGTTGGCCAGGATGGTCCTGATCTCTTGACTTCATGAGCCACCCACCTGGACTTCCCAAAGTGCTAGGATTACAGGCATGAGCCACGATGCCCCGCCTATTATTCTTTTAGAGATGTATTTTCATCTTTCTACTTTTTTTCTTTTCTTTCTATTTTCATAATTTCTCCCTTTCTGTCTCTTTCTTACTGTCCTTCCCTTTTTCTTCCTGTGTTTCTCTCTTCCTTTCTTTTTCTCTGTTTCTTTTTAACATTTCCTCCTTGTAGAACCTGGTCCCTAACTTCCTTCATTCCCTCCTGTCTTCCTTCCTGCCTTTCTCTCAACATTCCTACCTTCCTCCCTTTTTTTCCTCCTCTCCTGCCTTCCTTCCTTCCTACTACAGGAATGTGGCATCATGCCTGGCTAACTTTTAGTAGAGGCAGGGCCTCACTATGTTGTCAGGGCTGGTCTCAACCTCCTAGGCTCAAGTGATTCTCCCACCTCAGCCTCCCAAAGTGTTGGAATTACAGGCATGAGCCACCATGCTCTGCCCTCTTTTATTTTCTTCTTTTTTCTTTGTATTCTTTTTTTCCCCTCTCTCTTTCTTCTTTCCTTTTTTCCTTCATTTCTTCCTTTTTCTTTTTGTGTCTCTCCACCTTTTTCCTTCCTTTTTCATCTTCCCTTTTTCTTTTCATTATTTTCTCTATTTTTCTTTTGATATTTCTTTCTCTTTCTTCATTTTTTTTCTCTCTCTTCTCTTTCTTTTTTTTTTTTCTGTTTTATTTCCTTCCTTCCGTTCGTCGTCTGTCCGTCTTTGTGTGGATTCTGGGACAGTCTCCTCATTCTGTATCTCCCTGTGTCCTAAACCACCCACTACCGAGTCCTGGTCATTCTTTCTCCCGCTGAGATGCATCTCCAAGCATCTGCAAACACCCACACCCACGGGTTGTCTTTGACTGGACTCTGTCGTGGTCTATGCAGAGCCACGTATCGGGGATCATTTCTGGGGTCGGGTGGATCCATTTCGCCCACGAGCTGCCCTTGCCATCTCGATCTGTCTTGTTGACGTTCGCGCTGGTTGTCGGGCTCCACTGAGGCCACCTCTCTAAGTTCTCTTGTCCTCCGGAGCTCCAGCGGCAGCTGCCGAGGGAGGGACCGTCCCCGCTGTGAGCTGGGCGGAGCTCGGGAAGGCCCGCAGCCTTCAGCTGAACTGTCTCAATGGGACCAGAGCTCTGGCGCGTCCCTTGTGAGTCGGAGGTCGGGCGCGCAGGGCTGTGGCTTGGGAGGCTGTCCCCGCGCTCCCAGCCCGAGCCGAGTGTGGGGCTGCCCCGGCTGATCCCAAGCGCACTGCAACTGCCGAGGCCCGACCCGCAGGACCCACCAGGCCTGACGCAGGGGGCCAGGGACGCCCACGCTGGTCCCGACTGTCTGAGGCGCCTGCCGAGTTTATTCCCAAGTCCCCATGGAGAGTCAGGGGCCGTCCTGAGCCATCTTCTGAGGTCCCGGGAGGGGTGGGCTCGGGAGGGGTTCGCCCGAGGGCTTTCCGAGCGCCGAAAGGGACGGCGTGCTGCGTGGTGGGTGCCTTGGGTTGGGGGGCTCCCCTGCTTGGCCTCCCACCCCTCTGGTTCCTGGCTCCTCCCCTCATTCCTGGGAGTGGGGGTGGTGGCAGCTCGATCCACCGGCTGGGATAGGGCTGGGGAAGCATGGTATGGATGGTTCAGTTGCAGGTGTCCGGGGGTGTGGCCCGGCAGGCCCCATCCCAGGTATGGCTGTGAGGGCCCGGGGGTGGCAGTCTGGGTCCCTGCCCTCTCCCACCCCGCGGGTGGGATGGTCACCGGGGGGGCAGTCCCTGCGCTTGAGCCCTTGCTCCTCTTTCCACCGCCCACATCGATCAGCAGATGGGGGTTGGGGGCGCGGTGGGAAGGAAGGTTGGCGACTTAGATGCCAGAAAAACAGCTTCAGGCCGCGAGCGCCACCCTTGGCCTGTAGGGTGGATCCGCTGGGCCTCTACCTGCTGGCTTCTCAGTCCGGCCGCCGGGTCCACCAGATGTCGGCCAAGAGTGTAGGACTTGGCCACCAGCTTGAAATATTTAAGACGGACCAGATGGCTCTCCTCGGCTGCAGAACCGCTAAGATCCAGTAGAGGGTGCGATTACTGCTCACTGCGACCTCCACCTTCCCGGGCTCACCCAGGCAATCCTTTCTTTTCGGCCTCCGAGTAGCTGAGGCTCAGGGGATCTTTCTGTTTTTGTTTTCTTTTTTTTGTTTTCCTAGCCCCACTTCAAGTTTGTTTCCACAGTACATTGAGTTGCTGTTTTTTGTTTGTTTGCTTGTTGAGACGGAGTTTTGCTCTTGTTACCCAGGCTGGAGTGCAAAGTCGCGATCTCGGCTCACTGCAACCTCCGCCTTTTGGGTTCAAGCGGTTCTCGGGCCTCAGCCTCCCGAGTAGCTGGGATTACAGGCATGTGCCACCACACTTGGCTAATTTTGTATTTTTAGCAGAGACGAGGTTTCTCCATGTTGGTCAGGCTGGTGTCGAACTCCCGACCTCAGGTGATCAGCCCGCGTTGGCCTCCCGAAGTGCTGAGATTACAGGCGTGAGCCACCGCGCCTGGCCGCTGTTTTATTTTTATTTATTTCTTTCTTTTTCTGTTTCTTTTGTCTTTCTCTTGCTCCTTCCTGCACACTGAAGTTGCTGTTGTTTTAGATTTCTTTTTTCTTCTTTTTTTTTTCTTTTTGAGTGAGGCCTTGGCCCCCAAAGTGCTGGAATTACAGGCGTGAGCCACCGTGCCTGGCTCTATCTATCTACCTATCTATCTATCATCTATCTATCTATCTATCTATCTATCTATTTTTTTTAGTAGAGACATGGTCTCAGTATGTTGTCCAGGCTGTGGTTATATATATTACTTTTTAAACTTTAATTATCATTTTTTAATAAAGATGTCTCGCCATATAGCCCCCAGGGTAGTCTTGAACTCCTGGGCTCCACGTATCCTCCCACCTTAGCCTCCCAATGTGCTGGGATTACAGGCATGAGCCGCCGTGGATGGTCTGGTCATATTTTTGATGTGTTGCTTCTTCCCACTCCAGATGCATAATCTCACCGCTGAACATTCCTGACAGTGTGATTATGACATATGACTTTACCCAGCACCAGAGTGAGTTGGTGCTCCAGCCCTGGCCCAGCCCACAGAAGAGATTGTGACATATCACTGGACCCAACACTGAGGTGATGTGATTATTCTACTGCCTTGGCACTGCACACAGGGGACATTGTGACATCACTGGGTCTTGTACCCAGGTGGTGTGAATCTTCTCTCCTGCCTTGGTTCTTCCACGGGGGGCATTGTGTCATATCGCTGGGTCCCACACATACGTTATGTGACTCTCCTGCCTGTGCCCTGTGCATGTGGGTCATTGTGACATATTGCTGGGTCCAACACCCAGGTGATATAACTCTACTGCCTAGGCCCTGCCTACAGAGGACATTGTGTCATATACCTGCACCCATCACACAGGTAATGCGGCTCTCTCTCCTGCCTGGCCCCGATCACAGAAGAGATTGTGACATATCACTGGGTGCACACCTAGCTAACATGTCTCTCCTCCTTGTCCTAGGTTCTGCTTGCAGGGGATATTGTGACATGTCAGTGAGCCTAATACTAAGGTGATATTGTGTTGGTTTGTTGGTTTGTTTGTTTTTGTATTTTTAGTAAAGATGACGTTTCTGCATGTTGGTCAGGCTGGTCTCGAACACCCGAACTTAGGTGATCCAGCCCCTCTCAGCCTACCAAAGCGCTGGGTTTACAGGTGTGAGCCACCGCACCCGGCCAGGTGACATTACTCTTTTGCCTTGGCACTGCCCTCAGAAGGCATGGTGGTATATTGCTGGGCCCAGCACCAATGTGATGTGAGTCTCCTGCCTGGACCCTGCCTACAAGGTGCATTGTGACATATCTCTGGGCCCTTTGACTATATTATGTGTCTCTCCTCTCTTAGATGTTGCCCAAAAAGAGATTGTGACATAACTTTGGGCCCAGCACCGAGGTGATGTCTCCCCTCTCCTGCCTGGGGCTTGCCCACCGAAGAGAGAGTGACTTATTGATGAGTTCAGCACACAGGTAATATGACTCTTATTCCGGCTCACAGAAGTCACTGTAACATATATCTTGGCTGATCACTGAGATTATATGACTCTCTTTTTCCTGGGACCTGTCCACAGTGGGGAATGTGACATATTGCTTGGCCCAGAACTTACATGAAGTGACTCTGTCCTTATGCCTGGGCCTTGCCCACTGGGGTGATTTTGACATGTAGCTGGGCCCAGCCTCAAGGTTATGTGACTGCACACTTCTTCCTGAGCCCTACCCACAGGGGGCATTGTGTCATATCTCTGAGACCCTCAATTAGATGATATAACTCTTTTGTTTGGACCCTCTTCTCGGGGTATTGTAACATATTGATGAGCCCAGCATCTAGGTGATGTGACTATTCTCTACTGTTTGGTCTCTACCCAAAAAGGGATTGTGTCATATCACTCTGTCAAGAACCTAGATGAGGTGACTCTCCTCTCCAGCCTGGGACCTACATACGTTGTGTATTGAGACATGTCACTGGCTTCAACACCTGGATAACACAACTCTCCTGCATGGGCCCTGCCCATAGAGGTATTATAAAATATTTTTCTATTAATCACCTAGGTGATGTGACACTCCTCTTCTGCCTGGGCCATGCCAAAAAAGTATTGTTACTTTAGTAGAGACAAGGTCTCAGTATGGTGCACTGAACCCAGCACCTAGGTGATGTGACTCTTCTCTCATGCATGGGCCCTGCCGACTAGGGTGTTTATTACATATAGCTGGACCCAGCCCCTGGGTTATGCGATTTTCTTTTTTTTCTGAGCCCTACCCACAGAGGGCATTTTGACATATTTTTGAGCCCATCATTTAGGTGATGTGACTCTCTTGCATGGGCCCTCCCCACAAAGGACAGTGTGACATATTGCTGAGCCCAGTACATAGGTGATGTGACTCTCCTCTATGGATTGGGCTTTGTCCAAGCAGGAATTGTGATGTATTGCTGGGCCCACCGCCTAGGTGATGTGACTCTCCTCTTCTGCTTAAGGCCTGCATGCTTTGTGTATTGTGACATATGCCTGGATTCAACACCAAGGTGATGTGACTTTATGACATGGGAACTGCCCACAGTATTACGACATATCTTTTTCATCACCTAGGTGATGTGACCCTTTTATTTTCCCTGTTCCTGGCACCTTTTGGGTATAGTGACATTTCACTGAGTTCAACAGCCATGGGATGGAACGCTCCTGCCTGGGCCCAGCACATAGGGGACCTTGTGACATATCTCTGCATCCGTAATCTAGGAGATTTAACTCCCCTCTTCTGCCTGCACCCTGACCACTGGGAGGGCTGTGACAAATCATTGGTCTCAGCAATCAGGTGATGTGTTTTTCCTGCTTGGGCCTTGACCACAAAGAACATTTTAACATATCACTGGGCCCAGCACCCAGATGATGTGACACTGCTGCCTGGTCTCTGCCCTCAGAGAAGTTTGTGACATATCACTGCCCCCAAACCCAGGTGATGTGACTCTACTGCTCAGTCCCTCTTCACTGGTGGGATTGTGATGCATATCTTGGCCCAGCTTACAGGTGCAATGATGACTCTCATACCTCAAAGTAACCAATAGCAGACATACTGTCTCTCATAGCCAGGATTAGGAAAATGAGTAATGTCTTGGGTCTCCTCTTTGTATGAAGATCATAAAGAATTAACACTCTCTCACATACTGTGTAAAGTTGTCAAGAGGTACAAAGAATGTCCTAACAGAACTCAGCACACAGGGGAGGTTGTGACACTCATATGCATAGCCTGCCAAGAGTAAAGACTGTCATCCTTCCACATAAACACAGCTCACTGTTGAGATTCTGAATCTCACCCAGAGGCAGACATACTTGAAAAATCAAATCACATGTGTAACTATCTTTCATAAGGGAGGTGTCTCTCAGACCAGGATCCAGCACACCTGTGAGTCTGTGACTCCACTAAGGGGACACAGTTTGCAGGAGGGATTGAGGTTCTCACACAGATCCAGACCATCATTGAGATTGTGACTCATGTTCTTAGACCCAACATCCAGGAGGTGTTATATGTCATACCTAGATCTAGAAAATGTGTTAAATTGTTAATCTCATACCTTGACCTTCATGCAGATGTGATTGTGACATACACCTCTGCCCAGCACCTGAGTGATTTGACTCTTCTGCCTGGGCCCAGTGTACAGATGGGATTGTGCCACATTGCTGGACCCAGCATTTAGGTGATGTGAGTCTTCTCTTGCCTTAGTGCTTTTCACAGAGGACATTGAGACATATCACTGGGCCTAGTACCCAGGTAATGTGACTTTCCTCTACTTCCTGGGCTTTTCCCAAGAAGGGATTGTAATATATTGCTGGGTCCAACACCTAGGGGATGTGACTCTCCTCTCCTGCCTGGTTCCTCCTGTACATTGCGTATTGTGACATGTGATTGTTTCTAACACCTTGGTGATGTGAATCTCCTGCATGGGCCCTGCTTACAGAGATGTTATAACATATCTTTTCATTCATCACCCAGGTGATATAATTCTCCTCTTTTGACTAGACCCTGCCAAAAGGGGGAATTGTGGCAAATCACTGAACCCAGCACCTAGGTGATGTGACTCTCTTGTTTTGCCTGGGCTTCGCATATTTTGGATATTGTAAAACGTTACTAGGTCCAAAACCTATGAGATTGCATGCTCCTGCCTGGGCTCTGCCCACAGGGACCTTGTGACATATATCTGCATCCATGACCTAGAATGTGTGACATTTCATATTTGCCGGTACCCTGGCCTGCACAGGAAAGATTGTGACATATCCCTGGAAGCAGACACCAGGTGATGTGGCTCTTCTGCCTCTGTCTTGTCCCCAGGGAGCATTGTAACATAGTGCTGAGCTCAGCACCCAGGTGATGTGAGTCTGTTGCCTGTGCTGTGCTTTCAGGAGAGAATTGTAACATATCCCTGGCTGAGCACCCAGGTGATGTGACACTCCTGCTTGGCTCCCTCCCTCAGGGAAGATTGTGAGATACCTTGGCTGAAATCCAGGTGATGTGACTCTCCTGCTAGCTCCCTACCTACAGGTAAAATTGTGACATATACTGTAGTCAGCTTACAAGTGCAATGATGACTCTCATACGTCAAATGAGCTATTAGAAGAAATACTGTCATAGCTCGACTTAGAAAAATGGACGACATTCTGGGTCTCCTCTTTGTATGAAGGTTATAAAGGATTGCCACCCACCTACCTATCATATAATGCCTTCAGGTGTTACAGAAAGTGTCATCACAGGGCACGGCAAACAGATGAAATTGTGTTTCTCATATGTGCACCTCACCAACCATTAGGATTATCACCGTCACACATGGAAAGAGCCCATTGCCGAGGTCTTGAATTTCCCATGCAAACACAGTCCACACTTGGAATTGTGGCTGTCATATGTGAGCCTCCAGCTACAGTTGGAATGGTGACACATTTCTAAACCCAGAACATAAGCAGATGAGGACTCTACTGTCTGGACCCAGCCAATAGGAGAGATGGCACTCATATCTGGGCTTAGGGCCACAGGTATGGTCATGGGTGTTTACAAACATGATCTCAGAGTTAATTGTCATTCTCATTCATAGTGTATAAAGCTTTGGGGTATTTTAAAGAGGGTATTAACAAGGCCCAGAACACAGGAGATTGTGATAGTTGTATGCACACCCTCCCAACAGTATACATCATCATTTTCTCAAATGAACACAGCTCACTTTTGGCCGGATGCGGTGGCTCACGCCTGTAATCCCAGGACTTTGGGAGGCCGAGGTGGGTGGATCACGAGGTCAGGAGATTGAGACCATCCTGGCTAACACAGTGAAACCCCGTCTCTACTAAAAATACAAAAAATTAGCTGGGCATGGTGGTGGACGCCTGTAGTCCCAGCTGCTCGGGAGGCTGAGGCAGGAGAATGGCATGAACCCGGGTGGCGGAGGTTGCAGTGAGCCGAGATCGTGCCACTGCACTCCAGCCTGGGCTACAGAGCGAGACTCCGTCTCAAAAAAAAAAAAAAAAAAAGGAACACAGCTCACTTTTGAGGTTCTGAATCTCACACCCATAGGCAGTCAAAGGTCGGAAACTTGACTCTCAGATGTGGATCCAGTCCACAGGTGAGTTGATGACACTCAGAGCAAGATTCAGCACACCTATGAGGCTGTGACTTCACTAATTAGACAAAGTCCACAGGAGGAGTTGAGGCGCTCAGGCACAATTTTAGTCCACCGTTGAGATTATAACTCCTGTTCTTAGACACAACATATAGAAGGGGTTAACCTCCTATACCTAAAATCATGACATGTATGGGATTGCTAGTATCATCCCTGGACCTTCCTGCAGATTTAACTGTGACATTTTCCTCTCCCCAGCACCTGAGTAATCTGACTCTCTTCCCTGGGACCAGCCCACAGATGGGATAGTGAATATTGCTGAACCCAGATCTGAGATATGACTCTATTCTTATGCATTGGTGCTGCTTGCAGAGGACATTGTGACATATCGCTGGGCCCTGCACTTAGGTGATGTGAGTCTCCTCTCCTGCCTTGGCACTGCCCATAGGGGGCATTGTGACATATCTCTGGGCCTACACCCAGGTTATATGACTGTCATGCCTGTGCCCCGACCACATAAGCAATTGTGACATATTGCTGGGTCCAACACCTGGTAATGTAATTCTACTGCCTAGGTTCTAGAACATCATGACATATCTCTTCACCCGTCACCCAGATGATGTGACTCTCATTTCCTACCTGGTCCCTGCTCACATGGGGAATTTTGACATCTCACTTGTCCCAGTGCCAAACAAATGTGACTCTTCATAAGTTCTGCTTGCGAGAGATATTAAGACATCTTGTGGAGCTTAACAACAATGTGACATTACTGTTTTGTCTTGGCCTGGACCTCAAAAGGCATTGTGACATATTGCTGGGCCCAGCAACAAGGTGACATGGGTTGTTTGTATGAACCCTGATAACAGAGAACATTGTGGCATATCTTTGGGAGCATCAACTGTTTGATGTGACTCTTTTTTTATACCAAGGCTTTGCTCATAGGAGAGATTGTGACATATCTTTTGGCCCAGAAATCAGGTGATGTGTTTCTCCTGCCTGAGCTTTGCTCACAGGGAGCATTGTGACATATCACTGGGCCTAGAACCCAAATGATGTGACTCTACTGAGTGTGCCCTGCTTTCAGGAGGAAATTGTAACGTATCTCTGACCAACCACCCAGGTGATAACACTTCTGCCTGATTCCTGTTCTCAGGGAAGATTGTGACATATCCCTGGCCCAGCACCCAGATGACGTAACTCTCCTGTGCATGCCCTATCCACACGTGAGACTGTGACATATATCTTTGTTTAGATCATAGGTGCGATGTTGACTCTCATGCCTCAAACTAGCCAATAGAAGAGATGCTGTTTCTCATAGCTAGGCTTAGGAAAATGGATAAAATCCTGGCTCTCCTCTTTAGGATGGTCAGAGAAAATTACACTCTCTCACATATTGTATAAACCCTCGGGTAATATAGTGTCATAACAGGGCCCAGCAAACAGGTGCAATTGTGTTTTTTGTATGCACGCTTTGCCAATTGTTAAGACCGTCGGCCGGGGTGGTGGCTCATGCCTGTAATCCCATCACTTTGGGAGGCCGAGGTGGGTGGATCACTTGAGGTCACGAGTTCAAGACCAGCCTGGCCAACATGGTGAAACCGTGTCTCTACTAAAATACAAAAATTACCTGGGCGTGGTGGTGAGCACCTGTAATCCCAGCTACTCCGGAGGCTGAAGCAGGAGAATTGGCTGAACCTGGGAGGTGGAGTTTGCAGTGAGCCAAGGTCTTGCCACTGCACTCCAGCCTGGGTGACGCAGCAAGACTCTGTCTCAAAAATAAAAATAAAAATAAAAATAAAAATAAAAAAGATTGTCACTCTCATCCATGGACAGAGCCCACTGGTGAGGTCTTAAATCTTACAGGTGGATGCAGTGCAGAGTTGAAATTGTGACTGTCGTATGTGAACATCAGGCAACAGCAGAGGTGGTGACTCCTTAGTAAGCCAAGCTTATAGGCAGGGGACAACTCTTATATCTGGACTGAGCCATTGCAGAGAAGTTAACTCTTATAACTGGGCATAGAGCCACAGGCACAATCATGAGTCCAAACCAGCACGAATGTCTCCCAGTCACAAAGGACTGTGACTCTTATGCATACCTTATAAAACACTTGGCTGGTACAGAGCATGTTCTAACTGGGCCCAAAGTACAGTTGAGATTTTGACACTCATATGTACACCCAGCCGACAGTAAATGTTGTCATCTTCTCACATGAACACAGCCTACTGTTGAGGTTCTGAATCTCACACAGATGCAGTTGCAAGGTGGAAAATTTACTCTCATATGTGGATCCAGTTCAAAGGTAAGTTGGTGACTTTCAGACTAAAATTTGACCCACCTGTGAGGCTGTGATTCCACTAAGGAGGCACAGTGGTAAGAGGGACTGAGTTTCTCATGCACTGATTCAGTTCATTTCAGAGACTGTGACTAGTGTACTTAGAACCAACATACAGGAGGTGTTGACTCTCATACCTAGAATCGGGATATGTACAGTATTGTTCATCTCATCCCCTGTCCTTCCTGCAGGTGTGATTTTGACATACACCTCTGCCTTGCACCTGAGTAATGTGACTCTTTAGCACCAGCACAGCCTACAGATAGGATTGTGCCACACTGCTGGACCCAGCACCTAGGTGACGTAACTCTATTCTCCTGCTTTGGTGCTACCCAAAAAGGACATTGTAACATATCTCAGAGCCTTGCTCCCAGGTAATGTGAGTCTCCTCTCCTGTCTTCCTGGTGCCCACAGAAGCAGGATATGTACAGAATTGTTGATCTCATCTGTGGACCTTCCTGCAAGCACGATTGTGCCATATGCCTCTGTATACGCAAGGGTGATTGTGCCATATGCCTCTGTATAGTTTACTCTCCTGCCTGGATTTAGCCCACAGATGAAATTGTGACATATCGCTGGACCAGAAACTAGGTGATGTGACTGTATTCTCTTGCTTCTGTGCTTTCACATGGGACATTGTGACATATCACTGGGCCTAGCACCCAGATGATGGAAGTTCTGTTTTCTGCCTTGGTACTGTCCACAGTGAGCATTGTGACATATCGCTGCTGTCCCCTACAAGTTATGTGACTCTCTTGCCTGTGCTCTGCCAACATGGGCCATTGTGACATGTTGCTGGGTCCAAAACCTAGGTGATGTAACTAATTTGTTTGGGTTCTGCCTATAGGAGTCATTGTCACATATCTCTTTGCTCATCACCCAGGTGATGTGACTTTCTTCTCCTGCCTAGTTCCTTCTCACAAAAACTAATGTGACATATTGCTGAGCCCAGTACCTAGCTGGTGTGACTCAACTCTTCTTTCTAGGTTCTGCCTGCAGAAGAGATTGTAACATGTTGCTGGGCACCTTGGGCCTGCCCTCAGAAGGCATTATGACATATTCCTGGGTCCAACACCAAGGTGATGTGCGTCTCCTGGCTGGACCCTGCCCACAGTGGGCACTGTGACATATCTCTTGGCCCATCAGATTGTTCATGTTATCCCCTTCCCTTTTTTTCCTGGTGTTTGCCCATGAGAGACATTGTGATGCATTTCTGGACCTAGCACCTAGGTGATATCTTCCTGGGACCTGTCTATATGGGTTATTGTGATACATCATGTACGTGGCCCAGTACTTACTTGATGTGACTCTCCTCTCATGCCTAGACCCTGCTCACAGGTATGATTGTGACACATAACTTGACCAAGCCCCTAGGTCATGTTACTCTCCTCTTCTTCTTGAGCCCTTCCTACAGGGAACATTGTGACACATCTCTTGGCCCCTAACCTAAGTGATGTGACTCTCCTGCCTGGGCCTTCCCCTCAAGGGGCCTTGTGACATATTGCTGGACTGAGAACCTAGGTGATGTGACTCTCCTCTACTGCTTGGGATATACCCAAGAAGAGATTTTAATATATCGTTGGGCCCCACACCTAGGTGATGTGACTCTCCTGCATGGGCTTTGCCTGCAGGGGTATGATGACATATCTTTTCTTTCATCACCCAGGTGATGCTACTCTCTACTTATGGCTGGGCCTTGACAAAAAGAGGGATTGGGACATATCCCTGGACGCTGAACCTAAGAGGTGGAGGTTGCCGTGGTGACAGAGTGAGACTTCGCCAAAACAAAACAAAAAAAACAACAACAAAAAGTAAGGCATTGTGATGTATGTGATGTATCACTGGGACTGACACCTAGGTTATGACACTCTCTTCTGCCTGGGCCCTGCATAAATTGTATGTTTTGACATATCACTGGGTTCAACATACAGCTGATGCAACTGTCTCATATAGGCCCTGCTCCTGGGCATATTAGGACATATATTTTCCTTCATCACTTAGGCTGTGTGAATCCTCTCTTCACCCTGGACCCTGCCAAAGGGAAAGATTGAGACATATCACTGGAACTAGCACTTAGGCAATGTGACTCTTCTCTTCTGCCTGCGAACCACATTTTTGGGTATTGTGACATTTAACTGGGCCAAACACCTGAAAGATGGGAGGCTCCTGCCTCAGCCCTGTCTGCAAGGGTTTTTGTGACATTTATCTGCATCCATTACATAAAAGATGTGACTCCTTTTCTACCTGCCCACAGGAAAGATTGTGACATATTGCAGGGTCCAGCCACCAGGTGATGTGTGTCTCCTCCATGTGCATTACTTTCAGGAAGAAATGGTAACCTATCACTAGTTGAGAAACCAGGTGATGTGATTCTCCTGCCTGGTCACTGCCCTCAGGGAAGGATTTTTTATATCATTGGTCCAGCACCCAGGAGATGTGATTCTCCTGGATGCTTTCTGCTAACAGGTTGGTTGGTAACATATATCTTGGCCCAGATCACAGGTGTGATGATGACTCTAAGACTTTGTACTAGCCAATTGAAGAGATACTGTCTCTCACAGCTAGGCTTAGAAAAAGGGGTAAAATCCTGGGTCTCCTCTCTATATGAAGGTTATAAATAATTACTACTCTCTCATATATTGTATAAAGCTCTTGGATGGTACAGAGGGTGATGAGGACATAGCAAACAGGTTAGATTGTGTTTCTTGTAAGCACACTCTGCCAATTTTTAGAATTACCACTCTCACACACAGACAGAACCCACTGATGAGTTCATGATTCTCACGCGCAGATGCAGTACATAGTTGAAATTGTGACTATCATATGTGAACATCTGGCCACAGTTGAGATGGTGACTCATTTCTAAACCCAGCTCATAGGCAGGTGAGGACTCTCCTCTCTGGACCCAGCCAATTGGAGAGATGTTGACGCTCATACCTAGACTTAGGGCCACATAAGATCATGGGTCCATAGGAGCACAAAAGTCTCAGAGCAGATTGCAACTCATGCATACCATATAAAGCCCTCAAGTGGTACAGAGTGTGTCCTGACAGGGACAAGCACACAGGTGAGATTGTGACACTCATATTCACACCTAGCCAACAGCAAATCATTCACTTAAATGAACGCAACCCACTTCTGAGGTTCTGAATTTCACATTTGGAGGCAATTGAATGTTGGAAAATGGACTCTCACTCATGGATACTGTCCACAGTTGGGTTGATGACTTTTTTTTTTGAGACAGAGTCTTGCTCTGTCGCCCAGGCTGGAGTGCAGTGGCCCAATCTCGGCTCACTGCAAGCTCCGCCTCCCGGGTTCATGCCATTCTCCTGCCTCAGCCTCCCAAGTAGCTGGGACTACAGGTGCCTGCTACCACGCCCAGCTAATTTTTTGTATTTTTAATAGAGGCAGGGTTTCACCGTGTTAGTCAGGATGGTCTCAATCTCCTGACCTCGTGATCTGCCCGCCTTGGCCTCCCAAAGTGCTGCAATTACAGGCGTAAGCCATCGCACCTGGCCAGGTTGGTAACTCTTTAACCAAGATTCAGCACACCTTTGTGGCTGTAACTTCACTAAGGCACAGAGTTTGCAAGAGAAATTGAGGCTCATTGGCAAATCCAGTCCACCACTGAGATTGTGATTTCTTGTACTTAAACCCAACATGTAGGAGGTGTTGACTCTCATTCCTTGATTCAAGACAATGTCATATTTTTTTCTTTTGAGATGGAGTCTTGCTCTGTTGCCCAGTCTGGAGTGCGGTGGCACAATCTCGGCTCACTGCAAACTCCACCTCCTGGGTTCAAGTGATTCTCTGCCTCAGCCTCCCAAGTAGCTGGAATTATAGGTGCATGCCACCACGCCAGGCAAATTTTTATGGATTTTTAGTAGAGATGAGGTTTCACCATCTTGGGCAGGCTGGTCTTGAACTCCTGATTTCATGATCCACCCGCCTCGGCCTCTCAAATGCTGGGATTACAGGCATGAAACACCGTGCCTAGCCCTTTCTTTTTTTTTTTTTTTTTTTTTTTGAGACGGAGTCTTGCTCTGCCACCCAACCTGGAGTGCAGTGGCACGATCTTGGCTCAGTGCAACTTCCACCTCCCAGGTTCAAGTGATTCACCTGCTTCAGCCTCCCTAGTAGCTGGGACTGCAGGCACACACCACCACATCCAGCTAATTTTTGTATTTTTGATAGAGACGGGGTTTTGCCGTGTTGGCCAGGATGGTCTCGAACTCCTAACCTCAGGTGATCCACCTGCCTCAGCCTCCCAAAGTGCTGGGATTACAAGTGTGAGCCACTGCACCTGGCTGACAATGTCATTTTTAATGTCACCACAGTACCTTCTTACAGGTCTGATTGTGACATGTGACTCTGCCCAGCATCTGAGTTATTTGACTCTCTCACCTGGGCCCAGCTCACAGTGACATATCATGGGACCCAGACCCTTGGTAATGTCACTCTATTTTGCCTTGATACAACCCACAGGGGGCATTGTGATATATCACTGGGCCATGCACCCAGGTGATGTGAGTCTCCTCTTCTTGATGCTGCCCACAGGTGTACTGTAACATATTGTTAGGCCTAGGTTATGTGACTCTCTTACTTGTGTCCTTTCCACATGGGTTATTGTGACACATGGCTGAGTCCAACACTCAGGTGATGTAACTTCATTCTGGACTCTGTCTACAGAAGTCATTGTAATATATATCTTCACCAATCACTGAGGGAATGTGCCTTTTTTTCCTCCCTTTTCTCTACTCACAGGGGGTACTTTCTGCCCACAAATGAGATTGTGGCATCTAACCCTAAGGTGATGTTACTTCTTTGCTCTGGCTGTGCCCTTAGAAAACACTGAAACATACTGCTGGGTCCAGCACCAAGATTATGTGAGTTTTCTGCCTGAACCCTGACCACAGGAAGCATTGTAACATATCTCTTGACCCATTGCAATTTCTCCTATGGGCAAAGCCCAGGTAAATGCCTTCTTTTTTCTACATGATGTGACTCTCCTCTTCTGGGGTTTGTCTACAGTGGGAATTGTGATATGACTCTTCTTTCA
This sequence comes from Homo sapiens, assembly GCF_000001405.40. Classification (NCBI taxonomy): domain Eukaryota; kingdom Metazoa; phylum Chordata; class Mammalia; order Primates; family Hominidae; genus Homo; species Homo sapiens. The sequence goes on along the minus strand of NC_000019.10, from coordinate 23,056,925 downwards.
TTCTTGGGCCCTTTTCAGTGGGGTGATTGGAACATAAAGCTGAGCCCCATATCTAGGTTATGTCTTTCCTCTTGTTTATGAGCCCTACCCACAGAAGGCATTGTGACATATCCCTAGCCTTTTACCTAGATAATATGACATTTTTGCCTAGGCCTTCTCCTCAGGGGGTATTGTGAAATATTGCTGAACTGAGAACCTAGGTGATGTGACTCTCCTCTGCTGCCTGGGCCCTGTATACGTTGTGTATTGCAACACATCTCTGTGTCCAACACTGAGGTGATGGGCCCTCCCACAGATATATTAAACACATCTTTGTATTTATTACCTGGGTGGTGTGACTCTTCCCTTCTGCTTGAGGCCTGCCAAAAGAAAAGATTGTGACAGATCACTGGGTCCAGCACCTAGGCGATATGACTCTCCTCATTTGCCTGAGATCTTCATATTTTGGATGTTGTGACATATCATTAGAACAAATACCTAGGGGTTGGAAGGTTTCTGACTGAGCCCTTCCTACAGGGGGCCTTGTGACATATTTCTGTATCCATCACCCAGGAGATGAAACTGTCTACTTCTGCATTCTGCCCACTCGGAAGATTGTGACAATCATTAGGCCCAGCAACCAGGTATTGTGTCTGTCCTCTCTGGGCCTCACCCACAGTGAGCCTTGTGACTAAATCCTGGCCCAGCATCCAGGTGATCTTACTCTTCTGCCTGTGTCCTGCTTTTAGGAGGAAATTGTAACATCCTTGGCTGAGTGCCCCGTGATGTGACTCTCCTTCCTGGTCCATGCCCTCAGGGAAGATTGTGACATACCCCTGGTCCAGCACACAGTTAATGTCACTCTTATGCTTGCTCTTTACCCACATATATTGTGGCCAAGAACAAAGATGTAATGATGACTGTCATACCTCGAAGGTGGCAATAGGAGAGATAATGTTGCCCCTAGGTAGGCTTAGGAAAATAACAAAGTCTTTTTTCTGTACAAAAGTCATAGAGAATTACCAATTTCTCACATCTATAAAGACCTAGTATGTTACAGAGAATGTCATAACAAGACCCAGCACACAGGTGAGATTATGTTTGTCCTATGCAGACCCCACTAACCTTCAGAATTGTTATCCTCACACATGGACAGAGCCCACTGGTGAGGTCCTGAATCACACGTGAATGCCGTTCACAGTTGGAATTTTCACTGTCATAAGTGAACATCTGGCCACAGTTGGGATGGTGACTCATTTCTAAACCCAGCTTGTAGGAAGGTGAGGACTCTCCTATCTGGACTCAACCAATTGGAGAGATGTTGACTGTCATATCTGGACGTAGAACCACAGGGAAGACTCTGGATCTCCTTCCTGTATGAAGGTCACAGAGGATCACCATTCTTGCATATTGTATAAAGCCTTCAGGTGACACAGAGAGTGTCATAAGAGAACACAGCACACAGGTGAGATAGTGTTTCTCAAATGTACACCCAGGCAACAGTAAAGATTGTCATTCTCCACAAAAATACATCCCACTGTTGAGGTTCTAAATATCACACATGGAGGCTGTCAAAAGTTAGAGAATTGACTCTCATATGTGGATCTGCTCCACAGGTGGGCTAGTGACTCTCAGACCAAGATTCAGCACACATGTGAGGCTGTAACTGCACTGAAAGGACAAGTCTGCAGAATAAACTGTGGCTGTCTTGCAAAAATTCTGTCAACCATTGAGACTGTGACTCACACACTTAGATCCAACATCCAAGGCTGGGCGCAGTGGCTCACGCCTGTAATCCCAGCACTTTGAAAGGCCAACGCAGGCGGATCACCGGAGGTCAGGAGTTCAAGACCATCCTGGCCAACATGGTGAAACCCCCATCTCTACTAAAAATACAAAAATTAGCCGCGCGTGGTGGCAGGCACCTGTAATCCCAGCTACTCGGGAGGCTGACACAGGAGAATCGCTTGAACCTGGGAGGCAGAGGTTGCAGTGAGCCGAGATCACACCATTGCATCCCAGCCTGGGGGACAAGAGTGAGACTTCATCTCAAAAAAACAAAAGCAAAAACAAAATAGATAAATAGATCCAACATCCAGGAGGTGTTGACTCTCATACCTAGAACCTGGACATGTATGGAATTTCTAATCTCATTCCTGGACTTTCCTGCAGGTGTGATTGTGTGCATCTGCTAAGCACCTTAGTGATTTGAGTTTCCTGCCTTGACCCAGTCCACAGATAAGATTGTGACATATCGCTTGACTCTGCACCTTGAAGATATGACTTTCTCTTCCAGCCTTGGTGCTGCCCACAGGGTGGATTATGACATACTGCTAAGCCCTGCACTCAGGTTATGTGACTCTTCTCTTTTGCCCGTGCCCTGAATATTTCACATGTTAGGACATGTTACTAGGCTGAACACCTATAAAATCAGAGGCTCCTGCCTGGGCCCTGTCTAGAGAGGGCCTTGTGACATATCTCTTCATCAATCACCTAGGAGATGTGACTCTCCATTTTTGCCTGCACTCTGCCCACAGGAAAAATTGTGAATTGTCACTAGGCCCAGGTACCAGGTGTCTCTCCTACCTGGGCCTTGACCACAGAGAGCATTGTTACCTATTGCTGGGCTCAGCACCCAGGTGATACGACTCTACTGTCAGTGTCCTGCTTTCAGGAGAAAGTCGTAACATATTCCTGGCTGAGTATTCAGTTGATGTGACACTCCTGTGTGGTCCCTGCTGTAAGAAAAGATTGAGATGTATTCCTGGCCAAAAACCCAGGTGTTGTGACTCTTGTCTCTCCATATTCACAGGTGAGATTTTAAAATAATTTGGCCCAGCTCACAGGTGTGATGATGACTCTCATACCTCATACCTCACGGGTTCAGATAGAAGAATTCTCACCGGCTATGAACTGGATTTAGAAATGATTTACCATGCTGAGTGCGGTGGCTTTCATACCTCAAACCAGTCAGTAGGAGAGATGCTGTTTCTTATTGCTAGGCTTAAAATAATGAGTAAAATGCTGGCTCTCCTTCTTTTACAAAGGTTATAGAGAATATCCACTTTCTTGCATACTATATAAATCTCTAATTGTACAGAGATTGCCATTCCAGGGTTCAGAACACAGGTGAGATTGTGTTTCTCATATGCATACCCCAGCAACTATTAAAATTGTCACCCTCACACGTGGCCAGAGCCCACTGGTGAGGTCTCGAATCTCACACACGAACACGGTCCACAGTTGAAATTGTGACTGTCATACATGAACATCCAGCCAGAGTTGGAATTATGACTTTTTTCTTTCTTTTTTTTGGGATGCAGTTTCATTCTTGTTGCCCAGGCTGGAGTGCAATGGCATTATCTTGGCTCACTGCAACCTCCATCTCCTGGGTTAAGGCGATTCTCCTGCCTCAGCCTCCGAAGTAGCTGGGATTTCAGGCGCCCACCACCATGCCCGGCTAATTTTTTGTATTTTTAGTAGAGATGGGGTTTCATCATGTTGGCCAGGCTGGTCTCAAGCTCCTGACCTCAGGTGACCCACCTGCATCAGCCTCCCAAAGTGCTGGGATTACAGGCATGAGCCACGGAGCCTGGCATGACGACTCATTTCTAAATCCAGTTCATAGGCAGGTGAGAATTCTTCTATCTGAACCCGTGAGTATTCTATCTATCTAAGCCCAGGTATGGGAGTCAACATGTCCCCCAGCCAACTGGGGACATGTTGACTCCCATACCTGGGCTTAAGGCCACAGCGAATACAGTTCACAGGAGGTATGTAGAATCTCATACATGGATCCACTTTATTGGTGAGATTGTCACTATCATACTTAGACCCAACATAGAGAATGTGGGGACTCTCATACCTGGAACTGGGACCTGTGCAGGACTGTTAATTCATCACTGGACCTTTCTGCAGATGTGATTGTGACATACACTTCTAATCAGAACCTGAGTGACTTGACTTTTCTACCTGGTCATAGCCCAAAGGTGAGATTGTGATATATCACTGGAGCCAGCCCCTAGGTGATGTGACTCTCCTCTATTTTTGGGACCCCACAAATTTTGGGTATTGTCAGATATTGCTGGATCCTGCACCCCTGTTATGTGACTCTGCCACCTGTGCCCTGTATTTTGTGCCATATTTTGGCAAAATATGTCACATTAGACATTGTTACATATTGCTGGGTCCAACACCCAGGTGATGTAACATTATCTTCCTGGGCCCTGCCAGGAGGCATCTTTGTGACATAACTGAATGCCTATCACCATGATGATGTTACTCTCTTCTCCTGCCTGGTCTCTGCTCAGAGAAATTGTGAAACATCACTGGCCTATCTAGGTGATGTAAGTCTCCTCTTTTTCTTAGGCCACACATATTTGGGTATTGTGACATAGTGCTAGGCTCAACACCTAAGGGATGGGAATCTCTTACCTGGGCACTTCCTATAGGGGGCATTGTGACATATTTCTGCACTCATCACCTAGGAGATGTGACTCTCCTCTTCTGCCTGCACGCTGCCTACAGGAAAAATTGTAGCATATTGCTGTGGTCAGCAACCAGATGATGTGTTTCTCCTGCCTGGGTCTTTATTACAGGAAAGATTGTTGAAATATGACTGGGCCCGGCATCCAGGTGATGTGATTCTCTTCTTCTGCCTGGTCTTTGCTTACAGGGAAATTGTAGCATATTGCTATGCCCAGTACCTAGCTGATGTTACTCTAATCTTTTTCTTGGTTTTGCCTGCAGAGGATACTGTGACATATTGCCCGACTCTGCACTGACATTATGTGATTCTTCTGTCTGCGGTTTGCCCACTTGGGCCATTGTGAGATATTGCTGGGTCCAACAATGAGGTGATGTAACTTTTATGCCTGCACCTGGCCTACAGGGGGCATTTTGGAATGACGTTGCATCAATCACACAGGTGATGTGACTCTTCTGTTACCTGCTGTCTGCTCACAGGAAGGATTTTGACCTTTCACAGCATATAGCTGATGTGACTCTTCTTTTATTTCTTAGTTTTTCCTGAAAAACAGACTGTGGAATATTGCTGAACCTAGCACCAAATGGATATTACTCTTTTTTTTTCTTGGTCCTGCCCATGTAAGACATTGTGACGTATTGCTGGGCCCTACACCTAGATGATGTGAGTTTTCTGCCTGGACCCACCCCACTTACTGAAAATATTTTGACACATCTCTGAGCCCATCAGCTATTTTATGTGACTCTCCTCTTTTATCTGGGCTTTGCCCATAGGTTAGATTGTAATATATCTTTGGGCCTGGGTCATGCTAACAGAAGGAAGAGTGACTTATTGCTGGGTTCAGCACACAGGGGATGTGATTCTTTTGCTTGGTCCTTGCCCAAGTGGTCATTGTGACATATCTCTGGGCCGATTACCTAGACGATAGATCTCTCTTTTTTTTTTCTGAATCTGATTACCTAATGATAGACCTCTCCTTTTTTTTTTTTTCCTGAATCTGTCCACAGTGGGAAATGTAACATATCACTTGGCTGAGGACCTATGTCATGTGACTCTTCTCTCATGCCTAGGCTCTACCCACTGTGGTGATTGTGCTATATAGGTGTGCCCAGCTCCTATGTTATCTGATTCCTATATTTTTCTGGAGCCCTACAAACAGATAACATTATGAAATATCTCTGGGCCTTTAACCTTGGTGATGTGACTTTTCTGCCTGGACTCTCCTCTCAGGGGGTATTGTGATATGTTGCTGGATGCAGCATTTAGGTGATGCGACTTTTCCTCTACTACTTGGACTTTGACCAAAAAGGGATTGTGATGTATCACTGGGCCCAGCACCTACATGACGGGATTCTTTTCTCTTGTCTGGGTTCTGCATAGATTTTGTATTGTGACATATAGCCGGGTCTGTCAGCCCAGTGATGTGAGTCTTCTACATAAGCCTTGACCACAAGAGTAGATGACCTATCTTTTCATTCATCACCTGAGTGTTGTGACTCTTCTTTAGCCTGCAACCTGCCAAAAAAAGGATTATCATGTATCACTGGACCTAGCACCTAGATGATGTAACTTTCATCTTTTGCCTGGATCTTACATATTTTGCATATTGTTACATATCACTGGGTTTGACATTAGGAAATGGGAGGCTCCTATCTGGGCGCTGCCCACAGGGGGTCTTGTGACATATTTTGGCATTTGTCACCTATGAAATGTGACTCTTCTCATCTATATGCATCATGCCCAAAGAAAACATTGTAACATATCACTAGGCCCAGCACCCAGGTGATGTGACTTGCTGCCTGCGCCCATCTTACAGGCAGAGATTTTAATACATCCCTCGCCAAGCACCTAGGTGATATGACTCTCCTGCTTGGTCCTTGCCCTTAAAAAATATTGTGACATATCTCTGAACTAGCCCCAGGTGTGACTCTCTTGCCCCCTCCCTACCCAGAGATGTAATTGTGACATATGTCTTGTCCCCACTTACAGTTGCTGTAATAATTCTCATACCTCGAACCAGATAATAAAAGAGATACACCCTCTCTTAGCTAGCCTTAGAAAAACAAACATAATCCCGAGTCTCCTCTATTTGCAAAGGTCATAGAGAGTCACCACTCTTTTTTTTTTCTTTTTTCTTTTCTTTCTTTTTTTTTTTTTTTTAAGATGGAGTCTCACACTGTCGCCCAGGCTAGCATGCAGTGGCGTCACCTCAGCTCGCTGCAACCTCCACCTCCTGGTTCAAGTGATTCTCCTGCCTCAGCCTCCTGAGTAGCCAGGATCACAGGTGCCTGCCACCACACCTGGCTAATTTTTTGTATTTTTAGTAGAGACAGAGTTTCGCCATGTTGGCCAGGCTGGTCTCAAACTCCTGAACTCATGATCTGCCTGCCTGGGCCTCCCAAAGTGCTAGGATTACAGGCATGAGCCACTGCACCTGGCCCACCACTTTTAAATATTGTAAAAAGTTCTCAGGTGGCACAGAGCATCATGACAGGCCGAAAACATAGCTGAGATCATGTTTCTTAAATGAACACCCTGCCAACCATTATGATTGTTACCTCAATATGGACAGAGCCCCCTGGTGAGGTTCTGAATCTCACATGCACATGCAGTCCACGGTTGAAATTGTGACTGTGATATGCAAACATCCAGCCAGAAAAGAAATGATGACTAATTTCTAAACCTAGTTCATAGGCAGTTGAGGACTCTCCTATATGGATCAACCAATTGGACAGAAGTTGCCTCTCATTCCTTAGCTTAGAGCCACAGGTATAATCATGGGTCCATGGTACCACAAAGGTCTCAGAGTGGATTGTGACTCTCATGCATATTGTGTAAAGTCCTCAGATTGAGTAACCTTACATGGCCCAGCACACAGGTGACATTCTGACACCCGTATGCACAACCAGCCAACAGTAAATATTACATAAACACAACCCTTTTACATAAACACAACCCACTTCTGAAGTTCTGAAGATTCTGAAGTTCTGAATCTCACACCCGGAGGCAGTGGAAAGTTGCAAAATTGACTCTCATATGTGGACCTGTTCCACAACGGGGGTTGGTGACTCACAGACCAAGATTCCGCACACCTGTGAGGCTGTAATTTATTGAGGAGAGAGAGTTTGCAGAGAGATTGAGGCTCTTATGCATGGATCCATGCACATTGAGATTGTGACTTGTGTGGTTACACCCAACATCCAAACAGTGTTGACTTTCATAACTAGAGCAGGTACATGTGAGGAATTGTTCTTCTCATACCTGGGCCTTTCTGCAGGTGTGATTGTGACACATGCTTCTCAGAAACAGAGTGATTTGACTCTCCTGCCTGGGCCCAGCACACAGATGGGATTGTGGGATTGTGACACATCGTTGAACCCAGCATGTAGATAATGTGGATCTGTACTTTTTTCTTGGTGCTGCCACAGAGGGCATTGTGACATGTCACTGGTCCCTGCACCCTGGTAATGTGTTTGTCCTTTCTGTGCCCTACCCACATGGGCTATTGTAACATATTGCTGGGTCTAACACTCAGGTGATGTGAATCTCCTTCCTAGACCTTGCCTACAGGGGGAATTTTGCCATATTCCTGGACCTATCATCTATTTGATGTTACTCTCTACTTTTACAAGAGCTTTTCTCTAGGAGACATTGTAACCTATCTGGGCCAAGCACCTATGTGATGTTTCTCTTCTCTCTTGCCTGGGCCCTGACCACAGAAAGGAGAGTGACTTATCACTGGGTTCAGCACACAGATGATGTAATTTTTCTGCCTGGTCCCTATCCACAGGGGACATTGTGACATGTCCCTGGGTCCATAAACTAGATGCTGTGCCTCTCCTTTTGTCTCTGAGACCTGTCCATAGTGGGGATTGTGACATGTCACTTGACTCAGCATCTTCATAATGTGACTTTCATCTCATACCTGGGTCCCCCCACTGGGGTGATTGTGACATTTAACTAGTCCCAATTCCTAGGTTATGTGACTCCTCTCTTCTTCATGAACCTTACCCACATGGGGCATTTTCACATATCTCTGGAGCCCTCTCTTAGATGATGTGACTCTGCTTCATGGGCTCATTTTTTCTTTTCTTCAGGGAATATTGTGCTATATTTTTTGACCTAGCAACAAGGTGATGTGACTCTCTTCTACTGCTTGGGTTCGGCCAATGGAGGAATTGTAAGGTATCACTGGGGCCAGCACCTTAGTGATGTGACTCTCCTCTCCTGCTACAGGGTTCAGGTAGAAAGGAAGAGTCACATCACTTAGGTGACAAACAAAATGATATGCCCTAATTCCCTTAGCAGGGCCCATGCAGGGGGATCACATCACCTAGACGTTGGACCCAGCCATATTTAAATTTACAAATTTTATATTGTGTATGTTGAAAATTGTGTATATTGGCCAGGCGCAGTGGCTCATGCCTGTAATCCCAGCATTTTGGGAGGCCGAGGCGGGCAGATCACCTGAGGTCAGGAGTTCGAGACCAGCCTGACCAACATGGAGAAACCCCATCTCTATTAAAAATACAAAATTAGCCAGGCTTGGTGGCACGTGCCTGTAATTCCAGCTACTCAGGAGGCTGAGGCAGGAGAATCGCTTGAACCCTGGAGGCGGAGGTTGCAGTGAGCCAAGATCATGCCATTGCACTCCAGCCTGGGCAACAAGAGCAAAAACTCCATCTCAAAAAAAAAAGGAAAAGAAAAGAAAAGAAAACTGTGTATATTGAAATATGATTGGGTTCAACACCCAGGTGATGTGACTCTCTTGCATGGGCCCTGTTAATAGGGGAATTAGGACATATCTTTTTGTTTATCACCTAAGTGATGTAACTCTCCTTTTCTACCTGAACCCTATAAAAAGGGGGGATTGTGAGATATCACTGGACCTAGCATCTAGGTGATATCACTCTCCTTTTTCACCTGGGTTCCTTGTATTTTGGGTATTATGACATATCCCTGGGTCAAACCAAATGGGTGAAAGACTCTTGCCTGGGTTCTGCCCATAGGAGGTCTTGTGACATATCTGTGCATCCATTACTTTGGAGATGTGACTCCTCTTCTATCTGCACTATGTCCACACAGAAGATTGTGACATATCTCTGGGTTCATCAACAAGGTGGTGTGTCCCTTGTGCCCAGACTTTGCCTACAGAGAGAATTCTGACATAGCTAGGCCCAGCTCACCAGAGTGGTGTGACTTTGCTGTCTGTGTCTTGCTTTCAGGAGGGAATTGTGACATAACCCTGGCCAGGCAACCAGGTGATTTGACTCTCCTGCCTGGTCCCTGCCTTGGAAAAATTGTGACATATTCTTAACCCAGCACCCACGTGACGATACTCTCCTGTTTGCTTTCTACTCACAGGTTGGATTGTGACATACACTTTAGCACAGCTCATGGTTGTGATGATGACACTTACGCCACAAAACAGCCAATAGGAGAGATACTGCCACTTGTAGCTAGACTTACAGAAATGAATAAACTCCTGAGTCTTCTGTAGTAAGAACGTCATAAAGGATGGTCATTCTTTCATATATTGTGCAATGTCTTTGCATGGTACAAAGAGCGTCATCACAGAACCAGGCACACAGGTGAGACTGTGTTTCTCTCATGCACAACCTACCACATGGAAAGTTGCAAAATTGACTCTCATATGTGAACCTGGTCCACAGGGGGGTTGGTGACTCACAGACCAAGATTCAGCACGCCTGTGAGGATATAATTTAGTGAGAGGGAGTTTGCAGAGAGATTGAGGCTCTTATGCATGGATCCATGCACATTGAGATTGTGACTTGTGTAGTTACACCCAACATCCAAACAATGTTGACTTTCATAACTTGTAGCCCTCACACATGGACAGAGCCCACTGAAGAGATCCTTAATTTCACATGTGAATGCAGTCCACAGTAAAAATTGTGACTGTCACATGTGATTATGTGACCACAGTTAAGTTAGTGTCTCATTTCTAAACCCAGCTCATAGGCAGCTGAGGACTCTTCTCTCTGGACCCAGCCAATTGGAGAGATGTTGATTCTAATACATGGGCTTAGGTCCACAGGTACAATTGAGTCCATACTACAACAAAGGTCTCAGAACAACTTGTGACTATCATGCATATTGTATAAAGCTCTCAGTTAGTACAGAGAGTTCTGTAACAGGGCCCAGTGCACAAGCGACATTGTGACACTCCTATGCACACCCAGCCAACGATAAAGATTGTCATCTTTCCACATGAACACAGCTATTGAAGTACTGAATATCACACCTGGACATAGCCAAAAGTTGGAAAATTGACTCTCATACACGGATTTTGTTGAAATGTGGGTTGGTGACTCTCAGACCAAGATTCAGCATACGTGTGCAGCTTTGACCCCACTAAGGGGACACAGTCCCCAGCAACAATTGAGGCTCTCATCAGTGTATCCAGTTAACCGTTGAGACTGTGACTCGTGTACTCAGACTGAACATAACAAAAGGTGTTGACTCACCAGGCGCGGTGGCTCACACCTGTAATCACAACACTTTGGGAGGCCAAGGCAGGTGGATCACAAGGTCAGGAGTTCGAGACCAGCCTGGCCAACATGGTGAAACCCCATCTCTACTAAAAATACAAAAATTAGCCAGGCGTGGTGGTGCGTGCCTGTAGTCCCAGCTATTCAGGAGACTGAGGCAGGAGAATCACTTAAACCCAGGAGGTGGAGGTTGCAGTGAGCCAAGATCGCGCCACTTGTACTCCAGCCTCGGTGACAGAGCAAGACCCCATCTCAAAAAAAAAAAAAAGTGTTGACTCTAATACCTAGAAATGGGACATGTGTGGGATTGTTAATTTTATCTCTACATTGTTCTGCAACTATAATTGTGACATACACCTCTGCCCAGCACCCGAGTGATTTGACTCACCTGCCTGGTTTGCAGGCCACAAATTGGATTGTGACACATTGCTGAATCCAACACCTAGGTTGTGTGATCCATATTTTTGCCTCGGTATTGCCCATAGAGGGCATTGTGACATATTGCTGGGCCCTACAACTTGATTATGTGACTCTCCTGCCTGTGCCCTGCCTTCATGGGCCATTGTGACATATTGCTATGTCCAACATCCAGGTGATGTAACTCTCCTTGCTGGGTCCTGCCTACAGGAAGCATTATGACCTATCTGTGTACCCATTACCCGGGTAACGTGACTCTCTCTTTCTACCAGGTCCCTGCTCACAGAAAGGATTGTTACCTATCACTGGGCCTGGCACCTAGCTGATATGCCTCTTCCCTTCTACCTAGGTTCTGCTCACAGTGTAGATTGTGACATACTGTTGGGCCAAACACCAAGGTGATGTTACATTTTTGCCTTGGCCCTTTCCTCATCATGCATTGTGACATATTGTCAGGCTCAGAACCTAGGTGATATGAGCCTTCTTCCTGAACTCTGCCCACAGCAGGCATAGTGACATATCTGTGAATCCATCATCTATGTGATGTGACTCTTTTACTTAGGTTTTTCCTATAGGAGAGATTGTGACATATCTCTGGGCCCAACACCTAGATTATGTGACTCTTTTTTGCTGCTATTGCCACGCTCCCATAAAAGAGAGTGACTTATCCCCGGGATCAGCACACAGGGAACGTAATACTTCTGCCTGGTTCCTGTTCAAAGGGGTTCTTGTTACATATCTCTGGGCCCATTACCTAGATGATGTGACTCCTCTTCTTCCCGGGACCTGTCCACAGTGGGGATTGTGATGTATCACTTGGTTTAGCACCTATGTGATGTGACTCTTTTCTCATGCTTTGGCCCTGCCCACTGGGTGGTTGTGATATGTAGCTCGGCCCAGCTCTTAGGTTATGTGATCTTTCTCTTCTTCCTGAGCCCTACCCACAGGGGGCATTGTGACATATCTCTGAGCCTCTCACCTAGATGATGTGACTTTTCTGCCAGGGGTCTTCCCTCAGAGGGTACTGTGACATTTCTGGACCCAGAACTTAGGTGATATGACTCTCTTCTACTGTTTGGGCTCTGCACAAAATGTGACCTTTTTTTTTTTTTAGACGGAGTCTCACTGTGTTGCCCAGGCTAGAGTGCAATGGCATGTCTCTGCTCACTGAAACCTCCGCCTCCTGGATTAAAGTGATTCTCCTGCCTCAGCCTCCTGAGTAGCTGGGATTACAGGCACACACAACCATGCCTGGCTAATTTTTGTATTTTTAGTAGAGATGGAGTTTCACCATGTTGGCCAGGGTGGTCTCGAACTCCTGACCTCAGGTGATCCTCCTGCCTCAACCTCCCAAGTGCTGGGATTACAGGGGTGAGCCACCGCACCTGGCCCCAACATGGGACTTTTTTTATTTTTAATTTTGAGACAGAGTCTCACTCTGTCACCAGGCTAGAGTGTATTGGCATGATCTTGCCTCACTGCAATCTCTGCCTCCTGGGTTCAAGCAATTCTCCTGCCTCAGCCTCCCAAGTAACTGGGATTACAGGCATGTGCCACCACACCTGGCTAATTTTGTATTTTTACTAGAGATGGGGTTTCACCATGTTGGTCATGCTGGTCTCGAACTCCTGACCTAAGGTGATCCACCCACCTCGGCCTCCCAAAGTGTAGGGATTACAGGCGTGAGCCACCGCGCCTGGCCTAATTTTTGTATTTTTAGTAGAGACGGGGTTTCACCATGTTGGCCAGGATGGTCTCAATCTCCTGACCTCATGATCTGCCTGCCTCAGCCTCCCAAAGTGCTGGGATTACAGGCGTGAGCCACCACGTCTGGCGTGACTTATTTTTGTTTTTGTTTTTTTTTGTGCCTGGTCTCTGCACACATTGTGTATTGTGAAATATGGCTGGGTCCAACACCTAGGTAGTATGAGTCTCCTGCATGGTCTCTGTTCAGAAAGGTGTTATGACATATTTTTCATCACTTAAGTGTTGTGACTCTCCTTTTTTGACTAGAATCTGCCACACAAAGAACAGTTGTGAAATATCACTGGACCGAGCACCTAGGTGATATGACTCTACCTTTTTCCTGTGTATTGGGTATTGTGATATATTGCTGGGCCCAACACCTAGGGGATGGGAAGCTCCTTTCTTGACCCCACCCACAGGGCCTTTGTGACAAATCTCTGCATCCATGACCTAAATATGTGACTCCTCTATTCTGCCTGTGCCCTGCTCACAGGGAAGATTGTGACATATTGCTAAGTGCAGTGTATCTTGTGCTGATCTCCTATCTCATCCTGTAACTATGAATGCCTAACCTGGGGATGCAGCCCAGTAGGTCTCAGCCTCATTTTACCCAGCTACTTTTTGAGATGGAGTTGCTCTGGTTTGAACACCTCTGATATTGAGATCCACTATAAAATTATGAAAAAAATCTACATGAATTATAGTGAACAAGAAATGGAAGAATTAGGATGGGCTATTTTGAAAGATGTAGGATAGTTATATTTGTGTTTATGAGTTTTCTATTAACCTCCATTTGTAACTTATGAATAGACATCTTGTTTTAGTCTGTCTAGTTTAAACAGATACACTTGATAATAAAAGGGGTCCCTGCTGTGAAAGGAAAATAAATCTCGTGACGTGAAAATTACTAAGCCACTGGAAAAGTCAATCTGAGAACTATGTCGGGCAAATCTGCCTTCCATTTTATTTCTAAATAAGATAGCTACAAAGATAAATAAAAGCTACATACCTTCTTCACAATTTGCCCACAGACATTTCTTGTGTGAACAAATGACAGACAGAACTCAAAGTCATCCCTCTGAGACTTGCCTGAGACATATGAATATCTGATTGCCTCCCCTGCCCTATTGCTAATTTATTTTACATTTTTGAGACAGAGTCTCGCTCTATCATCCAGGCTGGAGTGCAGTGGCATGATCTCACCTCACTGCAACCTCCACCTCTCAGGTTCAAGTGATTCTCCTGTCTCAGCCCCCAAGTAGCTGGGATTACAGGTGCCCGCCACCATGCCCAATTAATTTTTGTGTTTTTAGAGGAGACAGGGTTTCACCATGTTGGCCAGGCTGGTCTTGAACTCCTGACCTCAAGTGATCCACCCACCTCAGCCTCCCAAAGTGCTGGGATTACAGATGTGAGCCACTGTGCCTGGCCCCTATTGTTAATTTAGAAATGCAGATTCACTGAGCCAGACTAAATTTTGTATTCAGTGGAAGGCTGATCAAGGACTCAAAAGAATTTATCCTTTTGTCTTTTATTTACTTATGACCTGGCAGCCCCAATCTCAAGCTGACCCCCCTTAACAGGCGAAACCAATGTACATCTTATACATATTGATTGATGTCTTATGTCTTCTTTTTTTTTTTGAAACAGTCTCACTCTGTCACCCAGGCTGGAGTGCAGTGGTGTGATCTTGGCTCACTGCAGCCTCCACCTCCCGGGTTCAAGCAATTTTCCTGTCTCAGCCTCTGAGCAGCTGGGACTACAGGCATATGCCACCAAGCCCAGCTAATTTGTCTTCTTAAAATGCATAAAAGCAAGCTATATCCCGACCACCTTGGGTACATGTCACCAGGACCTCCTGAGGCTGTGTCATGGGCTCATTCTTAACTTTGGGAAAATAAGCTTTCTACATTGAGACCTGTCTCAGATAACTTTTGGTTTACACAGGCAAGACCCTGCTAGCTGGTCACTAATGCACCCCAGACTGAAGCACGACCATTGCAGGAACTCTGGTTCCTTGATAACAGTTGTTTCATTTGAATGGCACATGGGCAGGTGTGTACCTGAGACTGCAGCAGTGAGCTCCTGGGGGATACGGGATGTTGCAAGCACCAGCTTCCAGCTAGTCTAGGGAATCTAGACAGTCTAGACAATCTTCCTTGTGACTGTTTAAAGTTTTGTTGTTGTTGTTTTTGTCGTTTTTGAGACAGAGTCTCGCTCTGTTGCCCAGGCTGGAGTGCAATGGCAGGATATCGGGTCACTGCAACCTCCACCTCTCGAGTTCAAGTGATCCTCCTGCCTCAAACCCCTAGTAGCTGGGATTACAGGCACGCACCACCATACCTGGCTAATTTTTGTATTTTTAGTAGAGATGGGGTTTCGCAATGTTGGCCAGGCTGCTTTCGAGCGGCTCACACCTGTAATCCCAGCACTTTGGGAGGCCAAGGTTGGCAGATCACCTGAGGTCAGGAGTTCGAGATCAGCCTGGCCAACATGACGATATCCTGTCTCTACTAAAAAAAAAAAAAATACAAAAATTAGGCATGGTGGCAGGTGCCTGTAATCCCAGCTACAAGGGGGGCTGAGGGAGGAGAATCTCTTGAATCTTGGAGGCAGAGGTTGCAATGAACTGAGATCAAGCCACTGAACACCAGTCCGGGCAGAGTGAGACTCTGTCTCAAAAAACAAAATTCTTTACTGTAGTGCGAAGATGGGAATAAATAGCTCCTGGATGCTAACAATGGCTGTCAGTATATTCTAGGCTTGTCCAAGGTGGCCATGCAGGGGTTCTGGGTCCTTCTGTGGCTCCTCTCTCAGTGGCTGGTGAAATGGTTTTGTCTTTCTTGTGATCCAGGGTGTGTGTGTGTAAGGGGAGTTGATGGTTGATGGCAGGGTGGGGAAAGGAGGTAGGAGCCAGATTCCTGGAAGGCATCTTCAGGCATTATTTTTGTGGGTTGACAAGTCTCTAATTTGAATTTGTTTCCTCTTTATAGTTCATGTGACCTAAGCAAGGGGGTGAGAGAAGAAAAATAGCTCATGGCAGTCTCAGCTTTGTGCGTTCTGCACAATTCATCAAGCCCAGAGAGATGAGAGTCTAGGACTTCAGTCTCACTCCACACCTGTGCCCAGGGTCAATTGTTTAAAGCTATTATGTGTTGCTGGGCACAGTGGTTCATGCCTGTAATCCCAGCACTTTGGGAGGCCGAGCCGGGTGGATCATGAGGTCAAGAGATCGAGACCATCCTGGCCAACAGGGTGAAACCCCATCTCTACTAAAAATACAAAAATTAGCCAGGTGTGGTGGCAGGTGCCTGTAGTCCCAGCTACTCAGGAGGCTGAGGCAGGAGAATGGCATGAACCCGGAAGGCAGAGGTTGCAGTGAGCTGAAAAAGTGCCATTGCACTCCAGCCTGGTGACAGAGTAAGACTCCATCTCAAAAAAAAAAAAAAAAAAAAAGATGTTATGTGTTATGTGCATCTGTATAAGAGACCACCTTAGCAGGCTTACTGTGAGCAACAAGGCTGTTTATTCACTCAGGTGCGAATGAGCTGAGTCCAAAAAGGGAGTCAGCAAAGGGTGGTGTCAGTGGAAGTGGTTTTATAGGTTTGGGGTAGGTAGTGGAAAGTTACAGTTAGGGCAGTTTTTTCAGGCAGGGGAAGAATGTCACAAGGTGCATAGTCACGAGGTAGGGGGAGGTTACAAGGCACGATATCACAAAGTCGATTGATTAGTTAGGGAAGGGCAGCAACATATCACAATGGTGGAATGTTGCAAGGTTGGTTAATCAGTTAAGGCAGGAACTAGCTGTTTCTTCTTCTTTAGTGGTTCTCCTGTTGCTACAGGCTTTGTGACTCCAGGAGGCCTGTACATGTGGGTCACAGAGGTTGCAATGGCTCCACCATGGTGTAGCCTGTTCAGAGGACCTTACATTGTGTTTCTGACTGGCTGTCTCACCCATTATTTCTTTTTTCTGAAATTTGTAAAATAAAGAAAAATAGCTAATCAATAGCTTATGTATTTTAATGTAAATTTTTGGTAAACCACTTTAGAACTGCCTTCTCATTTTCATAGAAATACCTGCTTGTAATGGCTGCTAATCAGAATATATATTCAGGGCAATTTAAATCTATCCTTATGGAGGTGATCCTCAATATGCGACCCTGAATAAATTTGTTTCAAATTTGATTCTAAACTTTTTGATTATTTTAAGTTAACTAGGGGCTGGCCTGGAACATTCTCCTGGGTATAATAGCCCAACTATGAGCCACCTGCTCAGTGAAGGAAACGAATCAACATCAGGGCCCAGCATAGGTCAAACACACATGCAGTGGGAAGCTCTGTGGGGCCTGGCTCCTAATTGCAAAGACAGTCACACTGATGCCCCTGAATGTATGGCCAGCCTGCCCTTTCTGGACCCAAATCCCCCCGCCAGCTTTTTTAAGCTCACCTGACCTTTTGTTGGTCTGTTCTCTGAGGTGAAAACTCATTTTCAGGGTTGTCTCCAACAGGAGAGAAATATCAGGTTACTAAAACCTCAGGAACAGAGATTACAGATTGGTTTAAGAGTGTGCCCAGGCCGAGCATGGTGGCTCATGCCTATAATCCCAGCACTTTGGGAGAGATGGGCAGATCACTTGAGGTCAGGAGTTCAAGACCAGCCTGGCTGACATGGTGAAACCCCATCTCTACTAAAAATACAAAAAATTAGCTTGGTGTGGTGGTGGGTGCCTATAATCCCAACTACTTGGGAGGCTGAGGTGGGAGAATCACTGGAACTCGGGAGGTGGAGGTTGTAGTCAGCCGAGATCGGGCCACTGCACTCCAGCCTGGGAGACAGAGCAAGACTCCGTCTCAAAAAAGTGTGCCCTTTCCTAAGGATGGTATGCATGGAAAGACAGAAAGCAATTTCAGAAGGATACCAAAAAAACTTCCCCTAATGGGTACTTTAAGTAGTCAGGCTGGGGCAGAGGAGCTTTTTAATGATATGCCCCTTTTTTGAACAATTTATCTATTCATTTAAATGGTATAAGGTACTATTTTTACTTTTACAAAGGCAAGATAGCTCCTCTAACATCCCAGGAGATAAGGGGTTAAGCTGAAAGTTTTAACTCTGTATTACAGGATTGGTTTTTCTGGCAACCAATCCCCATTCTGAGGCTGTCCAGAAGCCCCTGGAAAGCAGTAATCTCATTAGCATGCGAAAGACATTTCTCATATCAGACATTCCAAAGATTTTAAGGGCTGCATACAAAAAAACTGAGACAGAATATAACCACATTCTCACACTGATAGGAGCCACCAGGCCTGGCTCAGCTCTGGCTCTCCCTGGGAAGCTTTGTTCTACCCACCTCATTTTAACTAGAGCTCACCCCCATTAGCCCTGTGCACACACATTCTTTATAGCAGCAGCATGTCCTGGCACTTCACATTCTCTGAAATGATCTTGAGGTTTGTTGTTTACTTCTTTATGTCTTTGCTCCTGGGAGCTGTGTCTAGTTTACCACTATGTTCCTAGTGCCAATCACAGTGCTTGGTCCATGGCAGGTGCTCAAAGAGTAGTTTTTTTGTTTTTGTTTTTGACAGAGTCTTGCTCCATCACGCAGCTGGAGTGCAGTGGCACGATCTTGGCTCACTGCAACCTCCACCTCCCGGGTTCAAGCAATTCTTCTGCCTCAGCCTCCCAAGTAGCTGAGACTACAGGCATGTGCCACCACACCCAGCTAATTTTTGTATTTTTAGTAGAGACAGGGTTTCACCATGTTGGCCAGGATGATCTTGATCTCTTGACCTTGTGATCCACCTGCCTCAGCCTCCCAAAGTGCTAGGATTATAGGCATGTGCCACCATGTCCGGCCAAGAGTAGTTTTTTTAATCAATGAATTATAGCACTTTCTATTCAAGAGAAGCAGAGAGGAGTAAGTCAGAGCACACCTTAGCTCAACCACTCCCTATATGGGTGGCCTTGGACAAGTCCCTGAATTTTTTTTCCTTCAGTCACTTGTCTGTGACATGGGGAATAATTAAACTTACAGAGTTTTTGCTGATGAGGATTTAATGAGCAAAAATATTTAAAATGCTTTGAAACACAGGCTGGCAAAGCAAGAGTGCTCCACACATTAGCTGTTTGCATTATCATGCCCCTGGTTGTTGGGCCTTATATTTACTCATCATTTAGCTCTTGAATGTTTGTTCAACTCATTGCATATAAGTAAAATACATTTTGAACTGTGTTTAGTATTTCACACTGAAGTTATTTAAAATATCCATATTCAGGCAGGGCATGGTTGCTAATGCCTGTAGTTTCAGCACTTTGGGAAGCCTAGGCAGGCGGGTTGCTTGAGCTCAGGAGTTCGAGTTCAGCCTGGGAAACACGGCGAAACCTCATTTCTACAAAAAAGTACATAAAACTAGCTGGGTGTGGTATCATACACCTGTAGTGTCAGCTAATTAAGAGGCTGGGATGGGAGAATCACCTGAGCCCAGGGAGTTGACGCTGCAGTGAGCCATGATCAAGCCACTGCACTCCAGCCTGGGTAATGGAGTGAGACCCTCTCTCAAAAAAGTAAATATAAACAGTTGATATTTATATATAATTTCTCTATGCTGCATAAATCTTATAGCACTGAGTTGTTTTTTAGATTTAGTATTTTTTAGATAATGTACATTATCTGCATTTTTCGTGATACTTTTTGTATTTAAAAAGTGTTCTCTTTATCTGTGCAAATGAATGTATTCTCTCTTATTTTCAGCTAATAACCTTATCCACATATTTTTAAAATATTTTCTTAAATTACCTGGAAGAGTTGATACAATCTTATTTTATAATTTCTGAGGGAACATATAAGTATCTGGACACTATGTAATAAAGTAACTTTCATAATACATTTAAGTGCTTCTTTTATCAGATGCTATTCATTTTAAATCCATTCTTTTTTTATACATTCTATGAATGGATAAAGAATAGATAGATGTCATATAAAATATGTGTAGGTAAATGTAGATGCGAAAACACATCTGTTGAGACAATTCCTGTTTTCAGAATCATAGAGAATGGTCACTTTTTAAACTTTTCATGTAATTAAACAACACATTTTCCATCTTTAATTGCATTGACATTCTAATACAATACATATATATACAACATATTATTTTTAATACATTTCTGGATTCCATTTATTATTTTATTAGAACTTCTGTACCTATTTTGACATGAGATTAACTTTAAAATGTATTTTGCTGTATTTGCTCAGTTTTTATTTCAAGTAATACTAAAGAAGGAATCATGAATTTTACAAGTGTAATCAAAGACAACCAAGAAATTTTTATTTTTTCCTTCAAAAGCTAAGTGTAGTGTAGCCCCCCAACAAAGTCTAAGTTAGAGAAGAATACTAACTGCCTGTTTTTCCTTCTGTGCTCAGAGAGCCTTATCTGTACTCACCAGTTTCACATTCCTTGAGGCTCAGTGAGTTTCTGCTTCACCTCCCTAGCGCAGCTGCAGTTACAAGGTTGGTAAGCATATGTTACAGAAACATGGTTTCCCAAGGATGTGGAACACATAGTATAGATAAATGTAAAAGACTGATCAACTGCCTCTGTTCTCACTTCTGTAAGTATGCTTCCTGCATCACGTAGCTCCCGGCTGCTGACTGCTTAAAAGGTGGCTGCTTTCTTTGTCTGGGGCTCACTTTCCTGGACTCTAGTCCTACTGAGCCAGGTGATCACCTTAATAAAGGCTTTCCTGAACTCTGTTCGGTCTCTCCCATCTCTGATTGTCCCACAACAATACTACATCATGGGAACACATTGCTGCCTTTCTATATTATGTTATTCATCAATTTCTAAAACCTGAAAATTATCTTATGTTGAATTTTTTATGGAAATAGAATAGTCTTCACTAAGGATATTCTATTAGTACTATAGTACTAATGCAGCTTAAAGTCAGGAAAGCTAAGCTTTTTTTTTTCTTTCTGGTCATATTATCTATACTATATGATATTTTGTTATTTTTATTTATTTGAATTTGCTTTCTTTTTTTTTGTTGTGTTTTGTTTTTTTGAGATGGAGTTTAGCTCTTGTTACCCAGACTGGAGTACAATGGTGCAATCTTGGCTCACTGAAACCTCCGCCTTCCAGGTTCAAGTGATTCTTCTGCCTCAGCCTCCAGAGTAGCTAGGATTACAGGCATGTGCCACCACACCCAGCTAATTTTTTCTTTTTTTTTTTTTCCTTTTTTTTTTGAGATGGTGTCTTGCTCTGTCCCCCAGGCTGGAGTGCAGTGGCACAATTTTGGCTTACTGCCATTTCTGCCTCCCAGGTTCAAGCAATTCTCCTGCCTCACCCTCCTGAGTAGCTGAGATTACAGGTGTGTGCCACCATGCCTGACTAATTTTGTATTTTTAGTAGAGACGGGATTTCACCATATTGGTCAGGCTGGTCTAGGAACTCCTGACCTCATGAACTGCCTGCCTTGGGCTCCCAAAGTGCTGGGATTACAGGCGTGAGCCACCGTGCCTGGCTAATGCTATTTTTATATTTTGATATAAAAATAAAACCTCTGTCTGCATGTAGTGGCTCATGCCTGTAATCCTAGCCCTGTGTGGTAGGAGTTATTAAGAAATTATTTTACGTGGATTAGAGGAAAATAGGTCCTTGGGAAGTTTTCATTTTTTAAAGTATCTCTGGAAAAGTTTCTTTTAAAGCCCCAGCTCTTAGAGCCAGGCTGGCAACTTTTGATATACAAATGCAGGCCCTTAGAAACTTGGTCCACCCAATTTGGTGATTCCCTCGTGGCCTTCTTGCCCTTGCACCAAATGTTCCTGGCAACATGGCCACCCCCACATATCTCCACGTGTGTAGAACATCCATGGCGCCCTGCCTTTGCATATTAAAAGGCTAAAGTAGGAGGGCCAGCTTTTTCACGGGCTATGTGAATGACATGCGAGACCAGCCTATGCTACATAGGGAGAGCTTATCTCTACAAAAAGAAAAATGGGAGATTAGCTGAGCATGGTGGCACATGCCTGGGGTCTCTGCTGCTCAGAGGCTGAAGTAGCAAAAGTGCTTGAGCCTAGATTGTTGAGGCTGCAATGAGCTGTGATCACGCCACTGCGCTCCACCCTGAGTGACAGAGATAGTCTCTCTCAAGAAAAAGGAAAAAAAAAAGAAAAGAAAACCACAGAGATTAAATGATAAAATATTTGCTTAATGTTTGTAAAGCTCTAATTGCATAGCAGATTTCTAGAAGTCAGTTGCCAAGGCTAATGCCTATGTATTGAGACAGCCAAGTAAAAATGAGTCCTCAGAGAATCTCAAACCGGCCTATGCACTGGGAGGATGGGGCAGAGCCTCAGGAAGTTCACACCGTCTGCAGGAGGAGTTTCCTGGCCTCTCCTGTT
The DNA here is from genome assembly GCF_000001405.40 of Homo sapiens. NCBI lineage: Eukaryota > Metazoa > Chordata > Mammalia > Primates > Hominidae > Homo > Homo sapiens. The sequence goes on along the minus strand of NC_000019.10, from coordinate 23,034,390 downwards.
CCTGTATGGGGACCTGGAATTCAATCGGTGAGGTGGAGAGCTTGTTAGCAGGACCCCATCTCATTTTATTGAGTTGTTTTCTTCTTCCTTTTTGCCTAATAAATTCTGCTCCTCGCCCCTCTATGTGTCTGTGAACCTAATATTTCCTGGTAATTTTACAAGAAACTGGTTTTTTTCCTATAACATTTTTGGTTTCCAGACATGGGGCTTGAGGAAGGGTGAGTACCATACAAACTCAAAAACCTTCTTTCCTTTTATTTCTAAGCCTTTTTCTCTTCAGACCTCCTTTGAGAGTGCACCCCACCCCACCCCAATGGCTGCAGGTATGTGGAGGATGGACCAGGGAATGGCAGCTTCCCCACACCACTCCCAACTAGGGCTGGAGTCCATGGTTACAGGGTGCCCGATGCCAGGCTGGCCAGCACTCCCTGCCATGCATCCATAGAGGCTTGCCCTCCCCCAGCCAAAAGATCCCACTTTATTAGGGAGCAATGAAGTTTCTCTCTCTGGTAGAGAAGCCCATTTGCATAAGAATAAGACGTTCTTCCCCAGGCATCTTTTCTTTTTTTTCTACCTTGTCAGGGTTGACTTTTCTTTTTTTTTTTTTTGAGATAGAGTTTCACTTATGTTACCTAGGCTGGAGTGCAGTGGTGTGATCTTGGCTCACTGCAACCTCTGCTTCCCGAGTTCAAGTGATTCTCCTGCCTCAGCCTCCATGAGTAGCTGGGATACAGGCGTGCATCACCACGCCTGGCTAATTTTTGTATTTTTAGTACAGACAGACAGGGTTTTGCCATGTTGGCCAGGCTGGTCTCAAACTCCTGACCTCAGGTGAGCCACCCACCTTGGCCTCCCAAAGTGCTGGGATTACAGGCATGAGCCACGCACATAGCCAGCAGTTGACTTTTAAGCGTGTTTTCTTTTTTTTCTCTTTGGAGGACATTCTGTTGATCCAGGAATGATGAACATCACTGTTTATATCTTCTGTAGAGTTTTTATTGTAGGAAAAATTTGTGAGCTTGATCTTAAGTAGCCAATCTGGTGTGCTTTGTGTGCTGTATGGTCTGTAGCAAACTTTGCTGCAGGCCTCCATCCGGTTTTAAGTCACAACCACCACATGGTTGTCACGCACGTCTGTGTGAAGAGACCACCAAACAGGCTTTGTGTGAGCAATAAAGCGCTTTAATCACCTGGGTGCAGGTGGGCTGAGTCCGAAAAGAGAGTCAGTGAAGGGACATAGGTGTGGGGCCTCTTTATAGGATTTGGGTAGGTAGTGGAAAGTTACAGTCAAAGGGGGTTGTTCTCTGGCGGGCAGGGGCGGTGGTCACAAGGTGCTCAGTGGGGGAGCTTCTGAGCCAGGAGAAGGAATTTCACAAGGTAATGTCATCAGTTAAGGCAGGAACTGTCCATTTTCATTTCTTTTATGATTCTTCACTTGCTTCAGGCCATCTGGATGTATACGTGCAGGTCACAGGGGATATGATGGCTTAGCTTGGGCTCAGAGGCCTGACGATGATAATGTTTTGTTCTAGCCTTTGCGATTTTACAATGGTTGTCTGGGGTTTAATCCTGGCTTAGAAAATGAGTTCTTTCTGGTTTGATGTCTGTGTGACTTTTGCTTTTTGCTAATTCTTTTTTCCTTTATGAACTGCCTTCGATTCTCCTTTCTCTGAACTTCTAATAAAATTTGGAAGCCAGAAATAATGGCTGCTTGGCATGGCTAAAGTTAAGTAATAAGGGAGTTAAAAGAATTTTCTTAAAGAGCGATCAGCTTAATTAAAAGTGGACATCCAAGTTATAAGTATATTTAAAAGGCCTTGCGGATGTATCACCTGAGGTCAGGAGTTTGAGACCAGCCTGACCAATATGGTGAAACCCCATCTCTACTAAAAATACAAAAAAATTAGCCGGGTGTGGTGGCATGCACCTGTAGTCCCAGCTACTCAGGAGGCTGAGATAGGAGAACTGCTTGAATCCAGGAGGCAGAGGTTGCAGTGAGCCAAGATTGTGCCACTGCACTCCAGCCTGGGTGACACAGTGAGACTCTGTCTCAAAAAAAAAAAAAAAAAAAAAAAAGGCCTTAATGTTTTTCTTTCTTGGATGTTGTTTTGTTGGAAAAAGAATTTTTCTCAGCGGACTGAAGTATTTTTCTTGATTTTTGTCACACCTCTGAGCCCAAGCTAAGCCATCATATCCCCTGTGACCTGCATGTATATATCCAGATGGCCTGAAGCAAGTGAAGAATCACAAAAGAAGTGAAAATGGCCTGTTCCTGCCTTAACTGATGACATTACCTTGTGAAATTCCTTCTCCTGGCTCAGAACCTCCCCCATTGAGAACCTTGTGACCCCCACCCCTGACCGCCAGAGAACAACCCCCTTTGACTGTAATTTTCCACTACCTACCCAAATCCTATAAAACAGCCCCACCCCTATCTCCCTTCGCGGACTCTCTTTTTGGACTCAGCCAGCCTGTTCCCAGGTGAAATAAATAGCCTTGTTGCTCACACAAAGACTGTTTGGTGGTCTCTTTACACAGATGCACGTGACATTTGGTGCCGAAGACCCAGGATAGGAGGACTCCTTTGGGAGACCGGTCCCCTGTCCTCGCCCTCACTCCATAAGGAGATCCACCTACAACCTCGGGTCCTCAGACCAACCAGCCCAAGCAACATCTCACCAATTTCAAATTGGGTAAGCTGTCTTTTCACTCTCTTCTCCAGCCTCTCTTGCTACCCTTCAATCTCCCTGTCCTTCCAATTCCAGTTCTTTTTCCTCGCTAGTAGAGACAAAGGAGACACTTTTATCCGTGGACCCAAAACTCCAGCGCCAGTCACAGACTCGGGAAGACAGTCTTCCCTTGGTGTTTAATCACTGCTGGGATGCCTGCCTAATTATTCACCCACACTCCATTTGTGTCTGATCACCACTGGGATGCCTGCCTTGGTCATTCACCCACATTTCCTTAGTGGCAAGTCAATTGTGGGGATGCCTGCTTTGGCTGCTCACCCACATTGCAGCCCAGGGCTGCTCACTACCCACCCCTTCTCTGTGTCTCTACCCTCTCTTTTCTCTGGGCTTGCCTCCTTCACTATGGGCAACCTTCCACCCTCCATTCCCCCTTCTTCTCCCTTATCCTATGTTCTCAAAAACTTAAAACCTCTTCAATTCTCACCTGACCTAAAACCTAAGCATTTTATTTTCTTCTGCAACACTGTTTGGCCCCAATACAAACTCGATAATGGTTCTAAATAGCCAGAAAATGGTACTTTTGATTTCTCCATTTTACAAGACCTGGATGATTTTTGTTGAAAAATGGGCAAATGATCTGAGGTGCCTGATGTCCAGGCATTCTTTTACACATCGGTCCCTCCCTAGTCTCCGTTCCCAATGCAACTCATCCCAAATCCTCCTTCTTTCCCTCCCACCTGTCCCTTCAGTCCCAACCCCAAGTGTCACTGAGTCTTTTGAATCCTTTTCTACAGACCCATCTGACCTCTCCTCCCCAGACTGCTCCTTGCCAGGCCGAGTCAGGTCCTGATTCTTCCTCAGCCTCTCTTCCCCAACCCTATAATCCTTTATCACCTCCCCTGCTCACACCTGGTCTGGCTTACAGTTTTGTTTCGTGACTAGCTCTCCCCCACCTGCCCAGCAATTTCCTCTTAAAAAGGTGGCTGGAGCTAAAGGCATAGTCAAGGTTAATGCTCCTTTTTCTTTATCTGACCTCTCCCAAATCAGTTAGCGTTTAGGCTCTTTATCATCAAATATAAAAACACAGCGCAGTTCATGGCCTGTTTGGCAACAACCCTTAGACACTTTACAGCCCTAGACCCTGAAGTGTCAGAAGGCCATCTTATTCTCAATATGCATTTTATTACCCAATCTGCTCCCAACATTAAATAAAACTCCAAAAATTATATTCTGGCCCTCAAACCCCACAACAGGACTTAATTAACCTCACCTTCAAGGTGTACAATAATAGAGAAGAGTTGCAATTACTTTCCTCTGCTGTGAGAGAAACCCCAGCCACATCTCCAGCACACAAGAACTTCAAAACGCCTAAGCCACAGCAGTCAGGTGTTCCTTCAGGACCTCCTCCCCCAGGATCTTACTTCAAGTGCTGGAAATCTGGCCACTGGGCCAAGGAATGCCCACAGCCCAGGATTCCTCCTAAGCCATGTCCCATCTGTGTGGGACCCCACTGGAAATTGGACTGTCCAATTGGCCCAAGGCTCTGACTGACTCTTTCCCATATCTTCTCGGCTTAGCAGCTGAAGACTGATGCTGCTCTGATCACCTCGGAAGCCTCCTGGACCATCATAGACACTTTGAGTAACTCTTACAGTGGAGGGTAAGTCCTTCCCCTTCTTAATCAACACAGAGGCTGCCCATTCCATATTACCTTCTTTTCAAGGGCCTGTTTCCCTTGTCTCCATAACTGTTGTGGGTATTGATGGCCAGGCTTCTAAACCTCTTAAAACTCCCCAACTCTGGTGCCAACTTGGACAATATTCTTTTATGCACTCCTTTTTAGTTATCCCCACCTGCCCAGTTCCCTTATCAGGTCTAGGCATTTTAACTAAATTATTTGCTTCCCTGACTATTCCTAGGCTACAGCCACACCTCATTGCTACCCTTTTTCCCAGTTCAAAGCCTCCTTTGCCTCCTCCCCTTGTTTCTCCCCACCTTAATCCACAAGTATAGGACACCTCTACTCCTTCCTTGGCAACCGAACATGCACCCCTTACCATCCTGTTAAAACCTAACCACCCTTATGCCACTGAATGCCAATATCCCATCCCACAGCACTCTTTAAAAGGATTAAAGCCTGTTATCACTCACCTGTTACAGCATGGTCTTTTAAAGCCTATAAACTCTTCTTACAATTCCCCCATTTTACCTGTCCAAAAACTGGGCAAGTCTTACAAGTTAGTTCAGGATCTGCACCTTATCAACCAAATTGTTTTGCCTATCCACTCCGTGGAGCCAAACCCATATACTCTCCTATCCTCAATACCTCCCTCCACAACCCCTCCACAACCCGTTATTCTGTTCTGGATCTCAAACATGCTTTCTTTACTATTCCTTTGCACCCTTCATCCCAGCCTCTCTTCGCTTTCATTTGGACTGACCCTGACACCCATTGGGCTCAGCAAATTACCTGGGCTGTACTGCCACAAGGCTTCACGGACAGCCCCCATTACTTAAGTCAAGCCCAAATTTATTCCCCATCTGTTACCTATCTCGGCATAATTCTTCATGAAAACACACAAGCTCTCCCTGCTAATCATGTCTGGCTAATCTTCTGAACCCCAACCCTTTCTATAAAACAACAACTCCTTTCCTTCTTAGGCATGGTTAGGTACTTCTGCCTTTGGATACCTAGTTTTACCATCCTGACTAAACGATTATATAAACTCAGAAAAGCAAACCTAGCTTACCCCATAGATCCTAAATCCTTTCCCCACTCCCCTTTCCATTCCTTGAAAAACAGCTCCCACACTAGCTCTCCCTAACTCATCACTCCCTTTTCATTACACACAGCTGAAGTGCAGGGCTGTGTGGTCAGAGTTCTTACAGAAGAGCTGGGACTGCGCCCTGTAGCCTTTCTGTCCAAACAACTTGACCTTACTGTTTTAGCCTAGCCCTCATGTCTGTGTGCTGTGGCTGCCGCTGCTTTAATATTTTAGAGGCCCTCAAAATCACAAACTATGCTCAACTCACTCTCTACAGTTCTCATAACTTCCAAAATCTATTTTCTTCCTCACAGCTAACACATATACTTTCTGCTCCCCAGCTCCTTCAGCTATACTCACTCTTTGTTGAGCCTCCCACAATTACCATTGTTCCTGGCCCAGACTTCAATCCAGGCTCCCACATTATTCCGGATACCACACCTGACCCCCATGACTATATCTCCCTGATCCACCTGACATTCACTCCATTTCCCCATATTTCCTTCTTTCTTGTTCCTCACTCTAATCACACTTGGTTTATCAATGGCAGTTCCACCAGGCCTACTCGCCGCTCATCAGCAAAGGCAGGCTATGCTATAGTATCTTCCACATCTATCATTGAGGCTACCACTCTGCCCCCTCCACCAGCTCTCAGCAAGTCGAACTCATTGCCTTAACTTGAACCCTCACTCTCACAAATATTGATGATGTGTCAATATTCATACTGACTCTAAATATACCTTCCATATCCTGCACCACCATGTTGTTATATGGGCTGAAAAAGGTTTCCTCGCTATGCAAGGGTCCTCCATCTTTAATGCCTCTTTAATAAAAACTCTTCTCAAGGCCGCTTTACTTCCAAAGGAAGCTGGAGTCATTCACTGCAAGGGCCATCAGAAGACGTCAGATCTCATAGCTCAGGACAACGCTTATGCTGCTGAGGTAGCTAAAGAAGCAGCTAGCATTCCAACTTCTGTCCCTCATGGCCAGTTTTTCTCCTTCTCATCGGTCACTCCCACCTACTCCCCCACTGAAACTTCCACCTATGAATCTCTTCCCACACAAGGCAAATGGTTCTTAGACCAAGGAAAATATGTCCATGTCCTTCCAGCCTCACAGGCCTATTCTATTCCATCAACATTTCATAACCTCTTCCATGTAGGTTACAAGCCACTAGCCCACCTCTTAGAACCTCTCATTTCCTTTCCATTGTGGAAATCTGTCCTCAAGGAAATCACCTCTCAGTGTTCCATCTGCTATTCTAGTACTCCTCAGGGATTTTTCAGGTCCCCTCCCTTCCATACACATCAGGCTCAGGGATTTACCCCTGCCCAGGACTGGCAAATTGACTTTACTTACGTGTCTCGAGTCAGGAAACTAAAATACCTCTTGGTCTGGGTAGACACTTTCACTGGTTAGGTAGAGGCCTTTCCCACAGGGTCTGAAAAGGCCACCATGGTCATTTCTTCCCTTCTGTAAGACATAATTCCTTGGTTTGGCCTTCCCACCTCTATACAGTCCAATAACGGACTGGCCTTTATTAGTCAAATCACCCAAGCAGTTTTTCAGGCTCTTGGTATTCAGTGGAAACTTCATACCCCTTACCGTCCTCAATCATCAGGAAAGGTAGAACAGACTAATGGTTTTTTAAAAACACACCTCAGCAAACTCAACCTCCAACTTAAAAAGGAGGACTCTGTCAAGGATAGAGCTCAAAAACTTGCCAGCAAAGCAAGTAATTATGCTGAACCCCCTTGGACACTCTCTAATTGGATGTCCTGGGTCCTCCCAATTCTTAGTCCTTTAATACCTATTTTTCTCCTTCTCTTATTCAGACCTTGTGTCTTCTGTTTAGTTTTTCAATTCATACAAAACTGCATCCAGGCCATCACCAATCATTCGATATGACAAATGCTCCTTCTAACAACCCCACAATGTCACCCCTTACCACAAAATCTTCCTTCAGCTTAATCTCTCCCACTCTAGGTTCCCACGCTGCCCCTAATCCCGCTCAAAGCAGCCCTGAGAAACATCGCCCATTATCTCTCCATACCACTCCCAAAAATTTTCACTGCCCCAACACTTCAACACTATTTTATTTTTCTTATTAATATAAGAAAATATTAATAAATGTCAGGTCTCTGAGCCCATGCCTGCACGTATTCATCCAGATGACCTGAAGCAAGTGAAGAATCACAAAAGAAGTGAAAATGGCCAGTTCCTGCCTTAACTGATGACATTACTTTGTGAAATTCCTTCTCCTGGCTCATCCTGGCTCAAAAGCTCCCCCACTGAGCACCTTGTGACCCCCAACCCCTGCCAACCAGAGAACAACCCCCTTTGACTGTAATTTTCCATTACCTACCCGAATCCTATAAAATGGCCCTACCCCTATCTCCCTTCACTGACTTTCTTTTCAGACTCAGCCCACCTGCATCCAGGTGATTAAAAAGCTTTATTGCTCACACAAAGCCTGTTTGGTGGTCTCTTCACATGGACGTGTGTGAAAAAAATGTACCCCACTAGTTACCCAAAGCAGGCTAATTGGTGCTGTAGTTATTTCCTTTGGGTCAGGTTTCTCATCAGTATAGTCCCTTTATAGTTTGCCAAAAAGCTGTTCTGGAAAGGGCTTTTGATTCACACCCCAAGAAAGGGTTCTTGGATCTCATGCAAGAAAGAAAGAAGCCAAGGTGAGTCCATGCAGTAAAGTGAAACCAAGTTTATTAGAGAAGTAAAGAAACAAAAAGATGGCTGCTCCATAGGCAGAGCAGCTAATATGATTTATGTCTCTTAAATTGGCTTTGACCATAGGAGAGATTGAGACAATTCTGTAAGCCCAGCACCTAGGTGATGTGACTTTTCATCTTTTGCTTAGACCCTGTGCACAAAAGGAAGAGTGGCTTATCACTGGGCCTCACACACAGGTGACCTAACTGTCAGGCCTCTGAGCCCAAGCTAAGCCATGATATCCCCTGTGACCTGCAGGAATACATGCGGATGGCCTGAAGCAAGTGAAGAATCACAAAAGAAGTGAAAATTGCTGGTTCCTGCCTTAACTGATGACATTCCACCATTGTGATTTGTTCCTGCCCCACCTTAACTGAGCCATTAATGTTGTGAAATTCCTTCTCCTGGCTCAGAACCTCCCTCACTGAGCACCTTGTGACCCCCACCCCTGCCTGCAAGAGAAAAACCCCCTTTGACTGTAATTTTCCACTACCCGCCCAAATCCTTTAAAACGGCCCCACCCCTATCTCCCTTCGCTGACTCTTTTTTCGGACTCAGCCCGCTTGCACCCAGGTGATTAAAAAGCTTTATTGCTTACACAAAGCCTGTTTGGTGGTCTCTTCACGCGGTTGCGCATGACAGTAACACATATGCTTAGGGTAATTATGATATGTTCCTGTGCCCGTCACCCAGATAATGTGACTCTTCTCTTTTCCTGGGACCTTCCTACAGTGGAGATTGTGACATATTGCTTGGCCCAGTATCTATGTGATGTGATTCTCCTTTCATACCAGAGACTTGCCACCTGGGGTAGTTGTGACATATAGCTGGGCCCAGCCCCTAGGTTATGTGACTCTTTTGCTTATCCTCAGCTCTACCTACAAGAAGCACTGGGAAATATCTTTGGACCCCACGATTAGGTGATGTGACTCCCCTTCCTGGGCTCTTTCCTCAGGAGGTATTGTGACATATTCCTGGACCAAGTACCTAGGTAATGTAACTCTTTTCTAGTGCTTGGACTTTACCCAAGGAGAGATTGTAATGTATCACTGGACCCAGCACCTAGGTTACATGACTTTCCTCTTTTGACTGAGTCTTGCATAAATTGTGTATTGTGACAAATAACTGAGTCTAAAAGCTAGGTGATGAGACTCTTCTGAATGGACCCTGTCTACAGGGGTATTATGACATATCTTTTTTTATACTGCCTAGGTGATGTGACTTTGTGTGTGTGTGTGTCCCGGCCCTGCCAAAAGTGGGGATCGTAACATATCACTAAACTTAGCACCAAGGTGTTATGACTCTCCTTGTTTGCCTGGGCCCTGCATATATTTGGTAATATGACGTATGGCTGAGACAAACACCTAGGGCATGAGAACCTCCCGCCTGGGTCCTGGCCACAAGGAGTCTTTTGGCTTATCTCTGCATCCATCAACCAGGAGATGTGACTCTTCTTTTCTGTCTGGGTTCTACAAAAACAAGTGATTGTGACATATTATCAAACCCAGCAACTAGATGATGTGATTTTTCTTCCCTGCTTGAACTCTGGATATGCTGTGTATTGTGATATATGGCTGGGTCCAACATTAAGGTAATGTGACTCTCCTGAATGGTCTCTGCCCACAGGAATATTATGACATATCTTTACATTTAACACCTTGGTTACGTGAATCTTTTTATCTCCCCTCTTGAATTAGGGATTGTGATATATCGCTGAACCTAGCACCTAGGTGATGTGACTTTGTTTTATTGCCTGTGTCCTGCATTTTTTAAGTATTGTGACATGTCCCTGGCCACAACATCTAAAGAATTGGGAGGTACCTGCTTGTACTCTGCCTACGGGCGGGGGGGGGGGGGGCATTGTGACATATCTCTGGGCCCATCAACTGCTTCATTTGACTCTCCTCTCCTACCCATGCTTTGTCAATAGGAGAGATTGTGACATATCTCTGGAACCAGAACCTTAGTGATGTGACGCTTCTCTCCTGCTGAAGCCATGCCCACACAAGGGAAAGTGACTTATCACTGGGCCCAGCACACAGGTGATGTAATTCTTCTGCCTGGTTTTTGTACCCAGGAGCCATTGTAATCTATCTCTGGGCCCATCATTTAAATGATGTGACTGTCATTTTCTTCCTGAGCCCTATTCACAGGGAAAATAATGACACATCTGTGGGGTTCTCACCGAAATGATGTGACTCTCCTGCCTGGGCTCACCTCTCAAGGGAATTGTGACATATTACTGGGCCAGCCACCTAGGTGATGTGGCTCTGACAAAGGAGAAATTGTGATGTACCACTGTTCCACACCTAAGAGATTTGACTCTCATCTTTTCATGAGCCCTGCATTTATTGTGTATTGTGACATATGGCTTGATCCAACACCTTGGTGATGTGACTCTCTACTTCTTCCTGAGCTATGCCAAAAAAGAAGATTGTGACATATCACTGGATCCAGTACCTAGATGATGTAAATCTTTTCTTTTGCTGAGCCATGCATATTTTTGGTATTGTGACATGTCGCTGGACCCAACACCTACAGGATTGGATCAGAGGCTACTGAATAAGCCCTGCCCATAGGCGGCCTTGTGACATATGTCTGCATCTATCGCCTAAGTGATGTGACTCTTTTTCTGCCTGCAGCCTGCACATAGAGAAGATTGTGACATATAGCTCTGCCCAGTAACCAGGTGATGTGTCTTTTCTGGCAGGTCTTTTCCCACAGGGAGCATTGTGAAACATCACTGGGCTCAGCCACCAGGTTATGTGACTCTTCTGCCTGTGCCCTGCTTCCAGAAAATATTGTGACATTCCTCATACAGCATCCAGGTGATGTGACTCTTCTGCTCATTTTCTACTTACAGGTGAGATTGTGACAAATATCCTGGCCCAACTCATAGGTGCTATGATGATACCTGGAATCAGCCAATAGGGGAGATAGTGTCTCTTGTAGTGTAGATTAGGAAACAAGACCCTGGGCCTTCTCTTTGTATGAATGTCATAATGAATTACCAATCTTTAGTGTGTTCTATAAACTTTTGGGTGCCACAAAGAGTGTCTTCACAGGGCTTAGCACACAGGTGAGATTGTTTCTACAATGCACAAACTGCCAACTGTTATGATTGTCACCCTCACACATGGCAACAGCCAACTGTTGAGGTCCTGAATCTTACAGGTGGATATGGTTCAAAGTTGGAATTGTTACTGTCATATATTAACATCCGGCAACAATTAAGGTGGTGACTCATTAATAAATCCAGTGCGCAGGTGGGTGACGACTCTCCAGTCTAGACCCTGCTGACTAGAGAGTGAGGACTCTCTAATTTGAACCCTGCCAACTATGCTCACACCTGAACTTAGGGTCACAGGTATGACCATGGGTCTATAAAAGCAGAAAGGTCTCAGAGCAGACTGTGACTTTTAGGCACACTGCATAAAGCCCTCAGGCGGTGCAGAATGTGTTCCAACAGAGCCCAGCACACAGGTGAGACTGTGCCACTCATATGCACACCCAGTCAACAGTAAAGATTGTCATTCTGTCTCATGAAACAGCCAGTGATTGAGCTTCTGAATCTCAGACTCGAAGGCAGTCAAAAGTTAGAAAATTGACTATCATACCTGGATCCCATTCACAGGTGGGATGGTGAGTCTCAGATTCAACACAAGTCTGAGGCTGTGACTTCACTAAGGAGAAGCAGGTCACAGGAGGGATTAAGGGTCTCATGGACAGATTATTCTACCACTTAGATTGTGACTCCTTTACTTAGGTCCAACATACATGAGCTGCTGAATTTTTTTTTTTTTTTTTTTTTTTTCTTTAGATGGAGCCTGACTCTTTTTCCCCAGGCTGGAGTGCAGTGGCAGATCTTGGCTCACTGCAACCTCCACCTCCTGGATTCAAGCAATTCTCCTGCCTCAGCCTCCTGAGTAGAGTAGCTGGGATTACAGACACCTGGCACCACACCTGGCTAATTTTTGTATTTTTAGTAGAGACGGAGTTTCACCTCGTTGGCCATCTGAGGTCAAAATCTTGACCTCAGGTGATCTGTCTGCCTTGGCCTCCCAAAGTGCTGGGATTACAGGCGTGAGCCACCATGCCTGGCCGGCTATTGAATCTTACACCTAGAACCTAGACATATATGGGATTGTTAATCACATACCTGGATATTCCTGCAGATATGATTGTGACATAGATTCTGCCCATCACCTGAGTGATTTAACTCTACTCCCTGGGCCCAGCCCACAGCTGAAATTATAAAATTTCATCAAAACCAACAATTAGGTGATGCAGCTGCATACTCCTGCCTTAGCGTTGCCAAAAGGGAACATTGTGACATATTGCTTGGCCTTGCATCCAGGTGATGTGAGTCTCTTCTGCCTTCATGCTGCCCACAGGGGGCACTGTCACATATCACTTGGCACCACATTCAGGTTATGTGAGTCCCCTGCCTGTGCCCTGCCCATATGGGCAATTTTGACATGTTGCTGGGTCCAATACCCAGGTGATGTAACTCTCCTGCCTGGCCCTGCCTACAAGGATTTTTGTGACATATCTATGCACCAATCAACTTTGTGTTTTGATAATCCTCTTCTACCAATTTCTTTTCAAAAGAAGGATTTTGACAAATAATTGGGGCCAGCACCTAGCTGACATTACTCTAATCTTCTTTCAAGGTTCAGTTTGCAGGGGATATTGTGACAAGTCGCTGGGCTAACAGACAGGTGATATTCTTCTGCCTTGGCTCTTCCAAAATAAAGCATTTTTACATAGTGCTGTGCCCAGGACCACAGTGACTGAGTCTCCTGCCTAGACCCTGCCCACAGAAAGATTGTAACATATCTCTAGACCCATCAACTATTTGATGTCTCTTCTTTTACCTTGTCTTTTCCCACAAAAGATATTGTGATATATCTCTGGGCCCAGCACCTAGGTGATGTGACTTCTTCTGCCTGGATCATGCCCATACAAGGGAGAGTAACTTAATACCGGGCCTACTACAGACATGCTGAGATACCTCTGCCTGTTGCTTGCCCACAGGATGCGTATGCCATATTTCTGGACCCATCACCTAGATGATGGGACTCTCCTCTTCTTTCTGGGACCAGTACGCAGTGGGAATTGTGATGCATCGTTTAGCTCAGCAGCTACATGTTGTGACTCTCTTCTCATGAGAACCCTCCCACTTGGATAATTGCAACATATAATGTAGCCTAGTTTCTAGGATACCTGACTCTTCTCTTTTTCCTGAGACTTACACAGAATCGGCAACATCTCTGGGCTTCTGACCTAGGTGAGGTTACACTCCTCCCTGATCTCTCCCTTCAGAGAATATTTTGACATATAGCTAGACCCAACACCTGGGTAATAAGACTCTTCTATCTCTTGGGCTCTGTCCAAGAAGAAATTGGGATGTATTGCTAGGCTCAGTACCTAAGTTATGTGACTCTTCTCTCCTGCATGGGCCCTGCATACATTGTGTGTTTTGACATATCACAGGCTCCAACACCTAGGAAATTGGTGATTTCTACCTGTGGCCTGCCCACGGGAGGCCTTGTGATGTATCTCTGCATCATGACCTAAGAGATATGACCCTTGTTTTTAGCCTCCACTTTGCCCTCAGTGAAAATTGTGACATATCACTGGGCCCAGTAACAAGGTGATGAGTTTGTTTTGCCTGCACCTTGCCCACAGAAAACAGTGGAACATAACCCTTGGCCTAGCACTAAGGTGATATTTCTTTTATCCCTGGTCCCTGGCCTCAAAAATGACTGTGACATAACCCTTTCCCAGCACTCATGTGATGTGACCATCCTGCTCACTCTCTACTGACAAATGGGATTGTAACATACATCTTGGCCTGGCTGACAGGTGCAATAATAACTCTCATAACAGTCACCAGAAGAGATACTGTCTCTTGTAGCTAAGCTTAGAGAAATGGGTAAGATCCTGAGTCTCCTTTTTGTAGAAAGGTCATAGAGAATTTCCACTCCCTCACATACTGTATAAAGCCCTCAGGTGATACAGAGAGTGTCTTCACAGTGCCCAACACACAGGTGAGATTGTTTATATTGTGTGTACACCCCACCAATTATTAGGATTATTGCATTCATGCAAGGACACAGTTTACTGGTGAGGTCTTGAACTTCATACACGGATGCAGTTTACAGTTGGAATTGTGACTGTCATATGTAAACATCCAACCACAATTGAGATGGCGACTCATTTCTAAAGCCATCTCATAGGCAGTTGAGGAATCTCCTATCTGGACCAAGTCAATTAAAGAGATGTTGAGTCTCATACATGAGCTTAGGGCCACGGGTGACAATCATGGGTTCATACTAGCATGGAGGTCTCAGAGCAAATTCTAACTCTCATGCATAGCATATACAGCCCTTGAATGGTAGAGAAAGTGTCCTTACAGCACCCAGCACACAGGTAATATTGTGACACTCTTATGCACAGGTAGCCAATAGCAAATATTGTCATCCTTTCACATGAGCACAGCCCACTGTTGAGGCTCTGAATCTCCCAACCAGAGGCAATGGGAAGTTGAATAATTAACTCTTATATGTGGATCTGATCCATAGGTGGGTTGGTTACTCTCAGACCAAGATTCCTCATGGCTGTGAGGCTGTGGCTTCAATAAGGGGACACAGTCTTCAGAAGGGATTGGGTCTTTTGTGTACAAATTCAGTCCATTGTTGAAACTGTGACTCAGGTACTTAAACCAAACCTACAGAAGGTGTTGACTCTCATACCTGAAACTGGGACATGTGTGGGATTGTTAATTTCATTTCAGGACCTTCCTGCTGGTGTAATTCTGATGTATGCTTCTGCCCAGAATCTGAGCGATTTGACTTCCCAGCCTCGGTCCAGCCCCCAGTAGGGATTATGACGTATCACTTGGCCAAGCACTTAGCTGATGTGACCTATTCTCCTGCCTTGGCTCCGCCCATAGAGGACACTGTGATGCACTGTCAGGCCCTGCACCCAGGTTATGTGATTTCTGCCTGTGCCCTGACCACATTGGCTATTTTGACATATTGCACTGTCCAACACTCAAGTGATGTTACACTTCTTCCTGTGCCCTTCCTGCAGTGGACATTATGAAATATCTCTGTGCCCATCATCCATGTATGTTGACTCTCTTCTGCATGCATTCTGCTCACAGGGGGATTGGGACATATCTGGGCTCAGCACTCTGCTGATGTGATGCTTCTCTCTCTTTTTTTTTTTTTTTTTTTTTTTTTTTTTTTTTTTTTTGAGATGGAGTCTTGCTCCATCACCCAGGCTGGAGTGCAGTGGCACGATCTCGGCTCACTGCAATATCTGCCTCCTGGGTTCAAGAAATTCTTCTGTCTCAGCCTCCTGAGCAGCTGGGACTACAGGCACCTGCCATCACACTTGGTGTATTTTGTATTTTTAGTAGAGACGGGGCTTCACCTTGTTGGTCAGGCTGGTCTCAAACTCCTGATCTCAGGTGATCCACCCTCCTCAGCCCCGCAAAGTGCTGAGATTACAGGCATGAGCCACCGCGCCCGGCCAATGCTTCTCTTTTTCCTATGTTCTGCTCACACAAAAGATAGTGGCCCAGCACAAAAGTGATGTGAGTCTCTTGCCTGGCTCTTGCTCACAGCGGGCATTGTGAAATATCTCTGGGTCCATCAATTATTTGATGTGAGTCTCCTCTGTTACCTGGGCTTTGCCTATGGAAGACATTGTGACATATCACTGGGCCCAGAACCCAGGTGGTTTGATTTGCCTCTTCTGACTGGGCCATGCCAACAGATAAATAAAAAAAAAACTTATCACAGGGTCCAGCACACAGGTGCTGTGGCTCTTCTGCCTGACCCCTGCCCACAGGTGTAATTGCTACATATCTTTGGTCCCAACATGTAGATGGTGTGACTCTTTACTTTATTCTGGGACCTGTACACAGTGGGGACTATGACATATCGCTAGGCCTAGCATTTATGTGATGTGACTCTCCTCTCATGCCTAGGCCCTGCCCACTGGGATGATTATGACATTTATCTGAGTGCAGCCTCCAGGTTATATGACTCTCCTCTTTTCCATGATCCCTACTCATAACATGCATTGTGACCTATGTCAGGTTTTCTCACCTAGGTTATGTGACTTTCTTGTCTTTGCCCTTCCATCAGGGGGCATTGTGATATATTGCTAGGCCCATTATCTGGGTGATGTGACTCTCCTCACCTGCCTGTGCACCACCAAAAGGGGACATTGTGACAAATCCCTGTACCAATTTTCTACATAATGTGCCTCTTCTCTGTTGCAGGAGACATGCCCAAAAAAGGGATTGTGGCATATCTCTGAGCCCAGCACCCAAATGTTGTGACTCTCCTGCCTGAGCTGTGCCTAGAGAAAATATTATAATATGTCACCGGACCCTGCATGCAAGTGATCCAATTCTCCAGTCTGGGCCTTGCCCATAGAGGAGATTGAGACATATTCCAGGTGAAGAATTCAGGTGATGTTACTCTCATTTTTTAACCTTTCCCACAGATAAGATTGTGAAATATGATGTGGTCCAGGACACAGATGAGATTTTTATTCTTGTATGCAATCCCATACAACAGTTACTATTGTCACTATAACACATGGACAAAGACTGCTGTTGAGGTCCTGAGTCTCATGAGTGAATGCAGTCAACAGCTGGAATTGTGACTGTCATATGTATATCTTGCCATAAGTGGGATGGTGATTCATTTCTGGATTCAGCTCACAGAAATGGTGATGACTGTCAAACATGGGCCCAGCCAATAAGAGAGATGTTGACTCTGGTAGCTAGGCTTAGGGGTCTAGGTCTTTTACTTGTAGGAAGGTAACAGAAGATTATGACACTCACACATATTGTATAAAGCTTTTGGGCAATACAGAGTGTCATTACAAGACTGAGCACACAGGTGAGATTGTGACTCTCCTATACACACCTAACCAACAGTTTGAATTGCCACCCTCACATGTAGACTGAGCTTACTGGTGAGGTCCTGAACCTCACACATGAACCTATTCCGCCGGTTGGATGGTGGCAAATTTCTGAACCCAATTCACTTGCACAATAAACCCAGCCAATAGAAGATATGTTGATGCTTGTACTTAGGCTTAGGGCAACAGGTAAGGTTTTGGGTTTTCTACTTGTATAAATGTCACAGAGGATTACTACACTCACTAATATTGTATAATGCCCTCAGGTTGTACAAAAAGTGTCATTACATAACTCAGCAAAATTTGAGATTGTGACTCTCAAATGCACACCCAGCAAACAGTAAGAATTGTCCCCCACATATATGGACAGAACCCACTTGTGAAGTCCTGAAACTCACTTACAGATGCAGTCCACAGTTGGAATTTTTAATGTCATGTGTGGATCCAACCACAGGTGGGAGGGTGACTCATAAAACCCAACTAAGAGGCACAGCAATGACTTTCATACCTGGACCCAGACAATAGGAGAGATGTTGACTTTCATACCTAAGCTTAGGGCAATAGGCAAGATCATGAATTTATACCAGCACTAATGTCTCACAGCAGATGATGACTCTCACCCAAACAATGTAAAGCCCTCGGGGTGGTACAGAGAGTGTCATAAGAGGACCCAGAACAAGCTGAGATTTTAATTCTCATATGCACTTCTAGCGCCTAGTAAAAATTGTCACCCTCCTGCATGGATACAGAAAACTGTTGAGCTTCTGAATCTCACACTCGGATGCAGTCGAAAGTTGGGATTGTAATTGTTTTACTGGATTTTGTCTACAGGTGGATGGTGACTCTAAGACCAGGATTCAACACACCTAGAAGGCTTTGACTCTGATACCAGTCACAGAAGGCTCTGTGACTCTTCTATTTTCTCTAGGTCATGCAAATGGAGGCGGATTTTGACATATCATAAAGCCAACATAATACACAGTCTGCAGGTGGAATTGGGACTCTCATGCATGGATCCAGTTCATCATTGATACTGTGACTCATGTACTTGGATGCAACTCACAGGAGGTGTTGACGCTTTTTACCTGAAGCTGGGACATGTGTGGAATTGTGAATCCTAGCCCTAGATCTTCCCACAGGTATGATTGTGACATATACTTTTGCCTAGCACCTGAGTGATTTTACTTCCCTGCCTGGGCCCAGCTCTCAGAAAAGATTGTGATGTGACTCTCTTGCTTAAGCCCTACCTACAGAGGGTATTGTGAAATTTCACTGGGCCCAGCACTTAGGTCATGTGACTCTTATTTTCAGCCTGGGCCCTGTCCACAAAGTCTTTGTGAGATATCACTGAGCCCAGCATCTCCATGATGTGACTGTACTGCCTGGGCCCTGCCCACAGTAGGTATTGTGAAATACTTCTGAACCCATTACCTAGGTGATGTAACACTCCTCCTTTGCCTGCATTCTGCCACCCCCCAAAAATGAACTGTGACATACCACAGGCCCAAGCACTTAGGTGATATAACTCTCCTCTTCTGCCTGGGCTCTGGCCTCAGGGGAGATTGAAACATTGTACTGAGCCCAGTTTGCAGGTGATGTGACCCTCTATCTTAGGCTCTGCCCATAGGAGGTATCATGATAGATCTCTATGGTCATAATTTAGGTGCTGTGACTCTTCTATTTTCTCTAGGTCATGCAAATGGAGGGGGATTGTTACATATCATAGGGCCAACACAAAAATAATGTAAAACTCCTGCCTGAGCCATGCCCATAGAAGGCATTGTGACATATCACCCGTCACAGCACTCAGGTGATGTAACTCTCTTTCCTGAGCCCCGCCTGCAAGGCATATTTTAACATATCTTTAGCCTAGAATTTAAAATATGTGACTCTCTTAGCTTGTTTCTTTTCCACAGGTGGGATTTTGACATATAACTGCACCCAGCACACAGGTGAAGTATCTCGTATGCTCATCCTGCCAAAAGTTATGAGTGTCACCCTCACACATGGACAGAGACCTCTGGTTAGGTCTTGAATCTTGTACATGGACACAGTCCGCAGTTGGAATGTCATATGTAGATCCAGCCACAGGTGTGATGTTGACCTATTTATAAAGTTAGCTCACAGGCACATTGATAACTCTCATACCTGGATCCAGCCAATAAAAGATATGTTGACTATTATAGCTAGGCTTGAGGAAACTGGTATGGTCCTTGGTCTCCTACCTGTATGAGACTCACAGAAGATTATTACAGTTAATGGAAATTACATGAAGCCCTCTGGCAGTACAAAGTTTTATCACAGGCCCAGCACACAGGTGAGATTGACCCTTTAATACACAAACAAAGCTAACAGTATTGTCACCTTCACATATAAACAGAGCCCACTGGTAAGGTTCTAAATCTCACACATCAAAAAAATTCACCATTGGAATTGTGACTGTGATATGTGAGTCTGCCCATAGGTGGAATGCTGACTCATTTCTGGATTCAGCTTAGAAAAATGGTGATGACTGTTTCACCTGGATTCAGCCAAATGGAGGGATGTTGGTTGACTCTTTTAACTAGGTGTGATAGTTAATACTGAGTGTCAATTTGATTGGATTGAAGGATACGACGTATCAATCTTGGGTGTGTCTGTGAGGGTGTTGCCAAAGGAGATTAACAATTGAGTCAGTGGGCTGGAAAAGGCAGACCCACCCTTAATCTGGATGGGCACAATCTAATCAGCTGCCAGCATGGTTAGAATATAAGCAGGCAGAAAAATGTGAAAAGAGAGATTGGCCTAGTCTCCCAGCCTACATCTTTCTCCTGTGCTGGATGCTTCCTGCCCTTGAACACCAGATTCCAAGTTCTTCATTTTTGGGACTCGGAGTGGCTCTCCTTCATTCTCAGCCTGCAGACAGTCTATTGTGGGATCTTGTGATTGTGTGAGTTAATACTTATGTCCCTCTAGAGAACCCTGACTAATACAGATTTTGGTACCAGGAGTGATTCTAGAGGAAAAGAATATTAAGTATAGAGTTCTTTTTTGATTCTGGGGTTTCTGGAGTTGGCTGCTTAATATGATTAGACCCAAAAATGCTAAAGACTCTACTTCTAATAGTATGGAGAACACTGATAGCCCTTGGGATGAACAGTTTAAGAAGTTATGTAAAATAAATGCATATGACACTATCACTCATGGGAGGCAAGGAGTTTAGTGACTCTATACATAATACCTTTGACCAGCCGGGCGCAGTGGCTCACACCTATAATCCCAGCACTTTGGGAGGCCGAGGCAGGTGGATCAAAAGGTCAGGAGTTCAAGACCAGCCTGGCCAAGATGGTGAAACCCCATCTCTACTAAAAATACAAAAATTAGCTGGGTGTGGTGGCAGGCACCTGTAATCCCAGCTACTCCGGAGGCTGAGGCAGAGAATTGCTTGAACCCGGGAGGCGGAGTTTGCAGTGAACTGAGATCGCACCACTGCCCTCCAGCCTTGGTGACAGAGTGAGAGTCTATCTCAAAACAAAACAAAACAAAAACAACCTTTGACCATATGTGGAGAACAAAGGAACATAATGAAGCTGGTTGTCCTAAGTTCAGTGGACAGAGAGATGATATAAAATGATGAACTCAGGGATTCTATCTTTTGGCTTTAGAAGCAGATACTGAGCCTCAAATCTGCTAAGATCACCCTGAGTGAGAGTCTCATCTCCTGTAGAGAAAGAGCTGAAATTGTGGAAAAACAGACACAAACTGTTATTGTGCTAGTGGCTGATCTGCAACAAAAGGTGTATGGGCAACCTCGCCAGGTGTCTACTATTAAAGTGAGGGCATTTATTGGAAAAGAATGGGACCCTGCCACTTGGAATGGGGATGTGTGGAAGGACCCTGATGAAGCCGGGGTGACTGAGTTTGCAAACTCCGATGAACCTTTTCTGTTAGAAGAAAGAGCTTCCCCATCCCCAGTAGTGGTAACATCCCCTTTCTGATCCCTGCTGCCTTTCCACCTTTGAAATAAACCCTGCACTGCCTGAGGCAACAGTGATGGCCTTCCCTGAGGCAGTTCCCAGGCAAAATAATGTTGATTCTTCTCAGGAGCCAACCTCAACACCCATGTTTGCTTCTTGGCATATAAGTAGACTAAAGTCCCAGTGGACCTTCAGAGGTGAGGTTGAGAGTGTTCCCCATGAGAAGGTGTACTGCACTCAAAAAGAACTGCTTGAGTTTTCTAATTTATATAAATAGAAATTTGGAGAACAGGCTTGGAGATGAATGTTAAGGGTGTGGGATAATGGTGGAAGGAACATAGGGTTGAATCAGGCAGAATTTATTTATTAGGCCCCACTAAATAGGAACACTGCATTTAATGTTGCAGGTTGGGGAGTTAAACAAGTTTCTAATAGTTTCTTTGCTTGGTTAGCTGAAATATGGATTAAAAGATGGCCCACTGGCCGGGTGTGGTGGCTCATGCCTGTAATCCCAGCACTTTGGGAGGCTGAGGCAGGTGGATCACTTGAGGTCAGGAGTTCGAGACCAGCCTGACCAACATGGAGAAACCCTGTCTCTACTAAAAATACAAAATTAGCCGGGTGTGGTGGTGCATGCCTGTAATCCCAGCTACTCGGGAGGCTGAGGCAGGAGAATCGCTTGAACCTAGGAGGTGGAGGTTGCAGTGAGCCGAGATTGTGCCATTGCACTCCAGCCTGGGCAACAAGAGCAAAACTCTGTCTCAAAAAAAAAAAAAAAAAAAAATGATAGCCCACTGTGAGTGAGCTGGAAATGCCTGATGTCCCTTGGTTTAATGTAGAGGGAGAGATCAAAAGGCTTAGGGAGATTGCGATACTGGAGTGGATTAGTCACTTTAGACCTACTAATTCCAGCAGGGAAGGTCCAAAATATATACCCTTGACCATTGCCTTGCAAAATAGATTTGTGAGGGCAGCACCTGAATCTTTGAAGAGCCCTGTAATTGCTCTTCTTTGCATGTCAGGTCCAACAATGGGAACCGCAGTCACTCAGCTAAAAAATGTAAATACAATGGGAATAATTGGATCCCGAGGTGGCAGGGGCCAAGTGGTGGCACTCGACCATCAAAGGCAAGGTGGGCATAGCTACTGTAATGGACAGCAGAGGCAAAATGGCAATCAGAACAGTCTGACTTGTGTAGAGTTCTGGCATTGGCTGATTCATCACGATGTTCCTAGAAGTAAAATTGATAGGAAACCTACTGCATTCCTACTTAATTTATACAAGCAGAAAAATTCTAGGTTGAATGGGCAGAAGACTAATTTGAAATATAAAAACAGAGAATCATGGCCCCTCAATCAATTTCCAGACTTGAGCCAGTTTACAGACCCAGAACCCCTTGAATAAAGGGGAGGCTGGATTCTCTTGAAGAGCAACCCCACTACACTACCAACAATTTATCCAGTGAATCTTTCTCCCATCTTTCCCCAAGTAGATCTCTGGCCTTTTATGGGGGTAACAGTGCACTGGGAAAAGGGAAATGATTGGATATTTTGGGGACTACTAAACACTGGCTCTGAGCTGACATTGATTCCTGGGGACCCAAAACATCACTGTGGTCCTCCAGTTAAAATAGGGGCTTATAGAGGTCAGGTACTTAATAGAGATTTAGCACAGGTCCAACTTAGAGTTGGTCCAGTGAGTCCCAAGACTCATTTTGTGGTCATTTCCCCAGTGCCCGAATGCATAATTGGCATAGACATACTTAGCAGATGGCAGAATTCCCAAATTGGCTTGCTGACTAGTAGGGTGAGGGCTATTATGGTGGGAAAAGCCAAATGGAAGCCATTAGATCTGCCTCTACCTATGAAAATAGTAAATCAAAACCAATATTGTATCCATGGAGGGAGTGCAGAGATTAGTGCCACCATCACGGACTTAAAGGATGCAGAGGCGGTGATTCCTACCACATCCTCATTCAACTCTTTCGTTTGGCCTGTACAGAAGACAGATGGATTTTGGAGAATGACAGTGGATTATTGTAAGCTTAACCAAGTGATGACTCCAGTTGCAGCTGCTGTACCAGATATGGTTTCGTTGCTTGAGCAAATTAACGCATCTCTTTGTACCTGGTATGCAGACATTGACTTAGCAATTGCCCTTTTCTCCATTGCTGTCCATAAGGCCCACCAGAAGCAATTTGCTTTCAGCTGGCAAAGTCGGCAATATACCTTTACTGTTCTACCTCAAGGATATATCAACTCTCTGGCTTTGTGTCATAATCTTATTCAAAGAGACCTCTGTCACTTTTTGCTTTTGCAAATATTACAGTGGTCCATTACATTGATGACATTATGCTGATTGAATCCAATGAGCAAGAAATAGCAAACACACTGGACTTATTTATGAGACATTTACATTCTAGAGGATGGAAAATAAAACTGACTAAAATTTAGGGACCTTCTACCTCAGTAAAATTTCTAGGGGTCCAGTGGTCTAGGGCCTGTCAAGATATTCCTTCTAAGGTAAAAGGTAAGTTGAGATCCAGGGATGGAGTTGTGAAACTCTCCTAAAGCCCAAGATTGAGGTATGTTCTTTTCAGGAGACAGGCTTCTATTAAGGTGGCAAACTACAGGACATCTCTTCTTGGCTACAGACCAAAAAATAGCCAACCCAACTTGCTCCCACTGAGAATTCTGAACTTACCTTATAACCATTCCAAACTCCTCCCAGCCACAGCCTGGGAGAGCTCCTGCTCTTCCAGAGACCTGGAGGAAGATTCCCATTTGTAGCCATACAGTTTAATGTTTTACTTCTAGTTCCAAGCCACAGTTCATGGACAATTCTGCCTTGGTAGAATCCCACACAGTGACCTGGGAAGACCCTCTCTAGTACTCAGTGAAAGGAATCCTCATCCACATCCTGATGTAAGCCCCACCATATGCAGACCTGACTGCAACAACTTCCCCTAGTGTCTGCTCTACAGATGAAAGTCCTGAAGGATATTCAGTCTGTCCAATAATAAAATGGGAATTACAACTACCCAAGCCTTTTTTAACAAGCCAACTAAAGGTAAACCCTATGTAGAACCAGCAGCCTTGTGACCAACCTACCACCTCTGTCTATTACAAATGAAGAGGGCATCCTATAAATATGGGATCTTTACCTCTTGTAACCACTTTATATAAACTTGAAGAGGTTTTCGTTCAATGAAATTTACAAAAACCAATGCAATGCAAAACTATATTGTCCCCATTGTCAATGCTTCCATTTTAACATAACCCTGGAAGTATGTAGCAGAAGAGTTAGGCAAAAAAAAAAATTGTTTAAAGCCACTGAAATTGATGACAAGTAAGTAAAGAGTTGATGTTTGCAGATCATATAATATTATATATTAAAAAAACCATAAATGGTACATTTAAGGCCAGGAGCAGTGGCTCACACCCATAATCCCAACACTCTGGGAGGCCAAGGAGGGCAGATCACCTGAGGTCAGGAGTTCGAAACCAGCCTGGCCAATATGGTAAAACCTTGTTTCTACTAAAAACAGAACAATTAGCCATGCATGGTGGTGGGTGCCTACAGTCCTAGCTACTCAAGAGTCTGAGGCAGAAGAATCACTTGAACCTGGGAGGCAGAAGTTGCAGTGAGCCAAGATCATGCCACTGCATTCCAGCTTGGGCGACAGAGCAAGACTCTGTCTCAAAGAAAAAAATATATTTTAGCCTAAAATATTAACTCTATGCTTCAGAAATACAAATTTTCTTGTTTCACCTAAGTTGTCCCTTAAGAAATGCAATGAGATAGACAACAACACAAAAACAGTGGGAGACTTATACTTTACTTACAGCATTAGACAGGCCATCAGGAGAGAAAGTGAAACAAACAAAAATCAATGGGCTTAAACTATACCTTAGAACAAATGGACTTAACAGATATTTACAGAATATTCCACCCAGCAACTGCAGAATATACATTCTTTTCATCAGCACACAAAACATTCTTCAAGATAGACCATATGATAAGTCACAAGACAAGTCTGAATTTTTTTTTTTTTTTTTTTTTTGTGTGTGTGTGACAGAGTCTTGCTCTGTCACCAAGGCTGGAGTGCAATGGTGCAATTTTAGCTCACAGCAACCTCTGCCTCCCAGGTTCAAGGGATTCTCCTGCCTCAGCCTTCTGGGTAGCTGGGATTACACGCATGTGCCACCATGCGTTCCTAATTTTTGTATTTTTAGTAGAGATGGGGTTTCACCATGTTGGCTAGGCTGGTTTTGAACTTCTGACCTCAGGTTATCTGCCTGCCTTGGCCTCCCAAAGTACTGGGATTAAAGCATGAGCCACCATGCCCAGCCCCTGAATAAATTTAAGAATATCAAAATTTTATCAAGTACTGTCTTAGGCCACAGTGGAATAAAATTAGAAATCAATTCCAATAGGAACACTCAAAACCATACAAATACATGAAAATTAAATAAACTGCTCCTGAATGATTATTGGGTTCACAATGAAATCAAGATGGAAATTAAATAATTCTCTAAACTGAATAATAGTGACACAACATATTAAAACTTCTGGGATACAGCAAAAGCAGTACTAAGAGGAAAGTTCATAGTATGAAATACATACATCAAAAAGTGCAAAAAACCACAATAAACAACCTAAGATTACACCTCAAGGAACAAGAGAAACAAGAACAAACCAAACCCAGCAGAAAAAAAAAATAACAAAGATCAGAGCAGAACTAAATAAAATTGAAATTTAAAAAATATAAAAGATAAAACAATAAGCTAGTCATTTGAAAAGATAAACCAAACTGACAGACTATTAGTGAGATTAACCCAGAAAAGCAGAAGGTCCAAATTTGCTCAATTAGAAATAAAAGATCATTCAAAGCTACTATGAATACCTTTACATGCTCAAACTAGAAAACCTAGAGGAGTTCGATAAATTCCTGAAAATATACAACCCTCCTAAATTAAACCAGGAAGAAATAAAAACCCTGAAGAGACCAATAACAAGTAGCAAGATTAAACTAATAATAAAAAATTGCTGGCTGGGTACAGTGGCTCATGCCTGTAATCCTAGCACTTTGGTAGGATGAGGTGGGTGGATCATTTGAGGTCAGGGGTTTGAGATCAGCCTGATCAACATGGCAAAACCCATCTCTACTTAAAATACAAAAATTAGCCAGGTCACAAGCTGGCCTGTAATCCCAGCTACTTGGGAGGCTGAGTCAGGAGAATCACTTAAACCCAGAAGTTAGAGGTTGCAGTGAGTCAAGATTGCACCATTACATTCCAGCCTGGGTGACAGAGCAAGACTCAAGAAAAAAAAAACAAAAAACAAACTGCCAACAAAAAAAGTCCAGGACAAGGTGGATTCGTAGCTCAATTCTACCTGACATTTAAAGAATTGGGACCAGTCCTACTGAAACTATTCCAAAAGAGAGAGAAAAATGCAATCCTTCCTAAGTCATTCTGTGAAGCCAATATCACTCTAATACCAAGATCAGGAAAAGACATAATAAAAGAAAACTACACACCAATGTTCCTGATGAATGCAAAAATCTTCGATAAAATACTAGCTAACCCAACACAGCAGCATATTAATAAGATAGTACACCATAATCGAGAACATTTTATGCCAGGGATGCAGAGATGATTTAACATAGGTAAGTCAATACATGTTATACATCAAATAAACAGAATTAAAACCAAAAATTATATGATTATCTCAAAATACACAGAAAAATCATTTGGCAAAATCCAGCATCCCTTTACGATTAAAATCCTCAGCAAAATCGGGATAGAGGGAACATATTTTAAGGTCATAAAAGCCATCTATGACAGGCTGGGCGCGGTGGCTTATGCCTGTAATCCCAGCACTTTGGGAGGCCAAGGTGGGCAAATCACCTGAGGTCAGGAGTTTGAGATCAGCCTGGCCAACATGGTGAAACCTGGTCTGTACAAAACTACAAAAGTTAGCCAGGCATGATGGTGGGTGCCTGTTATCCCAGTTACTGGGGAGGCTGAGGCGGGAGAATCGCTTGAGTCCGGGAGGCAGAAATTGCAGTGAGTGGAGATCGTGCCAGTGCACTCCAGCCTGGGCGACAGAGCAAGACTCTGTCTGAAAAAAAGAAAGAAAAAAGAAAAAAAAAGCTGTCTATGATAAACAGCCAACATTACACTGAACGGGAAAAAG
Organism: Homo sapiens; assembly: GCF_000001405.40. Taxonomy (NCBI): domain Eukaryota; kingdom Metazoa; phylum Chordata; class Mammalia; order Primates; family Hominidae; genus Homo; species Homo sapiens. The sequence goes on along the minus strand of NC_000019.10, from coordinate 23,007,101 downwards.
TTGAAAGGATTTTTTCTGAGAACTGGAACAAGACAATAATGCCCACTCTCACCGCTTCTATTCAACATAGTAATGGAAGTCTTGGCCAGAGCAATCAGAGTAAAGCAAAAAATAAACAACATTGGTAAAGAGGAAGTCAAATTGTCACTTTTTACCAATGATATAATTGTATAGCTGGGAAACCCTAAATACTCATCTAAAAAGCTTTTAGGGCCAGGTGCAGTGGCTCAAGCCTGTAATCCCAGCACTTGGGGAGGTGGAGGCAGGTGGATCATCTGAGGTCAGGAGTTCAAGACCAGCCTAGCCAACATGGTAAAACCCTGTCTCTACTAAGAATACAAAAATTAGCCAGGCGCAGTGGCAAGAGGCTGTAATTCCAGCTACTAGGGAAGCTGAGACAGGAGAATCACTTGAACCCAGGAGGCAGAGGTTGCAGTGAGCCGAGAGATCATGCTACTGCACTCCAGCCTGGGCAACAGAGTAAGACCTTGTCTCAAAAAGAAAAAAGAAAAAAAGGCTTTTCAATCTGATACATAAATTCAGTAAAATTTCAGGATACAAAATCAATGTGCACAAGTTAGTGGCACTGGTGTACGCTAACAGTGACCAAACTAAGAATTAAATTAAGAACTCAACTCATTTTAAAATAGCTGCAAAAAAAAAAAATAATTAGGAACATGTCTAACCAAGGTGGTGAAAGATCTCTATGAGAAAAACTACAAAATGCTGCTAAAAGAAATCATAGACAACAAAAACAAATGGAAACATATTTCATGCTTATGGATGGGTAGCAATCCTACTGTGACAATGATCAACCTACCAAAAACAATCTACAAATTCAATGTAATTTCCATTAAAATAACATTATCATTCTTCACAGAACTAAAAAAAATCCTAAAATTTATGTAAAATAAAAAGAGAGCTTCCAAAGTCAAAGCAAGACTAAGAAAAAAAAAACCAATAAAACCAAAAACACACACACAAAAATCTGAAGGCATTACATTATATGACTTCAAACTATACTACAAGGCTATAGTTACCAAAACAGCATTGTATGGGTATAAAAATAGACATGTAGACCAATGAAACAGAATAGCGAAACCAGAAATGAACCCAAATATTTACAGCCAACTGATCTTTGACAAAGTAAACAAAGATACAAAGTGGAGAAAGAACACCCAATTCAATAAATGCTGGCATAATTGGGAAGCCACATATTGAAGAATAAAACTGGATCTTCGGCTGGGCACAGTGGCTCATACCTGTTATCCCAGCACTTAGGGAGGTCGAGGTGGGTGGATCACGAGGTCAGGAGTTCAAGACCAGCCTGGCCAAGATGGTGAAACCCCGTCTCTACTAAAACTACAAAAAAAATTTAGCCGGGTGTGGTGGCGGGTGCCTGTAATCCCAGCTACTCGGGAGGCTGAGGCAGATAATTGCTTGAACCCGGGAGGCAGAGATCGTGCCACTGCACCCCAGCCTGGGAACAGAGTGAGACTCCGTCTCAAAAAAAAAAAAAAAAGAATCTTCATCTCTCACCTTATAAAAAAATCAACTCAAGATGGATCAAATACTTTAATCTAAGACCTGAAACCACCCGAATTCTAAAGCATTGGAAAAACTCTTCCAGACATTGACTTGGGCAAAGAGTGCACGAACAAGAACCCCAAAGCAAATGCAACAAAAACAAAGACAGATGGGACTTAAACAATTCTCAAAAGAAGATATACAAATAGCCAACATAGAAAAAAAATGCTGAATATCACTAATGATTAATGATCAGGGAAATGCAAATCAAAACCACAACGTGATACCACCTTACTCTCGCAAGAATGACCATAATTGGCTGGTCATGGTGGCTCATGCCTGTAATCCCAGCACTTTGGGAGACCGAGACTGGTGGATCACCTGAGGTCAGGAGTTCCAGACCAGCTTGGCCAACATGGTAAAACCCCGCCTCTACTAAAAATACAAAAATTAGCAGGGCACGATGGCATGGGTCTGTAATCCCTGCTACTCGGGAGGCTGAGGCTGGAGAATCGCTTGAACCCAGGAGGCGGAGGTTGCAGTGAGCCGAGATCGACAGAGCGAGACTCCATCAAAAACAAACAAACAAACAAACAGAAAAGACCATAATCAAAACATCAAAAACTAGGCCAGGCATGGTGGCTCATGCCTGTAATTACAGCAAACTCCGTCTCAAAAAAAAAAGAAAAGAAAAGAAAAAAAGAGATAAAACCCCAAATATTGTATGTCCTCACTTATAAGTGGGAGCTAAGCTATGAAGATGCAAAGGCATAAAAATTACAAAATGGGGCCAGGCGCGGTGGCTCACGCTTGTAATCTCAGCACTTTGGGAGGCCGAGGCAAGTGAAACTCTGTCTCAAAAAAAAAAAAATTAAAAATTAAAAAGAATTACATAATGGACTCTGGGCACTCAGTGGGAAGGGTGGGAGAGGGGATGAGGGATGAAAGAGTACACATTGGGTACAGCGCACTCTACTTGGGAGATTGGTGCACCGAAATCTCAGAAATCACCACAAAAGAACTTATCCATGTAACCAAATACTACCTGTACCCCAAAACTATTGAAATATAATAATTTAAGACAAAAATAAAACCCCCAAACTCTCATAAGTTTAAGTTTATATGCTTTGGCTTTTTTTTTTTTTTTTTTTTAGAAAGGGTCTCACTCTGTCACCCAGAATGGAGTGCAGTGGCTTGATCAGGGCTCACTGCAGACACAACCTCCTGGGCTCAGGCAATCCTCCTACTTCAGCCCCTGAATAGCTGCTACTACAGGTTCAGGCCACCATGCTAAATTAGCTGGGTGTGGTGGAGGGCGCCTGTAATCCAGCTACTCGGGAGGCTGAGGCAGGAGAATCGCTTGAACCCAAGAGGGGGAGGTTGCAGTGAGCTGAGATCATGCCATTGCACTGTAGCCTGGCCAGCAGAGCAAGACTCTCAAATAAAATAAAATAAAGGTTGTTTCAAGTTAAAAAAAAAAGTCTAATAAAATCGAAAGAGTTAAAAAATTATAAGCGTTTATAAGGCCGGGCGCCGTGGCTCAAGCCTGTAATCCCAGCACTTTGGGAAGCCAAGGTGGGCGGATTGCCTGTCAGTAGTTTCAGACCAGCCTGGCCTCAACGTGGTGAAACCCTGTCTCTACTAAAAAAACAAAAATTAGCAGGGCGTGGTGGCGGGCGCCTGTAATCCCAGCTTCTGGGGAGGCTGAGGGAGGAGAATTACTTGCACCCGGGAGGCGGAGCTTTCAGTTAGCCGAGATCCTGCCACTGCACTCCAGCCTGGGCGGCAGAGGGAGACTGTCTCAAAAAGATAAACAAATAAAAAAAAGAGATTATAAAATATATATGAAAATCTAGAGCGTTCAAAAATGACAAATTTGATGGATTTATTTATAAGATTTTACTAAAATTAGGGTTTTTTGTTTTGTTTTTTGAGATGGCGTTTCACTCTTGTTGCCCAGGCTGGAGTGCAATGGCCCGATCTCGGCTCACTGCAACCTCCACCTCCTGGGTTCAAATGATTCTCCTGCTTCAGCCTCCTGAGTAGCTGGGATTGCAGGCGCCCACCACCACGCCCAACTAATTTTTGTATTTTTAGTAGAGAAGGAGTTTCACCAGGTCGACCAGGCTAGTCTTGAACTTCTGACCTCAGGTGATCCCCCCGCCTCCGCCTCCCAAACCGATGGGATTAAAGGCGTAAGCCATCACGCCCGGCCTTTGCGGCAGACTGGGCTGGCACTCTTTCTTCAGTCAGCCCAGCATCTGATAACATCTTCCGTCACTCAGGGCCTGAAGGGGCGGGGCCTTAAACATTATCCAATCAGGGACGCTGGACTGGGACCGTCCAATCAGGCACGCAGCTGGAGCGGACAGGGCGGCTTCCGGGATGTGGTAGGACCGTTGGCTCTCGCTGCACGCGGAGGTCAAGGTGTCGTCCTTACTGCTGTGTGTCGTCCGCTCCTAAAGGCCCAGCTTCTATGGCCCTGTGACCTGCAGGTATTGGGAGATTCACAACTAAGTCGCCAGGACCCCCGGAAGCCTAGAAATGGTGAGTCAGCCGGGTCCGACATCCCGAGAGAGTGGCAGCCGCTGGTTGGAACCGGTGGGAAGTGGCTGTGGCGGGACTCAGGCCTCCTCTCAGTCAGCTCCACAATCTGTGCCCCGTGTTCTCCTTGCCTAGCTCGACCTCAGTCCGCTTCAGGCATAAGATGGCGGCTGCGCTGACACCCGGTCCCCGGGCGTCCTGTCTTTTCCCTGCGCTGTGATTGTGCCCTGGCCTGGAGCCCTCTTGGGGCCGCTCTGCACCCGCAGCGCGGAGTCTCTCTCAGATGTGCAGGGAGCATGGGAGGGTCGTCACAGGAGAATCCTGACTCGGCGTGTGGGTTCAAGAATGGAAAGAGCTTTGGTCCGTGAGGTTCCCAGCCCCTGTTTTCTCCTATTAAAAATTTGCAGAAGTCACCGCACAAATATTAAATAATTTAACCAAAGAGTGATTCCAAAATTGTAGAGCACCCAGCTATGGGTTGTAGTTTATGGTCTATTGAAGAGGTTTGACGGAAGAGTTTTATAAGGTGCCTAATGAAGAAAACCAAATTCGATAATTGGTTAGGTACAGTTACGTAGTTTCTTAATTCGTACTATCAAGATGGAAATTTCTTGGTTATGTAATCAGAGGTTAATTGGCAGTTTATAGTTTGTTAAGCCTGAATTTTTTCCCCCAATATAGTAATTTACAAAAAATGCATTTGAATTAGTTTTTTTGAGACAAAGTCTCACTCTGTCGCCCTGGCTGGAGTGCAATGGCGCCGTCTGGGCTCACTGCAATCTCCGCCTCCCAGGTTCAAGCGATTCTCCTGCCTTAGCCTCTCAGGTAGCTGGGATTGCAGGCATGCGCCACCACGCCCCGTTAACTTTGTATTTTTAATAGCGATGGGGTTTCACCATGTTGGTCAGGCTGGTCTTGAACTCCTGATTTCAAGTGATCCACCTGCCTCGGCCTCCCAAAGTGCTGGGATTACAAGTGTAAGCCACCGCGCCTGGCCGAATTAGATTTTTTAAAAGTAGAAATTAGGAACTACAGCCTCCTCAGTCTAACTGCCAGCCACTTAATTATTTTCACACCCCACAGGGAACTGCTGTTTCCTTGCATTTTTCACATGTGTCCCAAGTAGGGCCTCAAGTCCATCCCCCATCCCCTATTTCTCCGGCCTGACTCTGGCTTGCAGTAAAATACTTGATTTTCACTTCCTTCTGACATTCCCAAATGCCAATTTCCCCTCCCTTATTCATATTATCAACAAATAGTTTAGTGTACATTTTGATACCTATTTTAATCATTTTTTGACAAAGCATTTGATGGCACATTTAAAAAGATTTGTTTTCTGTTTGTAAATATTTTTTCTTCTGTTTTCCGTAGACACAGATATCACAATGTTTTTGGGTCAAGATTTCCCTTTGGAAACTTTATAGGGAGATGTGTCCTCAGCCACCCTTCAGTTTTTTCTTGGACTTGAGATTCAGTACTGTCTGGGGAAAAACCAAGATACCCGCCATGGCTATGTCTGTGAGAGTGTCTAGTGAATATCAGCTCCTGGGTCTTTTTCTCCCATAAGACAACCTGAGGTATGGAGTGTAGCCTCTGATCTCCCATAAGACAACCTGAGATATGAAGCGTAGCTTCTCAAGAGAGCAGGTGAATGCACTGTGGCTGAGTCATCTTCTGGTGTGCTGTTTTTTTGGAAAGCTACTCCCTTGAGATATTAATATTGTCTTTACCCAACCCAGCTTCCATTTCTTGGAGACACATTGCTGTTCAGACAATCAGATGCTGGTATTGAAGGGGAAACCAAAATAATTTTTGCCCCTGCATTCTCTTAGGGGACAGAAAAATAGTGAAATAAAAATGGTAAAAGGTTTGTGAAATAAAATAGCACTCCAAAGACAAAAACAACTGACCCCAGTGAGATGGTGCAAAAACTTGCAAAGTAAAATATACCTGGGGCACTCTGGGGCATAGTTCAGAGTCTCCTGAGAGAATGATTATTGAGCACTTAAGTGAACAGGATGGGGTGGGAGAATCTCTCAAGTAATTGGATGGCCTGACTTGACACATGAGTCAGACATATCCGTACCTTGACATGATTAAATGCATTGTTCACTTATTTTGACCTCAGGGTTTTTTTTTTTTTGGTTTTTTTTTTTTTTTTTTTTGACAGTGTTTTCCTCTGTCGCCCAGGCTGTAGTGCAGTGGTGCAATCTTGGCTCACTGCAACCTCTGCATCACGAGTTCAAGTGATTCTCATGCCTCAGCCTCCCAAGTAGGTGGGACTACAGGTGCCCACCACCACACCTGGCTACTTTTTGTATTTTTAGTAGAGATGGGGGTTTGCCATGTTGACCAGGCTGTTTGAGCTGAAAATTCTGACCTCAAGTAATCTGCCCACCTTGGCCTCCCAAAGTGCTGGGATTGCAGGTGTGAGCCACTGTGCCCGGCTGACCTCAGTTTTTTAACTGTAAATTGCATTTTATTAGTAGGGCTTGAAAGGTAAGAAAATATTTACAAAGAGCATAAAAAGGTGAGTTTCAGAAAATAATATCTGTATATTTTATTTGTTGAAAATTCTCATTCACCTTTTTCTTTCTCAGAGTGAATTTAGGAGTTTTCTCTGGTGTTTTTTTTTTTGTTTTTTTGTTTTTTTGAGGCAGAGTCTTGCTCTGTCACCCAGGCTGGAGTGCAATGGTGGGATCTCGGCTCACTGCAAGCTCTGTCTCCAGGGTTTACGCCATTCTCCTGCTTCAGTCTCCCGAGTAGCTGGGACTACAGGCGCCCGCCACCACACCCAGCTAATTTTTTTGTATTTTTAGTAGAGACGGGGTTTCGCCATATTAGCCATGTTAGCCAGGGTGGTCTCGATCTCCTGACCTCATGATCCACCTGCCTTGGCCCCACAAAGTGCTGGGATTACAGGCGTAAGCCACCATGCCTGGCCTTCAGGTGTGTTTTTTATGGCTGAATGATTTCAAACAGAATTCCATCTAGCTTTTAGAATGTTAGCTACCAAGGAAAAAAAATAAGAAAAATTTTTCTTCCATTTCGGCTGTAGAGAATTAATGTATTTCCACAAGAAAATGTGGTAGATAATTGGTGAGTTACATAGTTTCATGAAAACATCAGTTTCTTTTTTTGCAGGGTAAACTTGCTAAAGTAAATATCTTTGTTCTATATCCTGTTATTTCAATTTCTGAGTTTAATGCTAAATTTTATCTGATGAAATTTGGTACCTCCTAGAAGTGTTCCCATGTAACTGTTTACCACATGATTTTTAATACAAAAAATAAAATAATACTTTATTGTCCAAAAGAAATAAATACATTTGCTTCTCTTACTGAGGTACAAAATGTAAGCACCTTAAAATTTTCTTATATGTTTTTGAATCATTTTGCTGGATTTTTCAAACACTTATTTTCAAAAACTAAGTGAATGACTCTGACATGGTAATTAAAGCTTGAGCCCAATGACTGCGAGCGAAGGTTAATTTTGAGCCGGCAAAAGGAGGTTATTAAAGGCCCAGTTAGTTCCTTCTGGAAAGCCTTTCCTGCAGATGTCCCAGCCTGCTTACCCCAGCCATGGAAGAAGCCTCTATAGTGAGAGAAGCTACAGAGCCTTGGAAAGCTGGGGCCCCACAGACAGATGCAGTTAAGGTTAAGATAGAAGGGGTTTGGGAGTGTCTTACTGAAGATAAAATTGTTACTTTTTTGAGGCAGTTTTGAGAGATTTTAAAATAAACCAGTTAGATGTATATATAAAAAAAAAAGAATTCCAAAGGAGTATTGCAACAGGAGGAAGTACCAACTATAAGATCTTTAAGGATTGCAAAGATTAGGTAGAAAAGGGCTTTTTTTCCTAGGGAAAAGCAAATAAGATTAGAAAAAAGGTGAGGGGAATGTTTAAATGAAGGGTGAAATAATCAGATTTTAGATCAGACAATGTTTTACCCTAAAGTCTGTGTGTTCTTAGTAGGGACATAAAATGAGGTTGTATGGTGGCTCAGACTGAGCATAGCTCAGAGTTCAGGAGCCTGTGGGAAGAAAATAAACAAGTGAATTTTGATTAAGAAGTATTTTATGTTGACCACTGAAGACAAACTCAGCTGCTTTTTTAATGAGAAAAAGAAGAAAATATGCAGAGTGTTTTCCTGGCTGTGTATTAGGTAAGTAAAGAGAGTACCATCTAAGTCATAATGGGAAGGGTGTTTCTTTTCATAAAGTGTTACTGGAGAACACAGAGGATAGAGAATTTTATTAATCACAGCTATTTATTATCTATATGCTTCATCTTTTCCCACCTCTTTTCTTGGTTCTATACTTTTCTTCCATTTGACTTTTTGGGGGTTGTATATTTTATTTGAAACCTGTAAATATAACTACAGTGTTCTGCTGAGTTCTGTGAGTAGCTCTATCAGATTATTGAATTTCAGAAAGGTTATGGGAGTCCCCAATTTTTAAACAGTAGGTCAGAAGCATAGATGAGCCCATGAAGTTTGTGACTGGCATCTGCAGTGAGGACAATGTTGTGGGACTGAGCCCTGAATCAGGGTCTGTGCTGACTCTCAACCTCTCAGGCTCAAGCAGTCCTCTTCTACTTAAGCTTCCCAAGTAGCTAAGACTAAAGTCTTGTGCCACCATGCCTAGCTAATTTTTCTTTATGTTTTTTTTTTTTTTATAGATGGGATTTTGCTATGTTGTCCATGCCGGTCTCAAACTCCTGAGCTCAGGCAATCCACCTGGCTTGGCCCCCAAAGTGCTGGATTACAGGCATGTGCCATCATGCCCAACCATACCATATTTTCTTTATCCAGTCTACCATTGATAGGCATTTAGGTTGATTCCGTGTCTTTGCTGTTGTGAATAGTGCTGCAATGAATGTGATTGTGCATGTGTCTTTATGATAGAATAATTTATATATTTTTAGGTATATACCCAATTGTGAGGTTACTGGGTCAAATGGTAATTTTGTTTTTAGTTTAGTGAGGAATCAACACACTGCTTTTCACAATGGTTGAATTATAATAATGGCCGTTCTCACTGGTTTGAGATGATTTCTTGTTGTGGTTTTTCTTTTGCATTTCTCTAATGATCAGTGATGAGCATTTTTTTATATGCTTGTTAGCCACATTTGTGTCCTTTGAAGAATTTTTTCATTTCTTCTAGATTTTTTTTTATGTGCATAGCAGACTTCAGTATATTTTTGTGAGGTTAGTGGTAATGTCTCTTTTTCTCATTTCTAATTGTGTTTATTCGTATCTTCATTAACCTAGCTAGTAGTTTATTTCCTTTTTTTTTTTTTTAAATAGATTTAATGCCAGGATTTCTTGATATTTTGTAGTTTTTCATGTCTAAATCTCCTTCAGTTCAGATCCGATTTTGGTTACTTCTTGCCTTTGCTAGCTTAGGGACTGATTTGCTTTTACTGCTCTCAGTCTTTTATTTATGATATCAGGTTGTTAAACTGAGATCTAACTTTCTGATGTGAGGATTTAACGCTATGAATTTTTCTTTTAACACTGCCTTAGCTGTATTGCAGGGATTCTGGTATTTTGTATTTTTGTTCTTATTTGTTTCAAAACACTTCTTGGTTTCTGCTTTAATTTCATTATTTACCAAAAAGTTATTCAAGTGTAGGTGTAGGCCATTTAATTTTTATTTAATTGTATGGTTTCCAGTTGTTTTATTGGTATTGAATTATATTTTTCTTAAGCTGTAGCCCGTGTGTGTGGTTTGTGTCATTTTGGGATTTTTGAATTTGCTGAGAATTGTTTTATTTCTGATTGTGTGGTCAGTTTTAGAGTATGTGCCACGTGGTGATGAGAAGAATGTATATTATGGTATTTTTAGATGAAGAGTTCTGTAGATGTGTATTAGGACTATTTGGTCAAGTGTTGAGTTCAGGTCCTAATATTGTTGTTAATTTTCTTCTTCAATGATCTGTCCATTAGTGCTTGTCAGATGTAGTCTCTGATTATTACTGTGTCAGATTCTAAGTCTCTTCATAGGTCTCTAAGAACTTGCTTTATTCATGTGAACCCATGGGGTTTCTTAATAACATCTTTCTCTCTTCTGCTTTTCCCCCCATAAACATCCTTTCAAGTGCACACACTGTGCAAAATTCAGAGATCCAAGAGTTCAAGAACTTGTCCAGAGACCTGGCTGTTGTAAGAGAAAATATAAATTAGCAATAAGAGGTTTTATTCTCATATGTGAAAATAAGGGAGGATAACTTGTTAATTTTTTAAAAAAAAGTTTAGATTATATGTATATATTTCTTCTGCTTTTTGAAGTATATGTAAATCATATTAACAATGAAACAAACCTTTTGTCATTCTTTTTGACTCAGAATTGTCTTTATCTGGGACCTGAGATTCATTGCTTTCTTTTTGTCTTGGCAAAAGGTTATATTTTTTTATCTTTCTTTAGTCTTTAAACTAGACACAGATTTGTTCAGAGTAAACTTCATTTCAAGAGCATAAAAAAGTTGAGCACAAAGATCGGAATAAATTTAGCAATGCAGAATAATATAGACTAAAAGATACTGAGTAAGTTCTTTGGCAGAAACCTGATTATCCAAGGTGATTATTTGCAGGCTGACATACTTACACTGCAAAAGCCAGAAGAGTTCAGTGTATAAACTGAACAGTGGAGTCTGTTGTACTTGGGTTACTTCAGTACAGTTAGTATAGTTATGTGTAGTGTTTGTAGACAACCTGCATTCATATAAATTAAACAGTATTTTCTACAATAGTATGAATATAAGGCCACAATATTTACTTTGATTGAATTCCTTAGTTATTTTAATATTGTTATTCATACTTTTGAAATACAGTGTTTCAACTGAATTACAGTTCAGATAATTTTTTAAAATATTACATACCTTATGACTAGTACATAAAATTATTCATACTTATATATTTATATCTGATATCCAAAAAAATTTACCATTAAATCGTTGCAGTAGATATTAGTCTGACATGCTATTAATTTATCCAGTGGGAATAATTATAGGTAAGCATAATTTTAGTGTCTTATATTTTACCAAATTGGTATGCTGCTATTACAGGACAAATAAAGACAGATGATATGGCTACCCAAAAACCATAATAGCTCTCCAGTTAGCTATGTTGCAAGCTCTAATATATTCTACTATATTAACACAGATTTCAATTTTTTATAAAAAAGTGCTACTGGAAGTTGTCAGATATATTCCAATATAGATCTCACATTCAATGGTTAGGAAATAAGAGAGCAGCAGAGATGGAAGATAAATCTTTTAAAATTCTGCTGAGAGCTGGGTGCAGTGGCTCATGCCTCTAATCCCAGGATTTTGGGAGGCCAAGGTGGGTGGATCACCTGAGGTCAGGAGTCTGAGACCAGCCTGGACAACATAGTGAAACCTTGTCTCTACAGAAAATACAAAATTAGCTGGGTGTGGTGGCGCGTGCCTATAGTCCCAGCTATTTGTGAGGCTCAGACAGGAGAATCACTTGAACCCAGGAGGCAGAGGTTGCAGTGAGCCAAGATCACGCCATTGCACTCCAGCCTAGGCAACAAGATTGAAACTCCATCTCAAAAAAAAAAAAAAATTCTGCTGAGAATATGCCCCCTTTATTCAATAATGCTCCTGTTTCTCTTGCTGAGAGTAGCTATGCACTTGGGTGTTTGGAGAGAAATTCTTCTTAGGGAGATATTTTCTGGCTGACTTGATCAATCTTATATCCAATCTCAGTTTTTTCTTAAGACACTTTTAACTTTTTTCTTTCAATATAATCTTTCTCAGAATGAGAGCTGTTTTTCTCTCAAATGCATTGTGTGTCTGTTTCAGAAACCCTATTAGTCCCATGGTGTCTGTGAAAGACGTGGGCTGTCACAGTGAGAACTCTCAGAGCTATCTCTATCTGGACTCATGCCAAAACCCAGCAGTATTTTTTTCATGCCACCATTATAAATAAAAACTGAGGCTGAAACAGTGCTCCCTTTTCTATTATTGTGAAGGTGCAATTCTACCCAGGAGGCCTGCAAGCTCTCCTCCTGCTGCTCAGGCTTCACTGTCTGATGTGGCACTGGAGTGCTGCTGTGGCAATTGGGGTTCACCTAAGATGTGAGTTTCCAGCTGTGAGCCCTGTGCTGTGGGCTGTGCCTCAGTGGCAGATGGTAGGGGTCAAGAGAGTACACTAGCCACCAGGAGAGGGAAACAGGAGTACTCAAGCCCAGTGCTCAGGGAGTAGAGACCTATTGCTTTAAAATGTAAAGAGCCAAAAAGATAGCACCCGAATCAACAATTTTTGTAGAAGAGTCAAAGCCTACCTTCAGCAGGCACCGGGGTTCAAGTTGCAAAACTACCTCCAGTCATGAAGATGTGAAAAGTTTATTTTGTCATTGATTATAACCAATTAGCATACATGGATGGCCTTCCCAACTACCAGATGAATTTAGGATGAACTATGTATGACATGGTGCTGTAAATTCTACTTGTAGACTGATTATGGTCACTGTCTTTCTGTCTTTGCAATCTCTTGAGCAAATTGACTGTAATGCATGTCACATTCACATGTAATTGTGTAATAAAACAGTTTTCTTTCTGTTCTGTTACTGTGCAGTTCCTCTGGGGCTGAAGAAAATTTTGCTTTTAATTATATTTTCCAAATCCTGTCTAGAATTACCAGACATAATGTAAACACATAAGGTGCCAACTAAGCTTTACTCTAGATGGGCCTTTTCGGCTTCCAGTCAGTTCACAATTGTGCTGTGAAGTGCATGCTGTCCCCTAAATATGCAGGTGGAATTGTGCGTCTGCCTACTTGGTATCTATCATGTCTAGAGTCACTTTTAGAGAGGCTAGACCAGATTTCTACAGACTTCATTGGTCAGATATTAGCCATTTTACCTCTTTCAGTGACTCTTGTGTCCTCAGACCTGAAACTGATTCAGTGACCATGGGGCCCAATCAGAGTAAAATATGTGCATTGAGCAGACCTGTAGACATGAGAATCCACTTCTCCCTCCCTCCTCATGCTAAAATGCCCACAAATGTTCAGGTAACACTTGCTGCTATTTTACCCATGCAGGACCTGAATTTGCAGCTCCAAATTCTAAATCTAGGTCTTGAGAATTGAGAAGAAAAAAAAAGTTTTTGTCTGAGGAATGCAAGTCCTTTTAGTTATCAGACTCAGAGAGGCATTAAAATGAGAGCACAATCATGTTTTTCTCCCTTTTTTTCAGCTATGTATCTCTTGAAACTGTTCACTATTGCCACAAGTAGCTATAAATTAAACTAATAATTCCACACTGGACACTGTATTCCATATCCTTAACCTTAACAATGTATATCCAATTAATTATTAAAGTTATTTCTTTACATAAATAAGAATTTCTCGCAACCAATTTTGTATCAGCTCACTCACTGTTCCTTTTTTTTTGCCTTTGCAAATCCACTTGTAAGTGCTGCTAATGAAAGCGTGGATTCCAGGCAACTTGAATATTTGGTCTCAAGTTAAAATCCTTAAGCTTGACCCAAATAAACTGTCTGCTTATGTTCATGTTGTGTCAGCTTTTTTAAGGTAAAATATTATTTAGAATGTTCTAGAGCAGCCTCTATGAGGGAATCTCTCCTTTGATTTCACTCTACTTGCTGTAACACCCAAAAATGCAGAGTGAGGTTGATTTCACCTAGAATCTGCAAATAAGATCTGGCTGGCCTCTGCCTGGGATTTACAAGGCAGGGCCAGACTTTGGATTGAGAATTTACAGAAAACCAACAGGAGGCATTTTCTGCATTGTGAGATATCAACATAGACATTTTAAATTCCTCTTTTGAGAGTGTGGCTTTTTGACCTTTTCACATCTTCTTCATTAATCTGCCACAGGTATGTGAGAGGCTCCCGGAGTAAATAGAATCTGATGGCAGAATCTCTAAGTGTAAACAAGCATCTTAAGGCCACAAAGTATCCAGAGCCATGACCACAACTATATCTACCTGTAAAATGTGATACTGGAGTAAAGTATTCTTGTCCTTCTACTTACCCACCAGCTAGCAAATCAGGACAGCTAGCAAATCAGGATGGATGACCCAGGTTTGGGAGTTCAACCAAGGCAGTTCCATTTTTTATTTAGAATCATCCCGAGTCTTCTCTGCCTGGCTTATCAGTGGACCATCAGCCCAGGGTCATGGGGAACCCTCTCACAATCACCTCTGAATCTTTGAGACATTTGAGAATGTCCAGAACAGAATTGTGTCAGGCTGATAAGAGTGACAAATTCTGCTTCTGTCCCATTGTGAGAGAAATGAGTCATCTTGTGTTTGTTTCTCCCCTTATACAAGAAGTATCTTTGGTTGGTACCCAGAAGAGAGTTTTTCAAGTTCCCTGTACTCGGGTAAAAAATCAGGAGGTCTCGAGGCTCAGACAGATAAACTAATTGGGCTCAAACAGATAAACTAATTGCTTCCATTTCATATAGTCATAAAAAAAAAATAGATGAAGCAGGTGGGGTGCAGTGACTCATACCTGTAATCCCAGCACTTTGGGAAGCCAAGGTGGGTGGATCACCTGAGGTCAGGAGTTCGAGACCAGCCTGGCCAACATAGTGAAATCCCGTCTCTACTAAAAATACAAAAATTAGCCTGGTGTGGTGGCTCATGCCTATAGTCCTGGTTACTTGGGAGGCTGAGGCAGGAGAATCGCTTGAACCTGGGAAGCGGAGGCTGCAGTGAGCCGAGATCACACCATTGCACTCCAGCCTGGGCAACAAAGTGAGACTCAGTCTCAAAAAAAAGGAAAAAGAAAAGAAAAATAGATGAAGCAGTCATGGTTCCTACCATCCTGGCAGTTTTAGTCTAGACTAGCAACTGGAAATATGGTTGAATTATACATCATATGGTGGGTACAATAAATAGCTGTGTGCAAAAACTTGGGCTTTATTTGGGCCACTTTATATTGTGGCTTCTGATGTCTACAGCTGAACTTAGAAGAGTCGTCATTGTTATTTGTATTTATTTTACCCTGCTAAGAATACTTATTTTTCTTCTAAAAAATTATTCTAGAAAACCTTAAGGGATTTTTAAAATTGCTTATTAGCATATAATATAAAATTCACAGGACAGTGATAAAAAAGATTAAAATTATACAAACTCAGATTTAAGTTTACTTAAGTAAGCTTTAACAAAAAGAACTGACAATACCCCCCAGTGGCATAGAGAACAGAATTGTACATTGGCTGTACGCTCTGCCCCAGCCCTGTTCATATTCACCCTTTTTGGAGGCCTTATTTATGTCTGGCTCTACCCCGGAGTCTTGCCTCACAGAACTGATTACAGGAAATCAGAGTTTTGAGTCATGAATCCTGTTGCCTTTTTAGAGCTGGTGCTCAACATTTTCTGAAACCCAAAAGCAGATAACGGGAAATATAAAGTATGTATTGTAGGATCTTTTCAAATTTTTTATTAAAACCAGTGCTTGCAGAAACATTATTTAGCAACTGTTTTCTGTTCCTGCAGATCTAGTAGTTGATTCACAAGTCACAAGAAAGTAAATATAAACACAATAAAAATTTATCTAAATTGCATTAAATTCTTTCCATCTGTATCCCTTTCATCTGTCTATATTTACCTTTTCTATGCATTTTTTGAAAAAATCAGTGACAGATAAACAGAAATAGAAATAAAAATGCTGGGTCCTTTAAAGTGTTGGAATTACTGAACACTTAGTATCAACTCACAGGGTGTTATTAGGATTAAATCACATAATGTGCTATCACAGCACTCTGTAACATCACATAATACCTGCTTAATAAAAATTACATTAGTACATGTGCACATGTTGTTTTCCAAATGCAGACTTACTCAGAAATTGCTGCTTTCTATTTTCTCTGTAAACTTTAGTCAGCAAAGAATATAATACTTTAGGATGAAGAATGTTTGTCTTCATTTGTACCAGAAGTATTTGTGTTGTGACAAGAGTGCTGGGTGTAAGGGACTCTGTGTTGTGCCTCATTTTTCTAATTAAGGGTAATAATAAGCCCAGTGGGAACAACATCATTACTGACAGCGCACTTGTTTAAAAGACCCATTTGTGGACCCTTTCCATACCTGCAGAATTACATTTCATAGAGTGGGGAGAAAATTACCAAGTGATTTATAAGCTCGTTAGAGCTTGAGAGGAAATGCTTAGTCTTAGTTAAGGGGTTATCAGCCCAGGCCGCTAAATAGTATCACCTGGCCATTTTGCAGAACTCTTTTTACTTGTGCCCTTTCCATGGATTCTGTTTATTGTTCTTGTGGAAGCATCCATGTTGTTTTAATTAAGTGGCTCATGTGACTCTAAGGTGAGGCCAGAATCAAGTATGAGGAATTCATAATACATTCATGAGAGTTAAGTTCCATCTTTGCATTAAAGGGTGGTCCAAGAACCTGTTCTGTTTGGATTTGGTAGGGGCAGGACAGCGTGGCCCATATTTCCATTACTGTGGCAGAAATTGCTGTTGCCTGTGTCAGGGGATGGCTCCCGAGGACAAAATAAAGAAAAGCATATTTTTATCTCTGGAGCTACTCATTGTTTCTTCATCTCTTCTGCTATAAAGGACAGAATTGGGTGGAGTTTTTCTGTCTTGGTCCTTCTGCCTGTGGATGTGGTGACAGCAGGTAGACCTGTGGTGCTGACTCTTTTAAAGGCATCTTCTCAAGATGCAGGTGTAATTTGTCCAGAGAATTTTATCTGAGAAAGAATCCTAGAAAAGGAGGAGAAAGAGAAAAAAATGACCTTTTTTTTTTTCAGCTAAATGTGTCTCAGATCAAGATCTGTGTCCACTCTGCTTCCTCCAGGAAACATACATTTAGTACTTGCAAACCTGTACTTCTCTACTTGTGTTTTTCCTCCCTAATGAGTTTGTCTTAACTACTTTAAAAAATTCTTACAATAGTCAAAGTCTCTGAAAAATATATTTTTTTCTATATACCAGAGCCTTCTCTACATTATGGCTTCTTATATGCCGTGCAGAAATCTCACTATGATTTTATAATCTGCAATATTTAAAATGTCCCTTTGTGGCTGTTGAACATGGGAAGGTGTAGATACTCAAAATTCCTATTGGGGAAAACCTGGGGTTTTTAGTGAAGGCAGAGAACATGTAATGTTGAGGTTTTGTCTGTGTTCCTTATTATGTCTATGCAGTACAGGATTAAGAAACCACTCATTGAAGCAGTATAGTATTTATTACCCAGGAAATTCTAAAAAAATTTATAGGAGATAACTGCTCTCTACAGTGCTAAAGAAAGACTATTTAAAATCACTATTAAAAATTACAGAACATGGGAGATATCTGTATCTTGAACTTTCCATTAAACTAATGTTTCCTTATGGTTAAATTCAGACTATAATTTACCTTTTGGGGGGTAATATCTCAGTAGTAATGCTGTATCCTTCTGGGTGCATCAGGACATTATAAAAATTTGTTCTAGTGTAGTTGATGTTAATAAATCACTTGGTTGATAAGCTCTCCGACACATTTTTTCACTATAGAATTATTTTTCTGTTCATCGTTAAGTATCTTTATGCAGCTGATGTGAACAAACCAACACATTTAATCTGGCAGCTGCCCTTCTTTCTTAGGTTTCCTTTGCATTTGTCTGTTTTTGGGAAATGAAGATGAGAATCTTTGTTTACAAACCAGAAAAACTGAGAAAAACACAGGCTCATTCAATTACTGGGTATTTGACAAAATAGTCTTTTTGGGCCAAAACCATTGGCATACTGATGAGCTTTTTAAAAATTCAGCAACTCAGACTTTATCCCTGATGTTCTGAAAAAAAAAAATAATAATCTGCATTAATGGGATCTCCAGCTTATTGTACACATTAAAATTTGAGTGATACCTTCTAACTCAACATGTCTATTCCATCTGAACAATATACACAACTATGTCTTTTCCATCTGAAAAATACAAACAATTAATTCTTTTTTTTTTTTTTTTTTTTTTTTTGAGATGGAGTTTCGCTCTTGTTGCCCAGGCTGGAGGGCAATGGCATGATCTCGGCTCACCACAACGTCCGCCTCCTGGGTTCAAGCGATTCTCCTGCCTCAGCCTCCCAAGTAGCTAGAATTACAAGCACACACCACCACACCCAGCTAATTTTGTATTTTTAGTACAGACGTGGTTTCTCCATGTTGGTCAGGCTGGTCTAAAACTCCCGACCTCAGGTGATCTGCCCGCCTTGGCCTCCCAAAGTGCTGGGATTACAGGCATGAGCCACCACGCCTGGCACACAATTAATTCTGTTTGATGTAAATATAGCACTCAAAATTGTACATGTTAGTGTTTATGCCCTCAAGTTTATACTTTATTATCTAGAAAAATACTATACATACACTGATGTTATGGATCTTATACCACTTTCTTTTCTCAGAGTTAGAGAATACATTAGAGAATATTGTTGTGTTGAAAACTATTTTATTGAATGATTTCAGTCACTCCTGTAAGTCAGAATGAGCTCTTTTTACTCTTTCCATTTTACCTTGAGTCAAATTAAAAATTCTGCCCATGACCACTTGGTAAATATGTGTGTTTGTGTGTGTTTTCCAGGGATCGTTGACATTTCGGGATGTGGCCATACAATTCTCTCTGGAGGAGTGGCAATGCCTGGACACTGCACAGCAGAATTTATATAGGAATGTGATGTTAGAGAACTACAGAAACCTGGTCTTCCTGGGTGAGAATAACTTTAATACGCAATTCCTAGTATACACTATAGGTTTCATTTTGCTGTGGACTTTATTGGCCTGGACAAAGGAGGATGAATGCAGGAATAAAGGCAGACAAAAGAGTATATTTGGAAGACGGCACCAGGGGGCTCTTTGCTTCTAGTGAACAAGGGCCCTGAGCTTCTATAGCCCTTCATATTTATTGAGTAAAGGAGATAGGGAGAAGGGGGAGGTTGTGGTCAGCTGCTTGACTTAGTACAACCCTGCATGACTGTATTCTTTAAA
The DNA here is from genome assembly GCF_000001405.40 of Homo sapiens. NCBI lineage: Eukaryota > Metazoa > Chordata > Mammalia > Primates > Hominidae > Homo > Homo sapiens. The sequence goes on along the minus strand of NC_000019.10, from coordinate 22,988,047 downwards.
CAGTACTCTGCAGATGTTCCAGTAGATAACCTCAAGAAGCATGGCACCAGGGGGTGACTGTCCTTAGTGTACCTTGTGGCGGCAGGAGCAGAAGCGAATTCGCCCACATTCTGCATTCATGATAAACAGTTTGCTGTTTGATCATATAGCCTCCAGTGGAATGCTGAGTTGGTCACAACCCTCAGCCTTTCGGCTCCCAACATCATTTCTCTTTTGTATAATTTCTTTTTGGTAATTTATGCTTTCAGATTTCTGTTTTCAAGAAAATCATAGGGATTTTTCCATAGAGAAAAAAATTTCAAGATGTTTCATCTTGACCTTAACTTAACCACATTCTTGAGCTGATCTCTGTCCTTCACTTTAGATTAATGGTAATTTCAAAATTTTACTGGCATAAATACTGGTGCTCACACCTTAAAATCTAATTTCCACCACCAATTTTTAATTCAGTAGTACCAGGTGATAAAATTAAGAACTTACAAAATTAGAGTGTTTTCTAAATATTTAGAAATTTCTGTTGTAATTTAGTATTTTGGGATAAATGTATTAGAATATTCTATCACATCCTCTTTACTGAGCACATTACTAAGTTGTTAATTGGAGAATATGAGCAAGATGCATGTTACTCATTTTTAATAAAACAGGTATTGCTGCCCCTAAGCCAGACCTGATCATTTTTCTGGAGCAAGGAAAAGAGCCCTGGAATATGAAGAGACATGAGCTGGTGAAAGAACCGCCAGGTAGGTGAGAATGAATACAGACAACATGGATGAGAGGTCCAAAGTCAAGGAGAAAGCCAGTCCTTAAAGTGATATGGGAAGCTGTGTTCCAAAAGAAATAGTTTCTGGAAAGCCTAATTTTTATTTTTATTTTTTAATTTTCTCTCACACAGTGGCATCTTCTGTCTTATGCTTTTAAAATTTCTAAGAATTATTTTTTCCCTTCAGTAATCTTCCTTCAAGTTTACAGTGACAGCCAAAGTACTGTTCATGGCATACAAGAGAGTGCACAATCTGAGTTTTTTTGTTTTTGTTTTTGTGGACACAGATATTTCCATAATTTTAAGGTACTCCATGTTAAACTATCTTTTAAGTTCTCTTTTTCCATCATCTCTGAAATATGTGAGAGTAGTGGTTTCTGTATCATTGGGTGTTTTTTGTTCATTTTTCTGTACATTTCATCCTGTTTTTATTACTATAGTCTTGAAATATAGTTTGAAATTATAAAGTATGTTGTCCTGCTTTTTTCTTTTTCCTCAAGATTTCCTTGGCTATTCACAGTTTCTTGTAGTTTCATGTAAATTTTATGATTGTATTTTTCATTACTGTGAAAAAAAACCACTGGAATATTGATAGAGAGTTTATTGAATCTAGAGACCACTTTGGATAATATGGCATTTTAACATTTATTCTTTGAATCGATAGACAAAATATATTTCAATTTATTTGTGTTCTCTCATTTTTCATTGATAAATCTTTCACTTGAAAAGTTTTTCAGCTCCTCGGTTAAATTTGTTCTCGGATATTTATTATTTTAGTGCTATTGTAAATAAGATTGTTTTCTTCCTCTATTTTATCAGATAGTTTAAGTGTATGGAATCATAACTTATATGTTAATTTTATATTTTGCTAATTTACTGAGTGTATTTTAAAAGGTTTTAATGTACTGTTTATGGTTTTTTTTATAGAGAACACTGCATGATCTACAAGCAGCAATGTTTTACTTATTTGTCTTCAATTTCAATGACTTTAAAATTTTTTTGACTAATTTTTCTTCCACATACGTCAAGTGCTGTGTTAAAATAGAAGCATTGACAATGGGCACAATATACTTTTCCATTGGTGTCTCAATTTGAAGGCGCAAACACCTCTTAAAGTTTTTATAAACTGGTTTCAGAGGGTAAAAATCTTTTGTTGGGCCTCCAGCGTGATAGAATGCCCTCTGGGTTTGTAGTAGAGTGGGGTTGTAGCTTGGTCACAAGGCTGCTGGCTCTGCACTAGGGTTAGCTTATTACAAGGGGCTTGGGTAGTTGTAATTCCCATTTTATTTTTGGACAGAGTA